>NC_000017.11:26935980-28185980 GCF_000001405.40 Homo sapiens | reverse complement strand
AATTTGTAGTATGTTCCAGAAGAGTCAAGTCCAGAAAGGGTATTGGGAAAAGCTTCCATCTCAACAACACAGAGCAAACATTTCCTTATGCAATATAATGGTCAGATTTTTTTTTCAAATAACCTTAAAAAACTTTGTGTCCTGGCCGGGCGCGGTGGCTCACATCTGTAATCCCAGCACTTTGCGGGGCTGAGGCAAAAGGATCACTTGACTCCAGGAGTTCAAACCAGCCTGGGCAATATAGTGAGACCTCTTCTCTACAAAATATTTAGAAATTAGCTGAGCATGCTTGTAGTCCCAGATACTCAGGGGGCTCGGGTAGGAGGATTGCTTGGGCCTGGGAGGTTGAGGGTACAGTGAGCTGAGATCACACCTCTGCACTCCAGCCTGGGTGACAGAGCAAGACCTTGTCTCAAAACAAAAAATCATTTTGTCTTGACTTAACTTGGTGTCAAACTCCTTTTACAAATAATGAGATAAATAAGAAATAAGAGTTAAATAAGATCCAGCTCCTTATCTCTTCCCTTAGACTCTTATGTGTTAATAATCAAACTTCTGTGTGATGAGCGTGCATGATACACATGATACTGGGGATTGAAGTTTATATTCTGAAAAGTAATTATTTACATTGCCAATCTATTCAAAACCACAATGTTTCTCTCGAACACATGTATTTGTAATTCATTAAAAATATATAAAAAAAAACACTACTTACTGGATCAAAGACCAACATCCTGCAAAGGAGATGAACAGCTTCATGTGTAGCCTGGCTAGACAGGGTATAGAGTACAGGAAGAGATGGCTGTGAAAAAATTAAAAATTCAAATATTTAAGTGAGTCTTTGTGTAAACAGCTATGGAATACAGCCAATTTATGATAAGGTAAGTACTCAGTTCAAAAGGCAATGTGTGTCTAAACTCAAGGAGAATGAGTTTTCCCTTCAGTAACCAGTCTTCAAAAGCAACAATTGTTACTAACTTCCCGTAGCATTTTTATTTATTTATTTATTTACTTATTTTTATTTTTATTTTTTGATATGGATTCTCGCTCTCTCACCCAGGCTAGGGTGCAGTGGCGCCATCTTGGTTCACTGCAACCTCCGCCTTCCAGGTTCAAGTGATTCTTCTGTGGTCATCCTCCCGAGTAGCTGGGATTACAGGCATGTGCCATCACGCTTGGGTAATTTTGTATTTTTAGTAGAGAAGGGGTTTTGCCATGTTGGCCAGGCTGGTCTCGAACCCCTGACCTCAAGTGATCTGCCTGCCTCGGCCTCCCAAAGTGCTGGGATTACAGGCGTGAGCCACCACGTCCATCCCCGTAGATTTTTACATTGCATGATTACCCACTGTAGGGGAAAGCACAAAAGAGTCTATAAAAAAATGAAAACGAATTGCAAATATGGCACTCCTGCTAGCCATCTTTTTTTTTAAAGAGGAGAAAAGGCATACACATTTATTTATCGTGCGTACACGGGAGGCTTCCAAATAAAGCCCCAAACCCCCAATGAGGTACAGAAGCTTGAGTTTATAGAAACAATGTGGGATCAGAGCATGGCCAAAAATGGGTTTTAGTTAGCCTTACATCTTAAATGCTTTGGCAAGAATGATAATCAAACATGCCTAGGGGTGGGAGAGAAAAGATTGAAAGGTTTTAAAACCTGGGCCACATGCAAAGCATGTAAACTATAAGAATGTGAACTATGTCTTATGACATTACCATAAAGGTGCTGAGATATTAGTCCTAAAGGAGCCAAAGGACATGCAAGAACTTACAGAACCTGTAAGAAAGTACACCATTGGTTTTGATGGTTCAATCTGAATGGCCTTTAGCATTGATTTCTCACTCAAGAATTGCCTTCATAAGTGGTAGGCATATCCACATGGCCATATCTGACTTCTGTGAAGCAGGGAGGTGGCTTTAATGACCTGAGAAGCCATAGAGCTTATAAAGCTTCCATTTCACTGCTAGAAGCGTCAGGGGACAGAGCAGGTAAATGGCATCATTGCTCTGTCTCTCACACAAGTAAATTATTTATCTCTAACATAAAAAAGGCAGAATTAAGGAAGGTGACAAAAAATGTTTAGAGACTCCTTTTCTTCCCATGCTTAATACAACCTTTAGCAGAGAATTTTTTCCTCAAGCTTTGAAAGTTCTAGACTTATGGCCAAATTATTATCGGCTTGACTTTCATACCACTTAAAAAAAAACAAAAAACTAATCTCTTAGTGGGGTAAATGATTTTCCTAATGGGTTTTAGACCTGCCGTCTACTTATAACCTTTCTGTGGTCAGAAAGTTTGGTAGGTCAAAGCATATGAGAATCAACTCAAATAACAATAAAGTCACAGGCTAAGGCTGGGTGCGGTGGCTTACGTTTGTAATCCCAGCACTTTGGGAGGCCGAGGCAGAAGGACTGCTTGAGCCTGTGAGTTTGAGACCAGCCTGGGAAACATTGTGAGATGCCATTGCTACAAAAAACTTAAAAATTAGCCCGGCATGGTGGTACATGCCAGTAGTCCCAGCTACTCAGGAGTCTGATGTGAGAGGATTGCTTGAACCTGGGAGGTTCAGGCTGTAGTAAGCTGTGCTTATGCCACTGCACTCTAGCCTGGGTGACAGAGTGAGATTCTAAAAACAAAAAAAAGTCAAAGCCTAGCCTAAAGAAAACCTAACTGTAGGAGTAATGACCCCTGACCTTCACTATGCTTTGGAAAGTGAAGAGGCTCAAGTGCCATAAACTGTATTTTATCTGGATCTGATCTCTTCCCATTAGCTCTAAGTGCTGCTGCTTCTTCTTTTTCTTAAAGAAATGGAGTCTTGCTATGTTGCCCAGGCAGGGCTCAAGCGATCCTCCCACCTCAGCCTCCCGAGTAGTCGAGACCAAAGGCACACGCCACTGTGCCCAGCTTCTCTAAATCCTTTTTACATCCTCTGTTTCTTCAGGGGTTCCCTATAAAACTTTGAATTTTTAGGATATAATCTCAGACTAGAGCAGCCTTTCATAGTTCCTGGGCTTCTTGTTTTATATAATGCCCAGCCTGCTTCACTATGATTATATTTGTGGGAAAAACTTAAAAGAGAGTTTAAAAAACATATGTGTTTCTCTCATTTGAAAAACAATTTAAAAAGCCATCTGTGAACCGTGTGGTATCTTTATCTGGTCCTGATCTCTTCTGCAGACACTGCTTCATCATACCACTTTAGGGTCAGGGCATTTACATTTTGTTACTACATCATTAATGGTCTACTAACAAGAGAACAGAGCTCCAAACAGGGGTGGGGTGGTGGGGGAAGGCAGTCTGGCTTATGTTTGGGAGAATTTGACCATCTCAGCAACACTACATTACTTTCAAGGCAAACTGGAAGGAAGTTTTACTTGCAAACTCTTAAATAAATTTCCTGTGGGTAGTCTGCCTTGTATTTTCTGGTTTGTCAGTAGATGAAAATTCAAAATATCACAGAAAGCTCCTGCCATTTCAGCACTGGAAGGCCAGAAACAGCAGCATGAACAGCAACATAAACAGGTCTCATGTGGGTCAAGCTCTCCACAACACCAGAAACAGGAGAAGCAGAACACTAAAAGGTTTCCTTGGACCTTGGTCATAGCCTCAGAATCCTGCTAGGACAACTATTAACATCAAGAATTTTATATATCTTCCTTCCAACAAAAGCCATGTAGGAAAATCCAAAAAAACCAAACAAACAACAAACAAACAAACAAAAACAACACCAAGAAGATACCTCAGAATCATCAGGAGGTAATTATTCATTATATATAAGTTTTCTTCAGGATCAAAGAGTAATAGAGATAAGATTAGGTGAGGTTCTAGCTCTGTCTTGTCACTAATTAGATAAATCCAACATGTCTTAACCTTGGTATCTTTAAGTATAAAATGAGGGGGTTGGACCATCTGATTTCTGAAGTTTACTTTAGTTCTAAAATTGTATGTCTGTTTTTTGTTTGTTTGTTTTGAGACAGGGTCTTGCTCTGTCCCCCAGGCTGGAGCGCAATGGTGCGATCTCAGCTCACCGCAGCCTCCACCTACTAGGCTCAAGCGATCTTGCTACCTTGGCCTCCCAGGTAGTTGGGACTACAGACGTGCGCCACCACACCCAGCTAATTTTTGTATTTTTTTAGAGACACGGTTTCGTGACATTGCCCAGGCTGATCTCAAAGTCCTGAGCTCAAGCCTTTGGCCCTCCTCGGCCTCCCAAAGTGCTGGGATTTGTACAGGTGTGAGCCACTGCACCCAGCCTTGTGTGAGTCTTGATAAGATTACTCTGGATAAAAAAGTTACATATATGCACAGAACCCATACAGTATATTTGGCATTCAAGTATCTGTAGACCAACTCGCTATTCCTTGGTAATAAAAAGAGAAGTATTTTTCTTTTCCTTTTTTTTTTTTTTTAAGAGACAGAGTCTTGCTCTATTGCCCAGGCTGAAGTGTAGTGGCACGATCACAGCTCACTGCAGCCTTGAACTCCCAGCCTCAAGTGATCCTCCTACCTGAGCCTTCTGAGTAGCTGGGACTACAGGCATGTGCCACCACGGCTGGCTTTTTTTTTGTTTCTTTTTTGAGGCAAAGTCTTGCTCTGTCTCCCAGGCTGGAGTGCAGTGGTGTGACTGATCTCGGCTCACTGCAACCTCCACCTCCCAGGTTGAAGCGATTCTCCTGCCTCAGCCTCCAGAGTAGCTGGGATTACAGGCACCTGCCACACGCGTGGCTAATTTTTTTGTATTTTTAGTGGAGCGGGGTTTTGCCATGTTGCCCAGGCTGGTTTCGAACTCCCGAGCTCAGGCAATCTGCCTGCCTCGGACTCCCCAAGTGCTGGGATTACAGGTGTGAGCCACCGCACCCACCCTCACTAACTTTTTTAAAAATTTTTTTGTAGAGACAGGGTCTCCCTGTGTTGCCCAGGCTGATCTCAAACCCTTGGTCTCAAGTGATCCTCCCATCTTGGCCTCCCGAAGTGCTAGGATTACAAGTGTAAGCCACCATGCCCAGCCTAAGTATTTCTTGTTTAAAAATGTGTGAGTCTATAAAGCTCTGAAATTATCTGTATTAGTCAAAATAAGGAGAGGTGGAGAGTGATGGGGAAGAGGCTCTAACTTATAACTTAATTTACATGTGTTTTACACAAGAATTTTTTTTTATTGTGTAAAGTGAAGTAATTTGATATTCCTGAAAAATTTTTACTGTGAATAGCTGTCTTCTTTTTTACTAGCCTGTGCAGGTTGGCAGCCAAATTCCAGACAATTCGTACAATTGAATTGCCTCACCATAAACAGTTCTTTCCCTTCCACTCTCAAAGTGAAACTACTCAAACTATTTTTGTGGTGAAGATATGTCATAGCTTAGCAAAGGGAACACTGGAAGAAGTACTAGAAGACATGAGTTTGAATCCTATCCTTGCCATTACTAGACTTAGGTAAGTCACTCAAGCTTTGGCTTTCTCATCTGTTAAACTGCACCAGTACACACACCCCTGCCTCCTAACATCATTGCTACTCATTTAGCAACCACCCAATGTCAGGGCCTGGGTTAGTTATTGAAGTAATGAAGATGAAAAAGACTTCTCTGGTGGGCAAGGAAGACAGGCAAATAAGTAGTTCTATATGCCAGTGAATGAGGACAGAGAACAAATTAAAAGGCAGAATTTTTAAAGACAACTGGGTATGGAATGAGTGGCTGAAGAAAATAAAATGAGTGATGTTAAGGCTACCTGAAATTTTAATTTTCTCCCTCCACCAAATTTCACCTTTCTTTATAGAAGGACACCTCAACAAATACAATAAAAATAAAAGTATCATTTCAGCCTAGAACAGCCATATTACATACTTTCTCCTTTTCTGTGTCAGTTTATTCATGCCAATGGTTCTTCAGAAAGACAACGATTAAAATTTTAGTTTCTAGCATTGGCTCCACAGGAAAGACGAAGTGCTACAGATACTGCATTTCTAAGTTCACTTTCTTCCCACTAACTCACCAGCCATTAGGTTAAAACCATTTGGACCACGATATCAGCAACAAACAAGAAGTTTACATTTCTCTTAAGTGCAATAGAATCAATCTGAATAAGCAAAAAAAAAAAAAAAAAAAAAAAAACCAAGAATGCTTAGAAATATGCCCTAGAACTGGGCACGGTGGCTCATGCCTGTAATCATAACCCTTTGGGAGGCCAAGGTGGGAGAACTGCTTGAGCCCAGGAAGTTGAGACTAGGCAACTTAGAGAGATCCTGTCTCTTTGTTTGAGTCTCACTCTGTCACCCAGGCTAGAGTGCAGAGGCGCGATCTTGGCTCACTGCAACCTCTGCCTCCCAGGTTCAAGCAATTCTCCTGCCTCAGCCTCCCGAGTAGCTGGGATTACAGGTGTCTGCCACCATGCCTGGCTAACTTTCTTTGTATTTTTAGTAGAGACAGGCTTTCACCATGTTGGCCAGGCTGGTCTTGAATTCCTGACCTCAAGTGATTTGCCTGCCTTGGCCTCCCAAAGTGCTGGAATTACAGGCATGAGCCACCATTCCCAGCCGGGAGACCCTCTCTCTTAAAATAAAATAAAATAAAAATAAAATAAAATAAAAAAGGCTAGGCAGGGTGGTATGTGCTTGTAGTCCCAGTTATTCGAGAGGCTGAGGTGGGAGGATTGCTTGAGCCTGGAAAATTGAGGCTGCAGTGAGCTATGCACTCTAGTCTGGGTGACAGAGCGAGACCCTGTCTCAAAAGAAAAAAAAAATATGCCCTAAACATCTCATTTGGAAATATTTTTGCCAATTCTCCTAACATTCACACATGTTAAATTTCCTCCTTTAAAATAAACTGCTCCATTTTCTGTTTGTTCTGCAAGTTTATAAGTAACTTAGCAATGTGGGAGTGAGTGGGTGCCAGTGCTGAATCATGAGGACAGGAAGGGGTATAAAGAGTTCTCTATTAATGACTATGATTAATTAAATGAAGCAAAGATGAGCTTCTGGACTTGGGTGAGTGGCCCTAAATGATATGCCAGAGTCATCATAAGCTAACTGCAGCATGCTGGTTGCTACAGCAGGGTCAGCTAGACCGTGCAAGTGTCCCGAGCAGACGTTCCTATTAGTTTTCATTCAACTACATGTAAGTTTTAGACCTTAGCTGGCAGTAAAGAAGCTGTGATGATCAGTCAGTAACATTAAGTGAGCATGCACAGTGAGTACACAATAGTAAGCACTCTGGGGTGACATAAATCCCCACCTATAAAATAAGTTTGAACTGAATGAACTCTCTAAGATCCTTAAAGTCTGTTAAATATAAGATATGGTTCCTGTCAGGAGACAGGACTATCTTCACTTCGCAAAAATATTGTTATCTATTTCTGACACAATTAGGTGGGAACAAACTGAGGAAAACTGAAGACCTAAACCTAATTATAAGAGAAGAACAAGAGGACTAAGAGCTGACAATAGACTTTTCAATCCTATCAACAGGTCAGTTGAAGAACTATCTTCTTTAATAGATACGTGGGCTGTGGCAGCTATACTTCCCTTCATTCAAGATTTTGAGTTGTAGAAAAGAGATAATAAACTTGAAACATCACACAGTGTTTTATTCTGCCCAGGATTCCCTGACCTTTAGGGAACCACCCCCTTTCACTCCCAAACCAAGTGGTTTGATTAGGCTTGATTGCAATCTCCCAACTCCTAAGGATGGGCACCTGACCCAGGCCTGGCCAATCAAATGATACCCTTCCTGAGCACCATGACCAGCTCCAGGATGGACACATGGTCTGAAATAGGCAAGGGACAGACAATGGGATGGCTAACCCAATATATACCCTCAACCCTCTTTTCCTTATCTGACTTTATTATATAGAACAGAAAAGCTAAATACTCACTTTATTAGCCTGTTTTGCAGCTAGGAGGTCACATATGACACAGTTCTGGATGATGACATATGAGCAGGAGTTTGCTAAGCAGGCTTCTAGGAAAGCTTTTGCTTTCCCGATTAAGGGAACAGATACTGCTAATGCACCTTCTTTCCTCCATTTTCTTGCTTTGAATATCGATGTGATTTCTGGACAAGCTACAGTCATATGGTGACAAGTTACCATATAGTATGCAGGCAACATTCTAAAGATGGCAGGGCAGAAAATGAAAAAGCTGGATCCTTGACACAAGTAAGCTACTCTATCTGCTCCAGACTATGGAGGAAACCTCTTGATATGAGGAAAACATGTATCTTATTTCTTAAACCACTATAATTTTCTACTACTTATAGCCAAACACATTCCTAATAAAAAGTCTTTCAAAGATTTTTTCTGGAGCTATTTAGGAAGCTCTTTCCAGAAGGATTGTTATGGTAATAGAATGTAGGCCTGGACTGCTGGCTCCATCTTTGCAAACACTTGGGGAAATCCTGTTTGAAAATGAAGGCAGAACACAGGAAAGCGGAGCAGAGGAGAGTCAGATTCCTGGCATGGAAGATCATCTCACAACCTGAATTCCAACAGGGCCTGAAGTCAGCTGTAGCTCAAGATTTTTCAGTTATGAGCCTTTAAGAGTTCCCTTTTTCGCTTAAGCCAGTTTAAACTAAGTTTCACTGGAAAGAGTCTTGACTAAACATGCCACATAGAAGCATTTATATTAACCAACACAAATACATTAATTTGACACATTAATCTGTGACTTTAAGATGACAGTCAAATAGGTTCTCCTTCTGTATATGTATACAGTTGACCCTTGAACAACACAGGTTTGAATTGCATGGGTCCACTTATATGTGAATTTTTTTCAATAGAAATTATATTGAGTGTGCCTGCCTCTCCTTCCACCTCCTCCACCACTTTCGCCTCTGCCACCCCTCCTTTCTCTTCCTCCTCAGCCTACTCAATATGAAGACAATGAGGATGAAGACCTTTATGATGATCCACTTACAAACAGTCTATTTTCTCTTCCTTATAATTTTTCTTAATAACATTTTATTTTCTCTGGCTTACTTTAAGAATACAGTATATAATACATATAAACATACAAAATGTGTTAATCGACTTATACATGGATTTTCAACTGTAGGCAGGGGGTTAGGGGGGTGGAGTTGGCACCCCAGCCCCTGCATTGCTTAAGGGCCCATTGTATTTGTGTGTTTTTAAAAGTCTCATATTCTATTTATACAAATATATGTAAATAAATGAATATAAATATGTGAATATATATCCGGAAAGATATTCTCAAGTTAATCCAGACAAGACTAGGATTGGGGGTGGTAGTTGCAGATAACTAACTTGCTGTAAAATTTTAATTTTATTTTATATGTTCTCACAGATTACCTGCAGATATACAAATGAAATTTTAATAAGTCTGCTGTGAATATGTAAGTGCCAGGCAGTGTATACTAGCTAAGAACATAGATTTTAGAGTTAAAGAAACCTAATTTTAACATCTGGCTTATGACATTAGGCATGTTATTTAACTTCTGTTAATCTTCCATTTCCCATCTGTAAAAAGGAATAGTAATGGTACATTATAGTGTTATTGTGAGAATTTAATGAGCTAGTATATAAGAAGTGTTCAGCACATAGCAAAGTTCTAATTATTGTTAGAAATTATGAACAAAAATGATAATTTATGTCTAACTTTGAGTAATTACTTAAATGAAAACTACTTGAAAGAAGCTTAGTTTTTCTCAGTCCAAACTCAAAAACTTGTATTGAATTTTTAGAAGTATTCTTCATGAGTTTAAACACCATCAATCTAATATTCCTATATTAAGTAATTTAAAATAAATACAGTGAGATTGAACTTGCCCCAGTTAGACCCCCAAATGAAGACCTCCCAATTGGCCTAAGCAGCATCACTGAGGATTACTAGGAGTCTTTTCTAAAAGCCAGAGGCTCCTTCTGTGTGCACACATTTTTATTTCATGTAAAGTGTTATACAGTTCACTGTATTGTTTGTAAGCTTAAAAGAAATTCACCCCAAATTTTTCTATGGATTTTCGTAAAGATCCTTTATGTTAAGGCATAAAAAAAACTGAAGCTTATCAAATGCCTTTTCTGCATCAATTGAGATAAACATGATTTTTCTTGCTTAAGGTGTTAAAAATATTAATAGATTTTTCTGTTATAAAATATTAATAGATTTTCTGTAGGTGAACCACCCTTGCATTACTGGGATAAACCCCACTTGATCACAATGTATAATTTTTAGAAGTCACAAGCTTTATCTGCTATTTTAGAGTCATAACTTTAATGGTTAATATTTATTAAATGTTTAGTATGTGCCAGGCACTATTCTATGTTCTCCTTACATGCATTAGCTCTTTTCTCACTGTAACAATTTAATGAGGTAAAACCATTTTTAATCACCATTTTACAGATGAATGAACTGATATACACAGAGGTTAAATAATCTGCCTAAGTCACAAAGGGAGGTACTAGTAAAGCCAGGATTCATACTCAATCTGTCTGAAAACCGTATTGTACAACTCCCAGTTCACCATTCAAAACACGTGCAACATGGTGAAACTGAGATTGACACTACACTATTTTTTTTTTTTTTTGAGACGAAGTCTTGCTGTGTCGCCCAGGCTGGAGTGCAGTGGCGTGATCTCGGCTCACTGCAAGCTCTGCCTCCTGGGTTCATGCCATTCTCCTGCCGCCTCCCGAGTAGCTGGGACTACAGGCGCCTGCCACCACGCCTGGCTAAATTTTTTTTTTTTGTATTTTTTTAGTAGAGACGGGGTTTCACCATGTTAGCCAGGATGATCTCGATCTCCTGACCTCGTGATCCGCCTGCCTCCGCCTCCCAAAGTGCTGGGATTACAGGTGTGAGCCGCCGCGCCCGGCTGACACTACACTCTTAATCACTACAGTCCAGAGGTTATAAATTGAGTACATAACCTGTGCAGAGCACTAAGCTAAACCCTATACATTTTGCAGAAAAGTCATGATGTACCAAAACATAAGCTATATTGTATATTCCAAAGACCAAATTAATCTTTTAAAGTAAAAAAAAAAAAAAAAAATCCAGGTGGCTACATACCAAATATAATCGTGTGTAGGTGTCTTCCAACCTCAGCTGTAAATAGCTATAACATGAATGGCAATACCTTCAAGCAGCTGCTAATAGGCCAACAAGAGGCACACAGGATATGCATCATGTGGTTGGTGAGTGGGCAGGGAGTGGGAAGTGAAAAGGTAGAATCTGATTGGTGGCTTAAGTAAAGAGCTTCAAGAACCTGTTGACATCTCATGAGAGTAGCGATGATAAAGATCAACTAGCAAACATAGATCAAAAACTGAATTTCCATACTGGAGGAAAAGTGGAAGCAGGCAATATGCTAGGTTTATTTACATTCAATTATGTATTGTTGGTATAACTTTATACACATCTAGCTGGATTAGTGCTAAAAGACCATGAACATCTGCCTAAGGAGACCACTTCAAGCAGTGGATAAAAGCCGTTTAAAGACTTTAAAGTCTCTGCAAAGTGCATCTAGCCATTAAGCGGAAATGGCCTCCTAACTAGTTTTCACTCCACCAGTCTTCTCTTCAAAATCAAAATATGCCGACACCAAGACTGGAAAGGGCTGCCCCTAACTTTTACCACAGTGCTCCCTTAAGGTCATCACTAAACTCAGTGATAAGCAAAGGGATTACTGTTAAGAGGCCAATTAATAGCAAAATATATAAGAAATGATTTGTTTAGACATCTCAACCTATTTAACTAGTTAAATAATAGTGGAACTTTGGATTTTCCTTTCCTCTTCTTTTGCTTTACAAAATAATATATTTACCCTTTTTTTATTTCATGGAAAGTCTTAGGTTTTTACAACTAACAGATTTTTAAAATTTTCACAGAAAAAGTACTCAATTGCCAGGAATGCTCAGAGCAGTGCACAGTGACTTTTGGTGCAGTAGGTTACATTTTCCAGCCGTTCTATCTAGACAGCAGACAGGAAACTCCTCAGGAAACCTTGTTCTTCAGGCTGCTGTTTAGCAACTCTTTGACACAGATGATTAATTAACTAGCAACCATTAACAACAGTTAAAACTCCTCTAGAGACAGAAGGGTAGCATAAGGGTGTCTGATCTTCTTCACTCTTCATTATTGTTTACCTTGAACCAGGCAAGATTTACTAATTAATGAAGTCAGTGAAAGAGGACAATTATTTTGCTACTTCTAAGGACACATTTACCAAGAGGCATTAGTAAATTAGTTTTATGTTCCTGATGCTGGCCAATAAATGGAACATAATAGATCTTGTTAGTTCCTTCTATAATATAGAACTTTCCTCTAGGTTAAGACTTACTGTGCTCTTCTCAAGGTGTTAGGGCCTCATATTATTTTACAGTTCTAAACCAAATGCAACAGAAACATGTAACCATCAGAGGGCTATTTAACATACAAGCATACATCTCTATTTACTAGCCTGGGCTGGTTTTAGAAGAGAACACACTTTACCTCATTGCCCTTTATGCCTGTGACAACAAAAGCTCTGGAGTCACACTAGAATTACAAAGAGAGAACCGCAAAGGGAAGGTGAGGTCTTCCCTTTGCCACCTTCCCTTTGCAAATGTCTGGCTGACAGTTTGAGAGGAGGAGTGTCAAATTCACTCTGTCATTTGGTACCATCAATCAGATAATCTAAACGTCCAATTCAAAAGAAACCAAAACTCAGGAAAATTTGTTGCTGGGTCATCCTGTTCAAGTCTTATCTGTTCTGTTTTAATTTGTTGCTCCTAGGAAAAGTATTCCCCTTATTCACTCTTCACATCATTAAGCTGTTCTGTCCAAAGGAGATAAGGAAGTGCTTGTAAAAACTGTTGCTAAATCAACAGGTGGAGATAAAAAACCATTTTGTCTTTCTCAGCAGTGACTTGGCTAGTTGCAAGTAATACTGATGAGTGCAAATCTGGCAATCTATCTTCATACTTCTTTTCTAACAACGTTCACATCTGATTCTGTGTTAGTGGCAAGAGTGCAATAGCAACAGCTTCACAGTCCTGGCTGGAATAAGAAATACGAGGTATTTTGGCTCAGTATTTGGAAAGGACATCTTGATATACATGTAGTAGGTTATGGCATTGAGGTCAAAGCTCCATCTCCAGTAATTTTTCCCATAGACACCAATAAATCAGGAGACACAAAGCCAAGGGTCATCTATTAGCAAAGGAGCTACACAAACACGCACTTTCTCCTACGGCATTAGGAATGAGATTTTATTCAGTTTGACAAATATTGAACATTTTCTTACTTAGGACCTTGATGTTAAAAAAAAAAATCCTACAGATAATACATTTGCTTAAAAATCCTTAATAGATTACTCTATTGGAAGGGAAATCTTGCCCAAACAGATGGTTACCAGAAAAAGATTCCCCCCTCCTCTCACCTGTTTATGAGGACCCCTGAGTATATGTGCCTTAGCGCCTTCACAAGCTGTCCTCATTGCTTCCAGTGATGGTGTGCCCAACAGATCCGTGATCAAATCCAACTACAAGGAAATAAAATACAGATAGATAGTAATCTCATGGAAATAACTTTTCATTACTCTTAAATCATAGCCTTAGAGAAGTGGACCAAATCTGGGGGAAAAAACCTTAAGACAAGCTCTAGATTAACTGACAGGAGCCCCTACTTTCACTTTCTGGCCTATTAAAAAAGATTTCTAGGAATTTATAATAAATAAATTCCTCATGTAAAGGAATTTAAAATAAATAAATTCCTCATGTAAAGGAATTTAAAATAAATAAATTCCTCATGTAAAGGAATTTAAATAAATTCCTCATGTAAAGGAATTTAAATAAATTCCTCATGTAAAGGAATTTAAATAAATTCCTCATGTAAAGGAATTTAAATAAATTCCTCATGTAAAGGAATTTAAATAAATTCCTGTTATTATTCCTATTTATTATTTAAAAGTTCCTATCTATCCTATTCCTATTTAACATATTATTTATTATATATAGGATTATCCTATATATTCCATTCCTATTTATCCTATTTCTATTTATCCTATTCCTATTTATTCTATTATTTAGTTCCTATTTATCCTATTATTTAAAAGTTCCTACTTATTTATTTAAAAGTTCCTATTTATATGATAGAAATATAGAAAATATGTTTTGATAAGCATGACATTCTAAGGCTATAGCAATTTGGGAGTCTGCATGTCTGTCCTGTTTTCTTGATACCATAGCATCTAAGATCTTTGCAAAGTTGAACTCCTCTTCTGTTGATGCCTAATGACTATTCTTTCCAAACAGTTAATGAATGGATTCTGATGCTTCAAATGGATTCAGGCTCACCAAGGTGCTAATCCACAAATCAGACACCTGTGATTTAATAAATACTGAAAATATTCACACCTGAAATGAAAGCTAAGCTCTCCATGCTTGGGCCAGTACACATCCTTTACATTCTAGTCATGCTAGAAATCTCTTACGCTGGCAGAAAACTGTGACACTTAGAAAAATATGACACCACATAAGACCACATTTAGCTAGCTGGACACAATAAAAGAGACCAATAAAACAGTCTTCTTGCAAACAAGTCTTTGGGTAGCAAACTATCTTACCAATTTTCTGTAGTGTCACAATTGTTCTAACTTCATAACCTAATTAGCAATAACATTTCATTTGGATCCTTCCAGGATGGGAAATTCTTACCTAGAGAACACTTCTTTTCCTGGTTCTGGGCTTGCCGAATATAAAGCACTATTTTCTGCACTTATCTAAACCATGGGGTAGCCATCAGCATCAACACCCTACAGGTTAATGGAGATACTTGAGAAGCTTGCTTTCCACAGAAATAAAGATCTCTATACAAAGCTTTTTGGGAAAAGTGTGTAGGTGATACTTTTGGATCTCTAACAACCACACTAAAGGCAGAAGGAAATGACTAGCTTATAAAAACAAACTGAAACATTCAGAAAGTTGTCTAAAATGGGTCAGATCCATACATGAGAAACACTTTTATGATGTCTGCTAGTACCAGGGTAATTAAATCTCAAAGATACAGAGAAAATACAACAGGAAATAATGACTTCCATTAGAAGTTAGAGCCTTTTCCTATTTTAGATCTTCATTTCTCACCCCAACACACACCAACAATTAGACAGACATGAATTCTCCTGCAGTGGCTATGTCAGACTGCCAAACTGAAGATCTATGTATTTCTCTAGCAAAGGGATATCTGAACTCCAGTCCAGTTGCTTCACACTTTCCCTCACATATTTTTTGCAGCAGCAATTCAAGATTCTTGTTCCATATATAGGATTTGAATACTTCCTTATTATTTTTTACTTAAGCTTTTCTGTATGCAAGGTAGTAGTCACATCCATTTTATGACAGCTTATGTCCAGATATGATAGTCTTACAGGTTAAGTCTGTTAAACTTTACTTTCTGAAGAAATTGAAAAGTGAATATTGTCAAAAGTACCCAACATTAGATTAAGTATTATATGTACATAATTTTTTTAACACCAGAATCAATTTTTAAGATGTAAACTTTAAAAAAGACAGTTAAAACGTATAGCATAGAAAAATTTAAATGTTGATAAAAGCAGATATAGTTTCTAACATATTAGGTAAAAATTCTTTGTAGAAAAAGCATAAAAGAAATAATTCTGTCTGGTCAAGTGCATTAATTATTTACAAAGACACAGTAGTCAGTGTGATCTTTTAAAATGTCATCAATCAAATCTTAGTATTCCTTTGGTCAAAACCTTCATTTAAGTTTTCTATCACACTTAGAATAAAATCTTAAGGCTTTATCATGTCACCATGGCCAGGTTCTTTCTCACTTTCTGACCTCATTTCCTACAGCGTCTTCCATCACATACCTTCCCTCCAACATGCCATGCTTGTTCCTGCCTCAGGGGCTTTGTTATGGTGGTTGTCCCTCTTCTTGGAACATTTCTCCAGCATCTTACTGCCTTATTTTATGTGGGTGAAATGTTATATCCTCAGAGAATCCTTTAGTGCCTGCTCTGCTCTGCCACCATTGTCTGTCCCTAACCTGGCTACATTTTTCTTTATGGAACTTCCATTACTTGGAATCATATTTATTTGCATATTTATTTTTGTCTCATGTAAAAGTTTCACAAAGGTTAAGAACAATGCTGTCTTATTTACTGCTGTATCCCTAGAGTCCTGGCACACTACCACCATCGTAATTGCAAACATTTACAGAGTGCTTACTATGTGCCAGGCCCCGTTTTCAGCTTTCCTACTTCATTGTACAACAATCCTCAGAACAGTTTTAGGGGCCAAAAAAAAAAAAAAAAAAGAAGAAGAAGCAGCAAAAAAAAAGGAACACAGAGGTTAAGTAACTTACCCAAGATTTAACATAAGTGGTGCAGCTAGGATTTGAACCCACCAATCTGATTTCACAGCCTGAGCTCATAGTTACTACATTATTTTCATGCAAGCAAATTAATACAAAATACCCAGTAATTATGTCAATATGTGTATTAGTGAATAATTAGCTTTAAAGACAATTCAAGTAACATGAATGGCTTCTAAAGGATTCTCTGAGGAAATTATATTTTAATCATCTCCTGATGTTCTCTGCCATATTTAGATATTTTAGTCCAATAATAAAGGTTAGAAATTTTCCTAAATGTTCAGATTTCAAGAAATCAACACACTAAAAATTTATATTCTAAGCACAAAGTGTAAGTACATTAAGTCACCAATACATTTTCAAGTCAGAGCCATTCACTTAGAAGGAAGAGAGGCCTTCTAACAACTGAAGATTATACCTGTGCAAATTGTCATAGCAGAGCTCACAGCTATGCATCAGTGCATATAATAAAGTCAACTGGCCGGGTGCAGTGGCTCATGCCTGTAATCCCAGCACTTTGGGAGGCTGAGGCAGGTGGATCACCTGAGGTCAGGAGTTCGAGACCAGCCTGGCCAATACAGCAAAACCCTGTCTCTACTAAAAATACAAAAACTAGCCAGGTGTGGTGGAGCGTGCCTGTAATCCCAGCTACTTGGGAGGCTGAGGCAGGAGAATCGCTTGAACCTGGCAGGTGGAGGTTGCAGTGAGCCAAAATGGCACCATTGCACTCCAGCCTGGGCAACAAGAGCAAAACTCCGTCTCAAAAAATAATAATAATAATAAATAAATACATAAATAAACTCAATACTCCCTCTAAAGGCTCATAAGTTACAAAATGAATCTCTTTGTAATCTTCAACTTTATAACTTTCTGAATTTTAAGTGAACCTGAATTTCCTAAAAGCAAATTAGACAGTATAATGAATAAGCCCAAGACACATGTGCAAGATGGATTTTCCTTCAAATCTGCAATAGAATTGCAACTAAAGCCTTAAATTGAAATCATACCTGCTGAATGGGACTCTGTGCCTGAAACAATATTCTTCGTCCTAGTAGTTCTGCAAAGATACATCCCACAGACCAGATGTCAATAGCATTGCTGTAATGACGGCTGCCCATCAGGATTTCTGGAGCCCGATAATACTGAGTAACAACTTCCTGAGTCATATGACGGGATTCATCTAATTCTTCCACTCTGGCCAATCCAAAATCACAAATCTAGACAGAAAAGGCAATCAAAACATTATCAAGCAAATACAAATGAAAGAGTAAAACAAAACATCAAAATTTTGATAGGGCACTGAACTTTGAAACTTTTTTTTTTTTTTTTGAGATGGAGTCTCACTCTGTCACCCAGGCTGGAGTGCAGTGGCACAATCTCAGCTCACTGCAACCTCTGCTTCCTGGGTTCAAGGGATTCTTCTGCCTCAGCCTCCCGAATAGCTGGGACTACAGGTGCCTACCACCACGCCTGGCTAATTTTTTTTTTTTTTTGTATTATTTAGTAGAGAAGGGGTTTCACCATATTGGCCAGGCTGGTCTCAAACTCCTGACCTCAGGTGATCCATCTGCCTTGGCCTCCCAAAGTGCTGGGATTACAGGTGTGAGCCACTGCGCCCGGCCACTCTGGAACATTTTTAATGATATAGGTATAGTATATTTATGTCAATATACAATCTGGTTTTATTTGGTTAAGAGAGGAAAAAAGTCTCAAACTTACATCATTTTCTTAAAAATATTCTTCTCATCTTTATCAATAAAAACATGTCTGTTTTCAGTTGATAATCGAAGCAAAAAAAACTAGGTGAACGTAAACGACTTTATTTATTTTTTTAGACAGGGTCTCACTCTGTCTCCCTGGCTGGAGTGCAGTGGCGTGATCGATCTGAGGCTCCTCCCACCTCAGTCTCCTGAGTAGCTGGGACTACAGGCATGTGCTACCACACCTGGCTAATTTTTGTGGGTTTTTTTTTTTTTTTGTAGGGATGAGGTTTTGCCATGTTGCCCAGGCTGGTCTTGAACTCCTGGGTTCAAGCAATCTGCTTGCCTTGGCCTCCCAAAGTGCTGGGATAACAGGCGTGAGCTACTGCACCTGGCCAAATGCATACTTGTAGGTTTGATTTAGAGACCAACTGTTGGCCAGGCACAGTGGCTCATGCCCGTAATCCCAGGGATTGAGAGGACTGCTTGAGAGATCAGGAGTTTAAGACCAGGCTGGACAACATAACAAGATCTCAACTCTACAAACAATTAAAAAAAAAAAAAGCTGGGCGTGGTGGTGTGCACCTGTAGTCCCGGCTACTCTGGAGGCTGAGGTGGGAGGACTGCTTGAGCCCAGGAGTTTGAGGCTACAGTGAGCTATTACTGTGCCACTGCACTCCAGCCTGGGAGACAGAGTGAGATTGAGACCCTATCTTTAAAAAAAATTTAAAAACCCCCACAAAACCAATTACTTTCAAGACTAGTTTAGAGAGGAAGATATCATAAGATAAAGGGGTGTATCTTGAAGGTCTCCTTAGCTGAGACTGTGTCTGTCGTCTTTATGAAATATATGTGAATTTCTTTAAAGCAATGGGTTTCAAACTGACTCCAGTTGAATCTACTTCTGACTTTAGGCATTCCATGAATATTATATCCAAACTTCACATGTACCTATCTATTTAAAATACAAATTCATACTCAAATGTATAAATATGTTAAAATGCAGTATATGGTAGAATACTAATGCTATGGGGTTCATTCATTTCTTCATGCCATAAATATTTAAGTTAGTACTTGTTATATTACAGACTGTATGTTAGAATCTGGAGATACAGCAATAAATAATAAAGACAGGTTAACTTCTATACAAACTTAGAAATAAATCTTTTCTTGCTATTTCTGCTCAACTGAAAAGTATGCTGAGGGTTACAAGGTGAGCTATTAATAAACAGCAGCCGTGCCACCACCAGCAACTACTACTTATCTTTAGGAATTAAAATTTTCTTGATATTGGGCAATCAAAACACAACTAGGAGCACTGAGGATGAGATCAGATAGTAATGGCCATCTAAGCTCCAGTGTTCTCACTGATTAACTTTACAAGTCACAATATTGCAAGTGATAAAATATGATTTTAAATCTGTTTTCTAAATTGAAGTCCCCAAATAAGATTTTATTTGAAAAAGAGTTCCGGCAGCTTAAAAAGAAAATCTGAAAACCCCGTTCTAAAGAAAACAAAATTTATCCCCCAATTTTTGGCAATCCCCTCTTTCTGATTTGAATCTACTATGTCTGGTTACATCAAATGAATTCAGATGTGTATGTGGGAATGAATCAGTATGAAGCCACCATCTTTACAACTTAAGAAAGCAGGAAAATTTTCCATACTATACAGATAAACCATATAACATAACAACAAAAGCCCGAGTTCATCAAATATGTTCAAATAACATATATATATATATATTTTTTGAGACAGTCTCACTCTGTCACCCAGACTGAAGTGCACTGACATGATGTCGGCTCACTGCAACGTCTGCCTCTCAGGTTCAAGTGATTCTCGTGTCTCTGCCTCCTGAGCAGCTGGGACTAGTGGCATGCGCCACCACGCCTGGCTAATTTTTGTATTTTTAGTAGAGACAGGGTTTTGCCATGTTGGCCAGGCTGGTCTCAAGTTCCTGGCCTCAAGTGATCTGCCCACCTCAGCCTCCCAGTGCTGGGATTACAGGCGTGAGCCACTGCGCCCGGCCAAAATAACATATAATATTTTAAAAACTCTATTACTTGGCCATGACTCTTGAGGATATTTTTAAAAACCAAACCAACAAAAGGAAAGAACATAATTTTTTTCTCATATTTATATGAGAAAAACCAACCAACCACCCATCCAACAAAAAAAGGCCTTCTGTTATAAAGCAAATCCCTTATTAAAAACATCAGTATGATTTCGTCATTTTTAGCAACTTATTTGGAAGACAACCTGAGTCCAAAATAGGAAGCTTACATGATCAGATAACTAAAAAAATTCCAGCAAAATTATCCATCTTGTGCTTAATAGGAAACAAAATACATTCACGATATGGAAGGATACTGATTTTTAAAAAATGTTTTGTTATAATGATCTTCAATGAATTTGTATGTTTGAGAAGAAAGAACTAGTGTCTATAGCCTAGACTCTATTCTGGCTTTTTAAAAGTAGGCCCATAAGATGAGTCAAAGGAGTGGAGCAAAATTTGTTTGTTCTGATTTGTGTGTTGTGTATTCACAAATGGCATTTTCCTTTAGTTGCCCATTCATACAGTCCAAGGTTATAAAACCATAACGGACAATTTGGAAAATGAACTTCAAGCAGTTAATGGCATCAAACATGACAGGTCCTGCACAAAATCCTGTGTGAAGTCTTCCAATCAAAAACCAAAATAAGAAGAAATTGGCTTAAACTGTCGTAAGATTGATTAGGTATGAATAGGACAAAAAAATTTCTAACTATAAGGTTTAAATTTTTTTTTTAATTAAAAAACGATTATGGGGATAGGTTGCAAGTTCTCTTTAAAAAGTGAAAAGGTGGCAGGAAAAACTCAATAACCTATAGAAGGAATACTTTAGTAGATTTTGGTGGCAATTAACTTCTCTGTGGAAACAAAAGACTGAATTACAACATCAGCTATTTTTAGGGAAAATATGAAAAATAGGTTTTCATCTTTCTTGAGTTAAAATAAGGGTGAGGGTTCTTCAAGGCTATAATGAAGGGAGAATTTTCATTCATAAGCAGTATAATCCACCAGCTTTTCAAGAGAACTGACCTACAGTTCAGAGAAATCATTTAAAATAAAAAATGAATTTTATTTATACACTTGGTTTTATTACTTAGTTTAACCGCCAGCAACCTAAGTAATAATGATAGTCTTGATTACTTTTAAAGTGGGTAACATTTTAAAAATTTATTTTTCTTTTCAAATATAGCAGTTAAAGGCCCTTATTTCCAATTTCTATTATGAGGAAAAATATAGTGGACCTCTCTCTATTCAAGAGTTCTGCCAATACACATCTGTATTAGAGGTAGGGAAATACAAATATGTGGACTTTGCTATTTGCAAGCCCCTTTTTAAATGAAAGACAATGGCTGTACTAGGGAAGAGAAGTAAAACTGAAACTGATGACTTGAAATTTTGGAACTACTAAATATAATTCTGTAATCAATTCCTCTTCAGAGGAATAATTAAGAATTGGCTACTATACATTATGGAAATACATTGGATAGATGCATATTACCCTTTTCTGGTTTGGCATTTTCACTTTTTTTTTTTTTTTTTTTGAGACAGGGTCTCACTCTGTCACCTAGGTGGAAGTGCAGTGGTGTGATCACAGCTCACTGCAGCCTTCACGCTCTGGGCTCAGGTGATCCTCCCATCTCAGCCTTCTGAGTAGCTGGAACTACAGGCATGTGCAACCACACCTAGCTAATTTTTGAATTTTTTATTGAGATGGGGTTTTGCTGCATTGCCCAGGCTGGTCTTGAACTCCTGGGCTCAAGCAATCTGCCCGCCTCAGCCTCCCAAAATGCTGGAATTACAGGCATGAGCCACCGTGTCTGGCCAGCACTATCCCTTTTAAATATGTTTCTACTTCTTACTTTGCTACCTTGGTCAAACAGCATATAGATATGTTAGCTGTGTAAAAATGTAAATGGTCTTCCTAAAAGTCACACTTCATTCTCTTATATAAACAGATGCTTGCTGTTCTAATATTTCTTCTGATATGCACTTCTTTTAATAATGGAACAAGCTGTAAAGGAGTCACCTTGTCTATTCTTCTTTCTAGTTACACTACAATTCCAATTTCAGTGTTTCTAAAACATAGGCCAAATATCATGAAAAGAACATGAGGCAGGACTACAAATTATTACCATGGCTATGAGTAGTGATATGGAGAAAACTGGGTTAACTTTTGGTAAAGTAATGGAAATGAACTTCTTTCTTTCACAAAAATATGTTGTTCTTAAACCTGCCCTGACATTCTGATTTTTCCCAGGTATTTAAATAAACTGAAAAGCTACCTTTAGAACACAGTTGCTGTTCACAAGGAGATTCCCTGGCTTAATGTCTCGATGTAAAATGCCAGCTGAATGGAGATATTTCAAACCTGAAATAACAAACAGATTTAATTGCAGATATTTAATTCCTTTTACTCAACCAATAATTTAAAAAAAACCTTGGAAGAAAACAGTAGAGGATTTAAAATTGTTCCCTAAATAACTGCATAATGAACATTATTAAAAGCTAGTCCCACCTCAAAATACCGTAATTTTGCTACAGTAAAATAAAATGTCACCAAAGGTTTGCAAAGTCTAGAGATAATGTCTATAATTTAAACAATTATGTAGGTTTAAATACAGATAAGCTTCTTAGGCACTCGAGTTAAGACCATACTAATAACCTTAGATTGCTAGTCAGTGTGGCTATTGGACTGCTGCTATTGATACTCTTAACCTGCAACTCGGAGCCTGCTCCAACAAAACAGTTTCCATTACTACAGGGAGCCTTTCCCAGGACAGATGTTTCACTGATAGAACAAAATTCAGGAACTTGCCCACACTGTCAGTAGTATTCTTTACCGCTCAGAATCAAGAGGGTAATGAACCACTTTAAAAATATTTGTGAAATCTTAGAAGACCAGTGTCTTCATTCAGTACTGCTAAAGGTCCCAGCCTCAAGGTTGAGTCCTTTTTGTGTGCGTTTTTCTTTTTTTCTTTTCTTTTTTTTTTTTGAGACAGGGTCTCGCTCTGTAACCTAGGCAGGAGTGTGGTGGTATGATCACAGCTCACTGAAGCCTCGACCTTCCTGGCTCAAGCCATGCTCCCATCTCAGCCTCCTGAGAAGTGGGAACTACGGGCATGTACCACCATATCCGGCTAATGGGCTGAGTCTTTTTTGGATAAAATGTAGCAAATCACATTTTTCACAAGTACAAAAAGAGCCAATATCTTCCCCATTTTCCCCTACCATAGAATATGAACAAATCTTAGAGGTGAACGTTTTTGTTTTTTTTGAGACGGAGTCTCACTCTGTTGCCCAGGATGGAGTGCAGTGACGCGATCTTGGCTCCCTGCAGCCTCCACCTCCTGGGTTCACTCGATTCTCCTGCCTCAGCCTCCCAAGTAGCTGAGACTACAGGCGAGTGCCACCATGCCCAGCTAAGTTTTGTATTTTTTTAAAGTAGAGATGGAGTTTTGCCATGTTGGCCAGGCTGGTCTTGAATTCCTGACCTCAGATGATCTGCCCGCCTCAGCATCCCAAAGCGCTGGGATTACAGGCATGAATCACCATGCCTGGCCTGGAGGTGAGTTTTTTAGTTTTAATATTGCTTATGTGGCTGGGCGCAGTGGCTCACGCCTGTAATCCCAGCACTTTGGGAGGCCGAGGCAGGAGGATCACAAGGTCGGGAGATCAAGATCATCCTGGCTAATACGGTGAAACCCTGCCTCTACTAAAAATACAAAAAATTAGCTGGGCGTGGTGGCGGGCACCTGTAGTCCCAGCTACTTGGGAGGCTGAGGCAGGAGAATGGCGTGAACCTGGGAGGCGAATCTTGCAGTGAGCTGAGATCGCACCACTGCACTCTAGCCTAGGCGACAGAGCAAGACTCTGTCTGAAAAAAAAATTGCTTATGTGTTTTCATCCTTTTGGCATTTATTTTTCAATCTCTATAAAGAATCTCTTAATTCTATGAATTCTGGGGCAGGGGGAAAGTATTTTGCTTACTAGGTAAGAAAGCTGTTTCAGGTTTAAGCAATTCTCTACTTGTAATGGCAAAATTCTCATGGACATACTTGATGGCCAGAAGAAGTGTCAATAATGTTGGCCCAAATCCTTTCTCAGTCAAGTCTGTGCTCTTTAATGAGCTGTCTAGAATTTAGCTGGCTCTGTTTATTGGTCTTCCCAATCTACTTTGGTTTTAAGGGTCATTTTGTTTCTCTGGAGTTGGCTTCAGGTATGCCAGCCAATACTCAGACAGGCCCACCTACTGTTGGCTTGCAGGATGGACGTCATCCATAGGGGATATAGTCACTTTTCACTTTAGTCGTCTGATGCCACATATTCCTATTCCGTTGAAAACTAAAGGCTGTTTTGTGAACTTGTGACAAACCATCCTGCTTATTCACCTAGATTAGCCCACTCAACTGCCTAATGAATTTGACAGGGCTTTCTCTTTCATCACTGAAAACAAGAACTATTTGGCAACCCTAAAAAGCTTCCTCTTTAACATTAAATATAGAAATTATAAAATATGCTTTGGTCAAAAGAAAAAAGTCTTTAGAGAAGAAGAAAACCTTGGAAGATCGGATTAAAGTCTAAATGAGAAGCAAAACATTTCATTTACAGTGTGACAGCACCTTTTTCTTCATAAAGAAATCTTACCTCGCAAAATCTGATAAAGAAAAACTTTGACATGATCTGAGCTGAGTGGTTGAGGAGAGACGATAATTTTATGTAGGTCACTCTGCATCAATTCTGTGACAACATATCTTGAAGTTTTAAGTTAAGGAGAGTTCGGCGAATTCAGTCCCCTACCCCCTCAAAGTGGTGACCAGATCTAAAAAATAACTTCCATTCTCAAGGCTGGAAAAGTGGGGAAAGAAAGCTTCTAGACAGCGTGACAGAGGTGAGAATTCCAGCCCTCACAAAACACTACTAAAATCAAAAGAACTTACATGTTTAAAAGTCAGCAGAAGTAAACGACCAAATGATTTCCTTATAATCAGCATTATCAAAGAGAAAACCAAAGGTAAACATTTTAAATAACAGCCAGGCCAGGAAAAGTATGACGACCAAACAGTCTTAAGCTCTACTTAGACATATTACAGGAATGTCCTTTGAATCCAAACAAATGGGGATTGGTGATCTCATCTTAGGCCACCATGACACCAATGGAAAAGATCACAACCTATCCAAGGGCTGTGGCTTGTTACATTATAAAATATGGTATTCCTAAACACATGTAAAATAATTAGTTAAGTCTCTCCACAATCTTAGTAATTTAGTTCCTTTATTATTTAACTTTGTATATATTTATGAAACACCCCTCCCCACCATCACCACTAGATTTCGAGCGAGCTTCCTATACGTTGTACTCTGTTGTATGTTTAGGGTTTTGCTGAATGGACACATGGCCGATGATTAAAGGCTGGAGCCTGGGGAGCCATGGAGATATGCAATTCAAGACTCTTGTGAAGCACGTGTTAGATACATTAGGGAAGCAAAAGTATGGTAAATCTTATAATTTAAGTATTAAGTTTTCTTAAGGCAATTTCTAATTTAATGTTTTAGCAAAAACAAGTAGGAAAGGGGATAACTTGGGAACAGGGAGGAGAACTGATAATAACAGCCTTTGACAAAACAACTAAAAATTGTTTTTCAATTGTTTTCAAACTCCCTCCTCCTCGAGACATTTTTTCCAAATCGCTTTAGTCTCCTTCAATCATTGTACGTTGAAATGCCCCATGGCTGCTGGTCCTCACTCCTCTTCCCTATCCACACTCGTGGATACTCGGATCCAGTGCCATGCCTTTAAATAACATCCATGCTGCAGACTGCCAAATTTCTCTCTCTAGTTAATCTTTCCTTAAGTGCAGACTGGTATATCAAACTGCCTACCTATTTCCCCTGGATACCTAATTGACATTTCAAACTAACAAGTCCAAAACTGTCCAAATCTTTCTTAGTTGCTTGCACCACAAACCACATCAAGGAGTTATCCTTTACTCCCCGTTTCTCTTTCACCATACCTCCAATTCATCAGAAATCCTTCAAAATTTAGTCAGAATTAAGGCCACTTCTTATATCCACTGTTACTACTCTGGCCCAAGACTGCTAGATTTCTAAAACAGCAGCCAGGATAATTTTTTTTACTGTTATATTTTTTATTTTGCCTATATACTGACATTTACTTTATTATATAGAAAATATAATTTTTAAGCCTTTTACATTCTTAGATATTTTAATCTTAGGTTTTATCACTCAGATTCTTTCCAAAGAAATATATTCTACTTCATAATGAAAGTTAATGAGAAAATGATATTTGGCATGTGGGATTCACTTACAGGACAGTTTTCAGTGACATGTTAAAATTATTCTATAAAATGATGAAGAGTTAAATAATGACATCAGGGTTATAGTTTTTAATAGTTTTTATTCAACTTTTTCTTATTTTTCAAACACAGAAAATTACGCAGAGATGACCCATATACACACTTACCACCTAGAATCTACACTGAATATTTTGCTATATTTGCTTTGTCACACATCTATCCATTGCTCTTTCCATCCATCAATTCATCCAAAACTGGATGCATTTCACAGAATGATCTTTTAGGATGAAGGCCAAATTATGTCACTTTTCTGCAAAAGCTTTCCATTTCATTTAAGAGTAAAAGCCAGTCCTTAAAATGGTCTCACAGGCCATAAATCATTTGGCCTTCTTCCTTCTCTGACCTCTTCTATTGCTTTCTTCCTGGATATTCTCTGAACATGCTAGATACACTCCAACCTTAGGCCTTAGCTATTCCCTCTGCATGGACTGTACTTCCTGACATCTATTTGGTTAACTCTTTCACGTCCTTTGTGGTTTTGCTCAAATTTTATCTTTCAAATGAGGCCTACCTCAACCACTCTGACACTACAGTCAGACATTATATAATGATGTTTCGTTGATGATGGACCACATGTATAAAGGTGGTCCCACAGACTGTAACAGTGCTGAAAATTCCTATTGTATTGCCTAGGGGTGTCTTGGTGACTAAACCTGTGTAGGCTTAGGCTAATGTATATGTTTGTGTCTTATTTTAAAAAGTAAAAAAGCAACTCAGACCTCAACTCTACAAAAAACTTAGCCAGGTGTGGTGGCTTGTGCCTGTAGTCCTAGCAGTTATTGAGGACACTGAGGTGGAAGGATTACTTGACCCTGGGAGGTCAAGGTTGCAGTGAGCCATGATTGCACCACTGCAATCCAGCCTAGGCAACAGAGTGAGAAAAAATAAATAAATAAGAAAAAAAAATTTTTGTACAGCTGTACAATGTCCTTGTGTTTTACGCTAAGTGTTATTACAAAAGAGTAAAATATTTAACAAAATTAAAAAGTTTCGAAAGTAAAAAAATTACAGTAAGCTAGGGTTAATTTATATTAAAGAAACTTTAAAAAAATAAACAGTGTAGCTTAAGAGCACAGAGTTTATAAAGTCTATAGTAATGCACAGTAATGTTCTAGGCTTTCAAATTCACTCACCACTCACTGACACACCCAGAGCAACTTCCAGTCTTGCAAGCTCCATTCGTGTTAAGTGCCCTATACAGGTGTACCATTTTTATCTTTTATATCATATTTTTACTGTACCTTTTCTATGTTCAGATACGTTTAGATATACAAATACTTATTATTGTATTAAAGCTGCCTACAGTATTCAGTACGGTAACATGTTGTACAGTTGTACAGGTTTGTAGCCTAAGAGGAATAGGTTATACCATACAGCTTAGGTGTGTAATAGGCTATACCATCTAGGTTTGTGTAACAACCTGTACTCCCTATCCATTTGCTATCACCTTGCACAGCTTTACTTTTTCTTCTTCCCTTAGTAGTTATTATCCTGTAATTTCCTTATGTTTATTCTCTGTCTGTATTGCCAAGCCTGCACCATAAAGGCAAGGGTTGTCTGCTTTGTTCACAAATTTATCCTAAACTCTTAGAATATAGTGCACATAGTAGGTCCCTATAAATATTTGATGAATGAATGTATATTGAGCACCTGCTAGGTATAGGTACTCTACTAAGTATTTTAAATAGATAATCTCATCTAATTTTCATGGTAACTCTACAAGGTATGTAGTGGTACCCTAAATTTAGATAAAGAAATTGACGTTAACAGAAGACAACCTACCTACGGTTACATAGTAGTGAAGATTTTAGATCTGATCATGTCTAAAATTGCTTCAATGGTTCTATGCAATTTTGGATTTATCTTCTTATTCTTTTTTTTAAGTAACATTTTTAAAAACTAATAAAGTAGGCCAGGTGTGGTGGCTCATGCCTGTAACCCCAGCACTTTGGGAGGCCCAGGAGGGTGGACTGCTTGAGCCCAGGAGTTTGAGACCAGCCTGGGCAACATGGAGAAATCCCATCTCTATAAAAAGTTTAAGAAATAGGCCGGGTGCGGTGGCTCACATCTGTAATCCCAACACTTTGGGAGGCAGAGGCAGGTGGATCACTTGAGGTCAGAAGTTTGAGACGAGCCTGGCCAACATGGTGAAACCCCATCTCTACTAAAAATACAAAAATTAGCTGGGTGTGGTGGCATGTGCCTATAGTCCCAGTTACTTGGAGGCTGAGGCAGGAGAACAACTTTAACACAGGAGGCAGAGGTTGCAGTGAGCTGAGATCGCACCACTGCACTCCAGCCTGGGTGACAGAGCAAGACTTTGTCTTAAAAAAAAAAATTTTTTTTTTAAGAAATAGGTGAGCATTGTGGCATTTGCTGGTAGTCCCAGCTACTCAGGAGGCTGAGGTGGGAGGATCACTTGAGCCTGGGAGGCAGGGGTTGCAGTGAGCCCTGATCTTGCCACTGCACTCCAGCCTGGGTGACAGAGTGAGACCCTGTCTCAAAAACAAACAAAACCCCCCACAACTATCACAAAATAGACTAAATGTTCACTATGTTCTTTATAGAATAATTTCAACCAATAAATGCAGAAACAATTACAGAATTAGAAAAAAAACCACGGTTTTGCAATCTCTGGAGCTAGGCACCATCGATGGCTGGTAAAACCACTTGAAAAGGATGAGTGTGAGACTGACATCACTTCAATCCACCACTCAATCTTAGCATAATTTAATGTGGAACAAGAATATTATGTTTGTGATATGCACACCACTGCCTAGAATTATTCATGTCCCAAAAAACTTAATTTGAATGTAATCAATCATCTAGCTCTAATGACCAGTTAACTAGAAATATGTGGAATTAAAAAACAAGACATTATGAAGAAGCAATCTACTAAACACACAACGTGGATCATTCTTCAGGAAAAATTTATCTAACAAATCAATGACCATCCCCCTCCCCCTCCCACAAAAAAAGTGTGTGTTGCGGGGTGAAGGGCAGGCAGAAATGTTTGGGATAAGAGACTCAAGAGACATAATAACCATACATACGTGTGAACTTTGTTTAGAACCTTATTCAAAAAGTGACTCTTGAGGCAATCAGACAACAGATATTAAGGAATTAGCTAATTTTATTAGGTGTGATAATGGCATAATTGTTGTTTTCAAGGTACTTATCTGTTAGAAATTCACATTTAAGTATTTATAGGTGGAATAATGTGATGTTTGGTTATCTACTTTAAAATACTCCAGCCCTCCTTTCCCTTCCCCTCAATAAAAAAGAATAGAGGAAATGAGATTGGCAAAATGATTAATATTGTTAAAGCTGAGCATGAGGTACGCAAGTTATATACTTATATACTACTGGCTCTTATATTTTTGTATATATTTTTGCATATTTTGTATATATTTTTGTATATTTTGAAAATTTCCTTAATAGTTTTCTTAAACTTCATTGTAGAAAATGGAAATTATAAAAAAATGCAAGAATATTAAAAATATCCAGAATTCTACCTCTTTGGGTGAATTTAGAACATTTTGATGAAACTAATGTGCATGGGTACATACATGTATATTTAAAATAAAACTGGTATTATATACATTGTTCTTTTAATACTTTAAGTTCTAGGGTACATGTGCACAACATGCAGGTTACATAGGTATACATGAGCCATGTTGGTTTGCTGCGCCCATCAAATCATCATTCACATTAGGTATTTCTTCTAATGCTATCCCACCCCCAGCCCTCCACCCCCCGACAGGCCCTGATGTGTGATGTTCCCTGCCCTATGTTCAAGTGTTCTCATTGTTCAATTCCCACCTATGAGTGAGAACATGCGGTGTTTGGTTTTCTGCCCTTGTGATAGTTTGCTGAGAATGATGGTTTCCAGCTTCATCCATGGCCCTGCAAAGGACATGAACTCATCCTTTTTTATGGCTGCATAGTATTCCATGGTGTATATGTGCCACATTTTCTTAATCCAGTCTATCACTGATGGACATTGGGTTGGTTCCAAGTCTTTTGCTATTGTGAATAGGGCCACAATAAACATACGTGTGCATATGTCTTTATAGCTGCATGATTTATAATCCTTTGGGTATATAACCAGTAATGGGATCGCTGGGTCAAATGGTATTTCTAGTTCTAGATCCTTGAGGAATCGCCACACTGTCTTCCACAATGGTTGAACTAATTTATACTCCCACCAGCAGTGTAAAAGCGTTCCTATTTCTCCACATCCTCTACAGCATTTGTTGTTTCCTGACTTTTTAATGACCTTTTAACTTTTCTGCTGTTGCCTGTTCTTTTAATAAAATATAAGGTTCTAAAAACAAAACAAGCAAGGGAATCCCTTGCTTATCCCATTCAATGGTTTAATAATGCAGAATTTTAATGACTGCATAGTGTTCTAACGTGTGGCTATATTATAATTCATTTAACCAAGTGATCATTGTTAAAAAGCTATTTCTAATTTTATTTTTTACTATTTTATTTTTTGAGATGGAGTCTTGCTCTGTCACCCAGGCTGGAGTGCTGTGCTGTGATCTTGGCTCATAATTCTGCAACCTCCATTTCCCAGGTTCAAGCGATCCTCATGCCTCAGCCTCCTGAGTAACTAGGCTTACAGGCACATGCTACCATGCCCGACTAATTTTTGTATTGTTAGTAGATGGGGTTTCGCCATGTTGGCCAGGCTGGTCTTGAACTCCTGACCTCAAGTGATCTGCCCACCTCAGTATCTCAAAGTGATGGGATTACAGGTGTGAGCCACTGAGACTGGCCTATTTTTAACTATTTTAAATAACCTTGAGATAAACATCCTATATATAGAATTTTATGTGTATGTGAGGATATTACATATACTTTAAAAAAGTTTTAAAATACTGTAAACTCTTTCCATGGTATTATATATATTCTTTTATATCATTTCAAATGCTTAAATAGTACTCCATTTTACATAATATGTCAGGAGTTAAGTCATCTCCTGCCACTGGATGTTTACAATATTATTGTTTCACTATAATGTAGCTCTGTGGGAGTGCTTAGAGCTTTAAGGTATTATTTCATGAGGAACCCTCAATTATGTACAGATCCTCCTTCCTGGGTTAATCATTTATTCAGAAGAGTCCTCCAATCTTTCTTCTTAGGATGAATAGGTCAGGCTGCCAGAATTCTATGTTAGTGGGTGTCCAGGGAATAAACTTTTAGTCTCCAGCAGGGTGAGGGAAGAAGATCTGAGCATCGTACTACTTCTTAAACAGGCTTGCAACCAATCCGATGTTTAGGCCCACATGTATCCCCACTTTCTGAGATACTTGATGCCTCCAATTCCTGAGACTTTCTGACATTCTGTAGCAAGAATCAACCTGTTTCTGGGTTCTCATTACTGCCAGCTTAGATTTCTGCCTTTTCTAGACTGAATTTTTAACCCTTTAGTGAAATTTAAGGGGACTACAGGAAGGAATGGTAGTAAAGATTTATGTTCTATCCACTGTGTTTTAAGGTTGAAAACTCTTTACATGTTTATTGGCCACACATATGTGTGACCATGAGAGACAGAAAAAAAAAGGAAAACCAAGACTGACAGCAAATTGTTCCTGTCCTTTGCTCAATTTTCTACTAGGGTGACAATTTTTTTGTAATACTGTTTCTCATATTAAGGATGTTAACCCGCTAGTATGTACCAAAAATTTCTTTTCCACTAGGAAATCACAGGATGGTGACATAAAAAATTGCTACTTGCACCTTTAAGTCTTAATCAGAAGTCCCAATATTCTTGAGTTGCACTGGTTCCAGAATTGTCAAGGGAGAGGAAACAAAGGACCATTACACAGAAAAAACCCAAACAACAAAACAAAAATAAAAATTTCACAATTGCCATCCCTGCATTAAGCGTTTTGTTATGTTCTGAACATCTGTGTCTTCCCCAAAGTTCATAGGTTGAAATGCTAACCCCCAAATAGATGTGATTAAGAGGTGGGACCTTTGGGAGGTGATTAGGTCATGAGGTCAGAGCCTCTCTATAAAAGAGACCTAATGGAGTTTGTTAGTTCTTTCCACAATGTTAGGTTATAGTTAAAGAATGTCAACTAGGAAATGGGCCCTCGGCAGACACCAAGTCTTGATTTTGGACTTCCCAGCCTGCAGAACTGTCAGAAGTAAATTAGTGTTGTTTATAAACCACCCAGTTTATGGTATTTTGTTATAGCAGAATGAATGGACTAAGACAGTTGTCAACTTGAGCTTTTTTTTTTTTTTTGAGGGGGAATTTCGCTCTTGTTGCACAGCCTGGAGTGCAATGGCATGATCTCGGCTCACCACAACCTCCACCTCTCAGGTTCAAGCTATTCTCCTGCCTCGGCCTCTTGAGTAGCTGGGATTACAGGCATGTGCTACCACGCCTGGCTAATCTTTCTATTTTTAGTAGAGATAGGGTTTCTCCATGTTGGTCAGGCTGGTATTGAACTCCCGACCTCAGGTGATCTGCCCGCCTTGGCCTCCCAAAGTGCTGGGATTACAGGCATGAGCCACTGTGCCTGGCCGAAACTTGAGCTTTTATACAGGAAAAAAAAATAAAAAATAAAAAATAAAAAAATCCTGACGTACCAATGGCCAGGCATGGTGGCTCATGCCTGTAATCCCAACATTTTGGGAGATCAAGGCAGGAGGATCACTTGAGCTCAGCAGTTCAAGACCTGCCTGGGCATCTTAATGACACCCTGTCTCTACAAAAAAAAATAAAGTTAGCTGGGCATGGTGGCCTGCACCTGTAGTCCCGGCTACTAGGGAGGCTGAGGTGGAAGGATCACTTGAGCCCAGGAGGTCGAGGCTGTGGTGAGCCATGATTGCACCACCGCACTCCCACCTGGGTGACAGAGTTGAGTCCCCATCTCAAAAAAAAAAAAGTATAAAGCATTTATGTGTATGGGATGTCAGCCAGATCTGCTGAGTTTACTGACTTTTTTTTTGCTTTTGCCAGGATTGAAGAGTTCTTGCATGGATGCGAAGAACAGGTTATATTCTATTCTGCTTCACATATCTACAAAATTGGCAGCCAAGTTGTGATGCCAGAATCCTTACTGTTAGTAGTGACAGTTGGTAGCTCGTAAGCAGCGGAGAGAAAACATCTTAATTTTCAAGTTTATCAGGTTGAAATCATAGTGCTGGCACTTGGAAAATCTTGCTTTGACTTATAAATTTATAAACGAAACAAACTGATACAAAAGCCAAAAACAGAGTAAGTATGAAATAATGTCATATGCTTTATTCTAACAGTGACTACATTTTCAAAGAAAGGAGAAAATGGAAAAGTGACTGGAGGGAGTACTGTTCTAAGCAGATATTTTATAACTAAGTACTCGTTTCAGAAAAAGAAATCTGACATTTCATCTAGCATTATGAAACCTATCAGGTCAGGGTGTTGCTCACCCTATACCTGTGGGATTTGAATGGACAAACTGAACTATTTTTGATCAACAGTAACACTTTCATATAATTCAACTAACACAGAGCAAAGTATTACCAGATATCAAAAAACTGAAAAGGTATTCAAAATGAATATAAAGCATGATTTCAAATGGTAAGTCAATTCCTTCATACTAAGACCACATACACACGTACATAATTTCTCACAAAATATAAACTAGCAGGCATTCCCTCTCCTAAGCACAAATGACTACATCACTTATGTCACTATCTTCAGGATCCATGAACTTCAAAAACCTTTCATTCAACCTTCTATTATCTATTATAATGTTTAAGAAAGGAGAGTTTAAAATAATGCTACTTTTATATCTCTGCTTCTTGAGAAGATGACAGGTTGGGTTAAAAAATAGGGACAGGTTAATTAACTTTAATTAACTGGAAAGTTCAGGGCAAAACACACAGAGCTCCTATCTACCTCTACCATTTTCCATTTACCCTTGTGCAGAAATGCTTTCCCTTTCTTTAGTATCTTTTAAACATAAAAGACTGGAAAATTTTAAATATAGGATTTTTATAAAGTGATTAAAACAGCCACTTTGCAGAGAATACGTTTTGTCAACCTTTAGTTTAGCAAAGTAAATTCTTAGGGGAAAAACATTTTTCACTCCATGAATAATGCAGTTTTTTTCTTTATAGAAAACAATGAGACAACCAGGCCAACATTTTAAAATTTTCTTTGGAAAATAATTCCTGAATTTGAAGCTCTAACAATACAGCTTCAAAAATTCAGAAGCAATACACACCACCTTATGATACGGTTTTTGCTTTGCTCTAGCAGAAATCCTCTGAAGTCTCAATCCCCAGCATAATGTCTCCCAGATGTCTCAACTAGTTGCCATGCCAACTAAAGCAGCTTAAATTAAATGAGGGCCTGAAAAGACACCTGCATCACTCCAGGTCTGTTGCACATTAAATAAAGCTCTCTTGACAGGGACTCAGAGGTGCCATTAACTTGAACAGCATCTATCTGATTATTGTTTCTGAGAAATTTAATGAGGGTCTCCAAACAAGAGTGAAAACAGGGTGCTCCTTCCCTCTCCTGGTCTTTCTAAATGGGACAGCCACTCCAACAGCTGGTGTACCCACTGGGTCAATGAATTTGCTATGGCCCTTTAAGTTACCATTGGATGAAGATAAACTATAGGACCAAAGTTAAGGTTTTCAGAAGAATATGAGCAGATTAACCATCTCTCCTATTTAAACGTGCCATTAAAAATATGATTGTTAAAAACACACTGTGCATGGTATGCCAACCTCAAAGTGATTTGAACAGCCCTACTATAAAACAAATTGCTGCTGATTGCAGCAATTAGTTAAGTAGCTCCATGAAATATGGATTTCAAATGTACTGATTTGCTTCAAAAAAACCTGAATGATGCAAGTGTTTTAGTGGGGGCGGGGGAAGGAGGTAGCTCTGATGTCTCAGGTGCCCAAGAGAAGTAACAATGTCTCTGTATTGTTTTAAAGAGTTAATTTTTAAAAACAATATTACAAGCTTTTTTACTGCTTTCTCATGTTAGTCACTGGAGAACATCACTTAAACACAAACTTGGGCTAGAGAAGTTATATTCTTTACCTAAGGTCACATTCCCAGTCAGTAAAAAGCCAAGACTAGCTCAGGTTTCCTGACTCCTAGTCTAGTGCTCTCTCCACTCCCACCAAGCTGTTTCCCGTGGAAACTTGCCTTTATAGGTCTGCTAATCCAATTTCTTAACCAAATATCACCACCATAAGCAGGTTTCTATGAAACAAAAAATAGTTGAATTATTCTTAATTATGGGCTATGAGGAGAAGAAAAGGAGAAAGGATATTAATGTTTACTTGAAGCTACTATGTGCCACTTCATATATGATCTCATTTAATCCTCATAACACCTACTTTATAGCTGCTGTATTTCTATTTAAGAAATAAGCACACTGAGGCTGGGAGAGGTTACGCTGCTCCACACAGAGTTTGCATTTAAATCTAGATTGTAATGATTCTGAAGTCTGACCCTTTCCATGAAGTTCTATTACCTCAATTTGTTTACTATTAAAAGAGAAAATGAAATACATGAGACTGCCATTACTCGAATGCTGCAAAAACCAGGCTTCAAGCAAAATCAGAAAATCAGTATTGTATTACATAATGTAGTATTCCTTCCCTTGCCATGTTTTTTCCAAATGAGAAGTCACTGTCTTCAATCTTCAACAAATTTTGAATAGCAGCATGTACAAGATGCCAATCTAGGTACTAGAAATGCAGTGGTGTACAAGACAGCCCACTGCTTTCACTGAGAAACTCAACAGCCTAACAAGGGAGACAGACAATTAAACAAGCAACTGCAATTCACTCAAAGATTACAACACTGTTATGGCTATTCATCTCATAAAGCTCCTTAGGTTCTGATTTTCAATTGAATAAGCCAGACTTGCCATCATAGAGCCACCAGGAATAAGAGCAACAAAGTTGCACAACAAAGATATATTCTTCTAAAGAGATAAATCTCTAAATTAGAATTACTAATTTCCAATAACTAAAGAGATTTCAACAAGTGAGAAACCATCAACAAAAAAGCTTTCTTCAGCACCTACAAATTTCTGAATTAGATGTGCAAACTAATTGGCAATTTATCTATACTGTATGAAAAACACATACACTCATATTTGGTTTCCTAAAATGGTTCATCCTTAACAAATTTCTTTAAGCCAGATACAGTGGCTCACACCTATAAACCCGGCACTTTGGGAGGCCGAGGCAGGAAGATTGCTTACGGCCAGAAGTTCAAGACCAGCCTGGGCAACATAAAGAGATCCCGTCTCTACAAAAAAATTTAAAAATTAGCTGGGTGTGGTGGTGCGCACCTGTATTCCCAGCTACTTGTGCCTAAAGTGAAAGGATTTTAAGTTTAAGCCCAGGAGTTCGAGGCTGCAGTGAGCTCTGATTGCCACTGCACTCCAGCGTTGGCGACAGAGCAAGACCCTGTCTCAAAAAAACGTTTTTTAACAACAACATGAAAAGTAATAAAAATAAAATGGACATTTATTGAGTGCTCACTATGTGCCAGACACTTCTTTAAGTACTTCATATGAACTATTTCATGAATCCCCACAACACAAGTAGCAGGTTATGCTAAATAACTAATTTTTCTCTTTTTGAGGTTTAGTCTTTCCTTTCAGAAGAAATTGAATCCAAAGACACCTGAAGTAACTGCTCAATCCACCCAAGTACTTTTATTCATTTCTTCCAGCACCTGAATTTTAGTCTTAGTTCTGTTACTGGCAGAACACAACCAAAATAAGAAATAATCCCACATTTGCAGAGGATTTATCTGTTTGCTGAAAAGTATTTTTGAGCTTACCATGTGCCACTTTTAACATAGGTCACCTCATTTAATCCTCATAACAACTTGTGGCTATTTCCACGTAACAAGTCTAAACTGCTAGTGAAGAAATGTCTGACAAATAATGATACCCTTTTGGCCAATGACTGAAAAATAAAAAGGTTAAAAAAATCAAGAGGCAAATTTTGCTACCTCATTCTCTTTGTCTCAGTGTCTCTTTCTAACCTCCTGAGTATTCACTTCCTTCAAGTATTTTACCTCTTACCCTTCTTTAGTCAAATTATAAAAATAATCTTGACGATACAAGAAACATTTTCCCTGCACTTATGAATCATATATGCTTAAATAGATTCATATCCCCTCATATTTTTTAAGTGCATGAGAACTAAAAAGTTAGTGCATACGTATGTATAAATGTGTATAAATGTTTATGTGCATGTGTATATAAAAAAAGGAACTCCTGGCTACTTTTTGTGGGGGGGTGGGGGCAGGGTACAGGGCTTGGACTAGTAGCCCTTTACAGATTTCTTTTTAAAGTCTAAATGAGAGATTGCTGGAAATACAGGACAGGCCTTTGATGGGAGATCAAAGTTAAAAATATAAGTTTGGGAATCATTAGATACAGTAAAAATTAACAATTTCTACTTTCTACTAAATGAAATATGCCACACTGAGGTATTTATTTGCATTTGGTTACAATCTGCTTTTCATTTGCATAAAAGTTTATCTTTAAAATTTATTTTTCCATTTCTTTCCTTCTTTTATTAAAAAACCTGGATATTAAAATTATGGAAGCTTCTCACCATTAATGGGTTTTAAATTCAACCTTAACAACATGACATTCTTTAGAATAATGCAACCAGTGTCAGCAGCTGAATTGTTAGTGGACAGTGCCCAAATATAACAAGCAGCACATCCTGCTAGATTCCCACAAAATTTGCTGAGGAAGAAAACGTTATCATGGAGGACAGAATTTGAGGCAAGAAAAAGCAAGAAATGAGACATCTTCTGAAGATCAAGGACATTAGGTGGGAACATATTAGAGATATCAAAAAGGGAGAGAACAGAGAGGGTTGCTTAGAATTAAAAATAGGCCTGTACAATTTTCTCTGACGCAAAAAAGATTATGGGCAAGAAGACCAGGTAACTAATCTAGAGCCTGGCAGCCATCTACACCTCAATGATAAGCCTCTCCTGACCTCTTGCTCCAATTAAAGCAGATCTGTACCATGATCAATATTTGTTTAACCCACCTATACGATGCTGCATCTATTTTAGGAAGTAATTTAAGAATGCATAATAATCAGCCTCACACCAGAAATACTGACTACCCCAACTGTCAAAGGTAATTCCTCAGAAAAAGCTACACAGTCACCACAGAAACAAATGCTGACATCAAATTCTGACCTTCAATTATAAATAAGATGATTGAGTACTTTTCTGTTTTTAGGAAGTCATGATTACTCAGGGAGTCTCAGAGCCTTCAGGACTGGTGCCAACAGCATCTTTGTTTAACCATCATCATTAGCATCAATAAACACTGACTGGGTACTAAGTGGGTGTAGAGAACATGTTAACTCAATGACAAGACTGAGAAAAAAGATGGATGAATGCAAGGCAACAGCCAAGAGGTTGGAAAAAGACTGACATTGACATGTAAAAATCAAGGAGAGAGGGCAAGAAGGTGCAAAAAGATTTTAATGTAAATGAACAAAGAAGCCTGACTGAAAACAGCTGAAATTTACTGCAATTTTCTATGTGTTAGGCATCCAGCTTTAAATTTATTTTGCCTCACCTACTCCTAATTACTGTAAGAAGTAAGTCCCATTATGGGTTCCCATTATACAGAGCAAAGAGGTTTAGAGAGGTAAAGAAATTAGTCAAAGGTCTTAGTGTGCAGCGGACGTGGCACTAGATCACAGCCCTCGTTCTTGTACTCTGTCCTTCAAAAGATAAAGTAAACTTCAAAAATAGAAAACTAAAAAAAGAGGTAAGAACAAAACAATTCTACTTCAGGAGGGAGAAGGCCTGGAAATTGATTTTTAAAATAAGGAGTTAACAGGTTCAGCAGTGGGAGGCGGTGTGTTTGTTGTAGGCTTTGGAATCAAAATGACCAAGGTTAGAATCTTGACTCTGCCACTTAGTAGCTTGATAACATTAGGCAAGTTAAATAACTTCTCTGAGTCTGTTCCTGCATTTATAAAACAGGTACAGGAACACCTACTACACAGAGTTACTGCTAGGATTTAGAATCACATATAAATGCCTGGCACACAGAAAACGATTTAGGTGGTAGCTGCTATCATCATCATCATCATCGTCATCATCATCATCATCATCATCAACATCGTTATATGAGGGAGGAGGGGAAATGAGTTTTTTTTAAAACATCAATACATGCTAGGTGGTATGCCAAATGTTCAACGTACATTAATTCATTTATTCCTTTAAAATAACTGTGAGTAAGAATATCATCTCCATTATCATTGAGGAAACTGAGGCTTAGGGAAGAGTATCAAGTAACTTTTTGAAGGTCAAAAAGCTAGTAAGTGGAGGAAAAAAAATCAGGATTTGAACTCAGAGCTGCCTGATATCAAAGTCCATGGCCTTTTTCAAAATGTATGAATGTGCCCCTATTTCTTTCCAACATTCTCCCCAGGGAAAAAAGCAAAAGAATATAAGGAACAAAGAAACTGGCAACCACTCAAAAAAGCTCCTTTTGGCTGGGTGCGGTGGCTCATGCCTGTAATCCCAGCACTTTGGGAGGCTGAGGTGGGTGGATCACCTGAGATCGGGAGTCAAGACCAGCCTGGCCAACACAGTGAAACACTGTCTCTACTAAAAAATATAAAAATTAGCCAGGTGTGGTTGCGGGCACCTGTAATCCCAGTTACTCAGGAGGCTGAGGCAGGAGAATCCCTTGAACCCTGGAGGTGGAGGCTGCAGTGAGCTGAGATCATGCCACTGCACTCCAGCCTGGGTGACAGAGTGAGACTGTCTTTAAAAAAAAAAAATGCTCCTTTAAGCCACTGTGATCTCAAAAGGAAAGACTAGGCCATCTCAAAAGGATATCATCAATGAAGAAGGAGAAAAACTTTATTCACTTTTTATTAATGTGGTCTCATGCAGGGTTTTTGGCATCAAAGAAACATGTCCGTGACAGTCACATTCCTTTAGAGTTTACTCATTCACTCAAAGGACAAAAAGCCCTTGACTTACACCAAGAAAGGTTTTCTACAGGACATATTTTTGACAGATGGGAACTTGAGGGAACAATTAAAAGTACTAGTTTCTGTGAGACCTCTGAGAACCTCTACAGAAGGTAACTCCTGGTTTTGGTAAAGGGTTAATAACCTGAAGCGTTTCTTAGTCTTGAGCTCAGAGTGATAAATATTACCTATCAGATTAGTATTCTTCATATTTAACCCTAATTACAGAAAAGGATTAATATTCTATAACTGATTAATAGTCCCCATATCCCCCCAAAACAAAAGCACACATTAAAAACCCCAAAACTTTGCTTACTCATGCAAATCATATTTTCTTTGGTAAAAAAAATGCCACTTCAACCTGATCCTATTTTCTACCATCTGGTTCTCTTGCCACCTCTAAGTGATGTAAACTATCAATTAAACGTGTAATTTTTAAACCCACTGCCAAAGATACAATTCAATATTTTTGATTAATACTTAATAATGACAGGCATAGAATATGCAGAGAGCAAAATAATACAAGCAGCACATAAATAAACTGTACTCTGGCTAAAATCCAGATTTGTGCTAGTGTGCTACAGGTCTATTAAGTTTCCTGAGGTACTGCTCTCAAATAAATTGGGTTGATAGCAGGAGACTCAGCTGGTCTATGAAGTGCCTAAAAGCCCCACTGATTCACCATATCCTCCAATTATGGCAAGTCTGATATATTTAGTGGCTTCTGAAACCTCTAGGTCTCCACCTAACACATGCCTCCTGGTGTCTAGCAATCTTAAAAAATAAAGTCAACACAGTGGGACATGACAAAAAAGATCAAATAAATACAGTCCCATGAGCTTCGCTAAACTCTCACACCTGAATTAAGTATGTCAAGAGGTTAATAATCAGAAGGTTAACCAGAAGGTTAAGCAGTTCAGGAGAATGATAATGAGGTTATGAGGCTTTTCAGAAGCTCAAATTAAGTGTGGCTTTGTTATTATTCAATATTACCCTCTAACAGTTGGGAGCACTGACAGCATTTCATTCCCACCAGCTGGGAAGTTTTAGAGATATATTTATTTTTTAATGGAGAGGTGAAAAGACTAGATTCAAGCTTTAGTTTTTTTTTTTTTTTTTTTGGCTTCACCTGGAACACAGGTGTTTCAAAGAGCTAGCGTGAATAAGTTGTTCCAACTATAGTGACTCTCTTCAAAGCAGAGGGAAAAAAAATCCAGCTGTTGAGTTTGAACTTTAAACAGTGCTTTAAAACAATCTCAGGATTTGCTACACACTAAATCATCTTTATGCAGACAGGAAGGCCTTTTAAATGAACTAAAAGAGGTGATGTGAGTTTTACTACATGGCATAGGAAGGGGAGTGGTTCTTGGGATCTCAGGCTGAAGCAGAAAATTATGTCGTATGTAGATGGCGGTCAATTTTCTATCTTCCCATGTTCAGGCCTGCCAACATAGTCTATGACTTACATTTTTCACACCCTTCAGAAAAAAAGAAGAAAAATAAAGTTGATTCATTACATAGCATTTAGAGAGTCAATAAGAACTGGGAGAATTTACAAAGTATTACAAATAAATGCTTACCGATGACAAGGTGTTGTATAAATATGTCATAATAAGGCACTGCTGAATAAACGCTTTTAATAACAGACAGCTAACCATTGTGGACAGTTCAAGTTGTGCGTATGTGTGAAAAGTTGTGATACTGTCTTATGTAAAAAACTATCAGGTCAAAAGCTTTTGCCATCTAGAGTTCAGAAAGATAGTGGGCTGGCTTCCCTGCTCAACTGAAGTCTGAGAACATATTTAATATTCCAAGTGCAATGAGCTACTGATGCTGTATGACGTTCTAATGATGCGTTAAAAACTTTCAGATAGCAAAATAAAGATATTTAATTGGTTTATCTGAGTTGGGAAAACAAAATGGCAACATGTTGTATCAAATTATTTCCTACAGAATGAATATGGACAGAAAGCTTTGAAAACCCTATTTTAATTCCTAAACTCTCTTTACTATTTCAGATAATGGAAACTTAATCATTCTTTTTTCATTTAATATGGACAGAAACTAATGCTAAGCCAGATTACAAAAAAAGAAATCTTACAATATTAAATATTTATCAAGTAGGTCCCATATTGGTCAAAGGTTCTACAATCCTTTTTTAAAAGTTTTCATCTTTGGCTGGGCATGGTGGCTCATGGCTGTAATTCCAGCACTTTGGGAGGCCGAGGCGGGCGGATCATGAGGTCAGGAGAGCGAGACCATCCTGGCCAACATGGTGAAATCCTGTATCTATTAAAAATACAAAAATTAGCCTGGTGTGCTGGCATGTGCCTGTAGTCCCAGTTACTCAGGAGGTTGAGGCAGGAGAATTGCTGGAACCCAGGAGGTGGAGGTTGCAGTGAGCCAAGATCATGCCATTGTACTTCTCCCTGGGTGACAGAGTGAGAATCTGTCTCAAAAAAAAAAAAAAAAAAGTTTTCATCTTCAATGTGACATATATTGGAACAAATATGAGTCAGGTGACTTTTCCAAAAGACATAGTAAATTTGGTTTAATAAACTGTAGTACATAGATGCCCAAGCCTGGCCCCCTCAAGCCACAGATTCTCTTATGACAAGTATATGAATGACAGTTAAAACATGCTTAAGCAATAACACAGTTAAGCACTTTAAACACTAACATGCTTAGGCACCTTAAGCACAAATTCTGAAATCCTGCCATTCCTGTCTGAAAAAAGAATCTACAGCCATAAATGTGTGAGACTTAATAAAATCTCCTGCTCGTTTTTTTTTTCTTCCAAAATCAGGTGCACAGGGGAAGGAAGTTTCAGCCTAGTACTCAGATATGAAACTGGCTGATCTGAAATAAAAGTGAGGGCATTGAATAGCGTGGATAATGACAATCTGGTTTACAGATATGGTTGATTTCAAACAATGCTTTCCACATGAAAGAAAAACAGCAATGTGTCACAGAGAGCATTGTGTTCTCTTGTAACAAATGGTCAGCCGTAAATCTCATCATCTTCTTTGCAACAAAAAGCATGGGAGCCTTTGCAACTAGAAAAAAATCGGTGTGCTTCAATTAGAATCACTGACCTTTTCTGAAGCATGCCTGTGCTTCTCTATAGAAATCAATGGAATAAAAGGTCATGTTGTTAAAACGTTTGAATACGACAATCTCTTTCCCAGGCAAAGGCAGATTCTTTTTCTTTGTAAAGTAACAAATTTGTTGTATAGAATGTCAAAAATTAAAACTACCTCAGTTGTAATTTAAAACTGACTAAAAAAAAATCAATCCAATCACCAGAAAAAAAAGAAAAAAGCGGGAAAGCTGTCATTCTACATATTGTTACAGTCCATAAGGTCTGTCAGATGAGTATTTTTCACTAAGGCTATAACCATGTATGTAATAAAACAAGAAGAGCATTCTAGAGAAAATGATGTTATTTTAAACTTCAGCTCTCTCCTTTACAAAGTGCTCTGGAGAAGGCAAGGCAAGCTCTGTGTCTGTCAAACATAGATGGCAGAGACTGGTGATTAATCTTCCACCGTCATAACCCTCCAAAGCAAATGCATATGTACATAAACCCAGAGATTAAGAGCTGAGGAACAGAAGCCAAAGTGACTGGAATAGTCACTGTTTTTTGGAGTATAAAAAACCAAATTTGAAAGAGGAGCCTCTATATAGATTAGGAACATTTTACTGTATCAATTTCTTCATTCATGAAGAGAAAGGGCAAATTCTTCGATGATCTCTTAATGCATTCAGAAGGTAAGGGATGAACATATCAGTCATGTAAACTTCATCGTCCTTCTTACTGCCAATACAATGAATATTAACATTTTCTCCAAAAGACAATGAGCTTTCAAATTAGACCCAAGTAACCTTTCCTTAACACGTCTGAAAAACTTACTTCCATATCTAGACAATTTGGTGTCAAATGTCCTTCTGCTCAATAGAATTTGAGAGCATTTACTCCAGTATGATCTACTGTAAAGCTGCACAAATGATGTCATTAAAACCTGAGAGCAGACTGCTACCAGTGTTACAAGCAACCGCAACAGCATTTTGAATGGAGGGCAAGTCTCTAAACACATCAATCTACAGATGCTAGTCCTTACCTACTCAGTGTTACCCATCACCAGTGTAGCTCATTTGTGGTTGGAGATTCTAAAAGACAAAGTTACTAAAAGAAACAGTTCTGAAGAACAGAGAAGATTCAAAATAAACAGAGAACAAAAATCTACAAGAAGAATTTAGGAAAAGTATATCAAAGAGTCTGTTTCTGAGTACTTTTTACGGGAGTTGAAAAGAGATGAAATAAAATAGTGGTCCATTTAAAAGGATCTCCCTCCTCTGTCTAGATAGATGATACAACATAGTGCCTAATACATTTGTTCACAGTACCCACTTTCTAATTCTTACAGAATGAATATTCTATTATGCACTTAGTTGTGCCATCTATTAGCACTGTTTCATATTGTTATTTAATTAGAAAAGCTATGCAAAAAGGGTTACACGGACCCATGAACAGGAATTAGACATGGATTAAAATTTTGTGGAAAAATGAAAGTGTTACTAGAGATATTGAAAATATACTTATCCTACTAATATGTAACTGTTCTTACACGAATTGATACAGGAAGGACTACTGAACATGTTTTATTCTATGAAAATTATTAAGTTGCAGGTAAGTCTTCCCAGCTCTTTTTTGGGGGGTGGGGTAGGGGAGTAGAGAAGGAGTCCAGGGCAGGTTTTTTTTTTTTATCCATAAGACAATTTGGTTAATGTCTCTATTGTAAAATTGATTATTCTGGTACTATAATTATTTGAAAACTGTCTATCATCTCTATTAAACCATGAACTCCTTAAAGGTAATGGCAACAACCATATTTTGTATTACCTGCTGGTACATCTTTGCTGAGGGTAAAGTTAGAAAGGGCATAAAACAAACATTGAGCATCATGAAAAACCATCTGGGAAAATGCCAAGCATCATTCTGTTCTTCTTTCACGACAGTCACTGCCTCTCAGCTCCAACAGTCAGGTCCTTGTTATGGTGTTTTTTAAAAATTGTGGTAAAATACACACAAAATTTATCATTTAATCACGCTTCAGTGTGCAATTCAGTGGTATTAAGCACATTCACAATGTTGTGCAACCATCAGCACTATCCATTTCCAGAACCTTTTCATTATCAAATACAAACTCCTTGTTAAGATTTTAAAGTACATTTCTGATTCTGTTATTCTTCATCATAAAAATCTTTCATTGGGGCCCAATGTCAACTGAATAAAGACCAATTTCCTTAGTTCAACATTCAAAATCCCCCATGACTTGGCCCCACCTAGCTTAATTTCTCATTATTTCTGCATATCAAACTCTGGCCAACTAGATGATTTACCATTCCCTAATTATGCTCCTGATACTTACTCTCACCATCTGGAATATCTATCCTCTTCAATGCTACCTGTCCAAATCCTTCTCATCCATCAATGCTCAACTGAAATGTCTTTTCTCCACACAGTTTCCTTATCGTTTTTTTCTGCCTGAAGTAATCTCTCCTTTTAAAGTCCCACACTACCTCACTATATTCTTTTGGCACATTCTACCACATGTTAGTTATCCCTTTACAGCTCATCTCTGCCCCATTGATTGTAGTATCTTCCTTCAGGGAAAGCATTAAGAGGCAGCAGAGCATGGTGGGTTGAGAGCACTCCTGGCCCATTGGACTATACAATATGGGTTCAAATCACAGCTCTGTTATTTCTAAGTGACGTTGGACAAGTTATTTACCTCTCTGAGCTATAGTTTCTTCATCTATAAATTGGAGATATGAATAAAGTAATTTAGGATAGGGTCTCACATATTACATTTTTAAAAAAATTAAATAAATGAACAATGCATCTTTGTATTCATCCCAGAGGTTAGTACAATGTCATATACATAGTAGTGCTAAAGGTTTGGCTGAATGAATAAGCAAGGCTAACCAGATACTGACAAAAATGGTGGTTAAGTCAGGAATTTATCTGTTCCTGGATTGTTCTATCAACCTTTCTTTGGTTTTTCCTTTCTTTAAATTTCTGTTCTAGGCTTCAGAGATAAGGAGAAAGGATCAGTGATAGTGGGTAAGTGAAAGTTTTTGTTTTTGTTTTAAATCATCAAATGAATTTTCTAGTAATTCAGTAGGAAACTAAAATGGGAAAGAGTAAAAATCAGAACCCCTCAGTGCTCTCAGGATACCTTGGTTCTTTTGTTTTTTTTGGTGGGGAGATGGAGTCTCTCTCTGTCACCCAGGCTGAAGTGCAGTGGCACGATCACTGCAATCTTCACCTCCTGGGTTCAAGAGATTCTCCCGCCTCAGCCTCTTGAGTAGCTGGGATTACTGGCACGTGCCACCAAACCCGGCTAATTTTTGTATTTTTAGTAGAGACGGGGTTTCGCCATGTTGGCCAGACAGGTCTCGAGCTCCTGACCTCAGGTGATCCACCCACCTCGGCCTCCCCAAGTGCTGGGATTACAGGCATGGGCCACTGTGCCTGGCCAGTTCTTTTCTATCAGTATACTTTCCAACCTATACTATTGTCATTATTTATGTGATTGTATCCTCTACTAGATTATAAACCTGGACCAGAAATCATCTATTGGTTCATTTACCAAATATTTATTTTGTACCTACTTTATGTCAGGTACTGTTCTAAGTACTGGCAGTGTAACAATGAATAAAACAGAATTTCCTGAATGTGGAAACACAGTTGATGCTTATGTTTATGCAATAAATGAATAGGAAGTTCTTACAATATGGGAATCTTCAAAGCTCCCAGGATATAGATTTCTGGTCCTTAGTAGTACCATTATTGAAGAAAGAGTACACTTACATAAGCATATATGCATTTTGTTTCCATTGTTCTTAGTTTTTTAATGACTCCTAAGATTCCCTGAGGGTTACAGAGCTGCTTCAAAGCACTAGAGACTCTTACTGGCTGAAATGGACACACAGGTTTCCTCACTGTCTTTATGACAAGAGATTCCTATTTAAAACACTGCCTGCACAAGCAAAACCTATCATCCAAACAGTGACACTTCTGAGAGTGAGAACTTCACAATAATTGCGCCAGAACATCAAGTAAAATCCAAGACTGTCCCAACAAACCAGCGTGTACGGACACTCCACTAGACTTCTCATTTCCACTGAGTTTAGAATGTAATTGCTTCTAGCATAGAAGACTCACACCACCCATGTTCGTCTTCATAGAATGCTAAGTTATGCTTCAAGTTAAAAATAAGCTTTTCCCAAAGCAGACCAAATTTTTATTTCCAACCCTGTAGGTAACTAGTGCTTTCTGGGAAGGGGCCTGTTAATGTGCATTGTAGAGCATCCAGAATCCTGACTGAAGCATAATAAACTCCGTTTTCTAATAAACAATTAGAACTGGTTTCTCTTGATTTAAATTTCAGTAGGCTCAAAGTAATTAAGTACCAAACTGTTTGCATACAGATTTCCAAATAGAAACTCAAAGTACAAAATGAAAAATGTAATCCTTTAAAAGCTAACATCAGCTCAGAAAAATATATAATCTTTAAAATTATTAAATAATATATTTCCTAGATAGATTAAAAACTATGAAGACAAAAAGTTAAAAGATACAGAGGTCATGATAGAATTTATTGCTCCTTTCACATCTGACTTGCCCTACATCTGTTGAACCCTGTAGGCAGATTTATAAAAACTTACAGTCTAGATATTGACTTTTTTTTTGTTGCTTCAAGGAGTTATCTAAAAATGCATGGTGTTTCAAAACCCACACTAAATTTTTGGTGAGCACTGGCATAATAATTTTATTACAGTTTCAGTCTCTTTTAGGAAATACATGATTAACTGCATGATACTATACACCGATACTCTTACTTTACATCTGATTACATCAAAATGCACACAGAACTCAAATTTTCTAAAATTATATTAACTATTATATTAGGTTTAAAAGCGCCTGCTGGTTTAAAATGTTTGTCTATTAAAACTTGAATATGTGATATATATCCCAATTTTTCTAATCTTAGAAAAAGTGTAATGATGTGGTACTTTATGTACAGTGGATAATTACTTAGGATTATTTATTTTCCCTCACAACTTAAGTAATATAAATATATATTTTTGACTCGATGTACTGACCCATTCAACTAAGTATTAAAGAACCCATTAGATGTATAACGATATACTAAGAACTTGCCTAAAACAATAGCACTTCATACAGACCTCAAAAATAGTTTCTTAAAAGCATAATTCCAGGATCACTTATTTAAAATTCAAAATATTATCTACTGTAAAATCTGTAGACACAATAATCCTCCAAATTAAAAAACATCTAAAGCCATTTGTAATGTGTGCGCCATATTTCGGAGACACTACAGAGGGAGCTGCTGACATAGATAATATAGTATGCTGAATTCATATAGTAACTTGAGGTCCTATTAATCTTTAATATTTTTATGTTTTAGGTAATAGGTTTTTTATTTTTCAAGGAGAAAAAAAGAGGAAACTGAGGAATTTTTTTTTTTTTTTTTTTTGCTTTGGCTACAACAAATTTATTTGTATCAAAAACACAGGACACATGGCCAGGCACAGTGGCTCATGCCTGTAATCCCAGTACTGTGGGAGGCCAACAAAGCGGCAGATCACCTGTGGTCAGGAGTTCAAGACCAGCGTGGTCAACATGGTGAAACCTCGTCTGTACTAAAAATACAAAATTAGCCGGGCATGGTGGCATGCACCTGTAATCCCAGCTACTTGGGAGGCTGAGGCATGAGAATCTCTTGAACCTAGGAGGTGGAGGTTGCAGTAAGCCGAGATTATGCCATTGTATTCCAGCCTGGGCAAAAAAGAGCGAAATTCTGTCTCAAAACAAAACAAAACAAAGGACATGGAAAACTTCCCATTTAGGACACTAAAAGAATCAGCAGTGAAGGCAGAACATATATGTAACTAAGGTATTTCTTACATTTTCATTTAATAGTTGTTCTATAATACAAGTTTTCAGTATCTTGTACTCCAAGCTAAATCATTCCTTCCTAAAAAGTCTTTATAATCCTGTGGCTGCTATAGGTATGATTCCTTTTTATGTTAAAAGGATTCAGTTTTTTCCAATTGACACCACTATTGGAAAATGCTTACCTTTTTTCTATGCATACTTCTACATGTAGCTAAGAATTATAAGGCAGAAAACAGAAGACTACTGAAGTTTAGGTTTGAAAGATTTGATTTTTCCATCTGTAGTCAGCTAATTACTGTGAGAGTAATGTGTCAATTTTTTAACCTGAAGCTAAAAAATTAAGTGATATGATAGGATGAAATAAAATAAAACATTTAAGTAAATGGTATACCAGAGGGTTCCATGAATATTTTTTGACAAAGGCTCTTTACTTAAACATCTGCGAACAATTTTGAGGAGGAAAATTTCAAAGAAACATTCTAACTGATGAAACGGGTTGAAATTTGCTACCAACAGCTACTAACCTATATCACTCATGGTTTTAAACCATAACTATGCTAACTTTCCCTCTGTTTTGTAAGTATTTGAAATAATGATGAATCAAAGATCTCCTAGACTCAATTAAATTATGGCCAATAATAATAAGTGACTGAGAACTCTTATCTTACAGAAGCACATACACAGTTTTCAAACCAAGTACCAAAATTAATGCCTGATATAAACAATATGTGCCTGAACTATAAGGTAGAAAATGGATATAATGAATTAACTAAGTGTTCAATGAAGAGAACCTAAATATCTTTGGCATTTATTCAATATATCCACATTCACCAATTATCTTACATGGAAACATTCTTTCTTCACATATGGCCTATGTGCAGTAAAGGGTTAACTCAGCAGACCTGGGCTGTCCAAACCCTGCACATTCCGAAAGTCTTCAAGACTGGCCCCTGACTTCTAGGAAATAACCTCTGGGCCACTGCAATATCCACCTGACAATAGTATCTTAGTATACCTGGGGCTTTGGGCATGCCAGATAGTTTATGCTAACAATATGATATACGGTGAATACCTGTCTTTGTCTGGGGCCTTGGGCTACGCCATATTAGTTTGACCTCTGGAGGGGAAGGGAAAAAGGAGGGCTGGAGACTCGGCAGCTAAGGTCACTCACATGGGTGCTCCATGCCTATGTGACTGACCCACAATAAAAACCTTGAACACCAAGGGAATAACAGCTTTTCTGGGTCCTGTGAGTTCTTCTAGCGAATCACTGAGCCTGAGGGTGGTCTTGGGAACCCCCAACACATGCTAAAATATAGCAAAATTCATATTTAATAAAGGAAATTTCTTCTAATTTTAAGGTTTGGTTTCAGCAACTTCATTTCCAAAGAGACAGAAACAGTACTACACACTGATAGGAATGCTACTATATGGATTTCTTTCCCACCAACTAAAAAGAATAAAGAGGGGTAGCTCCTGGCCAGGTATAAGAAGGTACTTCTGCTGAATGAAACAAGTGGTGATCCATTCCCACCAGCTCTCTCCTTTTCTTCAATGAAGACCCAGGTAATCTTCAGGAAGTCTATGAAATGGAATCATTAATGCTTTCTCCTCAGTTGCTACTACTGACCTACAGTTGAGGAGAAAAGAACTTTCTCAATCCTTCTACCCTTAGGTTAATTTTGTACTTTTAAAATAAGAGTTTGTCAGAACCATCTGGCCAGGTTCAAGGTTTCAGCTATACAAAGACATTCTTGTCAGCCAGGAACCAGTCAAGGGACAGTCTTTTCTTTGGAATGTGCAGAGCTGGGGCACCCCAAGTCCAATAACCCTTCACTGCACAAAAGGATTAACTCCATAAAGGATCTGTGGATTAAAATATCACCAAAGATTACAGTTTCCCCTCAGTATCCAAGGGGGATTGGTTCCAGGACCCTTGGAGGATACCAAAATCTATGGATGCTCAAGTCCCTTATATAAAATGGTGTGGTATTTGCATATAGCCTGTATCCAATCCTCTGTATGTTTTAAATCATTTCTAAATTACTTATAATGCCTAATAAAATATAAATACTATGTAAGTAGTCATTATATTGCTTTTTAATTTGTATCACTTTTTTTTGGCGGGAGGGCGAGGTCTCACTCTGTCGCCCAGGCTATAGTGCAGTGGTGTGATCACAGCTCACTACAGCCTCGACCTCCCGGGCTCAGCTGATCCTTCTGCCTCAGCCTCTTGAGTGGCTGGGACTACAGGCATGTGCCACTACACCCAGCTAATTTTTTTTGTATTTTTGGTAGAGACGAGGCCTTGCTATGTTGCCCAGGCTGGTCTTCAACTCCTGGGCTCAAGTGATCTGCCCACCCTGCCTGAGCCTCCCAAAGTGCTGGGATTACAGGTGTGAGCCACTGTGCCCACTATACTTTTTATTTTTTTATTTTTATTTTTTTTTCAAATATTTTTCATCCATGGATGCAGTTTCACATCTATGGAGGGCTGACTAGCATTCAAGAGCTTTTGGTTTAAAAGATCAAAACATCCCAGCAGTGTTGATCAGTGACAATTCTATTACCATATAAGGTTTCCCAAATCCTTACCCAGCTTAGTTCTCTTGGGAAGCTCTTAATTGTTCCTATTTTCTAGGAAGTTATCAAAGATAACAATCTCATATGGAATTACCAACCCCCTGTGTAAGAATGAGATTTTCATTACCTCACTGGTGAATCAGAAAAAGTATCTCACTATTACATTGGTTTCCATTCTGAGTCATAGGCCTAAAGTATTAATAAAAAAGCCTAGAGTTTGAATAAACTGCACTATCATGAGCTTACCAAAATCAATGACTTAGGATTTCCTGTCTTTTATTTAAAGCTTTACCAAGTTAAATGTGGAATGGAAACTGGTGACACTTTGCCCAGGAATGTCAGGGAGGTTAACTTATGTCTCAATTTTTTTCATGCACAGTCCCAGGAGCTACTACCATGCATTATTTTATTATTACCATGGAGCTATCACCAGGCATTATTTTAACATTATTTTATAGTTCATTATTATTCACAATGTCTAACATACTATTTTTAAACATCAACAGTAGTAACAGGAGAACGTTAAGGGCTCTAGCCTGAGAATCACATAGGTAAGGGCTGAAAGCAAGACTACATAGTCAGAATACCTGGAACCAAATCTCCATCCCCACACTTACTAGCTCTGTGATCTTGGTCAATTTTCTTACCTTTTGTGCCTCAATTTCCTCTTCTGTAACATGGGAATAATCACAATACCTTCCCCAGAGAATGTTTGTAGGATTAAATAAACATGTGTAAAGAGCTTAGAATTGTGCCCGGCATCTGATAAAAACTATATAAGTAATGGCTATTATGTCAATATCACCACTACCACCACCATCATTCTAAGGAACATAAGACAACTTAACTTACATTAATTCTACAATTTCTATCTTACCCCAAGTGTTATAATAAAGGGCAGTATTACTCTCTTAACCGACAGGCAGCTGTTGTATAGTGGTAAAAGCACTTTCCTGGGTTCTACTACAACACAGCTGCCTCACTGGTTTCATCTGCAAAATGGGGATGGTAATAATCTATCTCATAAGGCTGTGTGGGGATTAAATATCTGTTCAGATGTTCTGTTCTGTGGCATCACCACACAGGATATGTTGATAATACTGAGCTCTGCCAGACACACAGGATTTCAAAATTACCTGGTTCCAGGTACTCAATCACTTCTGCAAGGATGAGATTTAAAATACTTGAAGGCATGAACCCCAAAAGGTGCTAGAAGAACAAATTAATTTTAAAAATTGTCCCCTTCTTTCACATTCCCTGGTTAGGATACATTTCTTCAAAATAGTCAATGTGTGGAGGTTGGAGTATGTCAAGGGCAGAGAGTACCTGAGAAAAGGAAAAAAAAAGTCAAATTTAGAGAACAAAAAAGGAAACAAAATTCGACATAAATGCAAGTAAATACTAACAACTCTTTAATGCTTTAAAGCTTAGTTACAATTGCCCACTGAAAATTAAATTCGTCTGTCAAGAAACACAGTACTAAACATTAAGATGGATTCGTACACTTACTATCCAAAAGACTTACAAAATGAGAGAGGCAATTGGGTTACACCACACGCTACCAAAATCCCTGCACAGGAGAGAGTTTTTGAAATAAACACCCTATTTTAAACAATCAATGTTACTCTAAGAGCGTGAGAAGCCACATCTATCATTCATTCCTTTATTCCTCTGTTCAACAAATCTTTACTATGTGCATTCTACCTGGCAAGCACTAAGCTTTTAGGTTATCCTGTTGAACAAAATAGGCATCATCCCTGCTCTCATGACTACAGAAGAGGTAAGCACTAAACAGTTACAGATATGTAATTACAACATCTATTACTATGGAGGAAAAATGTAAAGAAGGGTAGAGAGAAAAAGCTTCCCTAAAGTAACACTACTCTAGAATTTGAAGGCTGAGTGGCAGTTGGTTGATCGATGGGCAGGCAGTGTAAAGACACTGAGGCAGATTCTAGAGACAGAAAAGCCAGTGCTTATTGAATATAGAGGGTAGGAAGAAAATAGACTAACATAAAGTAGAAGAGGAAGACATGAAATACACTACACAAAGTCTCTTTAAATCATACTAAGCATTTTTGATTTTATTCCAAGATTCTTGTAAGAAAAGAAGTCACTAGGGTGAGGAAAAAAGACTTTACGACGCAAGTCCTTTATAAAAGCAGCATAGTACCCGTGTAACTTCCGCCATCAAAACATAACAAACAAATCCCCTCCCAGCTGTCTTGCTAAGCTAATGAGAAATACCAAGCTCAAAGGACATGGAAGAAACTACTTAACAGGAAATAAATTGTGTGGTACTAGTTCAAATTTTATGATCTGTAGCTTAAATTTTTTTTTTTTTTTTTTTTTTTTTTTTACTACAGAGAACTTCAAACATATAAAAGTGGGCAGAATAGTATAGAGAATGCCCATGTAATCAATACCTGGCCTCAGTTATTCACACACATGAACATTCTTATTTCATCTCTACCCTTTACTCTCCCTATATAATTCTCAAGCATATATCAAACTTATTTCAGCCATAATCAGTATCTCTAATGAAAAAAAGGTTAAAAATTGCAATGATCAAATCTAAAATGTAAGTGTTTAAAAATATCATCAAATATCCAGTTCTCAAATTTTCTATTTTCTCATATTAAAAAAAAAGTTTGTTAGTCTAAATCAGGAGCTAAATAAGATTTACATAGTATGACTGATAATCTAAAGGTTTCTCCACCATCTCTTTTCCGTTTCCTCTTGCAATTTATGTGTAGAAGAAACCCGGTTCATTTTAAAGGTTATTCTTGTTTCAGCCAAGCATTTCTCACTATAAATTTTAAGTAAAAATTTATTTTATGCATTAAAGCCTCCTGTAATGAAAAATTCTTCACTCACTTTAAAGCCAGTTGGAGGCTTTTAAATAGTTTAGATGTTTTTATAAGGAATATCTATCTTTCCTTTTGAATTAAAATGTTTATATTTAGAATTTTGGTATAAACAGAAAATAAGAGATTTTCCAGTTTCTTTGAAGAGTAATTTTTTTCATATGACAGATGCATTATTTCATTTCTATATATTTTTTAAACCTATAATTAGCCAGCTATATTTTTTAAACCAATAAATTCACACAAATTTCTCATTATGTGCCAGAACAATTTTTAACATGAATATTTGACAACTGAGGAAGGCAGTTAGAAATTAGTGTTTTACTTGACATCTTTCGGACTCTCAACTCTGTATCTGAGCAACACACATCCTGTCTAAGGGGGAAACAGAATGCAATGAGTGACAGCGTCCATTATACAAAGCTATTTTACACTTCAAATCTATCTGCTATAATTAGAGGTTATCTAGAAGAAAGTGACAACCATACATATTAAACCTTGATAGAGAAGAATGAGGCTTTCTTACTCCATATTTGATGAGGCTTTTTGTAAAAAAGCCATATAAAACAGGGATAGACATTTGCACTACAGCATTTAGCTGTGATTGTTAGTTCAAAAGGTACAATATTTTAAACTATGCCTGGAATTTTTTAAACGCCTGTTGTTTTATCCTCCTGCTCTTTCTACTCCAAAATGTTTATCAGAGGATGGCATTCTACAGTGCTTCTAGGTGGTAAAAACAGTATTTAGACCAGTAGAAATGATCTAGGAATCTCAAAAGCAATGTAAATGAGTAAGTGAGAAGGTATAGTGGCAGAGTTCGAAACTCCAGACTTCATGCCTGACACCCCATTTAAATAGCTAGAGATTCTCTATAAGCCCCACTATTATTTGAGGGAATAAAGTATGTGAGATTAGCCTTAAGATATAAATACGTGCTTGTAAAGACTTTGGCTTATAAAGAGTTGAAGTATCCTCAAATACCACACTCTTCAAAGGATTTCAAATACAAAAAAATACAAGCAGACTTGTCTAATTAAAAAATGAATTAAAGTTATGTCTTTAAATGATAGTCATTACCAAACACATTTCTTAACAGTGTCTCTGCATATGTCACAAATCTTTTAAGAAACACAAAAGCTCATTATGTTAGCTGCTTTTTAGGATTTTAACCTCCATGATGTTAGAAGATTCACTATAAACTGGTTACATAAGAAAATAGCTTAGTCTCAGTCAGCCCTTTATCAATAAAATAATTCCTGTGAATAATCTCAATCCTAACTATAAAGACAAGAAATTTATCTGTTAATTCATAGAATCAACATTTACTGAGTTTCTACTCTGCCAAGGACTCAAAGACAAGAATAAGAATAAGAATAAGAATATAAGGAACACAGCTAAATCCCATTTAGCAAAGGAGCTACTCTTTTCCCACTCTCTCCCCATAATAGATTCTAAGTTCTTTACGGTAGAGACTATATCATTATTATTTTTTTTTATAGAGTTGTAGCATAAGGTATACAAATCCTGAGTATAACTTGATCCATTTTTATATACACACATATTTCTATGTAAATACCACCCAGGTTAAGAAATTAGACATTTTAGCCCCTTTGCTTTTTTTTGAGACGGGAGCCTTGCTCTGTCTCCCAGGCTGGAGGGCAGTGACATGACCTTGGCTCACTGCAACCTCTGCCTCCTGGATTCAAGCGATTCTCCTGCCTCAGCCTCCCAAGTAGCTGGGACTACGGGCATGCGCCACCATGCCCGGCTAACTTTTGTATTTTTAGTAGAGACGGGGTTTCACCATGTTGGCCAGGCTGGTATCGAACTCCTGACCTCGTGATCCACCCACCTTGGCCTCCCAAGGTGCTGGGATTACAGGCATGAGACACTGCACCCAGCCCATTTACCCTTTTTTCAGTCAAAACCCATCCTGGCACTGTTTTTACTTCTGTCACCAAAGATTCATTTTGTGTGTTCTTGAACTTTACACAAACTGCATAATAAAGAGTGAAGTCTTTTGTGTATAGATTCTTTCATTTACTGTTATGCCTGTGAGATTCATTCATGTTCCTGTGTGAATCAGTGGTTTATCCTTTTTGGTGTTGTGTACTGTGCTATTATTGAACTGGACTATATCACAAAGTACTTATTCAGAGTGCTGTTGGCAGACATTTATATTGTTTCCAATTGCTACCTATTATGTGTAATGCTGCTATGAACATTCTTGTACACTCTTTTAGTAAATATATGCATTCATTTCTCTTGAGTGTATACGAAATAGAATTGCTGGGTCATTGGGTAGGTGTATATTTAGCTTTAGTACAAATTGCCAGTTTTCTGAAGTAGTTTTACAAATTTATGCTCTCACTAGCAATGGATTAGAGTTTCAGTTGATCTATGTCCTTGCCAGCAGTTGGTATTGTCAGTCTTTTTAATTTCAGCCAATCTGTTGGGTACATAGTGTTAACTCAATGTCGTTTTAATTTACATTTCTCTGATGAATAATGACTTTGAACACTTTGATATGTTATCCTCTTTCGTGAAATTTTTCATTAAGTCTTTGGGCAAAACGTCTTCATTTATAGAAGGTCTTTACATATGATATTTAGATATATAACTCAGTCTGAAAAATATCAAGTAAAACATTTATTTCTAATTGTCTTCCTCAAACACTGAATATTTTAAAAATTGTTCTAGCCCATAATATTTTATGGGAACAAGTATTTTATTGGATATATGTTTGAGGTCTGTCTTTTCATTCTCTTAATTGAACATTTAGTTCTTAACATTAATGTTAATAGAAATTAACATTAATAGTGTCCAATTAAACAATTTTTTATGGGTGTTTTATCTGTCCAGTTAAGACATCTTTGCTTATCTCAGTCATGAAGATACTTGCCTATGTTTTATTCTAGGAGTTTTATTATTTTACCTTTCACATTTAAGTCTATGATCCATTTTGAATTAATTTATGTATATGGTACATGGCTAAGGTTAATTTTTTTAATATGGATATCTCACGGACTCAGAACTGTTTATTGAAATGGTCATCCATTCCCGACTGGATTATAGTGGCACCTCTCTTGCAAATCAGGTGAACATGTATATAGTATGCCAGTTTACAAACTTTCTATTCTGTTCCATTAATCTATCTGTCTATCCTTGTTCTGGCTCCATATCTTGTGCTTTATACCTTCTGTTGCTCCTGGGATTCAGTCTCAATATTGGACAACAGTCTCAATACTTGGTAGTATGAATTTCTAACTTTATTTAACTTCTTTAAGATTGTCTGGGCTATTTTGTATCTTTTGCATTTCCATAAGTTTCAGGATGTTTGTGAATTTCCATACGCATATAGACATAAAACCTTGCTGGGACTGTGATTAAGATTATACTGAAATGTATAGCAATACTTGGGAAGAAAAGACCTATCAATCACATTGAGTCTTCCAATCCATTAACATGGGAGACTGTATTATTTTAAATGTGACAGTAATCTGCCTAGAACTATAAACTTTAGGCACACAGCAAACAAAACCAAATTCCTTGAAAAGTAACCTACCTCTACATCATCCTTTGCTTTTTCCAACTCCTTAGCGGCACAACAGTTAGTATTAGTTAGCACTTAGTATTACTAATGTCTGAACAGCATGTCTGTATTAAAAGATAGGCCATATCTGTTTTTCCCATACTGTATGATTCTGTAACCTACTTATGAACCCAAAGGGGTGTTGTATGAGTTAGGTCAGACTATACAAAGGAAAATGAATGAAGCTTCTTTGTCTCATTCTAGCCCTCTCTGGAGCACTCCAGAGCTAGGACAAGAAAAAGTAACCCCAAGAGAGAGATCACAGAAGTTATCACTCCAGGCCCTTAGATTTCTTTTTTTCTGTCACTTTCATTCACTCACTTACTCTTCAAATAGAATCGCCGCCTACTGTGTACTTAGTGTTATTGTCTAAAGACAAGAAAAATGTCCAAGACTTGCGTTACAGGGGCTCTTGGCAGGAATCAATAGACCCTAAGGGGGCTCTAAATGGGCTTTAGAGGACAAGTGAAAGCCTAAAATGACATTAAAATTGTATATATGTGCATTTTTCTGACAGGATTCATAGCTTTCATCTCAAAGATCCAAAAAACCTAAATCATCACTTTCCCTGCTGATCATATGACAACTATGCATGTATATACATACAAGCACAAATGCATAGATGGGTAGAGAGAAGATTCTGCCAGATTTTACAAAAGCTCAGATAGATACTAGTAATAAGCCTAAACACCAATTTTTAGAAAGCTAAACCCATTTCTGTTTCCCCAAGTTACTTCATCAAGGTGAATGTGTTAAGATGGTGAAGCAGGTACTCAGATGTGTGTGTGTATGTGTGTAAAAATTCAGTCAGGTCACCTGAAATCAATGAATTTGATACAGTGACTTTGAAGGTTCCTTTCAAAAGAAAATCCAAAGCCTCCCAGGCTTTGTTACTATTCTTTGACACATAAAAAGCCATCCAAATTAAAATCCAACCTTCCTACAATGACCAAGATCTTTCTAAATGCCATTTTTATCATGACATTCCTTTCTTCTTCAATCAAATCTTGTTCTCAAAAGGCTCATATTAAGATTTTCCTTCTCTGTGTTTGATGCATCTTTGAATTTCTAAGTCCACAACAATTTTTCTCTTTTCTTAATATTATGGTACTTGCCTGTCACCTGAGAAGCTTTAAAAAATCAGATACCTGGGCCTCAACTCCAGAGATTACAATTTAGTAGGTGCAAGGTAAGACCCATGAATCTGTGTTTTAAGGTCCCCCTCTCCAGGGAATCTTTGAATACATTTCTAGGTTTTGGTTGTCCAGCTCTTTGCTATGCACACAGCTGTCCTGGCTTAATGTTTAACCATGCAGGCAACCCTCCCACAGTGCTTTTATCATAGTAGTTATCACATTTTGAAAATTATTTCAACTATTTGAAGGTAAAGACAACAGGAGCTAATGTAGTTTAGGCATACAGGATGTGCATAATAAAAGTTTACTGAATTAATGAATATGGGCTCTACAGCAAGACAGATTTACAGTCCAATCTGTGCCACCTTAACCTTGGGCAAGTTACGTAACTCCAAGTCGTTGGTTCCTCCTCTACAAAGTAAGGTTAACAAGCCCTATCTGACACGATTTTTAAGGAGTAAATTAATTAATATATGTAAAGTATCTAGCATATCTCCTGACACAGAGCAATATTAAACATACCCCTTCAAAAAGAAAGTGTTTTAAGCCTTTATTGTATCCTCCACATGACCTAGCACCGCACTCCTTACATAGGACACAATAAATAAACATTTGCTGCCTTAACTAGATCAAATACCAGTTGCCTCTTAGACTGGCATTCCACACATAGTAGTTATGCTGGCCCTGAGATCCTTTTGGAAATAGATCTCAGAGATAGCAGAGATCTATTATATATAAAATAGTGGTGCTGTGCCATCTTCAACTATGTGCCTCACTTTTAAACACTTTCACAGATGTCACAGGCACTCTTCTATGATAGAGCTCAGTAGTTTCAAATAGTGGTTGTGTGTTGAGCAGGTTTATATGCATTAAAAAAATTTAATTTCTGCAACAATCATACACAGTTATTTCTGCTTTTACCATGCCTGCTTCGAAAATGAAAAAAACTTAAAGATTGGAGAAGTTAAGGTCCAAGACACAACAGTACAAAATAGTAGAACCACAATTCAAACCTAGTTCTGACTTTAAAGCACAGCTCTTAGAAACTGTATGAGAATTGCTTCTATGTTTTAATTGGTGTGATTTTCACAAATTCAGTTTATTTTTCTTACACTACTCCCTTTGACACTGTCTTTGTAACTTAATTAGTTACTAGGAATGAGTCATGAGCAAAAATACCAACTAGACAAACAGCAGCTTATTATACCACCCTTCCTTTATAGAAGAGGCCAAGATTGGTTGGAATATAGTAAGCCATTGACATCATTAGTAAGCAAATTTCTTTTTTGTCTTTTTTTTTTGAGGTGATATCTTGCTCTGTGCCCAGGCTGGAGTGCAGTGTCGTGATCTTGGCTCACTGCAACCTCTGCCTCCCAGGCTCAAGTGATCTCCCACCTCAGCCTCCTGAGTAGCTGGGACTATAGGCATGTGCCACCAAACCCAGCTAATTTTTTATTTTTTGTAGAGATGGGGTTTTGCAGCGTTGCCCAAGCTGGTCTTGAACTCCTGGACTCAAATGATCCAGCTGCCTTGGCCTCCCAAAGTGCTGGGATTACAAGCATGAGCTACTGCGCCCGGCCCCGAGTAAGCAAATTTCTGATGCCACCCTTGAAATATTTTTTCGTCATGGATACCTTTACTTGAGTCTCTGACAATGAAAGAAGGTCTGCACTCTTTGATGCTGAGGTGACACACTAAGGCAAGGTCAAGAAATAACTAAGAAAGAACTAGACATTATTCTAAATTATTTCTAAAATCTGAGGAACTGGTAGTAAAATAGTAACTCAAGTGGTATTTTGTTTTGTGTGTGTGGTTTTTTTTTAGAGATGGAGTCCTGCTCTGCACCCAGACTGAAGTGCAGTGGTTGATCATAACTCACTGCAACCTTGAACTCCTGGCTCAAGTGATCTTCCCACCTCAGCCTCCCAAATAGCTGAGACTACAGATGTGTGCCACCACACCCAGCTAATTTAAAAAACTTTCTTCTTTAGAGATGAGGTCTCGTTATGTTGTCCAGGCTGGTCTTGAACTCCTGGACTCAACTGATCCTACCACTTCAGCCTTCTGAGTAGCTAGGATTACAGATGCAGCCATTGTCCCTGGCTTCAAGTGGTATTTTGAAATGTATTAAAACAAGCATATTGCTAGGCAGTTCCAATTGACTAAAACACAGCAATGCCCTTTAAAAAAATTAAGGCAAGAGAATTTCAAGAGGAATAATCATTAAAATGAAATATGTCAAACCAAGGAGCTTCGAGTGAACCATATGGTAAGTTTAGTACTCCCAGTTTTAACAAATACCTCAAACTTTTCAAAATTTGCTTCTTAAAGTGAGACCAAACCTTTGGCCAAAGTTCTCGAGTTTTTTGTGCAAATAAGCACTCAGACTCATGAGAAATCATAATTTTTTTTCTGATAAGTTTTTATTATGGCAATTAAAATAGCATAGGTTGAGTATTATATAAAGAATTTGAGGCAGTTTTTCTTTTCACATGAAAATGAAAACATATTCTAATGCTGGCGACCTCCAGGTAAATTTTACATGTATCAAATTTTTAACTCAGGATTAATTGAAGGAAAGTTCTGTCAAAACACGAGTCTATTTGTCTATAAGTCTTCACATCTCTAAACATAGCCATAAATAAGGTAGCCTATGTTACCTTAAGGGATGTACTGTTTTTATAGGAGAAACTGTTTCCCACATCTCTAACTTAATCTCTGATTTAAAATATTGAGATAAAAATAAAGCACTTAAAATCAAGGGTCAATTATTTCCACTTAAATCACTCACTATATAAATCACTACACTCTATTTTTGTGTTGAATATTAGTATTATTCCTCGGCTAAATATCAATATTTGCTTTGCATCAATATTTACCTGTCAATCAATCAATCTTAGAATTCACTTGAATTCACTTACACTTGTTCATTGTTCAGTCACAAAAAGGGTCTAATTTGTCTCAGGTTTCCAAGCCCCTCAATAAAAACCTTGGTTGTGGTTTCTATTAATAACCTATTTCCCTACAAATATATGCTCCTTTTCTATGGGCTTTAAACATATTTAATAGCTTGTATTCTTAGAATTAAAAAAGACATTCAGATTGACAAATGAGAGTGCACACCACATTTCAGAAGCCAATGCGAAACTCAATAGGTTCAACGTTTCCTGATTTGGAGTTTAGGGCTTGTGCATGTCATACAATTCATAGTGTAATTTTCAAACCTTCAAATAAAATGCTGATAAAATGGACTCCCCAGGTGAGTCTAATATGTTAAGGTTGAAAACCACTAATCTCAATAGTGAAAATTTAAGACAGTCATAGAGAGACATAAAGAGTATATATAAAAGGAAAGCAAAGCACTGAAAGACTACAGCTTAGAAAACGTGTGTGTGTGTGCATCTCTTTCAATAAGAATGTATGAATTGAAAGCCTATCAATAGGTATTCTCCCATAACCTCACTGGTGCGCTTATTTCTTTTCACATTTGGCATAAAACTATAGCCAATTTCCAAATTTTACTTATAGGTGCCCTTTTAAACTTTCATCTGCTCTTTACTAATTCAATGCAGGAGGCTTAGGAAATAGTTTCCCCCAAATACCAATTTCACTTACATTATCATGCTTAAAAAAACACAACATCTTCAATTCCCGGAAGACCCTTTTGCAAGAGACCAGATTCTGGAAGACGTTGGGCATCTTTTTGAGCGCTACTCTCTTTCCATCTCTTGGATCTGTTACTGACCTAAAGAAGCAATATTTGGGGAAGGGGAAAAAAAAGACAGAGAAATCAGTTCCACACCTTGTTTTCCAATGTTTCAGATCATGACAATATCTTTATCTTAAAACACTCAACATTAAGTCCACTTAATGAAGCTTAAGGTGTCAGTGAGAAAGATAAAAGAGTACATATCTATAATTAAAGAGAATGTTTGGTCACCCAACTCATCTGCCATGCTTTAAAAAAAAAAAAATCCCTGTCTAAATTTCTATAAACACTTACTCTTTCAGAGAGGTCACTTTATACATCTGAGGTAGGAGAGGTATTAGTGGTAAAGCCATTTTAAAGATGGGAAAAAACATACAGAAGCAGCATAGATCATTAATTTGATAAAAGTCAAATTAGCTTTATGCTTTATTTTCAGAACTACATTTGAGAGGGAAGACATGTTCAAACACAATTTAAATATTTAGATTTCTTATGTATATGAACATCTTTTAGTAATATGGACTTCAATATAAGCAGCAGTTGAACACTGTCCCCTCCTTAGAAGTCTGGGTGCCAGCTTAGGGATCCCTGTAGCTCCCGAGTAATGATAACCTCATCCCTTTTATTTCCCAGCTCTTAGTGTGGTAGTTGCTTCTTGCAGTTACTATCTTTTTAATAACTGTGTCCCCCCACTCCCTTTTTTTTCTCTTTTTGCCTTCCAACACCTATATAACCAATTTCCTGTATTATATTTCCCTATGTTTGAAATAGGAGTGTGGTTTCTGTTTTTCTGACTGAACCCAGTTGATACATATTAACTAAATAGGTAAAAGAATGTCAGGCCAGGCTCAGTGGCTCATGCCTGTAATCCCAGCACTTTGGGAGGCCGAGGTGACTGGATCACCTGAGGCCAGGAGTTTGAGACCAGCCTGGCCAACATGGTGAAACCCCGTCTCTACCAAAAATACAAAATTTAGCCGGGCGTGGTGCATGTCTGTAATCCCAGCTACTTGGGAGGCTGAGGCACAAGAATTGCTTGAACCTGGAGGCGGAGGTTGCAGTTAGCCAAGATTTCTTGACTGCACTCCAGCCTGGGCAACAGAACGAGACTCTGTCTCAAAAAAAAAAAAAAAAAAAAAAAAAGAAAAGAAAGAAAAAAGAAATACCAATAAATTGAGTATACACGGCCAATTGGTCATTTGGCAAACTGACTTTCCATGAATTAACCTAGAGCTTTTTTTTTTTTTCCCCCCTTCTACCTATCATACTAAGATTGGTTGTTCTGGTAGAATTTATTCCTGTCCAATTTATTTAGCTAGATTCCTGCCTAACATTCTCAGCTATTATCGTTCAGCCCCTGTTCTGATCATCCAATGCTCTGAGTATTTATTCCTCCTAAATTTGTGTCATTTTAAAATTTGAGGCTAGGCTCAGTGGCTCATGCCTCTGTCCCCAGCACTTTCGGAGGCTGAGGCAGGAGGACTGCCTGAGACCAGGAGTTTGAGACCAGCCTGGGTAATACAGCAAGACTCTGCCTGTATTCAAAAAAAAGAAAAAAGAATTGATCCATGTGACATTAATGTCTCTTTCTAAGTTATTAATTAAAGTTTAGAACAGGACTGAGACTAGATCTCTGCAACAGATACAATACTAGAAATCATCAACGAGACTGACATTCAATCATTAACCTTGAGTATGGATATTCAATTACTCATTCAATGAACTACAATCACTCAGGAAATCAGACACTCATCAAATTGCTTTCCTGAAAATAAAAATTCCTATTGTCTACATATCTGTCTAAAAACCATATCAAACTTCTTTATGGATTCATTTTAGTGATCACTACTTCCTTTTCTAAGTGCTCATGAAACTCTGAAATGATGTATTCTAGTATTTTTTTTCCTTAACATGGTGCTATCTCTACTGAGTATTCTAGTATTTTTTAACAACACGATGACTTCACTTTCTTCCATTGGCCAATATTTTGATAAAACAAGTATTATCTATTATTATTATTCTTTAGAGACAGGATCTCACTGTCACCCAGGCTGGAGTGCAGTGGCACAATTAAAGATCACTGCAGCTTGGAACTCTTGGGCTCAAGCAGTCTTCCTGCCTCAGCCTTCTGGGACTACAGGCAATTTTGAGTTTTCAATAGCTTCATATGTAACTCAAGTAGGCCAGGAGACCTAACATTCATGACTGTTGCTTAAAAAATATGAACCCAGGCAGGGCGCAGTGGCTCACACCTGTTAAACCCAGCACTTTGGGAGGCTGAGACAGGAGGATCACTTGAGGCCAGGAGTTTGAGACCAGTCTAGGCAACACAGTGAGACCCTGTCTGTATTTTACACACACACATACACACACACACACACACACACACACACACACACACACCCCAAGCCAAATCTGCAATACTGATTAAAATCCACATAAACTAGAAAATAGGAGGGGACATTGATATATTGCTGTATTCAGACTATTAGTTAGAAGTACTTTTTTTCTGTTTAAATATACTACTTCAGTATCTAGCTACTAGAAGAGAAAAATGTCAATGAAATACGAAAAAGGGAAAACTTCAGATCACACACTGTATTCAACTGTCACGTCTCTTTGGTATTCTCTAATCTAGAAGTTATTTGGCATGTCTTTCATGACTGCCATTTGTGAAATATACAGACCAGGCCAGTTACTTTGAAGACTAGCCCTTAATTTGGGTTTGTTGTTTTCTCATAACTAGATTCAGATTATTCATTTTTGACAGAAACAACAAAGAACTGATGCCTTCTCAGTGCATCATCTCAGGAGGCATATAATGTCAGTATGTCCCATTACTGTTGATAACTTTAATCACTTGAATGAGGTGTCTGCCAGGCTTCTCCACTATAAAGTTACTATTTTTTTCCCTTTGTAACTGTGTAAATATCCTATTCCTCACTGAACTTTGATCCATTAACTTTAGTATCCCCTCATGATTTTTGCCTGAATCAATTATTACGATGGTTGCCAAATGACAATAATTTTAATATCTTTAACAGTTAGCCGGGCACAATAAATATTAGTTTTTAAACATGAGATAAATTGATTTAACACAGTGCCCTTTCCAAAGGCCTCATACAATACTTCTTCCTAACTTCTGACTACTACTTACTGGTTACCCTATTATGGTGAGAAAAGCCACCATAATAAAGGAGATAAACCCACTCCTGAAAATACTTGACACAGGCTCAAGGTGAGTACTATGTCTTGTAATGTTTTAAAGTAAAATTCACAAAGCAGCATTTTATTATTCATGCAAAAGCCAGTCATGCCTGTGGCTGGCAACAATATAACTCTAATGAATGTGAATGGCAGTGCAGTAATTTCACGCCATGTTGAGTTTGTTCTCTCTTAACTTGAGGTAGCAGATGCTTTGGTTCAGCACAAACAGTACCACAGAACACAGATAAGTGTGGAAGCATGTTATACAGGAATTCTTTTATTTTTTGTTACTCAAAGGCTTGAGGCGCTTAGTTTCTCTGCTGCTGCCATACCCTGGTTATTCTAAATGCACTTGCTAATGAAGCTCCAGCTGTAGAGATAATGAACAACATTTAGTACAAGTTTCTTCATTTCAGAAAAAAAGGAGCCATCCTTATACCTACAATTCTAGGGCAGTTACTTTCTCTGCTAAACACTGGATGCCTTAAATAAGACAGTGCATCTGTCATTTCATCTGATTCCCTTCTTAAACAGTGAAGTTTTACTTACAGGAGTTTACTTCCTAAGTTTTAAATTAATACTTCAAGCAGCATGTTTAAGAGTCGTGAGAAAGAATCCTCACTTACACCTGTCCAGAGTTTATCAATACTTCTTTATACTCATAAATTCAACTGTTTTTTAAAAAGCCAGAAGAATCCACAAGTCCTTTTTCAGAGAGATACAGAGTTGATCAAAAGAGTACAATAACAAAACAGGAAGCATTTTAGATCTGTTGTGGTCATTTTGTTGAGTTTTCTTAATCCCAGAAAACGGAACACTGCCACAAATCTGCTTAAATTACTGACAAGCAGAAAAGTTGTAATGAAACAAAAGTGAAACTTATTATTGGGAATACTTTCTCAGCCACTAAAATGTCACTTAAAACATCTTTAAACTAGTCAGCAAGAATCTCCAAGAAATTGTGTTTCTCTTTCATTTTTATGTGAAGAATCCCCCATGTGTTAGCAGTTTTAAAATTCATGTTTCTGATACATGTTTTTAGCTATTCAAAGCAAATACATAATATAATAAAAAGAGTGCTTCAACTTGGTTTAAGAAAATCAGGTTCTTGTAATTCTATTCACATAAAGTTGTAATCAGCAATCCTCCATTTCTTGCTATACATACTACAATTACTATGTCAACTATACTGAGTACATATCTCAGTAACAGAACCTCCTAACTAAACTCTAAATATTTAGATTATTGCCGTCACATTTATTTTGAAATTCATTTCCTTATTTTTACTTGTATTTAGATTGCCTGTTTCAGAAAACAATAGCAAACTGAGGCAAAATTTTTGACAACAAACAAGTCTAGGAAATGTATCCTATTTGTTACCTTGGTCCTTGTTATATATTCAAGGATACACAAGAAATTTATGTAACAAATTATGGAATAAGAAATTTACTTTTATTTCTCACTGGTCTTTCTAACTGCAATTTTAAAGGGCTATAATTTGTGTGCACTCCACCATATTTATAGAGTTGTATACAATTTAGAAGAAATCTTTCTAGGCCTTTCCCCCATCCAAAACATAAATAAAAAACGGATTCTCATCTTCTATATTTAATGTATTATATTAGCCGAGTTCTTTTCTCATTTGTTTATCCAAGTTTGTTAATTGTCGGGTTAGCTGTATGCATAAGAAAGAGATCCTTTTCCATTTTGTCAGGATATATAAAATGATTCCCAAATTTGCTAATTTGTATTACAAAGAAAAAAGGCCTTATATGATAGCTAAACCAAGGCTGAGAAACAGTTCATTCTTTTCTTCATATCCTCCTAATATTATTCCTTAGGAGCAGCAAAATATCTATATTTGACTGAAAGAGTTAAATAAGAACTTAAACATCCTCTAACTCTGTGTTTAATGAACTAAAAATAGCAAAGATCTCAGCAGATAAGACAGCACTGGGCCATTCTAATCTGTAGTGAGACACCTGAAAGTACTGATAATGGAGGAAGGCTAAGCAACAGGTAAGCCATCCAGTATCAGGCTGTCATATTTATTTTCAAGTACTTAGTACTAGTGAGTGAAACCTAACTCTTAAGACCCTTTCAGTCCCCACCAATAATACTGGATAAGTTAAAATGCAGCTGAAAATCATTTTATGCTAATTCTTGTGGTCTTGGGAATATTTAATTGTTCTTTAGATCATGAATTAATTAGTTCCATCTATACTATAGATGCTGGGGAGATACAGAGACTTCCTCCTCAGTCACTGTTAAATATGTCTACGAGGAATCTGAACTGCCTGCAGGAAAACTGCCATGCTGGATTTTCTCATGTTAGAGGGTGAAGATGATACAGCCCAGTCTGCCAAGTCTAGGAAGTTTTCATGGCCTACTAGCCACAGTCCTTGCTTAGAAACAGACCTATGAATATTGCATGGGGAGGAAAACCAGTTGAAAGAATGAGGGAAAGGTTTCTATGCAAATCCACAAAGGAAAACAATTCACAACTACATCTCCCTCTTGCATTTTAACAACTTTGTCTAGGCAAGAAGAGGTCACAAAGCGCAAGTAAAACTGAAAATATGTCACACAAAAATGCACTTATTTTTAATTCCACTGGTGACTTCCTGAAAGATATGTGTTCAGTAATAGGAACATTGAGGACTAGAAAAAAATTTATATTTAACAAATGGCAATTTTTGTTGCACATTAGGTTTATAAGGATAGAAAACATTTGAAAGAAAAAGACAGTTTTATTCACATGGTAGGTTTGTGACAGTGTGGCTTTGCAGACGTCAAAAATCTTAATGAATTTAGAAATAAAGTTCACATCAGAAAAGAAAACTTTGTTCTGAATTGTCGTAGAGCATACTTTAATATTTTAATGGCTAAGCTAATATTTTAATAATTACTTAATACAAAATGTGAACAATATGCTTGAAGTTAAAAGTAAATTGAACATATCAACAGTAAAAAACATTTTTGAAATAAAAGAGGCCCTTCACCTGGTTGCACTCCTGAAAGCAAGATGGGTCACCAGCAGCTCTACTAGAGCCACCCATGAAAATTCGGCCGGGGTTCTCACTCTTGCTGCGTCTGCTCAAACCAGCATGGTCTGATCCTGAAACATGGCCTCAATAGGTGCTGCCAGTGTTTCCATCAGTACATGAAGGATATAGGTTTCATTAAGTTGGACCAAATGATCTTTGTTGAATGAATTATCCAAGGCATCCACCCAATGATAGAAACCATGTTAGCTCTTTGTACATAAAATAAAAAATTTTAAAAATATAAATGAGGAAATGTCAATATGGCTTAGAATTAGTTATAAATAAAATGTCCGTATTTTCTAGAGATGCATACTTATAAGTATAAATAGGTGAAATGACATGAGATCTAGGATTTGTTTTAAAATACTTCAGCAACAACAATAAAAAATAGTTGAAGCAAATGAAGCAAATCTTATTAATTACTGAATCTAGGTGGTGGGTATAATGGGGTCTAATTATACAAAAGGAAAATAATGTAAGTCTGAAATTTTCAAAATAAAAATAATAAAATGAAATTTATAAAAAACTATTTATAATATTAAAAATATGTAATATCTGGGATTAAAGCTAACAGATGCTACTCAAGACTTCTATACAAGATGTTTAAAAAATATTACAGAGCAAAATTAAAGAATAAATGGAAAGATGTATCATATTCACAGATTAGAAAACTCAACATTGTAAAATTGTCAACTCCCCCCAAATTGATGGGGGGGATAGATGAAGTAGTTTTAAAGTTTTTCTATAAATTTAAGTGTGCTAAGGACAGCTAAAACACTTGAAGAAGGATAGGTCGGTTTTGAAAAATTGCTCTACTAGGTATGAAGACATAATAAAGCTACAGTAATTTACATAGTGTAATATTGGTACAAAGACAGATGAAACAGAAATATAATCAATCTAAAAAGAGACTGTCGCCTATATGAACACTTGACTTACCAAAAAGTTGGCTCTGCAGAGCAGTGGAGACAGGAAGGTTGTATCAGTTATTAAGCTATTGTCTCTCAGCTTCAAACCCATCCGCCTAAACACTGCTCTATCATGCTGGGGCTAAACTCTACAAACCACATTTTGGTTTTGCCAACTGGCTCCATGTTAGGCTCTGCCAACAGAATGTTGTAGAGAGAGACTGCAAGGGTGGTGGTGGAGGAAGAAGGGACTTGCACCTCCTATGGGCTTCCTGTCTGTTTCTTGTTTCTGTGACACCCAAGCAATACTTCTTCACTCCCAGCAGTAGTACCTTCTTATAGCAGTAGCTGAATCCAGTTTACAGTTCTGCCAAAACTTGCAGAACTAGCCTCACTGCATCTTCCATGCCAGATACCAGCACAAGTGAGCCAGTATCCTCTCCTCAGACATCATGGGGTTCTAAATTTGAATAATTCCAATCTCTTCCCTTTATTCTTCCTGCTGTGGGGTGGAAACTGCTACTTTTGTGATATCTTAGTGTTTTCTTCTTGCATTTTTAGTTATCTACTTGACAACTTTATACCTAATTAACATTTTTTCCATATTAAACTCTGTTTAAATAACTGGTGTGGTTTCTTTCTCCTGATCAAACCCTGCCAGATACAATATCTTTTCAATCTATGTTATTGGAACCATGAAATATCCACATGGAAAAACAAGATGAACCTCCAAACCTACTCCACACTATACACAAAAACAAATTCCAGGTAGGATGTAGATATAAACATGAAAAGCAAAATCACATCGCTTTTAGAAGATAACGTATAGAAGAATATGATATTAAGGCAGGGAAAGATTTCTTCAATTGAACACAAAAAGCACTAATTACACTGGAAAATATTGATATATTTGACTACCTTAAAATCAAGAACGTCTTTTCATATCTACATTAAGAGGGCAAAAATGCAAGTCACATAGGAGAAGATGCTTGCAACACTTATAAGGAACAAAGGGCTCTTATCCAGATGTATACAGAACTCCTACAAATCAATTTTTTAAAAGTCTAACAATAGCAAATGTTTTGTTGAGATGAAGTGCAATGGAAATTCTTATAGTTTAGGAGGGTAAATTGTTATAATCACTTTGGAAAACAAGTTGACATTATCTATTAAGTCAAAAATATATACACACTATGACCTGGCAATTTGACTCCTAGGTATATAACCAAAAGGAATATGCATATCTATACATTAAGACACATGCAAGCGTATTCAGAGCAGCAATATTTGTAATACCCTTAAAACTGGAAATAGCTTAAATATCCACAAACAGAATGTTCAATATATAATATACAGTATACAAATTGTAGTATATTCAAACAATGGAATACTCTCCAGCAATTAAAATGAACTACTGCTATATGCAACAACATAGATAAATCTTACAAACATAATTTTGAACAAAAGAAACCAGGCACAATAAATATACACTACAAGATACCATTTCCATAATATTAAAAAAAAAGGCAAAGTTAAACTATAATGTTTAGGGATGCACACTTAGGAGATAGAAACTGTCGGGAAAGGAAGTAGTTAGCATAAAAGTTAGGATAGTGATTATCTCAGGAGGAGAGGACAATGGTGGTAGAGTGTCAGAGGCGTTTGAATTAGAGCAACTCCATCTTGAATGGGGGTTGGGTAAAATGAGGCTGAGATCTACTGGGCTGCATTCCCAGGAAGTTAAGGCATTCTAAGTCACAGGATGAGATAGGAGGTCAGCACAAGATACAGGTCATAAAGACCGTGCTGGTAAAACAGGTTGCAGTAAAGCAGCCAGCTAAAATACACCAAAACCAAGATGGTGATGAGAGTGACCTCTGGAATTATAATGCATTAGCATGCTAAGAGACACTCCCACTAGTGCCATGACAGTTTACAAATGCCATGGCAACACCAAGAAGTTACCCTATATGGCCTAAAAAGAGGAGGCATAAATAATCCATCCTTTGTTTAGCATATAATCAAGAAATAATCATAAAAATGGGCAGCCAGCAGCCCTCAGGGCTGCTCTGCCTATGGAGTAGTCATTCTTTTATTCCTTTACTTAAGTAAACTTGCTTTCACTTTACTCTATGGACTTGCCCCAATTTTTTCTTGTGTGAGATCCAAGAACCTTCTCTTGGGGTATGGATCCAGAGGGCACAGGGGACTTCTGGGTACTGGTGATGTCCTGTATCTCACTTGAATGGTGGTCATAGAGGTGTGCACTTTGTGATACACCATTGAGTTATACATTTTATTTTGTGTATGTGTGTTACTAAATAATTAGAAAGGTTTTTTAAAAAGGCAAACTGCCCAGCTTAATTTTCTAGCACACAAAAAATTTTAGCTTAAACCTGTATAATTTTTAAAAGGATGAGTAACTTTTTAAAAGGATGAGTCTTTCCATTATTTTTCATATAGATATACATCTATACCAGCCCAAAGAACTTTGTCACTTCTCTCCCTGTGCCAAATTCATTCTGTAGAGAGGAGTATACTATAATGTCTTTTTTATGTTGTAGAATTCCAAAGGAATCTGCTTGCTTAAAAAAAAACAAACATTTCCTTCATCATTACACAAGAATACATTATTAGGAAGCATTCCACAGGAAAGCGCTGTCAGCAAATTTAGGACTACAGCCCCACCCCTAATCTAATCACAATCTCCTAACTTCTTCCGTTGTGAAGCACAATGCTGAAGCAGCTACAATATATAGATGTGCTTCAGGTTTTCAATTAGCCTGTTAAAAATAAACAAACCCAAAAATATTACAAAAACAAAACAAAACAGGAGGCAGGACTTCCAGCTGTGGCAAATTGAAGAGGTCAGCAAATCCTTTCCCCTCAAAACAACTATAAAACTAGACAAAAGTGTCAAAAACAGCCATTTTGGGACTCCAGAAAAATGGCCAAAGTCAAATGACAAATTTAAGTGTTTTTACAAAAAACTGCTGAAATTTGTGTAAGAATAGTGGGAGTCACAGCTTGGGTCAGCTTCTTACCCCACCCCTGCCACACCCTACCCAAGCACCAGTACATCTAATAGTTCCTGGGCAAGGCTGGCTACAAAACCCAGCAGCTTCGTTGTCACAGGGAGCTAACATGATTTGAAGGGGAGGGCAAAAAACCCACACCCAGTAGCAATGTGGGGTCAAAGCATTAAACTCAACTAGAAAAGAACAGAGAAAGCCTATAGCTCTGTTATTCAAAGGCTGCTGTCCTGGTTGAGAAGAAGGGCAGACTATCAGAAATCTAGAAATTTAACAAGGAGATTCTGGAAATGAGAGAGCCACAGAGGGGGCTAAACTCCCCCACACAGTCCTGGCTAACTGATGGCTGAATATATGCCCAGAGGAGACTGGAGATAGCCTGAACTCTCCATAGATCTCTTGCTGACTGAGAGGCTTCCTGCATGTGAGGAAAAACTGAGGGCTCAGCAGAAAATAAAAGCTGGGCATATTTGAAAACTACATGCTCTCCCTACACATACACACACACACACACACACACACACACACACACACACACACACACACACCACACACACACACACACACACACACACACACACACGGTATAAGCCTTATTAGCTCAAAATGCCTGAGCACAACCTTTAACCAATAGCCAACCACTCAGCTATGCAGACACAAGCAGGACTCCAAGAAAGCTAGGCTAAAAATTAAAAAAAACAAAACAAAATTGAGCAGAGACCCGAGTTGGCTACACCTCAGTGGGGAGACAGATTCTGCACATTAAGTCTGCACGTGTCATTTAAGAATAAGCAAATATACATAACAACAATAATGACAACCGTCAGAGGTGAGGAAAATCAGAACCAGAGCTGTTACACTGTATTATCTAATACGTCCAGTTTTTAGCAAAAAGATTCCACAACATGTTAAGAAACAGGAAAATGTGGCCCATACTCGGGGAAAAAAGCAGTCAATAAAAACTGTTTCTGGACAGGCATGATGGCTCATGCCTGTAATCCCAGCACTTTGGGAGGCCAAGGTGGGCAGATCTCCTGAGGTCAGCCTGGCCAACATGGTGAAACCCTGTGTCTACTAAAAAAAAAAAAAAATTAGCCAGGCATGGTGGCATGCATCTGTAATCCCAGTTACTTGGGAGGCTGAGGCAGGAGAATCACTTGAACCCGGGAGGCAGAGGTTGCAGCGAGCTGAGATTGCGCCACTGCACTCCAGCCTGGGCAATAGATCGAGACTCTGTCTCAAACGAACAAACAAACGAACAAACAGAAACTGTTTCTGAGTGGGTCCAGATGTCCTATTCAGAAAAAGACTTCCAAACTAGCTATCGTAAATATGCTCAAAGAATTAAAGGAGCGGGCGGATCACGAGGTCAGGAGATCGAGACCATCCTGGCTAAAACGGTGAAACCCCGTCTCTACTAAAAATACAAAAAATTAGCCGGGCGTAGTGGCGGGCGCCTGTAGTCCCAGCTACTTGGGAGGCTGAGGCAGGAGAATGGCGTGAACCCGGGAGGCGGAGCTTGCAGTGAGCCGAGATCCCGCCACTGCACTCCAGCCTGGGCGACAGAGCGAGACTCCGTCTCAAAAAAAAACAAAAACAAACAAACAAAAAAAAGAATTAAAGGAGACTTGTTTAACAAATTAAAGAAAAATATGGTGACAATGACTCAACAGGGAATATCAACACAGACGTAGAAACTACAAAAATAGAACAAAATCAGATTCTAGAGAAAAGTACATATTAGAAACGAAGAAAAAAGTTTGAAAAAATGAACAAAACCTCAGAGACCTATGCAGTAACACTGAGGGTACCAACATGCATGCAATGGGAATATCAGGAGGAAAGGAGCAAGAAAGAGGCAGAACAAGTATTTGAAGAAAAAGAAATAATGGTTGAAATATTTCCAAATTTGATGAAAAATAATCTACAGATCCAAAAAGTTGTAAAAAAAAAAAACCCAAAAAACCCAAGTAGGATAGACACAAAGAGATCCACGCCTAGACAATTCATAGTCAAACATCAATTCAAGTCAAAGAAAAACTCTAAAAATAGCAAGAGAAAAACAACAATATGATAAATGACTGACTTCTCATCAGAAAAAATGGAAGTCAAAGGCAGTGGAATGCCATATTTTAGTGGAGAAAGCAAAAATTCTATATCAGACTAAGAAGATCCTATCCTTCAAAAATGAAGTCCAAATGAAAATATTCCAAGATATATATATATAAGCAATAAATAATCTAAAGATGAACTTAAGAAAACAATTTCATTCACAACAGAATCATAAAGAATAAAATACTTACGGAATAAATTTTAAAAAGAAGTGTAACACATAGAATGCAAACTACAAAACATTGCTGAGATAAATTAGAGAAGATTTAAATAAGGGAACACTTCATATTTGTGGATTAGAAAACTCAATGGTGTTAAGATGACAATTCTCCTCTTAGTGACTTATAGATTCAATGTAATCCCAATCAAAATTGGAACCCTTTTACATTACTGGTAAAACTGTACAATGGCACATCTACCTTGGAAAACAGTTTGGCTGCACCTTAAAAAGTTAAACATAAACTTACCATGACCCTGCAACTCCACTTTTAGGTGTCTACACAGGGGAAATGAAAACTTATGTCCACACAAAGACATATGTAAATATTCATAGCAGCATTATTCATAATAGTCAAAAACTGGAAAGTGTCAAATCCATTACCTAGTGAATGCATAAACTATGATACATCTATACAACAGAACAAACTATTATTTATTAACATATGGATAAACCTCAAAAACATTATGCTAAGTGAAAGAAGCCAAACACAAAAGACTACATAATATATCACTTATAAGAAATTCTTGGAAAAAACAAATGTGTAGAGACAGAACATTTCAGTGATTGCCTGGGGTTGGGAGTAGGTTACTATTAATGAGCAAGTCTTTGGGGTGATGAAAATATTCTAAAATTGAGTGGTAGTGATGGTTGTATAACACCATAAATTAACTAAAAGTCACTGAATTACATACTTATGATGGGTAAATTTGATGGTATATAAATTATGCCTCAATAAAGTTGTTAGAACAAAAATCATCACCATAGAATATCAACTGTTTACAATATTGTAGGCCCTATTCTGATTTTATTCTGTACAGTTTCCTTCTATCCCCTTTGATATAGTTTTTCCATTCATCCAAATAGGTCACATATTAACCACTTATTTAAACAAACAGGAATCACCTGGAAATCTTAAAAATCTTTTTTTTTTTTTTCTTTTGTGAGACGAAGTCTCGCTGTGTTGCCCAGGCTGGAGTGCAGTGGTGCGATCTTGGCTCACTGCAAGCTCCGCCTCCCAGGTTCATGCCATTCTCCTGCCTCAGCCTCCCAAGTAGCTGGGACTACAGGCGCCCACCACCATGCCCGGCTACTTTTTTTGTATTTTTTTAGTAGAGATGGGGTTTCACCATGTTAACCAGGATTGTCTGGATCTCCTGACCTCATGATCCGCCCACCTCAGCCTCCCAAAGTGCTGGGATTACAGGCGTGAGCCACTGCGCCCGGCCTAAAATCTTAAAATGTAGATTGATTCCCTATGTCTGGGATGGGGAATAGAGATTCTCAGGTAATGCTGGAATCAAGGCTTCTAAAGATATTATATTGGTATCTTGGTTAAATATTAAATCTAGTAATTAATATAGTAAGCATGTAATTTTAATACTTCTGGCCTTCCCACCAGCCAGGGTACAACTTTCCATTTATTCAAACTAATTTCATACTTGCTATTAAAGTTTTATTATTCACATATACACAGAACATTATGTTAAAGTATTTTATGTGTGTCACTGTAAACAGGTATATATTTGTTGCTATATCATCTATTGTTAAAATACAGTAACATGCTTTACTTTTGTTAACTTAAAATTTGCAACCTAAATTCAATTATTATGCTGTTTAATTTTTCAGATTTTCTGGATATATAACAATCATTTGAATTCTGATAGTTTAATTTCCTCCTTGCATATATCTGTACCTTGTTTTTTTTAATTTTTATATAATAGCTAACATTTGATGTGAGGCCGCACTATTTTAATTATTTTTTAACAGAAGATGCCTTTACTTTTCCTTTTAGGCTAACATTAAATCTTAGTTACAAATATATATGAAAAACCCTTACATTTCCTTTATACTTTTGGATTGTCAGGAATGTATGTTAATTATTTTTTTTTAAGACAGAGTATCCCTCTGCTGCCCAGGCTGGAGCACAGTGATGTGATCTCGGCTACAACCTCTGCCTCCTGGATTCAAGTGTTTCTCCTGCCTCCTGAGTAGCTGGGACTACATGCACGCACCACCACACCTGGCTAATTTTTATATTTTTAGTAGAGATGGGGTTTCACCATGTTGGCCAGGCTGGGCTCAAACTCCTGACCTCAAGTGAACCACCTACCTTGGCCTCCCAAAGTGCTGGGATTACAGACATGAGCCACTGCACCCAGTCTGTTAATTTTTATAAGACATTTTTAGGATGTTTTCAAATATTTGGGGCACACCATGATTTTCACTAATTTTCTTTTTTAATTTAATAAGTTATAAACCCTTGAGAGCACAAGGATTCTACTGATATATGTCTCTTTGTATCCTTCCAGTGCCTAAAACAGTATCCCATCCCAGATCAATGAACATTGTTTTAATTGATTTTACTATTTTTCCCAGTAATGAAATGGATTATATTAATAGTTTGACTTACACTGAACCAATCCTGAATTTCTATACTAAATCTCACTTGGTCATGGTGAATATTATTTTTAATTGTTGAATACCTTTTAATATGTGTTCTATTTACATTATTCTTAGAGTTTTTTCATCTATATTCATCAACAAGACTGCCTTCAATCTTATGTTCTGACCTTAGTAGGCACCATACCTGTCTGCCTCACAAAATAAACTGGGTAACCTCTGGGTAACCTTCAAGTTACTTCAGTGTTTAGTATTTATTTCTTTTCTTTTTTTTTTTTGAGACAGAGTTTCGCTCTCGTTGCCCAGCTGGAGTGCAATGGTGTGGTCTTGGCTCACTGCAACCTCCGCCTCCCAGATTCAAGCGATTCTCCTGCCTCAGCCTCCCGAGTAGCTGGGATTACAGGCGCCTGCCACCACGCCCAGCTAATTTTTGTATTTTTAGTAGAGACGGGGGTCTCATCATGTTGGCCAGGCTGGTCTTGAACTCCTGACCTCAGGTGATCCACCCACCTCAGCCTCCCAAAGTGCTAGGATTACAGGCGTGAGCCACTGTGCCCGGCTTAGTAGCTATTCCTATGATATATATATTACGTACTGAAAAATATTCACCAGTGATTCCATCCAATTTTCTTGTGCTTCCTATTGCAACTAGTGTATTCAAAATACTTAGTTGTGTAGTGTTTTTAATTTTTGTAATCTAGTTTTTAAAGTTAAAAAAAGTTTTAATTATCCATTTCAGTAGTTTTCATCTTAATTTTGTCTATCTTACTCTGTTCTTTTTTAGGTCCTTTTGGGATTAACCAGTACATTATATATGCTCTATTTTTTCTTGTTGAAATTGGCATGTAGAGTTGAACAAAATTATGAGTTAAGCTATGCTAGCCTCATGAGCTGGATAATTGGTGATGGGGATTTTTTATGTCTTTCAAGTAGTATAGTTTTATTGTAGTATGTTTCTCTTTTTCATTTGGTTGAAAACCTGTTGTTTTCTTATTCATTTCCAATTTCATTGCACCATAATCTGAGGATGCTGTATGTAAAATTTACGTCAAAAGTATTTACTACGAAATGGTGTGTATTCAAATCTGTGCATTTAAAACAAAGTGCTCAGGCCTACTACTTCCATTTCATTCTCTTAAAAATTTATCTTATTACATTACTGAGGGCAATTAAATTTTTGTTTATTTGAACTGAAATTCTCATAGTGAGATATTATCTCTTATTCAAGTGTTCTGGTATACAGCTCTTGCATTTATTGGTTTTTGTGCATTCCTTGTCTTCCTGTTATAAGGAATACATCTGTTAGCATATAAGAAGCAGTATATAAGATATACCTCAATTTTACAAAAGAAGTTCTAGGCTATTTTATGTATTTTCATTATATACGAATTGAAATTATTATAAAATGGTAATATAAATTGAAATGCTATAGTGTTCATAAAAATAAAGCACACTGTATAAAAGAATTTATTTAGTTGAAGATAAGTTCTGAATATGCAAAATTATTCTGAAAGCTAAAAAGAAGAAATTAATGTTGCTTGAGGCATGTTTTCAATAAAATATGTAGAGTGAGGTACTCAAATCATTATTCTATATATTTCATGTTAGGTTCTCCAACCATAATCTGGATGCTTTAGATACAGAGTAAGTTTTTGGGAAACATACTTGGAAAAAATGCAATGGGAAAAATACTGCAATTTACTCCTGATTTTTAATTATGGTAAATAGAGCAATAATGGAAATTAAATAAATCACCCACAATAGGAACATCAAACATTGCAAACAGAAATTTTCTTTATATGTTGGTAGTCTGACACAGGGCTATGGCTTTGGCTTTGGGCACTGAAGCCTGTTGGCATGATGCAGGGAGGAGAACGACTCTAAGTGAGTAAAGTGATCATCATTAGCTAACAATGTCTACTCCAGATCCAGCTGGAGAAATGGAGGTAGGCTCAAAAGCTGCTAGCAAGAGATAACAAAGGCTTTCTTCTGTGGCCAACCTATGAGTGAATCACCAGGTCTTCTTTATAGCTCACTTAAGAAGGGGTGGGGGAAAGAACTGGCTGTTCAAACACCTGACAGGGGTTTATCTGATGAATGAAACTTACTTTTTCCCAAATCAATTTTTTACTAACAAATGACATCAGCAACCTTTGAAAAAGAATCCATATTTTCTCCCATTTGAAAAGCCAGTTAACTGGAGGAAGGAGATGAAAACACCTTTAGAGGTTTATATCTGAAGCATACCAGTCTTTGGATCAAACAACAATTTTTAAGAGTTTATACTACCAATTGAAAAAAAACTGGTATACAAACTAAGAAATATACACAAACTATGAAATCTCAGGTAAAAAGGGATACATTTTCTTCTGCTACAGTTCATTAGCCATGTTAGAGAAGTCACCTGTTATACCATAGCTAGAATTTCAGGTGTATATTACATGGTTAGGAGGATTTTTAATCCTCCTTTGGGACATAAATTTAAAAGACAGTGCTGGGTGAAAAAAGGTCCCTGTTTCCTTTCCCTTTAGCTGTGACAGAAACCTCGAACCAAGGTGAAGATTCAAGGTAGTAATCAGAGACAGTCATGTAGAATGTAGCTGAAAACAGGAAAATAGTCTGCAGCCTGGAATCTTACTGAGGAATTGAACATCTAACAGAAAACCACCTAAATAATGGAAGGCTACTAAGTCAAATAAAACTAAAACGGGAGTCAAAAAGAACTAAAACTGGGATTCAATAATGCAACAGTTTCAGTGTGGGAGTTTGGGGAAGGTGGCCATAAGAAAACCATAAAATGGATTTAGAACTAGGACAGCACAGCATCAACTTGTTCTTAGTTTCTTTCTTTGGCTATTATTAATAATATCCAAAATACCACCCCAGGGGTGAAAAGGGAATTTTCCCTGAATCTACAGCATTCCATGTAAGAACACTTCAATACTATTATTATCCCCTTTTACCAAATAACTGAAAGTTACTTCCACATGGATCCTCATTTTTTAATCTCTTGAGAGCCTTGCTCTGCTTGTCCATCTCACCCAGTAAGAAGGATGAAACTAACCATCAAAGTGATATGGGCAAAAAACGTTGTGTGCTTGCCAAAAAAGTCTATCTGAATTTACCACTTACAACATCCAATAAAAATAACTAAAACCCGGCCGGGTGTAGTGGCTCACGCCTGTAATCCCAGCACTTTAGGTGGCCAAGGTGGACAGATCACGAGGTCAGGAGTTCGAGACCAGCCTGACCAACATGGTGAAACCTCGTCTCTACTAAAAAAACAAAAATTAGCTGGGCATAGTGGCGTGTGCCTGTAATCCCAGCTACTCAGGAGGCTAAGGAAGGAGAATTCGCTTGAACCCGGGAGGCGGATGTTGCAGTGAGCCGAGATTGCACCACTGCACTCTAGCCTGGGCGACAGCGAGACTCGGTCTCAAAAAAACAAAAACAAAACTAAAGTCCAGTCCCTATCTTCCACTGACCAGGCCCCACTTTGATAAAGCAAAAATGATTGTTTATATATAGCAATTTTTACTGGATTACAAATCACCAGAAACTAGAGAGTGAGAAATGGCCAAGATCTAGTTGAGAAACTGGTTAGAAAAACATTTTACATACTTCTACTCCAAGACCACATCTCAAAATCCCTACTCTGTTCTTAAAGAATATAGGAATTTCAGTGAATAATGTAATAAAATGAATATCAGGCAATAAACACATTTATCACTAGACAAAGGTCAATGGGAAATTTCTTTCAAGTTGAAAAAGAATTCTGGAATGTTTCATTTATTAAATAATAATGGTAATCAACAACAGAAATAGAGTGAGTGTATACAACAAAATGATAAATGTATGAGTCAAAAAATTAGCAGGTTAAGTGGTCAGAATACATTTTTCAAAGAACTTATCAGTCTTAAAACTATTTCTCTTGGTATTTTAACCTAACTGGGCACTATCTCTTACGTTTTCAAATTACAAACCTTAATCAGACCTTACTATAGACAGGGAGAGTGCACCTGCTAAGTTTAAGAAGACACTAGATTTTTGAAAGTATTCAGAACTTGGCTTCAAAAGTTGATCACTAACACATTAATTTCCTACCACTGTGATAACTACAAAAAGTTTAAAATCTATGCATATTTCCAAATTCATTATCTCACTTGTAAATACACATACACAAAACTTCCCTTAATTGAATCTTTAAGACCTTAAATATGTATTGACTATGTGAAGCAGCTCTTTGTAAATTTGCATGTATTTATATATAAACACACAAATATATATGGATGAATACAACTTTCAAACAAAAACTTTCACACTGCAAAAGCTCCAAAGTTCAGAAAAAAGGGTAAAGCACAATCTTAGAAAGTTTGAGTGCAAAAAGATTTTAAATCATGGTAAAAATGCATGTAATGCATAATATCAATGGTGGCTGGCTTATGGAACTTCTGCTATACTTCCAGAGAACAATCTACAGGACTCATTCTTGTTACTCTCAGATAGCATATTATGCTATACAAAGTTGCAAGAAACAGACTAGGAATCACATATAACAAAACTTCCCTCCACTCCACCATTCCTCAACTTTTTATTTTTATTTATTTATTTATTTTGCCATTTTTCTCCCTCAGAAGAATGAAAGGAAATATATAGGAAGGGATAATTACTACCAAAAGGTTGTTAAAAGGTTGTTAGAAATTGCAGAGTTGCTCCACATGAATGCTTTATAGCAGAAAGACAGACATAAGAGCCACCTGCAAACCATTTACTCTTTCCATATACCTTTACTGGGCATCTAACTAGCCATCACTAGGTACTACATATATAAAGAGGAATAAGACAAAGCTGATGCCCCCCTGAAGTAAACTTCTGTCCCATGGGAGAAACTACAAAGAAAAAAATGCAAGCCAGACTCTATAATAAATGAACTTTTATTCATTAGGCTTTCTAAGTCTGCCAAATTTCTTTTGCAACCTCATCACATCCCTCAGAACTCTGAATATCCCAAATCCATGAAATATTTCTAGCTGAGGGGGGTAAAAACTTTTTTTTTTTTTTTTTGAGATGGAGTCTCAGTCTGTTGCCAGGCTGGAAGTGCAGTGGTGTGATCTCGGCTCACTGCAACATCTGCCTCCCGGGTTCAAGTGATTCTCCTGCCTCAGCCTCCCGCATAGCTGGGACTACAGGCATGCACCACCATGTCCAGCTAATTTTTGTATTTTTAGTAGAGACAGAGTTTTACCATGTTGCCCAGGATAGTCTCGATCTCCTGACCTCATGATCCACCTGCCTCAGCCTCCCGAAGTGCTGGGATTACAGGTGTGAGCCACCGCACCTGGCCAAAAACTTTTTTCTACTTTAACATAAGTCAACAATATCCAAAAAATGTTTGATTAAAGCAATTACTGTCAGCAGATCACTTAAAAAGATTAGTTAATATAAGCTTTTCTATCTTAATAAAAATATACCTCAAATAATCCAAAAGTGAGAGGGCTGGAAAAGAGGAACATAAAAACAAAATGCAGGCAACAATAGAAAACAACAACAACAAAATGGTAAACCCAAACCTCACTATACATCACTAATTACATTAAAGATTAATAAACCAAAATTCCAATTAAAAGGCAGAGGCTATCATAATGGACAAAGAAACAATACCCAATCATATGCTGTCTATAAGTGATACACTTTAAACAAAAGATACAGATAGGTTAAAAGTAAATAAATGAAAAAGAATATAGCATGTAAGCATAAGGCAGCTAAAATGGTTATATTAGAATCAGATAAAATAAATCTCAAGATAAAATTTATACAAGAAATAGAGACATTTTATACCTATATAAGGACAATTTATCAGGGAAACATAGCAATTGTAAAAGTGCATGTACACTGGGTCCCTAGCCAATAGGGAAAAAAATAAGTAAACAAGTAAATAAATAAATGGCATATGAATGAGAAAGGAAAAACTCAAAACGTCCTGACTGACAGATGATAAAATCATACATGCAGTAAATCCTAAGAAACATACAAAGAGCTACTAGAACTAATAAATGAAAGCAGCAAAGTTCCAGGGTATGAGGTCAATCTACAAAACTCAACTGCATCTCTACATACTAGCTTTGAATAATTAGAAGATAAAGATGAATAAAAACCCCAACTCTGTTTACAAAAGAAGCACACACAAAAAAAATACTCACAAATAAATTTAATGAAAGATGTGCAAGACTTGTACACTGAGAAATACAAAACATTGCAAAGAGAAATTGGTGACAACCTAAATAAAGAGAAATATACCATGCCCATGGATTCATGTTCATGGCTTAAAAGACTTACTGTTCAAATGGCAAACCTCCCAAAATTATCTTTAGATTCTATGCAATTCCAATCAAAATCCTGCAGGCTTTTTTGAAGAAAGCAACAGCTGATTAAAAAATTTGTATGTAAAGACAAAGGACCTAGAATAGGTAAAACAAATTTGAAGAACAATGTTGAATGATTTATACTACTTGATTTCAACATTATAAAGCTACAGAAATCAATATGTGGTGGTACTGGCATAATGATAGACATAGAGGTCAATAAAACAGAACACAAAGTCCAAAAACAGACCTATGCTTATATGTCAAGTAATTTTCAACAAAGGCCAAGGTAATTCAACAGAACAAAAGATAGCTTTTTAAACCAATGGTGATGGAATAATAGGATATCCACATGGAGAAAAATGACTCATGACCTTTACTCTCACACTATACACAACTTCAACGTTGGCCAGATTTCTATTATTAAAAGAAAAATAATTCATCGTTTCTACCCTCTTTTACCCCACCTTGGACATATAAGGCTACCCTTTCAGGACTAAATTTAAAAGGTAAAACTGATTAAACTTTCAGGGAAAAAAGTCATTTGGATAAAATGTTTGCGACTTTGGGTTAGGTAAAGATTTCTAGAACACAAAGATGCAAAAACTATGAAAGTAAAAAAATAGATGAAATGAACTTCATAAGATAAAAACATTTTGCTCTTCAAAATACACTGTTAAGAAAATGAAAAGGCAAGCCACCAAATGGGAGACACTATTTTAAAACACCTACATGACAAAGGGCTTGTATCCAGAATAAATAATCCAATTAAAACTGAGGGAAGGTCTCCACACTTTATGCAGATGGCTAATAAGCTCATAAAAGTATGCTCAACAATCACTAGTCAGAAAAATGCAAATTAAAACCACAGTAAGATTCTACTACACAGCCACTGGTATGGCTGAAGTTTTAAAAGACTGACATATTTAGCACTAATCATACTATATTGTAATTATGGCCAAGTTTCTCTATTCCAATAAAACATGAGCTCGTGGTTTTAAAAAAGTCTGAAAATAATAAGTGGTCATGAGGATTTGGAGAAAATCCTCATTTGCTGGTATGAATGCAAAGTGTACAGACACTTTGGAAAGCAGTATGGTGGTATCTTATAAAGTTAAATATATACTTACCATGTGAATTAGAAATTCCATTCCTAAGTATTTACCCAAGAGCAATGTAAAAAGAGCTATGTAATGTAAAATGTAAAATCTAAAATGAGCAATGTAAAAGAGCAATGTAAAAAAGAGGTATTTACCCAAGAGCTATGTAAAAACTTGCACACAAATGTTCACAATTGTGTGATTCATAAAAGCCAAAACTTTGGCACAATCCAGATGCTAATCAAGTGATGAACACACAAATAAATGTTGGTACATCCATAGCAAAGAACACAACTCAATAATATAAAACAAATGAAATATTAATAAAACATGGATGGATCTCAAAACATTATGCTAAGTAAAAAAAAGTCAAGGCCGGGCGCGGTGGCTCACGCCTGTAATCCCAGCACTTTGGGAGGCCGAGGCGGGTGGATCATGAGGTCAGGAGATCGAGACCATCCTGGCTAACAAGGTGAAACCCCGTCTCTACTAAAAATACAAAAAATTAGCCGGGCGCGGTGGCGGGCGCCTGTAGTCCCAGCTACTCGGGAGGCTGAGGCAGGAGAATGGCGTGAACCCGGGAAGCGGAGCTTGCAGTGAGCCGAGATTGCGCCACTGCAGTCCGCAGTCCGGCCTGGGCGACAGAGCAAGACTCCGTCTCAAAAAAAAAAAAAAAAAAAAAGTCAAACACAAAAGACTATTTACAATATGACTCCATTTATTTGAAAATATAAATGTCTACAAAATGACTTTTGTCAAGACAAAACTATAGTGACAGAAACTAGACCAATGGTTGCCTGGGGCTGCAGATGAGAGGGGACCAGTTGCAAAGAAACAGGAAGAAACTTTTTAGGGTGAAAGACCTGTTCAACGTTCTGATTGTGGTGGGGGTTCCGTGATCGTATATAATTACCAAAATAAAACTGTACTGTGTACAAAATTCACAGATAGGTGAATTTTGTTGTATGTAAACAAAATCTTAATTTTAAAAAAGGAACACAAAATCAGAAAACAAAAGAAATAGTACTCCACTGCACTAATAAAAGAAACAAAATTGAAACTGAGATATTATTTTTTTCTCATAGACTTGGCAAGAATTACACTAGTGATGAAAGGTGTTAATTAGTACATTTCTGGAGAGTATTTTGGCGTTGTATTATCGAAACCCTTAAAAAATGGGTGGACCTTTTTGTCCCAAAATTCTACTTCTGGAAATGTTTACTACAGAAACAATCAGACAAAATAAGCCTGTACAAGAATGGTAATGAAAGCCAGGCACGGTGGCTCACACCTGTAATCCCAGCACTTTGGGAAGCAGAGGTAGGTGAATCACCTGAGGTCGGGAGTTCAAGACCAGCCTGACCAACATGCAGAAACCCCGTCTCTACTAAAAATAAAAAATTAGCCGAGCGTCGTGGCGCATGTCTGTAATCGCAGCTACTCAGGAGGCTAAGGCAGGAAAATCACTTGAACCCGGGAGGCGGAGGGTGTGGTGAGCCGAGATGGCGCCATTGCACTCCAGCCTGGGCAACAAGAGCAAAAATCCATCTCAAAAAAAAAAAAAAAAAAAAAAAAGAATGGTAATGAAAAACTTTTCATAGTTGTGAAAAATAACTGGGAAAAAACTTGTATGCCCAACAATAGGTGATTGGTTAAATAATGAAATATCCATCCAATTAAAATGATGTGGCCAATAATATACATGCACCCTTATTGATGAATAAAGACGTACTCAATGTCAGTTTTCTTCCCCTTTCCTGAATTTTATGCTGGTACCTTTGACAAAAATGTTTACTTTCTACTTGGAAGAGTTATAGTACAAATAAGTGAGTAATAACTATCATAACAGATTTCTATTATTAGAAGAAAAATAATTCATAATTTCTACTCTCTTTTACTCCACCTTGGGTATATGAGGCTACCCGTTCTGCCTAATTCTTATGACAATTTTTTAAACAATTACCTTTGGACTTCAATCATTGTTATCACAAAAGATCTAACATGAGCAACTATATCATTTCAAGAGAGCTGATTCACAAATTGAATCAGTTATTTTAATTGTTTACTTACAGTTTGCCCTGTGGTAGATAAAGAAGTAACAGAAGGTTCTAGTGTACACTTCGTAGGTTTATATTATCTGGGTCTCAGTTCCCTTATCTATAAAAAGAAAAGGGCACAGTGCTGGATCTGGTTATTTGTAGTTCTAAGGAAGATTAATCTATTAATAACCAGTCGACACCTTAAAAAATTACAGAAGTGGCAAATGCAAAGTGCCAAGAAACAAACTTTTGTCAACTAGGTTACCCTGTAAACATTCACTTAAAGAAAAAAATGAAAAGGAACAGGATCCTTATTAAAGCTTGGTGAATTTAAACCCACACTGTAACGTAAAATGGAAATTCAATTTGTCAAGGAGACTAACAAAGGCAGGAATCACAACTGAAAAGTGATATATCCTCAATGGTTTCCTAGTTGCTAAAACTTAGAGTCAATCATCTTAATTGAAGACACTGAAAATGTACAAGTATCTGTCATTATAATCATATCAACAGTAGGTAAGATGCCTTATACTACTATAACAACTATAGGTAATTTCAAACAGAAAAAAAGCAATATACTTTAAATTATTTAGGGTAAATAATTTATTGTGCCTGCTTTAAAATAACGTTTCCCAATCCAACTAGGTTCAGATATTCAAACTGAGTAAGGATAATTTATTTATAAAACTGAAATACAACTTGGGTTCACAAGGACCATGCCTAACCAATTTTTCCTGCAACTCAGCATTATGTAATTCAAAGAAGAGAATAAATATATGTAAGTTTGACTGCAGAAAAAGGAAATTTGAATTTTACTTGTATAATGCCAAGTCAAAGAAACCAAGTTAAATACAGATATCCACACAAGAAATGAAACTCATTTATTAAACCTTCTTAATAAAAGTAACAATTACAGTTAGAAGCATGGCCAATTCTTAATAACATTAGTATAATTTAAAAATTTCTATAATCAAAAAGTAAGTATTTTGTTATTTGAACATTTTTTAATGTTGCCTTCAGAGGTTATACAATAAAAATAACTTATAATATGCATCTTGTACCTTGGTGTCTCATTTTTAAGTTATATCCCAAACAAAACTGAAATATAAGCAAATGGCTCAAGCAAAGTTTCATTAGATGGAAAAAGAATAAAACTTACTCTCATTAAGTCTGGCTAGAGGTGGTGGTGATGGGATGTTGTACTGTAACATAAATGACACAGCTGGATAACACAAAGCATGAAAACAAGGGAAAGGCTCCATCCTATCACTGTTTAGACCCTTCAGTGTCCCACTTATGCATGCTACAAGGCAACTACTGGAAGAAGAATACACCTCTTATTTTCGAGCAGAAAGGAAGCAATTCTCTATCTGCCAGTAGTAAGGGATTTCTTCTTAAACTGTTTCTCTGACACCAGTGATTTGTAACAGTAGATTTTTATTAGGGACTTATTTATTGAAGAAAATTAAGATGTTGAAAAATTCTTTTTCCTGTTCTCTCTGCTGTTTGGAAATAGATGGGGGAGTGGGAAACTAGAGAAGTGTCTTCAATATGCACAAGGGCTTTGATTAATTTACAGCAATGACCCATTGAAAGTTTCCCTTTTGATGCCCAGGTGTCAGGATTCCAATATTAAAGTTCCCATAATCTTCTCCAACCAAATGCAAATTGTTGACAGACATTTTCTCCTCCTTCAATATTCCTTCAATTATAGCCCCTTAGGACTAGATATCTGAGACTATATTGTAGGAGGATAAAAAAAATTACAAGAACACTTCATTTTTGAAAACTCAAGTCTATACCACTGAGTCACAATAACGACAATTCTGCAAGCTTTTGGTTAGCTTACATTTTCTTGGCTTAACTATGGTAAACTAGGCTAAAAGTAAACCACATTGTACTTTTTCTTGTGTAAAATTATAATTTTACATAGTAGAATCAAGGACTTATGAATTTTGTCATCCTCTTCAAAAATCCCTATTTTTAGTGAGTCAGTAGAAAGTCCAGGATGCCACTGAAATAGATTCTTCTGAAATCAGTTAAATAATTACTATTATTTTTCAACGTTTTCAAAATAAGTATATCCTTGACCTATAAAAGAATGCCTGTGCTGACAATTTCTTGAATGTCACCATTTAATAAGCAAGACGTCATCATGAATGTACAATTACACTTCATTTGTGATGGTGGGTCCTTGCAACAGGAAGTAAGATTGGAGAAATGCATGGGAACTTTTGGAATAAATTCTCCATTCTGGTTTTATGATTTTAATATAAGTGCAACAGTTAGAACACACAACAAGAGAAAAGGACAGGAACACACTTGGGAAAAAGATGACTTTTCTATTTGAGCCAGCTATTTTAGAAAAATCCTAGAATACTTACAGTGAGTGTCAGAATGCCATCTGGTTGTACTGTTAATGTAAATTTTAAATGTAACTTTAAGGATTGATGCAGATTTTCTTTTGTAAAACCAGAAACATTAAAAGTTACACCATAGCAAGGGTCACAGCAAGGGGCAAGTGGGTTGCTTAATGGAATAATCATTTCAAATATATATATTGTAATTGCAGAAATCTGGAATCATAGGATAATCTGCATCAGTAATAATATTGGCACCTTGCTTTATAATAAAGTCCTTGAAGATTAAAGTGTACAATCATACTACAATCCTGAGTAGTAGAATCCTTGCCTCTAGAAGTGAGACTTGGATAGAGAGATGCATCTTTTCCCACAAGCTCTGAATTTCTTCCACAACTATGTTGAGTTACAGTCTGAAATTTTTTTTAGAAAGTAATACAATTCCATCACATGTAGAAGCTGTTAATCTGAATTAGGAATGGAACGAATCTGATAACATGGCCATGTAGACTTTTCAGCAAACTCTTCCCTAGGGTCCAGGCCGCTGTCCAAGTTGACTACCCTCCCAGCTTGAGGGGGTACTGCACTACAGAGGGGAAATATGGGGATAAAGCAGGAGGACTAGCACAGAAAGGCAGCAACAATAGTATCATGTAACATTTGCTAGCACCATGTATAACTCATGGTCTCTTTCCCCATGAGGACAATCCTTTTCTAGCACTCACAGTAATGACTTCCACTTGAGGTGGCAATTATTTGTATCTTCCCAATTTTTCCTTCTAATTTTATTCTGGTAAGGAGACTACATTCTCCACCACCAAAAAAGACTTAGATATCATGAAAACTGGAGCTAGGTCAGGTCCCTTTCCTCTTTGGTTAAAGAAGAGCTGCAAATATGTGGACTGAGAACTACCTCTGCCCTGTGGAGAAAACAATTTAAAAAATAAACACAAATTTGCAGAGAAAGTCAGAGAAAGGAGACAAGAGTCTTGACAATATTCAAGTCTTGCACTATCAAAGGCTAGTTCTACTCTATCCATCTTGAAGCCTGGTTATGTGAGGCAACATACCCACTTTTTAGCTAATATAAGTTGAACTTTTGTAATCCAAGAATTCCAACTCTTATACCTCCCTTTACCAGATGCTTATTTTCACCTGTATAAAAATATTAGCTTTTGTCTCTCCTCCCCACCACCCACCCACCTCAAAGACTATAAATAATGTAATTTGCCTCAACAGCAAACCCCTAGGGATGGCAATGTTTGAAATAATCCTTTTCAGATACTTAATCTTTTGATGACTGACTTTACATTACGTATTACCATAAATGCAAATCAGTAGCTCCTTTGTCAAGAACTCCCCTCCCAATACTACCTTCCTCTCTGGTACATAAGCTTTGAACTCGGTCAGCAAAAGGCAAGTGGCCATAGCTGGGTTAATAATGCACTACTAGTAAATATATCCATGGCAGTAATTTCAAAGGTGTAAAAGAGAAAGGCAGCCTTATTGAAATGTGTTCTTGCTTGTAGGTTCTTAAGACAAAAGCAATCTGACATCATCTCTCAAACTACGTGGGTAATTTGGTTTTGTTTTGGGGGTTGTTTTTGCTCAGAAACCTGAAGAATCTAACCATTCCCTATACAGTAAATTCTAGGACGTTCTGAAGAATTACAGCTTTTCTAGAGAGCTTAATATAATCTCTCATGAATAAAAACAAGTCATCTTATTTGTCCACAAGTTATTAAGTATCATCTGATGAGAATATAATGGCTTTTGTCAGCATCTGTGAATTAATCATATTCTAGTAAAAATGTTACAGCTTCTTTCTGCTACCCTATTAAATAATAGTCATTTTTTTGCAATCTTTTGTCATACTCTTTCTAGAGATGTTGGATTGAAATTCTAATGTTATAATGCAGATCATATCCTAAGGCAGTCTGACAACAGAATAAGTCCTGACACAATGTTCATTAATTATTAACAATAGCAGAAACCATTAGTCCAGTAAAACACAAATAAATGAGGTGAACAAATGAAATATATGGTGAGTCTTTGGTGTGCAATTTTCATGGGAAGAATTGTTATCTTCATTTTTCAAACAGGGAAACTAATGCACAGAGAAGTTAACGAACTTGCCACGTGTTACGTACAACTCCCAAGTAGTTTGAGAGTTGATGTCAGATTGCTTCCGTCCTAAGAATAAGGGGCAGAACTGGGATTGGATTAAAGTCTTTTGGACTCTACAGTGTATGTTCTTTTCACTATACCAGACTGCTCTCCCTCAACTCAAGTTCTGTGAAGCAGCAATTACAAAGCTTTCCCACCATACCTTCCAAGGAACCCTTTGATGACCATCACATTTCACAGAATTTTTTTTATTATAAATTACTCCTCTTGGAATGCCTATGGAGTAAGGGGAATATGTAGTTAAGATACCGAGGGAGAGTTAATGGAGATCGCCCACAAAAGGTCTACTTTTGGAAATGCTATTATATATAGATCAGCCTACTTTAGGAGCATTCAATTTTGGTTTCATTAAGTATGTATATACTTCAGAGCTAGAATTATATTTAAGAAATCTATTGTATATTTTTCCAGCATCTGGTCATGAGAATATTTCAAAGAAAGGAAAGCCCTTTGTTTTGTTAATGCATATCCCCTCCTCCCTGCAACTCCCCTCCCAACTAATGAAGTTACTCTTAGTCTCAGAAAACTGGTTTAGGAAAACTTTAAAAATATAACAAAAAAACAAGCCACTAGGCCGGGTGCGGTGGTTCACGCCTGTAATCCCAGCACTTTGGGGGGCCAAGGTGGGTGGATCAGGAGGTCAGGAGATCGAGACCATCCTGGTTAATGTGGTGAAACCCCGTCTCTACTAAAATACAAAAATTAGCTGGGCTTGGTGGCACATGCCTGTAGTCCCAGCTACTCGGGAGGCTGAGACTGGAGCATTGTTTGAACCCGGGAGGCGGATGTTGCAGTGAGCCAAGATTGCGCCACTGCACTCCAGCCTGGGCAAGTGAGACTCTGTCTCAATAAATAAATAAAATAAAATAAAATAAAATAAAATAAAATAAAATAAAATAAAATAAAATAAAATAAAAACAAGCCACTTAGTTGCTTAGCTCTTTCTACTTCGAGGCAGGATACAGTCTGTTTTGTTTGACTATTATCTCCCCGAACTTGTTACGCTATAGGTGACTGTTGAAGGGGAGGGCTTTACTAACTTAACTCTGGTTAGAAAACAAACAGTTACACAGTTGACTGAGCCTGAGGGTGGAACAGCTTTAAGACAGGAAAGATAAATCCTAAAAGACCATTCTAAAATATTTATATAGTTAATGGGAACAAAAAAATTCCCTCACAAACTATGGCTTCCTCCAAAGAGAAAAATAAGTATCACCAAAATGGAAGAGCTCCCACCTATTAAGTAAATGTTCTAAATTTGTTTCCATTTGCTGTAAAGAAATGTGTACATCCACAAGTTTTCTGAAACTGCTGTTACATTTCAATGTAAATTCTTTTTGGAAGACAAATGAAAATGCTGAGTAGGCTTTCCTTACCTTTCCTTCTCCCCCCACCCCCCCGCCTTTTCTTTGGTTTCTTTAAAAAAAGCTCTGAGCAACACACCAGTCTTAATGCATTAAGATTAGAAGCATGTGTCCAAAGAAAAGTTGGTCCTGACAGAAGGCTATTTTACTTCTTACCATTAGAAATGGGAAGAAAAGCTGCTGTGCAAGTGCTACATGTCACCAATCCAAAGAGGTTATGCCCTTTGGCAGCACATTTAAGAAAAACCTGTATATTGTTAGCTCTAATGATTTCCAGGTCTTTCTTGTTCAACTAGGGGTGCCTACCTGGCAACATATTAAAAGATGTTAAAATAAAATTCAGGAGACAGAAGACAGGCTGGTTGTCAAAAGAAAAAAAAATCAGATGCCAGTATGACAAAGACTTTTTATTTTGGAAGATGGGTAATAAGTGCATTAATAAAAAGGAAGAGTAAGAAGGGAACATTACCCAGTATTATCTGTTTCAGTTGGATTGGTTGCACACCTGCAATGTTTCTTCTGGGATACTGCAAAATGGAATTAACAAAGGTCTCTTAACAGGAAAGGAAATGACCCACAGATCAGACTGTCTCACTGGAGTGTCGTTTTAGAGATTACTATGGAAATTCTGGTCATGACATTCTAAAGAAACAGGTCTTACATCTCTGGGAATAACTTTTATTTGGTAGATTACTGAAATGTTAACTATGTGGAAGGGGGTTATTTTATATCTAATAAAGTGAAGCAACAGAAGCTATAAGAACTGTATTGACCTTTTTCATATCAATGATTTTATATATGTGTGTGTGTATATATATATATATAAATATAATTATATATTTTAGACATGTGTGTAAATGTAGAAATTAAACGCTGTGTACTCATTGCCCAGATAAAAGTGTTTACCACATCTGCTTCAGATACATTTTATTAAGACATAATGCTACTACAGATGCATCCAAAGACTGCATCTTTAACTGAATCTGTCCCAGTTTACCATTATTCTGGCTCTGGTATGAATCCTTGATACTCACACTTTAACTTTTGATACATATGACTGTAGCCATAAAAATATGGTTGTTTTATGTTTTTAAAATTTACATAAATGGCTCACACTGGCCTAAGCTTTTATATATAACTTGCTTTCTCCCAAATCAGCCTTGTTTTTACAATTTATCCATGTTGATGTGCTTCAAGTCAGTGACGAGTAAATAAATAAAATGAAATAAAATTGATCCATGTTAATATATCTAGATCTAGTACATTTATTTCATATATATAGTATTCCACTATATGAATATAAGCCCACAGATCCAAGAAACTCACTGAATCCCAAGAAGAAACATGAAGAAAATTACATTTAGACATCACAATCAAATTGCTCAAAACCACTGATAAAGAGAAAAATCTTTAAAGCTGCCAGAGGAAAAAAAGACATATTACACACAGAGGAACAAAGATAAGGATTATAGCATATTTCTCATTGAAAACAATACAACCCAGAAAATAACAGAGTAACATCTTTGAAGTACTTAAAGGAAGTCACCCTAAAATTGCATACCCAGCAAAAATAACTTTCATTATTATTATTATTTTTTAACAAGCTCCCGCTATGTTTTTAACAAGCTCCCACCAGGAGATCTCAAATTCCTGGCCTCAAGCGATCCTCCCACCTCTCGGCCTCCCAAAGTGTTGGGATTACAGGTGTGAGCTACCACGTGGCTAAAAAAACCTTTCAAAAATGGAGATGCTATAAAGACTTTTTCAGACATTAAAAAAAAATTAAAATAATTTATCACCAGCAGACTTGCACTATAAGTAGTCATAAAGGAAGTAAAATGACTAACAGATGAAAAACTGGGTATCTACAAAGAAATGAAGAGCATGGAAAATAATAACAAGCACAGGAAACAACAACCACACAGGTAAATATAAAGACTTTTGGTATTATTTAAATCTCCTTAAAAGACAACTGTTTAAAGCAAAATAACAATGTAGTGTGGGGCTTAAAACATATGTAAGAGTGAAATGTATGACAGCAGTAGCCCAAAGGCTGGAAGGTGAGAAATGGATATAGACTACTATGCTATGCATAAAATAGTATAATACCAATTGAAGGTATACTGTGATAGGTTAAAGATGTATACCATATACTTAAAGCCAATCATTAAAATAATATAGCAAACAGTTACAACTAAAAAGCCAACAAGAAAGATAAACATGCATGATTCATTTAAAATTCTGATAAACTGGAAGTCATTAAAATTAGAAACTTCTGCTCTTCAAAAGACACTGTTACAAAGACAAAAACACAAGCCACAAACTGGGAGTACTTATTTGCAAATGATGTTGCTGATAAAGGATTTGTATTCAGCATTAGAAAACCCTCAAAGCTCAATAAAAAAAATACACACACAATTTTTTTTAAAAGTAGAGAGAAGATTTGAACAGATAATTCAGCAAAGAAGACATAAGGATGGCAGATCACTAGTCATTAGCAAAATGCAAATTATAACCACAAGTAACACTACACACACATTAAAATATCTAAAATTTAAAAAACTAACCATACTAAGTAACAGCAGTGATACGGAGGTACTGGAACTCACACACTATTGGTGGAAATGTGAGGTGGTAAAACCATTTGGGAAAACAATTTAACTTAAAAAAATTATGCATACACCTAGCTTATTATCCAGCCATTTCATTCCAGGTGAAATGAAGGCATATGTCCATGCAAAGACTTATATATGAATGTCCAAGGAGTTTTGTTTCTAATAGCCCTAAACTAGAAATAACTCAAATGTTCATCAGTAAGTGAATGAAAAAAAAAAACAACAAAACTATAGTATATCTCTACAATAGATTACTACTAAGCAATAAAAAAGGAATGAACTATTAATTCATGCAACAACATGGATAGATCTCAAAATAAATAAGCTGCGTGAAAGAAGCCAGATGAAAAAGAGTTCATTTTATATGATTCTATTTACATAAAAATCTAGGAAATGAAAACTAATCTATAGTGACAAAAAGCCTACAGATGGCAGTGGGAAGAGAAAGGTGGGGAAAGAAAATATTACAAAGGGGTAGAGGAATTTGTGGTGATGAATATGTTCAGAATCTTGACTGAGGCAATAGTTTCATGTGTATACGTACATCAAACTTACCAAACCATATGATTTTAACAAAGTTCTTTACATCATCTAAACCTGTTTTCATTAATCATATTGTTGGTGCTGGTATTCTGAGTACTGTGTATGCACTGTGAGGTGAACAAATGAATACTTATGTGAAGTTCTAATTCTATCATTTCTGGCACCACTGAAAACCAAGGGAACCAATACTTTGTATGGGAAAAAGGAGATTCAAGACCAGAATTTTAATCATTTGAATTTGAAGTATCAGTATGAACTCCTGGTATCATTTTATCTTAAAGATATGCCCACTAAAAAAAGCCTAGAAACAATGACAAACCCAAGCGATGAGTACCTCTAGTGCCAAGGGAACCTTGGAGAAATGGCTGATTCCAGATCTGGGTTAGAAAATGTACAGATGAGCCTGGAACATGTTGTCAAATCTAGACAACTAGGGTTATGTCAAAAGGACTCAGGAGCCCAGTGACCAAAATAACAACTTGCATACCAATAAAGACAATGATTTCAGTGAAATAAAAATATCAAATATTTTTCTATTTGAAACTAAGAAATATTTTTCTATATGAAATATAACTTAAATCCATAAGTTAATTAACTGGTTACTGTTAGAGGATGCTAATGGATCAATTCATTATTTTGAAAATGAATAAAGCAAACAAATTATGCATTTATCCCATCATTTATAGAAACCGTACCTACCAACAAGTAATCAAATAGAAAATGAAGTTTCACTTTATAGAACTATTTCAGCTAACAAATACAGAAGACCTGGTAGAATTAGATTATTACCATTTTGCAAACCTTAACAAATTAATGGATCTAGGTATTAATCATCAATGTCTATAATATGAAAAAGCAGAGATGATCCAATATTATGTGCCTCCTGATTAAGTACAGATCACTTGTACTATCTAATGAAGTAGTCATAGCCACCCATCAAAAAACAAACAAGCAAATAAACAGAAACATGAATGTGATCAAGTCTCCAGATTAAACTACCAATGAACAGAAAAGAGAGCAGAATAACATGCTATATACTACATGGATGCAACCAGTAACATACAGATTGTGATAAACTCTAAGACAAAGCCACCTGAATTCCTCAAAATTAAATTCCAAGGGGAAAAATAAGAGAGGGAACCACTCCCTAGATGCTGACATTCTCAAAGTTCAACCTTTTTATTTCTCTAGCCTTTCCTCCTTTGGTGACCTCATTCACCATATTAAGCTATAAACTTTGTGACTGATTATCAAATCTCTCATGATGACACCAAAGAGGTGACATGTCTAAAGCCCAACTTCATCATGGGTTACAGATTCACAGGACCAAAAGGAATCTTAGAAATCATCCAAGCTAACCATCTACCTAACATACTGATCCAATACAAACAAGGTCACTTTCAAAAACTTGGAGCAAAATTTTGAACAGAAAATAAATAAAATCCAAATTTCCTAACATTCAAAGCCCAATCCCTGTTTCTAGTTTTATCTTCCTTCTCTTCTACATATATTCTACTCCACTGACAAACTAGACAATAGCTATTCCCCAAATATGCCCGTATGCTCTTACCTAATCTGTTTCTATACCATAGCCCCATCTACTATTTCCATTAGCTGAAATATTCCCATTGGCGAGATAATGATCTTCTATTCTGATTTACATCCCTCTATACAATAAAGGTGAATGATTAGCATTTCTACAGTATCTCTGATATTCAGGATTGAGTATAAAACACTCAAAAGAACCAAGCTAGAACCAAATCTTTCTCACCAAGTCCAATTCAAATACCACTTGTTAATACCTACACATAGCTCTAACTCATTTCTGACCCACATTTCCCAAATTTTCCCTAATTTGGCACATATAGACAGCCTATATAAAAGTTAAAAAATTAAATCAGATAATATTTGAAATTACAAACTCTAAGCATGCTAGAAATGTGGTAGTAATTTTCACATAAATGTAAGGTTAACTTTACTATCTCTGAAAACTCATTTATTTTGTCCATCTAACAGCAAAAGATTCACTCATAATCCTTATAAAAATTATTTTGTTTGCCATATACTCAATATCAACTTTTTTTTTTTTTTGAGAGCGACAAGGTCATGGGGTGTCACCCAGGCTGGAGTGCAGTGATGTGATCTTAGCTCACTGCAGCCTTGAACTCCTGAGCTCAAGTGATCCTCTTACCTCAGCCTCCAGAGTAGCTGGGACTACAGGTGCACGCCACCACAACCAGCTAAAATATAAAATATATATATATGTATATATTTTTTTTTAAGAGATGAGGTCTCGTTTTGTTGCCCAGGCTGGTCTCGAAATTCTAGTCTCAAGTGATCCTACTGCCTCTCAAAGTGCTGGGATTATAGGCGTGAGCCACCACTCTCAGCCTTAACTCTCAATTTTAAATGAGATGTGACTCATCACAGAGTCACTTATACTGACTTATGCTGGAGTTAGATATTAAAGTGAAGGAAATGCAACCTCATGAGATCTTGAAAAAAAATTTAAAAATATTTTAAAAAATAAAGTTAAGGCAAAAAACAAAATCTTTATAAAAATTCAGTTATGTAGGTTTGCTAAAAAATAACAAAACAATAATACTATAAAACTGTATTTTCATACATCATTGGTGAGTATACATCAGCTCTTAATCTTAGGCAAAGACTTCTAGATGCCATCTAGTAGCATGTTCTCTCACGCTTCCTCAGAAACAGAACTTCAGTTTTTTTCAAAGTAGCAATGCATTCAACTAAAAGACAGTATTTTCCTTTTCTTCTGCAGCTATTATGCCCATATTATTCAATTCTAGCCCATGGAACATAAAAGGAATTGTTATGTGATTTCCAGCAAGGATCATTAAAAGGAAACTAGTAACCTGTTTTTCTTTGCCTCTGAGAGGGGTAACTGGGTGACAGTTGGTAACTGGGAGATAGATGAAACAAAAAACTTGTAAATCCTTTCGTATCTTTTGAATTCTGAATTATGTAAATGTCTTATTTATTAAAACACACATACATGATTTAAAAAAACTATAGTTACCTTTTAAAAGTATTACTGGTTTGGGGGAAAAATGTGGCAATTTCAGTCATCATGTGTCACTTAACAACAGGGATATGTTCTGAGAAATGCGTCATTAGGTGATTTTTGTCATATGATGTCATAGATGTCATAGAGTGTACTTACACAAACCTAGATGGTATAGCCTACTACACACCTAGGCTATACGGTATAGCCTATTGCTCCTAGGCCACAAACCTGTACAGCATGTTACTGTGACAAATTTGTGTATCTAACAGATCTAAACAGCCAAAATGTAATGGTGTTGCACTATGACTTTATGATGGCTATGTCTCTGGGCAATAGGAATCTTTCAGCTCTACTTTTTTCTTTTTTTTCTTGAGACTGGGTCTTGCTCTGTCATCCAGGCTGGAGTGCAGTGGCACCATCTTGGCTCACTGCAGCCTCTGCCTCCTGGGTTCAAGCGGTTCTCCTGTCTCAGCCTTTCCGAGTAGCTGGGATTACAGCTGCGCACCACTACGCCTGGCTACTTTTTGTATTTTTAGTAGAGATGGGGTTTCACCACGTTGGCCAGGCTTGTCTTGAACTCTTGGCCTCAAGTGATGCACCCACCTCGGCCTCCCAAAGTGCTGGGATTACAAGCGTGAGCCACCATGCCCAGCCTTCAGCTCTTATAATTTTAACGGATCACTATTGTGTATGTGGTCCGTCATTGACTGAAACATCATTATGCAGTGCATGACTGTATGTACTTTCTTCGCTTGTTTAAGTTTAAATTTAATTACTTATTTGTGAAGAATGCTCCAAAAAATGCTCTGGGTTGGGGGATGATAATGGAAACTTCCTTTCTGCTGGTTGATGTAAACTTTATTCACTCCATGTGCTAACAGAATAGTGTCACCAGGGGCTGGGGTGGGGAGACAAAAGGCATAAAACGTGATAATTTTTACCTAACCTGATGAATCACAAATCTTGGGCACTTGAAATAAAGATAGACTGTTCCATCTGCTTATTTCTAAACCATGTGACTATTATTTCAAATAAACAGTCCTCTACATACAGTTTTTATGACCAACCAAAACACTTTTTAGGAAGGGCCACAATAGAAACCTTGGCATTAGACTACACTGTACAGCTGATTCTAATGGCTAAAATTAGATTAGTCATATACTGAACCTTGATGTACTGATTTGTGTTTTTTCACAAACTTTTGCGCAGCATGGAACAATACTGCAAAAAATAGAAAAGGTAGGGACAGGGGCTGGGTGCGGTGGCTCACGCCTGTAATCCCAGCACTTTGGAAGGCCAAAGCGGGCAGATCATGAGGTTAGGAGTTCAAGACCAGCCTGGCCAACGTGGTGAAACCCCATCTCTACTAAAAATACAAAAATTAGCCGGGCATGGTGGCAGGTGCCTGAAATCTCAGCTACTCGGGAGGCTGAGGCAGGAGAATCACTTGAACCTGGGAGGTGGAGGTTGCAGTGAGCCGAGATTGCGCCACCGCACTCCAGCCTGGGTGACAGAGCAAGACTCCATCTCGAAAAAAAAAAAGAAAAGGTAGTGGGACAGAATGTACAGCCCCGTTGACAAGTCACAGCCCAGGCAATTCAGAAGCCTGGAAGACTTACTCCTATTACCACCTCTTTTTGGATTGGCACTTAGGAGGCTGGGTTCTTTCTGTTCCTGATTCTATCACTCACTAGCTTTCAGACTTTGAGTTAGACACTTAACAAAACAGTATTTCCTAACTCAAGAAACCTATTTCATCTTAATAAACCAGTGAAGGTTATCAATAAGTATGTGCTGCAACATTTTTTGACTACCTACCATGTGTTAAACCATTTTACACCAAAGGCTATCTCATTTAATCTTTACAATAACCATGTAACGTAGGGTCTTTTACTTTCACTTTGCAGATGAGGAAACAATACTCATAGGTAGTTAAAAGAAGGTGTTCATAGTCACGCAACTATTAAATGCAGAATTTAGGAGGCAAGCTAGGTTGCTACCTCTGAGTCCAGCGTTAAACCCACTATACTTAACTCAAGTGGGCCTTAGTCTTCTTGAATACTGGGCTAATGGGTCTTCCACACAGCCCTCACAGCTGTATCATGATATGGCTCATTCCTTTCATAATTGTTTTGTGGTAGGCACAAGCAGTTCTCATGGAAGTCTGCTATCTAGTGGGAGTGGGGTGAGATTTTGAGGACTACTCAACATAACTTAAACCACTCCTCTGTGGCTACTTCTGTATAGTGTCTTCATACCTATATATTATTTAAGGGTCATACAAAGAATTTTCATGGTTAGCTGGGACTACGAAAATCCCACCTCTGAAAGAAAAATAAAGCAGCATCTATTGAATGGCCAGAGATTTAAAACAATGTTCACAAGACTTATGTTCAAAATGTCAAATATTTATAAATCCATGTCAAAGAATGGTTTCTTTGACACTAAAAACAAACATATAAACCAACAACAACAACAAAAATCATAAAATGTACCCTCAATCCATTAGAGTTACTGTTAGAACTTTTTAAAAATGGATGTCTCTATCTGCTGTGACTTGGGTTTAGGAGTTCTGGGCTGGGAACTTAGACATCTGATATAAACTCCTGGGTAGCATTCACTACAAAGGCTCAGACACTATATTTTAAATCTATGTAATCTAGTACAGGAAGCTTTGCCTTTCTGAATGTGATATAACAGCAACATCTTATCAGTATAATGTAAATAATACTCTTCTCTGTTCCAAAAACATACTTGGTTAAAAAGTAATCAAAGTCTCCACAAATTCATGTATTTTTCAAAGAAGGATGATACATGTTTATTCATTCAACAAATATTTATCAATCACCTACAAGGTGCTATGTTAGGCACTGTCACAGATACAAAAGGGACAGACACCCATCCTGATACCCAGAATTTTTCATCTAATAATTAAACAAATAAAATTAGATTCTACAGATCAAGCTGCTTCACAGGTGCTCATAACTGAAAACAAATGCACAAGCTGATTTCCACATGTCAAGCAGCAGAAGGAATGGTATCATAAGAACAGTGTGGGAAAAGGTAAATTTAAACTCTACTTATTTCTAAACCATGTGACTATTATTCCAAATAGACAGTCCTCTGCATACAGTTTTTATGACCAACCAAAATACTTTTTAGGAAGGGCCACAGTGGAAACCTTGGCATTAGACTACATAGTATAGCCAATTCTTAAGGCTAAAAATTTCCTCCTAAATTTCTATTTAGGTATCTTTTAGGATAAGTGAGAAAATTCTAAGATGTGCACCTGCATATGTTATATTACGTAGACATTACAAACATGTTATTTCCTCAGTGTTTACATTTCAAAGCTTTTACAGCCAAAAGCACTCTACTCAATTCAAAAAGACAGGCTTTAGTGAAGACAAACCCTTTTGGGCATCAACTTTAGAGGTCAACATTAAATTCTGCTCTTCAGTTTCAGCTCACAATCCAAACTGATCCTGCAATAAGAAAATCTGCGGGAAACACAGGGGACTGTGCTTCCCTTTTAACCCCACCTACTCTTTTTCCCAGCTTCCTATTCACAAGGGCAGGGAGGCACCCCAATTTCAGACAAAGGGAACTGATAAAAAGGGGATGAACATATTAGCAGAAACTCACATTCAGGCTGCTGGGACATATAAAGATGCATTTTGCCAAAGTATTTCCTTATAATTCAGGTAACTCAAATGAAAGTTTTATGTTATGCTAGCACACACATCCCTCCCTTTTCCCCCCTTTTAACAGCTAATAATGTTTTTGAAACACAAGATTACCCAGAAAGCTGTTTTCTTTGGCCAGGTCTGTCAGAAGAAGCCAATCTTAATAAGTTGCAGATGGAACATTTCTATTTAAGGAGTTACTTAAAAAACAACGTGAATTTCAGGCCGGGCGCAGTGGCTCATGCCTGTAATCCCAGCACTTTGGGAGGCCGAGGAGGGTGGATCATGTGAGGTCAGGAGTTCGAGACTAGCATGGCCAGCATGGCCAACATAGCAAAACCCCATCTCTACTAAAAATAAAAAAATTAGCCAGACATAATGGTAGGCCCCTGTAATCCGAGCTACTCGGGAGGATGAGGCAAGAGAATCACTTGAACCTGGGAGGTAGAGGTTACAGTGATCCGAGATCGCTCCACTGCACTCTGGCCTGGGTGGCAGAGAGAGACTCTATCTCAAAAGGAAACAAAACAAAACAAAACAAAATCCATGAATTTCAGAGAGGAGAAGTGTCCCTTTGGGCAACTGACAAGTGTTCAGTGATGAGGGGTATAAAAGCATTCCTAACACATGCTCCTGCAGGTTGATTTTCTTAGGGACAGGGAATTTGCTTGGAGATGTCAATATCAAATGCAAACCTGGTAACAGGTAACATTAAAACGAACACAAAACCTGATTTCCTTTGTTACCCCAGTGTACACGTCATTGGCCCATGTGAAGGGTTAACAACAGAGGCTTCAGGTAATAAAGCTCAAAGGTCAGCTTTTAGTCAATCTTGCCCCACAATGAAAGAGACTTTCTTCCAGTTCTTTTTATTTGTATTTGTTATTTTTTTTCCTAAAGAGTGGTGGCAGGAGATGGAACACACTGTCATTTCTAATATTTATTTAATGTTGTATTATAATTACTAACACCTACCAAAAACATACAACCATTATCGCCTATTCATTAAAAAGTGAGTCTGGGCAACACAGTGAGACCCTATCTCTAAAAAAAATTAAATTTTTTTTTTTTAAATTAGCTGGGCATGTGGCATACACCTGTAGTCCCAGTTACTCAGGAGACTTGAGCCTGGAAGGTCAAGGCTGAAGTGAGCTGTGATCACGCACGCCGCTGCACTCCAGCCTAAGCAACAAAGTGAGACCCTGTCTCAAAAACAACAAAAACAAACCAGGTCTAGGCCTGGCATGGTGGCCCATGCCTCTAATCTGAGCACTTTGGGAGCCTGAGGCAGGTAGATCACTTGAGCCCAGGAGTTCAAGACCACCCTATGCAACATGGTGAAACTCTGTCCTTACAAAAGAAAAAAAAAAAAGCCAGGTGTGGTGGCATGTGCCTGTAGTCTCAGCTGCTCAGGAGGCTGAAGTGGGTGGATCGATTGAGCCCAGGAGGTTGATGCTGCAGTGAGCCATGAATGGGCCACTGCACTCCAGCCTGGGTGACAGAGCAACACCCTGTCTCAAAAAAAACACAATCAGATCTGAAAGCTAAACTGATTACTTCAAGGAACTAAGCTCCTTGAACAAAAGGCACACAATTAAAAACATTAACTTACACCGAATAAATCTTTTAGAAGCAGCTAGTTCTAACATTTTGGATGTTTGGTCTTCTGTTTTCAACAAATTTTCAAAATATTTGACATGATTATGCACTAAGCTGATCTGCTAACCCTGTCCATGAGAAACTGCAAACAAACTCCAAATGCTCCAATGCCTCCAAATGCTACACGCGATATTGGTCCCATCCTGTTTCTCACTTCATGAGCAGCATGAACTTACCCTTCATTCATAAGCGTGCTCTGTACCAATAATAACCACAATTTCCCCTAGCCAGGCATTACAGTAAATTTAAGTAATTACCTGTTTCAGATTGTCATAGTCCTAGTCTTTGGGGGTAAGGGTTGGGAATCACTTTCAGAATCTGATGAAAGTTAATGATCTTTCTTTTTTTTGGTAGAGATGGGGTTCTCACTATGTTGCCAGGCTGGTCTTGAACTCCTGGGCTCAAGCAATCTTCCTGTTTCAACCTCCCAAAGTGCTGGAATTACAGGCATGAGCCACTATGCCTGGCCTAATTTTTTGTAGAGATAGGGTCTCACTATGTTGCCAAGGCTGGTCGCAAACTCCTGGGCTCAAGCAATCTTCCTGCCTTGGCCTCCCAAAGTGCCAGGATTACAGACATGAGCGACGGTGCCTGACTGGAAGCTCTTCTTTAAAAATGACAGACACATACACACACACAAACATGCACAAAATACTGCACATAATTTCAGCAGTTTGTAGATCTGAAGTCGCTGACCTGCAGGTTAATAATAATATTGGGGAAACTAGATAGCCACATGGAAAAGAATGAAGTTGGATCCTTAGCTTATATCACATACAAAAATCAACTCAAAATGGATTAACGATCTAAACATAAGACCTGAAACAATAAAGTTCCTAGAAGAAAATATTGGGGAAAAGCTTCATGATATTGGATTTGGCAATTATTTCTTGGATATGATACCAAAAGCACAGACAACAAAAGCAAAAACAGATGAACAGGACTCAAAAACTTTTGCCCAGCAAAGGAAACAATCAACAGAGTGATAAGGCAACCTATAGAATGGGAAAAAATATTTGCAAATCATATATGTTTACTTCCTAGAATATACAAGGAACTCTGACAACTCAACAACAACAAAATAACCTGATTTTAAAAATGGGCAAAAGAGAAGATACACAAATGGCCAACAAGCATATGAAAAGATGCTCAACCTCACTAATCATCAGGAAAATGCAAATGAAAACCACAATGAGGTATTGCTAGGATGGCCACTATCAAAAATAGAATACAATAAAATAACATGTGCTGGCAAAAATGTGAAAATAATGGAACCCATGTATACTGCTGGTGCGAATATAAATGGTCCAGTTGCTATGGAAAACAGTATGAAGGCTCTTCAAAAACTTAAAAATAGGATTACCATATAATTCAGCAACCCTACTTATTGACATATATCCAAAAGAATTGAAGCCAGGATCTCAAAGAGATATTTGCATATCTGTTCATTACAGCAAGATTCACAAAAGCCAAGAGATGGAAACATCTGTCTATCAATGGATAAATAAAGAAAATACGGTATATACATACAACAAAATATTATTCAGCCTTAAAAAAGGAAATCCTGTCATATGCTACATCATAGATGAACATTGAGCATGTCATGCTAAGTGAAATATTCTAGTCACAAAAAGACAAATACTGCATGATTCCACTTATTTAGGTATCTAAAGTAGTCAAATGAATATAAATAGAGAGTAGACTGTGGTTTCCAGGAGCTGATAGGGAGGATGGGAAGTTGTTATTCAATGGGTAGTTTCAGTTTTGCAAGATGAAAAAGTTCTAGAGATCTGTTGCACAACAATGTGCATATAGTTAACACAACTATACTGTACATTTTTAAATGGTTACAATGGTCAATTTTATTTTAACAATAAAAAGAATCCATAAGAGTACAATAAATCTGAGAAGGGAGGCTAAGGTCTTTTTTTTAAGGGTCCTTTAATGCCTTGCTAGGACTACAGATGAACTTTATTCACAATTGAGAGAATGGGTGCTATAAACCATGGTTTATAAACCATGTAGTTTACAGAGAGAGTGCTATAAACCAAACTGACTACTCTGAGTCTGGCACTGTACTAGGCACACTACATGTATCATCTTATTTAATCTTCCAATAAGGCTGAAAATGAACACAAAGTAAAATGGAAAGTGGGTGAAACTGGCTATAAGGTGACTAACTACAATGAGAACACGTGTAGTAATCCTGGCAGAAAGAGATAACAATGACAGAATTTACTGGTGCCACAGATGGAATGACCCCCGACAAAGTCTTCAACAATTTCCTGGGCCAGGTTCAATATTGCTACCAAGAGGAAGACTGTGTGTGTGGCACAGGGGAGATAGGCAGGAACTCCGTACTTCCCAAATTTTGCTGTAAACCTAAAACTGACTTAAAAAATAAAATCTGTTAATTTTTTTTAATGGTAAAAGATCTAATTTATCATATAATCAAAAGAGGTTTATAGTCATTTTTACTTCAATGCTTGAAAAAAGGCATGTTATTTCAGGAAACCTTCTGATAATTAAATTTTAATTTCCTCCTACTGGATATGCAATGATCTAAACCCCCATTCAGCTGCCATTACAGAAAATAATCACATATGTTTTCTGGGAGAAAAAAATAATGTACAGTACTTTCTGGATTAAAGCAGTATACCATTTCATAATTTTAGCTGATTGAATGAGTAGAGGCATTTATAAGCTTCAATCGATAGCACTTTTTTTTTTATGAATTCTTTTTATTGGTGAAATAACAAATGCATACCTTAAGGAAGAACAACCTCTTAAGAATTGTTTCATATTTTCCTATAACTATAACATGCTTGAGAAAGAAGCAGAACTTTCTGTGCATCTATATATTTGTTAAAAAGAATTACTCTTTCTTCGAAACTTATGAGAGAGACCTATGATAGGAATTTAAAATAAGGTTAATACTATAAAAACATGAAAATCTATAGTTAGTTTATTATTTCCAGTATGAAAGAATTATAACACACCACTGGCAAAAGAAGCTAAAGTTTCCAAACATTTTCTTATTAATTCCCTCCATATTAATGCAAAGTTTAATATAATGGCATTCTCGGCATCAAACTGATCAAGATGCCTAATTTTATCTCCAGATTAATGTTTTGCATTAACTGATAGTATCAGATGCCTAATAGCCTTAGAAATTGTTTATAATTTAAGTATTCCAAGACAATTAATTCTCAGGAATGACTTTTATCCTCCAGGGCTGGTGATATGGTTTGGCTGTGTCCCCACCCAAATCTCATCTTGAATTCTACTCCCATAATTCCTACATGTTGTGGGAGGGACCCGGTGGGAGGTAATTTGAATCATGAGGGCAGTTTCCCCCATACTGTTCTCGTGGTAGTGAATAAGTCTCATGAGATCTGATGGTTTTATCAGGGGATTCTGCTTTTTTATCTTCCTCATTTTCTCTTGCCGCCACCATGTTAAGAGGTGCCTTTCGCCTCCCACCATGATTCTGAGGCCTTCCAAGCCACATGGAACTGCAAGTCCAATTAAACCTCTTTTTCTTCCCAGTCTCAAGCACGTCTTTATCAGCAATGTGAAAACGGACTAATACAGGTGGCAAACAAGGGAAGGAAAGAAGGCAGGGAAAGGAGGTTTGTACCTTGTCTAAGAAAGAGAAGTACAAAGCCAAAAAAAAAAAAAAAAAAAAAAAAAGAAAGAAAGAGAAGTACAAAGCAAAGAAAGGGAAAAAGTAAAAGGGACACGGGTACTAACTAAAGAAAACATCAATTTAAAAAAACCATGGCATGACACACAGCATTAAATTAGCAAATTTTACTTATATCAGACTGAATATAATTGTCAATCTTACAAGCTGCAATGTTACTTCAGAGGCAGAAGAAATAGGAAGAGAGGCAAAATATGGTAATACAAAAGTCCAATTACTACATTGCACTTAATTTGGTTAGATTAGGACAGATGTTTAAAAAACTGCATGAACCAATGATACTAACCCTCTCTACTCCACTTCTTTGTTTTTCACTGTTTTATAAACCATAGGTCCTCTTTTATTCACATACCAATTTAATACACAGATGCACAAAAATGGGGATACTCTTTTACCTTCTCCAGTCTCAGGAAAAATATCAAAATTTCTAACAGAAAAGTTAAAAGTACCTTTTCTGTTGGAAAACAGTACAGCTCTGTCACATTATTTCAGCTAATCAACAGGAACTGCTTTGGACTGAATGTGTGAGTCCCCTGAAAATTTGTATGTTGAAATCCTAATCACCAATATGATGGTATTAGGAAGTGGGACCTTGGGAGAGGTGATTATATCATGAAGGTGAAGCCCTCATGAATGGGATTAGTGCCGTTTATAAAAGAGGCCCCAAAGACCTGCCTTCTGCTTTCCATCAGATGAGAACACATTGAGAATGTATCATCTATGAACCAGGAAATGGGCCCTCACCAGCCACCAAATCTGCAGAAGCTTTGATCTTGGACTTCCTAGTCTCCAGAATTGTGAGAAATAAACTTTTGTTGTTTATAAGCTACCTAGTCTTTGGTATTTTGACAGTAACTCCATCTTTTAAAGTTATCCAAATTTTTAATTATCCTTTTCTTTAAAAATCTAGTGTCTCTAAATTAGAAGTAACTTGAAAGAGCTCACAATCCTTTTTAGCTCCAACACACTAAAGCCATCACAAATGTTGGCAAAGCAAAATTCGCCTTTCCTCAAAACAACTCACCTCATTTAAGACATATACAAAAAAAGGACAACAAAACTGGGCTTTTCACTTCACCATTTCAATGTGCTTTTTTCACTGTATGGGTAAATGTTTTTTAAAGATAGATTTTATCTGTTGACGTTTTTAGCTTTTATCTATATCCCACCCCATTCCAAAACAGACGGGAGGTAGCTAAGACAGAAGCATACAGTGTAAGATTAAAGGGTGCGGGAAGAGGAGGAATAAGGGTTTGAGGAAGGGGGAAAAAATGGGTAGGAAGCTTATGAAGTGGGGGTGAAGGGACCGAGAAAGTGGTCTGTACCCAAAACATAAGCTAAGAAACTCTACATCCCTTAACTGAGGAGGGTGCACATTTGACTCTGGGCTTTATAGTAGCCAAAGCAAAAGAAGAAAACTTAAGAACAGTTTTTAAGTTGAGGCACTTTTTACTCAAATGCCCAATTTTGTAAAATAAGTAAGTCTGAGAGCTCAATTGCTGTGTCAAAATTCCAAAGAGACTCAAGAATACAAAACAGAGATGAACCTGAGGCACAAACTGTACAGAGATGTTGTCTAAGCAATGCTAAGAAGTTGCCATACAAGTTGTTCTTGCCTAACAAATAATTTGCACATGCTTCAGGGAAATAGCCCCTCAAATCACAGGGGTAGAGAAAGGTTACTTTGATTTCCACCTAATGATTACTTGCCTTTGATTCAGAATTTGTGGCAACTGCAAACACAGCCTATCCAGTGGCAGACCTTTTACAAAAAGAAGTTGCTAGTTTCACACGAATCACCTTAGAGAGAGGTTTCTTTTGGAATAACATCAATCAGTTGTCCAAATCACCTGAATGCTGAGTCTGTTTCTGAATGTTTTTAAAAACTGATTTGTCTGCCAGATCACATAATGTAAACTAGCAGGCTAACACAGCCAATACTCCTTGTGAGCAATGTAAAATTATACCATATTTCATTAACTGTAAAATGCCACTAATGGTAAATGTGCCATTATTTTATGTACTAACAAAAATAAAAAGCAAACAATTGTAAGAAACATCCTAATTTTGGAGATGTTAAAATGAAAAGTGCATATTATAAAAACATTTACAAGTGAAATACGCCAGCTTGTTTCATCATGAGCCAGCTTGGTGTCCACCTCCCAACCTCGGGTGTTGGCACCTCCTCTTGCCTTCTTCTCTGACCTGTGCCTTCCCTCTATTGTTAAGTCATCCCAACCGCTACACTAGTTGCTTTCCTCACCTGTTTTTGCTCTCTACGAAGAATTCTTCTCACCTCCCTTTTTCATCCTACTGCTCTTTTCCCATCTATATATCTTCAAATATGTGAAAAGATGCTAGGCAAAAGAAACACATATTTATAAAATCAGCTTTGCCAATGGACACCTAAAGGCCCTTAGATCTCTTTTCGTAAAAAAATAATAAAAAACTGCAGGACAAATATATAATGGCCACGAAATAATTATGTAATTCACCATAGAAAAAACATTTAAATTCAGGCAACAGGAGAAAAACAACCTCCTCAACCCCCTACCCCAACACACACAAAGTAATCAAGGTCATTTAGGAAACCTCTCCATTTGTAACTGTTATGCTCTAAAATCTATCACTGTATCCATTTAAAAAAATTTTTTAAAAATAGTAACCCAAAGGCAAAAATTCCCCTTGATGTTACAGATACAAAGTGCGTAATTTTTTTCTCCAACTTTTAAGTTCAGGGGTACATGTGCAGGATGTGCAGGTTTGTTACATAGGCAAATGTGTGTCATGGTTTGTGGCACAGATCATCCCGCAAGTGTATAATTTTAAAATGAGCTCAGATTTAGAATTGGGATGTGAATGTTCATTTGCTCCAAAATTACATCACCCCAGCCCATCTGGAGATTGTAAGATAACACTTCTATCATATTTTAATCCATCCTTAAATAGGACTAGCCCAAGGAATTTACCAAATACCAAATAAAATTATTTTATCTTCAACGTGTTGAATAAGCTTTAATTGCTTTAAAAGTTATTTTCTAAAACTAGCAAATTAAGTTATAACAGTCCTAGCTAGAAGCTTAAAATTTCAAGAGTTGGTTATAAAGACTTTGAAAACTCAATTCAACAAACTTTAGTGAATGCATATTACATGCTAGGAACATAGAAATAAATAGAATTCAGTCTCTATCTTTGTGTCTACAGGGATACCTCTCCTTTAAGAAAGATATATATATAAAGAAGTATAGAAACAAACGTAAAAGAGTAATTCATTCTACCGGGGGTATATATAGGGGTAGGAGTTGAGCCAGATGGGGAGAATACCTAAAGAGAAGAACATCTGAAGTGAGTGAAGAGGAGGATGAATTTATCACAGTTGAAATAGGAAAAGACATTCTAAACTGGGAGACAGGACCGATTATGGACTTTATTTTTCCCCTTGCCACATTTCAAAAAGAGCTAGAGGTAATTCCTAAAGATATGAGTATAGAATAAAAGTAAATTAGATGGAAAAGCATCTAAAGATGCTGGATAAAATACATGGTTAACCTTGAGAGGGAAGCAAAGAAATTCCTGGAGAGCAGAAACAAGAAAGAAATATACATTCACAAAGGTGAGTAACATTATAGACAGTTTTCCCTGGAGTTACTGGCCAATCCTCGGTGGACAAAAGCCTAGGTTTTAATGGGCTACTTGCTGAGATGACAGGAGGCCACCTGGGGCCCTTCCCAGGAGACTGGATTAACTATACCTTTACAAATATGCTAGAAGCCTCCCAAAAGTCTGCATCCTTAGTAAGTGAAATAGGTAAAAGCTCATTCTGCAGAGGGCGATAATGAGAATAAGGGTCTTTATTGGCTTTGGTTCTTGGTAGAAGAGTAAAACAGAAATATGTCTCCACTGTGAATTCTTAGTAAGTCTGCACCCTTTGTGACTAAAATTCAAACTAGTGGTGTGGCCTGAAAAACTCAAGTCAAAAATTTACTTAAAAGTAGGTGGTACTACTAGATACTCACATCATCTCTGGAAAAAAAAAAATCTAATACCCTGCTTCAAAAAAATCACAAAAAATAAAGTTCTAATGTCATGGGCTCACAATTTTACAAAATCACCAAAGAAACAAGCACCTACAAGTAAGAGCCAATGTATTAGACCAACAAAGACAGCAGATAAGAGTATTATCAGATGCAAACATAAAATATTTTTAATGTATTTGAAAAAATATAAAAGGGGGAACAAGTATGACAGAATAGGAGACTATTAAAACGGACCAGGCAGATTCGAAAATAAACAATATTTATTACCCATGGAATTTAAACATGCATACTAAAATTTCAAGGGCAACTGAAAGAACAAAATAAGGTATGAAACTTACAAATAAGGGGTGGAAAATCTCAAGCAATTCAAAAGAAGGCAAATAAAGAGAAAAATATGAAAAGCAGAACATAAGAAATATATAAATAAGGTGGTAGGGACAAATTTAAAAAGATCAGCGCACTCATCTCGGCAGTCTGAGACCAGCCTGGGCAACACAGTGAGACCCTGTCTCTACAAAAAGTTTTTAAAAATTAGTTGGGCGTGGTGGCATGTGACTGTGGTCCCAGCCCCTTGGGAGGCTGAAGTTGGAGGATTGCTTGAGCACAGCAGGTGGAGGCTGCAGTGAGCCGTAACCGCACATCTGCACTCCAGCCTGGGTGACCAAGCAAAACCCTGTCTCAAAAAAAAAAAAAAAAGAAAAAGAAGAAGAAAGAAGATCAGTAAGCACAATTGATGGAAATGAATTAAGTGTTTCCCTTAAAAGATTGTCAGACTAGATTAAAAAGCTGAATTTAAATGTATGCTGTATATCAGAGACATATAAAATATAAGAACAGAAATGCTGAAAATAAAAAAATAAAAAAGAAGTTAAAACATCTACCAAAACACAGAACAAAGAAAACTGGTTAACCACTTCCAGTTAGAACACAGAAATATGACACTTTGCATAACAAGGAGAAAAGGTTAGATAAGCAATGAAATCATACTTTTTGTTGGGTGGTTGGTTGGTTAGTTGGGTGGTTGTATACAAGAAAGCTGAGAACTCAAAGAACGTAAATGAACTAAACTCCAGAGAAAGAGAAGCCCTTGCTAAGAGAGAAAACACTCCAAGCCCTTTTCATCCCTGGGTCACAGTGGAAAGAAGAGTAAACTGCATGCTGAAAGCAGGGCAAGAGAAACCAAAATAATCTTTTAGCAACCTTTCATTGGCTGAAGATATTTGACTTAATTAATTAAAACCTGAGGCTCTCCAGACCTGTTCTGCCAATTCTTTCTGATGAAGCCTTCACGTAGGATACAGCAGGATTGCTGAGAGGGATCGCCCTCAAGTAACATGGTGCCTTAAGTGAATGTAAGGTTGAAGGCAGGACAGGAGTGCCTACAACTAGTCAATGACATTGGACAGTGAAACTGAAAATAAAAATACCATTTCCAATGGCATCGAAAAATATTAAATACTTAGTGATAAACTAAACATGTGCAAGGCCTCTAAAATGCAAGCTCCCAAACACTGCCAAGAGAAATTAAAGACTATAATAAATGGAGATCAGAGTGGTTGACAAAGGCTGTTAAAAAAAAAAAAAAAAAAGTGGAGAGCTATACCATGTTCATGGAATGGAACACTCAACTTTCTTAAAAATTCTCTTCTATTTGATCTACAGAGTTGACATCTTCCAATAAATATCCCAACAGATTTTTAAAGAAACTGACAAGCTAATTCTGTAATGATATGAAAACACAAAGCTTCTAGAGTAGCCAAAATAATCTTGAATTAAAACAAGTAAGTTGGAAGACTTACGCTATCTGACTTCAAGAGTTACTTTAAAATAGTGTTTCTCAACTGAGGGTGACTTTGTTCCCTAGGGGACATTTGGTACTGTCTGTAGACATTTTTTGATTATCACACCTACTGAGTGGCTACTAGCATTTAGTGGTGGAGGCAAGGGATGATGCTGAACATCCTATAATACATAGGAGACCCTCCCACAGCAAAGAACTATCAGGCCCAAAATGTCAATAGTGCTGAGATGGAAAAATCCTGCTCTAAAGCTACAGTATATAAAGACAGTGTGGCATTAACATAAGACTAGACCAAAAGACTAATGAAACAGAAAAGCTTAGAATTTCACTATATTTATATAGTCAATTGATTTTCCACAGTGGAGCAAGGCTATTCAATAAGGGTGAAAAAATCTTCTTAAAGAAGGATGTTGTGAGAATAGGTAAAATTAGTATTTTAGAATAGTGTTTTACTTTAAAATTAGTATTTTACTTTAAAATTAATATTTTACTTTAAAATTAGTATTTTAAAAAACAAAACAACAAAAATGCCTCAAACCCTTATCTTAGTCCATATACAAAAATTAATTTCAGGCTGGGCACGGTGGCTCATGCCTGTAATCCCAGCACTTTGGGAGGCCGAGGTGGGAGGATCACAAGGTCAAGAGATCAAGACCATCCTGGCCAACATGGTGAAACCCGTCTCTACTAAAAATATAAAAATTAGCTGGGCATGGTGGTGTGTGCCTGTAGTCCCAGCTCCTCAGGAGGCTGAGGTAGGAGAATCCTTGAACCTGGAAGGTGGAGGCTGCAGTGAGCCGAGATCGCACCACTGCACTCCAGCCTGGCAACAGGGCGAGATTCCGTCTCAAAAAAAAAAAAAAAAAAATTAATTTCAGATGGAAAACTTACCTAAACATAAAAATTAAAACCTTAAAACTTCCAGAAAAAATAAAAGAGAATAGTTTCATGACCTTGGCACTAGACAAAGATTTCTTCTTTTTTTTTGAGACACAGTCTTGCTCTGTTGCCCAGGCTGGAGCGCGGTGGTGCGATCTTGGCTCACTGCAACCTCCGCCTCCTGGATTCAAATGATTCTCATGCCTCAGCCTCCTGAGTAGCTGGGATTACAGGCATAGGCCACTATGCCTCACTAATTTTTCTAATTTTAGTAGAGACAGGGTTTCACCATGTTGGCCAGGCTGATCTCGAACTCCTGACCTCAGGTGATCTGCCTGCCTCGGCCTCCCAGAATGCTAGGATTACAGGCACGAAACACCATGCCCAGCTAGACAAAGATTTCTTATACTGAACCAAAAAATGTACTAATAATAAAAGAAAAAGTTGATAAACTTAACTTCTCAAAATAGAATTTTCTGTTCATCAAAAGACATCATTTACAAAATGAAAAGGTAAGTTACAGAGTAGGAGAAAATACAATAGATTGATCTGTCAAAAGGCTGGTATTCAGAAAAAGAAATAAGACTCCTACAGTATAATAATAATAATGACAAACCAATCATTTAAATGGGTGGAAAACTTCAACAGAATTTTCAGGAAAAAAAAAGACATGCCAACAGCCAATAAATACATGAAAATGTGGCAAACATCATTAGCCATCATGGTAATGCAAATTAAAACTAAAATGAGATACTACTTCACACCCACTAAAATGGCTACATTCAAAGACCATCAAATTTTGCAAGGATTTGCAAGTGGGTTAGAACTCTCATCTTTGCTGGTAGTAGTACAAACTGGTAAAGCCACTTTGGAAAACTGCTTTGGCAATCTTAATAAAGTTAAATATATATGTACTCTACAACCCAGCAATTCCATCCCTAGATATTTATCCTTAGAGAAATAAAAACTTATATCCATAAAAAGACTTATGTAAGAATAGTCTAAAACTGGAAGGAACAGAAGGATGGATAAACAAACTGTGCTATATTCATACACTGACATATGATTCAGTAATAAAGAGAAAAAAACACTGATATGTGCAAGCAACATAGATGAATTGCAAAAACATTATGTAGAGTGAAAGAAGCCTCGCACATAAGAGTACATACATATTGTAAGATTCTATCTATATAAAATCTAAGAACAAGCAAAACTAATCAAAGATGACAGAAACCAAAAAAGTGGCTGCCTAGGGCAGGGGGAGGGGGATGCATGGTAGAATTTACTTGAGTGAACTTTCTGGGGTGATAAAATGTTCTGTATCTTGATTGGGTGGTACTTACTATAGTAGAAACACATCAAAAAAGGCTAGGTGTGTGGCTTACACCTGTAATTCCAGCACATTGGGAGGCTGAGGCGTGAGGATCGCTTGAGCCCAGGAGTTCAAGACCAGCTTGGGCAACATAGTGAGATCCCATCTCTATAAAAATTTTAAAAATTAGCCTGGTGTGGTGGCACATGCCTATAGTCCCAGCTACTCTGAAGGCTGCAGCAGGGGATCACTTGAACTCACAAGTTTGAGGTTACAGTGAGCTATGATCATGCCATTGCATTCTAGCTTGGGCAACAGAAAGAGATCTTGTCTCTAAAAAATAGAAAAAATTTTAAAAATTAAAATACAATTAGCAAACTTTAGTGGACATATACAAAACATTAATCAACTGCAGAATAAATATACGTTTTAAAAACAAAAGGATATTTATAAATAGTGATCACATACAAGGCCACAAGGTAAATCTCAACAAATTCCCCCCCAAAATGGTATCAATCACGCAAACCACATATTCTAATCACAACAAAATTATATCACAAGATAGTAACCTAAAAACAAATATCATTTTTGAAAATTAAAAACAGGATCATCTGAAGATATTAAGTTCCCTTGATTGTTCAGTCAGTTCCAAATACAACTCCTTATTTTACTCTTTCCCCCTTCTGACTACTGCACTTGACTAAAAAGAAAAAAAGAAAATTAAAAACACACTTCTAAGCAATCTATAGGTTAAAGAAGAAATGAGACACACAACTATGGCCAATTAATTTTATGAGAAAAGTATAAAGGCAAATCAATGGAGAAAGGACAAACTTTTCAACAAATGGTATTGGAACAATCGAACATCCATATTTTTTTTTTTTTTTTTTTGAGACGGAGTCTCGCTCTGTGGCCCAGGCTGGAGTGTGGTGGCTCCCTCTCGGCTTACTGCAACCTCCACCTCTCGGCTTCAAGCAATTCTCCTACCTCAGCCTCCTGAGTAGCTGGGATTACAGGCGTGCACCACCATGCCCTGCTAATTTTTGTATTTTTAGTAGAGGTGGGGTTTCACCATGTTGGCCAGGCTGGTCTCAAACTCTTGACCTCAGGTGATTCACCTGCCATGGCCTCCCAAAGTGCTGGGATTATAGGTGTGAGCCACCATGCCCAGACCATATATATATATATATATATTTTAAGAAGGTCTACCTACAGTTTGGATCACAATACCGAGACACAATTTTGAACGCCATAATCCTCAGTGTTGAAATCCCAAAAGAGCAAAATCCCCAAAGTCTCAATCTCTAACATCTAAGATCCCAAAAGTCACCATCACAGGATAGTTGCATCATGTTTGACCAGATCTTATGAACTATCTCCATGCTAACTGCCCAAATCTATCCCTAATGCCAGTTTTTTTATATATTGAATTTTTTTAGTTTTTTCTTTTAAAAATTTTTTTCCACTACTTTTAATTGTCAGCCTTTTTTTTTTTTTAAACAATTCTCTGTGCCATGTATTTAATCTTCACATCATTTCCAATACTGGAGATATAAATTGCATAGAGACTGTTAGAGAGTTCTAATTTGTTTTATGCATGTTTTGCAAATTTGACTCCATGAAAGTGCATTAGAATGCTGACTTTGTGTGCAAGCATTGTCCATGTACATAAAAATTGTTAAAACTTCAATAAATGAATAGATGTTCTTTTTGTAAAAAACATAAAAATAAAAATAAAGGTCTACCTAAACTTCACATCTAGTACAAAAACTAACCCAAACATGAAATACAGACTTCAGTGTAAACCATTAAACTATACAACTTTTAGAAGAAAACGCAGAATTCTTCATGACCTGGGTCAGGCAAAGAGTTTCTAGATTTAACACCAAAAGTTATGATCTGAAAAGAAAAAGTGGATCAACTGGACTTCACCAAAATTAAAATGTTTGTATTGCAAAAGACACTCAGGAGAATTTTTTTAAAAAGGAACTACAGACTGGGAGAAAATATTTGCAAATCACGTATCTGAAAGAGGATTTATATCCGGAATATGTAAAGATCATTCAAAACCTACTATTAAGAAAGCCACCCAATTAAAATATGGGCAAAGGCTTGAATAGATACTTTACAAAAAAGGATACAGAGACAGCTAATAAGCACTTGAAAAGATGCTCAACATCTTGAGTTATTAGGGAAATGCAAAACCACTATAAACAGTATTACATACCTATTAAAATGGCTAAAATTAGGAAGAAAAAATTGGATATCACCAAATGCTCACAAGCAACTGGAACTTTTATACCTTGTTGGTGGGAATGCAAATTGCGATTGCTTTGGAAAACAGTTTGGTAGTTTCTTTTAAGCTTGAACATATAATTTGAACCAGTCATTCCACTCCTAGGTATTTACCCAAGAGAAATGAAAGCCTATGTCCACAGAAATATTGTAAATGAATATTCATTCCAATTTTATTTGTAATAACCAAAAACTGCAAACAACCTAAATGTCCATCAACAGGTGAAGAGGGTTTTAAAGTTGTGATATATTAATACAATGAACAAGAACAAACTATTAGTACATGCAACATAAATCGTAAGGACTGAAATGTGCCCACTGGATTTGGTACTTAACTGCTAGTTAATAACAGGTCATGTATTTGTCAGAGCAGTTTGGGCTGTATGGTATATGGTATATGTAGAAATGACTGCACAGTGGACTGTGAATAAATGAAAGATGAAGAGGCAGAGACAGTGATGGACAACTACATTTTCAAGGACCTTGGCTGCGAAGGGAAAGAAAGAGGTTAGACTGGTAATCTAGAGGATGAGGGTTGAATTTAGGGATGAGGTTTCAGTAAGTTTACAGGGTAAGAGGAAAGGGAGAGGGGCAGAGGTTGAACACCTGAAAGAAGATAATAGTGGAGTAAAGCCTCTGGAAAAACTGGAAGAGAACAGGATCTGGAGACTGAAAAGTAAAGGAAAGCTACGTTGACATAACTTCGTCTGTGGGTGTAACAGGAAGTTACCCAGTTCCTGCATCCCTTGGCTTTATCTTCTCTGTGAAATAGGGGAATGAAGTCATCTGTAGAAACTGAGGAAGAGGTGGAGTAGGAACTTGAGGAAAGTGGTAGTGGTTAGAAATAGCTGTGTGAGCAGTGGAGAAATGAGCTGACTTGAGACAAGTCTAAGACTTGCTAGAGAACACTGAAGGCCCAACAAAGGTTATATACCATGAACCATGTCAAACTGCCATGAAAGTTTCTAAATATCTAGTAATGAGCCTCAAGCAAGTTATGGGATAAGGAGAAATGTTTTTATTTATCACTGCCAATTTGTAATAAAGTTTGGGTCCACACTAGGAGGAACATTCACCTAGACTACTACAACTACCTTCTCCCAGCTTCTAGACCTGTTCCTACTCCAAACCATTCTTCTTAGTATTGCCTGAGCCACCTTCTAAAAATAAATCTGATCATTTTAATCATTTAAGTCATTCAATAGCTTCCCAGATTCAGATAAAATCTCAAGGTATTAATAAAGCAAAAAGGGTCCTTCATAATCCAACCTCTTGTTCTCATCTCTTAGCGATCACATTCATCCTACATTCTAACCATAATGAACCAATTCCAGGTCCCCAAACACTGCCATCTCTTATTCACTGACTTTGTACATGAAATTCCCTCTGCTTGAGCTGCCCTTCTCCCTCATCCCCTGTCATCATCAAAATTTAACTCAAATATCACTCCCCTAATCAGGCCTACACTGCCTAGAAAAAAACTACACTGCCAACTGCAGGGGGGTACCATTCATAACATAATGTAAACATTGTCACATCAGAATTGTACAAACTGAGGCCCTTGGTATCCCATCTATATCTTCCCACAGTAACCATTCTGTACTTATCTGTATTTATATATCTTTATTGCAATTTGTTTATAAATATTCAAGTATAAGTTTCTCCCGGGTAGGAATTATGTCAAGGAAGCTTCCTTGACCTTATAATTTGGACTAGGTTAAATTAGGATTTTCTAATTAATCACTGTTTTTCTCCATAAAACAAAGATGGAAAGTGCTAAGAGATAACAATTAAAACAGCTAATATTTATTGAGTGTTGACTACAGGCAAGCCACTGTAGCATTTTATACACATTATCACATTTAATTTTCATAAGAACCTAAGATAGGTACCATTATAACCCCTATGTTATAGAAGAGAAAGCTGAGACACAAAGCAGTAAAGCAATTTGCCGAAAGGCACATGGCCAATAAAAAACAGCAGAATGTGAATCTAGGTAGACTATCTTAAAAGACTGCACATTTAAAATGATTTGTTTAAGCCAGGCCCAGTGGCATATACCTGTAGTCCCAGCTACTTGGGAGGCTGAGTCAAGAGGACTGCTTGAGCCTAGGAGTTCAAGGACAGCCTAGGCAACATAATGAGACCCCATCCCTGAAAAACTTTTTTTAAAAAATAATGTGTTAAATGTCTGTCTTACCTGCTTCATATGATATTAATTTTGTTCCCAGTCTACCCTCAGGACTCAAAGCCTAGTATACAGGCCTTCAATAAATAGTCTGCTAACTACCAGGTGCAGTGGCTCAAGCCTATATAATCCCAACACTTTGGGAAAAGAGGCAGGAGGATCACTTGAGGCCAGAAGTCTGAGAGCAGCCTGGGCAATACAGAGAGATCTCGTCTCTACACAAAATATTTTAAAATAAAAAAATTAGCCAGGCTTGGTGTTACATGCCCATAGCCCTAGTTACTCATGAGACCAAGATGGGAAGATTACTTGAGTCCAGGAGTTCAAGACAGTGAGACCTTGTCTCTTTAAAAAAAAAAAAAAAAAAAAAAAAAGTTTGCTAACTTAAAGATGACTCTAAATTCAGCTCTCTGAATACCTGTTAACTACTATGTTAGCCATCCTTCTTGACTTCCTCTGATCAGCAAATTTGATAAGCCTACTATGTTCCTGAAAAATTATCACTAAAAGTGTTGCAAACTCGTATATTTATGTTCAGTAGATTATTTTGACATCTCAAACCTGAACATTCACCCAACTACTGAACTGAAATCACAGCTATTTAAACTATTCAAAGGGCTAAAGAACAGACCCATTACTTTGGTAGGTTTTCCATAAAACATTATTTTACCTTTTGTCAAGGCTTGCAGTTTTTCAACAGGTAAATCAACACTCTTGTCTCATTTCGTTCAGTTTAATTATTCTTAGCTTCCAAATGCACTTCTAAGCCTTTCTCATTTTGTCACAATTCTTTTCTGCTAACCTCCTATTTGTCGCAAAGCTCCAGAGAATAAAGAGTGAGGAATAAGGTGTTCCATATTACTAATTGAATTTTTATGAGGGTGAGGGAATAAAACTTCTACAAGTTTGACTATATAAGCAGTATCTTTGGAGAACAGGAATTAGGAACTTTATGTAAACAGAGACAAAACATAAAAGAACTATCAGATGGTAAAATTACCTCCCCTCAGGAGAGCTAAATTTTAGTGAATACTTTTTACAAAACAGTTCAAAAAATTGATTGTTTTTTAAACCCAAACCCCGAGAAATGAGATGAGAAAATGAATAGACTGATGAAAAAAGTGTATATATATAAATCATCCTCGATTTTAAATTCTTTTTCCTCTTGGATGCCATATTAAACTATAAACTGAAGTATCCAACATTGAGAGTACTCAACAGTGTTTATTTGAGGTTAAGATGTTCTCACTGTGTTATCAGACTAACAATGTAACAAAGAGAAAAAGATAAGAAATGACTTCTTAAAACTAAAAATGTTGCCAGTCGCCATGGCTTATGCCTGTAATCCCAGCACTTTGGGAGGCCAAAGTGGGCGGAGAGCTTGATCCCAAGAGTTTGAGAACAGCCTGGACAACATAACAAAACCCCATCTCTACAAAATACAAAAAAATTAGCCAGACATGGTGGTGTACGCCTATAGTCCCAGCTACTTGGGAGGCTGAGATGGGAAGATCACCTGAGCCTGGGCAGCTTGAGGCTACAGTGAGCCACGATCGTGCCACTGCACTCCAACCTGGGCGACAGAGCTGTCTCAAAAACCAAAATAAAAAATAAAAATATCGTCAATCTGTCTTAATTTAATAATTTTTGATAAAAGTTATTTATCCCGGCAGGGTGCAGTGGCTCACGCCTGTAATCGCAACACTTTGGGAGGCTGAGGTGGGTGGATCACTTCAGGTCAGGAGTTTGAGACCAGCCTGGCCAACATGGTGAAACCCCATCTCTACTAAAAACACAAAAATTAGCCGGATGTGGTGGCACACACCTGTAGTCCCAGCTATGCAGGAGGCTGAGGCAGGAGAATCGCTTGAACCCGGGAGGCAGAGGTTGCAGTGAGCTGTGACTGCACCACTGTACTACAGCCTGGGCAATAGAATGAGACTGTCTCAAAAAAGAAAAACGTTATTTATCCTATGGTTTGTTGTGTGACTCAGATTATAATACACATGGCTTTAATATTAAACTTTTCATCATTATCTGAACAGCATGCATTATAGTAAATTTTAAAAATGTTTTCTTAAAACACTGTACAATTCCAGGTTTTGATTTTTAAAAGGACTAAAAATCTATACAGTCATTTTAAGAAACTTCAGTCATCTTCAGCAGCTTCCTAAGTGTTATATGAAGTTCAATAATGGTATTTACATTAAGAAAAAGAGAACCAAATGATAGGAAATGGTCAAAAAGTTAGTATTAGACACAGAACTCTTTTGATCATGAGGGCAATAAAAGTCTGAATTAAGCCACTAAATGAGGACTATGGAGTCACCATTCTAGACATCCTCAGAAAAATGCCAACAGGCTGCTCCATCTATAACTCTCGCTCTCTCTTTCTGACACTTTAATATCCCAGTCTTATTTATGCAGTTTTAACGGGCAACACTTCCGAAACTTTCCCCACTAAAGTACATGGCATTTTTTTAAGTGTCAGAAGGCACCTCCAGGTCTGGAACCCCAGCTCAGGGATTAGATGGATGGAAAGTCCAGCAAGAGGAAGCAACTGCTTGAACTAAAGCTGACATGATGGCACTGTTTTCTTAAAAAAAAAAAAAATATATATATATATGTATATATATGTATATATGTATGTATATGTATATATGTATATATTATATATATGTATATGTATATATTATATATTATATATATGTATATGTATATATGTATATATTATATATGTATATGTATATATGTATATATTATATATGTATATGTATATATGTATATGTGTATATATGTATATATATATGAAATAATGATTTGAGAAATTTGTACAGAAAAACTGGAGGTAGAAATCACCAATTACTAGGGCATTAATCTAGTATACCAGACAAAATGACCTCTTTGTGTCTCCTCTATCTTCAAGTTACAAAATAAAACTTCTAAGGAAATAAAATTGCATTTCTAGTTTTAAGGAATAACAGACTCTCATTAGCCACTTTCGTATTCTGTGGTATTTAGAAGACATCCAGATACCATGAAGTGTCTTACAGCTGAGGCCTCCACAAACCATGTAATAACTTATATTACTCTCAAATTCACGTTAGAAACTCAAGTGACATTGAAATATCACACAAATTAGCTGGTGCTACTTTTGTCACTAGCACTGTTGAATCATACATAACTAAGGCAGCAGAAAAATCATCTCTGGGTTCGTTCAAGACCATTTTTCTTTTAATGTCTTTTTTTCAATTTGCTTCTAACTTTAAGGTTATAGACACCTTTTAAAAATAGCTCATAGAATTACAGAATGGTAAAACACTGAAACTGGATAAACTCGTACATCAACCTCCAACTCTCAGCAACTTGATTACTACAGGAGTCTATTTAAAACTAACTGGCCCTCAGGAGGCTGTGGAGGATCGCTTGAGCCTGAGTTCAAGGCTGCAGTGAGCTATGATTGCACCACTGAACTCCAGCCTGGGTGTCAGAGCCAGACCCCATCTTAAGTGGTCACTGATACAGATTTTCATTTAATAAATTGTGGGTATATTTCAAAGATGACCACTCTACTACTCATAGACATTTAGGTTGCTTTCAATCTGGGAGGATGATAAATAACAGTAAATGAACATCCTTATAAATATATCTTTGTATCTAAGGTCAATGATTGCTCCAAAGAGCGTGTGCATTCAATTTTGCGAAACTGCTCTCCAATCAAGACTCCATCCATCCATGCTATCATAAAAAATTTGAGTGTGTGTGTGTTTCACTACATCTGCAACAACTAGGATTATTACTTTAAAATATCTAGCAGTTTAAAAGTGTTATCTATTTCTGCATGTTTATTAACGAAAGTGAAATCCTTTAATGTTTTTTAACAATTTGTATTTCTTCTATGTGCCCATTCTCTAGCTTTTGCCCATTCTCTGTTGGGTTCTTCAAGTGTATTTCTTGTTGATTTTAAGAGCTCTTTAGGCTGGGTGTGGTGGCTCATGCTTGTAATCCCGGCACTTTGGAAGACGGAGGCAGGAGGATCATCTGAGCTCAGGAGTTAGAGACCAGTCTGGGCAACATAGTGAAACCCTGTCTCTATTTTTAAAAAGTAAAAAAGAGAGCTCTTTTAATATTAAAGATATTAACTTTTATTTTTCACATATATTGCTAATATCCTCTCCCTAGATTTTGCTTTTTCTTTTAGGCATTTTTTTATGGTATATTTTACCAAATACACATCTTAGATGTCTTCATAGACAAATCTGATGTTCTTTTCTTGCTTTAAAGTCAATAGTGTCTTTCCCTCCAAGATTATAAAAAGTTATATTTTCTTATTTTTTGGCTTTGTTTCTTAAAATCTTTAATCCACTTGGACTTCATTTTTGTATATAATGAATATAAACTTTATTCTTCCCCACTGCTTGCTAAGTATCCCAACAAAATAAACCAGTGTGCTGGGACTGGTGCATGCTGCTCATGACAGTTACATTTTTCTGGAATTTTGTAAGCTGACTGTGAAACATAACCATAAAAAACTATGTTATATAAACTTAGAATAAAATAAATCATATTTAAAACAAAGGTAACAAATACTTAGGAATCATCACTCCCTAGTTATTTTATTATGATTTATGCTCTTAAGGTTATCTAACACCTATTTTATCTGTATGATGAAAATACCATATAAGGGCGTGCTAGTGCATATCTTTCTCCAATTCAGCATTTAGTGACTTCACATTAGTGGTTTGAAATTGGCCATTATAGTATTTACACCACAGAGATCAGCAAACCCTAAACTACAGCTTTTTTATTTTTCAGAGAGCCTGTTGTTAAACATATGCCACCATACCACTGGAATAAACCATTCTTTGTTCACTAATTTGAAAAAGGATCTCTAGTATACACTAAATTGCCATTTATTCATACGTTTATAAAACAGAATAAAGAGCTTAGAATTGAACTTTTTTTTCTACTCTAGCATCGCAGACTACTTTGGTATGTTTTGATATATTAGATAAGACTTTGGACACAGTTTCTATTAACTGGATCTCTATTTTTCTAACATAGATCACAGTACTGCAAAGAAAAGGGTATTTCCCTAAACAGTTCAATAGCATTCTTAACTTTATGTAGATTATAGAAAACAGTATAAATAAAGGACTATTTCTTTTCAAAATAAAGGACTATTTCTGGACATAGTTGGTTACCATATACTATTTTTAGATTAGAGCTCTCACTCTTAAAAAAAAATAAAAAATCCAAACATAAGAAAACAAAACCAATACCATCGGGTTGGGTCTAAATAATAATAATAATAAATAATAACAAGTGTCCTCTCATAAAAATTCCGCCAGTGTGTGAAGAAATCGGGATCTTTTAATACATAATGGCAAGAACCAACTATAGTACTTTATTTTTTTTTTTTTGAGACAGGATCTGGCTCTGTTGACCAAGCTAGAGTACAGTGGCACAATCTCAGCTCACTGCAACCTCTGCCTCCTGGCCTCAAGCCATGCTCCCACCTCAGCCTCCCAAGTAGCTGGGACTACAGGCACACTCCACCATGTCCAGCTAATTTTTGTATTTTCAGTAGAGACGGGGTTTTGTCATGTTGCCCAGGCTGGTCTTGATCTCGTGAGCTCAAGCAATCCACCTGCCTTGGCCTCCCAAAGTGCTGGGATTACAGGTGTAAGCCATGGCGCCTGGCTGCTGACGGTACTCTTCTTTCAGAGTCACCATCACATACAAACTCAGCATTGGAAACTTTCTTCCTTTTTTACATAGAGATGGGTCTTGCTATGTCACCCAGGCTAGATGCAGTGGTTATTCACAGGAGCAATCATTGCATACTAAAATCCCAAACACCTGGGCTCAAAAGCGCCTCCTGCCATAGCCTCCTAAGTAGGCTGAGTAGCTGAGAATACACACATGGGCCACCATGCCCAGCCTAGAAGCTTTCAATTCAGCAACCAACAGGCACCCATCATGGGACCAGGCTAGGCTCTGAAGAAGCAACTAAGACATGACCCGAATCTTCGAAACTCTCATCATTTTTAGTGGATCGGTGGGTAGAGAACATGTCACAAGTGGTTATAAGCACTTACATTAGCATTGAAAGAAACAGATTGTCTTCAAGAATGAGTATCTACTTTAAGAGGAAAAGAAAATCAGGGTACAAAAACTAGTTATTTAAAGTTTGCCCACCTACAGAGACAAGCTGATAGATGTTGATAACTAGACCTTCAGCACCTATACCAGTTAAACATTACGGTGTCCCTATTTAATGTCTTTCCTGCTGAGGTACTTTAAGTCAGTGATTTATTTGAAGATACTGATATCAGCTGCATCAAGAAAACCAGTAACTGTTGCCTATGTACTTCCTTAACTGTCACAAGCCATTTAGATTTGCACTCCAGCTACCTCATTCTAGGTGTTTACATTACGAAACTATGTAGTGAAATAGCTGGGTTGACTCAACAGAACCACCCTTTTTGCATCTAAACTGAAAGACCTCACTTTTAAAGCCTTGCTGTCATTGGATTTCTTGTAAACATAGTATCTTATATTGTAGCCTAGGCAGCAAACACAGCAGTTGCCCTTTTCACACATACAGTTGACACAGTGATGATTTCAGCCTTTTCCAATCATTAACTCATATTTTAGATTTAAAAATCTATTTCTCAAGGCTTTGTACTATATATAGGGGAAATAATCATTACCCTTGGGGAAACAATGGCTCATTTACTGAAAATGAGTTTAACAAAGGAATTATTTGGTACTGAAAAATACAGAGCAGTGACACAAATCATAGCATCATCAGCTCATATGACTGCATTAGGGTAATTTACTTTAAAAAAAGCTACAATAACTTAAAATTTAACTTCAACAATAAAATCATGTCCTCTGTCACAGAATTGTGAAACCAGATCTTACACTATTTTGAAAATGTTCCCTTAAGTCTCAACCTGAGATAAAAACCACAACAACAAAAAAAAGTTTGTAGAATGGAATATTTCTATACTGCCTGAAGCTCAGTTTTGACTGGTACATGTTTGATTTACACATTTGATTTACACTGAATTTTGTTTTAATTATTAAGAGAATGAATAGCATTCCAAAATAGTCACAAGCTTTAAAACTTCGAGTTCCTTCTCTAGTTGGAGAGCTTACAAAATTCATTACATGGAACAGTGAGTTGATGCAGTGACCACAAATTTCTTAACACTGTATAAGTCTTAAATTAATCATAACCCAACCTCCGCAAATTCTGTAGAAATAGCCTCAAAGTAGGTAATGCAGTTGGGCGTGGTGGCTCACGCCTGTAATCCCACCACTTTGGGAGGCCGAGGCGGGTGGATCACCTGACATCAGGAGTTCGAGACCAGGCTGACCAACATGGAGAAACCCCCTCTCTACTAAAAATACAAAAATTAGCCGGGCGTGGTGGTGCATGCCTGTAATCCCAGCTACTCAGGAGGCTGAGGCAGGAGAATCGCTTGAACCCGGGAGGCGGAGGTTGCAGTGAGCCAAGATCGCGCCATTGCACTCCAGCCTGGGCAACAAGGGCAAAACTTCATCTCAAAAAAAAAAAAAAAAAAAAAAAAGGTAGGTAATGCAGAAGTCACAAAATGTTAATTGAGAAGAAATCTAGGAGTGCAGTTTCTGGATATATCATACAATTCTTTCAAATTTCCTGAGGTTTAAAACTTTTCAAAAAATAGGTAGGGGAATGATATGCTCAAAATAAATATACAACTTAGTTACATTGGATATATCATACAATTCTTTCAAATTTCCTGAGGTTTAAAAGTTTTCAAAAAATAGGTGGAAGAATGATATGCTCAAAATAGATATACAACTTAGTTACATATAACATGAAAAGACTGAGTTGTTCTTCACCAAAAATCTTGTAGTCTGTGACATTTAATCAGAAAACATTTAATCAGAGTCACTGGCCCACACAAAATAACCAACAGATTAATCTAAATATTCCATGGTTTTTCTCAGATGCACGTTCCTGGTTTCATTTATATAGAGTTTTCATTTTTTATTTGTTTTGTTTTTGTAAGAACACTTCCTCCATTTTCAATAGGCATTTAGTTGGACAGGTATTACTGGTAAAGCAGCAAAACAGCAAAAACTCTGGCTCAGCCCCCAACCAGCTGTGCAACGTTGAACAAATCTCTTAGCTTCTCTGGGTCTCAATTTTCCCACTTATAAAATGAGGCAGCTAGACTAGACGCATTCTAAAGTATCTTCCAACTCTCTAGTTTCTTTGAGGCAGAGCTCTAGGCTTGTGAGAATGAAAAAGCCCTCAAAACAAATGACTGAAATCTCATTCTGCAATGTTAGTGAAACAAACAGGATACAAAATTGTAAATACAGTGTGATCATGATCCCAACTCTAAATAATACTACAAACACACCCACGCATACCAGGTCAAAGTCTTGTAAACAATACACCAAAATGCTATCAGTGGTTATCTCTGAGTTGTAGGTTACAAACAACTGTTTTTCCTTTCAGCTCTTCTGCGTTTTTCAAGGGTCCTACAATAAACATACTATTACTCTGATAATAAGGAGGAGGGTGAAAAACAAAGAAAAAAACCTTCCTTTTATGTGCTAAAGAAAATTTTACATTTGGAAAGCATTCTAGAATTTGAATGAATTTTTCAAAAACAGTTGGAGTTAATCAGAAAAAAATCTCTAGTGAAGTCACATACCTGATACCTGTCAACCATCACACAAAAGCTGTTTATTTTCCCTAAATTAGTAAGTTTTCATGAGGTACTATTTTTTTCACTCATACTGAAACCAGTAATAATAATTGTGATAGCTAACATTTACATAATGCCAAACATAGCTCTAAGACTTTAAATATATAATAATTCATTTAATCCTCACAACAGCCAGACACAGTGGCTCATGTCTATAATCCCAGCTACTTGGGAGGCTGAGGTGGGAGAACTGCTTGAGGACAAGAGTTTGAGACCAGCCTGGACAACATGGCAAGACTCCCAGGACCACCACCTCTTAAAAAATAAAAAAACAGCTGGGTGTAGTGGGTTACACCTACAGTCCCAGCTACTCAGGAGGCTGAGGTGGGAGGATCACTTGAGCCCAGGAGTTCAAGGCACCACTATACTAAAAAAAAAAAATCCAACCTGGCAAGGTGGCTCATGCCTGTAATCCCAGCACTTCGGGAGCCCGAGGTGGGCAAATCATGAGGTCAAGAGATTGAGACCATCCTGGCCAACATGGTGAAACTCCGTCTCTACTAAAAATATAAGAATTAGCTGGGAGTGGTGGCGTGTGCGTGTAGTCCCAGCTACTCGGGAAGATGAGGCAGAAGAATTGCTTGAACCCGAGAGGCAGAGGCTGCAGTGAGCCAAGATCACGCCACTGCACTCCAGCCTGGTGACAGAGCGAGAATCCGTCTCAAAAAAAAAAAAAAAAGAAAAAAAAATCCCCACAACAACCCTACAATTACTGGAATACTATTACTATCTCCGCTGTATACATGAAGACCATGAGGTACATAGAGATAAAATAATTTACCCACAGATAATGAGGGGCAGAGCTAGGATTTAAAGAGAGTTATCCTCTTAAATAGCTGGGACTGAAAGTGTGTGCCACTACACCCAGCTAATTTTTATTTTTTATTTTCTGTAGAGATGAGCTCTTGCTACAAAGCCCAGGGCTCAAGCAATCCTCTGGTCTCAGCCTCCCAAATGCTGGAGTAACAGGCATGAGCCAATGCGCCCAGCCTTGACTACTAAATCATACTATCCCTTTAAATGTTAAATGTTCTCCTCAGGTCATTCTTTAACTGCTTTTGTTCTAAAAGTTCCTGTAAATTATTTTTCTTTAAACTGAAACAAGACTGGCCCAACTTTTACTAGCTTAAAATTATGATTCTTTTCCAAATCATTATTTCAAAGCTATAAGGAGTATAATTTAATCCCTGTATATATCACTAAGTGAATATTATAACATCTGAGAAATTAAGTAACATTAATTATTAAGTTTAATATTGAAAGTCTTAATAAAGAAAGGTGCTTTGTTGGTCGACATTATTTGTCCTCATAAATCTTCTGCAAAGAATCCCTATAACCAACTGTTGCACCTTTCAAAAATTTCAATTTTATTAAAATGTTTTAAACAGTGTTATAATTAATTAGCTTGTGTTTTTAAAAGAATGCCTGTCAATATTTACTTTGAACGCTGGCTATGGTATACACCCAGTTAACTTCAGGATAACCCCAATTACTGTAACCTGCAGAACCTGGGAAAATGAACACAGAGGAAGCCAATCAATTAAACATGGTTGAAGATGCTCACATAATTCTCTGAGGCAATTCAAACCCAAACCAAGCCCCTTCTTCTGCACAATAACCACATTACTTGCCAATTTTTATAGCTTCTGGATTACTTTTAATAAAGCTCAAATTTCCTCCGCATCTGTATTACTAAATTTCCAGCTCTATTGAAGTAAATATAGAAATCAAGTTTCCTATTTTAAAAAATTAGAAAAGAGAGGGAAGTGGAGAAGAAAGTGGGGAAAAACCCTCTGCACCAGGCTGCATGTTAATTTAGATGTGCAATGAGACAATCACCTGATAATTGTACCCTTTGGGTACTTTTGTACTGGTAAGATAATACAGTGAAATAAAGTCACCTGGCTTATTTCAATTAACTTACACAATTTGCAAATCTGCAACTCTCTGCCATGGTACATTAAGAAAATTAGCATGTAAGAAAAATCACCTGCTTATGTAAATTGACGGATCATTTTTATCCATGCAGACAGGAAGAAAAGCTGCAATCTGGGTCAAATGACTAATTTTATCTATTTGTTCAAATGTCTCTTTTCACCTTTTTTCTGTAGCTCAGAGCAAGAATTTTAGGTCAAAGAATGGATAAACAAAAAGTTTCTGTGTTGTCCATTCCCCTGTAAGAAGTCTGCTGCCTGACACTACTGAGCTCTATACTACTTAAATTGAAAACAAGACTGAGAACCTTATCCAGATAACAAAACCACAATACGGAGAGGATAAAAAGAGAAATCAATAGGAGATATCTGCTCTAACTGGGAAGGAAAGCAAACATGGCAACGATCAGGTACCAAATTTACCTTCTGCTACTTTAGGCAAACAAAGCTTCAGAAAAGAAAAGGAAAAATGCCTCCAAATAACTCAGGACAGACAGGACTTCTCTATAGAGATCATTATTCCAGTTTGTTCCATAAATATACCCACTCAAGTTCTTCTGAGTCTGACACAAGTCAGACAAATGCAGTATCTTGGTCATTAATGACTGCATTCCTGGCATTTACTGCTGGTATTCATCCCTCCCATTTAAAACTGACTCCATCTCCAGGTCCAGAAGTGGATCTGATTGCTCCAAAAGTAATCTTACCTTCATTGACAGTGACTGGTTCAGAAATGAGTATGTAATCCAACAAAAGCCAAAGAGAGGCCAGGTGCGGTGGCTCAGGCCTGTAATCCCAGCACTTTGGGAGGTCAAGGTGGGCAAACTGCTTGAGCCCAGGAGTTTGAGACTAGCCTGGGCAACAAAGTGAGACCCCATCTCCACAAAAAAATAAAAAAAATAGCCAGGTGTGGTGACAGAGCAAGACTGTCTCAAAAAAAAAAAAAAAAAAACACCAGAGATCAATATGCTGGTGCTGGTCAGTAGCCATGTGTGGCTACAGAACACTTAAAATGTGGTTAGACCAAACTGAGACATATTCTAAGCATGAAGATACATAGTGATTTTGCAGACTCAGTATGAAAAAAAAGTAATATAGATCATTAATAATTTTTATAGTGAATACATGTTGAAATGACAATATTTTGGATATAGAGTTAAAATACATTACTAAAATTAATGTCACCTGTTTCTTTTCAGTTTTTTACTGTGGCTACTAGAAAATTTAAGATTGCATACTTTCACTATGTATTTACTGGATAGCACTGCTGGTTTGCTGAGGGTGTCTGCAAAAATGCTCCCTTCCTCTTGGACAAGAGCTTTAGGAAGTCACTCTCCCTCTTTGGGCACTGTAAGCCCTAAACTACTACAGCCTGAAAGCTGTGTCAAAGCTCATTTTCTGGGAGGCCCACATGCAAACTAGTAACTCTCTTATCCAAATTCAGAATTTAAAAGAGACTCCTGGAAAGAAATTTGTTTTAAAGAAACTTGCAAATTAATGTAAGCACTGGCTCCCAAATCATCTTACCTGATTACTCACACACAAAAGATGACAAAATACTGAACATTAAATTTTATTTAAAAATTTAAAAATCACTCAAAATATTGTAAGAAAACTATTGTAAGACTTATAAGAAACTAAGCAAGTTTTTAAAGTCTAAAACACTAAAAAGGTAAATATTATCAGGAAAATAGTAGTATCAAATGGACATGTAGAAGAAATTGCTCATTTGCAAACAGGCCTGCTCTTCTCCACAGCTGAACTACATGTATAATCCTTACCAATAACTCAGTAATAGAAGAAAACAAGTCTCTTGATGAAAAAAAAATGAACATTTAAAATCTAATCCCAAATTAGAAAACTCTATAAAAGTCACCACTCTGGAACAGGGTGACATTTATCTCATTCCTCCTTTAAACAATTTTAGAAGCTATTCAACACTGTAGTCCTGAAGAGAGAAAGTTGTCTTGTGGTCACCAGCAAACTCCAACAAATATTAATATCATTTTATAATAGAATCTTAGGAAACACAGGATTTTATAAATGAGAAAACCAAGGCTCAGAAAGTTTAAATAACTTTACCAAGGTCACAGGGTTGTTGGCAGCAAGGCTAGGACCAGAACCTTGTCTCCTAACAAGTTTAGTTTAGTAATCTATTACCCCATTGTTTAAAAAAAAAAAAAAAGCCGGGCGCAGTGGCTCACAACTGTAATCCCAGCACTTTGGGAGGCCGAGGCAGGCCGATCACGAGGTCAAGAGATCGAGACCATCCTGGCCAACATGGTGAAACCCCGTCTCTACTAAAAATACAAAAATTAGGCGGGTGTGGTGCCACGTGCCTGTAATCCCAGCTACTCGGGAGGCTGAGGCAGGAGAATCCCTTGAACCTGGGAGGTGGAGGCTGCATGAGCCAAGATCATGCCACTGCACTCCAGCCTGGTGACAGCGGAAGACTCTGTCTCAAAAAAAAAAAAAAATCCTTCCCAAGGAAATGGCACCTTGAACATCAAGTTCTCTGGTTTATTAAACTAAAAACAAACAAACAAACAAACAAACAAACAAATGAGATTTGGAAGAATTGTATTAATAATTTTAAAAAATTGTAAAAAGTAATACTGAATACTTAAGACATTCTTTAGAATCAATCAAACACAATCACTCTCTCAAATGCCATCAATGATCTATTTACTATCAGGCTAAATACAATGGCCTTTTGGCCTTTTCTCCATCTTAATTTTCTGACTTTTTTTTTTTTTTTTTTGAGACAGGTTCTGACTCTGTCGCCCGGGCTGGAGTGCAGTGGTGTGATATCAGCTCACTGCAACCTCAGACTCCTGAGTAGCTGGGACTACAGGTGCGTGCCACCACACCAGGCTAATTTTTTTTTTCTGTACTTTTAGTGGAGATGAGATTTCACTATGTTGTCCAGGCTGGTCTCGAACTCTTGGGCTGAAGTGATATGCCCACCTCAGCTACCCAAAGTGCTGGGTTTACAGGTGTGAACCACCATGGCCGGCCTTCTTTGACTTTTTATCAGCACCAAAGATCACTCCCATTTTCCTAACAATCTTCTGCCATACTTAGATTGTCAATCATTGTGAACACATTTTCCTAACTGCCCTTTAGTTCTGCTTCCAGTAGCTTCTTCCACCTACAACTGAGAACATTCCCTAAGACTCAGACAGATCTCAGTTCTCTCTACTCTTCTATTTTACATATCCAAAAAAAAAAATTAAATCTGACGAAGTCTCTCTTACTTAAAAACTTTCAGTAGTTGCCATTCGCAGTTTTAACCTTTTCTCATCATTGCCCGCCTACGGAGCCTTTTTAGGCTATTTTCCTAATCATCCCCTCGTAAAATCTTAATACCACAGATATGCTATTTAACTGTTTATGTGCTATATGTCCACATATGCTTTATTAATAAAAAGCTGTTTTTAGTGCCTCAAGCATGACATTCCAACCTCTTCATGATTGAGCTCTAGCTTACACTTCCTACCACCCACTGCACTGCACATTCAGCATCTCCAGCCCTGTAGTCTCCTGCATATAGGCCCTTCCACCTAGACTGCCCTTCCCCATTGGTTGACTCTCATTCTTAAAACTCATTGAAGAATTACCTATTTTAGGAAGCATCCTGACCTTCCATAGAAATCCCTCCTCTACACGCCCTTAATGTCCAGGGACTATCTCTATTGCTGCATTTATGGCAATGAATTATAATAATCCATTTACAAATCTATTTCACCCAGTAGGTCATAATCACCTTTAATCCTTATCTCCAGCACAGTGCCTGGCAAATAGTAACATACAATAATTGAATATTGTAAGAACAAGTGAAAATAATATATATATTTTTTGAGACACAGTTTCACTCTTGTTGTCCAGGCTGGAGTGAAACGGCACGATCTTGGCTCACTGCAACCTCTGCCTCCTGCGTTCAAGTGATTATCCTGCCTCAGCCTCCCAAGTAGCTGGGATTATAGGCATGTGCCACCACACCTAGCTAATTTTGCATTTTTAGTAGAGACGGGATTTCACCATGTTGGTCAGGAGGGTCTTGAACTCCTGACCTCAGGTGAACCGCTCCTCGGCCTCCCAAAGTGCTGGGATTACAGGCGTGAGACACCATGCCTGGCCTGAAAATAATATATTCTTAAGTTTTTATTTAATGGTTTCAAATTTAGTTTCACCTCTCCACCAAGGCTGAGGACACCCTGAGAGTAGGCATGTTTCATTGTTCATATTGTTTACTTGACTGTCAACTCCTCCAAAGCAATATGGTGACTTAAACATCCCTATACCTCAGTACTAAGCACAATACAGACAACAGCAGCAGCAGCTTAATAGAGGTTCGCAAAATTATTTATAAGACTAAATATCCCCATTTGGTGCTTGCAAAAGTGCTGGTCCACAGCGAAGTGACAATAAAAATATATAGACTAGTGAGTTCCAAAGGTGTTAAAAACTTTCACTGCCTCATAGTAGATATGACTCAATTAGCCAAATTATTTCAAAACTGGGTTTAGGTAAAGAGCACCAATCATTATGAGTGGCAGACATCCCCATATATACTCCCTCTACTCACACCATTACAACTAAGAGTTAAAGTTCAATCTCAGTAGAGTTCACTTAGAAGTCATCTTTCCATAATGCCAGAGTACCAGTTTTTTCTGTTTCTGCACTAGGTACCTTACAACTACTGACTATGTCTATCATGACTTGTTATGTGCTCACTGACAGTGTTACAACTGTTGCCTCAGACACTCTGTTACTTCCAAGCAATATCAGGATCACACTGACAAGCTATTTTAGTTATTGTTGACCTGTATTAGATGGCCCAATCAACAAATAATTCACTGGAGTAGCACAGAGGCACAGGGACTCAGAATTAAAACCCAAAGAGACGCATAATTAAAGAGCTTCTAACAGCTTCTGTCCATTTATTGGTTGGATGACAAATGAAAAAGTTTCTTTGGCCTTGACAATCTCCATCAAAGAAACCAAATAAGCATGTTAAGGAAACATACAGTATATGAACAGTTAATTCTTGTATTGCTTGGACATCAATAAATCTAATAAAAACGACCAAGAATAGTCACTCAGTTTTACAATATAGAAGGCAGAGAAAACTCTGACACTCCAAGTTGTGAAGACAATGAAACATTCCAGTACTCCATTAGAGGACTTTTTGTATCTACAGCTGCCTGTGCTTTGAAGGTAAAAACCCAGAATTTAAATTCAAACATATTCAGTTAATGCACTTATGCATTTTACAAATTTTTGTTCTGGTATAGCATATGAAAGGGAGCTATATCTGCCCCCATTTCTCTTTTATGACACATGCCCAGTGGTACTGATGGCTAAAAAGATGGTATTTAATGTTGAGGGATATTGTTCTAACTTGCTTGAAAGGGCAATGTTTCTGAAATGCCTTAAAAAAAAAAACTGTCTTTTTTTCTAAATTAATATTGGACAGTATAACATGAAATTTCTCCCCAAGAATAAAACAAGTTTATTTTTTGTGCTGTGGTTTTTTGAACATAATTTGGATAATCTTTTCAGGAGTCTAAGTACAAAATGACTTGCAACGTTATAGGCTATGGAGTTTCAACCACCAAGAAGTGGGTGCAGAATCATCAGATTGTTACTTTTATTCTCTACTCTTTATCTACTTTATGATCATGAACCTGTAATTTCCAAAAGTAAGTTCGTTTGTAGTTAAAATTAACAATACAGATTTCCACATTTCTAGTTTCATACGGATGCTTTGTTATGTCTAGAAGAGCAACCGTTTCCTTTTTATGGTGCAGGCTCTGCTTCTTCAAAGCTCTTTTCACAAAGCAGAGCCCCCAAAGAATCCAGCTGTGGCTGTTAATCTCGGCTGATAGTGGAGAAACTTCTCAGTACTACAGATTCTCAACCTGTAAAACACAGTTAATAACAAAATACCCTTTAGTATACTACTCTTTCTGATGCAACTTACTCCAGGATTTTCCCCAAACATATCCCAAAAGCATTCTGCATTTTTCCAAATTAGTTTGTTATGTGGAGTAAGAGGACCAGACAAAACATAAGAAAAAAAGATGCCTCTCATGTTCACAAGATGAGCAAGCTAGACAATCTCTACCATGCACAAGGGCTTATACTGAGTAATTTTTTTGTTAAATCACTATATTTCTCCCACCTCACTGGGATCTTTAGCAATTCACACTTTTTCATCCAAACATAAGCAAAGTGAATCTCTACTTCGACAATAAGGATGTCTTTCATTTGTTACATTCTGAAAAGAAAAAATTAATTTCCCAGTATATAAATCCATAATACTTTCTAAAACAGTGCAGATGATCTGACTAAAACACCTACAAAGTCCATACAAATGTGTATTATTTTTATTTGTTTTTAATTAGTTGACAGGACAGCACAGAGTATTTTCCCCTTGGCTTTAAATTCAACCATTTTCAAATCTCCCTGACATACAGTACAACTGAGGGGACACGCTACGTTATTTAGAGTCATGCCTCCAAAAATAGTCTGCATGCTGATTTCACCTGATAAATCTGACAATCTATGAAGACACTTCCATGCACATTAACACAACAGCTTGATTTTTCTACCAACAATAACTACAATAAAAACAACTAACATTTATTGATGCTTACTGTGTGCTAGACAGTGTAATCATTGGTTTACAAGAATTACCTCACTTAATCTTCACATCAATCCTGAGATAAGTACTATTATTATCCCCATTTTATAGATGAGGAACAGAGAAGTCAAATAATTTATCGAGATCACAGAGCTAGTAACTATCACTACAGTTTTGAAAGACAGATAAAAGTAACCTGCTGAAGTTATTAGAATAATAAAATTCAAAGACCTCCAACATTACTTGGAGTACACAAAGGCAACAGAGCAAGTGAATCCCAGGATTTTTGATCTTTTAATTAATCAGGCAAGTCACAAACCAAAATGCTAATTTTATAAAAAAGTCTTTTCCCAGACTCACTTTTACCAAGGTGGCAATATGTGCCATTAATTCCATCTCTGATATGTTAAGTTGCCAATGTCAAAAACGGTCTAGGCACAGCGATCCTCAAACCACTCTCATGCGGTCAACTTCCTCCATCTCTCAAAATTATGAGCCCCTGAAACTCTTTGTCCCAAAGTTGTTACATCTTTAACCACAGCATTTTCCTCTGGCAAATGTGAACTGCAGACAAAAAGGTAGATTTATATTACTCACCAAATGACTGAAGTTACTATTTGTGGGTTGCTTTGTGTTTTGTTTTTGCATTATGAAAATGTCCATGTGGGTGTTTGGAGGCTGTAATGTCTCAAAAAGAAGGTCAAATTGTATATGATATCTTGATAACCCATAAACAACATTCTATCAGTGGCAACAAATGTTATCTCAGGTTATCCCACAATCACATTACCAGGTAAACTGGAACTCTTACTTTGAGATAAAATACAGCAGACAGTTGTTAATGAAACCTTAATTGAACTGTCACAGCACCATCCTTACCAGCAAGCTAATGAGTAATTCACTACTTTTACACAACTGTCCAATACTGATAAGTTATTCCACTAGTTAAATTCAACAGAAAGATAAATCAAGTCAGCTAGACTAAATTGTTCAGTGATAAATCTGGTAAAATGCTGCATCACTTCTACAAATATCTCTCCTTGTCTACATGGAGAAACAACAATCTCTCTCAAAATTGCATGCCACTTTTTTAGCCATCAGTTAGTACCCCTGGGTGTATGTCCCCAAGGAAATGTGGGCAAATACAGTTTCTTGTCATATGCTATTCCAGAAGAATACTTGCAAAGTGCATTAAATGAATATATGTTTGAATTAAGTGAATCTTATAATACCCCGGTAGTTAGTTACATGGCGGTTTCAATCAAAGGATGCATCACTGGGAGAACATTTTTATGTTCCATTATAATCATTTTAGAAAAAAGTTGTTTCCAATTCATAAGGTGCTTCCTAAATTAAAAAGATACATTCTGTTTCAGTTAAAAAGTAAAAAACCTCACTAATATCTTTACCTTGGGTTTCAGAATATTAGTGCAATTCCCGGTAGTTTGGTTTTCAAATCTCTAAACAGTCTTACTTAGGTCATACAACAGTTAAATTTCAAATATAATAAGGAATTCAGACAGCAAGTCATTGACATGTAAATATAAAAATAGAAAAGCATTTGCATACTAAAACATACACCTGGAACTCTTTCCTTTTTCATACCAAATTGTATTTCACCTGTAACAGCTGATGAAAACACTCAATGCAGTTAACTAGAAAAACTTGGTTAAAAAAACAAAGACCCGAATCACGTGATAACACAGGAGGACGGCCATCCACAAGCCAAGCAGAGGGGCCTCAAAAGAAACCAAACCTGTACCTTGATATTGGATTTCTAGCCTCCAGAACTGTGAGAAATAATTTTCTGTTGTTTAAGCCAAAACAAAGAAGGACCTGACTAGATCAATTAACCAAGCAGCAAAGATGCCAAAGCACTGTGCTAGGCGCTGAGGAGAAAAGGATTACTACAGTAGACAATCCTTACCCTCAAGGGGCTTACGAATGTAGTCAGTGACACAAGACAAACCTGAAGTAAGATGGTGCACAGAGGTGTACTTTAAGTACATGAGACAAACTCCATAGGTGGTAGAGCAGTCAATCAATTAAAAACCTCTAGAATGGCTTCAAACCAAATATATGTGGGCTTTCAGATATCAAAGATTCATAGTACCCACTAGCAGAACGTTTGCTGTGTGAGATGTTTCAGCACTCCAGTTCTTTATTGCCCCCTTCCTTAAAAAAATAAATAAATAAAATAAAAACTGCTACAAGTCACATCACTTTTTGATAGAAATGTAAGTGAAAAATGCCTTTTGAATATATTCAAGAATGCTGCAACCCATTTCCCTTTCAGTATCCCTAGTTTTTAGCATTGTATGTAAGGCACTAAAAAAGAAAGTAAGCATCCAGATCTAAGAAGATCCAAACAAGTGCTAAAAGTTATTAGTAAATCAATGACAAAATTTAAACCAAGGAACAACCGTTTTCCTGTCTGTTCCATCCCCCAACCAAAGCTTGGAAATCCTCAAGAGTTAGGCAAGGATAAGTTCACAGTTAAATCTCTGAGATAGTCTGTGGAAGGGAAGAGAGGAAGGCAGGAACAGGCAGGTCCCTGAGCAGAATGACCAAGGCACCATTACCAGCTATACTCTTTTCCACCTTGAATCCCACACACCTTGAAGAAAGGACCACGCTGCAGCAGAAACTTCCTTGGGGACTAGCTGAGAAAACACTGGACTCTACTAGTTTTTTTAAAAAATGGATGAGATCACTTAGCAGCCTAGATTATCAAATCTGAAATATAAATAAGATGGCCAGTTAAAATGCATAAACAATGCACCCATCAATTTTAGCCTCAAAAACAATGACGAAAGGAGATATTTACCGGGCTAGTTCCAAAGAGTTCATTTTCCTGTGGTAATGGGCGCTTTTCTCGGGAGTAACAATTTTTGAATGCACTGAAAATATCAATTCATCTATCCAAAGTGGAATCATTAGTCCTTGGGAGAAAACCCAGTTCATTCTAGTTTTGATAGGAACAAACATATTTTATTATAAACTACTAATCTTTCTAAGGTTAGACCAAATAGACCAAAATGTTATATTTAAGAAGCCCTTAGGCTTTTACAAATATCCTAGCACTAGCAAAGGTAGGGTCATTTGTTAAAAAAGTATTATTTCCTACTACAGCAACTGACCAACAGATAACAGCAACTTAAGAGGCACTAAATGACACTAAAACATTACACTGAATGTGGGCCACTGCATAGCTAGTCTACTAACCTCATTTGTGGTACTCATGTGTGATGCTATATTTAATGCATTCTTATCAAAAGGCTACAGCTACATACTTCTCAACTGTAGCTTTATGGTTTAAAATAAACCACTCAAGCAATGATCTTAACTGGTTCAACTATGAATCCTATCTTTCTTCTGGAGATCAAGATCACAAAATAAGTGAAAAGACAGAAAGGACAGGAAAGTAGTTATGCAAAGTATATCCTAATGACAAGAGTATTATAAAGGAATTCAGTCTGGATCAGGTGCTAACACTTAATGCCACAGGGCCACTGAATCAAACACACGAGATGACCAAGGTCTTCGTAGGAATTAGTATTGCATACATTCATCTACTGATCCTGTGTTCAGTGGCTTGCTTAGGTTCTAATAGAAAAGTTTGGTAGACAGCACACTTATGTGTGTTGCTCATGAGAAGGCGCTCCACCAAAACTTGCCATGAGCCTAGACAGCCAATGCATTAGGCCTCTTTACCACATAAGTGAGGGTGGCTTCCTACAGTTGGGTTGAGAAGCTTGCTGCACCTTGGTCAACATGGAGACAACCATTAGAGATGGACTCATCCAATGACAACCAACAGAAGAAACCATGAGAGGTTGTGTTTTTCTTTGGATACTCACCAGACAACACCAAAGGCTCCATATCCAATAGGTCTATCCGGCTCAATATCCAGCTGCTGCTGTGGATGATGCGAGTGCTGATGATGGTGCGCCTTAACTGTAGCAGCTGCGGCAGCCTGTACCTGAGCTGGGGCTGCTGCAGCTGGTCCAGGAGCCTGCCCCGGTGCCGGTGATGGGAAATATGGCTGTTGTTGCCCAGGGTTTAACATGGCTGCAGCTGCAGCCGCTGCTGCGGCTGCCGCAGCTGCCGAAGAGGTGTGCTGCTGTACAGGGTGTACAGCGGCAGCCGACCCCGGATGAAGATGGTGTTGAGGGTGGTGGTGGTGGTGCAGGTGAGGAGGAGGGAGGTGTGGAAGGTGGTGGTGATGGTGGTGGTGGTGACCTGCTGCTGCTGCAGATGTACCGCCATTGTAAGCCGCCATCATTTTTGCGTTGGCTCTTGCGCCACAAAGAGACATTCAAAATAAATGCCCTTTGATTGGAAAGCAAACTGGGTCAAGCTGTCATTTGGCCATTTAAAAATGAAGAAAAACCACTCACTCCACCTCAAAAAACATAGAGCTTTATGTCTTCATCAGTCAATCCAAACAAGTTAGAGGATCTTGGTGTTTAATTTTGGGGTGAGCGTGTGTGGAAGGGTGTGGGTTGCCAAAAGGAAAAAAAAGGGAAAAAAGAAAAGAAAAAGGAAAAAAGGACCCCTTCCCCCCAGGATTCCTGCCACAAGTGGGTACTAAAACTCCATTCTTAATTTGGGGGAGGTTCCAACTTTGAATGTGGGAATAAAGGCCAAACCTCCCGACCCCCTGAACTCCACACACGAAAAGGATCAGGTAACACACCACCCTTGGAATCTTGAAAGAGGGTTGACTCATCTACCCCTTCCATTCCCACATCCTTTTCTAAACACCTACCACCTCCTCAAAAACAGGATTAAAAAAAATTCCCACCACCCTAAATGGAGAAGATGGGGGGAAATTTTCTGGGAAACCAGCTTCCAGCTTCCCCCCCCCCGAACTCTCAGGCCTTCCTACATCTCCCCCTACTCCTAGTCAGGTTGACCTGATTGGGGAGGGGGGGCGGGGGTTCCAAACTTTCCTGGGCAGAATAAGCCAGGGAAGGAGGCTGGAGTGAGGAGAGGAGGCGACAGCAGGACAGAGAGGAGAAAGAGAGCCGGGGCAAAAGTGAAGGGAAGGAGGTGCAGGGAGGAATGAAAGATGTGGGCAGCGCTCGGACGCCCAGACGGAGGGAACCGCCCCGGGAGAAGGTTAGGGTCCCGGGGCCAAAGAACAGGAGCCCCGGGAGGCGGGCGGGGTACGGTCGGAAGCGGGCTGACTCCTGCCCCCGCCGCCGGCTGCTTCTGCTGAGGAGGGTTGGGGGGGAGAGCGGGTGGGTCCCCCGCGCAACGGCCCCGCAGGGCTCAAGGCTGCTCCGTCTCCCCCCCTCCCCCCCACCCGGCTTCCGTCCCCGCGGCCGCTTTCTCCTCAGCCGCCGCGGCCGCCTTCTCCTCAGCCGCCGCCTCCTCAGCCGCCGGTTCCGCCGCGGCCGGACTCACCTCCCCTAGCAAAGCCGGATAGAGCGGAGCCAGCGTCGGACACGCGCAACCAGCCGCCGAGGCCCCGCCCCCGCCTTGCACGGACCGGCTGCCCTAGCCAATCCACGCCCACCTGTCCGCCACCGCCTCCAATCCTGGGCCAGGAGCTTCAGACAGGCGCACTGTTCGGCCAGTGGCAACAAGGTGTGGGTCTTCCGGGGAAATCCCGCCCCCGATCCGGGATGGGCAGATAGAAAGACCAATCAAAGGCAGAGTTTGGCTTGACCGACAAGGCTTAAAGCCAATTAAAAAGCAAAGATCTTTGTGACATTTTTCTTTCGCCTCTCTCCTCTTTTCTTCTTCTTCTTTTATTATTTATTTTTTTTTTTTTGGCAGGAGCAGGAAGCTGCGTGGTAATCCCGCCTGCAAAAGCTGGAAGAGAGGGGCGGAACGAAAGAACCAATCATGAGCCAGAGACAAAGAACAGAGTAACCAATCCTTGGGTTGAAAATGAAGTGGGATGGAACCTGGGCCAAATAGACACTTGAAAAAACAAATGGAAAAAAAAGGTTGATGTAAGTCCCACCCTTTAGATCTCCTATAGGACAGGATTGTGGAGAATTTGCTGTCATATCGAGACAACCTCTTCAAGGGGCGGGGCTTAGGGAAGGGGTGGGGTCTTAAAGTGGGCGGGACCTAGACGAAGAAGGCGGAGTCCAAATCATCACTGGTCCACTGATCCGAGATGTCCAATATCCCACTTAAGATGTAAAGTGTGGGGTAAAAAATAGGGGAAGAAAAAGGGAATGTTGAGCTTCAGAAACTCAAGGTCCAAGGTCACTCAACAAGAAGACAAAGGAAACTCAAAAGACTGACAGAAACTCAGTAGACTGACAGTTCGTAGTCTACGGCCGGTCCTCTCCATAGTTAATCCTGATCTTGGCAAAAAGAGGAGGAATCTCTGGCATTCAGAACTCCACTGTCGACAAATGATAAAGCTGTTGGTGCAAATTAAAACAAAAAAAGTAAACTTGACCACAAAAATAATAATTTTCCTCTATCTTTCTTTCTTAACAGGGTCACATTCTGTCACCCAGGCTAGACTGCAGTGGCACAGTCCTAGCTCACTGCAACCTCCAACTCCCGGCTCAAGCAATCTTCCCGCCTCAGCTTCCCGAGTAGCTGGGATTACAGATGTGCATCACCATGCCCGGCTGATTCTTTAATTTTTTAGAAACAGGGTCTTAATATGTTGCCCAGGTTGGTCTCAAATTCCTAGGCTCAAGAGATCCTCCCACCTCCCACCTTGGCCTCCCAAAGTGCTGAGATTACAGGCGTGAGCCACCGCCTCCAGCCTCTCCCATATTTTCTATCAAGTAAGTTTCTGTCATTGAAATCTTACTAAAATAGCATCTTTCCATCACTTCATTTATCTGAATTTACCCTTCCTTTAAAATGTGAAATAATAAGCTTACAGAACCTTATCCCTACTGAAACTGTATAGTTTACTCAAAAACTTGGAAGTCATCTTCGATCCCTCCTTTGCCTGTCCACATTGTCCCTTCCAATCTATCAGTCATCAAGTCTTCTTTTTTTTTTTTTTTTTTTTGAGACATGGTCTCTGTTGCCCAGGCTGGAGTGCAGTGGCATGATTACAGCCCACTGCAGCCTCCACCTCTTGGGCTCAGATGATCCTCCCACCTCAGCCTCCCAAGTAGGTGGGACTACAGGCACATGCCACCACACCTGGCTAATTTTTGTATTTTTTTGTAGAGATGGGGTTTTGCCATGTTGCCCAGGCTGAATCATCAAGTCTTAAACAATTTTAAATCCCCCTCACTTCTGCTACTTCCCAGTCACACAGCATTTACCCAAATTTACACCACTAACATCTTTAACCATTTCCCTGCCTGCAAGCTAGCTCTCCTTTGATCCATCCCCCTCTGGGGGCATAGTAAATTTTTAAAAATACAAATCTGAGACCAGGGGCAGTGGCTCACACCTGTAATCCCAGCACTTGGTGAGGCCAAGGTACGTGGATCCCTTGAGTTCAGAAGATCAGTCTGGGCAATGTGGCAAAACCCCGTGTCTACAAAAAATACAAAAATTAGTGGTACACATGTCTCTAGACCCAGCTACTGAAGAGGCTGAGGTGGGAGGATAGCTTGAGCCAGGGAGGTAGATGCTGTAGTGAGCTGAGATCCCACCAGTGCACTCCAGCCTGGGTGACAGTGAGATCCTGTCAAAAAAAAAAAAAGGCTGGCTGTACCCCTAAATAGCCTGGCATGATCTGGTTCCTGCCTACCTACCTCAAGGGTCTTATCTCTCCCTTCCACTCCACACTTCAGACATTCTGAACTTCCTGCAGCTCCTTGAATGCTTTCAAGCCTTCATGTATATCTTCAGCCCAAAACATTTCCCGCTCATCCTTCACTGCTCTAATTCATCCCTCAGGTCTTCGTGTAAATTTTACTTTTTTTCCTGGAAAGTTCTAACTCTGTTCTAGAGTATACGTTTCTGTTGTATATCTCCATGACACTGCCTCCCTCATATCGATATTTTAAGTGCTTGTTGAGTTTGACCGGGGACAGAGAGCTTGTCTGTCTCACTCAATGTTGTATGCCCAGTTCCTTAGGACAGTGCCTGAAAAAAAAGAAGACACTTGCTACAGATTTGCCTGAATTACTGAGTGCAGAAGTGGGTACAAACCCAAGCTCTGCCATTTACTTACTCTATAGTTTAGGCAACTTAACTAACCTTTCTCAATCTCAGTTGCCTCAACTGAAATAATACATGACTCATGAGGTCTATATGAGGGTTAAATGAGGTGATGTATTTAAACGTGCTTGGCAAATAGTGAAAATGCAATATAAATTCTCTTCAACACTCACCCTCATGTAATATTTGAGATGTTTCCAATTTTCCAATGCACAGCACTCTCCTCCAAAGTGTAGTTTCCTAAAAGCTTCTTAGATGTTCAGCAAATTATCTGGTTTCACCTCAGACCTACTGAATAAGAATTGGAGGAGGAGAGGAGGAATCTGTTTAACAAGCTCTCCAGGTCATTCTTACAAACGCTAGAGCTTAAGAAGCACAGGCCTAGAGTAAAGGAGCTTAGTCTTTGTAAACTTTCTTTTTCAGCGCTTAGTATAGTACTATAATAATACATAGAAAGTGCTTGATACATGTGAAATAAATAAATTAATCTAATCCACGAGAAAACAATTGTACATTAAGAGTTATTTATTCCTTCCACAAACATGTATTAAGCACCAATTATATCTAGGCATGGTGCTAACTTCAACTGTGGGGGAGAGGAGATAGATGTACAGATGCTTCTGGACTCATGATGAGTTTGTGTCCCTTCTTTTTTTCTTTTTGAGACGGAGTCTCGCTCTGTCGCTCAGGCTGGAGTGCAGTGGCGCAATCTCGGCTCACTGCAAGCTTCGCCTCCCAGGTTCATGCCATTCTCCTGCCTCAGCCTCCTGAGTAGCTGGGACTACAGGCGCCCGCCACCACGCCCAGCTAATTTTTTGTATTTTTAGTAGAGATGGGGTTTCACCATGTTAGCCGGGATGGTCTCGATTTCCTGACCTTGTGATCCGCCCGCCTCGACCTCCCAAAGTACTGGGATTACAGGCGTGAGCTACCGCGCCTGGCCGAGTTTGTGTCCCGATAAGCCCATCGTATGTTGAAAATGCATTTAATACCCTAACCTACTGAACATCGTAGCCTAACCTACCTTAACGTGCTCAGAACACTGACATTAGCCTACAGTTCTGCAAGATCATCTAGCACAGTCTATTTTATAATAAAATGTTGAATATCTCATAATTTATTGAATACTGTAGTGAAAATGAAAGGCTGAATGGTTGAGGCCGGGTGCAGTGGCTCACACCTGTAATCCCAGTACTTTGGGAGGCTGAGGCAGGCAGATCACGAGGTCAGGAGATAGAGACCATCCTGGCTAATGTGGTGAAACCTCGTCTCTACTAAAAATTCAAAACATTAGCCGGCCTGGGAGGCTGAGGCAGGAGAATGGCGTGAACCCAGGACGCGGAGCTTGCAGTGAGCCGAGATCACGTCACTGCACTTCAGCCTGGGCGACTGAGCCAGACTCTGTCTCAAAAAAAAAAAAAAAAAAAAAAAGCAGAGTGATTGAAAGGGGACTCAAAGTACACTTTCTACTGAATGGGCATCACTTTCAAATCATGGTAAACTAGAAAAATCATAAGTCAAACCATCCTAAGTCAGGGATCATCTGTATTAAAGTCTCTGCCCCCAGGAGCTCTAAGTCTCTCTGGTGCAAGAATTTCCAAAATGGTGTGTGCACACCATGGTGGGGGGTGCACAAAGTGACCCACTAGGCTCCTGGAAGAAATTAGTACAATTTCTATTTCATTTTTTAAATTTCATCTTTTAAAAATATCCATTTTGTCAATGTTTTATAATGTACATAATATTACAGAGTAGCACAAATGTATAACATTTATGAATAAATAAGAATACACAATTGAGGAGTTGTGCTCAAAAATTTATCAAAAACATTGGGAAATCATTGGTCTGATGATCATTTAATAATGTTCATGGTTTTAGACATGAAGTCCTTGCCCATGCCTATGTCCTGAATGGTATTGCCTAGGTTTTCTTCTAGGGTTTTTATGGTTTTAGGTCTAATGTTTAAGTCTTTAATCCATCTTGAATTAATTTTTGTATAAGCTGTAAGGAAGGATCCAGTTTCAGCTTTCTACATATAGCTAGCCAGTTTTCCCAGCACCATTTATTAAATAGGGAATCCTTTCCCCATTGCTTGTTTTTGTCAGGTTTGTCAAAGATCAGATGGTTGTAGATATGCGGCATTACTTCTGAGGGCTCTGTTCTGTTCCACTGGTCTATATCTCTGTTTTGGTACCAATACCATGCTGTTTTGGTTACTGTAGCCTTGTAATATAGTTTGAAGTCAGGTAGCGTGATGCCTCCAGCTTTGTTCTTTTGGCTTAGGATTGACTTGGCAATGCAGGCTCTTTTTTGGTTCCATATGAACTTTATAGTTTTTTCCAATTCTGTGAAGAAAGTCATTGGTAGCTTGTTGGGGGTGGCATTGAATCTATAAATTACCTTGGGCAGTATGGCCATTTTCATGATATTGATTCTTCCTACCCATGAGCATGGAATGTTCTTCCATTTGTTTGTATCCTCTTTTATTTCATAGAGCAGTGGTTTGTAGTTCTCCTTGAAGAGGTCCTTCACGTCGCTTGTAAGTTGGATTCCTAGGTATTTTATTCTCTTTGAAGCAATTGTGAATGGGAGTTCACTCATGATTTTGCTCTCTGTTTGTCTGTTATTGGTGTATAAGAATGCTTGTGATTTTTGCACACTGATTTTGTATCCTGAGACTTTGCTGAAGTTGCCTATTAGCTTAAGGAGGTTTTGGACTTCATGTCTAAAACACCAAAAGCAATGGCAACAAAAGCCAAAATTGACAAATGGGATCTAAATAAACTAAAGAGCTTCTGTACAGCAAAAGAAACTACCATCAGCGTGAACAGGTAACCTACAGAGTGGGAGAAAATTTTTGCAATCTACTCATCTGACAAAAGGCTAATATCCAGACTCTACAATGAACTCCAACAAATTTACAAGAAAAAAAACAGACAACCCCATCAAAAAGTGGGCAAAGGATATGAACAGACACTTCTCAAAAGAAGACATTTATGTAGCCAAAAGACACATGAAAAAATGCTTATCATCACTGGCCATCAGAGAAATGCAAATCAAAACCACAGTGAGATACCATCTCACACCAGTTAGAATGGCGATCATTAAAAAGTCAGGAAACAACAGGTTCTGGAGAGGCTGTGGGGAAATAGGAACACTTTTACACTGTTGATGGGACTGTAAACTAGTTCAACCATTGTGGAAGTCAGTGTGGCGATTCCTCAGGGATCTAGAACTCGAAATACCATTTGACCCAGCAATCCTATTACTCGGTATATACCCAAAGGATTATAAATCATGCTGCTATAAAGACACATGCACACATATGTTTATTGTGGCACTATTCACAATAGCAAAGACTTGGAACCAACCCAGATGTCCAACAGTGATAGACTGGATTAAGAAAATGTGGCACATATACACCATGGAATACTATGCAGCCGTAAAAAATGATGAGTTCATGTCCTTTGTAGGGACATGGATGAAGCTGGAAACCATCATTCTCAGCAAACTATCACAAGGACAAAAAACCAAACACCTCATGTTCTCACTCATAGGTGGGAATTGAACAATGAGAACACATGGACGCAGGAAGGGGAACATCACACACAGGGGCCTGTTGTGGGGTGGGGAGAGGGGGGAGGGATAGCATTTGGAGATATACCTAATGTTAAATGATGAGTTACTGGGTGCAGCACACCAACATGGCACATGTATACATATGTAACTAACCTGCACATTGTGTACATGTACCCTAAAACTTAAAGTATAATAAAAAAAAATAATGTTCATGATTTAGATCAGTGCTGTCCTAGAGAAATGTGAGAGCCACATATGAAATTTTGTGTTCTAGTAGTCACACTAAAAAGTTAAAAGAGGCCAGGTGTGATGGCTCACACCTGTAATCCCAGCAATTTGGGAGGCCAAGGTGGGAGGATCGCTTGAGCCCAAAGTTCAAGACCAGCCTGGGCAACATAGTGAAACCTCATCTCTATCAAAAAAAAAAAAAAAAAATTAGCCAGGCATGGTGGCATGTGCCTGTAGTCCCTGCAACTCAAGAGGCTGAAGTGGAAGGATCACCTGAACCCAGGGAGGTTGAGGCTGCAGTGAGCCATGATCATGCCACTGCACTTTAGCCTGAGCAGCAGAGTGAGACCTTATCTAAAAAAAAAAAAAAAAAAAAAGGAAAACAAAATTCACTAGCCACATGTGGCTAGTAGCTACTATATTAGACAGCCCAAATCTAGATCATGGGTTTGAATCCTTAATCTGTCCCTTACCAGCTATGTGACCTTGGGCAAGTTCCTTAACCTATCTTAGTGTGAAAAATTTCCTTGTCTGTAAAATAGAGAGGTTCCCTGACAGATGCAGTTGTGATAATTCAAAGAGACAATCCATGGAAAGCACATAGCCTGGGGCTTGCTAGCAGTAAGTGGGATGGTTATTATTAGTACAGGTATTACAATCGAAGGCAAAGTGTCCCAAGTGTCCAGTGGAGAAATCATCTTGGGCACCACTCAGTTCATGTCCCCAGCATTCCATCCACGTGGAGTGGCTGGCCCCTTAAACACATCACCAGACAGTACAATTTCCGGCCTTTTCCATTTTGTTCCATTTTCAGGAGCTGAGCATGAAGAACGAGAAGTCGGAAGTGAGTCAGCAGGATAGCACTTAGAGCCTAAAAAAGCAAGCAGGACATCAGAATGCATAAGCAGGAATATAATGTGCAGGAAGTGGGAGGTGATCTTCCCTTTCTTCCAAGAACTGGCTCACCCCATGAGTTGTCTGCAAAGACTTTGCAGAACTTGGGCCAGGCCCAGGAATATTAAAGGACTACAAAAGGAGCAACTCACATTCAACAGTGCTGGGTGCTCAACACCTGTTATCTCATGTGATCAATCGTCAATATGTCCCATTTTGCAAATGAAGAAACAGACTCGGGAAGTCAAGGTACCTTATCAAATCTCACACATCTCGTGAGTGACAAAGCTGGGGCTGGCCCACTTCCCACTGTAACCCACAGCTGGAGGGAAGGGGCAAAGAAGTGATGCTATGGAGTACCAGGAAGGACAGGCAGAGAATTCTTACCCTTTCAAGCCTGGCAGCCAGGGGCCTCCCTCACTGGGTGCATGATACTTTTTTAACATTTCTTACCCAAAACTGTTAGCAGAAGGCAAGAGGATCACCTCCGACCTTTTAGCACACACATTCCTCTGGGTCACACTACGTCCATTCTCTGTCTCCATGCTTCGGGCCTGGCTTATCTTTCTACCTCTTCTTCTACCCAAGTTCTACTCACTTTTAAGGCTTTGCTCTTGGAGCCTCAGATCTTCTTCTTTGTTGTCTTTTTTTTTTTTTTTGAGAACCTCGACCTCCCTGGGCTCAGGTGATCCTCTCACCTCAGCCTCCTGAGTAGCTGGGTCTACAGGCATGTGCCACCACAGCTGACTAATTTTTTTGTATTTTGTAGAGCTGGGGTTTTGCCTTGTTGCTCATTAGAATCTGCCTGCCTCAGCCTCCTAAAGTGCCAGGATTACAGGCATGAGCCACTGCACTGGGCTGTAGCCTCAGAACTTTCATGAAGCATTTTTCCTGATACAAGTCCCTCTGGATCTCTCTCTCCCCTGAAGAATTTAGACATTCAATGTCTGCAATATTTATTTGAAACATACACTCTTATTTATATAATCTTATTTATGTGATGCCGTGAAAAACTTTCTAGCTGTCTGACCTTGGGCACTAGACACTTGAGCATGCTTCCTCATCTGTTCAATGGGTATAATAACACCTATTTTGCAGTAGAAGGTAATATTGAGAAAATTAACTAAGGTCATATATTACTATATGAAATATCTAGCACAATGCCTGACACAGAGTGGCCACTTGGGATAGGTAGTTCCCTTCCTCACTTTTTTTTTCTTTTTAGAGAAACAGCCCAGGCTGTTCTCAAACTTCTGTGCTGAAGCAATCCTCCTGCCTCAGCCTTCCAAAGTCTTGGGATGACAACCATGAGCCACAATACCTGGCCTCTTTCCTCACTTCTGTGTGTTGCTTACTTGTCATTATTTTCCTGGTATCTCTATTTCCAGTGCTCTTCTGTTTGGGGAGTTGGTTGGGGAGATGAGATGTGATACTTTAATCTTAGTAAATTGTAAAATGCTTCTCCCATCTTCCTTCATCCATTTTTCTGAGCCCCTACAGTCCCTCCATCAGTTTCGTGACAGGGGATAAAGTCATCAATGCCAAAGCAAAGGTGGAGGCTCGATAAGAGAGAGTGGGAGCAAGGCTACAAACCTCATAGGCATTTGGTATTGCTGAAGGACAACGTGCATGTTCAGGATCAGCTACTGGAAGGTATAACAAGAGAAGCCAGACAAGACAGTGGAAGAATCAGTCAGGGAGCCAATAGCAACTAAGATAGAGACAGGACATGGCAACAAGCTGGGGACTGGGTGAGGCCAGACAAATCTAAGTTCACGTACCACCTGGTCCTTCTTCCCCTACAACTGGGCCTCTTCCCATCCTAACAACACAGGCTCTGAGCCCCAGGAGAATTCCCTTTGCATGTATCTCAGGATGTTGGCCTCATCTTACCCCTCTCCATTTTTCAGTCCCTGGATGGGTTATTTATCCCAGCTCCAAACCCCAGGACCAAACCTCAGCCCTGACCCATGTCCTTGGCCATGTGAGTCAGACGATGTCCCAAACTTCCTTCTTCCTAGATGAGTGGTGAACATTTTATCTTAAAGTTATTAAAAAAGAAAATTTTAAAATAGATTACAAAATTGTTATGCTTAACATTTGTAGGTGCCCTTTATTACTTTGGCTTCTTAAGCCTTAGTAAATGAAAGTATAACTCACATGCATTGGACACAGCAGTAAAATGAGGAATGTTTCATAATGTTATACAGACAATATTCTGTGGATCTATTTTCAGCTTAGAATCCAAATACAACAAGATACTTTTCATCAAAAGGGCAGCAATGAACCATACACAAAATTACCACCTATCCACCCCAATATACCACGTTACAGAGCTCAGCCTCCATGGCAGAATAAAGGTTGTCCTCGCTGAAAGTCCGCAGAGACAGTGGTCCCAGATTAGAGAGCCACAGCCTTAAATATTGATTGCTAGGGTTAGCAGGTGAAACCAAATTATCCAAGACTACAATGAGCATTATTTGGAAAAGACTAAGACAGTGGTGGTTTCCAGACTGTGCTTCACATTGGAATCACCTGAGGATATTCAAAAACTACTGATGCCTGGTTTCAGTGGTATGCTGGTAAATATTTTAAGAATTGGCTGTTTAGAAAGAAAAGAAAGCCCTGATTTATATCCATGGCATAAAAACTTCTATCATGGTTAATTTCTTTCTTTCTTTCTTTTTTTTTTTGAGACAGAGTCACACTCTGTTGCCTAGGCTGGAGTGCAATGGCACGATCTCGGCTCACTGCAACCTCTGCCTCTCGGGTTGAAGCAATTCTCCTGCCTCAGCCTTCTAAGTAGCTGGGATTACAGGTGTGTGCCACCACGCCCAGCTAATTTTTTTTTTTTTTTGTAAGTAGAGACGGGGTTTCACCCTGTTGGCTAGCCTGGTCTCGAACTCCTGACCTCAGGTGATCCACCCAGCTTGGCCTCCCAAAGTGCTGAGATTACAGGCATGAGCCACCGCGTCCAGCCATGGTTAATTTCAAGCTGCTAGTATGACATCATTGAAGACAGAATGGGGAAGAGATGTACACAATAGGTTCTCCAGAACCAGGTAGCAGCCAGCTTTAGCACACCACTGCCTGGTCACCCCCACGCCTCCCACACAACTTAGTAGGTATGAGGTGTGACCTAGGCATCAGGATTTTTAAAAGCTCCCCAGTAGATTCTAATATGCAGCAAAGTTGGGAACCACTGGGCTAATGGGCCTTGTAATAAGGTCCCAGAGGCAAGAAACCGGCCAGTTGATTGCCTTCCAGTGACAGCTGGATTGTAACACTTGCCTCCTCAAATACACTTTCTTCCCCTAGCAAGCCTCCATGGAAAGCTAAATCCTCAGCAGAAGGTTGCTCAGTGGGCTGGTCTCAGAGCATGGGGCAGGGGTGGGAGGTCCGGAGGCTGGTGAGAGATCTGAAAAGCTAGGGGCGATGTGTCAATGTAATTGTCCACTAGAAATTCCTGGGGGTGCTAGAAACACTGATAAATTTCTGCTCCAGGACATTCCTCCAGGGATGTCATTATCCTTCCATTAAAACTGTATTCTGACTGGGTGGTAAGTACCTGATTTGCTTAATTCTTAATTGTTATACCTTTAGCTCTGCTGACTGAGCTCTAGTGATTTGGGTTGAAGTGTACCTAAGGCTGCAGGGCAGGTAGGAGAGGAATGAATTTTTTCTGCAGATGGCTGGCCAGGCCCCACCTCTGGGTTACTGCAGTCACTCTGCTTTTGTCTGTCATGGTACTTGTCACCTGGCCTTGCAAATGTTTACTCATCTGTTGCCTTTAATGCTCTACAAGCTCCCCAAGGGCAGAGACTTGGCTCCTATTTTGCTAGGCGTCCCCAGTGCCCAGTGTTGGTTTAAGCTGACGTAAACTGAGCTCTTCCATCCATTATAAAGTATTTTAAATTTACTTTTAGAAACACAAGTAGGCCGAGTGAGGTGGCTCATGCTTGTAATCCCAGTACTTTGGGACAGGAGGATTGCTTGAGCCCAGGAGTTTGAGATCAGCCTAGGCAACATGGCAAGACCTCGTCTCTACAAATAATAATAAAAACAAAATTAGCTGGGCATGGTGGTGGGCACCTGTAGTCTCAGCTACTCTGGAGGCTGAGGCAAGAGAATAGCTTGAGCCCAGGAGGTCAAGGCTGCAGTGAGCTGTGATTGCACCACTGCCCTCCAGCCTGTGTGACAGAGCAAGACCCTGTCTCAAAATAAATAAAATAAAATAAAATCACAAGTAATTCATGAAAAGATTCTTGGCATTTGCACACACACATGCACATTTTAAAATGTATGGTTCTCGGCTGGGTGCTGTGGCTTGCACCTGTAATCCCAGCACTTTGGGAGGCTGAGGTGGGCAGATTGCTGGAGCTCAGGAATTCTATATCAGCCTGGTCAACATAATGAAACCCTGTCTCTACAAAAAATACAAAAATTAGCTGGGTGTGGTGGCACACATCCGTAGTCCCAGCTACTTGGGAGGCTGAGGCACGAGAATCACTTGAACCCAGGAGGCGGAGGTTGCAGTGAGCTGAGATCATGCCACTGCACTCCAGCCTGGATGACAGAGCAAGACTCTGTCTCAAGAAAAAAAAAAGCATGGTTCTATTTTTTGTGTTTTCAAAATACATGCTATTATACTATACACATAGTTCTATAAAATGCTTTTTCACTTAACAATATGTTATGAGGATATTTTCATAATCTATTTATTAATGTGCTTTGTTCTTTTCATAATGCTGAATTTGAAAGGTGACCTTGAGACAGGATTTAAGTGTGATTACTTTATGTGGGAGGTGATCCCAGAAAATAGGGTAATGGGGAAGTGAGACAGGGAAGGGAAGGAAGCCAATAAAGGGTGTTTTTCAAAGCAAGTCATCACTGTATGTAAAACCAGAGCTCAACTCCATGGGGAAACTGGGAGCCAATGTAGCACACAACTGTCCAACACTTCTACCTAAAGAGAGCTGGAGTATTTATCCACTGACTTCCATCTGCCATTGATCAAGGGCTACTTCAGAGGCACATTGACTCAGGGACTTTTGGCCTGCCTTGCATCTGGGCAGAGAGGGCTCTGGTGGCCAGAAAAAGCCTTCAGTCAAGGAGATGCTTGTGCTATCAATTGGAAGTCAGTTGACACACACAGACATGGTAAGTGCTAGGTCATATGGGTGGGGAACTGATAGGATCCGCTCCAAAACAGATGTGACTTTGTGCCTTACTTCATTAAATCCTTTCTCATTTCTCATTTTTTTTTTACAAGCAACTCTTCAATAAGTATTCCCATCCATGTTTCCTTATGCAGGGGTACAATTTTTTTTTTTTTTTAAGAGACAGCTCTAGCTCTATGGCCCAGGCTGAGGTGCAGTGGCACTATCCTTGCTCACTATAGACTCAACTCCCTGGGCTCAAGTAATCCTCCAGCCCCAGCCTCCTGAGCAGCTGGGACTTTGGGCACATGCCACCACACCTGGGTAATTTTTTCTTGTTGAGAGGGAGTCTCGCTCTGTTGCCCAGGCTGGGGTGCAGTGGAACGATCTCGGCTCACTGAAACCTCCGCCTCCTGGGTTCAAGTGATTCTCCTGCCTCAGCCTCCTGAGTAGCTGGGACTACAGGTGCATGCCACCATGTCTGGCTAATTTTTTGTATTTTTAGTAGAGACGGTGTTTCACTGTGTTAGCCAGGATGGTCTCTATCTCCTGACCTTGTGATCCACCCGCCTCGGCCTCCCAAAGTGCTGGGATTACAGGCATAAGCCATCACGCTGGGCCCACCTGGGAAATTTTTAAAAGTTTTTTGTAGAGACAGAGTCTCACTGTGTTGTCCAGGCTGGTCTTGAACTCCTGGGCTCAGGCAATCCTCCAGCCTTGGCCTTCCTAAGTGTTGAGATTGCAGGCATGAGCCACCATGCCTGGCCCAGTATTTCTTTAGGATACATGCCTACAATGGGTCCATCCATTACACAATATTTCTGTTTAATTTTACTCTCCTGGACTGGGAAATGCCTACTGTAACCTCAGAACTCTGGGCTGCCAGAGTGTGCATATCCTCTCTTGCTAAAGCCTTCAGTCTTGCCCTTTCAGGAATCCTTTCAAGATAGAAGATAGGAGAGCATTTAATGACTTTCCTACTGCCCTATATGAGATTCTCATGGCCTCATTAATTCTCTCCATTGACTATCCCTGTGACTTTACTCTTGTCTCCTGCCTTCAAAACCTGTTGTTGATATGTTCAGATTTTAAGCAGTAGTCTAGCAATAAAAATCAAATCTTGGAACAATGCATTTCTTCTATTTGGTCAGACATTTTACCTCTGTTTACCTGCGTAGGCCATCATTTCCAAATAAAGAGCACATGTGCACAACCTGAGACCGGGTCTGTGCAAGTCTTTCTTTACAGTTGCTAGTACAAGGACACAACTAGGAATTTATTTAAAAAATTTTCAATGCAAAATTTTTTATTTTTAAAATCAACTTTATTGAGCTGTAATTTAATCCAATAAATATTTTAAGTTCCATGAGCTGTGGATTCTTTTTTGTTCGTTTGTCTTTATAGATACGAGGTCTCCCTTGCCATGTTACCCAGGCTGATCTCGAACTCCTGGGCTCAATTGATCTTCCAGCTGCAGCCTCCCAAAGTGTTGGATTTATAGGTGTGAGCCACCACACCAGGCTGGCATTGGTTTTTAAATTTTATTTTCCAGTAGTTCATTGCTGGTATATGGAAACACACTTGATTTTTTTTGCAGGCTTGCTAAATCCATTTATTCTAGTAGCTTTTTTCTAGGTTCTTGAGGATTCTCTAATCTTATTAATCTATAAATAAAAACAGTTTTATGTCTTCCTTTCCAACATTTAGGCCTTTTATTTATTTTTCTTGACTTATTACACTGTCTAGGACCTCCAATGAATAGTTGAATAAAAGTGATGAGAGCAAAACTTCCTTGCCTTGTTCCCAATCTTAGGAAACAGTCTTCTACCGTTCAGTCTTTCAGCATTCAGAATAATGTTATTGGTAGGTTTTTCATAGATGGTATTTATCAACTTTAAGAAGCCCCCCTTTAGTTTTAACCTGCAAGTACTTTTGGTTCCAGTGGTTTATATTTCACCATGCTAAAAGACAGTGTGACTCTAGGTCTTGTTCTCTTTTCCGTAGTGATGTTATATAGAAAGCATGGTTCCAGATTCAAATAGACTTGAACTCTGTCAGTTTCCAGCTATGTGATCTTGTTCTGGTTCTCTATCTTCTACATCAATTTCCTCACTCATAAAATAAGGATAGCTAGTTTTGAAGGTTATTGTGAATGATATTTGGTTTGCTTGCATGTGTCTGACACATGTTAGACACTCAAAAAATATTCTCTCTCTCCTCTTGCTTTTTTTTAGTAATACGCTTTTCACTTTATAATGACATTTATAATGTCTGGACTGGGTGCAGTAGCACATGCCTGTAATCCAAGCACTTTGGAATGCTGAATGGGAGGATCACTTGAGGCCAGGAGTTCAAGACCAGCCTGGGCAACATAAAGAGACCCCCAACTCTACCAAAAAATAAAACCAAAAAGTAAGCAATGCATGGTGGCATGAACCTGTTGTCCTAGCTACTCAGAAGGCTAAGGTGGGAGGATCACTTAAGCCTAAAAGTTTGAACTTACAGTGAGCTATGATCATGCCACTGCTCTCTAGCATGGGCAACAGAGTGAGACCCTGTTTCTCTAAATGATGATAACAATAATAATGTCTGCCCAAATGTTCACAATAGGGCTTTTTAATGTGGGTATTGGTAACACACGAAGGTCAGGATCTCATCTATGAATGACAGCTTCTCCATGGGTTGCAATAACTTGTGGCATCCAATCAGGCACTTCCCTCTGCTAACTGCAGGTTCCATAATTATTCCCAGGCTAAGACTTCTTGGGATTAACATGTTGTTCCAACCACTACAAAAACAAATGTACTGTTCCAAACGATACTTAATTATATCACGTTCACTGCTTTTTTTTATTTTTTTATTTTTTCTGAGACAGAGTCTTGCTCTGTCACCCAGGCTGGAGTGTAGTGGCGCCATCTCGGCTCACTGCAACCTCTGCCTGCTGGGTTCAAGCAATTCTCCTGCCTCAGCCTCCCAAGTAGCTGGGACTACAGGTGCGTGCCACCATGCCTGGCTAATTTTTTGTATCTTTAGTACAGACAGGGTTTCACCATGCTGGCCAGGCTGGTCTCGAACACCTGACCTCATGATCCTCCTGCCTTGGCCTCCCAAAGTGCTGGGATTACAGGCATGAGCCACCACGCCCAGCTCCCACTGCTTTTAATAGCATATCCAGAAAGAATGATTCACAAGTCTTTGGGCCATCTCAGATGTGCAGAGAACCTGTATTGTTAGTCCATATTTTACCTTCTTAGGCCTGGAATTCTCCAGCTCTGAACATAGCAGGAGTTAAGGATACCAGGCCAAAAAGTGTAGAAATGATGTTATAACTCCCAGAGCAGTGATTTCAAATGCCAGCCCTAGAGCAAGTGCCTGATGAAGTGTTTTGCACAAACCTTGTTAGAACAGGAAATATTAGGATGATTTGTGAGTTCTTCGTAAAGCTAAATGTACTGTCCCTTCTTCTGAGATTCTATTTCTCCTACCTTCTTGGTGTCGAAATGCCCCTATATTGTTATTTGATGATGATGATGATGATGATGATTTACTATCCTTACATGGTATAATAAGTTAGCAAACTTATTTCAATATGCTACACATCACCAATTTTTTAAAAGCTACTGACCTGAGTATATAGCAGAGTATATTTTCCAGTATGCCTTGATTTGTGCCATGGTAACAGATCAACTATCATCATTATTACTCAGGGAAACTATGGACTTGTTTGGAGTCACTTCAGAATTCTAGCCTCCATCCTACAACCAGGGGTTGTTGGCCTCCATGACAGAGAGCTGTTAGGTACTGGGTGCAGAAGATTCATGCTGCTCCAGTGGATTGAGGTCAGCTTCACCTAACCTAAAAAAAAATATATAGTTATATATTTTGTGTCTCTAAACATGGGGAAGTTTTGGATATGCTGAAAAATATATAAAAATTGATAAATACCAAGATAAGGGCCCATATCAACATGTTGACTAGTTTGAGGGAACCCAGGATTTGTGAGAAACCTCATGTAGGGCACAGAGACAGAATCATGAGTGAGAAGAACGTGGCTGAGGCTTAACCATATAAGTCTCGTTTTCATCGCCGTTAAGTGGAAATGATCACCCTGTCTTGCCTCTCTGGAGTGTTTGCTTGCAGATTGAATGATAATGGATAGGAGAGTGCTTTGCAAACTACAGCATCCCCAGACAAATTTAAGAAATGACTCTCTTTTACTTTGTTGACAATTTAGAAGGCAATATTTCTAGACACGTGACATCGCTCCAGGCAATCCCTTCACTGAGAAGAGATGATGAAAATGTACATGGCCTGCAGGCTAAATACTGTCAGAACATGTTATCACCAAATAAATCTGGACAATTCTATTTTTTTTTTTTTGAGACAGGGTCTCACTCTGTCACCCAGACTGGAATACAGTGGCGTGATCTCGGTTCACTGCAACCTCTGCCTCCCAGGCTCAAGCGATTCTCCTGCCTCAGCCTCCCAAGTAGCTGGGACTACAGGTGTGCACCACCATGCCTGGCTAATTTTTGTATTTTTAGTAGAGATGGGGTTTTGCCATGTTGGCCAGGCTGGTCCTGAACTCCTGACCTCAGGTGATCTGCCTGCCTCGGCCCCCGAAATGCTGGGATTACAGGAGTGAACCACTGCATCTGGCTCGACAATCCTATTTTTAATGCCATATTCCCAAACCTAGTAACGAGGCAGAGAGCCTCCATTCTAGCGGGCTGCGGGATGCAAAGTCGGGTCTGAAGTACATGAAAGGACAGCCAGGAGCTGTGTCAGTTGCTCATGCCGCCATGTTCTGGGTAAATATCTCAGACAGCATTTGGGCTGCATGATATACTGGTGTAAATTCAGAAGCAGACTCTAGCACTAGCAATATCTTCAACTGACAATAAATTATTTTCATTGCCCTAAGGTCCATGTTGTTGGAATGCACTCAGATTATAGTCCATTACTGAGTAATAACAGTTGTCATTTGTTGAGTGCTACCTATGCAGAGGGACAATTTTAAGTGTTTTAATATATTATCTTATTTAATTCTCTTAGCAACCCTATGAGGATGGTACCTTCTTTGTCTTTTTTTTTTTTTTTTTTTTGAGACAGAGTTTCACTCTTGTTGCCCAGGCTAGAGTGCAATGGAACAATCTAGCTCACTGCAACCTACACCCCCACCAGGTTCAAGTGATTCTCCTGCCTCAGCCTCCCGAGTAGCTGGGATTACAGGCATGAGCCACCATGCCTGGCTAATTTTGTATTTTTAGTAGAGATGGGGGTTTCACCATGTTGGTCAGGCTGGTCTTGAACTCCCGACCTCAGGTGATCCGCCTGCCTCGGCCTCCCAAAGTGCTGAGATTACAGGTGTGAGCCGCCGCACCCGGCCAGTCTTCATTTTTAAGATAAGGAAACTGAGGCATACAGAACTGAGTACTTTATCCAAGGTCATGATTAATTAGTGGCAGAGACTGAATTGGGCCAAGGCAGCCTCACCCAGGTGTAACCTATATTGCTTTTCTATTTTTATTAAACATGTACTCTTTTCTAGGCACTGGACTAGTCAACTACAGGAATTGATAAAATAAAATCTAGGACCTCAAAAAGCACTCAGTCTAGTGGGGAGGAGTTACAACATAATGTAGGAAGTACTGCATATTTATCCCTCTGATGCAGATTTATTTTTCTCCAAAGCATCCTTTATTGCCAACTAGCAAACTACATATTTACATCCTTGTTTTTTTAATTTTCTGTCTTCCTTTACTCAAACTATAAACTCTATGAGGGCAGGGTCTTCATTTTGTTCACTTTATATCCTAGTATCTAGAGATGTGTCTGGCAAGTAAATTTGTAGAAGCTGCGTTCAAGGAACAGGAGTGGAAATTAAATAAAAATGAACAAAAGATGTCACAAAATATCACAGGATTCTTCCTCAGTAATCTGGACTGACCAAATCTTCATGCAATGGAGTATGCTGAAAGCTTCAGGGAGAAGAAAGGGCATCAGCTAGAACTCCGGTAGTGAAGCTGCCCTTTAGATGTCCTGGAGTTATTTTGGGTGTATGTACCTTTACACTCCAGTCATCCCCCCACCTCCCACATCCTCTCCAACCACACCGAACAGGTTGTTGTTTTCTACAAATTGATATACCTTCACGCATTCTGTTCCCCTTCCCAGAGGACCTTTCTCCTGTGCCCCCTTCTACCTTCACTTCCTTTCTGCTTTGCCACCTCAATTGTATCCTTCAAAACTCAAATCAGCTGTCACTTCCTCATTGCGATGACCCACCTCTGTGCTCCCATATCACCCTCTACAATCATCCAGTGCTAAAAATCACTGTTTTATTTGTCTCTGCCCTACACTGAAGACTTCTTGAGAGCAGAGTCCATGTCTTATTCAGCCTATATTTCCAAACCAAACACTATGCCTGATATGAGAATGAATGGTGAAATGGAAGATCTCTCCCCCACGGCTCCACTACACAAACACACATACATCCCACTCACAGTAGTGACTGTGTCCTCTAATTCCAGTACTCCCTTCACTAAGCTATGACAGTGCTCCATACAGAAGTTGTTTCAATAAATACAATCATGAAAATATAAAAAGTAATATCAGGGGAGTACTTTTACAACTAAGTAGGAAAACATGTTACAACGCTATACAATGCTACAAAGTAAAATAGTGTGCTAAATGTGCAAAAGCAAACAGGCAAATCAATGAAATAGAGTAGAAATCCCATAACAAATAAAAGTTTGTAGAAGCCAATTAAGCCAACTGAGTTTCTTTCCTCACAGGGACCTGGTGTGCCATGGCTGCAAACAGCAGCTTCCTTGTCAGGGTACGCAGACTGTTTCTTGGATGGGTTGCTCTAAGGGACCTTGGAGACAGGCCTTTCAAATGTATGTTCATGTCTCTGACCTTGCACTACCCCCAGTGTAGGCTCCAAACAGATTCCTTGGGAAAGCCCCAGGGCACTGTGGCCAGGGTTCACATAGGCCAAGTCATCATGTCCATGCGCACCAAGCTGCAGAACAAGCAGCTTGTGATTGAGGACCTATGCAGGGCCAAGTTCAAGTTACTTGGCTGCCAGAAGATCCGCATCTCAAAGAAGTGGTGCTTTACCAAATTCAAGGTGGATTAATTTTTTTTTTTGAGATGGAGCTCGCTCTGTTGCCCAGGCTGGAGTGCAGTGGCGCAATCTCAGCTCACTGCAACCTCCACCTCCCAGGTTCAAGCAATTCTCCTGCCTCAGCCTCCCAAATAGCTAGGACTACAGGTGTATGCCGCCACCCCCAGCTAATTTTTTTTGTATTTTAGTAGAGACGGGTTTTCACCATATTGCCCAGTCTGGTCTCGAACTTCTGAGCTCAGGGAATCCGTCCGTCTTGGCCTCCCAAAGTGCTGGGATTACAGGTGTGAGCCACCACGCTGGGCCCAAGGTGGATGAATTTGAAGATACGGTGGCTGAGAAGTGGCTCCTCCTACATGGCTGTGGGGCCAAGTACATCCCCAGTCGTGGTCCTCTGGACAAGTGTCCGGCCCTGCTCTAGTGAGGGCTTCCACTGTGCTGCCCCCTCCTGATGCCCACCAGTAAATCCTACTTCCTGTCCACCTATTTTTAAAAAAGTATATATAAGTATATTTCATGACAGTGACATTTTCTAATCAATTATGAAATGACCAGTTATTCAGAAAATGCTAAGACAAATTGGTTAAAGATCTGGGGTAAAAAAGAACACTCAAATTCCTATATCATATCATATGCCATTATAAATAAAGATGAATTCAGTACGCCTGTAATCCCAGCACTTTGGGAGGCCGAGGCAGGCAGATCATGAGGTCAGGAGATTGAGACCATCCTGGCCAACATGGTGAAACTCTGTCTGTACTAAAACACAAAAAATTAGCTGGGCGTGGTGGCACAAGCCTGTAGTCTCAGCTACTCGGGAGGCTGAGGCAGGGGAATTGCTTGAACCTGGGAGGCAGAGGTTGCAGTGAGCTGAGATGGCACCACTGCACTCCAGCCTGGCGACAGAGCAAGACTCCATCTCAAAAAAAAAAAAAAGTAATAACTCATATTATTGTTTACTATTTGCCAGACCTGATACCAAGTATGTCATAAGCATTAACTAATCTGAGCATCATGACAATTCTATGAGGTTGGTACTATTAATTTTATTTCTATTTTCAGATGTGTAAACAGGTTCAAAGAATTTAAGTTGATCAAGGGCTCATGACTAATAAGTCAGGGGAACTTGTACTCAAATCTAGGACCAACTAATCCAATAGCTGTGACTTACTTTTGTGTGTGGGTGTAGCTTATTCTTTTTAAAAATTTATTTTTAATTGACAAAATATAATTATATATATTTATGGAGTACAATGTGATGTTTTGATATATGTATTCGATGTGGAATGATTAAATTAAGCTAATTAACATATCCATCACCTTATATACTTATCATTTTTTTGGGGTGAGAACATTTGAAATTTACTTTCTCAGCAATTTTGAAACATGCAACACAGTATTATTAACTATAGTCACCATGCTGTGCAATAGATCTCAAAAACTCCTTCCTCTTGTCTAACTGAAACTTTGTATCCTACAGCTTTTACTCTTAACCAGTGTACTATGGTATTTTTTACTAAAGAAGTCTTAACACTCACACAACTGAGGAATTACCACTAAAAGAAAATGTTTGGAGTAGGGAAGACATTTCTCAATATAATTTAAAAAACATTAGCTTACAGCAGAAACTGTAAAGAAAAAGACTGCTAGATTTGAAATAAATATTTAAAAATTATATGATAAACAAAAGGCAAATTTAACACTCAGAAATCTTTACTTATAGATAAGGAGTTGCTGGGCACTATGGCTCATGCTTGTAACCCCAGTACTTTGGGAGGCCAAGGTGGGAGGATCGCTTGAGCCTAGCCCCAGTTTGAGACCAGCCTGGACAATAAAGTGAGACCCTGTATGTCTAAAAAAAAAAAAAAAATAGCCATGCGTAGTGGTGCATACCTGTAGTACCAGCTAATAAGGAGGCTAAGGCTGGAGGATGGCTTGAGCCCAGGAGTTCAAGGCTGCAGTGAGCTATGATGACACCACCACACTCCAGCCTGGGTGACAGAGCAAGATCCTGTCTCAAAAAAAACAAACAATAAAAAGGTTTAGTCTTAATTTTTGAAGAAATTTTATAAAACAATAACAACAACAAAAATCCAAATAGAAAGAAATGGGCAAAGAACACAAATGAAAATATTTAAATAGCCAGTAAAATTCACCCCAAAAGTTTAGCCGTAGTAGTGATCAAAGACATGCAAATTTGAACAATACTTAGATTCCATTTTTTCTGTATCAGATTGGCCAAATGAAAAATACTGTTAAAATCCGGTGTTGATTTTTTTATAGGGAAATCAGCCACTCATGAATATACTGCGGCTGGGACTGTAAATTCTTATAGCCATTTTGGAGAGTGATTTGTTAATATGTCTTAAAAGCATTAAAATACCTTTGACCCAAAAATTCCATATCATGATAAAATAGAAATAAGTGCAGAGATGAATGTTCATAAAATTGAAAGTTTGACTGAATAAAGTGGCCAGCAATAGGGGACTGGTTATGTAAATTACAGAATAACCCCATACTGGAATAATATGCAGCCTTAAAGTGATACAGATTTTAAACTCTGCTTCCAAGGGTTCCATAGAAATCCTATAGAACTCTTCGGAACCCTATGGAATCCTTTCACTAACCTATTGGAAGGTAGTAAAACGTAAATATGTAGCTAGAACTGAGGCTCCCACCTCTTTCCTTAGCCAGAACAGCTCACTTCCTATCTGTTCTATGTATTAGGGTTTTGAGTCAGAATCCATTAAAAGGCAGGGGAGGATATTTCATTAACATTGAAAAAAACTAACATTGTTGAGAAATATGTCTGAAGCTACTAACTGGCCTGTTTTATTTTATTTTGAGACAGGTTCTCACTCTGCTGCCCAGGCTGGAGTGCAGTGGTATGACCATGGCTTACTATAGCCTTGGCCTTTTGGGCTCCAAGCGATCCTCCAGCCTCAGCCTCCTGAGCAGCTAGGAGTACAGGCATGTACCACCACACCTGGCTAATTTTTTATTTTTTGTAGAGACAGGGTCTCACTATGTTGCCCAGGCTGGTTTTGAACTTCTGGGCTCAAGCAGTCCTCTTACCTCAGCTTCCCGAAGTGCTGGGATTACAGGTTTGAGTCACCATGACTGGCCCTAACTGGCCTTTAAATAAATTACTCATTTTTACTGGGTCCAAGTTTCTTTTCTTTTTCCCATCTGAGGTAGGAAAACAAGGCTGTCCAGCTTGTGTTGGTCCTGACAATGATCCTTGAGGGCTGGACTTGGCCTCCAGCCATGGCTAAGGAGAAAAGGGAGCCTCCCAGTGTCCTGATCTACAAAAATGAGACAAACACCTAAGGTCCTTGCCAATAAAAAATTCTAAGAGACTGAACTTCCACTCCAGGTTTCAAGTGTTTGTGTCTGAAATCACACCCATGTCTGCTTCCCTCCCAAAGGTTTCTCCTTGGGATGACGCTGAAGCAGTGAAGTTCCCCAGAGCTGTTATGGAGACCTGGATACGCAGCACTGTGCAGAGGGCAACATCTTGGATATGCCTCTTTAAAGGATGAATAGACTTGGAGGGAGGCCACATAGATAAGTCCGACTGGGGGCACTGCATGGGATGACAGATCTGAAATGTGTCATCTCTGCTCTGACCCCAATCTCTGTACCCTTTTTTACTCATAAGCTTTTTATTTTAGAATGGTTTTAGATTAACAAAAACGTTGTAAAGACAGTATGGAGTTCCCATATACCGCTTACAAAGTTTCCCCTATTGCTAACATCTTACATTACTGAGGTACTTTTGTCACAACTAAAGAACCAACATTGGTACATTGTTATATATATATATATATATTTTTTTTCTTTTCTTTTCTTTTTTTTTCAGAAACAGGGTCTTGCTATGTTGCCCAGGATGGCTTCAAACTCCTGGACTCAAGCGATTCTCCTGCCTCAACCTCTCAAGTAGCTGGTACTACAGGCACGAGCCAATGCACCCTGGTATATTAATATTAACTAAACTCCACACTCTATCCAATTTCACTGTTTTTAAAAGTGTCCCTTTTTGGTTCCAGGATCCCAGGCAGGATATCACATTACATTTAGTTGTTATGTCACTTTAGCCTCCTCTGATCTGTGACACTCCCAGACTTTTCCTGTCCTTGATGACCTTAAAGATTTTAAGTGGTACTGGTATGTTGTAGAATGTCTCTCAATTTGGGATTTTTTTTTTTTTTTGAGGCAGGGTTTTACTCTGTTGCCCAGGCTGGAGTGCAGTGGTGCAATCATAGCTCGCTGCAGCCTCCAACTCCTGGGCTCAAGCGATTCTCTCATATCGACTTCCAAAGTGCTGGGATTGTAGGTGTGAGCCACCATGCTTAGATTTTTTTTTTCTTAAGACAGTCTCACTGTGTTGTCCAGGCTGGAGTGCAGTGGCGTGATTAATCAGAGCTCACTGCAGCCTTGGCTTTCTGGGCTCAGCTGATTCTCCCACCTCAGCCTCTCGAATAGCTGGGACCACAGGTGGGCACCACCACACCTGGTTAATTTTTGTATTTTTTGTAGAGGCAGTTTTCGCCATGTTGCCCAGGCTGTGCCTGATGGATTTTTTTTGAAATGAATACCTTAAATTTACTCATTTGCCCAGTTGCAAGATTCTCCAAGGCTTTATTTATGCTGGCGTAGCCAGCATCTTTTTAAAAAATGACATTTATATATACTCACTTAGGTAAATTAATGTACCCATCTCAACTGTTCCCTTTGGCTACACGGACAAACTCATATTCCAAAGAATATGACCCTAAAACTGAAAAGATGCAACAACGCTTCAGGCTTTGTGCTGATACATTTGTTAGAAACATTGGATGAGATGATACAGAGCATTTTACACCGTGCCTGACACATAATTGGCACTCAATACATATTAGCTATTGTTATTGAGAAGTACTAGGTCTTTTCTTCTTACATTTCTTGGCATTTGTTAAGTCATGACATTGTGCCAGAGATTACATGGATGGAAAGGTAAAGTGTAAGGAGTAAGGAGATGGGGTGAGAGGCATTTCATGATTTGTCAAATTTTGAATAAAGGAACCTCACTTCTTACAAAAATAAAAAGTACTGGAAATGCAGTAGTAAGTAAAGAACAAGGATGTACACCTGAAGGTAATATTATAAATCAGGAATATAGGAAAAACCACCTGGACCTGGCCTGGCTTTTTTTTTTTTTTCAGGTTCTCACTCTGTTGCCCAGGCTGGACTGCAGTGGCATAATCTTGGCAGCCTTGACCTCCCAGGCTCAGATGATCCTCCCATCTCAGCCTCCTGAGTAGCTGGGACTACAGACACACCCACTATGTCTGGCTGGCCTTGCATTTTGATTTGTTAAAAAATATTTAGTGATAACTTACTATGTGCCAGGCATTGTGTTAGGCATGAGGATACAACAGTTAATAGACAGATTTGGTTCTTACCCTCATGGAGTTTGCTGTCTACTGAGGGACACAACAGTTAATAAAGTAAACATTTCTAGCCATTGAAACTATAAATAATAACAATAAACAAATAAACAAATGGATATGCAATTATAAATTGTGGTAAACAATAACCATCTCTAACAGACAATTCAAACTCGATTTGTCCAAATTAAGTTCTTTTTTCCCTTGTGCCTTGTCCAGTGTTCTCCATCTCAGTAAATGACACCATCATTCACCAATTACTTAGGTCAAAAACCTTGAAGTGATCCTTGACTCAGAATTTTCCCATATCTCAGTCAATCTTGTCTTTTGGCTGTACCTTCCAAAGTTATCCTGAATTCAACCTCTTCTTGCCATTCCTGAGACTACCCTATTGCCCAAGGCATCATCATCTCTCACCAGGAATATACAATGCATCTTGCTGCTTTTAACCTTTCTCCTGTGAGGACTCTTCTCTGCACACCAGTAAGAATGATCCTTTTTAGCATTCTCCCCAGATATATAATGCCCAGGAATAAGTTTAACCAAGGTGATGAAAGACTTGTACACTGAAAACTATAAAAGCATTGCTGAAAAAATTTAAGGAAGACCTATAGAAACGGAAAGACATTCCTTGTTCATAGGTTGGAGACTTAATATTATTTAGATGGCAGTAAAGCCCGAAGTGATTTACATACTCAATGCAATCCCTATCATAATTTTAAAGACTTTTTTGCAGAAATGGAAAAGCCAATCCTCAGATTAAAATGTAATTGCAAAGGACCTCAAATAGTCAAAATGATATTGAAGGAAAAGAACAATGTTGGAAGAGTTATACTTCCCAATTTCAAAACTTACTACAAAGGTACACTAATTAAAACTGTATGGTACTGGCATAAGGATAGAGATATAGAAGAGAATTGAAAGTCCAGAAATAAACTCACACGTTTATGGTGCTGATTTTTGACAAGGACACCAAGTCCATGCAATATAGAAAGAATAATCTCTTCAACAAATGGTGCTGGGACAATTGGATAACCACATACAAAAAAATTAAGTTGGATACCTACTTCATACCATAAGCAAAAATTACCTTAAAATGCATTAATGACATAAATACAAGAGTTAAAACCACAGAACTCTTAGAAGAAAACAAAGATAAATCTTCATGATCTCGGATTTGGCAATGAATTCTTACATAGAACACCAAAAGTATGAGCAATAAACAAATAAATTTTGTGCCTCAAAGGATAGTTTTAGAAAGTAAAATGACAACTTACAGAATGGTCAAAAATATTTGTAAATTATATATTTGGTAAGGGTCTACTATCTGGACTATAAAGAACTCTTACAACTCAACAATAAAAAGACAAACAACCCAACTTTAAAGTTGGCAAAAAGTGCAGGGCAGGGTCGCATGTGCTTGTAGCCCCAGCTACTCAGGAGAAGAATTGCTTCAGCCTAGGAGTTCAAGTGTAGACCAGGTAATATTGCAAGATCCAGGCTCTAAGAATAAATAATTATTTTTTTTAAATGGGAAAAAACTTGAATAGACATTTCTCCAAAGAGAATGTACAAATGGCCAACAAGCACATAAAAATACTAAGCATCATTAGTTATTAGGGCATGACACCTACTAAGAGGGCTATAATTAAGAAAAGATAGATAATAGTAAGTGTTGATCAGGATGTGAAGTAATTGGAACCCTCTTATATCGCTGGTGGGAATGTAAAATGGTTCAGCCATGGTGGAAAACAGTTTGTTGGTTCCTTAAAATGTTAAATACAGAATTATCATATGACCCAGCAATTCCAAGAAGTGTATAAATGAGGACTGTATTTGTCTGCTACTCAAAGACATGTACATCCATGTTCACAACAACACTATTTACAATGGCTGAAAGGTGGAAACAGCCCAAATATCCATCAATGGATGAATGTATAAACAAATTATGGCATATCCATACAATGGAATGTTATTCAGCCATGAAAAGAAATGAAGTACGGATAAACACTACAATGTGGATGACCCTTGAAAACATTGTGCTAAATGAAAGGAGCCAGACACAAAAGGTCATCTATTGCATGATTCCATTTACATGAAATATTCACAATAGGAAAATCCAAAGAGATAGAATGAAGATTGATGTTTGCTAGAGGCTGGGGGCAGGAGAGAATAGGGAGCAACTGCTTAATGGCTAAGGGATTTCCTTTTGGGGTGATGACAATGTTTTGGAAGATAGAGGTGGTGGTTGCCCCACATTGTGAATGTGATACATGTCACTAAATTGTTCGCTTTAAAATGGTTAATTTTATGTATGAGAATTTCACCTTAAAAAAAAAAAGCCCTTGAAGGTCTGGGGTGGTGGCTCACACCTGTAACCTTTGGAAGGCCAAGGTGGGTGGATTGCTTGAGCTCGGAAGTTTGAGACCAGCCCGGGCAACATGGTGAAACCTTGTCTCTACCAAAAATATAAAAACTTAGCTGGGCATGGTGGCGTGCATCTGTGGTCCCAGCTACTTTGGAGACTGAGGTAGGAGGAACCGTTGAGCTTAGGGGGCAGAGGTTGCAATGAGCCAAGATTACTCCACTGCACTCCAGCCTGGGAGACAGAGTGAGATTCCCTCTCAAAAACAAAAACAAAAACAAATACAAAACAAAACAAAACAAACAAAAAGTCCTTTTAAGAAGATTCTATCATTTCACCATTAGTGGTTTAAGATGAGGTTGAAGAGTAAGCTTAGGCCATATCAAGCAGGGACTTGGAATCAAGCTTTATGGGATGCCAAATCATGATTAATCAAAAGCTATTCACCATGAAAGACTGCTTTCTTGGGGACCAGAAATATAGACGAGTGTTTTCTCTTCCTTTAAGAGAGGGGGCCAGAAGGTTGTTTGAAGAAGCAAGGAATTAGCACCAGGGATATTAGGTTGATTGATGCCTACTGACATCAGCCTCGGGTGGCCTGACTCATCCTTCTTGTGATAGTGATGGTTTTGCCAATGGTTCATGATACTTAAGGTCTAATTGCTGAGGCTCCCTCAGGGATGGGCACTACCAGTCCTTGCTTCAGTGGCTTCCCTTCGTCTATGTTCTCTTGACTGACCAACCTTCTCTTTCCTCTGCACTATCCATCCATTCAATTTGGCACATTCTTTAGGTTTGGTAATATCTTCAGTTATGCCTAGGAGCTGCCCCGTCTCCTTCAGGTGACTAAGCATATGTCTAATCCCATCCACATCTTATTTAAGGCCCATGGGGTGTGTGTGTGTGTGTGTGTTTTTTAATGGGCACCTCATTTATAGACTCCATGTAGCCACAATACTCCCAAAGTAACTCAAATGGCTGGATAATTCTCTGTTCAGTAGCTTTCAATTAGGACTAAATCAAGTGAAGTAAAATCATCTACGGAGATTTTCTGAACTTTATATGATTAAAATCCTACCCCAAGCTAATTCTGACAGACCAGAGGATTGGGGTGGGTGGAGTGGACAAGCATGAATATTTTAGATTATCTCTGCTGTGATTCTGAAAACCTTTCTCCATTTCCATCCTTGTGATAACTATCATATACTTCAAAGGGGCTACTGGCTCTGGGCAGGAATCTGACACACAGAGATGCTTACCAAGGTAACTGTCCCTTTAACATATGAATCCAGAGCCCAGTTGCTTTTGAAGGGACAGGAAGATCCCACAAAACTGCCTTGGATACTTCTCCATCAGCCAAGTCTTTGCCACTATTTTTGTTTCAGAACCACCCACTTAGTTGAGGCTTTCTTTCTCAGGAAAGACATTTACCCACCAGAGTTCTCACCCACCAGAGAGTGGGAAAGAAGAGAACTGGTGGAAGTAGGAGCTGCAAGGCAAAAAGAATATTTGTCACTTGCAGACTGATTCTGCCCCTCTACTACTTCTTTGCAACAGGAAAGATGGACACTACAGGGATTTAGAAGTGAAGAAAAGGGTGAATGATTTCACAATTTACTTTGTGGTGGTAGAGGGTAGAAATGCAGGTCGAATCCCCTTCATAAATGATCAAATCCCTCAACTCCTTGGAATCTGGGTTGATGAGATAAGCAGAGTACAATGCCAGCTTCAGATTACTCCAATTGCAGATGGCGGTGCTTGTCAATGGAGATGATCATTTTTCCATGGGAGATTTGGAAGATAAGAGGAAGAGGAACCAGTATTACTATTAAAATTCTAACAGCATTGAGTTGGCCATTTGATTCTTTGGGTTTGGACAACAGTAAGATATGAGTGGTTTTCAGCAGTGGAAATTTAAATCTGTCAGTGTGTCAGTAAGTTGCTTTAGAGCAATCTACCAGAGCCTGTTGGTGACAGTAAGAAATGGTTCTGTCCCACCTTTCTCCCTCAGTTTCTCTCCCTAAAAGCAAAGACCACACTAAGAGGTTCACCCTGAGAGGTGGCCAAATCAACATAGCATGGTGACTAAGCATGGTGCTTTGGAATTGCAGCTTCCAAAATGGAACTTATTTCTTTGGCAGACATAGCCAGATGTGGCCTACAGAAATATTTTGTGTGGCCCACATATTTTTTTAACTTTCATCTGAGCCAATATTTAGAAATCCCAGTATCTGCTCTCTCTTCTCTGTCTATGCCTCTCTCTCTCTCTCCACCTCCCTCTCCTTGTCTCCTTCTCTATCTCTCATATCGGAAGCTCTGGTAATACTGATCCTGCATTTCTGCATGGCAGGGATAGACTGAAACTGAGAAGTAGCATCTCTCTTGGGCAGTTCACCATAGTTCCCACCACCCACACAGCACATGGATGTACTTTTATACCCAAGGCCATTTGATCTCGGACCTCCTTTGGTGTGCAGGAAGCTATTGACATGTCCCAGACCACTCAAAACCCAAAGAAGGAAGCATCAGATGTCTAACCAGAAAAGTCTAACGAGAACCCCCAAGTGCAAACTCCCTTTAGTTGTAATGGGCAAAACACATGAGACATTCCTGTAGATAGTCCTCCTGGAAGATGTGCCATATGATGAAGAAAGCAGTGGCTTCTCTGTAATAATGCAGAAGTGATTAACATTGATCCCTGAGCAAACAGTTATCTCTTATGCCCCAATAAGCTCATTTCTAGGATAACCAAACACTCCTAATGCAGTTGTTCTCCACTGAGGTGAGTGCACTGAGGTTGAGAAAGTGTCCTTGGTACTGACACATGCCACCACTGCTTCTGATTGACAATCACTCTGTTCTAACCAGTCTGAGTCTGTGTGATCACTTTTTTTTTTTGCTTTGAGACAGAGTTTCACTCTTGTTGCCCAGGCTGGAGTGCAATGGCGCATGTGTGATCACTTCTATGGTAACTATAGCTCCTCCTTCAGAACTATGTCTTGGCTCTGAATCCCTGGGGATTATGTTACAACTAAAGGGAGAAGGAGGAACCCTGAGGATTATAAATGTTGCCAAGGGCAGTGGTGGTTCCTAAATCTATCTATGCATCAGAATCACTTAGACATTTTTTAATGTTCATGTTCCTGGGCTTGATTACACTCCTGCTGTGTTAGTCCATTTGTATAGCTATAAAGGAGTATCTGAGGCTGGATAATTTATAAAGAAAAGAGGTTTCATTGATTCATGGTTCTGCAGGCTTTACAGGAAGCACACTGCCAGAATCTGCTTCTGGTGAGGGCCTCAGGAAACTTCCAATTATGATGGAAGAAAAAGGGGAAGCAGGTGCATCGCATGGCGAAAGCAGGAGCAAGAAAGAGAGAGGGAAGAGGTGTCACACTCTTTTAAACAACCAGCTCTCACATGAACTCAGCGAGAACTCACTTATCACCAAGGGGATGATACTTCATTTATGAGGGATCTGCCTCCATGATCCAATCACCTCCCACTAGGCCCTGTGAACATTGGGAATCACGTTTCAACATGAGACTAGGAGGGGACAAACATCCAAAACATATCAGCTACTGGATTATACTCTTTGGGAATGGAATCCAGCTCTTTGCGTTCTTCACATGCCCACCAGATGATTCTAATGCAGCTGTCCTAGCACCAGCCTGTGCCTCTAAGACAACTTTAGAGAGGCATTGGTTCACAGATGTGGAGGATTCTCTGGAACCTCCCACATTCATTCTGGAATCAGCAACTTCATGCCCCACACTCAATCCCTATCATGCCATCAGAGCCTTTTGTCCTACTGGAGTTTCTGATGTCACAGACAGTGGCTTAACACTATAGTCTGGTGTCAAAACTGACCTGAGCATAAATCTTTCCTCTGCCACTTGCAAACTGAGTGGTCTTAAGTAAGTTGTGACCCCTCCTCAAACTTCAGCTTCTCATCTGTGAAACAGTGATAGTAACACCTACCTCCCAGAGTTGCTGTGACAACTCCTTGAGATAGCATGTGTAAAGATTTGCAACTCGAGATTTGTGTACATGATTGTTATATGGTAAATCCTGGCTCATTTTCTTGCCTTCCAGAAGTAGGGTCAGTTCAGTACTCGTAGGAACTCTTTTTTTTTTTTTTTTTTTTGAGACGGAGTCTTACTCTGTTGCCCAGGCTGGAGTGCAGTGGCGCGATCTCGGCTCACTGCAAGCTCTACCTCCCAGGTTCACATCATTCTCCTGCCTCAGCCTCCCAAGTAGCTGGGACTACAGGTGCCCGCCACCACACCCAGCTAATTTTTTTGTATTTTTTTTAGTAGAGACGGGGTTTCACCGTGTTAGCCAGGATGGTCTTGATCTCCTGACCTCATGATCCACCCGCCTTGGCCTCCCAAAGTGCTGGGATTACTGGTGTGAGCCACAGCACCCAGCCAGGAACTCTTAATTGGGACTTTTCCTCCAGGTGTCCTAATACCAGAGTACCTATGTCAGCCCACAACCCAATTTAGAGAAGAAAGACCCCAATTTAAGAATGTATGGCCCGGCACCATGGCTCATGCCTGTAACGCCAGCAGTTTGGGGGACTGAGGCAGGCAGATCACTTGAGGTCAGGAGTTTGAGACCAGCCTGGCCAACATGGTGAAACCACGTCTCTACCAAAAAAAAAAAAAAAATACAAAAATTAGCCGGGCATGGTGGTGCACACCTGTAATCCCAGCTACTCAGGAGGCTGAGGCAGGAGAATCACTTGAACCTGGGAAGCAGAGATTGTAGTGAGCCAAGATGGCATCACTACACTCCAGCCTGGGTGACAGAGTGAGATCCTCTCTCTCTCTCTCTCTCTCACTCTCTCTCTCATTCTCTCTCTCTCTTTCTATATATATGTATATATATGTATATACATACACACACACACACACACACACAGACACACACACACACTTTGGCTTTATGTTAAAATTTGAGAATCTGCTCCATTTGCTAATGTAAGTATGCTTCAGTTTAGTTCTCTTAAATAAAGCAAAAGCTACTCCCCATGGCAACAGTTATGGGACTCCTCCCATAGTCCACGCCTGTCTTGGGGAGAAGAGAGAGAATTATTTAAGTGACATGTTCTCAAAATAAGGCCAAAGAACAAGCTCCCCAAAATGTGCCCTAATTCCCTTGATAATTTGTGAAAAGCTGAGGCAGCTACATAAGCATTTTCCTAAGACATGGAAAATAAAGCCAGGGAGAATGCAACTATAAAAGACATTAATTTCAACCCAGAAGGGGCTCATTAAAAAACTTTAAAAAGTTATACTGTTTTCAAAACATAAGCTTTATGTCAGAACCAGCCTCAATAGATAACAATGAAGCCTTTCCCAAAAAGTGGTGATACAGGTTTAGAAAATGTATTTACCTGAGCAGGCTTGTCTAACCTGATTTGTTTTGGAATCAGATGCCTTCAGGTACCTTCTGGTATGCCAAGCCTATGGACTCTGGCCTGAGTACTTGAAGCTATGGCAAGAAGGGCAAGAAAGGAAGGGAAATCTTGATCAGAACCATGGGCAGAGGCCAGGTTCTGGAATTAAGAGTTAAGGAAGTCCTGGAGGAGGAGCTGTCCATACACGTGGTGCTGATGACCCCAGCAGGTTGCCACTGTGAGGCTACAGGGAGCAACAGTGCATCAAGCAATCTTGGAGTCCTGGGAGAGTCTTACCTTGTGAATTTATGTACTTCAAATGGGGTTTAGGGTATTCATAGATCAGGATGGAATGCACTCGAATCAGGTAAGGCCATCAAAGCCTGCTGTCCTTGCTCTGCCCAGACGTAGAATATGACTCACAAACACCACAAGGAATTGCAGATATCACATCCCAAGAATCTCACAGAGGGAATGAGGTATAAAATTGGCATTTTCTGAGCACCCAGCTGCCTGTGTTAGACTCTTTACTTCCAATAATTCATTTTAATTTTAAGATACAGGTTCTTCTTCTTCTTTTTCTTCTTCTTTTTTTTTTTTTGACAGGTTCTCACTCTGCCACTCAGGCTGGAGCGCATAGCTCACTGTGGCCTTGAACTTCTGGTCTCAAGCGATCCTCCCACCTCAGCCTCTCAAAGTGCTGAGATTACAGGCATGAGCCACCAAACCCAGTCCACTATCCTCAATTTTATTTATTTATTTATTTATTTATTTATTTATTTATTTATTTATTTATTTTGAGATGAGTCTTGCTTTGTCACCCAGGCTGGAGTGCAGTGGTGCAATCCCGGCTCACTGAAACCTCCACCTCCTGGGTTCAAGTGATTCTCCTGCCTTAGCCTACTGAGCAGCTGGGATTACAGCCACCCGTCACCATGCCCAACTAATTTTTGTATTTTTAGTAGAGACTTGGTTTCACCATGTTGGCCGGGTTGGTCTGGAACTCCTGATCTCAAGTGATCTGCCTGCCTCAGCCTCCCAAAGTGCTGGAATTACAGGAATGAGCCACTGTGCCCAGCCACTATTCTCATCTTAAACTGGGAAACTGGCCAGGTGCAGTGGCTCACACCTGTAATCCCAGCACTTTAGGCAGCTGAAGCGGGAGAACTGCTTGAATCCAGGAGTTTGAGATCAGCCAAACAACATGGTGAGACTCCCATCTCTACAAAATTTTTAAAAATTAGCCAGGTATGGTGGTGTGCACCTGTAGTCCCAGCTACTCAGGAGGCTGAGGCAGGATGATCACTTGAGCCCAGGAGGTTGAGGCTGCAGTGAGCCATGTTTGCACCACTGCACTCCAGCCTGGGTGACAGAGCAAGACCTTATCTCAAATAAATAAATAAATAAATAAATAATTAGGGGAAACAAAACTCAGAAAAGTTAAGCAAATTTATCCAGTGTTCCACAACTAGTAAGTGGTCATCATCCTCCTTAAACTGCAACCTCTGTATATGAAATATGTCTAACTTACAAGCTTTTTCCTTTTACCATGTGCAATTTTCCTAGGGCTGAAGCCAAGACCTTGGTAGAACCATGTCTATTTGTTGGAAAGGAGGGTGGCCCTAGGAAATCGACTCAGGAAGGAGGTATTTAGGCCAGAATCTGGAGGCACAACATTAACTTCATGGCCTTTGCTCTGCCTGAGAGGGGCATCAGTGAAAATCATGCTTACCTTCTTCCTCAACCAGGAACCCATCATTTGTAGTTACTAACAAGGTGAAGCTAACTCTGCCAATAAATGGAGGTGACTTCAATTCTGATATTTTCCCCAATAGGGAGCACAGGCAGCACTGAATATGTCCCAAATGAACTCATTTCTTACCTCACTCTAGTTTTCCTTTTGTCCTATCTGTCTCAGCTATTTCACTGACCCAAGCTGTAAATCAGACATCCATAACTGACCCTTTCCGCATTCTTGTTCTTCTAGCCTTGCCAAGCTCTCCTCGTCGGTGTTACCTCCATATATCTTTGCAATTCTTCCACTTTTCTCATTTCTACTGCCACTTCCCTGGTGGAGGTGACCATCATCTCCTGCCTAGACTATTGCAGTAGACTCCTCGCTGGTCCCCTTGCCTCCAATTTTGTCGTCTGCAAGTCTTTCAAAGTGATCCCAAATGCAAAGCTGACCATGTTATTTCCCCACATTTAACGTACTGAGCATAGTACAGTGGTTAAGAGCGAGAGCTCCAAAGACAAACTACCTGGTTTTTTATCCCAGCTCTGTCATTACTGTGCATCCCTGCACAAGTCACTTAACTTAGACTTCATAACTGTAGAATGGGAATGATAGTAATGATACCTTCTTCAAAGAGTTGTTCTTGAGGATTACATAGTACCAGCTACTGCCTCATTTCTTTTATCTCCTTTACAGCAAAACTCTTTGAAAGGATTTTTAAAACTTTTTATTATAGAAAGATTCAAACATACATGAAGGCCAGGCGCAGTGGCTTATGCCTATAATCCCAGCACTTTGGGAGGCTGAGGCGGGCAGATCATCTGAGGTCAGGAGTTTGAGACCAGCCTGGCCAACATGGTGAAACCCCATCTCTACTAAAAATACAAAAATTAGTCAGGTGTGGTGGCATGTGCCTGTAATACCAGCTACCTGGGAGGCGGAGGCAGGAGAATTGCTCAAACTCAGAAGGCGGAGGTTGCAGTGAGCTGAGATCGCACCACTGCACTCCAGCCTGGGTGACAGAGTGAGACTGTCTCAAAAACAAACAAAAAAACATATGTCAAAGAGAAAAAGACTTAGTATATTCTCATGTACGCATCACCAGATTTTCAGTACTTATCAGTTTATGGCTAATGTTTTATGTCTCACCTCTTCTCCTGGATTATTCTGCAACAAATCTCAGGCATATAGTTTCATCTGTAGAATTTTCAATATGTACTTCTAAAAGATAGGAGCTCTTTTACAAAAAAAACCTCACACTGTATCATATCCAAAAAATAACAGTAATTTTTTCCCCTATTTTTTGTAGTAATGGAATCTTACTCTGTCACCTAGTCTGGAGTACAGTGGTATGATCATGACTTACTGCAATCTTAACTTCCTGGGTTCAAGCAGTCCTCCCACCTCAACCTCCCAAATAGCTGGGATTACAGGCACACACCACCAGGCCCTGTTAATTTTAAAATGTTTTTTTTGTAGAGATGGAGGTCTCCCTATGTTGCCTGGGCTGGTCTCGAACTCTTGGGTTCAAGTAATCTTCCTGTTTCAGTCTCACAAAGTACTGGGATTACAGGTGGGAGGCACTGTGCCCAGCCTCAGTAATTCTTTGATATAATCAAGAATCCAGTCATTGTCCAAATTTTCAATTATTTCAAATGTCAGGATTTTTTTCAGTGTTGTTTGTTTGAATCAAGCTATAAATAAGAATCATTCATTGTAATTTGTTGATTTACCTTTAAATCTCGTTTAATTTAGAGGTTTCTCTCTCCACCCTTTTTTTCATTTTTGCCATGTTTTTGTTGAAGAAACAAGACCATTTTTTCCTGTAGATTTTCCCCCAGACTGGATTTTCCTGTTGCATCCCTGTGGTGTTGCTAAATGGGTTCCTCTCTCCCTGTGGTTTTTATAAATTGATAGAACTAGAGGCTTAATTAGATTCAGGCTCTTTGTTATTTGGAAGTACATATTTCTTTTTATAGTGCCATTGGTGAGCATTGTCAAGATCCATTCATTCATCAGGAGTTGCAAAAATGATGATATTCTATTATTCCTTCTTTTTTTTTTTTTGAGACAGGGTCTCACTTTGTTGCCCAGGCTGGAGTGTAGTGGCATGAACATGGCTCACGGCTGACTTACCCTCCTAGGCTCAGGTGATCCTCCTACCTCAGCCTCCTAAGTAACTGGGACTATGGGTGCACCACCATCGCCAGCTAATTTTTGTATTTTTTGTAGAGATGGGGTTTCACCAGGTTGCCCAGGCTGGTCTTGAATTCCTGGGCTTCCAAGCTGCTGACATTACAGGCATGAGCTACTGCAGTAGGCCCTCATTCCTTCATTATTTGCTGGCTGAATACATCTACATGAAACTTCTCCTCATTAACTCTGGTTACCTTGAGGAAAAAGAGGATAGATATTTGGAGTTTTTTTTTCCCATTTACTTGCTAATTTTCAAAATAATGAATTGGTTCAGTTTCACTTTCTTTTAAATCTACTTTAGCCAGGATTTCACTCCCACAACACCACTGAACCTACTGTGGTTCATTCCTCATAATGATGCATCAGCAGCATTTAGCACTGAGGATCAATCTCTTCTTGAAACACTGACTTTACTTGGCTTTGAAGACACCACATCCTTTCGGTTTTCTCTCATCTCATTGACCTCACCATTTCAGTCTCCTTTGCTGGTTCATCCTTATCTTAAACTCTTATGTTGGAGTACCCCAGGGCTGTCTTTAAACTTCTTCTCTGTATATACACTTGGATCCTTGGAGATCTCATTCGGTCTCATTGTTTTAAAAATGCCATTTTTATACTAAATACTCACATATTTCTATCTCCAGTCTATGCCTCACCTCCAAACTTCAGACTCACATGCAACTGTCTACTTTATATCTGTGTTTGGAGTGTAACAGGCATTTCAAACCCAACCTGTCTGAAATCTAATTCCCAGTTTTCTCCTAAAACCAGCTTCATCCACATTCTTCGTCATTTTAGTTAATGACAACATTCTTCCAATTGCTCTGGCCAGAATTTCTGGAGTAACTTTTGAGTCCTCTTTTCCTCTCTTATCCCATATCTAATTTTGGGGAAAATGTATTGATTCAAAATACAATACATGGGGCTGGGTGTGGTAGCTGAGGCCTGTAATCCTAGCACTTTGGGAGGCTGAGGTCACTTAAGGTCAGGAGATTGAGACCAGCCTGGCCAACATGATGAAATTCCATCTCCACTAAAAATACAAAAATTAGCCGTGTGCGGTGGTGCACACCTGTAATCCCAGCTACTCGGGAGGCTAAGGCAGGAGAATTGCTTGAAGCCAGGCAGCAGAGGTTACAGTGAGCCAAGATCATGCCACTGTACTCCAGCCTGGGTGACAGAGCAAGACTCCATCTCAAAAACAAACAAACAAAAATAAAAAAGGCCCCCCCAAAATATAGTACATGCAAAGATCAGATCACTTCTCACATCTGCCACTGATGCCACTCTGGTCTAAATCTCTATCATCTCTCACCAGGATTATTGCAATACTCTCCAGTTGCATGCTATTTCTCCTGTCCTCATCCTCCACTTTCACTTGCATTGCTACCATTCAAAATTTGACACTCAGCTCAGTCATCCCTTCTTCACATAGCAGCCAGAGTAACTCTTTTAAAATATGTCCAGTTATAGTACTTCCCCCTTAAAACTCTCCACAGGTTCTCATCTCACTCAGAGATGCCCAAGTCCCTAAAATGACCTTTAGGGCCCTACATGATCTGTACCTCTGCTTCTTCTCTGATTGCATCTCTTGCACTTCACTTGTCCCATTCTATCTATACCGCCTTCCTTGAACAAGGCAAGCACACTCTTGACTCAGGGCCTTCGCATTTGCTCTTTTATCTGCTTGGAACAGTCTTCCCCACCTATGCTCTTGGCTTATTTTCTCACTTCCTTCAAATCTTTGTTCAAGAGTCATCTTCTCAATGAGCCTATTCTAGACATCTATCTTAAAAACTGCACCTTCTCCAGTACCACTATACTCTCTTCTTGCATCATTTTCATCCATTTTACTTATGACCCTTAAATATACCATATATTTGCCTTGCTAATTTGGTTGGTTTTCTCTCCCCACTTGAATGTAAGCTGCAAGACAGCAGGATGTTTTTGTCTTGTTCACTGCTGTACCTTAGAGTCCAGAGCAGAACTTAACACATGGCGGTACTCCAGTGATAGGTTCAAGGGCATGCAACCAGTGCAGGTGCATGGGGCCCATGCTCAGAGAGGGGGCCCTGCACTTGGAGTTTAATGCTGTGTGGTTGCCATCTTGAAATTCTTAATAATTTGATCTTTACATCTGTGTTTTGTAAGTGAGTCCGACTGGACACTGGAGCATGCTTCACGGGCTTCGTGCTCCAATTCGCATGTGATTTTGCCTCTGTTGTCCTTCACCTCTTCCAGATGGGTTCTCACCTACCTCCTCTTCCATTCCTTCTCAGCAACTGCCACCTTATGCCTCAGAGGGGACTTGGGCATGGACATGAGGAGGGTCAGAGTTGGGCATATGTGTGGCCTATGATCGAAGTCTCAGGGCAGGGCAGTGGGTGCCTGTGAGGGTCTGTACTTGCCCTGCCAGTATCCCTGTGCTTCAGGAATACAATATTAAATAGCAAATAAAAAATACCATGACTAGTGGAGAGGGACCGTGGAAGGAGGTAAAAAGCTTTTTCCTGCTTTTGAACTAGAGGCCCCACATTTTCAATGTGCATTGAAACTTTTCACCCTCACATCATGCAGCCATCCCTGTAGTGCTCAATATCTATTTGTGAAATGAATGAATGAATACTATATGTAAAACTGAGAAAATCTGGAATGTGCTAGGCATTCAGTAGAAGTTAGCTATTATCAGCTATTGGCTTATTAATGGCCACTTCTTGCTTCAAGTTTAACACTCAAGTTATATCCAACTATAGTTTTCTCCCCATTTTGTGATGTTTTGACACATGCATGTCTTTGTTTCTTGTCTTCTCTGCTGGGAATTCTTTTCTCTTTTCCTCCACTTTCACATACGTGGCTACCACTCAATGTGGCCACCCCTTCCTCCAGGAAGTCTTCTCTTATTCCTCCTGGGTCAGCTCCTCCATCTGCACCCACTTAAAACCCTGCATTCTTTCCCTCTGTCAGGTTTACTTCTTCCAAGGTGGGTAAGCTTCATCCAAAGTCTCAGAACTTCATTTGATGGGCTTTGGAACATGACTGTGCCACTAACCCAGTTTAGGCACCTCTTTTGCCAAGGGTGAGCTCCCTCCCTAACCCTGTGCCCCTGAGTTAAGCATTTGCTCTTCCTCTGCTTCATGCCTTATCTGGAGCCAGATTGATTGCTCTTAGTACCCAGGGTCCCAGTGAGACAGGGACTTGCCTGAACCTCAGCCTGCTATCGGGATCCTAATACCCATCCTAGTTGTGTCCATGGACAGTTCTTCTGGAATGGTGCTGTTCTGTTAGCACTGGAGCTGTGCACATTTTCTTTTTGTGTGTGCATGCTTTTTAACAACCTTGAGCTTTGGTATCTCTATCTATGAAATGGGAGTAAAAGTGTCCATCTGGCAAGTTTGTTGAGAAGTTTAAATAAAGAATACCTGACAAAATAGGATCTCAGAAAAATATTTGCGCCTCCTTCTGCCAGATGTAATAGTAGCTACTGGCATGGGCCCTTCCTATTGGCATGGTACTCCTGGTTTCTGTGCTGACATAAACAATTTTGAGCTACTCTAGTCTCAGTCTGTATGACACACTGGTCCTGCCTCAGCGTTAGTCACTATCTCCCCAGTAGGTCCTCCTGGCCTCAGAGAGGGAAAAAAAAATCATTGTTTTGGTTCAAGTGTGATAAACAGTGATTGACAGGCCTGAAAAAGAAGCTGTTGAACAACGAGAAAAAGCCTCTAATTATTCCCCTTAACCTGTCTGTTATCCTGTCTGTTCAATTCATTCTTTGACAACTGCCTTTCCCCACTGCTTTACTGTTTAGGAATAAATTATTTTGAAGAAATGTGTTTTCAATAAATTTGTTAAGGCTAAAATGTTGACATCTGGAACATTCTCCATATTCTGAATCTGAGCTCCCCCATCCTCCACCAAGAGAGTGGGAGTCACTCTTGCTGGTGAAGCATTGATGATGGCAGCCAACAGGAGACTCAGGTCCGAGTGGGGGAAACCATCTTCTGGCCCTAGATCGTTTGCAATTAGCTGGGTGACCTTCTGGCAATGCCTTACCCTCTCAAAGCCCAGCTGCTTCACCTGCAAAATAGACACACTCTACATATCTTTTGGAATAATGGATGTAAAAGCACTTTGGAAATGCAAAGGACTTTTTTTTACATGATGCTCAAAATACAGACCAATTCAATGAAAAGAAAAGAATGACTGACAGTGGGCTGGTCACCCCAGCTCCTGCTCTTGGACTCAGTCTCTGATCTTGGTCCCTCAGGCAGTGTCCTCTGTGTAACTCCTCTCTGTAATGTTCATCTCTGTAATGAAGAGGCTGGTGAACCCTTCAGGGACTCTCCTGGGACTGGGGAAGGTGGAGGAAGAGAGGAAGAAGAAGGGTCTTAGGATGAGGGAGAAGGGGTAGGGAGCCTAGGATTTTACTGTGGGAGCTCAGAGCCACAGGCTTTAGGAGTGATCATTATAATTATTGTTACCTTTGCCACAGCACTTGCTCATCTTTCTTCACTGTTGCTTGAACCTATAAATTACCCTGATGGTCATTGTTAGTAGCCTGGGCATGGTTTAACTGGGCATGGTTTAATCCAAGGAGTGGGTTCTCTCTTTTTTTTTTTTTTTTTTTTGAGACAGGGTCTCACTCTGTCACCCAGGCTGGAGTAGTGCAGAGGCGCGACCACAGCTCCCTGTAGCCTTGACCTCCCATGCTTAGGTGATTCTTCCACCTCAGCCTCCCGAGTAGCTGGGACCACAGGCATGCACCACCACACCTAGCTAATTTTTGTAGAGATGGAGTTTTGCCATGTTGCCCAGGCTTGTCTCGAATTCTTGGACTCAAGTTATCTGCCCACCTCAGCTCTGCAAGGTGTTGGGATTACAGGAGTGAGCCACTGCGCCGGCCTGGAGTGGGTTCTCTTGGTAGTGAATCCATTGTGGTCTGCATAAAGGACCCAGTCGGTGATGATAAGAAGAGCCTGGGCCAAGAGTCAAGAGCCCCTACCTAATCTCATAGTCAGCTTTTTGGAGTTGAGCTGAAAGTTAAACAGCACTCTGTAAGAAGGGACTTAAGCATTCGACGAATCATATTAATAATGAACATTGTGAGCACTTTTGTTTTGTGGGGCTTTGTTTTGACAGTCTCTCTCTCTGTCACCCAGGCTGGAGTGCAATGGTATAATTAGGGCTCATTGCATCCTCAAACTCCAGGGCTCAAGTGATCCTCCTGCCCTGGTCTCCTTAGTAGCTGGGACCACAGGTGGATGCACCACACCCAGCTAATTCTTTTATTCATTTTTTTTTCTGTTAGAGACAGGGGCTTGCTATGTTGCCCAGGCTGGTCTCAAATTCTTGGCCTCAAGCTCTCCTCCCGCTTCGGCCTCCCAAAGCACTGGAATTACAGGCATGATTATTATGCTTGGCCTGCACACTTTCTATATGTCAGGCAGATGTCAACCAGGGGGCTTTCCTGCCCCTCAAGTTATAGATAAAACTGGCTGGGTATGGTGGCTCACACCTATAATACCAGCACTGTGGGAGGCTGAGGTGGCAGGATCATTTGTGGCCAGGAGTTTGAGAATAGCCTGGACAACATAGCAAGACCCCATCTCTACAAAAAAATTTTAAAAATAGACAGATGTGGTGTTGTGTGCCTGTAGTTCCAGCTACTCAGGAGGCTGAGGTGAGAGGATTGCTTGAGCCTGGTAGTTTGAGGCTCCAGTGAACTGTGATCCTGCCACTGCTCTGCATGACAGCCAGAGGGATCCTTTACAAGATAAGCTACATCGTGTTTCTCCTCTGCCTAAACCTTCCAGTGGCTTCCCATCTCATGCAGAGGATGACCCATCTTACAGAGGTCTCCAAGGCCCTACATGATTTGGCCCCCAGCTACCTCTCATATCTCATTCTCTACCGTTCCCCCTCATTCATCAAATTCAAGCCACACTGGCCTCCCTGCCATTATTCCAACACATCATGCCTGTTTCCACGTCAGGGCTCTTACACTTCTTCTGCTTGGAATGCTCTTCCTCCAGATATCTGCATGGTCTTGTACTTTGCTGTCCCTCTCTCACTTCGTTCAGGTCTCTGCTCAAATGTCATCTCATCATATGGTCCTTCCTTGACTGTCCTGTGTGAAAAAGTCCCCTGATCCCTCACTATCCTTTTATCTCCTTTTATTTTTCTTTATTGCATATAGCCACCTGACATATTAAGTATTTATCTATTTGTTTATTTGCTTACTTTCTCTCCTGCCAGGTCCCCACTAAAATATAAGCCCTGTGTAAGCAAGTGCTTTATCTGTTCTGCTCAACCTCTTTGTCCCCAGTTCCTAGAGCAATTTCCAGCACACGGTGGGCACTCAACAACTATTTGTTGAAATCCTCGTTGAAAAGTAGAATTGCCAGGTTTTGGTAATTGTTTGGATATGGAAAATAAGGCATAGGAAGAGTTTAAGGGGTTAAGAATTTCTAAAGCAGGGCTTTGTAAAATAATTTACATGGTTATTACCAAGCTTTTTTTTTTTGTCTTCTGGCCCAGTTTATCTTGGACACCATTAGATGTCACCACGTGTTTTGCTCCATTAAAGTCTCATTAATGCAAAAATCCTAAGACTCCTGAGGAACAAAGTTTGATAGCAGATCTGTGACTGGGCAAGGCAGAACTGCACTCCGGGAGGACACTTAGCTTGCTTATCTACTGAGAATCAAGCATGGTGTGGGGGTTGCAATCTTCTGTATCTTGTTGGGACTTAATTGTGCTAAGGAATACCAGGCTGAGGAATTATTTGAGTTGCATCCATGCTGTGGACATGAGTCTCAGGACTCCCTCTGTGACAGGTTTATGGGTGCAGAGGTGGCCAGGCATAAAAAAGAGCAGAGGCCATGGTCGGATACATGGAGTTCAACACAGCGAAGCTGGATCACCTGCCAGCTCTCACCTCCCGAGGTGAGGAAAGAGAAGGGGACTGTGTTAGCTTCCCAGGGCTGCTATAACAAAGTACCACAGACTGCGAGGCTTAAAACAACAGGCATTTATTATCTCACAGTTCTGGAGGTTGGAAGTTCAAAATTAAGGTGTCAGCAGGGCTGCACTGTCTCTAAGACTTTGGTTAGATTCTTTGCTTGCTTATTCCTGGCTCGTGGAAGCTAGGATTGCTTGTGGTCATCTTTGCAGGCTCAAGAGTGGAAGCCCAACTATAGCAGCAAAGAATGAGGCCAATACAGAGAGAGAAGCAGAACTGAGAAGCGGAAAGAGTAACAAAGTTGCTCAGGCACGTCATTTGAGCCCCAAATCCAGAGAGGCCTGAAGCTGTCTCTCACCTGCACCTTATCTCATCCTTCTGAGTTATGTGAGCCAAGGAATCTCCTTTTAGGATTAAGCTGGTTTGAGTTGGTTTTCTATTACTTGCACTCAAATACTGTAGTTCTAAAAAAAATATTAGTACAGCATATATCTTTTCAATAAATTCCCCTTTTCATGAGGTGACTTGATTGAACGACTCTGTAATTCACAGTCGAAAGGACCCAACTGAAAAAATTAGGGAGGCATTTGACTCGCTGTTATATAGTTGAGAAGACTGAGGCCAAGGTCACACCATTAGTAAATATCAGAACTAGTATGTGAACTCAGGAATGGATTCAAACAGTAGGGATCCAGAGGTTGTTTTTCTGCAATATATTTCATCATATTTCTACAGAAGACTTGAGTAATGATGAAGGAGAAACCATTCATGTCCCAGCCCCACAACTCATTTACCAAGTTATTGAAATCCTCTGGGCCTCAGCTTCCTCCTCTGTAAAATGGGGTAATAATATTTCTTACCTCATAGAACTGCAGTAAGAATTAAATAAGATTTTAGATATGTAGATATTACAGAGAGAGATGCAGATAGAGATATACACAATGCATAGAACAGTTTCTGGCACATAGAAAACACTCAATAAAAGTTAGTTATTATTATAATAATTATCATCACCACCATCATCATTATCATTAAACTCCTGGGCTTAAGCCCAAAACCATCAATCAGCCTACACTCGTGTCGCTAGCAGAGGGACAGCTGCACTTGCTGTCAGCTTATTCTCAAAGCCTCAGGATTTGGCTGTTGCTGGTAGAGCATTTTAATGTGGCTCAGTGTTTTCATTTCTGTCATTTTGTTGTACCTGCCCCCTGAGGCGGCTGAAGCAGAGAAATCCCCGAGAAAAATAAATAAGTGAAATAAGCTGTGATGAAGCCCCTTTGTTATTCTCTGCGTTCAAGCTGTTTTTCAGGGTATCTTTTGGTAACCAGGCCAAGACTTGGAATCCAGTGGATTAAGCACAGGTTTTGGTCCCTGGGGGTGACAGATTGGGGTGGGTGGGGGCCAGCGGGTGATGGGGACAATATGGGGTGGCTTGGCAGACAGCAGCTGGGGCAACAATGCATTCTGGAAGCAGTAGTTTTCAAATTCATATAACAGCATGACGATCACCCATTAATTAGAGCCACAGATATTCAGAAGCCAGCTTAGCAATCTCTAAAGATTATTTTTAACTACACACACCAGACAGCCCGGCTGGCTCCCCTGGCAGCTCTGTCAATCTCAGCAAATCTGAGTTAGAGTCGTGGAAGGTGACAGCAGGGGAAATGGTGGGCGGAGACAGCATTCCTCTTGGGTGTGCAACAATTGAAGAAAAACCTTTAGGCTAGGCAGACCCACCCATGGACCCGACCACCATGGTAAATAAGAACCCCTTTTTGTTACCAGCGCTTATCAGGGCCTTCTACCTGCTCCTGACCCTGACTGATGAAAGAATCTTTTGAGTTCCTGATCCACTGGCGTGGTCTCTTGCTTTCAGTCCTGCTCTTTAGAATTTAAAGATGACCTTCATTTCAGCATCTCTACTTTGACCTTTAGAGGTTTCAAGGGCAGACCTGCATTTCCAGTCTGTCTGCTTTGGATAACACCCTACCAGGCTGGAAACTTGCCAGGCACAGATCTTTCGCAACTCTTCCCACCTTCCCAACAAAGACCACTGGACAGATTTTCTACTCTTATTCCTCCCTCTTCTCCAGAGAGTTGGATTCAGAGGGCTGGAGTAAAGACTGAGCATCAGAATTTTAACCTAAGTACCTTAGGTGACCTGGTGCAGGTGGGTCCTGCATTCATACGCACTACCTCACATGTTCCATGAACATTCCCTTCTTGTCTCCTTTACTTGCACAGGGATGCTTTTCTCTTTAGTCATGGCCTTTTAGGTTATGCAGAGGAATGAATTCAGCTTGCAGAGATTTGGGAAATTTTGTCCTTATGAAGCAAGAAGTTACACAGGAGGAAATGATGTGACATCTCAAGATTACTGGAGAAGAGACTTTACAGAGACATTATACATAAGTTTTTGCCATTATTATCTTTTCCACCTTTTCTTTATTCTGTCTCCTCTGTCCCACAAAACCCTGATCCCATGATGAAGAGTAGGAGAAAAGGCATCCAATCATTGTCTTTCTGGGACTTTCTTTCCTTACAATGGCTAGTACCACTAATCTTGCTCTCAATTCTAGATATTTTCATCATTCTTAAGTCTACCACTATGCTTTGAGGGCCCTCAAGTTGCCTACATTCTATTTATGAGACAGGATAACTTAGGTTCCATGAGGGGGTCATAAAACACTTTAGATTAAAAAAAAAAGTTATAGTAGGCATAGTCTGAAACAAAAGAGATAAGAAAAGCCATCATTTAAAAAACAGGTAATTCAGGGCTATTCCATTTTGAGGAAGGAAGGGAAGAGCCTTGCTTCAGACACAGGGAGATGGGAGAATGGTATTAGCTGGTGCAAAAGTCATCACAGCTTTTGTCATCACTTTCAATGCAAAAACGCAATGACTTTTGCACCAATCTAATGGTTTTCTGCCCTTTAGCACGGTTTAGTCCACTTCTGTTTCATGATAAGACCTTCACATGGTTAAGATTTTGTAGCACTAGGTCTCTGTGATCTGATGACTTACAACACTCAACTATATTTTTTGATCCTCACAACCTTTCAACATAGTGTAATTAATTAATTAAGCAAATATTCATTAAGCTCTGACTGTGTGCCAAATGCTCTGTGAGGTCTTTGATGTATACAGAAGTAAATCAGACAAGATCTTTGTCTCTAGGGGTTCATTCGTTGGAGGAAAACCAAGGGTCAGAGAAGCCAAGTGACCTGCCAGATTTGCAAATCAAATAGTGGCAGAGCCAATACTGGAAACAAAGAACCCCATTCTTTCTTCTCCACAGGATTCAGTTACTGAGATCATGATCTCTTATTTTGGTTTTCTTTTCTTTTCTTTTTTTTGTTTTGAGATAGTGTCTCTCTCTCTCTCTGTCACCTAGCAGGAGTGCAGTAGTACCATCATAGCTCACTACAATCTCCAACTCCTAGGCTCAAATGATCCCCTGGCCTCAGCCTACCAAGTAGCTGGAACTATAGGCATGAACCACTATATCCTGGCTAATTAAAACATTTGTTTTTGTAGAGACAGAGTCTTGCTATATTGCCCAGGCTGGTCTTGAACTCCTGGCCTAAGCAATCCTCTCACCTTGGACTTCCAAAGTGTGGGGATTACAGGTGTGAGCCACCATGCTCAGCCATGATCTCTTATTCTTGACATCCTGAGATGCAAGTACTGGGCCAAGGCTTTAAATGGCTTTTCCTGCAGTGGGATTACCAAGTCCCGACCACCCTGCAACCCCTGCTCTGGCAATGATCTCCATCTCCTGTTATTTGTGCTCTTGTGTAATTTCCTTCCACTAAGTGACTAATGATTCACTTCTGGCAAATAAAATGCAGTATTCATGATAGAACGGCACTTCTGAGATAGGTTATAAAAAGACTGTGGTTTGCACCCTGGGTGTGCTCTCTCTTGCTGTCTTTCCTGAATCACATGTGGTAGAGGAAGCAAGTTGCCATACTGTGAGTGGTCTTTTGGAGAGGCCTATGTGGTGTGACGAGGAACTAAGATCTTTAGCCTCATAACTCATAAGGAACTGACGCCTGATGACAACCACGTGAGCAAGCTTGGGATTGGAGCTTTCAGCTCTAGTTGAGTCTTCAGATGAGTCCATGTTCCTGGCCAACAGCTTGATGGCAGCCTCTTCAGAGAACTTGAGCCAGAGGCATCCAGCTAAGACTCATTCATATTCCTGCCCCGTAGAAACTGGGAGATAATAACGTTTTTTGTTTTAAACTATTAAACTTTGGGGTAATTTGTTATACAGAGATAGATAATACAGTATCTTTGCTGCCTGGACTTTAACTTAGTCCTCTCCTTCCTGGAGGTGTCTCCAAGGGCCCACTCAGCCTGGTGATGATAATTGGAACTGGGAGACTACAGTGTGTTGAGGGGCGCTGCAGTTAGGGGAGTATGGCTGGAGGAGCAGAAAGTAATTCTATGAAGAATGACCTCATCCTTCAGAGAATGGCTGTGGAGGAACACAGGACTGGAGAATAAAGCCTCTCTGTCATGCAAGTCCAGCTGGGCTGGGCAAGGTCTCGGTGCCAAGCTGGGCTGAAAGTGTTAAAGACTATGGACTTCCCCTTGGCAAGATTGGGGCTCCCATTAAGTCACTAGGAAGAAGATGAAAAGTGAGAGGGAATTGGGGCAACAGTACGGAGACTGGAAGCTATAGTTAGTGTCCAAAGGATCAGGCTCTGCTACTTACTGGCTCAATGACCTTGAACAAGTTGTTTAAGTTCTTTGAACCAAACATTTAAAGTGAGTATTGTAATAATATCCACTTTGAAGGGCCATTTTAAAGATTAAATGGGATGATTTAGATAGAGCTTTGAGCAGAATGCAGAATAGTTGATATTACTATTATTCCTGGAAGGGATCCAAGTTGGAAGTTTTGCCTTCAATGTTTCTGCTGTGATCTGGGTGGGTGGAAGGGGCCAGCAGGGCCCCCCCAGTAGGTCTGTGGAGGGCAATTTGGTGAGCCCCTCTCAAAAGCAAATGCATAAATAAAAGGCCAGTGGAGATACCAGAGACCACCTCAAAAGGGAATTGGAACATCAGAAGATTCGTATGAAAAAGGCTTGTAGTCTACAAAACATGGGTAAACCTTCAAATATAGCTCAACCCTCATTTGACATAGAGAAACTCTTATCGACAGCTTACTCCAATAAGTCAATGGACAAAAATGGGCAAAGGGTCTCATCTGGAAGCCATGACTCATGGTTCTCCAGAGAACTCGTACAGGAGCAGAACCCAGGAGGGTGAATTCACACCTCATCGATGTCAGTAATTTCACACTGAGGAGAAGGTATCAGTGTAATGAGTTGGAAAACAAGACAATATTAGAAGAGAAGTGATGCTTCAGAAATGAGATGAAAGTTTTTGTAGAAAAGATCACAGAAAAGTCCATGATTATAAAGGATAGCCTTGATTGATCACAGTTGGGTGGAAGATTTAAGAGGATGAAAAAATTGAGTAATAAAAACATATATGAACACTTCCCAAGGTTTGCAAGGGTTATGTTTCTGAGTCTGGTGTATTTCAAAAATTGTACATGTGTTGACATTGTGTATGTGAATCTAACATAATTCTGAAGATGATTATTGTATGCAGGACCCTACAGAGAATATGATATAATAGGGCTACCTGTATATGATCAGTCCCTAAAGTTTTTGAAACATTAGTAGGTAAAAGCAGGATAAGTGCTCATTTAAAATTTATGGGCCCGTGTGGTTGCTCATGCCTGTAATCCCTGCACTTTGGGAGGCCAAGGCAGGAGGATTGCTTGAACCCAGGAGTTCGAGACCAGCCTGAACAACATGGCAAAACCCCGTCTCTACTAAAGATACAAAACTTAGCCGGGCATGGTGGCACATGCCTGTAGTCCCAGCTACTCAGGAGGCTGAGGAGGGAGGATCACTGGAGCCTGGAAGGTTGAGGCTGCAATGAGAAGGTTGAGCCTGGGTGACAGAGTGAGACCCTGTCTCAAAAAATAAAACAATAATAAAATAAGATAAAATAAAATTTACAGATCATTTTCTGAATCTAAATTTACAGACCTTAATTTACCTTTGGAGGAGACTGCTGCTTTAAGAAAAAAAATCTCAGAATGGCCCTTTTGTTATCCAGAAGTAAAACATTGTACTCATTGTTCTTGATGGAAATTGTGACATCATTGTTAAACTGACTATAGATATTGGTAATGTAAATTGTGACTTTGCAAAGCTACTATTTACTGAGCATTTCCCATAAGGTCAAAAGAACCACTTGGAACACTCATTCAGCATACAGATTCTGAGCCCCTCCCTGAAGATCTGATTCACTAGGCTTGGTGTAAAGTCCTGGAACCCATAGATTTAACAGGAGCCCTCCACTGGCATATATTATGGGAAATAGTTTGGGAAGTAGTGCTTTACATGATTTATGTCAAGTAATTATTACAATTGCTCTCTGAAGCCGCTACCATGATTATCTCAATTTTACAGATGAAGAAACCAGCTCAGAGTATAAGATATGGTATACCTAAGTCAAATAGTTAATAAACAGGAGCGCTGCTGACTCTGGCACCCAGGACTGCTTGTCTTCAAAGCCAGGTAGGTGCAAAACCATTTTACTGTTCTGGTTGGTAGGCATGGTTGATCAACAGCTGCATAGGTTAGCTGGCTGGCTATTTCCACATACGCCCTCACTGGGTTAGGGCATGGGAAGTTGCTTGCAGGGAGTGAGGCATAGAGGGGAAGAATGGGAGGTCTGAAGTCTTCTTGGTGAGATAATTTATGGACTCCGAGCTCAAACAGTGCTGCTTTGGGGCCCAGGAGACAAAATGTGACACCGACATAGATCTGGGGCTCTAGATAGTGGTGATATTGAGAGCATCAGGAGATGGTACCCTCCGAAGATCACTGGTGATTTCAGAAGGGGCATCTAAGAATCTCCCTCCGATGCTACCAGGGCTGTGACATGGGACAGGGCACCTGAAATAGGAGAGGGAGAATATGATGGATGTTGTGTGGTGATTGTAAATAAGTGGGTTGTTTTAAGAGCATATAAGATATGCCCTTGGGGACTGCTCCAAATAACTGGGAAATGCCTTTTGTAAGGAAGGTTGGATGAGGTGGGAGCCCAAGTCATTGTCATGTGGACAATAAAAGTAAATGGGACCCCATTTTATATCCACAGACCTTGACACTTAGATTACATAGTTGGATTTTTGATGTGTCTAGACCTCATTATGTTTCTTAAGGACGGGTGCTGTAATACAGTGTCTAGCCCAGGGGGAGAGACGCAATAAAGATCTTGTGTTGAATAGAGAAAATTTGAGCTGTAGCTCCCCTCTTTCACTAACTGTTTGTGTTAGGCCGTTTTTTGCATTGCTATAAAGAAATACCTGAGACTGGGTAATTTTTAAAGAAAAGAGGTTTCATTGGCTCACAGTTCTGCAGGCTTCATGGGAAGCATGGTGCTGGGATCTCCTTGGCTTCTGGGAAGGTCTCAGGGAGCTTACAATCATGGTGGAAGCCAAAGGGGGAGCAGGAGCAAGAGAGGGAGAGTGGCAAGGGTGGTGCCACACACTTTTAAATGCCCAGCTCTCACAAGAATTCACTCTCACTATCGCAAAGGCAGCACCAAGCCATGAGAGATCCACTCCCATAATCCAAACACCTCCCACCAGGCCCCACCTCCAGCATTGGGGATCAGAGTTCAACATGAGGATTTGGGCGGGGACAAATATCAAAACTGTATGTCTGTTCCTCAGCTTCCTCTTCCTTCCTATTCCATAGCCCAGCTTTATTTCTGGCAAAGACTAAGATGCTGAGGCTCTTGTGTTTGTTCTTCCCTTCTCACATATTGGTCATGTGGTGGGTAGGAGTTGTAGGATGGTGATTTATTGAGTGATTTGTGAGACATTGGCCTAAGAACTCAAATACAAATGCACACCCATGCCACTATCTCATTTAATCCTCACCTCCACCCTGTGAAGAAAATGTTATCCATACATGATAATGAGGGCTCCCCTACCCAGAGCATGAAGGTATGGAAAATAAAGTTTCCATTTGAGAACGAGACTCTTTAGATTTTACACAATGGGTGAGAACAGCCACTTACAGTGAAATAAAAATCAGTCTGTGAAGATGTGACTTAAGAGTTTGAGACTCCCTCCCCGCTACCTCCAGTGCCATTCAAGGTGACCAGGGAGACATTCCCAAAAGGAGTGTAATTACAAAGTGGAAACCAAGCAATTTGCTTTCCATTCTTTTGGGAAAGGCAGGGAGAACAGAAGGCAAGTGGTTGGCCTGGTAGGATGGAAAAGGAAACCCAAAGAACTTGGTGATGCCCAAACACTGAAGAGAACACAGGGAGGCTAACCAAATAGAGACCTACCTTTCTGTGGCAATGCTGTGGAAGGATGGTGAGAGGCCCACAAGCCACTTAGACAGGGGACCCTGATTAAGATCAATAAAGCAAGTCATAGACTCTTATTCCAAGCTTCACAAGCAAGACACTTCCATAGGTCCCTGGGATGCCAAGCCTCTGGGTGGGAGATACTCCCTGAGCCATTGTACCCATCAAGTCTGCTCCCTGGCCTTCTGGGATTTATGCTCCAGTTCTTGTGCTCTTGGACACTCTAACTCCTGAGACGTGAACCATCCATATGCCAATAAATCAGGTCTGGGAGCTTCTCAGGCCATGCACAGATTCTGGACTGTGGTGAGTTGATGAAAGGAAATGCCTGTCTGGTGAGCCACCTGGCCTTCCTTAGGAACACCCCTCTGAATCTTTGGGCCCAGAGCATACCTTTTGCACAAGAGAAAGTGTCACTCCCTCCATTCTGGCAGCCAAACAAACACAGATTTTAAACACTTGGCCAAGGTCACTCAAGCAAAACCCTTTTTCCTCTGTTCCCGAAGCCCATACACGTATCTCCTCCCCAACTGTCCTTCCAGAGATTTACCTTCTGTTTCTCCCCCTTTCTCTCCACTCCTTCCTCCCGGGCCCTTCTCTATTGTCCCACAGCCTTGTGGTGGCACTCCAGCAGTTTTCCACAGGGAAATCCTCTTCTGGGCCAAGGCTGCATCGCGGGAGCCTTTGAGCTCTTGCTTCTGTCTCATTACAGGACTCCGACTACTGAAGGCCCAAGACTCTTGGCGGTCTGAATCTGGGGTCCCAGCTGCCTTGCCAGGATGGCAGATATCTCTCCACTAATGCAGGTGTCTTAGAAGGTAGGCCTTGTTGCTTCAGAAAGCAGTGGGTGTTAGAGGCTAAAATGGCAGACTGTCTCTCATGGGCCGTTCAGGTGAGCAGACTGCTCGAGAGAGGCCTTGGGTCAGTGCTCTTGTCTGAGAGGGGCCTTTGGAGACAGTGGCCTGGAGGCCTCTGACCTGGCTTGGGGAGAATGAGGGAACCAAATTCCAAGAGCAAGCTGAACATGCCTCAAGTGATGCTGTGGCTTCAGGTTTTTCCTTCATTATCCCATTTCCTCCTCACAACAACCCCTCTCCTGAGGACCTTATATCTCAGAAGAGGCAGCAAACTTGCCCAAGGCCACCCAGCTAGAAAGTGGCTGAGTAGGGGGCAGAACCCAGGTCTGTCTGATTCTCACGCTGCCCTGGCGTGGAACTCCCTGTGGTGTGGGGGTGTGATGCGTCCTCCTGGGTTGGAAGCACAGGAGCAGCATGGTGCTTCTAGACAGACCGAAGCCTATCAACCACCCTGGTGGACCATCTGTGTTAGGAAGACCAGTCTTAGGCACAAGCCTGGCCCATGGAAGACAAGCCACTTATGCTAGTGTCCTTGTCATTCCACCACAGGCACCAGAAACTACCAACAGAACTGATTATTATTACTGTTATTTTTACAAAGAGGCTGCTATCTTAGACCAGCAAGGAGAATTCGTATCCCCTTCTGCCCAGTGCAAAGTGCTGGGTGACTTGGCTTCTTTTTTTCTTTTTTTTGAGACAGGGTCTTGCTCTGTCACCCAGGCTGGAATGCAGTGGCACAATCACGGCTCACTGCAGCTTCAACCTCTCGAGTTCAAGCAATTCTCCCACCTTAGCCTTCCAGATAGCCGGAACTACAGGCGTGTACACCATGCCCAGCTAATTTTTTATTTTTTGTAGAGACTGGGGTCTCACAATGCTGCCCAGGCTGCTCTTGAACTCCTGAGCTCAAGCAATGCCCCTCGTTTCATCTTCCAAAGTGCTGGGATTACAGGCGTGAGCCATCGTACCTGGCCCTGACTTGGTTTCCAGTTCTTTCTCCAGCCAATGACTTGCCACAGAGCCTCAGTTACTTATTTTGGCCTTGGCGTCTTCGGATTTTCCTAGGTGATCAGCAGAGATGCTTTTAGAGCCACATGGCAAAGTTTTGACAGGTTTTTTTTTTTTCCATGAGACATAGTCTCACTCTGTCACCCACGGTGGAGTGCAGTGGCGTGATCTCTGCTCACTGCAATCTCTGCCTCCCGGGTTCAAGCAATTCTCCTGCCTCAGCCTCCTGAGTAGCTGGGATTACAGGTGTGTGCCACCAAGCCTGGCTAATTTTTATATTTTTAGTAGAGACAAGGTTTCACTCTGTTGGCCAGGCTGGTCTCGAACTCCTGTCCTCAAGTGATCCACCCACCTCAGGCTCCCAAAGTGCTGGGATTATAGGCATGAGTCACCATGCTTGGCCTGGCTTTTTTATTTCTACATTTTCAGAACCCAAACTGGTGCTGCCTGACACATGGTAGGCACGCAGCACAAGTTTGTGGTGTGCATGAATAAATGAACCAGTGACCATTCAGCTATGGAGGAGACTCATAGTACCTGTAGCCCTGACCCTTAGGCATTCCTTTCCTTGGTCTTAAAAGGGTCCCTTACTCTGTACCTGATGTCATCAGCCAGGACAAAGGACGCAACTTTGGCACAGATATCTTCTGCTTAAGGGAAGCCCATTGTGTGAACACTTACAGGAATGTTAAATTATGATGATAGTGGTTCTTTGAAATGCACATCTGTGAGGAAAGATAAGCAAGACCTCACCATAAAGTACTCACAGGCGTGGGCAGGGCCTGGGGAACACTGTTAAGAGTGCAAACAATAAAGAGCTGTCACAAAAGACAGAAAATGGTTTCTTACAGTCATAATTATGCTTAAAAAAAGACAAACTGACATTTTGGTACATTTCCTTCTAGATGTCCTTCTTTGCGTATTTTTTTTTTGTAGAGATCGTAACGCATACATATTTGAATCCTGCTATTTTTATTCCACGTAACATAAACTTTTGCCCACGTTGTTATAAACTCTTTAGCGACATCAGTTTAATTATTGAATAATACTCCATTTATGGATGTACCATAGTTTATGTAACCACTCCCTCATTGCTAAGCATTTAGTTTCCAATTTCTCCCCATTATAATCAAGGTACTCTGCTCAGAAGATCTTTGTGCATTAAACTTTTTCCATTTTTTTAGATTATTTCATAAAGATAGGTGATCAGGAGTCAAATGCTCGGTCTCCGGGAGTGATAGTCTTAAGATTCTTTTCTTAAAAATTTTTTTTAAATAGAAAAATTTTTATTTTTAAGATTCTTGAGAATATATTATTGTTAATTTGAGAAATGTTCTCATTGTTCTTCAGAATCCAGGCTCTGTGTTCAGACAAGTGGTGTGCAAACGCTTGTTCTGGCATTTACAGTATGGACTTGGCCACCTTGGTTGACCTTCCTAAGTCTCAGTTCCTTAGCTATCAATTGAGGATTATGACTGCACCCTCCTCATGGGACTGTTGTGAAGATGAACAAATAAGACAGCAAAGCTCAGTGCTTGGCACAGAGTGTGCTCCCCACATATTAGCTAGTACTAATTTGCTTATCTTTGGTTATCAATGAGGAAGGGCCTTTTCACTTCTGCCTATTGTCTGTTTCTGTGTGTGTATGTGTGTCTAAATTAAGATATATGGTTTTAAGGTGAAAAATGAAATCATAAGGGACTATTTATTAGGTCAATTAGCAGGCATATAGCTCTTTTTCCCCCCTTTTAGAAAGGGTGCTGCCCAGGCTGGCCTTGAATGCCTCAGCTCAAGCGATCAGCCCCCTAAGTAGCTGAGACTACAGGTGCACACCACCGTGTCTGGCAAATATAGCTCTTTCTCAGGGTTCATCTAACCTCAAAGAAGAGCAGATACTAGTGCTGTACAGTTTCTACCCAGCATTTCTCCTTTGGGCTAGTTTTGGAATCTATCATAAGACTTATCTTTCTCTTTTAATGTTTAAGACTAACTACATTCTTAAGTATGATTTTTATTGTGTGAAGAGAACCTGTGGGAATACATTGCCAATTGTGGAACAAATTCAGAGACAGAACTAGATTTGATTTCCAGAAATCTGTAGTACTGCCGACCTCTCTAAGAGCACATTTCTCAGCAAAGCAAGAACTCCCAGGGCAAGAATCCTGTCCGCTGGGGACAGCTTTAGCCCCTTAGGAGCACGGAGCAGTCCAAGCAGCCGCTGCAACTTCCCCTCCCACTGACGGCATCTATAAATCCATTTCCTGTCTTGTAATTATGTCTCATGTGGTAATTAGCCCCTTTATATAAATGAAGCCAAATTTCCTTGTGTAATGGACTGAAGCCCAAGTGTATGCGAGGAGTTGAAATGCCGCTTTGGCAGGAGGGGGGCCTCTGAGATCTCCTTGGGGGCAGGGAGGAGAGCCCTCTGTGTGAGGAGTCTACACTGTGCCAGGCGCTGTGCTGGTACTTTGCATGCACCATTCCATACCCTCCTCACACTGATCCTTCCTTCCGGGCACCTTTGCCTTTGCTTTTATTGTCCAAGGCCAGCTTCTGTGCACTCTTCAGGTAGAAAATCAAAACCATCAGTGGTACTTAGATGAACACGTGACTCTACATGCCAAAGGCTCTGCGGGGTACAAGGAAGGAAGTGCTGTAGGAACCAGCCAAGGACAGCACCCCTGAAGCCTTGTTCCTTCCTGGAATTTCACGTGGCCCACTGACCCTTCACAGCCCTGAATGTGCACAGGCACGTGTGGAGCCAGCATCAGGGTGGGGCTTCAGGATGCCAGGAGCCCAGAAACCAGCGCAGGCACCCAGCTGTGGGAGGAACATTTGAAATATTGCTGTAGCCCTTGGGAGGACAAGACAGGGACACAGGGGCAGAGACAAGGATGGAGGGGGCGGTTGGAAGAGGTGGGTGCAGGCTTATGCCCTTGAAAAGGGAATTTGGGACAGTGAAGAACGAGGCCACATGTCCCTTTACCCCATCTCCCTCTATCTTCTTTCTTTTTTCCTTTCACTCTTCTCAGGCATCTCCTTCCGATAATCAGGCTGCATTTGCCGGCAGCCGGGGGGGGGGGGGGGTGCGGGGGGGAGGTGTGTGTGTGGAATTCACGGTCTTTTAGCTTGGACAGAGAATTAGAGGGGGCAGTGAACACAAATTGTCAGGAAGGCTAAGAAAAGAGTACGGAGGACATTGGATTAGCCTTGAATCTTTGAGCAGGCTACTTAGATGCTGCTAAGTCCCTTGGGGTCCTGATGTCTAAAATGGGGATAATAATTGATGTCTTGAACACCTCACTGGACTGAGGAGGAAGTGGAATAGACTCGATTTTGATTCAAGGGAATGTCTGAGTATATACTGGTTTTTCAGGGATGTGCCTGGGGAAATACGTATAAATGCATGTTTATATGTAAGTATGCGCACATTGCCCATTCCACATACACATGGTCAACTGAATGTATGTTTTTTTTGTCTTTTAGGAATTTAAAACCACCACATATAATAATAAGTACTTACTACTCATTAACCACTTACTCTATGCTAGACCCTATCTCAGCTCTGTACATATATTTCTTATTTAATTCCCTAAATCCTATGAGGTAGGTATTATTAGCCCCATTTTACAGAAGATAAAACTGAGGCACCAGATTAGGATGATCACTCAAAGCTATGGACCTAGTAAGTGTTAGAGCTGGAACTTGAAACAGGCCTGAATTTCCTAATCTTTTGTCTTAATTGCTATGTTGTTTCTAATAATCTGGGCTTTTCTTTACATCTATAGGCAAACATTTTTGGACTCAGACTCAGATACCATTGCCCCAAGGCGGACTCCCACTTTCTCATCTCCAAGTGGCTCTGATACAAAGTGATCTAATGCTTAAAATGAGAAAGGCTTTGAGGGTGTGCCGTGACTTTCATCTCTGCAGAGCCCCAGGATGTTTCTCCAGCCCCCTTCTCAATATGCAGGGAAGAGAAGCCTTAGACGGGCTTCAGGCTCAGGACAGCAGTGTCAGGGGCTCTGCGTAGGGGGTGTCCCTTCTAGAAAATGGCTCTGGGATGGCTGCTTGTGGACAGGATCCTGCTGCCTGTCTCTCTTTCCTGCCTAGTGAAAGCTCTGGGCCCCTGTGCCTTCTCCTTTACCTGCTTCTTTCTTCCTGAACTGGTGCCCTCTGTTTCTAATTACATGGAATTCTAGAGGGGTTCACTACAAGTCCAGCTTCCGTGCGAGCAAAAGACCCTTCTCCATTTTTGCCAGCAAGTTGGCAAGAGCTGTAGGGTAGGAGTGATGCGGTGGGCTCTAGAGCCATGGGTTCAAATCTTGGCCCTTGGCTATGTCACTCAATTTCTCAGGCCTTCCTTTTCCTCCTCCTTTTTTTTTTTTTTTTTTAAAGAAGGGGGCTATAACACCCATATTATAAGATTATTGCTGGTATTAAATTAATACATAGAAAGAACTTGGGACAGTGCTTTATTAAGTGCTCAGTAGCTCTCATTTTTACCCCATGTCAGATACTTCACTAGGTGCTGCATGGACACAATTCTCATTTAGATCTCACAACACCCCAGTTAAGTAGATGGAAATAAGATCTCCATTCTGCAGATGAGGAAACCAAGGCTAATGGAAGTTAGGGTCACATAGCAAGTAAGTAAGAGAGCTAGAATTCAACCAGGGCTGCCTGACTTCAAGGCTTATTCTCTTAATCTCTTTATCACACTTCAGGTCTCTCAAAGGCCTCCTTGTAAAGAAATTCCCACATATCTTTCTTATCTTTTTCTGGGACTTCCTAAATAAAACCCCTGGAGTCCAAGGGTAGCTGCAGCTATCTCAGGTCACATGATGAAAGGTGGGGGCAGTGTGGTGCTGGGTGACCTTGTGGTGAGCTGAACCCTATGATTGCCAGAGTCCGCCCCAACATGAATGCTGGGGACTAAACTGACTGGTAAGGAGTTCCCGTCCTCCTGGGGTGTCTGGCAGAATCAAGATGAGGTCTGAAGGGTCTTCAAGGAGTGAGAGCAGACAGGGTAAAAATAAACTTTCACATTAATCCATTATCCTAATGATCGTCCTAAAGATAAGCTTGATCAGATATGAGCATTGCTGAGATTGATTTGCCTAAAATAAGGATCTCATTTGCATTTTTCTGATTTTCCCCTACTTCATTTAGCCATATTAAAAGACAGCTGCAGCTCTCACCAAGGACAAACATTTGAAAGACATGGATATTGCCTACATGTATTTATGGTGCTTAGGATCCTCCCTACCCGCCTGTGTGTGCTATAATCTCTTTGATAGAGGAGAGGAGGGCAGATTCAGGAACCTCAAGGTGATAGCTCTGGCTTTCCTTTGATCACATTTTAAAACTTACATATTGGTAGAACCAAAGACTCTGCCTGGGTGGAAAGGATTGAAGAAGACCCCAATAATCTAGAGTCTAAATTAGAAAATTTAATTTCGCATATCTCTTTCATTAATTATTCATATCAGCCCTAAGAGATAGCTGGGGCAGGCATTTTTATTCCCATTTTACAGATGAGGAAACTGAGCTCCAGTGAGGTTAAGGTATACACCTTAGGCTATATGCCTTGCCAGTAGTGTCTAAGATCTCTTGACTCCGATGCCTGGGCCACAAACCTTCTGACTTCTAGGCCAGGGTTCTCTGCTAGTGGACCTAGATGCCTGGTAACAGCTCTGGGAAGAACCACTTGTCTCAGAGGGAAAGACTCGATCCTGGTCTTACAGGCAAGACCACACCTTTCATCAATTTGACCTCCAAAGGTTGTTTCATGGAGCAGACAAGGCCAGTGAAAATATCCATGAGCTGATGAGAAATGTTTGTGTGTGCTTCTTGGCAGAGCTGACCATGGACAATAAAAACCCATAAGGCCATTGCTGCTAAGCTTCAGAGAGATCCCACTGATCCTTTTGCTATCTTTGGCCTGAGGGCTAGTCAGGTGGACTACCTTTTGAGCGGGAAGAACTTGGAACGTGGGATCAGAGTCATGGATTGAGTCCTGGCTTTGCATTAATGTCAGCTGGTGTTTATAAAGGTGCCTTCTGTGAATAATTTATTATGTTATTTAATGTAGTACATTAGTATTTAAATACATTATTTAATACATTTATCTAGTACATTATTTCACTTAATACCACAGCACTCCTATGAGGTGATACTAATGTCATTGTCCCCATTCCATGGATAGGAAAAGAAATTCATAGACATAGAAGGTAAATAACTTACCCAAGCTACTCAGGCTTGTTCTCTGTAATTCCAAATCTTATTTTTTTTTTAATTTTAGCTGCTTCTTCTTCTTCTTCTTCCTCTTCTATTGAGATAGTCTTGCTCTGTTTAATTTTAGTTTCCTCCTCCTCCTCCTTCTGTCTCCTCCTTCTTCTTCTTCTTCCTCTTCTTCTTCTTCCTCTTGTTCTATTGAGACAGTCTCACTCTGCTTAATTTGTTCTTCTTCTTCTTTCTCTTCTTATTCTATTGAGATAGTCTCACTCTGTTTAATTTCCTCCTCCTCTTCCTCTTCCTCTTCCTCCCCTCCTCCTCCTCCTCCTCCTCCTCCTCCTTCTTCTCCTTCTCCTTCTCCTCCTTCTCCTTCTCCTTCTCCTTCTCCTTCTCCTTCTTCTTCTTCTTCTTCTTCCTCTTCCTCTTCTTCTCCTTCTCCTTCTCCTTCTCCTTCCTCTTCTTCTGAGACAGTCTCACTCTGTTGCCCAGGCAGGAGTGCAGTGATGTGATCTCTGCTCACTGCAACCTCCACCTCCTGGTTCAAGTGATTCTCCTGCCTCAGTTTCCCAAGTACCTGGGATTACAGGTGCATGCTGCTATGCCCAGCTAATTTTTGTATTTTTAGTAGAGATGGGGTTTTGCCATGTTGGCCAGGCTGGTCTCAAACTCCTGGCCTCAAGTGATCCGCCTGCCTCAGCCTCTCAAAGTGTTGGGATTACAGGCATGAGCAATTGCACCTGGCCTTTTTTGTTTGTTTGTTTAAGATAATATATTTACTTGGGTCCAAATTCAAAAGATACAAAAAATAAAACAGTAAAAAATCTCCTTCCTACTCTTGTCCCCCAGCCACTAGTCTACCCTCCTGGAGGCAAACAGTTTTAGCAGCTGCATGTTTTCTTCCAGAGATTTGTTATAAGTATATAAGCAAATAGGCAAGTATATTGTTCCTACTGTTTTTGTATGTGTGGATGTATAAATCCCTTTGAATTGAATTGAAGAGGCGTGGCTAAAGTTCTCCATATAAGACAATAGTATGATTTGATAATAATACAAAAGCAGTGTCTTTAGTTAAACATACTCTATTCTTTAAATTTTCTGACCTTTGCTCTTGTTTTTTCCTCAGTACAAAATGCTTGACTCCTAACTCACACTCCTCACCTGCCAAGCTCCTTGACACCCTTCAGGATGCGGCTCAGACGTCATCTCCTCTCCAGCAACATTCCTCAACCAGCCCCTCTCCCCCTTAAAGATGATTCATTTCCTCCTTTGTATTCCCACATTTTTCACATTATGTAATACTTATTTTTTAAACTAACTGTATTCCTAAAGATAGCCTGATAGGTCCCAGGAGGACATTCATTCATTCAACATACACACACGCACACATACACACACACATGCATGCACAATATATCTATATACATACATATACCATATATACGTAATGTATATATATATTATATACATTATATATACACACACACACTCTCTCTCTATATATACATATATATATACATATATACACATATATATACATATATACATACACATATATATACACACATATATATATACACACACATATATATACATATATATATATATATACACACACACACACATATATATATATACACTTGTTTGGTGAGGGTCTGCTCTTCTTTTTTTTTTTTTTTTTTTGAGACAGAGTCTCACTCTGTTGCCCAGCCTGGGGTGCAGTGGCGTGATCTTGGCTCATTGCAAACTCTGCCTCCCAGGTTCAAGTGGTTCTTCTGCCTCAGCCTCCTGGGTAGCTGGGACTACAGGCGCACACCACCACGACCGACTAATGTTTGTATTTTTAGTAGAGACAGAGTTTCACCATATTGGCTAGGCTGGTCTCGAACTCCTGACCTCGTGATCCGCCCACCTCAGCCTCCCAAAGTGCTGGATTACAGGCATGAGGCAACGTGCCCGGCCAGTCTTCTCTTTTTAGTTTTGGTGGCAGCATATTAAATACACCAGTCTGCACCTTGCTTTCTAAGAAGCTTTTATTGCAGGAAAATTTCACACATACACAAAAGTAGAAAAAACAGTGTGAACCCCCCATATAGCCATCAACCCACTTCAACAATGATCCACACTCGGCCAATCTTTTTGTATCTTCACTTCCTCTCCCTCTCCCCCTGATTATTTTAAATCAAATCCCAGGCATCATATAATTTCATCTATTAATTCTTCAGCATATATTTCTAAAAGAAAATTACCTGAGAAAAAACACAACCTCTACACATGTAAAAGAAAACAATAATTCTTTAATACCATAAGCTACCTAGTCAGCATTCAGATTTCCTTGATTTTTTTTCTCTCTCAACAAATGCTGTTTTGTTTGAATCAAAATTCAAGTAAGGTCCACACATTGCATTTGGTTACTTCCCTTGCTTTTTATCACGAACAACACTCTTAGAGATGATTTCCTACCAGAACATAAAGAACTACTTTATTCTTTTTCCCGTTGCAGAGTATTCTTTGTATGAATGTCCTAGAATTCATTTGACCAGCCTGTTGGTGGACGTGTAGGTCATTTTCAACCTTTTGCTATTGCAAACAATGCTGCATTGAATAACTTGTAAGCATGCCATTTTGCATACGTGGGAGTATATCTGCTAGTTGAATTCTTGGAAGCGGAATTTCTGGGTGAAAGGATATGTATGTTTGTAATTTCAAAGATTATTGCTAGATTGGCTTCTCAGAGGTTGTACCCATGGAACTGATAACTTCCACCAGCCATGTAGGTGAGACCCTTTTTTCCTGTACCCTCCTCAGAAGCACCATCCCATCTCTGGCTTCTGTCCATGCAATTCCCTTTCTCTAGAAGGTCCTGTCTCACCTTGTCTATCTGGTGAATGCTTATTCTTCAAGGCTCAGGTCAAAGGCCCCATCGTAGCATATATCCCACTGGGTACTCTTTATGACTCATCTCTCCTCCATTGCACAGTTAGGTCCTTGAGGGTGCAGACCAAGGCACACAGTAGGGGGCTTCCCTAAACTGGTCTAGAGAGGTGCTGAAGGACTGAGAGACTAGGGCATAATCTCTAGGTCTTGTTCCAGTGGGAGTTTAGGGACTTCTGCTCAATTTCCTTGGATGGAGCAAGCTGAGTCATGGGTGCATCACCCACTTTTGGAACCCTATGACCCCTAAGTATTGGAACCCAGAATAAAACCAAGTGCTACATTGCCCAGCCCCAGATGCCTGCAACAGATGGCATGGCATGGCTGAGGCTGGGGGTCTGATTATCCCAGACCTGTACCTCTGTGGATTCTGACCTTTCAAATTGTTTTCTATTTAATCTGGGCTGGAAGACCTTGCTTTTTGTTGTTTTAAAATCTTTGCTCTCTTCCTACGCCACAAATGAAACTGTCATCCTCCAAATTACTATGATCTGGAAGGGCAGGAGCAGAATTAGGCCCCACAAAAGCAAGTTAGGCGGGCAGGTGGGAGTAATCCTGTGTGCCCGAGGTGGGGGAGGGTGCAGCAGATGGCTCCCCAGGCAAGCCCTAAAAGCCAGGATTAAAAAGTAATTTTCAGCATGCTGAAAATGGGACTGCAGATTTGGGTCACTGCAATTAACTCTTTCTCGGCTGCAGGCAGGGACCTTGGAGCTGAGAAGAGTTATCCTGCCTAGGGGAGCTGCCAGGTGAAAACCCCCTTGGTTTCTCCTCCTTAGGCCTCAGGGAGAACAGCTCCTGGGTCTCTTCTTGAGAATGGAAGTCAGGTCTGCAGGGTATGCTTCTTTCTGGAGACTAGCTTCCTGCCTCCCCTCTGAATATGGCGTCTGTTGGAGGGAAATCCCCCCCAAGGCTGTGGGAGGCATTTCACCTCAAGGGATTTGATTGTTGTATCAGAGGCCTAAAGTGGCACCTCATTCTGTTATCAAAAGTACATCAGGCATTTGCCCCACAAAAGATTAGGTGCTTTTTTGCCAATTACTTCCTGTGCTAAAAAAAACTACTGTTTTTACCTCAAATACAGTTTTTCAGTATCTGTCCCTGTCCCCACTACCCCAACTGCCCAACAAGAATTCCTTTATCTCAAAAGCCAATGCATTAAATTATCTTCCTGGAGGAATGATTTTATTTTGCATTCTTGAACTGTGGTATTGCAGCCAACGGGTTTTCCCTTTTCTCTTTGGTTGCCAGGAAACTCGAAGCCTCAAATTCAAAAACTAAATCCATGACATCCATTAATGCATTTTATTTTTCCCCTTATCTTATTATTCTATTCTAATTCACACATTCCTTGGTCCTGATTTTATTTACCTGTTTATATTGTGCTATATTATCGAATGCATATCCTGTATATCAAATCCTTTGTGCAACTAGGTAGAGTATAAATAAGTAAATGCAGAAATAATTTCATACATAGATTAATTTGTTCATCTTTTAAAATAAGCATCTGTTAGGTGCTTAATACTGTGCTTGAGTGACTGATAAAATAAAATGCATTTAAACATTTATCACCTATTATGTATCAGGTATTATGCCTAGGACATTTTATGTCATCTATTTTAATTTATTTCCAACAATAATCTTATGATATAAATAATTACATGAGTTGGAATACATAAAGCATTTAGCCCAGTGCCTAGAAAGTACCAGATAAGTAGTAGCTAGTCTTATTAGGTATCATTATCTTCATTTTAAAAAGGGGAAACTGTGATTCTGAAAGGTTAAGTTATACCATTGCAAGAGTTTAATGAAAAAAAAAAGTACCAGGAGCATGGTAGATAGTAGGTGTGGCAGACATTTGTTGTCTTTTTGGCTACCCAGAATCCATTGTACCTTATTTCAGTAATAGTTTCTTTCTTTTTCTTTGTGAAACCTCTCCATACCGCATTTGTAGTTTGTGAGCTCTGGACCAGGCTTCATTTTCACTCCAGGGGGTGAGCAAGTGACTCAAGCGTGGCTGACCAGTGCTCTGGATTCCCCTAGCCACAGCCGTTGGTTCAGGGGTGCAACTCATGACCTAGATTGGTCCAAAGTGAAGCCTAGGATTTGTGTGAGTGTTTTGGGGGAAGAGACTGGTTTTCCTTACCAGTGGATGGGAGCTTGACAGTTGGTATATGCAGCACATGTATACACAACTGGAGATTAGGCAGCCACCTTTCTACCCTGAGTAGAAAGCCCACAATGGAGCCAACACCGAAAAAGTGGAGGCTAGAGATGGAGAGAGCAAAAATGGGTCCTGAGGACATTGCTCAGCCCCCTGGAAGTCTACAAGGTCTCAAGCCTCACCAGAAGCCTATAAGGTCTATTCCAGGATCATTTGATTGCTGAAACGATAAACTGTTTTTTTTTTTTTTTTGCTTAATCCTGTTTGAGTTGGGTTTCAGTCATTTACAAGTAAAACAAATCCTAACTTATAAAAGGCATTCATTATGTTACAAAATTTTTTTTTAGAGACAGGGTCTTGCTCTGTCACCCAGGCTGGAGTGCAGTGGTGCAGTCATGGCTCACTGTAACCTCAAACTCTTGGGCTCAAGGGATCCTCCTGCCTCAGCCTCCCAAGCAGCTGAGATTACAGGCACGTGCCACCATGCACAGCTAATTTTTTGTTTATTCTTTGTAGAGACAGGTCTTGCTATATTGCAGGACTTGTCTTGAACTCCTGGCCTCAGCAATCTGGAATTCAATCTGGGAGGCCAATCCTTGGCCTCGCAAAGCACTGTGATTACAGGTGTGAGCTACCACATCCTGGCCCTCAACGAATTTTTGCATCTTTCCTTTTCCATTTAATGGACTTGCCCAGTGGCATAGCTAGTAAGTGGCAGCATCAATATTTGAACACAGTTCTGGCTCAGGAGCCCATGCATATCATGTTCCCTGCCTATAGGAACTTGGACTCTAGTTAAGCTCCCAGACAGAGACAAATGAAACAGGTGGGTGATGAGTCAAGGCGATGACAGTGGGCCATTGGGCAAGTTACCAGCATAGTCCTTCTGGAGTGCCTTCACCCTGCACTCTCATCCCCAGAACCTTTGAAAGGTCTGGGAGAAGCACAGATGCAGATTCGCAGACATGCCAGCTGGCTCTGCATGTTTCTATGCACGGAGCTGATGCTTCCTCTGCTCATTTAAAGGAGAAAGCTTGCCCAGAGCAGAGGCTGAATGAAACAGACACATCCACACCACTGGACCCTGATTCACCATGTGACCTCTTTGGCTGAGTCATCTCCTCTCCTAAAATGAGCTTTCTCATCTGCAGAATGAAGGTGAAGCTTGACAAATGAGGTGCAAATGAGATCTCATAAATAGTTAGATCAGAAAGTTGCTGCTGGATAGCCCTACCTGAGCAACTGCAGGACTTGATCTCTCCTCTCCAGCATATCTGAGAGTCATCGAGTTTGTGAATAAGTCCAGTCCTACATCATCTCCACTGCTCTGGAAAGACCCTCTGCTCCTCCAACTCAAGGCCTTGTGTGGCCTGCACTGTCACCACTGACCAGACTGCCCAACTGTAGCACTGCCTGCCTCTGGGTATTAGCATGCTGTACTGCTGCCTTGGACCTCTGATGAGAAAGGGAGGTCCCTTCCCCAGTCCTGTTCTGGTGGAGAGATTCAGTAGGAAGTTGCCTGCTTTTCGTGCCCTGGTAAACTTGTAAGGAAAGAGGGACAGACTGTGAGCAATTGGGAGGGTTGGTGTGGCCCTGGGTCAGCAAGTTTGGCCACTTTCAGGACAACTCTCTGCCTAGGGAAGTACACCAAGCTACTCGCAGGAGGACGAATTACAAGCGTGGGAAAGATACTATTGTTACAGGCAGCACATTCGAACAAAATCAGCCTGGTAAGACAGAATTCTGCCAGGGAGTTGCTCATCCAGTTTTGCTCACTCTGGGCAATGGAATCCTCCCCCTAATAATCAGCTAGGACCTACCCTGTCCAGAAAATAAAGATGACTAAAAGATGGTGATCATTAATATTTTAAAACTGGCTCTCCAGAAAAAAATGTTTATTATAACTTTTGTATCATTTGTTTATTATAAATTTTTAGATATTTTACAGAGAGAAAGGATGTTGCTATTGACTGAATGTTTGTATCTGCTGCCCCCTCAACCAATTCTTATGTTGAAGCCCTATCCCCCGATGTGGCTATATTCAGAGATGAGGACTTTAAGGAAGTAATTAAGGTTAAATAAGGTTATAAGGGTGAGGCCCTAATCTGAAAGGATTAGTGTCCTTATAAGGAGAGACTCCAGAGAGCTGGGTCTCTCTGCCCATGTGCAAGCGTATGCACACTGAGGAAAGGCTACTTGAGGACAAAAGAGAAAGCGGCCCATCTACCAGCTGGGAAGAGAACCCTCACCACAAACCAAATTGGCTGAAACCTTGATCTTGGACTTCTGGTCTCCAGAATTGTGAGAAAATAACTTTTTCTTGTTTAAGCTACCCAATCCATGGTATAATATTTCGTTATGGCCGTCTGATCTGACTAATACAGATGTGAAGCACCCAAATTACAAAGAAGAGTAAACTATACAATGCTTTATTGTAAATTTCACACAGCCAACTGATTCTCACAGTGCTTTTGTTGACCTTTGTTGAAATCTTGTTTCCCCAGCCATAACTATGGTTTCAATTCAACCATGATTTGACAAAATCAGACTATGAATCAATGCTATCCAATTTGCCAAAGAAGAACTCACATCATTAACAAATGAGGATAATTCCAACAGGAATGTCAGTTGATAGTTTCATTTCCATTAAGGAGTCAAATGAAAGAAAAACAACAAACGTGTATCAGAATTTCATTTGTTAGTCAATGACATAGTGACTTCTTTGCTGAATCAGGTGGTAGTATTTGAATGCTGGAAGAATATTGCCTTGATTTTTTGGTACTAGTCACAGTGTAACAGTTACAGACACAACATGATTTTAAGTTTAATCTGCAGTATTAACATTTTCTCCATCATTATCTGAAATCAATACAATCAACAATTTCCATGGTGTAAATTCCACCGTGGCTGATTCCAACCTACCAGTGGTGAGTCATCGAATGTAGAGTGGGGAAGAGGAGATACACCATCATATAATCTTTTCATCACATACATACAGTAGATGTAAATAACCTTAAGAGCAGAGATGATAATAAAATATAGTAAAATAATTAGGAAGTGAGGAGTACTAAGTATCTTTGTTTTTAATGTAATTTATTTTGTTAAAAGTGTATATAATTAATTTGTAATGATGGCTGTGTATAATAACCAGCTTGCAAAATTCCTGAAAATTTAACAATTAGCTCTTTCGAGCTGGTATCAGCTAGCTCCAGCACTCCACTGTCAAGCAGAGTTGTGCCTGGCTCAAAACAAACTTGGCAAAGAGAACTAGATAACCAGATCAATTTTTCAGCCTACTAATACCTAATGAACTTTGTTTTTTAAGAGCTGGGGGGCAGGGTCTCTCTATGTTGCCCAGGCTCATCTCGAACTCTTGAGTAGCTGGGATTATAGGCACCAGCCTCTGCACCAGACTCCTAATAAATTTGTAAAGCCAGATCCTATTCCTTAAGTGATATGATTAGCCATGTGGCTGAGGGAGTCATTCTGGGCCTCTGTGGATCCTCTAGGACAGTGCTTCTTAAAGTGTGATCCTTGGACCAAAAACCTCATCATAACACTAAGTTTTTTTGGAAATGCACATTTTAGGGCTTGCTGCCAACCTGCTGAATCAGAACCTCTGAGGATAGGGCCCAGCAATCTGTTCCTGATGTTTCTGGTGCCTGTTTCAGACGCATCATCAGGTTTGATGTTCCTTTCTGAGGACTATAGTTTGAGCAGCACTGCTTTTGGATGTATCCCACATTGTTCTTGCCCCATGCTGTGGGCAATAGAGTGTAAGCTTTCATGTTCAGAATGCTTGTTACTGCTTCCAGGTGTGCTCAAAGTACAGTGGTTAGGAAAGAGTTTTCATCAATCTGTCCTTGTGCAAGGGTTCACCTCCATCCAATGCGCTTGCAAGATGATGGTAAGGTACAGGTGCTCCCAGAAGTCTCACTGACTCCAGGGCTCAGAGCATACGTTGTCTTTGTGCAATCGGTATTCTCCTGCACTGTGAATATAGCAGAGGCAGTTTAAATTGCTTTCCGTCAGGAAAGGGGCTTTCTACTTGGATTGTGAGCTCGGTGTAGGTGCTCCATTTGTTCTGTCTTTTGACACTGACTCTGACATAAAGTTAAACCTTCTTCCTTCTCTGTAAATTAGCTGAATCCATAGAAATCCTGGGTCAAATGGGCTTAAACAATAAGTCATTTTATTATTTTCCATAACTGAAGTCAATAGGCTTTGGGGCTGGTTGGTTTAGAGGCCCAGCAATGGTATCAAGGACCCAGGTTCTTTTCATCTTTCCGGTATGCCAACGCCATAGTGGTCCACCCTCCAGTTGCTGGCAAGATGGCTGCAGTGGTTCCAGCCATCACAGCCAGAGAGTACAAAGTCCAGAGCAGGGAGCTCTTACCTGGGCTCCACAGACAAACCCGGAGAGCCACGAACCTGAGTGGGAGAAAGAATTACACCACTAACCTCTAACTGAAATGTGGCATTTTCTTCAATTATGGATGCAGGCAACATCTATAGTGGTAGTAGTGTACTGTGGCTTTGCCACCAAAAGAAATCATATGTATTTTCATATAACATTACAATTACAAATATATCATAAAATATCATTTATACTCAATCCCACTTTGAAATTGTAGTAGTTATTAGACCTGCCATTAAATATTGATATTGAATGTGTTAATAAAGTATCACATATATTATTACACCACAAATATATTGTTTTAATATTTTAATACGTGGTTAAATTATAATTGTTTACATGTAATTTATTTTATATATTTTAAAATATTATTCTAAGAAGCAGTTCACGGAATTCATCTTACCACAAAAGGGATCCTGGCACCACCCCCCCACCAAAAAAAGGCTAAGAATTCTTGATGTAGAGGAAGAAGACAGGCCATCTCCTGCAGTGACTCTCTCTTTTTTTTTTTTTTTTTTTTTTTTTTGAGAAGGAGTTTTGCTCTTGCTGCCCAGGCTGGAGTGCAATGGCACGATCTCAGCTCACTGCAACCTCCGCCTCCTGGGTTCAAGCAATTCTCCTGCCTCAGCCTCCCAAGTAGCTGGGACTACAGACATGCACGACCACGCCCAGCTAATTTTGTATTTTTAGTAGAAATGGGCTTTCTCCAGGTTGGTCAGTCTGGTCTCAAACTCCTGACCTCAGCCTCCCAAAGCGCTGGGATCATAGGCATGAGCCACCACACCCGGCCTTCTTTTTTTTTTTTTTTTTTTGAGACAGGGTCTCACTGTGTCACCCAGGTGGCTGGAGTGCAGTGATGTGGATCTTGGCTCATTGCAGCCTCAACCTCCTGGGCTCAAGCGATCCTCCTACCTCAGTCTTCCGAGTAGTTGGGACCAGAGGTGTGTGTCACCACACCTGGCTAATTTTTTAATTTTGTTGTGATGGTGTTTTGCCTTGTTGCCCAGGCTGGTCTTGAACTCCTAGGCTCAAGCAATTCTCCTGCCTCGGCCTCCCAAAGTGCTGAGATTACCGGCATGATCTACTCACCACACCTGGTCTCCTCCAGTGACTCTCTCTTAAGAGACAAGAAATGTCATAACTCATTGGCCAGAATTGGGTCACATGACATTCTTGAGCCAATCATTGTGAAGAAAAATGAGATATATATTCCCCTTCCCCCAGCCCAATCAGTGTGGCAAGGTCAGCTTTCCCTGAGGCATGGGGCTATTTGGGTGAGGGTGGATATCCGAAGACATTGGGGTTCTGTTAGGAAAGAGGAAAGGGAGGCTAGGGAGATAGTCCCTCAGGTGCTATGGGTTAGGAATTGCTCAGGAGTCTGCTTCACCTCCTGCCACATTTAAGAAGGATAAGAATAAGACAGAAGGAACAGCATGTTTTTATGCAAGAGCTTGGGGACAGTAAGGAGGCAGGAGGGGCTTTTTGCCTCTTCAGAAAGTTTTCTAGAGGAAGATATGCATTAGCTGATTCTTGGAGAATGCGTAGGACTTAGCCAGGAGAAAGAAGATGAAAAATTGTTCCAGAATGTGGAAATAGTATGTGCAAGGACTAGAGGCATGAAAGAGCATGGCGTGTCCTGAGAACTAGTAGTAGTTTAGTATTTGGTAAGAGAAGGGGAGAGTGGTGAGAAAAGAGGCTGGGGGAGGTGGCCTGGGAGCCAACATGAAAGACCTTGGGTACCAAGGTTGGGGTTAGAATTTTATCCTGGTGAACACAAGTGGTTTCTGAGGGGTTTTAAGTACAGCAGTGACATGATTCTATTTGTTTTTCAGAAAGGTCATTGTGGCACCGTAGTGTGGAGAATAGACAGAGGGGAGCAAGACTAAAAGCAAGGGAGACACTTAGGCTCTTGTTCAACCAGGGGAAAGAAGACGGTGGTCTGAACAAAAGTGATGGCAGTGAAGCTGGAGAAAAGAGGGTGACAGAGCTTAAGAGACTGATTGAATACGGCATGGGGGTGGTGATGAGGGAAATGGGTAAGTCCCAGATAACCCCCATATTTGTGACTTGAGCCAGTGGCAGATGGTGGAACCATTCACTGAATAGGAGACAGGAGGAGATGCAGTTGGGGGCGAGGAGAGGTCAGAGCAGATGATAAGATCATAGGTTCAGAATTGGACAGATTGTGATATAATTTTGGCTGCCTTTTGTCTTGGTGTTCCCATTTCTTGTATTTCCCCTGAAAGTTCAGAATGGCCACAACTTTTCCATGAGAACCCTGAGGCTGGGGGCCTGAGAGCCCCAAGATCTCTGTGGAAATAGGAAGATGTGGTGGCGAAGGAATGGCACACAGTGATGTAATTTTTGGTCCGCTCCCCCAAAGGCTTCCATGAAAACAGTAAAACTGCTCATGCTGTCTCCTAGCATCCCAGCAAATGGAAGCTTTGGAGGAAAACTAAGTTGTGTTATAATTATAATACAACTTAGTATTATAATATAATTATAATAAGGTGTCAAAGACCTTATTGTTTTTGGTCCTGTTCATACAGTGAAACCAAACTCAGCAGAATTCAGGGACTTTTGAATAGATTTGGAGAGTGACTCTGAGCCAGGTGCCTGCCACTTTGCAGAGTAAATTATCAAGGCAGTAAGAGGATGAAACTTCAGCCTGGGGAAATGGTTAATTGCTTTGCCCTCTAGTTATTATTTTGGTCCTAGCTTACTGTAGAGTATAGCATTTCAAGCAAAGGGCTATAAATTTCATGGTAAGGGGCATCTATTCAGGGGTGCAGTGGAGATGGGAAACGCAAGCAGTCATTGATACCAACCTTGATCATCAATCATGGAAAATGAGTGTCTTTTTCAGGCAATGCTGTCTAATACCCCTTGCATTTTGGTTTTTCCTGTGTTTTCGACTCCCCCCATTCACATAAACCTATATGTACCCAACAATAAAATATACACACATGTGGACTCAATCAGCAATGCCTTAGGCTGGCCGTGGTTTTAGATACCTTTGTGCATACAGGATCCTTAGTCAAGGACAATACCAGGTCCTTTAAAAAGAGGCTCGAGAAAGCAAATTTCAAGAGGAAGTAGAAGGCTGTATTGATTTCACAGGCACTTCCACATCCACCTCACCCTGTCCTAGGCCCCTTGCATCCATAACTATTTCTTGATCTCTTGTCCTGGGCTTTGTGCTAGGCCAAATGTCCTTAGGAGCTGACAAGCAAAGGCTCTTGGCATTCACATGACTTTGGCTGTTGCGGGTGGAGGCGGCCGCAGTTGCTGCTGCTGCTTTGGGTGTTACCTGGGTGGGTGGGGTGGCAGAGAGACAGGTGGGTTCTTTCACACGCCGTACATTTGTGAAGGCGTTTTGTGCTTGGGAGCTGTTTGTTTCTTTGCCTTGCAAGCTGTTGGATGCCTCTGCTCAAGCAAAGGCTGATTCCCCAGCACATGGCCCTGCTAAGTGCTGCTTTGGGAAGTACTTTGCTTTCCAGCTGGGCTTGTCACCCCAGCTCTCTCTATCTAGCATGTCCTCTCTGGCAGGAAGCAGGCGTGCAGCTTTCTGGGCTGTTCTGATGGGAGCCCAGGGAGGCAGAGAGTGCCTGAAGATAAGGAATCAAGTCAAGCGAGGTCAGCTTTGGGCTGGGTTGGCAGTTGGCTGCAGGCTCCAGGGGTTAGATGGGCCCCTGCCAGTAATAGGAGTGTAATCTCTGATCCATGGGCCCAAGCTGCATGCTGCTGACCTTGTTGGTACCACCTATGGAGTGGGTGGTTATAGCTGGCAGGCTGGTGATCTGCAGACACACCTGGCCCAATTCAGGCAAGGGTAGAGATACCAAAACAGTGTTTCCCAAACTCTATTCCACAGAACATTGACTCCACGGAAACTAAAAAGGATAAAAGGGTTCAGGGATTATATAAACTGGAGAAACATTGATATAGATAAAGGCAAACAGATCTCTTTACTGAAAGATACTTAAAATCCTCATACTAAAAATGTGCTAACCACACTTTGGGAGGCCGAGACAGGCAGATCACGAGGTCAGGAGATCAAGACCATCCTGGCTAACACGGTGAAATCCCGTCTCTACTAAAAATACAAAAAAATTAGCCGGGTGTGGTTGTGGGTGCCTGTAGTCCCAGCTACACGGGAGGCTGAGGCAGGAGAATGGTGTGAACCCGGGAAGCGGAGCTTGCGGTGAGCCGAGATCACGCCACTGCATTCCAGCCTGGGCGACAGTGAGACTCCATCTCAAAAAAAAAAAAAAAAATTGCTAACGAGTGTTATAAATCTTTAGATAGGAATCAGAATATATAATGTTTCCCAAACCTGTTGGACTGTGGAACCCTTCTTTTGGTGTAACAAAAGAAGGTTGGGGGGAGGGTTCCATAGAACACACTTTGGGAAACACTGTCTGATTCTCTCTTGCATGCCGAGTTTATGTGACCAGGTTGAGTGCTCAGATCCTGGTACCAGGATGTTGGAGTTTGAATCTGGCTATTCATGGGGCTACTCTAAGCCTTTACCTTTGGTGTTTCTTGCAACACCAATCACTGCATATGTCACAGAGAGTCCTTTAGGGACCCAGACCTGCTGTTATTAAAATAAGACCTCACCGAGGCAGGAGGATTGCTTGAGTCCAGGAATTCAGTACTAGCTTCAGCAACATAGGGAGATCTTGCCTCTACAAAACCCAAATCAAATCAAATCAAATCAAAACACACAAAAAACAAGACTTAGTTCTTAGTAATCCCCGCACTTTGGGAGGCTGAGGCAGGTGGATCACCTGAGGTCAGGAGTTCGAGACCAGCCTAACCAACATGGAGAAACCCCATCTCTACTAAAAATACAAAATTAGCCAGGTGTGGTGGCGCATACCTGTAATCCCAGCTACTCAGGAGGCTGAGGCAGGAGAATCACTTAAACCTGGGAGGCGGAGGTTGCGGTGAGCCGAGGTTGCGCCATTGCACTCCAGCCTGGGCACAAGAACGAAACTCCGTCTCAAAAAAAAAACAAAACAAAACTGGGTTCTAAAGTTCGCTAGACCTCATCTAAATCCCAGTGTGGCTGTTCATTGGATGTGGAATCCAGGTAAGTTTCATAACCATTCTGAGGCTCAGTTTCTGGGTCTATAAAATGGGGTTAATAATAGTATTCCAGCCTGGGCAACATAGGGAGAACCCATCTCTGCACAAAAAAAAAAAAAAAAAAAAAGTAACCAGGCATGGTAGTGCACACCTGTAGTCTCAGCTACTCAGGAGGCTGAGGCAGGAGGATCTCTTGAGCTGGGGAGGTGGAGGCTGCAGTGAGCTGTGTTAGTGCCAATACACTTCAGCCTGGGTAACAGAGCAAGACCCTATGTTAAAATATATACGTGGCAGGGCACAGTGATTCATGTTTGTAATTCAGTACTTTGGGAGGCTGAGGTGGGTGGATCACAAGGTCAGGAGTTTAAGACCAGCCTGTTCAACGTGGCGAAACCCCGTCTCTACTAAAAATACAAACATTAGCCAGGCATGGTGGTGGGTGCCTGTGGTCCCAGCTACTCAGGAGGCTGAGGCAGGAGAATGGCTTGAACCCAGGAGGTGGAGGTTGCAGTGAGCCGAGATCACACCACTGCACTCCAGCCTGGGCGACAGAGCGAGACTCAGTCTCAAATAAATAAATGAATGAATAAATAAAATTTTTAAAACATAAAATATATATATATAAAATACCTACCTCCCAAGGTATTTGTGAGGAGTAATTGAGACAATACATACCAAACAGCACATGGCCTGCTTCAAATCAGAAGCTTACTGAATGTCTTTTTAAAAAATTCTGATATAGAAACAAAGATATGTCAGTGGAGAGGAGGGGCCAGGAAATGCTGTGCACAGTGAACATGGACAAGTGGACAGGTGGATAAATGGAGTGCTATTGTCTCAATGTTTGTGTTCCTCTAAAATTTCTATTTTGATATCCTGGCCCCCAAGGTGATGTTATTAGGAGGTGGGACTTTTGAGGAGTGATAAGGTCACTGGGGTGGAGCCCTTATGAATGGGATTTGTGCCCTTATAAAAGAGGCCTGAGAGAGAACCCCTGCCCCTTCCACCATGTGAGGACACAGTGAGAAGCTGCCATCTGTGAACCAGGAAGCAGGCCCTTACCAGAGACTGAATCTGCTGGCACCTTGATCTCATACTTCCCAGATTCCAAAACTGTGGGAAAGACATTTCTGTTGCTTATAAGCCACGCAGTCTGTGGTATTTTGTTATAGCCACCCAAACAGACTAACACAATGGCATTACATTAGTGCGTCCAGGATAGCTGAGTTGAAGGAAGGAGAGAGGCGTAGCGTAGAATCCTTTTTCTGCTTCTGCAACTTGCACCAACCTGGCTTGAACTTTGCTTTCAACAGTCGGTGTCCTGATGGTAGAAAACCACGAACACAGGCAGTAAACACACTTCTAAACATGCCATTTGGAATCCAGAGTCCTTTGACACGCCAGGGTGGTTCTACAACCAGGCTGGGGGCCAGGGGAGGGATCCTGGCCACTGAAAGGCTGGCATCGACACATCAGAGGGAAAGGAAAGATCACTGGCATTTAGGGATGCCTGGAACCTAGTGAGCCGAGCAATGAGGTCACCAATTCACCCTCTGGCTGTAGAGTCCCATCTTGGGAGGTGATTTTTATCCTAATGGAGGTGGGGAGGCGAGGTAATGAGCAGCTGCTTTTCCTTACTGTGTAAGGTGCTGCCTCCAGGCCAGGCACCAGCAATGTCAGGAAATGATGTGAGGGTTCAAAGTGAGGCCTGAAGTTAGTGAAGCCATTTGTGCGGCATGAGGGAAAACAGAGGAGGTAGCTGGCTTGTGAGTTATTTAAGGCCATACCCAGCCAGCTTCAAAGAGCATCCTTGTCTATGTTGAACGGCTTCCAGGCCAGTCTCTAGCTGGTTCTCTGAGAGGTGATAGGTGAGAAGAGGGGTTGGGAGGGCTGTTTAGTGTGGTCTGCAGTGTGAGCTGCTGCAAGCCCTGGGATGTGTTCTTTCTGGGTGTGGAGAGTGTTTAGATCAAACCAGAAATAGCACCAATAGCCAACTTACAATATGATGAGCCCTTCTGCGTACTAATTCACTGAGTCCTTGCAACTTTATTTGTTGGGTGTTTTTATTAACCCCATTTTGCACGTGGGAAAACTAAGCCAAGGCACAGGTCGAATAACTTGCTAGAGGTCCTATTAGTATTAAGAACCAGAATTTGAACCCAGGTAGTGTAGCTCCAGAACTTGGGTGCTGACCCACTGTGCTATCACGGTATTTAGCAGAAATGGAATTCAGTGATGGGCTAGGTCAGATATATGGGAAAGGAGTAGAGCTCCTTATTTGGCTTGATCTAAGCTCTGGGAGGCAGGGTTATGGTCGGCTGAAGGCTCTGAAGTGCTGAGTGGGCCAGAACCAAATATCAGAAGTTCAATTGTCTTGTACACAAAAGTGAGGAACCAGAGGTGGCTCGGATACATTTGACTGAGTAATTTGTTTGTGATCTTTGACAGAGTTTTGCCCCAGCTCCGTGCATGATACTTGGGTGATGGAGATCAGGTTACCTCCTGGCCCTGTGATGGCCCCATAGGCTCCAGGGGCAAGAGGATTCTGCTTCCTAGGAAAGAGAAAAAGGAAAAAGCTTATAGTGAAAACAGCATTGGCTTTAGAGCCATACAGGCTCGGCTGGGCTTGAAACCTCACCCTAACTCCCATTAGTTACTCTGTGTAACTTTGAGAAACTGTCTTACCCTCTCTGAGTCTCCGTGTCCTCATCTGTAAAACAGGGATAATAATAATATGTACCTCACAGCATTATTAGGAGGATTAAATGAGATAATGAATACACATTAACAGTGCCTGGGATGTGGAAGGTGTTTGGTTGGTGTAAATTCCTCCCCTCTCCATGCTTGCTTTCTTCTCCTTCTTTCCTGGGAAAATATGATTTGCTGGGTTAAAAAAAAAAAAAAAAGAACAAGAGAAAGACATTATAGCTGCAGGGCCTGCAGTCCTCCTCAAATGCCTTGGCAAGGGAGAAGGTTATTTCTGATCCCAGTTGTGCTTGGAGAGGACAAGGGTGCAAGAAGGAGCTGCTGGCCCTGCCTGGCTACCTTTCTGTGGTGGCAATCACTCTGGCATTGATTCTGCCCCAGGAACTGACACCAGAGGCTGCACATGCAGGAAAGATGGGCTGAGATGGGCCTGAAGCTCAGGCGGGGAGCTGCACCCGAAAGAGGACTGAGACCAGAGGAGGTAGCCCTGAGCCCATGACTGGAGAGAAACAACAGAATGGCAACTCCCAGCTGGCAGAGAAGGCCACCCTATCTGCAGGAGCCCAGCAACAGGGGGTCTTGGACTCAGCCAACAGCCACCTCCTTCCTCCTCTTGCCCTTCATGAGAAAAGCAAACTGGGTGGGTTCTCCCTCTGAGCCACTGGAAAAAGAAAGGCTACAAAGAGAAGACTGGGGGTGTGCATTCATTTATTTTTTCATTCATTCCACTAATACTTATTGAGCACCGCTTCCCTCCACATGTGTCTCAGTCCATGGGCGACTTATGCAGGCCCCACTTCACAGACAGCACACTTGCTAGCAGTATGGGCTTGGTTAAGTTACTTAACTTCCCTGGACTTCAGTTTCTTTAGCTGTATAATGGGTTAGAAGACACCTACTTGGTATATGACAGGCATGCAATGAATATTGTCTCTCTTCCTTTCCCATCTTCTCCTTTCCAAATGTTTGCTGAGGGAGGGAGGACCTGAGGCTCTCAGTACTCATTTGCATGTGATTTTGTATAAATGTGGGATGTCTTTTAAGCTGGAGAGGGGGAAGCTGCCAGAGGCTCACTTTTATCTCCAATTGCTCTGCTAACCATGCCTGTTTCAGTATCTATTGATGCAAAATGAAGCACCCCCAAAATTAGCAGCTTAAAGCAATAACAATCAGGCCAGGCACAGTGGCTCATGCCTATAATCCCAGCACTTTGGGAGGCTAAGGCAAGAGGATCACTTGAGCCCAGGAGTTCAAGACCAGCCAGAGCAACAGAGTGAGACCCCATCTCTGCAAAAAACAAAAATATCAGCCGTGTTGTGGCATGTGCTTGTAGTCTCAGCTACTTGGGAGGCTGAGGTGGGAGGATCACTGGAGCCGGGGAAGTTCAGGCTGCAGTGAGCCATGATTGCATCACTGCACTCCAACCTGGGCGACAGAGCAAGACCCTGTCTCAAAAACAACAATGACAACAATAATCATTCTATTATTATCTCTCATGGTTCTGTAGGGGTTCACTAAGTGATTCTTGCTCATGATCTCTTGGTCTTTGTTAGAATCAGATGTTTGCTGGAGCTGGAGTCATTCCAAAGGTTTCCTCATTCACATGACTGACATTGATGTTGGCTGTTTGCAAGCACCTTAGTCGCGGCTGTTGCCCAGACACTTACATGTAGCCTCTCTGTGTGGTCTGGATTTCCTTACAGCATGGCAGCTGGGCTCCAAGAACAAGAGTTCTAAAATAAGCATGCAGGAGCAAAAACGTTACTTCTGCCATAGCCACAAGTCTGCCTAGATTCAACTGGAGGAAATGTAGACCCCATTTCTCAATCGGAGAATTATCAGTGTCACGTTGTAAGGACCTGTGGGATGGGATATCTTTTTGCAGCCATCTTGGAAAATACAATCTGCCATGCTGCCCAACCAGGAAGAACTTCCAGCAGGAAGGCTTGTGGCTTGACTCTCAGGGGGTGAAATTGCCCATAAACAGAGAAACACAGGGTTCTTGAGAAGAGGCTTTGGCTATAAGGAATGGGGAGAGGGAGTTCAATCACTGCCAAGGTAGTTCTTTTTTCTTCTTTTTTTGGGACGGGGTCTCGCTCTGTTGCCCAGGTTGGAGTGCAGTGATACCATCATAGCCCACTGCAGCCTCAAACTCCTGAGCTCAAATAAATGATCCTCCTGCCTCAGCCTCCCAAATAGCTGGAGTGGTACAGTGGCATGATTATAGCTTACTGCAGCCTTGAACTCTTGGGCTCAAGCTATCCTCCTGACTCAGCCTCCTGAGAAGCTGGGACTACAGGTGCATGCCACTGTGACTGGCTAATTTAAAAAAAATTTTTTTATAGAGATGGGGGTCTCACTTTGTTGCCCGGACCGGTCTTAAACTCCTGGCTTCAAGTGATCCCCTGCCTCAATCTCCCAAAGTATGGGGTTATGGGCATGAGCCACTGTGCCTGGCTTGTATTTTTTTTTTTAATTTGTCAACTACACCAAATCAGATAGGCAATTTGTATTTTCTAAAAAGTTATGTACTTAATATTTTTTAATTTATTTATTTATTTGAGATAGGGTCTCACTCTGTCACCCAGGCTGGAGTGCAGTGGCACCATCATAGCTCACTGAAGCGTTAAACTCCTGGGCTCAGGTAATCCTCCTGCCTCAGCCTCCTGAGTAGCTGGGACTACAGAAGCAATCCACTGTGCCTGGCTAATTTTTTAAATTTTTTTGTAGAGATGGGGTCTCACTATGTTGCCCAGGATGGTTCTGAACTCCTAGGTTCAAGTGATCCTTCCACCTTAGCCTTCCAGAGTGCTGGGATTACAGGTTTGAGCTACACACAGTGCCCCGCCCAAGAGAGTTCTGAAAACTGTGATTCCAAAATTGGACTCTGGAATCCAGAGGGCACTGGGAAGAAAAATGGAGAAAGGGAGAAATAAGAGAGCCTTGGATTGTGGAAATGTGGTAGGTTTTGGAAAGAGTATCTTATCTTTGTCTTGTGCTATTCTGGTGTTCTTCCAGAAGCCCTGGAGCTCAGGGGATGGAGGGCTACACTTGGGTCAGAGGTCAGTGGGCGCTGACCCTAGCTCCAGGGGAGGGTGGCTTTAGTCTTCTCCCTACATCCCTGTTTCACCCCCAAAGTGGATGGCCATTCCTAAGCACCAGGAGGAGATAGGCTGGTCTCCTCCCTGGTATGCCTGGAATAAGCCCACCTCCTACATAAACAGAAATTATCACACGTACCCACAGTTCCACCCAGTCCTAAAAACTAAATAAATATGACAGTGAGTTTGGAATTAATCTTAAAAGAAATTCTCTAGGTGGAAACGGATTGAGATCTATGGAAATATATATGATTACTCTCCCTATGGAAAACGAGAGAGAGAACCGTCTCTGCTGTACTCTCCTGTGAAAGAGGCAGAGATTAATCTATTGAAATCAAATGTATAAATTATACATGGATAGGAACTGGCTCAGGGATAAGGTGTCTGATAGGGTGCTAATGGAAATGAAAATGAGGCTTGAAAGATCAATTCTGCCTTTGAATCAGCTCCAGTCCTGCCGATGCCCCTGGGCCTGCCTGGCAGAAAACACCCTGACTTATCAAATTAGAAAACACCCCATCCCCAAGCCTTTGAAACACGCACCTTCAAAGTAATTGCTAATGTTTTGGATGATATTTCTGTGCGTCACCAGGAATAATAAAAAGGCAATAAAAGTTTGAAGGCCCATATTTTTGCTGCCTGATGGCTGATATAAATCAAACCCACCTCTTCAAAGGAATAGATGGAAAGTTTTATAGTGTGGCTGTTGCCTGCCAAGGGAAGAGGGGCAGGCCTAAGTCTGGGGACAGGTGTCCCTCCCAGTCCAGCCATTGCTGTGTGACCTTCAGCCTGTGATTTAGCTACTCTGGGCTTATTGTTGTTCCATCCATTTATTCACTTATAAACTTGCTTATTCATTCAGTCAACTTCATGAGGACCTACCATGTGCCAGGCACTGTTCTATGCACCTATTTGATGTTCAATAAATATAATTAGTACAAAAATTAATACAGGCTGGGCACAGTGGCTCACACCTGGAATCCCAGCGCTTTGGGAGGCTGAGGCAGGAGGACTGCTTGAGCCCAGGAATTCACGACCAGCCTGGGCAACATAGGGAGACCCCCATCTCTACAAAAAATTAAAAAATTAGCCAGGCATGGTGGCACATGCCTGTGGTCCCAGCTACTCAAGAGCCTGAGGTGGGAGGTTTGCTTGAGCCCGGGAAATCGAGGCTGCAGTGAGCTGTGATTGCTCCACTGCACACTAGCTTGGGCAACAGAATGAGACCCTGTCTCTAATAATAATAATAATAATAAAAATAAAGCAAGCGTTTGTCCTCAAGAAGTTCTAGCTTAGAGAAACATAAACAGGTAAATTGTAGTAGCACATTGTTAGTGTTAACCAACACTGACCAGAGGGTTTGAAGATGGGCAGGTATATAAAAGAATCGAGGTGGTTTTGCCAGACAAAGAGGATTACTCCCTGCTAATGATCATCTGGCCGGAGTTTCACAGTATGATCTCAGAGTCTTTAAGATGACCTCTGCTGAGAAAGTAGCGACAGGAAATGAGCTTAGATTTCAGCAGGACTTGTTTAGGTGAGGTGAAAATGAACTTGACCATGCATGTTGTAGGTGGATGAGTGAGAGTGACGGCTGATACAGCTCTGTGAGGTCCGGGACCTTCTCTCTATTCCCAGGGCATTGCATAGGACCTGGCTCATAGAAGACATTCCACATGTTTTCTTAAACAAATGAATAAACAAATGGTGCATTACCTGGCCTTATTTCAGGACAGAACAGATTCTGCCTTGCTTTACATAACAAACTGGCAGGGGAAAGGTGAGACCCTTCCCTGACTGTGATGTTGTTATCTGCACCCATTTGAACTGAATGACTCACTCCACTTAAAAAATGGTGTCACAGCAGGTATAATATGCATCCAACAAAGTGCATAAATCTGAAGTAAACAGCTGGATAATTTTTCTTTTCTTTTTTTTTTTTTAAGAGACAGGGTCTCACTCTATCACCCAGGCTGGAGTACAATGGTGCGATCGTAGCTTACTGAAGCCTCTAACTCCTGGGTTCACAGTGATCTGCTCACCTCAGCCTCCTGAGTAGCTAGGACTACAGGTGTGGGCCACCATACTCAGCTAATTTTTAAAGTTTTTATAGAGACAGGGTCTCACTATGTTGCCCAGGCTGGTCTTGAACTCCTGGGCTCAAGCAATCTTCCTGCCTTGGCCTCCTAAAGTGCTGGGATTACAGGCACAGCCACTGCACCTAGCCAGCTTGATAATTTTTTCCATAGGAACATACCATGTGACCACTGGAAGATCAAGATCTAGAACATTCCTGCTCCCTACAAGCCTCTTCGTGCTATTTCCAGCCCCTTAGAGGAAACCACAACTCTGACATTTCCAAGTTTTTTTTGTAGATTCTACCTCCAGGTACCCATCTTGAATGAAAAGGAAAAAAAAATTAAATTCATCTTCATTCCAGGAAAAAAAATTAACAGCTTGATTTTTCCTTCCTGCCATTAGAAAAGTAGAATCATTCAATGTCAGTTCGGGAAGGGGCTTAGCACCTCTAGGTCAGGGATGTCTTACCTTTTTGGGAAGTAGGACTTCTTCTCAACATCAAGTTATTCCATGGACCCCGTGTGAGAGAGTTGTTGCATTTTTAGTGTCTTTTGATTGAGAAAACATTGATTAGTGGTTACCAGGGCCGGCGGGTGGGGAAGGAAGGAATGGGAGTTACCGTATAATGGGTATGGAGTTTCCATTTGGGGTGATGAAAAGCTCCCAGAGATGGATGGTGGTGATGCTTGCACAACAATGTCAATGTACTTACTGCCCCAGAGCTGTACACTTATAAAAATGGTGAAAATGGTCAATTTTATGTTATGTATATTTTGCCACAATAAAAAATAAAAAAGATAAAGTATCATTAAAAAAAAGACCAAAATTCCTGTGAATTCAGTGACTGCTTTAAAAACAAATGTTTATTTTATTAAAAACAATCAATTCTATGTTCATTTGAAAAATAGTAGTGTATGTGAGCATGAGAGCTATTTTTTCCTCACCCACACACAGTGTACAGTGCATGCAAAGTTTCTAAACCTTAGCAATGCCCTTAAGACCCCTGCCTTTTCCCAGTGTCTGAGATGCACAGATTAAGATGAACTGATCATTCCAACTCTTATCCCTCAGTTGAAGACACTGTGGCTCAGAGAGAGGAGTGACTTATCCAGGGTCACACAGCCCACTTACAGCAAAGCTAGGATAAGACTTCCAGGCTGGGCACGTTGGCTCACATCTGCAATCCCAACCACCTTTGAAGGCCAAGGGGGGAGGATCACTTGAGCCCAGGAGTTTGAGACCAGCCTAGGCAATATGGGGAAAACTGTTTCTACAAAAAATGCAAAAATTAGCCAGGCATGGTGGCGCATGCCTGTAGTCCCAGCTGCTTGGGAGGCTGAGATGGGAGGATCACTGGAGCCTGGGAGGCAGAGGTTGCAGTAAGCCGAGATCACACCACTGCATTCCAGCCTGGAACAGAGTGAGACTCTGTCTCAAAAAAAGAAAGAAAAAAAAAAGACTTCTGGGCTCAGGTCCCTCCAGCAGTTGCTCTTGTCTCTGCTCTTGTCTCTGCGCCCCCTCTGTGCGGAGACCAGCTGATGACCACACACACTGAGTCCCTCCAGACACTTAACTAGATGTGATTACCAGCATGGGGTTCTTTACTTGCCTGCTCCATCAAGGCAGGAAGTTGGATGTACAGCCAAGAGATAGAGCCTCCCGATGCCTTTGTAATTTGACCCTGAAGCTCGGTGGGGGCTGGTTCAGGCTCATTCTTATCATCAAGGCTGTGCTATGGCTCCTGTGAACAAGAACAGATGCACCTGGAGGCCCAAGTTCAAAGCTGCAGGCTGGGAGTCCAGTTTCAGAAAAGAGGTGCTGTCTGAGGCGAGAGTGGGTGCCTTGGCTATTTTGGCAAGAGCTGACAATGAGGAATTCTTCTCTTGCACAAGCTGTGCAGAAGTATTTTGTGTTGTGGGCTGTCCTGCCCCCGCCTTTCCCATCCCCAGGCTTGGTGGATGCCACTGCTCCCCAACCCCCTTCCTGACACTGCTAGCGACATCCAATTAATTCAGCAGAATTTGGTTCATTACAAGCCCTTAGGTTAGCAAGTGTTTTCTCAGCGTGCAGAGCTGCCTTCCTGGGCTTTCTCAAAGGGACAAGGCTCAGGGAGGGGAGAGAGGGTAGAGTCCTGATGTATCTGCCCAGCTGGGTACCAAGGAGATGTTGGATGCTGGATACAGGCCGGGCTGTGCTCACCCCAGCAAATCACAGACTTCCTGGCGCCCCCACACCCCCGGTTAAAAATATGATGAAAACGGGGACACGGCAAGACACCCCAGCAGAAACATCAAGCCATCCTTGGGCCCTGCCAATAGGCACCAGCCTTGTGGGGCTGGCGATGTCAGTTCTACGCTGAGTGGGCCCCTACTTGATGACTGTGGGAGTTCCTGTAGGGGCCTGTGGGAAAGGAGGCCCCACTGTAGCCCAGACCCGGCAAGGCTCAGCTGACGGCTGGCAGGGTCTGCTCCTTGGGCCTGGTCTTCAGTTGGGGAGGAAATACTTGGGAGAACCTGCAGCTACACAAACAGAGTGGAGGCATGGAAGGGAAGCTGGACCATGGGAGCAAAGCACCAAGGAGGGCTTGCAGAATCAGGCAGGCCAGGACTGGACTCACTGCCTGTAGCTTGCCCTCTGTGTGGCTGTGGCCTCGCTGATCTTTATTGTCTTTGATTGTAAACAGCACGTTTCTAATGCCTCCTTCATTCATTGGATTATGAGAATGAGCAGAATGATGGGAGGCTGTCAATGTCAAGGTCAAGGGAAGAGGTTCAGCAGCCAAACAGCCTGGGCTACAATTCTGGCTCCACTACTCCTGTGTGATGTTGGGCAAGTCACTTCACCTCCTCAAGCCTCGGTTTCCTCATCTGTGCAATGGGGAAATATTCATAATTGCATCTGCTTCCTAGGAGTGTTGTGAGGGTTCAACCAGCACTTGGAAGGGCCCTGGCACACAGTAAATGAACAAGCTATTATTATTGTTATTAATGATATGGGTAGAGTGCCCAGCACCCTGCCTGGAACTTCACAAAGGCTCTGACATCAGCCTCTCTCCCTGGTGACTTAAATTTCTCATCTATAAAAAAGGGATGTTGGCCGGGTGCAGTGGCTCACACCTGTAATCCCAGCACTTTGGGAGGCTGAGGCGGGCGGATCACAAAGTCAGGAGTTCAAGACGAGCCTGGCCAGCATGGTGAAACCCCGTCTCTACTAAAAATACAAAAATTAGCCAGGCGTGGTGGCACATGCCTGTAGTCCCAGCTACTTGGGAGGCTGAGGCAGGAGAATCACTTGAACCTGGGAGGCAGAAGTTGCAGTGAGCCGAGATCATGCTACCACTCTCCAGCCTGAGTGACACAGTGAGACTCCATCTCAAAAAAAAAAAAAAAAAATAGGATGTTTATTTCTACCTATCTCAGTGAGGCTCTTCTAGAAAACCTTTCCAGGCACTCTCCTTCTTGCCCAGGAGAACATGATTTTCCTCCCCTGCTTCACAGCAAGGATGCAGACTTCCACTGGAGCCCTGAACATGTAGGTTTCTGTGCATTATTCTCCTCTCAGAGCAGGAACTGTAAGGATTGCAGCATCCCTGTGTCCCTGTGCCTCACCTAGTGTCTGATGTGTGGGAGACACTCAGTGAGGGTCTGCAGAGTGAGCCAGTGTGGGTGCTAGGGCCGGGCAAGCAGGATGTGGAGGAGGACACATGTCAGACGAGCAAGAAGGTGCCTGCATGGTGGTTTGTGGCTGCCCTGTGGAACGGGGAGCAGCAGGGGTTATGCCTGTGAGGGCCTCCAGCCACTTTGCTAGAAATGAGTTTCTGAAGCCCTGAGACACAGCGGAGGGATGGGAGGAGGATTGGGATGGAACAGAGGGAAGAATTATGCAACTATCCTTTCCCTGCTCATTTCCTAACCCCCCACCCATCCCTCCACCCTTGGTTAATCATGAAGTCTACAACATTAAAATCTCCAGGGGAACTGTTACAAATCCGAAATGCCCAGACCTAGCTCCAGACCAATTAAATCAGGAATCCCTGGGGGTGGGACCCAGGCGTTTGTATTTTCTTTTCAAGTCCTCAGGTGATTCCAGTGTGCAGCCAAGGTTAAAAATATCAGATCACTTAGGGAAACACATGGTTTCAGAGTCTCAAGAACTACAGGATTGAGTGATGTGTCTTGTCAGCCCCACTGATTTCAGGTTTCCAGCATTGTTGTTTTAGAGGAGCACTTAGAGAATGACTGATACTTGCTGGGCATCCACTAGGCACAAAGCCCCCGGTTGGGTGCTTAAGGGAATACAGCAGTAACCCACAGCAAAAACCAGAATAACAACATTTAGTAACTGCCTATTGTGTGCCTGCCAGACACTTAGCCGACATTTGCTAATCCTTGCAAAAATTCACAAATTTATTACCCCCATCTTAGAGATGAAGGATATAGCAGACACTAACACACTTCCCATATTCGCCCTCATATACCCCAGGCTGCTTACTGCAAACATCTATGGGTTTTTTGTTTTGTTTTGCTTTTTGTTTTCTGGTCAAGGTAGCATTCGAGGACACTCACAGAATACGCTGGAAACATCCTCAACCAAAGATGGATGAGAGTTGGTGGATAAACACCCTGGTTTTTCACCTCTTGACTGGGACAGCTTTGAGATGTATTCTACACCAGTGATTTCAAACTTTCCTGCACATTTGATCACCTGGGGGTGTAAAAAAAAATACTGGTGCCCAGCCTATATCCCAGACCAATTAAGTCAGAATCTCTGTGGATAGAACTCAGGCATTCATATTTTTTAAATCTCCCTGATGAGTGCAACGTTCAGCCGGGTTAGGAAACGGTATTCTGCAGTCCCCCAAAGTTACCCAGCAGTATTGAACTTCAATAGCACAGTGTGGTGACTTGATGAATAATACTCCCTATTAGGGGTTCTTTCCTGCTCCTGTCTCATCTCATACTTTGCCTGCCAGCACTTCCTGGAATCACCTCCCAATAAACTTCAGATATCATGTCCTGGTTTCAGGGTCAGTTCTGTGGGAATCAAAGGAAGTTAAGATCTGGAAAGGTGAAGTGCCTTGTCAAAACCTCATAGCCAGGACATGGCAGAACCAGCATTTGAATTCTTGCTCTCCACAGACTTTGTGGTATGATGGGAGAGACGGGTATTCAGAAAACTACATTGTAGGACAAAAGGAAATGAAAGATCAAAGGGATGTTCAAACAAATGCCTGAGGAGCATTAAAACAAGTCAAACCTGCGATTGAATGTGACTGGGAGTCAGGAAAGCCCTCAAGAATTTGGAATCATTTATGCTGGCAAATGACAGGGATTTCCCGACATGGAGATGTGGGGTAAGGACATTGCCAATCAATGTTGGACCAGCAGGAGCAGAGGCCCAGAGATGGAGCCCAGGGCAGACGTGTATGAGTGAGTGGTCAGCTGGGATGTGATATGAGCTAGAACTAGAGGAGGCAGATGGTGGGATTGGGTGGTCCCTGGGGTCCTTCCTTAACCTCTCATATTGGATTTGGCATGACTGGGTAAGGGTCTTCTCTCTGGAATCTTTTTTTTTTTTTTTTGAGGGGGGACAGGGTCCTGCTGTATCACCCAGGCCAGAGTATAGTGGCGCTGTCACGGCTCACTGCAGCCCCACATCCTGGGCTTAAGTGATCCTCCCACCTGTCTCCTGAGTAGCTAGGACCACAGGTGCATACCACCATGCCTGGCTAATATTTTCATTATTTTTGTAGAAACGAGTCTCCCTATGTTGCCCAGGCTGGTCTTGAACTCCTTGGCTCAAGTGATCCTCCTTCCTCAGCCTCCCAAAGTGCTAGGATTACAGGCATGAGCCACTATTCCAAGCCACTCTCTGAAATATTTTACCACAACTGTGAGGGCTAGGGGCTAACCGAAAGCTATGTCCAGGGATGTGGGTGGGAGGGGGAAAAAGAGGTGGACCAATGTCAAGTCCTAATGATGAACCTGGGCTGCTTATAAAGGAACCATCCTACAGGGACAGGGTGGCAGGGGTTGGGGGTCCATCTGGTCCCCACCTTCCTCTCTCCTCTCACCACCCACCACTCTGCTGCTCCCTGTACTCAATGTCTGAAAGGCCAAGGCTGCTTCTGCCACTGGTCCTTTGCCTCTGCTGTGCCCCCTGCCTGGAGAGCTCTTTCTTCAATTCTCAGAATGCTCCCTTTTCCCATCACTCAGAATTCTGCTAGAAACTCACATCCTTGGAGAGGCTCTCCTGGACTATCTTCCCCTTTCCCTTGTCCCCTCCCTACGGGTTCTCCCACATTACCTCATTTTCTTCCTTTCCTGCACACAACACATCTGAGATTCGTCTTGAGTCTATTTCTGTTGGCTTCCTTACCCTGTCAGTCTCCCCTTCCGGGCTGCATGGGAGTAGGCAGGTTGCTCTGTCTCCATCACGTGTGCCTGTCCCCTCCGATCCTAGAACAGTGAATGACTGAACTGGGCAGGCCCAGAGAAGTGTGCAGTGGGGGCCTGGGTGAATTCTGGGGGGTGGGAAGGAGGGCACTGCCTTTGCCCTGCCATGCTGCGCTGGGGATGTTGATCTGTGCTCAGGCAGTCAGGCTGGCCCAAATGAGCAGCGCCTAACAGTGGCCAATCAATACTGATAAGGGAGCTAAATCAGGTTAAGACCCATCTCTCCAGGGTTGGTGTCAGGCCATAAACAGCTTCACAGGAGTCCAAGGTCAAGGGTGTAGGTCTCACCCCACTCCCATCCCCCACTGGGTACATGGGGCCCCTTCCGCCAGCCCAGGAAGCCCACCCAGCCTGCACACGTGTGCTCCAGGCTGTTGCTCTTCTCCTGCCCTGCTTCCCTCTCATCCCACGCACTAGAATGTCCTTTCCTTCTGCATTTTATTTCTGTACCCAAGGTCTGATGTGGTCACGCACACACTGACATTTAAAGACCCAGCCGAGAAATCAATCAGTGTGGTCTGTCCTTCAGCGCCTCAGGAAACTATGTGACTGAGCCAGGCCTTGTCTGGCTCACACCCTATTGATTTGTAATGGTAGCCATGGCTTCTGAAATGGCAAGTGGGACTTCCCTTGCCATTTCTAGGACATCCCTGGAAATGCTATGGGAAAAACAGGAGGCAGTGTATCAGAATGGTCAGGAGCCTTGGGAGCCATCCTGCCCAGACTTGAATTCCAGCCTCTGATTTGCTGGTTGTGTGACCTGTGCCACTTGCTCAACCTGTCAGTCTCAGTGAATGGGGGATGACTGGCATCTACACCGTAGGACTGCAGTGATGATAGGGTGAGTTGATAAACATAAAGCACAGAGAATGATGTCCGTGACATAGTGCTGTATAAATGCTGGCTATGGTTATGGTCTTTAGAGTGAGGATAGAAACGGTGCTCACATCCCAAGATTGTTATGAGGATGAAATGAAATAACTCACATGTAATCCCACTCAGCATAGTACAAACACTCAATAGACATTAGCGAGCCCTGCAACTTAAGGAGATACAATCTGGAGGATATAAGCCAAGGACAAATGTCCCTTGAAAGGACAATAATCATTAGGAATAAAGAAGGATTGAATTTATGAATTCACAAATCACCCAAATTTTCAGGAAGATGGCTTTCAGGCAGAGTGAGGTGAGCCTGCTGTGGGGCTGCCTGGAGTCAGGCAGTGTGAAGCTGCTTTGTCCCAAGGAGCTTGTCCCGTCTGCAGTGAGATGAAAGACCATCTGGGCCCAGGGGTCACGAGTCCTCATGTGACTCCCAGAGCCCGATTAGTGAGCCGTGGGAAGTAGAAATCCTCCCCAAGGAGCTCCGGGCTCCCAGTCTCAGATACAAGGTCCCTTTTATATCTATCCTATGCCTGGGGCCAGGACCTGATCATATGTCTATTTGGATTGAGGGCAAAGGGGAGAGAGGGCTAGGAGGGAGAGGATTAAGATTACCCAAGTCCCATAAACATGACCAGAGATAACCCTCAGGACTGGAATGTGGCAAAAGAAAAGTGGGTTTCGTGCCTGGGAAAACGCTGCGTTGCCAGGAGGAAGAGAGGAACCAGCAGTGACTGAACTCTGGGCAGTGAGTTTCATATACATCTGGGGAGCTATGTCTGAAGTCTGAAGTCTGGAGTCCGAAGTCACACAGCTAATGAAGGGAAGAGCTGGGATTTGAACCTAGGTTCATGGATTCCAAAGACTATTTCCCCACTGATGATGCTGGTTGGTACCCTAATGGAAGGAGGCAAAACAGAAAACCTGCCAGGGTTTACCCAGCCTTATGTAAGGGGGAGGGGAGGGTAGATGCCCATATTCAGGCCATTAGAGAATAGAATTCTGTTTTGTTGTTGTTGTTGTTGTTGTTGTTTTGAGACTGAGTCTCGCTTTTGTCGCACAGGCTGGAATGCAATGGCACAATATGTTGTGGGCCAAGGCTAATGTGGCCACAGCTTTGTGGAGGATGCCTTGAGATGCTCTGTTCCCTAGGTTACTAGATTATCTTTTTTTTCTGAGACATGGTCTCACTCTCTCGCCCAGGCTAGACAGGAGTACAGTGGCGCAATCACAGCTCACTGCAACCTTTGCCTCCCAGGCTCAAGCGATCCTCCCACCTCAGCATCCCAAGTAGGTGGGACTGTAGGCGCACAACACCATGCCTGGCTAATGTTTGTATTTTTTGTAGAGGTGGGGTTTTGCCATGTTGCCCAGGCTGGTCTGGAACTCCTGGGCTCAAGCGATCCTCCCACCCTGGCCTCCCAAAATGTTGAGATTACAGGCGTGAACTGCCATGCCTGGCCTCCCTAGGCTCTTATTCTGCACTCACCTTCAGATGATAATTTAGTTCCCGGGGATCTTGCTAGCAGAAAGAGGTGTCCCACCTACAGATGCACAGGTTCCTCTCACTGATAACACTTACTTCCCTTCACGAGTGATGAGGCTTGGACTGTGTGACAATGTGGGGTAGAGGAAAGAGTTGGATTTTAGAGTCAGATTGGCTTTTCCATGCATTAGCCCGCAAGTTCCTCAACCTCTCTAAGCTTCCATTTCCTTCCTCACTGGTAAGATGGGGTTTAAAAAGACTGACCTGAGGGAGCTAATGCAAGTGGTGGCAGGTGCCTGTAGTCCCAGCTACTTGGGAGGCTGAGACAGGAGAATCAGTTGAACCTGGGAGGCGGAGGTTGCAGTGAGCCGAGATTGTGCCACTGCACTCCAGCCTCGTGACAGAGCGAGACTATGTCTCAAAAAAAAAAAAAAAAACAAAAAAACCAAAACAACCCCCAAAAGAAAGGCCTATTCCAGTACCTGGTATACAGTAGGGGCTCAACAACTGGTTAGATATTTTAAAACGCATTGACATTCTAATCTGGCAATCATTCTTTTCTGAGTTGGTCTCTCAGCTATTGAGTAGCAACGGAGAGAAGATGAGAATTTCATCAGGCTCCAGAGAGCTAGGCTCAAGATGCTGACCCTTGGGAGTGCCCTCAGAGAAGCCAGCAGGTGGGGCTAGCCTTGGCTTTGCAGAAGTGCAGGCCTGGCAGGTCGTGGTGGTGAGGGTCCCTGGGGCTGGCATGGTTATCTGGAGGGGGAGGAGGTGGTCTGAGGTGGGTGGTGAAGGCAGAAGAGTATTGGAGAAGGGTAACTGAGGGCCAGACAGCCTATGAGTCCCCAGTTCTGAGAAGACCCCAGGAAGCCAACCAAGCTGAAGGCAGGATGCCTGGTACTCAGGAACGGCAGGAAAGCCACAGGCTGGACTAGACTAGCTCCCTCCCCACCAACCACCTGCTTTGTAAAAACAGATCCCTGGGCCCAACCTTGAAAATTCGGATTGAGTAGATCTGAGTTGAGACCCATTAAATGGTATTTTTAAAACATTCTTGTCCGGGCATGGTGGCTCACGCCTGTAATTCCAGCACTTTGGGAGGCCAAGGTGGGTGGATCACTTGAGGTCAGGAATTCGAGACCAGTCTGGCCAACATGGTGAAACCTCATCTCTACTAAAAATACAAAAATTAGCTGAGCGTGGTGGTGTACACCTGTAATCTCAGCTACATGGGAGACTGAGGCAGGAGAATCGGTTGAACCCAGGAGGTGGAGGTTGCAGTGGGCCTAGATTGCACCACTGCACTCCAGCCTGGGAGACGAGTGAGACTCTATCTCAAAAAACAAAAACAAAAACATTATTAGCTGGGTGTGGTGTCTCATGCCTGTAATCCCAGCACTTTAGGAGGCCAAAGTGGAAGGACTGCTTGAGCTCAGGAGGTCAAGGCTGTAGTGAGCCAATGATCACCCCACTGCACTCCAGCCTGGGTGACAGAGCAAGACCCTGTCTCAAAAACAAAAGCAAAGCATTCTCCACAGCAGAATAGTGTGTACAGCATGCCATGATTTTACATATCTCTATATATGTATGTATATATATAGACTTAAAAATACCTCTAAAAGGGTACACAAAAAACTCTAGTAATTGTCTATGAGGAGAATGGAGGGTCAGGTAGGAAAGGAAACCTAGTTTTCTTTTTTTTTTTTTTTGAGACGGAGTCTCACTCTGTTGCCCAGGCTGGAGTGCAGTGGCGCGATCTCAGCTCACTGCAAGCTCCGCCTCCCGGGTTCACGCCATTCTCCCATTCTCCTGCCTCAGCCTCCTGAGTAGCTGGGACTACAGGCGCCCGCCACGACTCCCGGCTAATTTTTTGTATTTTTAGTAGAGACGGGGTTTCACCGTGTTAGGATGGTCTCGATCTCCTGACCTTGTGATCCACCCGCCTCGGCATCCCAAAGTACTGGGATTACAAGCCCACCGCGCCCAGCCTCTAGTTTTCATTTATACTCATATGTGGGGTTGTAATTTTCTTTATTATGTGTGTTTATTCACATAATTACATTCATACAATTTTTAAAATTAAGGTGGAATTCACATAACATAAAATTAACCATTTTAAAGTGAACAATTTAATTAATTTAATGACATTTAGTACCTTCACAGTATCGTGCAACCTCTATCCAATTCTAAAGCATTTCCATGATTCCAATGCAAACCCCTTATCAAGCAGTTTCTCCCCATTACTCTCTCTCCCCAGCTCCAGCAAACAACCAATCTCCATTCTATTTCTGTGAATTTGTCTATTCTGGATATTTCATATAAATGAAATCATATAGTACATAATCTTTTGTGTCTGGCTGCTTTCACTTAGCATAAAGTTTTTGAGGTTTATCCACGATCTAGCATGTATCAGTACTTCATTCCTTTTTATGGCTGAATAATATTCTGCTATATATGCCACAATTTGTTAAGCCACTCGTCTGTTGATGGACATTTGGACTGTTTCCACCTTTTGGCTATTGTGGATGCTGCTGTAATAAACATTCCTGGAGAGGTACTGGGTTGGGTATTAGTTTTCAGTTCTTTTGAGTGTATACCTAGCAGTGTAATTGCTGGATCATATAGTAATTCTATGTTTAATTTCTGAGGAATCACCATGCTGTTTTCCACTGCACCTGAAACATTTTATATTCCAATTAATACAATCTTAAAGGTTCCAAAGGTGTTGGGTAAAAAGAGGAAAAAAATAAACTATTAAACTTCTGTTTCCAAAATTGGAAAACTTTAATCATTTCCCTAACATCTAAGCAGGCACTTGGGCACACTTCCTGGCTGGATCCTGCTTGCTACACTAGCACAAAGAGAAGGGGCTGGCTGCTCACCCTCCTCCTGCCCCCTCTCACTTGCCCTCCACATACGTAGTCACTTGTAACTTATTGTTACTGACTTTGAATGGAAGCTTTCAGCTGCTCCATCCTTCCTCTGTTGGTTGAAGGGCTGTCAATGGGATGGGAATTACAACCGTAGCTGCTGTTATCTGTGTCGTATGGCTGGCTGTGTATTACTGGCTGCACTTGCCAGGGAATTAATCCCCTAAGTGTGGATGGCAAATGATGAAAACCTGGCACATAAATAAGGAGACAGGCAGCGCTCCACTGACATGCCTTGGGAAGTGATCAGCTTGTCCCTGTGCACCATACTCAATGTCTCCAAGCTCAAGGGCCATTCATCCGCAGGGAAACAGCCAGACTTTCATTCATTCATTCAATGAACATTTATGGAATAGAGCACCTATTCTGTGCAGCACCGTTCTAGACATTTTTATGAGTTGTATTGTGTAAGACTTACAATAGAAAGATATTATTGTCCTCAGTTCAAAATGAGGAAGTGGAGATTCAGAGAAATTAATAAATTTTCCCATCATCACACAGCTAGTATGTAGTGGAACCAGGACTTGGACTGAATTCCCTAGGGCCTCCCTCTCTGTCTCACTTCCTTCTACACTTATTTACAGCAAGCTGTATGTGCCAGGCACCCATGGTAGGCACTGAGGATATCATAGTGAACCAGACAGACTGGTGTAAACTGTTCCCTGTTGCTTTTCCATTGTGTCCTATGACTCCTGGGCATCATCTCAAACCTACTCGATTTCTTCTCAAATGTTCCTTCTTACATAATGACCAATGCAGCACAGTCCAAAGAGCTGTGAGGTTGAAGATGAATTAAATTCAGGCCCTGGGTTCATGCCTCTTTGAATATAGACCTAAAATCTCATGGTTCCAAGATGTGATTAGCAAATTTCATCATGCCCCTCTTGCTCCAAAACCTCCCATGGCCCAGGGCCTACAAACATTTCTGTGACATGAAAAATGGTAAAGACTCAAGTGGGGCTCTCCATGGGAGCTGAACCATGCACAAAGGTTGAGGAGAGCATTTTAAAAAGTGCTTTTCTGTGCATAATGCGAAATTCATGGATAGAGAGGCATCAGCTAGGCGTCAGACCATGGAGGGAGGCATTTCTCCAAACTGAGAAACAAGGCAAGGCTTCAAGACTGAAAGACCATGACTAAGAAAAAAAAAGTCTGAAAGACCAGCTGTCCCTAGAAGATGCTGTCAAGACCCACACACATCCAGTTCATTTGTGTACGGCACCCAGGCCCTCCGTTTATCATCTTTGGTTCAGGTTTTGCATATTCGGGTAAGTTTGTGCTTAGGTTATGCAAGTAAACATATGCTGAGAGGTAGCAATGTTTATTTCAGTGGAAGCATTTATTTTAATAGCTTTATAAATCACACCAGGATTGCATTTATAGCATCATTAAGGAACTGAAGGGGTCACTTAAATGCTTAAGTTAGACTTTGCTGCTGCACTTTATGGGAGACATTATATGCTGTCAAAGGCAGAAGGATAAGAAGCTAGGTCCCACCTTCCTGTTCCCCCTACACTCCATATCCCCAAATACCTAGATTTTAAAATGAAGAGTTATAGACAGTGAACAGAAAGACTTTAGTAGTGTCCTTGTATCATTGCCAGTCTCCTCTTGAGGACTAAAAACTTCAGGATTTGGAGTCTAGAGACCCACAATCTGGGCTTTATACACCATCTATATAGGGCAGGGGTCCCCAACCCCTGAGGGACCAGTACCAGTCCATGGCTTGTTAGGAACCAGGCTGCAGAGCAGGAGCTGAGTGGAGGGCAGGCGAGCATGACCACCTGAGCTCTGCCTCCTGTCAGAGCAGCGGCGTCATTAGAGTCTCGTAGGAGCGGAAACCCTACTGTGAACTGCACATGGGAGGGATCTAGTTTGCGTGCTCCTTATGAGAATCTAACTAATGTCTGATGATCTGAAGTGGAACAGTTTCAGCCCAAAACCATTTCCCCCCTGCCCCTTGTCCATGAAAAAATTGTCTTCCACAAAACTGGTCCCTGGTGTCAAACAGGTTGGGGACTGCTGGTGTAAGGGACTTTGGAAAAAATCACTTGAACTTCCTGGGCCCATTTCCTCGATTGTAAAAAACAAAATGAAACAAAACAAAACAAAACAAAGCAAAATGGGAACTATAACAACCACAAGGCTGTGGCTTTGTAAACAATGTAACAAGACCCCATCTCCACACACACAAAATTAACAATTAGCCAGGTGTGGTGATGCATGCCTGTTACGGCTTTTGTAATTCCCCAACCTCACTCCAGAGACTGCTGCTGGGTTTAGGGCTGAGATGAACAGGGGCCTCTGAAGGGAAGTGTATTTGTTTCCTGTGGCCGCCATAACAAATGACCACATACTGGAAGGCTTGACATAATGGAAACGTGTTGTCTCATAGCTCTGAAGGCCAGAAGTTTGGAATCAAGGTGTCAGCAGGGCTGGTTCTTTCTGGAGGCTCCGAGGGAGAATCTGTTCCCTGTGTATCTCCTCGCTTCTGTGGCTCTGCAATCCAATCCTGGCATGCTGTGGCTTGCAGATGTATCCCTCTGATCTCTACACCCTGTCTTCATGTGGTTTTCCCCCTGTGTCTCTTTGTCTCCAATTTCTCCTTTCTTTTATAAGGACACTAGTCATTGCATTTAGACGCACCCTAAATCCCGGATAATCTCATCTTCAGATCCTTACCTTAATCACATCTGCAAAGATTCTACTTCCAGATAAGATCACATTCACAGGTACCAGGGGTTAGGACTCAATTTCACCCACTATAGGCAAGAACATGTAAATCCTATCTAAGAGAGGAGGCTAAAATTCATGGCAAGAATGAGGATCTGGACCAGATTAATTAGGGTGGGAGGTAAGGGATGAATATGAGGGGCAGGAGGACTGGCTTTCACGTGGTACTATCCATGGTGTGTGTTGGCGGGGCGGGGTGGGGGACAGAACTAGCAGTTACAAAAAGCCGAACTGAACCACCCACCACTTGTCTCATGCCAAAATAGGAGCTGAAAATTTAGTAGTGGCCAGGCACCATGGCTCATGCCTGTAATCCCAGCACTTTGGGAGGCCAAGGTGGTGGGAGGATCCTTGAGGAACTCCCAGTAGTTCGAGACCAGCCTGGACAATGTAACAAGACCCCATCTCCACACAAAAAAATTACAAATTAGCCAGGTGTGGTGATGCATGCCTGTAGTCCCAGCTACTTGGGAGGCTGGGGCAGGAGGATGGCTTGAGCCCAGGAGTTCAAGGTTGCAGTGAACTATGATTGTGCTACTGCTCTCTACTGGTATTTGTTACTCTTCCAGAGATATTTTTAAGGGCAAGAACTCTGAAGTCAGACTGTCGCGTGCAAACCCAGGCTGTTTGGCTGTCTTAGTCCATTTTGGTGCTACAACAGAATATTTGGGATGGACTAATTTATAAAGAATGGAAATTTATTTCTCACAGTTCTAGAGGCTGGGAAGTCCAAGATCAAGGTGCCAGCATCTTGTGAGGATCCTCTTGCTGTATCATCCCATGGAGGAAGGCAAGAGGATAAGAGAGAGAAAAAAGGGGAAAACTGGACCTTTTATAAGAACCCACTCCTTTGATAATGGCATTAATCCATTCTTGAGAGCGGAGTGCTCATGGCCTAATCACCTCTTAGTGGTCTCACCTCTTAATGCCATCACAATGGCAATTAAATGGCAACATGAGTTTGGGAGGGGACAAATATTTAAACCATAGCAATGACTTTGGGTAAATCACTATGCCTAACTTAGGTTGAGTTCCTTAAAAAGAGCCTGAGACAAGATTCCAACGCACTTGATTTATTGAGGGAGTGCTTTTGGGAGAAAAGGGGCAAGGAAAGCAGGATAGAGGTAGCAAATGGATCTAAGCAAGAATGTAATCCCAGCTAGAGTCTAGCTTTTGCTTGACTCCACCGCAAAAAAATTTGGAGGGAGAATTGCACCATACAGTTGGTCCCACTTTGTGGTGGTCCTGCCCTGCATCAACTAGTCAGTGGCTGAGGGCTGCCATAGTGGGAGGGGAAGGCAGTGTATAACTTCCTAGGTGAGACCACTCCTATCCAGCCAGGGGCAATTCTCTGGAAAGAGGGGAAGCTGTGAGTCTTTAGCAGCCAACATTTACAGCCAGGAAAGGGAACTAACAGTATTCACTATGTATAACTTTGTATACTTCAGTTTCCTCAACTACAAAATGGAGCTGGTAATAGTAACTATCTCATATGATTGTTAAGCCATTTAAATATGTTAATATATGTGAAGCCTGCCACATGTACATGTTCAGTAAATCTTAGCTATGATTATTGTAATATTTATTGATGAGTAACAAACCATCCCAAAATTTAGCAGCTTAAAATAACAAACATTTATTAGATAACTCAGTTTCCGAGGACTAGAAATTAGGAATGGCTTAGATGGGTGGTTCTGGTTGATGGCCTTTCACGAAGATGCAGTGAAATGTCAGCTGGGGCCGCAGTCATTTGAAGGTTTGACTGGGGCTGGACAGTCTGCTTCCAAGGTGGCACACTCACGCAGCTATTGGCAGGAGGCCTCAGTTCCTTACTCCATGGACATCTGCATTGGCTGCTTGTGTGTCCTAGTGATGTGGCAGGTGGCTTCTACCTTAGCAAACAATCCAAAAGAGGGAACTAGGAGGAATCTACAAAACACTTTATAACCCAGACTTGGAAATCACACACCATAACTTCTGCTATATTTTATCGGTCATGAGTCACCCAGTCCAAGCCATGCTCAAGGAGATGGGAATTAAGTTCTGTCTCTTAAAAGGAACAATATTGAATAACTGTGGAATTTAAAATCTACCACAATTAGTTATTGTTAATTTCTATAGTAAGCTTGGAAACTACTGATTTGTCCTCCAAGGAAAATTTGTGTTTGAAAAATGAACACACAAGTAGGCCACGAATAAATCTCAAGCAATGGATCATTCATGCATTTACATAAAGTAGCTGTCTTTTTACTATTATTATTATTCTATATCTAGAAATAAAGTAGTTGTTTCTGGGAAGGGGAGACTTGCAGGGCCCGCTGAATAACACCATACCTTCCATTTGCACACTAGCATACCGCCACTGCCCCAGAAAAATTCCACTTCTCTTGATTGGCCAGTGGAGTCCAAGAAGCTGCAAACCTCTGGTATAGTCAATTGTTTAACCTTTCCTAACTACACACACAAACACACACACACACACCCCTCATGATTCTGTTCTGCTTAATCTTTTAGCTTCCTGGATTCACTCACTAAACCTGGCTCCTTCTGGCTGTATTCTGGGTTTGTCGACCTTGGTTTCCCATGCGACTTTCAGCGTTGCTTACTTTCTGGTCTCTAGCTTCCAGGAATACCATCCTTCCCTCTCCAGCCCAAGCTCTGGACTGGGCCAGCCTCTGCCCAATGCTCAGGCCTGCAGGACCAGGGGGATTCAGGCTTACTCAGCCTTCCTGTCCTTTCTCGCCACAAACTTCCAACTTCCATCCTTTGCTACTGGATCGATTGGCCAGGTCTTCACTACCAGACCAAAACAAAGGGTGGGGACAATTATTTAGATCATTCAGACACTCACTCAAGCAAAAACAATGATTTTATTTCCCCTGAATGATCCAGATAATTATTTTAATTCTCTGCTTCACTTTGTCTCTGGAGCCCTGACCTCTTCATTCTATGACTCTAGTTAAAATTTGGTCCCAGTGATAAATATTTCTTGTCTAATTGTCTTCTCCACTCATGTTCCACAAGAGGTGATTTCCAGGGAAAAGGATCTGTAGGTAAATGAGCATTAACTTCAATCCTGGGCAATGTGAAAATTAAAATAAAGCTGTCATGGCATACGTTCTATCCACATTTCACTTTCTGGAAGGGCCCCTCTATTTCATCCCTCCCCAACCCCTGTCACACACAGCAGCAAGGAGCAAATTACCATTTATTAAACTCTAATTATCATTCCCATTTTTCAATACCATTCTCTGTGTATGTGTGCAGCACACCAGCCTGTACTCACTGCCATTAAATCAGCAATAAGTCTTGTTAGCATAGCATCCATATTTATAGGCAGGATTGAGTGATGCTCAGTGACATGGTATAAAGTCGAATGCCCTTAATAGAAGGTTAGGGACATGTCCTGATTTTGGAGTGATCCAGCCACATGGCAGATGTGGGAGGTTTGAGGGGACTTAAAGCTTTAGACTGTTTTGAGACAGTGTCACAGAGACTTGGAGGCTGGCAGGCGATGACAGTGTCCTGCTCTGTTGCCGTCAGAACAACAGGTCAGAAAGTACGTTGCAGATCCCGTTGGAACTGGCTGGGTTCTTTCCACTCCTCTGGACCTGGGATGTCCAGGCCGGGCATTTGCCCGAGCAACACGAGTTTCTTGTAAGATTCTTTGTTAATTACCTCCTTCGCTAGGTAACCATCAAGTGGTTGTCAGGAGAGTCATATGTGATAGGCCAAGTCCTTTATCTTATCAGTAGGGGAGATTGGCTGTGTGGCTGGCACCTTGTCAGCCAGGGTTCATGGGTATAACATGTCCAATGTGTCTAGCCCAACAAACTCAGATGTGTACAACTCCAAAGTCCACGTCCTTTTTACTAATACTGAGCATCTCTCCCTAGAAATTAAAAGCGGACTCCTTCATTTCCTGTTTCTCATTGCAAAACTTTGCCGTGACTTCTGATAAGCACACAGGTGCCCAGTCACCATCTTGTGACCAAATGCTGCCCAAAGAGACGCAGCATGACCTGCTCACTCCATAGGGTCCTGCTTCTCCCACCCCAATTCCATAGCACTTGCCAAGTGGTCCTGCCCATCTGAGGCAGCTTCATGCTTCACTGGCTGCCCATCACCCTTCCCGGCCCAGGTAAGGTTCGGGAGCCTCCGGAGCTTACCTGCTCATCAGTTCCCTGATGAGCCCCAGGGCTTACCTGGTCTCCCGCTGCTCACCTTAACTCATTAGATTCAGGATCTGGGAGCTAGAAGGAGCATAAGAACTTGGCCTAACAGTTTCATTCTGCAGACAGGTCAGAGGCACAGAGGCAGGGGTGGGGAGGTCCCCTTCCCCCTTCACAGACACCTGGTGTCTCTTCACCTATTGTTCAGCAGGGGCTGGCAGCTCCCTGCAGTGTAATCACCCTCAGCTCATTAACAGGCTGTGCTCATTTGCATATCTAAATATCCCTGTACATAGAAAACAGAGACTATTACATCTTTCCCTTACGTGTATACATGAAAAAAGCAGAGAGGAGGCAGACAGGAAAGACAGATCACACCCCTTTCCCCATCCCTCCCAGTCACCTGTTGGTCAGTTTTGTTTTGCTTTTCAAACCAGCCCATTTTTTCCTTGCAGACAGAGCATCAGTAAACTATCTTGTAGCTACTGCCTCCTTCATTTTCATATGAAAAAGCTATGAGTCTGCCCTATTTTTACTTTCCTTAATTTTACCTCTTCTCTGGCTCCACTTCCAAAAGGACACCCCAACCCCTCAAAAAAAACAAAAACAAAACCAAAAAACCATAGCCTTCTACATCCATCAGCTTTATGCAAATGTATCAACACACCCACCCTCATTCAGCATGCTCAGAAACAGGAACTGTCTATCTATAGATCAGCCTGATTGCAGTTCATTTTTATACAGTTTAGGAAGCGTGAAAAGTCACAGGCTGGGGATAAAACAGCCTGAAATCGTCATACAGATGATCATGGCACATGTAGATCATTTATTCCAGGAGTGCCTTGATGGGCCCCCAGAATTCACCCCTATGGATTTCTCATCAGTTTGTAGGGAAAAATGGTGCTCTAATGATGCCATCTAGGGTTATGCCATCTTAATCATAGGTGGGGGGCACTCATCGCTGCCCAGCTGCCAGCTTTCTGGGAAAATATCTCCAAAACAGCAGACCCCAAGGCAGGAGGATCTGCCCTGAGAGATGGAGTGGCTGGGGGTGAAAGTCTGGACAGTAGTGGGACTTGCTCCCAGCTTTGTACCTTCACCCACTCTGCAAGCATTTATTGGGCCCCCTACTGTGTTCACAGTGCACTTTTAAGTGCTTGCTACGTATCATTCACTATTCCAATTGCTTTACAAATACTAACTCATTTAATCCTCATCACAATCCTCAATCCTATGAGGCAGGTGCTATTATCCTCACTTTACAGATGAGAAAACTGAGACACAGAGAGGTTAAGTGACATGCCCAAAGTCACACAGCTGATAAGTGTGAAGCCAGGATTCTAACTCAGTCAGCCTGGCATCAGCCTGTGCTCTCAATCATTATGGAGAGCTTTCCATGTAGCCGGAACAATGACACAATGCGGTGACGACTATTTGTCCCTTGCTTCTCTGCATCCATTCACTCTTATTCTCTTCTGGGGAATCCACTTCGCCTGGAAGTAGCTGGGGTGCATTTGGCTCCATTCCCACCTCCTGGGGTAGGTTTCACTGGTCTAGGCAGCTCACCAAATCCCATTCTCAGCCACCCTGATTGGTTGGGATCAGGCACATGGATGGCCACAGAGAGTGAATCCCAGGGGTTCTGAGAGAGACTCTCTCTTCCACATGACAGAGCAACGTACGGAGGGGATGGTGCTGGGTGGGGTAAGTGAGAGCTGAAGGACTAGCATGTGGAGCTTAAGGATGGATACATGGAAGCCAGAGCAGAGGCAAAGACACCACTCAAGTCTTTGCTAAAACTGTTTAGGCTACTGGATCAGGCTTTGCCTAAATCTAGTACCATCTTCAAACTTTTCAATTGCACAACACATAGTAGGCTCTTGATAGATATTTGCTGAAAACATGAGCTAATAAAACCCCTTTATTGGGTAAACCAGTTTAAGTTGAGTTTTCTGTAATTGGCAACTGAAAGATTCCTATCTGATATACACACATACTTGTGATGAAATAAACATAAGAAAAATGTGGTATATCTGTACACAGCACACACCAGGAGATTAGTTTTGTTAAAATAATATTTTGGGCTGGGTGAGGTGAATCACGCCTGTAATCCCAGCACTTTGGGAGGCCGAGGCAGGCAGATCACCTGAGGTCAGGAGTTCAAGACCAGCCTGACCAACATGGAGAAACCCCGTCTCTACTAAAAAATACAAAATTAGCCGGGCGTGGTGGTGCATGCCTGTAATCCCAGCAACTCGGGAGGCTGAGGCAGGAGAATCACTTGAACCTGGGAGGCGGAGGTTGCAGTGAGCTGAGATCGCACCAGGCATGGTTCCTGGGTCTGGGTGTCTATTTATAGTAGAAGAATGTTTCTTTAATCTGGGGACTTTGTGAAAGTGACAAAAAGATTTGTTAAGGGTAAGTGAACCCACACTCTAAAAGGAGACCTAGACGTAGAGTGTGATACATATTTATAGATTATAAATGATCAAGTCTCAAAAGTGTTCTGTAGCAGATCCTCCCTTCCTAAGGAATGGCAGTGCTGGGGGCCTGGGATGGCCTGGGTTCCTGCTGGTTTGCTCTGAGCTCCCAGAACTAGAGCCCAGCCTACCTCCCCTTCTGGGACATTTAACACTGAAGCCAAGCATTTGGTTCTTTTCTTGCTTAATTCTCAGACCTTAAGAACTGGGTTTGATACAGCTCCGATGAGTGGAGGAACACCAGGGTTCTTGGTCCTCATGCCGGTTTAGATAAAACGACACAGACACAAGTAGAGTGGTTTTATGGAGTGGATCGTTTAATAGGCAAGAAGGAGGAGAGAAGACATAAGAAGCTCCCCCGTACAGAGACAGAGGGAGGGGGGCTGCAAAGCCGAAAGAGGAGGTGCCCGCCTGCCACGGATACCAGCCAGGTGTATATGCAGAGGCTGGAGGAGGCGATGTCTGATTTGCATAGGGCTTAGGGGATTGGTTTGACCAGGCATGTGATTCATGTAGCCGGAGAAAAAGCTGGCCCTCCCACCCTAGCCTTTTAATATGCAAATACAGGGCACCATGATGTTCTACACACATGGGGATTTGTGGGGGTGGCCATGTCACCAGGCACATGTGGGGCAAGGGCAAGAAGAAAAAGGAGGGAATGGCCATGTTTGGGTGGACCCAGCTTCTAATGGCCTGGATTTGCATATCAAAGGTTATCAAAGTTTGCCGGTCTGGCTTTACAAGAACATTTTCCAGAGATGTCTTAAAAAAAGAAAACTTCCCAAGGACCCCTTTTTCTCTCTATCTGCCTAAAATAATTCCTTAATAACTACTACAACAGGTTGAAGCTGGGTATGGTGGCGCGCGCCTGTGGTCCCAGCTACTCGGGAGGCTGAGGTGGGAAGACTGCCTGAGCCTAGGAGTTCGAGGCTGCAGTGAGCCATGATTGCGCCACTGTACTCCAGCCTGGGGGAGAGACCGAGAGAGAGCTGAGAGAGAGAGAGACAGATAACTGGGTTGCTACCAGTCTCTGTGTGTGGAGGGCTGTTTCCCTCGTTGTGTTATCCCTGGCTGCTGCCTCTAACCTTCTAACCTAAGGGTTCTATGTTTGCTTTCATCTGCATTGTAACCATGGGGAGTCACTTCCTGCTAGGGTCCAGTCTGAAGAGGGACCCTCGGTTATGCAGAATCAAGGAAGATGACTAGGAAACCAGCCCCCCAAAATCAGAAGTTCACGTCACACATTCAGCCAAAAACTAAACCAGTGGAAATGATCCTTAATGTTTGATTCCTCTGACCCCCTGTCATGAGCACCTTTACAGACGGGCAATGTCACACTCCCCTTGCTTCTTCTGAATACTCCGACGCTTCTTTTTTGTTTGTTTGTTTGTTTTTGTTTGTTTTTTGAGACGGAGTCTCTCTCTGTCGCCCAGGCTGGAGTGCGCATGATCTCGGCTCACTGCAAGCTCCGCCTCCCTGGTTCACGCCATTCTCCTGCCTCAGCTTCCTGAGTAGCTGGACTACAGGCTCCCGCCACCATGCCCGGCTAATTTTTTTGTATTTTTAGTAGAGACGGGGTTTCATCGTGTTAGCCGGGATGGTCGGTCTCGATCTCCTGACCTCGTGATCCGCCCGCCTCGGCCTCCCGAAGTGCTGGGATTACAGGCGTGAGTCACCGCGCCCGGCCATTCTTCTTGTTTTCAAATGTGTATTTAACCTTGTTTTCAAATGTATGTTTGCAAATGCAAGTTATCAGTTTCCTCTCCTGGATTTTTCTTTTTAATTTTTGGTGCCAGCACAGGACCTCTCTGTGATACCTGTGTATCACAAAGCAATTCTTGGAAGGCTGTGTGTGGAATAGCGGGTCTCGGGTATTCACAGTTGCTTAAGATACATGAGAAAGCCTAAATGTAGGTAAGTGTATGAAGGAGCTGGGATGATGGTCCCCGACCCCGGCTGGCAAGCACTCTCTTCCTTCCTCCCTGTAATACAGGTCTTAAAAACAGCAAAGCTCTATTTTAAAATTTAGAGTCTGTGGAATTTTCTTCCTTGCCCAGTTGATGCCAGAATGTTCTCTGGGTTGTGCGCCAGTAAGTCTCCATGTCCTCCCTCTCCCCTGCATCTGTTCCCTTCTCTAGGGCTCAGGTGTCCAGCCTCTCCTCCTCCCCTTTACCCAGCATGGGTCCTGTGTCATAGCATCAGAACACCCTCTCCCCTGCACCTCTATTCCTCAATCCTTGGTCTTTGCCCCCCCTTGAAATCTCCGTCCTAGAGTAATGCTGCTGCTGCTTCTCTCCTCCACTAACCAGGACGGAAGACCACTGCTGGAGAAAACCACAGAAAGACCCAGAACAGCCCCTCCATGGTCCCCAGTCCCAGCCCTCAGAGCCGTCCTAGAGCAGCCTCCTTTCCTAATCCCCTCATTAATCAAAGAAGAAAGTGTCACTGCTTGCCTCAACTTCCCTCTTTACTCTTGCTCTCTTCCATTTCACTAGGAGAGTCTGCCCTTTCTGCATGAGAAAACTGAGGCCATCAAAGGTGAGAGACTCAGTTTGCTCACTCCACTTGCACCTGTTCTTTACCATCTTTCCTTAAGAAAGAACAAGTATCTTTCCTCCCGTTCAACACTTATCCTTTGACTTTAATTCCTTTCCCTCCTATTCTAATTTGGGCCTTGCCTCATCAATTTTTGCACCCCCCCAAATCCTTTACCAAATCTCTAACTGCTACTGCTCAGCCTATAAATACGCAGAACAATTTTGCTTTTTAACAAAACCCTTATTAACACAAGGCCCCCTGTAGCTACCCTTTAAACTTCCTCCTTTTCTTTCCTTTCCTTTCCAATTCCTCAGCAGAGGTCTTTGTAATTCACTGTCTCCTCTTCTTAACTTCCTGTTCACTCTTGAACTCATTGAAATCTGATTCTAACCTTAACTTCAAGGAATCGCTGTCATAATGGTGACCACCTTAATTGCCAAATCCATCAGGCACTTTTTGGTCTTTAATTGACCAGACCCTTCTACTGCCCCTGACACTATCAATTCCTCCTTAACATCCTCTTCCATGACAGCACACTTTCTTGATTTTCCTTGTAGCTCTCTGATTATATCACTCAGGACTTTTGGTCATAAATGGCAGAAACCCAACTTCAACTAGATTTCTAATAAGAGTTGGAATGAATTAGCTCATGTGGGAAGCTCTGATAAAAAAAGCAATATGGACGTAACTTAGGAAAGACTGTGAAACCACCTTTGCAAAATTATGACTGAGACAGTGAAAGAGATCTAACTTAACCAACTCCATCTTGCTTCTAACCTTCAAGCTGTCCTTGTTCATTCTTGGGCGTAGGCTGAACTAACTTTGGGAGAAACTTAGTTTATAGTTTAAACAAAGACAGCAACAGCCCTTTCCCAAAGCAGACCTCCTTCTTGCCCGGGGACCGGATTGCCTTTGTAGGACTAACATTAGCCACAAGATTAGAAATTATGGTTTAGGAGTCATGCAGCTGGAGGCTACAAGATTCTGACCCATCCTAAACTGCTCCTAAGATCAGTGCTTGAGATATTTTGCAGACCTTGCAGTTGATAGATCAGCTGGCACCACCCGGATCAATAAACTGGGTCATCTGATCTTGTGGTCCCCACCCAGGAGCTGACTCAGTGCAAGAAGACACCTTCGACTCCCTATGATTTCATCTCTGACCTATCAGCACTCCTGGTTCACTGGCTTCCCCCCACCCATCAAGTTATCCTTAAAAACCCTGCTCCAGAATGCTCAGGGAGACTGATTTGAGTAATAATAAAACTCCGGTCTCTGGCACAGCTGGCTCTGAGTGAATTACTCTTTCTCTATTGCAATTCCCCTGTCTTGATGAATTGGCTCTGTCTAGGCAGTGGGCAAGGCAAACCTCTTGGGCAGTTGCAACTGTACTAGAGATGATGGTGGCAGAATTCTCCAGGCCTTTTGTCGCTTCTCCTTTTTCCATGATGACTTCATTCTCTCAGATGACTATGGTTTGAATGAGTCCACTCCAGAATTCAGGTGTTGAAACTTAATGGCTAATGTGATAGTATTAGAGATAGGGCCTTTAAGAGGTGAATAGGCCATGAAGCTTCTTTCTTATAAATGAAGGCTCTTATAAAAGAGGCTTCATGTGGCTCCCTTGCCCTTCTGTCTTCTGCCATGTGAGGACACACGATTCCTCTTCTCTGGAGGATGCAGCAACAAGGCATCATTTTGGAATTACGGAGCGGCCCTCACCAGGCAACCAAACTGGCAGGTACTTTGATCTTGGACTTCCCAGCCTTCAGAACTGTGAGAAAATGTTTCTGGGCTTAATAAATCACCGAGTCTCAGGCATTTTGTTATAGCAGCACAAAGAGACTAAGACGACAGGTCTCTCCATGTGTAAGAGATATTGCCATCAATGGCTCCTGGCCTTGAACATCATAGAAGGTCTGAGAACTGCTTTCCTTGAACCCAAGGTAAAAGAAAGCTCAAAGAAGGGCATTGATTGGTTTATTGGGGGTCAAGTGCCCATACCTGGACCAATTACTATAACTGGCTAGTCACATTTAATTGTAGTCTGGAAGGCAGGGCCTATAAGAAGGTGGCAATTCTCAACTGAACAACTGGTTAGAAGAATTATTTCCAGAAGAGTGATGCTCTTATGAGTATGTATAACAATAGATGTCCATTATCTTGGCCATTCCTTTTTGATCTCTTTCCTATGTCTACCTCCTATATCCTGGTGTTCACCGTGTATATTAGTTGGGATTGGGTATAGCAAAGAATAACCAAAAAAAAAAAAAAAAAAAAAAAAAAGCAACATTGACTTGAACAAGATAATTGTTTAGCTGTCATACAAATGTCCAGATATTTGCAGTCCAGAGCTGGTATGGCATCTCCACTTCAGGAAGTCCTCAGGATCACAGGTCTTTCTCTAGTTTGGATGTTGTACCCTCCAAATCTCATATTGAAATTTGATCCCAAGTGGTGGAGATAGGACCTAATTGGAGGTGTTTGGGTCAGGGGGGTGGATCACTTATGAATAGATTAATGCCTTCCCTGGAGGGTAGGGAGACTGAATGAGTTCTCACTCTATTAGCTTCCATGAGAGCTGGTTGATAGAAAGCCTGGCTCCTCCCCTACCTCCCCCTCTAGCTTCCTCTCTTCCCATGTGGTCTCTGCACGTGCTGTCTCTCCTACACCTTCTGACATGAGTGGAAGCAGCCTGAGGCTTTCACCAGATGCCCAGTCTCCCAGAGAGCAGAATTATAAGCCAAATGATTTTTTCTTTATAAATTCCCAGTATCAGCTATACATTTATAGCAACACAAATGGACTAAGACAGTCCTCTTCCAATTAACTGCCCTACAATTCCTTGGGAATGATCCTCATCCTTGTGAATCAAGGCAACATCCAAGTTCCAGGGAGCAAGATGGAAGAAAGACAGAGAAAAAGAGTAAATAAAGGGCATAAACTACCTCATAAGGGAATTTTCAGGAAGGTGACACTAACATCCCTTTAGCCTGAACATGGTCATACCTAGCTGCAAGGAAGCCTGGGAAGTGTAGTCTTTACTCTGAAGCCCATGTGCTCAGTTAAAAATTCTATTACTATGGGAGAAGGAAAAAAATGGACATAAGGTGGCAAAAAGAAATCATTGCTACTCCAGGGATCATCCTAGGCCCACTGGTTCTTAGTGTGCTCTTTCTTGTTGATCTGATTCACACTCAGGGTTTCCATTTTTACTTGTGTGTTAATGACTTCTGATTGCCTCTCTTGAGCTTGGATATCTCCCTGAACTCAGATTCATATATCCAAGTGTTTATTGAACGCCAGGGTATTATCAGGCACCTAAACTCAACATGACCCAAACTGGCATCTTTCCCACCAAAATTAGGTCCTTCAGCTTAAAATATCTGATCACCATTAAGTGTAGGCTATAGACCACCCCAGAGTTTTTGGTGGAGGGAAATTATGATACAGTCATAGTGAAGAGGCTGGTGTGTTAGAATTGGCCAGACCTGTGTTCAAATCTGGTTCTGCTTCTCATTCGCTATGAGAATTGAGGTGAATTCCTGTAGTAGTTTGCTATGGCAATGGTAATAAAGTCTCACAAACTAGATGACTTAAACAATAGAAATTTATTGTTTTACAGTTCCAGTGGCTAGAATTCCAAGATCAAGGTGTCAGCAGCATGGTTCTTTCTGAGAGCTGTGAAGAAGAATCCGTTCCATGCCTCTCCCCCAGTTTCTGGTGGTGTGCTGGCAGTCTTTGGCATTCTTTGGCCTGCAGACGCATCACCCTAATCTCAGGTATCATATTCCCTGTGTGCATGTGTCCTTGTGTGTGAATGTCTGCTTTTTATAAGGAGACTAGTCATATTGAATTAATGCCCATCCTAATAACATCATTTTAACTTGATTACCTCTATAAAGACCTTACCTTCATTTTGAGATACTGGGATTAGGACTTTAACATAGGAATTTTGGGGAGACCCAATTCAACCCATAACAATTACTTAACCTATCCTTGGAGGATAATAAGACAAAACATAATAAGAATGCTGAGAATGAGGTTGGGTGCAGTGGTTCACACCTGTAATTCCCGCACTTTGGGAGGCCAAGATGGGAGGATCACTTGATACCAGGAGTTTGAGACCAACCTGGGCATTATAGCAAGATCCTACCTCTTAAAAAAAAAGAAAAAGAAAATTAGCTGGGCATGATGGTGCATGCCTGTAGTCCCAGCTACTTGGAGGTGAGGTGGGAGGATCATTTGATTCCAGGAGTTCAAGGCTGCAGTGAGTTATGATCATGCCACCATGCTCCAGCCTGAGCAACAGAGTGAGACCCTGACACTAAAACCACCAAAACCAACCAACCAAACAAACAAAAAAAGAATGCTGATAATGAGATCCATATTGCAGAGTTATTGTAAAGATTATGATATTGTAAGTGAATCTTCCAGGCACAAAGTTGGTGTTTAATAAATGCCAGTTTCCTTCTGTCTGACTGTAGACTTAACTGTAATTTTGAGGCTCCTGGAGGAAAAAGAAAATGTTTCAGGGATGGTACAAAACTAGAAGATGAAACTATAGTGAACATTTATTATTCTCTTTGGTAGCCCAGCTCCGGAACGCCTTTCCCATGTTTGGTGTGTTTTCTACCTAATGAGTTTTGATGGAAGTGAAGGCTGTTATTTACCTCTGGAAGCTAAAAATACCAGCTCCCTGGTCATCTCAGGTCAGTCCCAGGGGGACTCGGAGTCTCTCTGTGTAGTCTTCAAGTCTGGTTTTCTAGCCCCCCGCTCCTCCAGAGATTCTGTGAACTATAAATATCCTTAAATAACTTTCTCTCCTGCTTAAATCACTTAGAGTTGGTTTCCGATGCAACTAAAAACATCAACTGATATGAGGTCCAAAAGATGGAATTTTAAGCACCAAAGACGCTCCCTTATGGGCAAAGTCTCAATAGGACATCTGCATGTTCAGTTGAGATTCTGCTTTCCCCTCAGATGACAGAATTATTGGCAACCAGTTAAATTGACGCAATTGGAAACCCAGAAACATGATCAACAAAGATAAGGAGATGGAGATACCAGTCACCCCTATCAAAGTGGCAAGTGGGAGGGGGATGCTGGTTGGTCTGTCGGAGCTGACGAAGGAATGGGATTGGAATGTTTCTTTTACCAATTATGTAAACACAGCCTGGAGTTCCGAGATGAGTCCATCTCACTTGCTCAGAACTTTGCCTGGTGAGAGCGGTTACAAGCGAACAAGGTGGAAATGAAAGAAACCCTGACTTTCCCACTAGGAAGGAAGAGACTGTTCCTTCTTGTGATGTACTCTGAAGAAAAATTCTAGGATTTGGACAGATTTCTTGGGTTATAAAACATGATTTTCTTCTCTGTTTCTTGGGCTTTTATAATGGGTACTGTTGTTTTCTTGCAAAGCTTTAATGATTCCATAAGGACTTGTATAAAGTTTATGGGAGAATTTTCAATGTAGATGTGAATGGCAGAAACCCAAGAATCTGTGTGAGGTTGAATAAGATCCTGTGTCTCCAGAGAGGTCTGATGGGGAGACACAGATCTAAATTTTAAAGGTGGTTTGGGCCTTCTCAATCATATATTAAGGTCCTTTTATGTTATAGATAAGTAAATTAAGGCCCAGAAAGATTAATAGCCCAAGGTCCCAAGACCTGCTTGAGACCTGTGCCCCATTTCTGACTAATATTCTTCATGATATTGTATCACTCTGTATCAAAACCAACCAACCAATAAAACCAACCAACCAACCAACCAACAGAAAACATTCAGGAGAGTGAAAATGCCGTCTGTGCAGACAGATTTTCCTTATTTTAGGAAATGGTTGGAGTCAGTGCATTTGAAGTTCAATGAGTGAGCTTTATCCTAAAAAAGCTGCTTCCAGGCCTGATATGTTCCCTGAAACATAAGGACATTCCTCATTCAAGGCTGTTTGCAAAGATCTAAATGAAGGCTGTTATTAAACAAACAAAACCCCAACCTCTCACTAATGTCAGAAATCAGAAAATGAATTATCTAAGTATTGTCTACTGACTAGCTAGCACTATGCAGGTATGAGTATCAGAGTTCTTCTCTGCTCTGTAAGCTATAATCCTCCAGGCTCTTTAGCCTAGGGGTAGAAAATGGAGTCCTCACCAGGCGCGGTGGCTCACGCCTGTAATCCCAGCACTTTGGGAGGCCTAGGTGGGCAGATCATGAGGTCAGGAGTTTGAAACCATCCTGGCCAATATGGTGAAACCCTGTCTCTACTAAAAATACAAAAATTAGCCAGGCGTAGTGGCGCCTGCTTGTAGTCCCAGCTACTCAGGAGGCTGAGGCAGAAGAATCGCTTCAACCCAGGAGGCAGAGGTTGCAGTTAGCGCAGATCCTGCAGCTGCACTCCAGCCTGGGTGACAAAAAAAAAAAAAAAAAAAAAAAAGCAGTTCTCTTACCAAGCAGTAGTTCTCTTCTTGCTTTGCTTCCACTTCCCCCTTTGTGATGAGAGTCCTTGGCAGTGGTGTTGATAGGTGTCCCCTAGTCTGGTCCTCTTATCCGTACCCTCAAGCCCTCCATCTCCAAATTCCTGCTCTAAGACTTCAGCTTGTCACCAGGTGCTTCCTGCTGATATCAGCAGAAGACGCATGGCTGCTGGTACCCGCCAGCATCCATGCTAAGGTGGCCAGTGCCCATTGCTGACAACTTTTCTATCTGTGCCAAGGGTACTGCTTCCAGTAGCAGCCAGCCCCATTTTGGAGTCATCACTGGTTGCGGTCTAAGCTTCTGGAACCCAGGCTGGGATATCTTAGGCAATAGCTTTGGTTGGCTTCCTTCAAAAGCCATTGCAGCCCACTTGGCCCAACTCACTTGATCCCCATTTAGACTTGGGACCTTCTAGGTTACCAGTTGAAGGACAGTCTTGAAGACAGACATTTGATGGTGCTCATATCATCCCTCAACCTCTTTGTCTTGGCACCAAACTGGGTTGCCTTATACAAAGGTGTTCAATATTTTGGCTTCCCTGGTCCACATTGGAAGAAGAAGAATTGCCTTGGGCCAAACATAAAATATACTACCACTAACAGTGACTTATGAGCTAAAAAAAAAAAAAAAATCACAAAAAACCTCATAATGTTTTAAGAAAGTTTATGAATTTGTGTTGGGCTGCATTCAAAGCCCTCCTGGCTGCATGTGGCCTGTGGGCTGTGGGTTGGACAAGCTTGCTCTGGAATAATCCAACTCTTATTTGCTGGGGGACTTTCAGCAAACAGCTTACCCATTCTAGATCTTATTTTCTTGTCTGTAAAATACAAATAATACTTGACTCATTGGGTGGTTTTGAAAATTAAATGAGATCAAATATTCCATGTGACAGGCATGGAGTAAATATTCGGTGAGCACAAGTTATTCCTAGGAAAGTCCTCAGCCCCTTAACCAGCTTTTGAAACACATCTAACTCCTAGAATCATTTTACTGTTTTTTACATATTTGTTTGCACTTATTGAGTGCCTTCTGTGAGGCAGAGATAGTGCCGAGTACCTGGCATTCATTATTTCATTTATTTCTCACAATGGCTCTGTGAGATAGGTACTACTAAAGCCTTGTGTTAAGGATGAGTAAGGTGAAATCCACTGAGATCAAGTGGACTTGCCCAAGGACATCCTTCTCTCAAGTGGTAAAGTTGGAGTTTGAACCCAGAAAAAAACAAACTCCAAAGCTTGTGACCTTGACCGCACTGATTGATATATTATCATTCCAAGGTGAAAATAGCTTAGTCTCAAGCTAGTCCCTTGTGGCAAGGTTCTTGTGTGTGTGTGTGTGTGTGTGTGTGTGTGTGTGTGTTTGGACAATTATTACTGGCAAAAATTCTGAAATGCCATAACCAAGAAATCCCCAAAGCCAGGGCTGCGGTCCTTTAGCTGTCTGGTGTGTTCTGTTTGTTTGTCCAGGAATGCTGGGACCCAGGTGCCTCTCTCATTCCCTGATTCAAGCTGGGAAAGGCATGTGGCCCTGGGAGAAAGGGTGTTTTTTCTTTATGCTTTCACAAGACTGGCCTGGGCCCTTCCCTTTTATATCAAAGGTACCACATCTTATTTTAAAAATTTTAAAAAACTTTATAGAGACACAATGTTGTTTTTGTTTATTAAATTGTCATGCTTTGATTTGTTTGTTTGTTTTGAGACAGGGTCTTACTCTTTTGCCCCGGCTGGAGTGCAGTGACACTATTAGGGCTCATGGCAGCTTGGAGCTCCTGGGCTCAAGCGATCCTCCTGCCTCAGCCTCTGGAGTTGCTGGGACTACAGATGAGTGCCACCATGCTTGGCTAATTTTTAAATTTTTTGTAGAGAAGGGGTCTCACGTGCCCAGGGCTGGTCTCGAACTCCTGGGCTCAACTGATCCTCTCACTTTGGCCTCCCAAAGTGCTGGAATTATAGGCATGAACCACCATGTCTGGGGAGTATTGTTTATTTTTGATACTTTTTTGTTTTGATATAATTTCTGACTTATAGAAAAGTTGCAAGAATAGTACCAGGCATTCCCATATAACCTGCTCTCAAATTCACCAATTGTTCACATTTTGTCCCATTTGTTTTCTCTTTTTCACTCACTTGCTCTCTCTGCATTTTTTCTAAGCCATTAAAAAGTTAGTTGATGCCTGTAGTTCCAACTACTCGGGAGGCTGAGGGAGGAGTCTCACTTAAGCCCAGGAGTTTGAGCCCAGGCTGGGACACATAGTGAGACCCCATCTCTTAAAAAAAAAAGCAAGTTGAAGCCATCATGCCCCCTTATTCCCAAATACTTCAGTGTATGTTTCCTAAGGACAACCATATAACCATAGTAGTTATCAAAATCAAAAAAATTTTACACTTGATACTAGACTATTACCTAATGTATAGTTCATATTTAATTATTTTTTCAATTATCACAATAATGCCCATTACAGATGTTTTCTGGGTCCAAAAACCACTTCAGGAATACATACTGTTTTAAATTATCAGGTTTCTTTAATTTTCTTTAATCTGGAACAGTTTCTCAGCCTTTCTTTGTTTCTTTTTTTAGACAGAGCCTCACCCTGTTGCCCAGGCTGGAGTGCAATGGTGCAATCTCAGCTCATTGCAACCTCTGCCTCCTGGGTTCAGGTGATTCTCCTGCCTCAGCCTCCTAAGTAGCTGGGATTACAGGTGCCTGCCACCACGCCCAGCTAATTTTTTGTATCTTTAGTAGAGACAGGGTTTCACCATGTTGGCCAGGCTAGTCTCGAACTCCTGACCTCAAGATCCGCCCGCCTCAGCCTCCCAAAGTGCTGGGATTACAGGCGTGAGCCACTGCACCTGGCCCTCTTTGTGTTTTTTTTATCTTGACATTTTGAAGATTAAGACCAGTTATATGGTATAATGTACCTAAATTTGGACTTGTCTATTATTTTCTCATGATAAAATTCAGGTTCTGTATTTTTGACAGAAATACCACTGAAATGATACTGTGTCCTTCCCAGTACATCCTATCAGTGGACACAGGATGTCAGTTTGCTCTAGTATTGGTGAGATTAGCTTTGGTTTCTTGCTTTTTCTCTACTATAAAGTTACTGTTTTGGGCTGGGCACAGTGGTTCATGCCTGTAATCTCAGCACTTTGGGAGGCTGAAGTGGGAGGATCACTTGAGTCCAGGAGTTCAAGACCAGTCTGAGCAACAAAGTGAGACTTCGTCTCTACAGAAAAATTTAAAATTGGCTGGACATGGTGGTGTGCACCTTTAGTCCTAGCTACTGAGGAGTCTGAGGTGGGAGGATCTCTTGAGCCTAGGAGTTCAAGGCTGCAGTGAACCATGATCATGGCACTGCATTCCAGCCTGGGCGACAGAGCAAGACTGTCTCAAAAAATAAATAAATAAAGTTACCATTTTTCCCTTGTAATTCATACATAATTTGTGATAGTCTTTTTTTGTTTCAACTTTTTCTTCTGTGCCAAAATGTCCACAGCAGCTCTAACATTAGACCTAAAGCAGGAACTGAGCTGGTTCTAAAAGAAAATCCCAGTCTCCTCCTCAGCCAAATGTCTTCTTTCTCTCCTTTATTTTCTCAGTGGTTTTTTTTTTTTTTTTTTTTTTTTTTTTTTTTTGAGACGGAGTTTCTCTCTGTCACGCAGGCTGGAGTACAGCGGCATGATCTCAGCTTACTGCAACCTCCGCCTCCTGGGTTGAAGCAATTCTCCTGCCTCAGTCTCCTAAGTAGTTGAGATTACAGGCGCCCACCACCATGCCCGGCTAATTTTCTGTATTTTTAGTAGAGATGGGGTTTTGCCATGTTGGCCAGGCTAGTCTCAAACGCCTGACCTCGGCCGGGTTCGGTGGCTCACGCCTGTAATCCCAGCAGTTTGGGAAGCCGAGGCGGGCGGATCACCTGAGGTCGGGAGTTCAAGACCAGCCTGACCAACATGGAGAAACCCCGTCTCTACTAAAAATACAAAATTAGCTGGGGTGGTGGCACATGCCTGTAATCCTAGCTACTCAGGAGGCTGAGGCAGGAGAATCGCTTGAACCCGGGAGGCGGAGGTTGCGGTGAGCCGAGATCGCGCCATTACACTCCAGCCTGGGCAAGAAGAGCGAAACTCCGTCTCAAAAAAACAAAAAGAAAAACAAAAACAATTAAAAAAACGCCTGACCTCAAGTGATCCACCTGCCTCGGCCTCCCAGAATGCTGGAATTACAGGCGTGAGCCACTGTGCCTGGCCTATTTTCTCACCTTTTAATTGAAGTATTATATACACACATCTTTTTTTTCTCTCTGAGACGGAGTTTCACTCTTGTTGCCCAGGCTGAATTGCAATGGTGCAACCTTGGCTCACTGCAACCTCTGCCTCTAGAGTTCAAGTGATTCTCCTGCCTCAGCCTCCCGAGTAGCTGGGATTACAGGCAAGTGCCACCATGCCCAGCTAATTTTTGTATTTTTAGTAGAGACGGGGTTTCTCCATGTTGGCCAGGCTGGTCTCAAACTCCTGACCTCAGGTGATCCACCCGCCTTAGCCTCGCAAAGTGCTGGGATTACAGGCATGAGCCACCGTGCCCAGCCATACACACATCTTATGTTTATACAAATCTTAAGTGTACAGCTTAAAGAATTTCTACATAGGTATATACCCCTGGAACCACCACCCAAATCCAAGATACAGAGTATTTCCAGCTTCCTAGCTGAGTTCGTTGTGTACAAAAATTAGCTGGGTGTGGTGGTGCACACCTGTAGTCCCAACCTCACTCAAGAGGCTAAGGCAGGAGAATCACTTGAACCCTGGAGATGGAGGTTGCAGTGAGCCGAGATTATGCCACTGCACTCCAGCCTGGGTGACAGAGTGAGACCTGCCTCAAAAATATAAATGAATAAATAAATAAATAAATAAATAAATAAATAAATAAATAAAGCTGTCCGGGCACAGTGGCTCATACCTGTAATCCTAGCACTTTGAGAGGCTGAGGTGTGCGGGTCGCTTTAGGTCAGGAGTTCAAAACCAGTCTGGCCAACATGGTGAAATCCCATCTCTACTAAAAATACAAAAAAATTAGCCATGCGTGGTGGCGGGTGCCTGTAATCCCAGCTACTCAGGAGGCTGAGGCAGGAGAATCACTTGAACCCGGGAGGTGGAAGTTGCAGTGAGCCGAGATCGTGCCATTGCCCTCCAGCCTGGGTGACAGAGCAAGACTCTGTCTCAATAAATAAATAAATAAATAAATAAATAAATAAATAAATAAATAAAGCTACTATCAACATTTTTTCTACATTTTTTTGCACACAAGTACTCATTTCTGTTGCATATCCAGGATGAAATTACTGGGTCCCCGTCCTCTCCTTCACTGACGAACTTCTTGAAAGAATGGCCTATCCTCTTACTGTTGCCACATCCTCATTTTCCATGGATTTCTCATCAAATTGTGCCTGGCTTCTGTCTTCCACTCCCTTCCTGTTGACATTGCTCCTGCTCTTGCCATTAATGAACTCCCTCTGGCTAAATCCAGGGATCCTTTTGGATTCCACTCCATTGGACCCATCGGCAGCATTTGATAATGCTGACTTCTTTGACTTCTGCACCATGACTCTTGTTGGGTTTACCCCACCTCTCTTCTTGCTCCTCATCAGTCTCATTTGGAAACTCTTTATTCTATGCCTGCCTATTAAATGTTGGTGTTCTCAGGGTCTAGTAGCACAGGGAAACTTCTCATTCTACATTAAAGGCCTCACATTAGTGGCCTACACCAGACCTGTTTTGCTTGGCCCCCATAGTGTTTAAATAACGTTTACTATGAAAGTCTTTCAAGAAGGCAGATATTATTTTGAATTCTCACTGCACTAACCACCACTCTTTATAGTTCTGATTTGAGCTACTTCACTCATCTGAATTATTTTCTTGGTCCCTGAAAGCAACTTAGTTTGCAAACTTTTCTCTAATGTTTTCCTCCAGTGATGTCATTCTATTCCACAGGCTCAATTGCACATTGCTGACCCCTTCCAGATTCAAATCTTTAGTTTCCTCCTTTCTCTGATGCTCCAGACCTATATTTTTAACCCTTTGCTGGACATCTCCATTTGGACATTTCATGGACTTCTCACATGCATCATGTCCACATGAACTCACCATCTTTCCCTCCAGGCCTGGCCCTTTCCTGCACTCACTGTTGTGGTGAATGGCATCCCTATCCCTGCAGGCTCTCAAGCTTGGTGTCAGCCTCCATTCCCTTACCTTCTATATCTAATAGGTCATCTGATATCACTGCTTCCCTCCCCTATATATTTTCCCAATTGATCTCTTCTTCTCCATTGCTATTGCCATTGTCTTAATTTCTCTTCTTCTCTTGCTTGGATCATTCTTCATTCCACAAATATTTATCAAGTGCCTACTATGTGTTGGGCAATGTTCTAGGCACCAGGGTGAGAACAAGAGGCATAAAATTAACACGTCAACAAATACATACCCAAGAGAGCTTTAGGTAGTCATCAGTGTTGAAGACTAACTGGGCAGGGGGTTGAGAACAGGGCTATCTGAGATTGGGTAGTCAGAAAAGGCTTCTTGGAGGAGGTGATTTTTGAGCTGACACTTGAATAACATTGACAAGGAGTGAGCCCCTCAGAGGTCTAAGTGCAGAGTTCTCCAGGAAGGGGAAAAGCAGGCACACGAGACTGAAGGCAGGAGAGAACTCAGAGCGTTTGAAGGACAGCGAGATGGCCGTTGTGGCTGGAGCAGAGGGAGTGAAGGGAGAGGTAGAGCAGGGGCCAGATCACAGAGGTTGCACAGAACCTCACAGTCCATAGGAAGTGTTTTGCATTTTTATTCTTGGAAAGTTTTGAGCAAGGACGTGATCTGCCCTGATTGATATTATCAAAGGACACTCAGGGCCGGGCATGGAGACTCATGCCTGTAATTCCAGCACTTTGGGAGGCCAAGGCAGGAAGATTGCTTGAGCTCAGGAGTTCAAGACCAGCCTGGGCAATATAGTGAGAGCCTGTCTCTACTCTATTTTCATATAAATAAATAAATAAATAAATAAATAAATAAATAATTTACAAAGACCACTCAGGCTGCCGTGTGAAGAATCAACAGTAGGAGGTCAGAGAGATAGGCTGGAAATGTTTTAGACTGTCACAGCCAAAGTCAAACATTCAAGTGCAAGTAATTTATTGGGAAACACCAGTAAAGACATAGGAAAGTGGGACAGGGAAGGAAAAGCAGCCATTAAGACATGCATTATCAAGCAAGTTACCACTGTGGTCAACTGTAGCTTAGTTTTCCTGGGGAACCTTGAAGGCCCATGTAGAAATGTTCCTTCAATTGACCTTGTCCTAGGGATGAGGAAGGTGGGGTATTTACAGCAACTCCTTCAGTCATTGGCTGGGGGCTGCTGCTGGGGCAGCTAGAGGGGCTGTGAATTCTCCTGCATCCTGCTGTGTGAAGAGGGGGTGGGGTCCCGTCACCACAGAAAGCCCACAGGCAGAGAGATATAGACATGGCCTGCAGTGGGAAGGCCTGGGAGAGGTGGTGAGCATGGCAGAGGGTACTGCAGCCATCTGGGCACACGGCACCTTGCCTGGGTGCATGGGAGGCAGGTGGTGCATGGAGAGGCAATCAGTGCCGAAGCATGTGTTCGTCGGGGCCACAGCAGCCATTTGTGAGGCCATCCCTTTAGAATCCCTCTGGATGCCTGGAAGTGACTGGAAGGTGGGGCAGGAGTATCTGCAGGGGCCTTGTGGCTCTGAAGGAGTTGACAGGGATAAGAACCAATGAATGAAATGTGTGTGACGATTATTCATACGCTGCATTTTTTTTCCCATCTTCAGGCCTGGGAGTTGCATTTTGATTCTGTTCCTCTCTGTGACTGGCCTGTCTGTCATGCTCAGACCACACCATCATACCCAGTATGGATTTCTGAACACAGACTCCAATTCACCTCCCCAACTTCTGACCTTAGCTCAGTCCTCTGAACCCAAAGTCCCATGTGTGTCCCTGCAGACACCCCATTTCTCTATCATCTGACCCAGTCGTGACCTGCTAGCACATTGCCCTGTCTGCCTCATCTTGCCAGCCTGGCATAACTCCCAGAAAGGCTGCCCTTGGCTTGTCCTATTTTCTTTCTCTCCCTAATTTGACACTGACATTGACAGATAAAGACAAGGGAGACAGCCAAACCCCAGGGCGTAACCGGTAGATATCACTCAAACACTACCAAATTAATCCTCAGGATCTGGGATCATGCCTGTCTGAAATGTTAATCTCCACCACTTGGTACAGAATAGAGAATGACTTTTGAAATTGCCTTGTAGAGGAGCCATTGCCCAACCAGAAGATCCCAATCTCTAGACCCGGGGGCCCCGTTTCTGGGGAGGATAGAAAAAATTTGATATCAAGAAGGAGCAAGGAAAGATGGAAGGAAAACATCAAGCTCTAGCAAGTTTAGATTTGTGTACATCACAGTTTTACCCTAGCATGCATGGCCCATGGCCTGTTTGAGATGTTCCTTATTACAAGAGGAAGTCACACCTGGGGGTGTCTTCCTATATGTTTATGATCCCATACCTGTTACATTGGAATTATTTTCCACCCAAATAAAAGCAGTCACAGTTAGAAATTCCTTGACTCTTAATTTTATTTTATTAATTTTTTATTTTTTAATTTTTTTTTCACTTTTCAAGACGGGGTCTCACTCTGTTGTTGCCCAGGCTGGAGTACAGTGGTGCAATCATGGCTCACTACAGCCTCGACCTCCTGAGCTCAAGCAATCCTCCCACCTCAGCCTTCCCAGTAGCTGGGACTACAGGCAAGTGCCACCATGCCCGGCTAATTTTTGTATTCTTTTTATTTTATTTTTTTTGAGACAGAGTTTTGCTGTTGTACAGGATGGAGTGCAGTGGCGTGATCTTGGGTCACTGCAACCTCCACCTCCCAGGTTCAAGCGATTCTCCTGCCTCAGCCTCCTGAGTAGCTGGGATTAGCCAGGCGCCCGCCACTGTGCCTGGCTAATTTTTGTATTTTTAGTAGAGACAGGGTTTCATTATGTTGGCCAAGCTGGTCTCAACTCCTGAGCTCAGGTGATCCACCTGCCTCAGCCTCCCAAAGTGCTGGGATTACAGGCGTGAGCCACCGTGCCCTGCCTAATTTTTGCATTTTTTGTAGAGATGAGGTTTTGCCATGTTGTCCAGGCTGGTCTCAAACTCCTGGACTCAAGTGATCAGCCTGCCTTGGCCTCCCAAAGTGCTAGGATTATAGGCATGAGCCACTGCACCTGGCCGGATTTTAAACATTATCATGGCACTCTATTTTACTGAATATTAAATTTCCAGCATGGTTTTGAAAAGGAAAAAAGAACACCTGCTGTGGGAGAGGATTCCCGCTAACTGCAAACTGATATGGGAGCTGCCTGAATGCTGTTAGGTGGCCGTAGTGTAAGTAGGATTTGGGGGCCCCTAAGAGAGCTAGTGGACACAAGGGGGCATCCCTGGAGTTCTGGACTTGACCAAAATTGGGCAACTTCCCACTTGCTGGCTGCCTGCCCTGAGCAGTAATGACTGGCCTTGGGAGAAGCACCCGTGGTCTTACGGCCTCCTTTTATTCTCATGTATTTTTCTAACAAGCCTTGTCTAAACGCAAATGTGATTCCAGCTTTTTGATTAGAATATTATATAGTCATCCATTCCAGGAAAACCACAATTAGCACATGATTTTATTTCTGACTTGCTGTTTCTTTGTTTGGAAAGTTCGTTAGTTGTACGACGCTCCTGATAGAAGTGCGTAGAAGCAGCCATTCTTTGTGTGTGGGGAGGGACCTCCGCCAAGTTTTCTTAGATGGAAAGGTGTTGGCTTTTTCTTATCATGGGGAGATGGTGGAGTAGAGGGGGGAGTGTGGTGGGGGTGTGATATTCTACCCTAAAATATTTTTCAAAAATATACTGGCAACTAAATCTGGCCATGTTTGTGGGATTGGGTGGAGTTTTCCTTAAAGTGATAGGGCAGGGCACACTTTATCTCAAGGTTTTAACTGGAGTTGACACTTGGGAAGACATTCTCTTGGGTAATACATGCTGCAGAGACCACTCATGGGCAGCCTGATTCAGAGAGGCAGTTACTTGCCTACTGGCATACCACAGGCTGGCTGTGTGACCTTCGGCAATTTACTTAACCTCTCTGGATCACTATTTCCTCATCTAAATAAGATTACCTAACTCTTAGGGTAGTTGGGGGATTAAATAAAATCAGTAAATATCAGTTAATATTTATAAAGTGCTTAGGATAGAGCCTGGTTTCCAGCACATTGCATGAATGCTATTATATTATCCTTTCCTGCCTCTGCTAACAGAAAATGCCTTTCTAACAAACGCTTGTTAGAAAAGAGTCTACTGCCTATTGCGTTCCTATAAATGGCAGGCACTGTGCTAAGTACTTTATAAGCATTTAGCTTGTTTAATACTCAAGGATACAAAGTAGTGTTATGATCTCTGTGACGGTTAGTTTTCTTAGTCAACTCTGTTAGGCTATAGTACCTAGTTATGTAATCAAACATGAATCTAGGTGTTGCTGTGAAAGCATTTTGTAGACATGGTTACCATCTACAAGTCAGTTGACTTCAAGTAAAAGATTTCAGATTTACTGGCCCCCTCAATCATGTAAGCCAATTACTTAAAACATATCTTTTATTTTAAAAATGTGGGCCGGGAGTGGTGGCTCATGCCTGTAATCCCAGCACTTTGGGAGGCCGAGGCAGACGGATCACAAGGTCAAGAGATCGAGACCATCCTTGGCAACAAGGTGAAACCCCGTCTCTACTAAAAATACAAAAATCAGCTGGGCGTGGTGTAGCGCACCTGTAGTCCCAGCTACTCAGGAGGCTGACGCAGGAGAATCGCTTGAGCCTGGGAGATGCAGGTTGCAGTGAGCCGAGATTGCGCCATTGCATTCTAGCCTGGCAAAAGAGCGAGACTCCATCTCAAAAAAAAAAAAATGTTTGTATGTGTGTATGTGTGTGTGTGTACACTTATGAGGAAACTGATGATCAGAGAAACTAAGTAATTGCACAAGGTCATACAGCAGGATTTTGAATCCGGGGCTCTGTCATTACAAAGCCTGGTTTCCACCGTGGGATCTGTCTCTCTTGTAACATTTCAGTTGCAGCTGAAGGGACCTCGATTTCAGCCTGTTTATGGAGCATGTGCTGCTTTCTCACTTCAAACTCTATAGAAGTGCAATTCCTCTGACCATGTGGTCTGTTCTGTATTCTGGTGGCATTTGGAGGAAAGCCTGGAGTGAGGAGCAGGGGAGAAAGGAAGGGAAGGAATAAGAATTTTATCAGTGGGGTTTTTGGTTGCAAGCAACAGAAATGGACTCTCACCGACTTATAACCAAAGGAAAAGATTAGAAGAATATTGTTGATGTGGGGCAGCTCACAGCAAAAAGCACTCTGTGGGCTGCCCCTGTCTATACTAGGACAGGGAGAGAGGAGCTGGGCTTATCCAGGGAGAGGTGCTAGGAGTTACCAACTGCAGAAAATGAGGGAGGCTTTATTTCCCAAAAGGAAATTGGGATGCTGTTCTTTTTTCTTTGAGACAGGGTCTTGCTCTGTTGCCCAGGCTGGAGTGTAATAGCACAAACCCCACTCACTGCAGTCTTGCCTTCCTGGGCTCAAGCAATCCTCCTGCCTCAGCCTCTAGTGCAGTTGGGACCATAGGTGTTCACCACCACATCAGGTGATATGGTTTGGCTCTGTGTCCCCACCCAAATCTCCTCTCTAATTGCAGTCCACACGTGTTGAGGGAGGGACCTGTCATCCCTATACATCCCTATATATGGAGGGAGGGGAGTGATTGGATTATGGGGATGGTTTCCCCCATGACAGTGAGTGAGTTCTCATGAGATCTGATGGTTTTATAAGGGGCTCTTCCCCCTTCCTCCTCACTCTTCTTTCTCCTGCCACCTTGTGAGGAAGGATTTTTTTGCTTCCCCCTCCACCATGATTGTAAGTTTCCTTAGGCCTCCCCAGTCATGTGAAACTGTGAGTCAATTAAACCTCTTTTCCTTTATAAATTACCCAGTCTCAGGTAGTATGTCTTCATAGCAGTGTGAAAACAGACTAATACACCAAGCCATTTTTTTTTTTTTTTTTTTTTTTTTTGTAGAGACGAGATCTCACTATGTTGCCCAGTTTGGTCTTGAACTCCATGGCTCAAGTAATCCTCCTGCCTCAGCTTCCAAAAATGCTGGGATGACAGGCATAAGCCAACATGCCCAGCCTGGGATACTATTTTGAAGGGAAATGGATGCTTGACAAATGCCAAAATGATAAATGACCACTATCACAGTAAAGATTCTTGGTTTGGATCCCATTTTGCAAAATAATTCAGAACAGGCCCATGACCAGTACCCAGAAATGGCACTTAGGACTTGTGAGGCCATATGGAGCACATCTCTCAGCTTTAGCTTAAGATTTTTGGCTGTAGGCAAAGACTCCTTTTATGCAAACATTCCCATGTGAAACATAAATAGCCATCATAATAACGAATCTCCATTGAACACTGGCTGTATGCTGGGCACTGTTATAAGTGCATGGCTGGATGCTCGTCTCGTTTTTCCACCAACTCCATGACGTAGGTACAATTTTCACCACCATGCTATGTATGAGAACACTGAGGGCCATGGAGGTTAACTTGGTTAACTCACTCATCCACATGGCCAGTGAATGGCAAGCAGTACACAATGATGTCTTTTTACAATTCGAATTCTAGAATGTTAAATAGCACTGGGGACTGTCTATAATCGCAAACAGCAAAGGTCCTAGAGGCAAGCCTTCCTCCTAGCTGGAGAGCTCGCAGAGTCTGATGCTAGCTTGATAAAGATTCTGCCTTGATGTCTGATCTGAGGTGTTCAATTCCATTTTCTTAATGGCTGTCAATCAGTTCCCCACTGTGTCCCCTGAGGCTGGACCCAGCAGGGGTGTCGTCAGCACTTAGGAATATCATTAAGAACAAAGCCTGATTCGGGCTGTTTGTTTTTCCCCAGTGAGATTGCCCACCCCTCAACACAGTCAGGAATGAGCTCAGATGTCGCTCAGTGCTAAATGAATTGCTTCTGAAAGCACTGGGCTTTCCCGAGGCACCCGAGTCTACCAGAGCGAACAGAAATGACATATGAGTTCCAATGTCTGCAATCACTTTTGCTTCCAGGTGCTTCACCGGCAATGTCTGATGGAAATATAATGTAAACTGCCTTTGTCATTTTAAATTCCTAGGAACCATATTTTTAAGAAGGTGAAATTAATTAAAAACCTTTTTTTTTGAGACAGTCTTGCTGTGTTGCCCAGGCTGGACTGGAACCCCTGGGCCCAAGTGATTCTCCTGCCCTAACCTCCCGAGTAGCTGGGACTACAGGTGTGCACCACCACGGCCGGTGCTAATTTAAAAAAATATATTTAGCCAGGTGCGGTGGCTCACGCCTGTAATCCCAGCACTTTGGGAGGCTGAGGCAGGCGGATCATGAGGTCAGGAGTTCAAGACCAGCCTGGGCAATATGGTGAAACCCCATCTCTACTAAAAAATACAAAAATTAGCCAGGCATGGTGGCACACGCCTGTAGTCCCAGCTACTCAGGAGGCTGAGGCAGGAGAATTGCTGGAACCCAGGATGTGGAGGTTGCAGTAAGCCGAGATTGTGCCATTGCTCTCCAGCCTGGGTGACAGAGTGAGACTCCATCTCAAAAAAATAAATAAATAAAATAAGAAATATATTTAATTTAACACAATAATCCAAATATTACCATTTCAACATGTAATCTACATAAAAATTTATTTGGGCCAGCCGCTGTGGCTCATGCCTGTAATCTCAGCACTTTGAGAGGCCCAGGCAGGCAGATTGCTTGAGCTCAGGAGTTCAAGACCAGTTTGAACATCATAGTGAGACCTCATCTCTACAACAAATACAAAAATTAGCTGGGCTTAATGGTGCACACCTGTGGTCCCAGGTACTTAGGAGGCTAAGGCAAGAGGATTGCTTGAGCCTAGGAGGTTGAGGCTATAGTTGAGGCCATCCAGGGATGGCACCACTGCACTCCAGCCTGGGCGAAAGAGTGAGACTCTGTCTCAAAAAAACAATTTTTTTTTAATTAAAGAGGTACTTTACATTCTTTTTGTCATAGGAAGTCTTTGAAATCCAGTATGCACCAAGCACACAGCTCGGTCTGGAGTGGCCCCCTGTGGGACAGTGCAGCTCTAGACTGTCACACTTTCAACAACTTTATTCCTCGCACCAATGACTGGGGAGCTGAGTAGGCAGGGGCCAGGTTGCCTACTCTGCGTTTTGGATTTTGGCCCAAACGTGGAGAAAAGCCACTGACCCATTTTAAACAGGACAGTAGCGGGATCTGACCGCAGTTTTAAGATGATGGCTCTGACTGGTAACAGGATAAGTAAGTTGGGCCAGTAGGGGACTCTTTTCCCTCCTCCTCTCCTAACTCCACCATAAACACATAGAAATGACTTTCATTTTAAAAACTAAACTAGGCCGGGTGCGGTGGCTCACGCCTGTAATCCCAACACTTTGGGAGGCCGAGGCAGGTGGATCACCTGAGGTCGGGAGTTTGAGACCAGCCCGACCAACATGGAGAAACCCCATCTCTATTAAAAAATACAAAATTAGCCAGGCGTGCTGGCACATGCCTGTAATCCCAGCTACTCCGGAGGCTGAGGCAGGCAAATCGCTTGAACCCGGGAGGCGGAGGTTGCGGTGAGCCGAGATCAGGCCATTGCAATCCAGCCTGGGCAACAAGAATGAAACTCCACCTCAGAAACAAACAAACAAACAAACAAACAACACTAAACTAAACTAAATCAAACAGTGGGTCTGAGTTTCACATAAAGAAAGGCAAATAATCCTGAGGCAGAGATTAGGAGAGGTTAAAGACAGAGCAGAAAGATCCCAAGTGGATTCTGTGGCTGCTGAGAGGTGGGAGTGGGGTGGGGGGAGTTCCAGAATACAAACCCTAATGGCTTGGGGCTGGAGTTTTCATGCCTGGGCTGGGACAGGGACAAAGCTTGGGCTCACTTGAAAAGGGGACTTGGAACTGAAACCGTTTCATAAATGCAGGACCCTGAAAAGAATCCCACAGCCTCCAATGAAATGACCCAAAATATCTTCCCTCACCTACTCAGGGAGGAAACAAGAAATCTTGTCTTTATCTTGTGGATAAAATAATCTGTAAAAAATTAGAACAGCAATCCTGTGTCATGTAGAGAAGTACAGTGGAAAAATGGCACTATCTGAATAGTGTGGGAGTTCTCAAGTTAAGAGGGCAAATTGAGGCTGGGCACAGTGGCTCATGCCTGTACTCCTAGCACTTTGGGAGACCGAGGCGGGTGGATTGCCTGAGCTCAGGAGTGCGAGACCAGCCTGGGCAACGTGGTGAAACCCCGTCTCTACTAAAACACAAAAAATTAGCCAGGCATGGTAGCGTGCACCTGCAGTCCCAACTACTTGGGAGGCTGAGGCAGGAGAATTGCTTGAACCTGAGAGGCAGAGGTTGCAGTCAAAAAATAAATAAATAAAAAGAGAGCAAATTGGTTCCAGACCAATGAGTTAATGTGAGGCAGCAGTAGGAGGGGGAAACTGGTTAGGAGGCTCCTGCAGCATTCCCATTCTTGAACTTTAAAGTGCAAATGAGTCACTGGGGATCTTATTAAAACGCAGATTCTGATTCCTTACATCTAGGTCTGGGGTGGATTCAGAGATTGCACTTCTAACAAGCTTCCAGTGATGCTGGTTCCCAGTCTACTCTTTGAGTAGCAAGGCTCTTAGTGACAGACAGTGGTGGCTTGGACTAGGTTGGTGGTGGGATGGAGAGAAGAGGATAGATTCAAGAGAGAAGCTGAGGAGAGAATCAACAAGACTCACTGTTAAGGGGAAGGGAGAGTCAGGGATGGCTCCTGGGTTTCTAGACCAGGGCAGGAACGGGCTTTTTTAGGGGAAGGGACTGTGTGTGTGTGTGTGTGTGTGTGTGTGTGTGTGTGTGTGTGTGTCTGTGTGTGTGTGTGGCAGGACAGGAGGGATCAAAAATTCATGGAGAGGCAATTCCAAATACTGTGCCTTATCTCCTTTCTATACAAAAATGTTGATCTAGAACTAGAAATACCATTTGACCCAGACATCCCATTACTGGGTATATACCCAAAGGACTATAAATCATGCTGTTATAAAGACACATGCACACGAATGTTTATTGCGGCATTATTCACAATAGCAAAGACTTGGAACCAACCCAAATGTCCAACAATGATAGACTGGATTAAGAAAATGTGGCACATATATACCATGGAATACTATGCAGCCATAAAAAATGATGAGTTCATGTCCTTTGTAGGGACATGGATGAAATTGGAAATCATTATTCTCAGTAAACTATCGCAAGAACAAAAAACCAAACACTGCATATTCTCACTCATAGGTGGGAATTGAACAATGAGAACACAGGGACACAGGAAGGGGAACATCACACTCTGGGGACTGTTGTGGGGTGGGGGGAGGGGGGAGGGATAGCATTAGGAGATACACCTAATGCTAGATGACGAGTTAGTGGGTGCAGCGCACCAGCATGGCACATGTATACATATGTAACTAACCTGCACATTGTGCACATGTACCCTAAAACTTAAAGTATAATAAAAAAAAAATGTTATGAGCCATTCAGGACATAAATGATCTATTTTCCCAGTTTGGGTTCCTGACAGCAATCTTTGCTTGGTGGCCCAATGTGGCAAGTCTTAAGTCTTAATGAATAGCCAACTTTGTAAATGAGGTCCAGAAATGGCCAGCACACGACCCCCTCTGCCTCTCATGCACTCAACACGCACCTGACCTGACCAGCAATGATCATGACACTTAAACTAGTTGAATGTGGGCTCTCTCTATTAGAGTCTTCCAAACTCCTCCGCATGCAGTCAATGTGAATGGGCAGAGGGCGTGAGCATTGCAGTTTCTAATAAATGATACAGCACCCAGAATTAAGGATATGTTTTGAGAAATATGTATTTTTAAAAGGAAAATAGGCCAGGTGCGGTGGCTCATGCCTATAATCTCAGCACTTTAGGAGGCCGAGGCAGGCGGATCACCTGAGGTCAAGAGTTCGAGACCAGCCTGGCCAACATGGTGAAACCCCCGTCTCTACTAAAAATACAAAAATTAGCCGGGCGTGGTGGCCGGTGCCTGTAATCCCAGCTACTCAGGAGGCTGAGGCAAGAGAATCGCTTGAACCCAGGAGGCGGAGGTTGCAGTGAGCGGAGATCGCGCCATCGCACTCCAACCTGGCGGACAAGAGCGAGACTTCGTCTCAAAAAAAAGGGAAAATAAATTACCTCTGTGCCAGGCACATTGCTAGATACTTTTACAGATGTTATGACAATTCTTCCAAATAGGTTCTATGATTCCTGTTTTCACAGATGAAGATAGTGAGGCTCAGAGGGGTAAGTGACTTGCTCCTGATCACACACAGCCCATGAATGGAAAGGGTGGGAGTTGAACCCCTGTGAGTCTTAGTCCAAAGTTGTCCACATGGCTCTGGGCTCTCAATTGCAGGCTCCGTGCCATGTGCTGAGCAAGGTGCACAGAACTTCATAAAACATCACTCCGGCCTTTAAGGAGTTTAATCTAAATAAAGAAGGAGCTGGGCGCGGTGGCTCACTTTGGGAGGCTGAGGCAGGCAGATCACAAGGTCAAGAGATGGAGACCATCCTGGCCAACATGGTGAAACTCCGTCTCTACTAAAAATACAAAAATTAGCCAGGTGTGGTGGCGTGCGCCTGTAGTCCCAGCTAGTCAGGAGGCTGAGGCAGGAGAATCGCTTGAACCCGGGAGGTGGAGGTTGCGGTGAGCCGAGATCGTGCCACTGCACTCCAGCCTGGTGACAGAGTGAGACTCTGTCTCAAAAACAAACAAACAAACAAACAAAAACAATAAGGAAGGAAGACAACCCTGCAAATATACTTGATGTGTGGCCTTGCATTGCTGTTTAGTCTGCTGGAGTGCTGCAGATGTCAGTGTCATTGGAGATACTCCTTCAGACTCAGCATTGGGGAGTTTCAGCAGAGTCTTCTAGACAAGGCGGGACCTGTGCATGCAAGAATAATTAGGAATGGAGAGAGTGAACCTTCCAGGTGGCAATTACAGGTAGTGGGACTAATCAAAGTCAGGCAAGGAGGCAGCCTCTGACAACAGTTTTTCCCCTCCTCTTTTTTCCACCTTCCATCTTCCCTACTATAATAAAATCCAAATGGGGATTTCCAGGCCCAGGTTAAAGGCTGGAAATCCTTCAGGCTGAGATAGGTGTCCATTTCCGGTTCACTCATGGCACTCTGTGATTATTGCTAACAATGGTATTTCCACATAAAATGATCGTTTTATGGGTTTCCTCCTTAAGGTCAAGAACTTTGTTTATTTTTGAATCCCCAGAGCCCAGAGCAGTGCCTGGCATGTATTAGGTGTTTGATAAATTTAAAAACAATTGAAGAATATTTTTCTTGATGATTTTTTTCTCTCCTCTGCATTCCTCTGTTATTTGGTTTGTGCTACTCTCTATTACTTGACATATGCCTGAAACACTGAGTCAATATATCAGTGATTTAAACAAAATAGTTTATTGCTTCCATGTAAGAGTAGGAATAGAAACAGTCCAAACTGATATGGGGTCTTCAGGGTGTCCTATAATCTGGACCCTACCAGTCATTCACTCCGTCAGCCCTAGCATGCTGTCTACATTTCCATGGTTTGAGGTGGTCACCACCACATCTTTGTTGGAACCGGCAGGAAGGCAGAAAGAGGAAAGAGAAAACAGGCTTTCTGACTTCGCTTCCTCCCACTCTCTCTGTTTGTTTGTTTGTTTGTTTGTTTCTTTCTTTCTTTCTTTCATTCAGACAGGGTCTTGCCCCATCACCCAGGCTGGAGTGCAGTAGCACAATCATGGCTCACTGCAGCCTACACGTCCTGGATTCAAGTAATCCTTCCACCTCAGCTTCCCGAGTAGCTAGACTACAGGTGCGCATCACCATGCCCTGCTAATTTCTTTTTTTACTTTTTGCGGAGACAAAGTCTCATTATGTTGTGCAGGCTGGTATCAAACTCCTGGGCTCAAGTGATCCACCTGCCTCTGCCTCCCAATTACAAGTGTGAGCCACCACGCCCAGCTGCTTTCTTTTGTAAGATACAACACGGAAGTTGCTCCCATCACATCTCTTTCCATCCTATTCTCAGGACCTAGTCACATGGCCAGATCTATACAAAGGAGACTAGGAGAGGTAGATCTTATTTGGGTAACTATCTAAGGCCAAAATTTCTATTACCAGAGAAGGAGAGCGCAGATATGGGGCTGTGGAGAGGGCAGGGACAAGTTGTATGCCTGCCACACTTTTATATGGCATTCGTCAGGGATACTTTAGTCTTAGCTTTTTCATTGTTTTGTTTTGTTTTGTTTTGTTTTTTGAGATGGAGTGTCCCTCTGTCGCCCAGGCTAGAGTGAAGTGGTGCTATCTCGGCTCACTGCAACCTCCACCTCCCGGGTTCAAGCAATTCTCCTGCCTCGGCCTCCTGAGTAGCCGGGACTACAGGCGCACACCACCACGCCAGGCCAATTTTTGTGTTTTTAGTACAGTCGAGGTTTCACCATGTTGGCCAGGATGGTCTCGATCTCCTGACCTCGTGATCCACCCGCCTCAGCCTCCCAAAGTATTGGGATTACAGGCGTGAGCCACTACGCCTGGCCTAGCTTTCTCATTGTAAAATAGGAATAATCATGTTCACCTTATAGGATGATGATGTTACTGGAAAGAGGTCCCGATCCAGACCCCAGGAGAGGGTTCTTGGATCTTGTGCAAGAAAGAATTTGAGGCGATTCCATAGAGTAAAGTGAAAGCAAGTTTATCAAGAAAGCGAAGGAATAAAAAAAAAATGGCTACTCCATAGGCAGAGCAGCAGCTTAGACTGCTGGACTAAGGATACTTATAGTTATTTATTTTTTTCTTTTTTTTTGAGACAAAATCTCGCTCTGTCGACCAGGCTGGTATGCAGTGGCACAATCTCAGCTCACTGCAACCTCCGCCTCCTGGGTTCAAGTAAGTCTCCTGCCTCAGCCTCCTGAGTAGCTGGGATTACAGTCACATGTCACCATGCCTGGCTAATTTTTGTATTTTTAGTAGAGGCTGGGTTTTGCCATGTTGGCAGGCTGGTCTTGAACTCCTGACCTGAAGTAACCCACCCGCCTTGGCCTTCCAAAATGCTGGGATTACAGGTGTGAGCCACCACATGCAGCTAGTTATTTCTTGATTATATGCTAAGCAAGGGGTGGATTATTTCTGAGTTTTCCTGGAAAGGGGTGGGCAATTCCCAGAACTGAGGCTTCCTTTCCCTTTTAGACCATATAGGGTAATTTCCTGACATTGCCGTGGCATTTCTAAACTGTCATGGCACTGGTGGGAGTGTCTTTTAGCATACTAGTGCATTATAATTAGCATTTAATGAGCAGTGAGGACCACCAGAGGTCACTCTCATCGCCATCTTGGATTTGATGGGATTTGACTGGTTTCTTTACCGCATGCTGTTTTATCAGCAAGGTCTTTGTGACCCCCTATCTCATCCTGTGACTTAGAATGCCTAACCTCCTGGGAATGCAGCCCAGTAAGTCTCAGGCTTATTTTACCCAGCACCTATTCAAGATGGAGTTGCTCTTGTTCAAACGCCTCTGACAGTGGTGAGTACTGAATGAGAAAACAGTTGTGATTATGCCTGACATAGTGTCTGGCATACAAAAAGATGGCCAAAAGTGTTAGTGTCCTTTCTTCCCTTTCTTTTCTGGAGATGTCTAGACAGTTCCCCATAATATCCATATGATAATATGCTTGATCTATTTTTTTTTCCCTCCAAGGTATAGTTGTTATTGAATTACTTGCAATTGTCAAATCATAGGTGGTCATCTTATCTTTCCTCTGACAGTAGGAGTCCTTTCATGGCAGAGGCTGTATCTTGCACAACTTGGATCTTATAGCATGCCTTGTACACAGATATTCAATCAATAGTTGCTAAACGAATACGTGGGTGAAGAAGAGAAGAATCTTTTCATCATGTCATCACTGTGTCTCTATGGAGTGGGATTTATCAATTACATTGAGGCAACAACACAAATGTATCAGCATTATCCAGGTTGTGGTCCCACAAAATGTTGGTGCAGTATGGAACATGGACACTCTCATCCCCGCCTTCTGGTGATGCACTGGAGCCAGGGAAGGGTCAGGTCTGGGACAGGATGACTCTCTTCCCAAAACACATGTCACAGCACAACTGCACCACAACCATCTTCTCCCTCTTTCCTCTGACTCTCCATCATAAGGAGAACTCACTCTCCCCTTCATAATTGCAGACATACTTCTTGAAAGTTAGAATGCAAGTATTTGGGGAAGAGGAAAATGGCCGTGATGGTCAACATTTTATAGAGTCTTGAATCTGCTCTCCTGGCACCTTTTGGTCATCTGGTTTGGGTGTAGGGGGGAAACTGCCCCTCACCTTGTGAAACAGTTTTACAATTTGATGATGCCAAGCCAGCTGGCCCCAGAGAGATGTGTTACCATGACAAATGTAAGATCACCTAGTGGTTAGCCACTTGACCTGAACTTGTTATGTCTGGACACTCATGCTGAGGGCGATTACACCCCGGAAATCAGAGACTCATAGACCCGCCTTGGTTGCTGGTTTTTCCCATTTTCTTCAGTCTCCTAGACCTAGACAGGGTTATCAGCTCCTTTCCTATTCATGCCTGGCATTTCCTTGCTCTATGCTCTCCTGGGGCTGGGATGCTTTCAGTGGATCCTGCCCCTCCCTCCCCAAGCCAGGAGGGGCCCTGGCCTCTATGACAGCAAATCCATTGCACCACTTAAGTTTAATTAGAGCACAATGACGGATGATTAGTTTACACATCAAAGCACTGAAACAATTCAACAAATTGGCCCCATCCCAAAGCCCAGCGCAGGAGCTGGCCTTGAACTCAGAGGCTCTGCCTGCTGGGGCAGGGGAGCTAGCAATGAAAGCTTGGGAGCCCCATGCAGAGGTGCACAGAAGGAGTTCTGCTTCTGCAGTGAAGAAATGGATCCCAGCTGTTTCCAACCCTAATTGTGCTCAGCGTCTCTCTCACCTTGGCTTTCCAACTCCATGCCCTCCCTTGGCTGCTGCTTAAAGTTTACGTGTAGTTGACTCTAAATTATTTGGGGACTGATTATTCAGTCCATGGGTTATCCAAACCCTTTGCTAATCCTTTCTTTTTTTGCCCTGTTACTCTCCAAGTGGGATTTTTGACTGTTCATTAGGACACCTACCAGGGAATTAGAGCAAAAAGCAAATGAGTTAATCTTCTTCAAACCAGGCCACTTGGCTACCAGCCATTTTTTTGTTTGAGGTTTGGTGGGGGAAGGAGATAGAAATTATAGGTTGCAATGAGGTAAATGGATTATTTCTGGGTCTCCTTCATGCACACTCTACCCATTCCATGTGGATGACCAAGAGGCAGCTGTACACATGAAAGCACTCTGCATTAGACTGTCTTTGCCTTTTATTACATTTTTCAGATTTCTTCTTGTCATGCTGGGGCCCCAGAGATGCTGCCTGTGTACTGGGAGAGGTAAGCAGTTTGGTTCCTCTGGCTCAGAAGAATAGTTTGTTCATACTAATGATCAGTGAAAAAGCAAACAAACAAAAGTCCCTAAAGGTTCACCCAGTATCTGAGCCAAATTGACCTTCATACCTGGTCCTGCACACATTCCCATCAAAACAATTGGTGTCCTGCTCCAAGGTCGTTACCGTCAAAGTCGATGGCAGAGGAGACTTAAATCTAGATCTTCCTCATAGCCCTTATCCCTCGGGACTATATGATCTTTCTCATTGTCGGAAGAAAACAGAGCTGTGGCTACATGAAAATCTCATGGAGCACAAAGGCTCAGGCCTCCTTCCTGAACAATTGATGACGGCGTGCTGCATGGTAGGATTCTAGTTCCCTTGCTGTGGGCCTTGGGGGTGAGCAGGCATCAGCCTTACTGCTGTGATGTGGGCAGACAGATGAATGCTGGCTGCCTCTAGCACAGGACAGTGGGCAGGAGCTGAACTGGGTTCAGGCTGCTATAAGCAAAGCACTTCAGAAGGAGGGTGACTCTGTGTGATTAGCATAAACCAGGAGTCTATTGATCTGGCTGATTAGAAAGTCTTCCAAGGCACCAGGGTAATTAGCACGATGTACAGAGTAGCAGTTATCAGCTTCATTGCCTAATTAACAATGTAAATATCTTTCTAAATGACATTTTATAATCCTGATTAGACCCTCTAGCATTTGCCCTGTTCGCTGCTAATTCCTTCCCAGATGTAAGGATAGTCAGATAGTCGTCTTTCTTCCATGCCTGACATCACATTTCTGCATCACATACCATAAAGCAGTTGTACACACCCCACATCTCCTCTTTTGTATCTAACTAAGGGGTCTGCTCTGCTTCGTCTCTCCAGCCCGAAATATACAGTCTGCCAAATGAATTGCCAATTAAAAGTACTTAATTAAATGTGAAAGGGGAGTTCTATCATGTGCTGGATTTTGAACTATTTTTTATTTATGTGCTTAGCAGGATAAGTCATCTTAAATTAGCATCACATTTTTTCCTCTGAAGAGCATGTGAGAAATGAGGCTATTAGGAGGAAAGGTTTAACACAATATTTGTGTATACTAGTCATGGGTGCAAAGACTCATCCCAAACGCATATGTTGCTTTGGCAAGCAGAGTTGTTCTTCATATTTATTTTATTTCCTTATCATTTCTGGTTGAATTAATGTTTCCCATAGAATATTTGGCCTGCCTAATCAGACATATGTGCAGGGAACTTGGTTGTTTTATTTAATTTTTACTTGAACGTCACCTATTATTTTCAGTATCAGAGCCATACTAAAAGATTATTTTTCCATGTCTAAGTTCCAAATGGCATACACACAAATCCTTATGGAGCTCTGTGGGTGGAAAGTTCAGAGTTCAGAGGCTCCTACTCTTACTGGAAAGAATGTCCCAAAGCTTTCCATTCCTGGAGACCTGATGATTTCAGCTGGTGGATTATTCACTTGTGGTCTTGTTGCACCCACTAACTGCATGATGGCCAAGGCAGTTACACATCTATAAAGTCTGGGGGGAGAGTAAAAAATAAGGAATTTGGTATAAACCAGTGCATATTATACTGGTAAAATAGTAGGAAAGGCAAAAATGAATTTTGGAGGAATTTGCTGTAGGTTTTAATTAACCATCTTGCCCTTGTTCCCCATTATCATTGATTTGTGTGATAAGTGCCAATTATATGTGTCATAAGTATACTCCTTTTTGCTGAAGACAAGAGATCTTATGTGTGATGCAAATAAGGGTTCTCAGAATGCTAATTTTGTAATGAGCCGATGCATTCTTCAAGGAGTTTATAGTCTAGAGGGGGAATAAAACATGTGCATAAATAATCATAATGCAAAGTAGAAAACTGGCATGTCATGAGACAGCACAGAGAGAATTATGGCCAAAAAAAAAGGGTGGAGAAATAAATTATAGTTGAGAGATGTGGGAAGGCCTGTTTGAAGGTTGAGGGAAATTGGCATAAAAGCAAATTGAGAGTATTAGGTGTGGTTTCCAAAAGAGGAGAACAGCAGGGAGAAAACACAGAGGTGGGACAGCAAGAGATTTAAGTGAGGAACAAGAAGAGGTTTGCCAGGGCCATTGTGGGAGGGATGTGAAGCAGGAAAGCCCCGCAGGTAAGGCTGCAAAGGTAAGTCAAGATGCGGTCACCATCATGCAGACCCTGGAATCCAAGACTAAAACACCTGCACCTCTGGCTGCAGACCAGGGATCCACAAACATTTCTTTTGGAAATGGTCAGACAGTAAATCTTTTTTTTTTTTTTTTTTTTTTTTTTTGAGGCAGTCTCCCTCTGTTACCTAGGCTGGAGTGCAGTGATGGGATCTCTGCTCACTGCAGCCTCCGCCTCCTGGTTTCAAGTGATTCTCGTACCTCAGCCTCCTGGGTAGCTGGGATTACAGGCGTGCGCCACCTTGCCCAGCGAATTTTTGTAATTTTAGTAGAGACAGGGTTTCACCATGTTGACCAGGCTGGTCTTGAACTCCTGGGGTCAAGTGATCCTCCCACCTCGGCTTTCCAAAGTGCTGGGATTATAGGCATGAGCCACTGTGCCTGGCCCAGAGAGTAAATCTTTTAGGCTGTGTGAGCCATATTGTTTCTGTCACAGTAACTCAGCTCTGCCATTGTAGCACAAATGCACCTATAAACAATACATAAATAAATGGGCATTGCTATGATAAAACGTTACTTATGGATACTGAGATATGAATTTTATATATTTCTCACATGTCACAAAATGTTCTTTTGATTTTACTGTCTTCTACTATTGGAGTAGGCAGGGGCATGAAGCTGTAACCATCTCTTAACCTCTGAGTTTTCTTTACCCTTGGCCATATCCCCATCACCACAGAGGGCCAAGTGTTGACTGAGCTTGGATTCAGTGGTTAAAGCTGCAAAGTCAGTGTGTTGAGTGACTATGATGGTGCATGCGTACATCAGTGGTTGTTACCAGGACCAAGCTTCAGTGCGCAGCACTAGGGTAACATTCAAGCTGCGTGCTCCTGACAGACTCTAACGCTATTTGATATTTAAAAAGAAATACCTGGCTGGATGCATTGACTCACTCCTGCAATCCCAGCACTTTGGGAGGCCGAGAAGGGGAGATCAATTGAGATCAGGAGTTTGAGAATAGCCCGGACAACAAGGTGAAACCCATCTCTACTAAAGATACAAAAATTAACTGGGCGTGGTGGTGTACATCTGTAATTCCAGCTACTCGGGAGGCTGAGGCAGGAGAATCGCTTGAAACCAGGAGGCGGAGGTTGCAGATTGTGTCACTGCACTCCAGCCTGGGCAACAGAGCAAGACCGTCTCAATTAAAAAAAAAAAAAAAAAAGAAAGAAAGAAAGAAAGAAAAAGAAAAGAAAAGAAATATGTAAGTCAAGAGTTTTGACAAACCATGTGTAGTAAATGAGGTATGCAGCCCTCTATTTTATGAAACCCAAGCTTTGGTACAATACATACTGGCATCCCTAAACCACCTTCCCTGGGCTGAATTAGGTCTTTCTCTACATCAGTAGGCTAATAATAACTCCCATCCATTTCCTGGGTAAGGTTCTGTAGTTCCCAGCAAATGGTTTTCTTCTTCCTCACCTTCTCTACCCCCTCACTGCTCTAACCTGCTTTGCAGGGGAAAAAGGTAGAATGAGAGTGGGTTCAGCCTGGTGGGCCAGTGGGAAGCCTCTTAGCCCCCTCCAGCTCTCTTTCCAATTCAGATACCCTGAGAGTTAACACAGAGGTCGGGGAGGCCAGTTGACCTCCAGTTGAAATGTTGAACCAGCTTTTCCCTTGGTGAGCTGGTAAAAGCAGTTATCTATCTCATTTCCAAATATACCTGATGTCACAAAGGGTTTGTTAAAAACATCAAATAATCCATCTTGAATTGATTTTTGTATAAGGTGTAAGGAAGGGATCCAGTTTCAGCTTTCTACATATGGCTAGCCAGTTTTCCCAGCACCATTTATTAAATAGGGAATCCTTTCCCCATTGCTTGTTTTTCTCAGGTTTGTCAAAGATCAGATAGTTGTAGATATGTGGCGTTATTTCTGAGGGCTCTGTTCTGTTCCATTGATCTATATCTCTGTTTTGGTACCAGTACCATGCTGTTTTGGTTACTGTAGCCTTGTAGTATAGTTTGAAGTCAGGTAGTGTGATGCCTCCAGCTTTGTTATTTTGGCTTAGGATTGACTCGGTGATGTGGGCTCTTTTTTGGTTCCATATGAACTTTAAAGTAGTTTTTTCCAATTCTGTGAAGAAAGGCATTGGTAGCTTGATGGGGATGGCATTGAATCTGTAAATTACCTTGGGCAGTATGGCCATTTTCACGATATTGATTCCCTAAAACCATAAAAACCCTAGAAGAAAACCTAGGCATTACCATTCAGGACATAGGCATGGGCAAGGACTTCATGTCTAAAACACCAAAAGCAATGGCAACAAAAGACAAAATTGACAAATGGGATCTAATTAAACTAAAGAGCTTCTGCACAGCAAAAGAAACTACCATCAGAGTGAACAGGCAACCTACAGAATGGGAGAAAATTTTCCCAACCTACTCATCCGACAAAGGGCTAATATCCAGAATCTACAATGAACTCAAACAAATTTACAAGAAAAAAACAAACAACCCCATCAAAAAGTGGGCAAAGGACATGAACAGACACTTCTCAAAAGAAGACATTTATGCAGCCAAAAAACACATGAAAAAATGCTCATCATCACTGGCCATCAGAGAAATGCAAATCAAAACCACAATGAGATACCATCTCACACCAGTTAGAATGGCAATCATTAAAAAGTCAGGAAACAACAGGTGCTGGAGAGGATGTGGAGAAATAGGAACACTTTTACACTGTTGGTGGGACTGTAAGCTAGTTCAACCATTGTGGAAGTCAGTGTGGCGATTCCTCAGGGATCTAGAACTGGAAATACCATTTGACCCAGCCATACCATTACTGGGTATATACCCAAAGGACTATAAATCATGCTGCTATAAAGACACATGCACACGTATGTTTATTGCGGCATTATTCACGACAGCAAAGACTTGGAACCAACCCAAATGTCCAACAATGATAGACTGGATTAAGAAAATGTGGCACATATACACCATGGAATGCTATGCAGCCATAAAAAATGATGAGTTCATGTCCTTTGTAGGGACATGGGTGAAATTGGAAATCATCATTCTCAGTAAACTATCGCAAGAACAAAAAACCAGACACCGCATATACTCACTCATAGGTGGGAATTGAACAATGAGATCACATGGACACAGGAAGGGGAATATCACACTCTGGGGACTGTTGTGGGTTAGGGGGAGGGGGGAGGGATAGCAATGGGAGATATACCTAATGCTAGATGACGAGTTAGTGGGTGCAGCGCACCAGCATGGCACATGTATACATATGTAACTAACCTGCACAATGTGCACATGTACCCTAAAACTTAAAGTATAAAAAAAAAATCAAATAAAATGTATTTTTTACTGAATTTGAAATGATATATTTATGCTTGAGTAAAATTTATCTAATTTATCTCCTTCCCTTTCATCTTTCCTGCCACCTCTTCCCTTATCCAGAAAAGTCTTTTTTTTTCTTTCTTTTTTTTTTCCTTGAGACAGAGTCTTGCTCTGTCACCCAGGCTGGAGTGCAATGGTGCGATCTTGGCTCACTGCAACCTCCGCTTCCTGGGTTCAAGTGATTCGCCTGCCTCAGCCTCCTGAGTAGCTGGGATTGCAGGTGTGCACCACCAAGCCCAGCTAATTTTTGTATTTTTAGTAGAGACGGGGTTTCACCATGTTGGCCAGGCTGGTCTCGAACTCCTGATCTCGTGATCTGCCAGCCTTGGCCTCTCAAGGTGCTAGGATTACAGGAGTGAGCTACTGTGCCCAGTCTCTTTTTCTTTTTTTGTTTTAAATTGAGGCAGGGTCTTCCTCTGTCACCCAGGTTGGAGTGCAGTGGTGCAATCACAGCTCACTGCAGCCTTGACTTCCTAGGTTCGAGTGATCCTCCCACCTCAGACTGCTGAGTAACTGGGACCACAGACATATGCCACCACGCCCAGCTAAATATTTTAATTTTTTGTAGAGACAAGAGTCCCACTTGGTTGCCCAGGCTGGTCTTGAACTCCTGGGCTGAAGTGATCCTTCTGTCTCAGCCCCGCAATGTGCCGGGATTACAGTCATGAACCACCTTGCCCAGCCAGAAAAGCCTTTAATTTTAACATTGAACAATGTATGGCAAGGAAGAGGTTAATCAGGTGACTAACTCACTTTACAACATTTTAAGGGACAGAAAATGAGCTATTACTTGTGACAACATGGAAGTCATTGAAAACCTTGTTAAGCAGTTTCAGTGGCACGAGATGGAAACCAACTGTATTGGCTGACGGGTAAATGGGGGAATGGTAAGTGAGAAATTAAGGCTTCCCTTGTAGACAACTCTAATGACGGCTTCTTGTCACTTAGATCTCAGTTTAAATGTCACCTCTTTGGAGTGATCTACAGTAGCCATCTGGTGAAGACCACATGACCACATTTTATTTCTCTGCAAAGCACTCACTTATGACCTGATCATGTCTTCTTTCTTTCTTTGTTTTCTCTGCTCCTAAGACACCACACATGCACACTGATCAAATGGGTTTTATTTATTCTGTCTCCCCAGAACCTAGAAAACTGCTTGGTACCTGGTAGGTGTTCGTTTTTTGAATGAAAGGATAAAATCTTGGCTATAAGGGAGAGTAGAGAAATAGAAATCTATCTGGTAGGGGATATGGAGCAATCTCATATGGGTGTGGGATGTGGATATGTGTGCTTTCTGTTAATTTGTTTTAATGGGAACCCCTAGCCCATTGCTTGTCTGACTTTGATGTGCCTGGGAACCATCTTGGGATCTTGCTAAATGCAGATTTTGATTCTGCAGGCCCAGGTGGGAGATTCTGCATTTCTAACAAGCTCCCAGGTGAGGCCCAGGCTGCTGATCCATGAATCCCATTTTGAGTAGCAAGTCCCTCGATCACATTGGTATGTTGCTTAGAATGAACAGGTGGAAAGGGGGTGATTAATGAAGCAGGAGAGAGGGGATAACTCTAGGAGCAAAGATTTGAGGAACACACAGGGATTGAATCCAGGGAACCAGCAGAAGGACCGTTTTTTTTTCTTTTTCTTTTTTTTTTGAGATGGAGTTTTGTTCTTGTTGCCCAGGCTGGAGTGCAATGGCGTGATCTCAGCTCACCGCACCCTCTGCCCACCTCAACCTCCACCCACTGCAACCTCCGCCTCCTGGGTTCAAGCGATTCTCCTGCCTCAGCCTGCCCAGTAGCTGGGATTAAAGGCATGCGCCACCATGCTCGGCTAATTTTGTATTTTTAGTAGAGATGGGGTTTCTCCATGTTGGTCAGGCAGGTCTCAAACTCCTGACCTGAGGTTATCTGCCTGCCTTGGCCTCCCAAAGTCCTGGGATTACAGGCATGAGCCACCGCGCCCAGCCAAGGACCGGTTTTTCAAAGGCAGAAGGAAACTTTCCACAGCATATCAGGAAAGAAGGGGAAGGAGTGAGAAGAAGATCTGATGATGTCTATCTTTCAGTGAGGTCCTCTGCTGAGACTGAGGGTGGAGGTGGGGTGTAGGAGTTCTGAGAAACAGAGTTATTTTCTTCCCAGGCAACATCCATTATGCCTTTGAGGATTGGATCATAAATTTAAAGTAAAACCCATCAGCTCTGTTGTGTAATTTTCTCAGCATTAATCTGCTTGGGTGCAGGTTGGAGAAGGAGGATGGTAGATTCATCCAGAGTGAGTGTGACAGAGGCCAAGAGGAACCAGGGAGTTGAGGGTGTTGGTAAGAGAGTGATTTTAATGGTGGACCACAGGAAGTGAGGCCTAGGCACTGGGTGGGATACTGCTACTCAGTCCCAGCTCTCACTCATGGGGCTCTAGTGCAGAGAGAGATATGACTGATATAATAACACAAATGCATATCTATCTACATGTACCCACACATATATATGTATGTATTATGTGTAAATGTCCATGTATATGTAACTACCACAACTGTCAGTGCCCCACCCTTTCGCCTTACCACTGCAGTATACCCGGCTGATTTCCAACTGCCAGCATCTGTATCTCTTTGCCTGAGATCATGGCAGGCTAGAAGTACCAGGGAGTTAGTGCCCCCGAGAGCACTGTGTGACCTGTAACAAACAGGAATTGGTGTATAAATACCCCAGGGTGGGATAACCAAGGTGTGGGTTCCACACTGTTTCCCCAGCAGGACGAAGCTCAGTGGTCCCTGGTGGTAACTTGCTTGGGAAGGCTCTCTTCACAGGCTGCCTTCTTTTCCTTGCCTCACTTCCCCGCTTCCTTCCTTCCTTTCTTTCTTTTCTTTTCTTTCTTTTTTTTTTTTATGATGGAGTTTCACTCTTGTCGCTCAGGCTGGAGTGTAAGGGCGCACTCACTACAACCTCCGCCTCCTGGGTTCAAACGATTCTCCTGACTCAGCCTCCTGAGTAGCTGGGATTACAAGCTATCACCACCATGCCTGGCTAGTTAATTTTTGTATTTTTAGGAGAGATGGGGCTCTCATCATGTTGACCAGGCTGGTCTTGAACTCCTGATCTCAGGAGATCCACCCACTTTGGCCTCCCAAAGTGCTGGGATTACAGGTGTGAGCCACTGTACCCAGCCTCACTTCCCTATTTTCTCACTTAGTGTTTTCTAGAACCACCTTTCAAATGAACTAGTTGTTCTCAAATCCTTGCTTTGGGGGCCTCTCTGGGGGGAGTCCAAATTGGGGTATATGTAACTATAAATTGTGATGCATGCCATGGAGAAAAGTACAGTCTACTCTTTGGGTGGGGGGACCTGCTCCATTATGGGGTGGGAATGTGGATGTCAGGGAAGGCGAGGAAGAGATCTATTAGCTGGGATCTAAAGGAGGAGCAGGGCAGAAGGACACGATACAATGAGTGTCTGAAAGGCCACTGTGGCTGCTACAGAGGACGGGGACATGGATGGAAGCTTAAGAGGCCAGACCCTGGAGGGCCTCATAGGACATGGTAAGGAGTTTGGCGTATGTATTCAGAGAACACGGAGAAGTCATTAAGGGGACTACAGCAGGACAGCGACAAGACTATACCTGTCTCTAACCATAGTGGAGAAGGACAGGAGAGCCCGCATGGCAGGGATAGAGTTCAGAGGCCTCCGCTATGACCCAGGGTCTTGCATGGAGTTTTGCACATGAAGGAGTCTCAACAGATGTTTGCTGAAGTGGAAGGTAACTATTAACCATGTAGTTGACTGACCAGAACACCCAATTTCCTGGCCAAGCCGATAAATGATTTCCCTTCATTAACGTTGCCTTTTTTTTTTTTTCTGGGCTGCTACACTTAAAACTCTATCATCCCTTTCTCTTGGGGACAGCATCAACAGGATAACTCCCTTCTACTTTTACTTATTCTCCACTTCCCTCCTTTTCACTTTCTTCTTTCTCTCCTTCTCCTCTTCACCCCTTTGTCTCTCCTCTTTCTTCAAATAATCCTATTTAATAAAGTTGATTATTTCTTACCGTCTCCATTCCTATTAATGGTGGCATGTAATTCTTGTCTCTGGACATCTCAAGACACTGCAGATATAGTCAGTGGAAACAGAATTACACTTTGTGAGCAAGGTAATTTTAAGTGGATCTTTAGTCAAATGCTGTCAAAATGCAAAAAAGAAGAATGTTCCCAAGCGCATTCACTCCTTTGGTAATATTGCCACATACACATCCAGCATGCACTTGAAATTTTTATGAAAAAGAAATTCCATTCCAAAGGTGATTCATACAAAACATTATGTGTATGTGTGTATGTTATTTACAATTTGAAATCATGAGACATAGAACATATTTTCAAGAGATAAAAAAAGTGGGGACATATTCAGAGATAACATACATCTGATCACCAATGTGGTTTCACATGTGGTCACTGTTAATAAATTACTACAGAACACACTAGAAACAGAGAATGACATATACCAGTCAGCAAAGTTGGATTTATGGTGCTGCAGAAAGTAACATAGTATGGAGGACCAGGAAGGCTGAAACCCAGCCCATAAATTAATCTCCAAGTGTATGTTGTAAATAGTCACAATTGTACCCTTTTTCCTCTTGTGTTCCCTTTTATAAAAATATTGAAATCCTTGCTCATCCCTTTCTTTTGCCCAGCAATTAAAGAAAAACAAACTAGATGTCTGAGATTTCACATAACCTTTCATACCCAATATTTTTATTGTCTTAAATCTTGAGTAGTCAGCAAGAGTTGTGTTTTGCAATACGCTGGGGTAAGGAAAATCTGTTCACCCCATTTTCCATTTTCGCCCCTGGTGTCCTCTTCTGGCATATTCACCCATCACCCCATGGCCCTCACCCTGTGTTCTGGCAGGATTTGAGACATGCAAATTGCAAGCTGGTAAATAGCAGCTTTGCATATTTTGAATAGAAGAGAACAACGTGGTACCACTCATTCTGTTCTCAGGGAAATCTGAGATAATAGGGAGCAAGATCGAGGGCAGACCGAGGGTCTTAAGTATTTTCTTAAAAGTGTTTATTATGCTTATTAAACCTATTGTACACTGATGAATTAATTTGAATTATTTACATGGTCACCCTTGGAGACAATAACCTGATTTAATCAGAGGATGCAAACGTTATCATTTCTCTTTGAAATCTAAAAACAGGTTTAAACTGGAAACGTCAGGACTTCTTGTATCTTTCCCTACAAATACTGGTTACAAATCTGCAGTTGTCAGGCTAAATGACATAATGTCAGAAATCAAGAGAATGTGGTGTATTTCTTAGGAAAGTCAATAAACTCCCCTGTGCGAACATGTCCCCTGGACAGTGGGTGACTAATTTCTCAAGTAAAAGGTCTTTCTATTTTGTTTATCTGTAAATATCATGCACTGTCTGACATAAGGGGGTTCATCTGCTAAAATTTCAGTGTATAGGAAAATGACATGGTAAAAATGGTTGGGGTTTTATCAGATTATGAGACTGGTGTCATTTTAAGTGAATGTTTGGACTAGTAAAAATTATTTCATTTTACTATTGAAGCTGTAAGAACCTAAGGTTGCTGTCAAGTTGAAAGGTTCAAATTCAATTATTTTCAAATCTAGGTTTCCATTGTGACTTGGAAAAAAAATTAGAGATTATTGTTCAAATCTCTCCTACTTTGGATTTTTTTTTCTTAGTATTTGGATGTTTATAAGAAATTGTTGTGAAAGTTAAAATCTTGTGCGTTTGTAAAATTGGAAGAGGCACAAGTGATTCTGAAGGTGGAGCCTTTCAGAGGTAAAGCAAACAGCTTGCATCTTCAATATTTTATGAGATCTAGGTATTAGAACCATGTTTCTGATGCAGGAATACAGCTATCTAGGAACAAAAGGGAGATGAGACTACAGAACAGACTGTGAAATTTCTTAAAATTATTAAATGATCCTAAGACTGAGCACAGGAGTGGATGATGTTACTGCAGATTGTTCTTAATAAGGGCTTTAAAAGCTTAATGATTTATTGATTGGCTCTGCATTAATGACGTGCCCTTGATTATGCATGTGTAAATAAGAGGGCTGATTTATGAGGGTACAATTGTATCTTTCAGATATATTTGTCCAAGTCTACATCTTTAAAATAAATGGAAGCAATTATCTGAATATTTCAAGGGAGGGAACCCCACCTTCCCATCCCCCACCCCCGATTTGAGGGAAGTCTAGTATGTTAGGTGAAGAGAAAAAAAAAGAAAAGAGGAAGCTCTAAAGGGAGTTAGGAACAAAACAAAACTTCCGTTAAGAAATATCCCTGCTTCTCTTATCCTAAGAGAAGAAAAACAGATTCCCAGGTGCCACCGGGGAGCAATGTTTTACTTAAAAAAAAAAAAAGAAAAAGGAAAAAGAAAAACCTGTAAGAAGTTGTCCTGTTAAATCAACGACACATGGAGTCTGAAGGAAATCAGCCTTTTCGTTACAAACAGGTTTAAAAAGCCCTGGAGAAGAGAGACGTGAACAGAAGCAATATTATCCACTAACAACCTAACTCCCGCTTAGACATCAGCTGAGAGATCAGCAGCATCATTGAACAGGGGGGTTTGTCTTAAGATAATGACTCATCTTGATTTCTTTCAGGATATAAAACTTGTATTTAAATCAATTCAGAGAAGCACTTGAGCTTTAAACATTAGAGAGCAGGGAGAGCCTATTTAATAAACAGCATTATTTCATTTTCAAAGAATGATACTGGCAGTAGCTCTAAGTTTAAATTTTGTATTATTTTCCTCAATTATAATTATAGATGGGTCTGAAAGGAAGCATGCTTATTACTGTCATATTTATTCTTTTGACAGGTGTTATGGGACTGTAATTTGGTGAAATGATTCAAAACGCAGATTCCTATCCAAACACAATTCTTGTCATCAACACGAGAGGTTCAGGAAAAGTCCTCCAGCAAGCCTTTCAGAGATCTTGAACACCCCATATTCATAGCACAATCCATATTCAGGAATAAGGAGGAGAGAGTGCCTTTAGGGCTTATATCCGGCGTAGCAACAGCCAGAAGGCAGAGTGGGTGTTTGAGGTAACAGGTAACGAAGGCTGTTAGTGGGGACAGCTTTCAACTGGGTGGGGTCGGATCTAGGAAGAGGCACCCAGTAGGACCCCGAGTCCCGCGCGCGGCCGGCAGAGGGCGCTGGGCTCACCGTCGCCGGGCAGGGGCGGTGCCGCTCAGTCCCCGGGGCGCAGGCGCACTCGTCGCCGCGGCGGCGTCCGGGGCTGGCGTTCCCCTGGAGGCTGGTGAGCCGCGCTGCGCAGGCCGAGGCCGAGGGCGGGGGCGCGGGGGCAGCGGCGGCCGGAGCCACTGGGTGGCGGGGGCGGGCTAGGGATGTGGAGGCCTCGGGTGTCCTCGGATCTATTGAAGACCTAGGGGCGACCCGCGCCGGCACCTTTTCCCTTGCGGTCTGCGCTCTTCCACCGGAGAGCTGAGTGCACCGGAGCGCGGCGCCCGGGCTTGACGCAGGCCTGGCCGGGCGGCCTCGGAGGAGCAGGAAAGGCCTGCAGCGCGAGCTAGGGGCGCGAGGTCCGGGGCAGCCCGGAGGCCAGCCTCTCAGAGGCTCACGGGCCTGGCCACTTTTAAAAGGAGAATGTCCCCTCCACCGTCCCTCTGCCCGCGGCACCCGGTGGCCGGAGCAACCTTGTCGTGATGATTTATGCTTCTGCGTAAGAGCAAGTTGCTCCGTGGCCAAAACCCTTTCGCTCCTAGGATTGATCCTTTTTGTGGTTATTGTTTTAAAAAGTTTTATTGAGATATAATTCACGAAGCATACAGTTCACCCATCTAAAGTGCACAATTCAGTGTCTTTTAGTGTGTTTGCAGAGTTGTGCAGCTGTCACCATAATGTTTTAGAACATTACCCCCCAAAAGAAACACCTCCTTTAGCTGTCACTCCCCCCTCCCATCTACTCCCATTCTCCCAGCCCTAGGCAACCACCAATGTACTTCTGTCTCTGTACTTTTGCCTATTCTGGATGTTTCGTATAAATGGAATCATACATTAAGTAGCCCCTTGTGACTGGGTTTGTTCACTTAGCGTAATGTTTTCTGGGTTCACCTGCCATAGGTTCTTGACTTCAGGACAGTTTCCTGCTGGCTTTAGTTTCCTCTGGTAACTTGGGAATCAATTGACATCTATGGAACTTCTGTTATGGTTCAGGTACTATAAACTGTGGAGGAGTGACTAATAACCGTATATATATTTTTCTTACTAATTTCCCTTCATTTCACAGGTGTTGAACTAATACAGTATAGTTTCTTGTTCTTCAGAAGCTTACAGTCAGCAAGGAACAGAAAGCCAAATAAAGTAGGAAAGGGTAAGATGTTCAACGCTGGGCGCAGTGGCTCATGCCCATAATCTCAGCACCGTAGGAGGCTGAGGAAAGAGGATCACTTGAGCCTAGAATTTTGAGACCAGCCTGGGCAACATAGTAAGACTTCGTTTCTATAAATAATTAAAAAAATTAGCCAGACGTGGTGGCGTGTGCCTGTGATCCCGGCCACTTGAGAGGCTGAGGTAGAATCGTTTGAGCCCGGGCAGTTGTGACTGCAGTGATCCCTGATCATGCTACTGTACTCCAGCCTGGGTGACAGAGTGAGACCCTGTCTCAGGACAAAAAAAAAAAAAAAAAGATGTTCAAGCACTTAAGATGTGCCAGCCCCTGTGCTAGGCACTTTCCATAAGTTAGCTAGGTTGGTCTTTACAAAACCCCTGTGAGGTGGGTTATTCTTTTCTCCAGTTTACAGTGGGGGAAGCAGAAGTCCAGAGAAGTCAACCAGGTTGGCCAGGATTACACAGCTAGTAGATAGCAGAGGTAGGCTTTTAAACTAGGGTTCTTTGTCTCCAAAACCTGCTCTAAGTTCTGTCACATCGATTATAATCACAATAAGTGATTACAGAGCAGTGTGATGACTGTAATAGGGGTGTGAACAGCATGGGATGAAAGCCTGAAGGAGGTGACAGGGAACTGGATCTCTAAGGATGAAGGGGAATTCTTGAGGCAGGTGAAGAAGTCAAGGTAGGGGAAAGCACAGCATGTTTCAGAGATGGTATTAACAATAACAGTTAGTAGGAAACATGTAGTGTGTGCCAGGCATCATGCTTAGTAGTCTAGGAGCGTTATTTCATCCTTACAACAGTCCTATGTAGGAAATACTATTTATTAGGGACCGCATTGACAGATGGGGAACAGACTTCGAGATAGAAGTTAAGAAACTCGTCCAGGGTCCTAGAACTAGCAGGTGATAGAACCAGGATTTGAACCCAGACTGTCTGATCCCAGAGTCCTCCAAGTTCAGTCTGTGGCTAAAATGCAGGAAGTGTGGGAAGGACAGCAGGAGGGGAGACTGATGAGAGGGATTGAAACAGATCTCAGAAGGCCATGGGTAGAGAACTCTCTACAGAGGTTCTGAGGAAGGGGAGTGACAGGGTGTGCTTTTTAGGAAGTGTTCTTGGGTGGCACCATGTGGATTGGGCTGGAAGGAGGGAGACAGATCAGGAGGTATTCGGATAGTCCCAGCCAGGTATGGGTACAAAGCTGGGAACCAAGGTAATGCCAACAGGGATGAAGGGGGCAGGGAGGGGGTGAGGGGACTTTAGAGCCTTGGCTATGTAGGAGAGGGACTGGGGGAGGCAGGGATTGCTGCCCCATTGCTAGCTTGGGAGAACACAGATGTGCAAGATGGAGCCCTGGAGTGGGTGGGGGTGGGAAGCAAAACCACTCCATTCCTATTTTTCAACTTTTCCCTTCAAGAAGAGTAATTGCATATTTAAAAAATGGCCTGTGCAGGCTTAATTTAGCGTGTATCAGTGCTCAATAGGGCATAATTTCTGGTTATTTTCTGCAGTTCCATTCTTTCGTCTTTTTTTAATATATGACTTTTTCCCACTTATTTTTAGGTGCCTATATCGGGACATAGATTAGGGAAAAGGACAGTGGGGTTAAATGGGACTGTGGGCCTGCTTCTCAACATCTGTGCCAGTGATAACACTTGGCTTCCAGGAAATTCCCTTTGTAGCTTTATTTTCTCTTTTTAAAAATTCTGTCATATTCTCCTTTGGATTTGGTAAGAGCTTTGTTGTTAAGCATTTCTTTAGTTGCTCCTTTCCTTTATCTGTGTAATTGATGTCAGCCTGGTGACTCTTTCTTTCTTTTGATTTTTTTTTTCCATCTATATGCAGGGGGAAGCTGCAGACGATGTCCTTGGGTTTCAGAAAGGCATGGAGCAAGGTTTTGTAGAGAAGATTGAGGAGTACTGGATAATAGTGCAGTCAAGTGCCTTTATAAGTGCTTGAACCTGGTCATGCATGAACCCTGCCAGAGTTCTTTGTGGGGTCCTTAGCCCTGATCTGGTCAGTATTTTTATGAGTGGCTCAGACATAGCAGGTAGATTCACGAAGCAGATAAGGGCATAGTCTTTGGAATCAAATAGACCTAGGTTCTATTCCGGGCCTTGCTCTATACTAGCCTTGTTGCTCTTGGCAAATTACTTAACCTCTCAGGGCCTCAGTTTCCTCATCTATAAAATGGGACTAATGATACCTCCCTTAAAATATTGTTGTGAGGATTAAATGAGGTAACATGAAAAGCTCTCAAACTTGGCATGTCCTACTCATTCCCTGGATGGGAGCCATCGGCTTTGCAGAAGGCTCTGGGTCAGAGAGCTAGGTACACCAGACTGTTCATCTCTGTGGTCCTAGGGCTGGGTCCAGAGTTGTACAGGTGCTAGATGCTCTGAATGGCATGGCGTAGTTGACTGATGCTTACAGTATATAGGGTTACTGTCTTTCTCTTTGTCTTTACCCTGTGTTTACCTGGGGTGTGACTGTTTCTGTGCTCTTATTTTGTTGAATTGAGTTGATATAACAGACCCCCCTAAGGATGGTGGCAGATTGTGACTCTGGAATGACCTCATAAAATAAAAGATGGGGAAAGAGACTTAAGAACAGCTCATGGAGCCGGGTGCAGTGGCTCACACCTATAATCACAGCACTTTGGGAGGCCAAGGCAGGTGGATCACCTGAGGTCAGGAGTTTGAGACTGGCCGACATGGCGAAACTCCGTCTCTACTAAAAATAGAAAAATTAGCCGGGCATCGTGGCATGGACATGTAATCCCAGCTACTGGGGAGGCTGAGGCAGGAGAATTGCTTGAACCCGGGAGGCAGAGGTTGCAGTGAGCCAAGATTGCGCCATTGCACTACAGCCTGGGGAACGAGAGCGAAATGCCGTCTCAAAAAAAAAAAAAGAAAAAAGAAAAAAAGAGCAGCACATGGAAAAATGCCTTTGAGCCAAATGCCAGGGCCACGTGAGGGCCCCAGCAGAGAAGCAGTCTGAGCTGCATTCCTTGAATTCCCAGGTCAAAGGAGGTGACAGGGCCACTGCCTGTGGAGTTGGTCAGAGCATGGCCAAACTGTTGTTTTCCCATGGGACAGCAGGTTTAAGAGTGGTATCAAAAATAAAGGTACGTGTGTTGAGAGGAGGGCAAGTGGGACAGAGACACTTTGAGAGGCGACAGCACCTCCCCGCTGCTTACATTGGAAAAGGGACTAGGGAGGGGCTGGGATAGTTGACTGTGAATAATGAAAAGCTGGGCTTGGGAGGAGGTGAGGGAAGATTTTGTCCCAAAGAGTAGAGCTCTTTGTGGAGTGAGTAGAACTTTACAGCGGGGAATTTTAACTCAGAACTGGAGGGACTTTCCAATAGCTTGAGCAGAGCGAAAATGGGGGACTTGTGAGTTTCCTGCCACTTGGAGCACATGTAGGGAGAAAAGCTGGGTGACTTCCTGCCAGGTGTGTTTTTAAAGCGATTTTTTATTAGGAAAATTTTCCAAATATATGGAAGTTAAAATAACAGCATGGTGTTCACCCTTAATGCCTACCATCTAAACGTGATCTGAACATTCTGCTGCATTTCTTCATCTTCCTCACTCTTCTCTCTGTGCTGTCTTTTGCTGAACTATTTGAAAGGAGGCTGCAGACCTGATGACATGTCACCTCTAAATCCTTCTGCCTGCGTCTCCTGAGAGTAAAGTGATTCTCCCACATAACCACATCGGTCTTATAACCCAAGAAAATTCATAATTCACACTATCGTTTCACATCCAGTGAAGATTTTCATTCAGGAAGTTGGTAAATCACTGTGACCACCATATGGAGAATGGCTGGTGGGGCCTGAGGGCAGGTGGATACCCTTCCAGCAACCCCAGCAAGAGCCTGAACTAGAGGCCTGACCTAGAGTAATGAGGGGTGATGAAGGCTGTTTCAAGGTAACCACAGGCCTCCCACTGAGCATGGTGGCACTGAGGAGGAGATGCCAGACCACAGAGCTGAGTGTGGAAGAGGCAGGAGGTATTCAGGAAGCAGAGAGGAGCACTGTAGGCAGAAGTAGGAGGATTCGTTCAAAATAGAAATTGAATGTCTACCAGGATAGTTAATTTTATGTGTCAACTTGGCTGGGCCACAGGAGGCCCAGGTATTTGGTCAAACATTATTCTGGGTGTTTCAATGCGGGTGAGATTAACATTTAAATTGTTCGATGGAGTAAAGCACACAGCCCTCTATAATATGGGTGAGCCTTTTCCAATCCATTGAAGGCCTTAAACGAAAAGTCTAAGCCTCCCCTGAGTAAGAGAATTCTCTTGCCTGTGGCTTTCAAACTGGGACATCAGCTCTTCCTGGTTCTACAGCAGCTTCCAGCCTTTGTGCTTGAACTGGGACATTGGCTCTGCAGATTTTGGACTTGCCAATCTCCATAATTGCATGAGCCAGTTCATGGTAATAAACCTCTGTCTCTCTCTGACACACACACACACACACACACACACACACACACACACACACACACCCTCCCTCCTATAGGTTCTGTTTCTCTGGAGAACCCCAATGAGTAAGTACATCTACTCCATGCCAGACATTCTGCCCCAGTGCTGAGACCATAACAGGCAAACACAGCATGGGCTGTTGTGGAGTGTGCCATACAGGGCTCAGTTTGCCTGGACTAGGCTGTGGGTGGTGAGAGGTGCAGATGAGGGGTAGGTAGGGGCCAGATCGAGAGGGGCCTTGCAGGCCATGGACAGGAGCCTGGATTTTATTCTGTAGACCAGTGCTTTCCACACTTCAGGACCCTCATGATTTTTGCCGGGTCCACATTTCAATTTGATACATAAAAAATCAGTTTTATGAGCATTTGAAAAAACTGCTTTAGGCCATTAATACCTATGAAAACGTGTTTTTCCCCCCTCATTACACATGAAAATAAATATAAAATCATTACAATAAAAAATACTGGCTGTATACTACTTAAAGTAATTTCAGGTATTTGTTCTACATTTTGGGAAAAGTTGCCATGAATGATGGGGGCAGGGGTGGATATTAGGGGTTTTAGGAAGGACAGGACACTTTGAGATTTATGTTTTAGAAAGATTCACTCTGGCTGTTGGGCAGAGAAGGATGGCAGAAAATGGACTGGAAGACAGGGAGACCAGCTAGGGGCTGTTGCAGTTGTCTCAGAGAGAGTCTGAACCAAGGGTATGCAGTGGAGTAGAGAGGAAGGGAAAAATATGAGGGGCATTCAGAGGTGGAATTTGATAGGAATTAGAAACCAGTGGCATGGGGCCGGGTGTGGTGGCTCACGCCTGTAATCCTAGCACTTTGGGAGGCCAAGGTGGGTGGATCACCTGAGGTCGGGAGTTTGAGACCAGCCTGACCAACAGGGAGAAACCCCATCTCTACTAAAAATACGAAAATTAGCTGGGTGTGGTGGCATGCACCTGTAATCCCAGCTACTCAGGAGGCTGAGGCAGGAGAATTGCTTAAACCCAGGAGGCGGAGGTTGCGGTCGAGATTGCGCCATTGCACTCCAGCCTGGGCAACAAGAGCGAAACTCTGTCTCAAAAAAAAAAAAATAAAAAAAGAAAAGAAAAGAAAGAAACCAGTGGCATGGGGATTGAGGAGAAGGAGGAACCTGGGTTGACTGTGATGATTTTGGTTTGGTTGCCTGGGAAGATGGAGGAGCCATCACAGAGGCAGGGAGCCAGGATGCAGAGGCCAAGATCAAGTCCAAAGGGCAGGGCAAGGGAGGCAAGTGTTGCCAGGCCCAGAGGCATTGACTGCAGTTTTAGCAATGATGCTGTGAGGTTCATTGCCCCTTAAATAATAGCAAACCTACGCTTTAAATTAAATTAAAACATTTTTAGTTTAGCTCTTCTAAGTGGACCCACACATGTATTCTCTACTAGTTATTACTGAGAATGACTAAGTATTATAATTGAGCTGAAAATAATCTGCCGCCCATACTTGCTGGGTTGGTTACTAAGTATTGCTTGAGTTTTTAAGTAATGAAACAAAGTTGTGCTCTTTCCAAATGTTAATTTTGAGGACTGCAGATGGTAACCATCTGTTCCGCGACTAGCATTTTACAATATTTGATTACTACTTTATATAGTTTGGGGAAGCCTGCCAGTGGAGTCTACCCATCAGGTTTGGGACTTTGGTGGTATGTCTCCTGTGGTTGCTCCTGATGGTCTTGGCCACCCTTGAACGGGTTCCCCTCTGATTTCTGGGTGGTGAGTCGGACTGGCATGGTCATGATTGATAGCAGGAGGAACTTGAGAAGCCCTGTCCTGTCCGACTCTGCCTTACAGCTGGAGTCATCAGATTGCATTGTGGAAGAATTTGTGAGGATCTGTCCATCAGTTAGTACCCTTTGAGATACAAGTGACAAAACAAACCCCAGCTGCTTTGGTGAAAGGGGATTAATTGGCCCAGATCATTGAGAAGTCTAGGGGAAGGACTTCCTTCAGGTAGATGGTTTTAGGGCCCAAATGAATTCTTTTTTTTTTTTTTTTTTTTTTTTTTGAGACAGAGTTTCACTTTGTGTCATCCGGGCTGAGTGCCGTGGTGTGATCACAGCTCACTGCAGTCGAGGCTGAAGTGATCCTCCCATCACAGCCTCTTGAGTAGCTGGGACTACAGGCGCATGCCACCATGCCCAGTTAATTTTTTATTTTTTGTAGAGACAGGGTCTCCCTGTGTTGCTCAGGTTGGTCTCAAACTCCTGGCTTCAAGCAATCCACCCATCGCAGCCTGCCAAAGTGCTGGGATTACAGGCGTGAGCCATCACCCCTGGCCCAAATACGTTATTTGGGCTTGTTTTTTTCTCAGGGTCTCAGCTCTGCCTTCTGCTATGTGGCTATGGTCTCAGGCTTCTAGAGGAGGCAAGGTGGCTTCACTGAGAGAGGATCAAATCCTCCCAGCATCAAGTTTAGTGGGAAGGAGCTAGAGTCCTTTCACGCCACTTCTGCAGAGGTGTTGCGATGCACTCTGGTTGGACTAGCTTTTGGCACGTGCCCGTGTGTGAGCTAGTCCTTATATCCATGTGGATGCAGGGCTCTGATAGTCCCACTCAGACCTTCTGGGCCAAGACCTGGGGAGGGGTGCACCCCAGATCACACATTGGGGCTGTTACTAGAAGGGAGAATAGATGGTGGGGGTCAGACAACCACCTATCCACTCCAGCATCAGAGCAAGAATCCAGGGAACCAGGAGGAATTGGCTAACGTAGCTGAGGAGACACATTTATTGTTGCCGAGGAGATAATGGGATGTAAATGGAATGAAGGAGCCTCTGGAACCAGCTACTTCCTAAGCTTCCCTTCTTAGTTTAAGGGCATCTGATAGATTTAGTTTCTGGTTCTTTTTGCAAGGTGAGGGGAGGGTTTTTTTTTTTTTCTTATATGTTCCTTTAAAACTAAGGCCAGTCACTAGATCTCTTTTAGCTCCTTCATCTGGAACATAAGGGGCATCTCTGTACAGAGGAGATAGTAGCTTCATTCTGTTTAGTTAACAGTGAGTGAAGCCCACTGCGGGCCAGGCGCTCAGCCCAGGGAGAGCCACAGGCGAGGTAGCAGATGAGTCCCTGGCAGCACCATGAGCGGGGCACTGCAGCCCCACAGAGGACAGGGTGAGCACCTCTGTCTCCAGAGAGGGACCGTGAGGAAGGGCTTCCTGGAGGAAGGACACTAAGCTGAGCCTGGAAGGATGAACAAGGTTCCTCACACGGAGAAGATGGGAAGGAGTCCACGGCCAGGGAGCTGCATGTGCACTGAAAGGCGCCACATTTGGTGGTTTGAGGGGTCTGGGAGCAGTTCCTGTGGCTGACTGGGATGCACCCAGGACACTGATTCCAGAGCTCACGTGGTGTCAGTGTGGAGGAGACTGGAGTGACAGGCTAGGTACTGGGACACCAGGCAGATGCTGTGGCAGAGGTTCAGGCAGGAGCCTGATGAAAGCTTTGCAAGCCCATATGTTCTAGAACCTACCATTTAAAACAATCTATACTCTCATAGTTCCTTTAAAAAAGAAGAGGTTAAGCTAGAGTTGTGGGTTCTTTAGAGAGAGTGTTAATACAGAGAAGAATGTGGGTTCTGTAGACACAAAAGAGAGCTTGCTGTATAATTCCATTTATACAAAACTCTGGAAAATGCAGCGGTTGCCTGGGGATGGGGACGTCGGGAGGGCGGGAGGGAGGGATTACAAAGGGTATGCGGTAAATTTTGGTGATGATAGATATGTTAACTCTCTTGATTATGACGGTGGCTTCTCCGGTGTGTACCTGTGGCAGCACTTATCAAATTATATACTTTAAGTATATGAAGTTCATTATATATCAACTATACCTCAATACAGCCTTTTTTTTTTTTTTTTTTTTTTTTTTTTTTTTTTTAGAAAAAGGCTCTGGAGCCAGACTGCCAGAGTTCAAATCCAAGCTCCAGCTTTATTAGCTGTGTGATCTTGGGCAAGTTATCAGACCTCTCTGTGACCGGTTTTCTTATGTGTGCATTAATCACATGTAAAGTGAATAGAGACAAACAAGTGCTCATTGTGATTCTCTCTCTTTTTTTTTTTTTTTGAGTTGGAGTCTTGCTTTGTCACCCAGGCTGGAGTGCAGTCGTACTATCTTGGCTCACTGCCATTTCCACTTCTGGGGTTTAAGTGATCCTCCTGCCTCAGCCTCCCAAGTAGCTGGGATTACAGGCATGCACCACTAAGCCTGGCTAATTTTTGTATTTTTAGTAGAGACGGGGTTTCACCGTGTTGGCCATGCTGGTCTCAAACTCCTGACCTTAAGTGATCTGCCCTACTTAAAGGCGTGAGCCACTACGCCCAGCCCATTGTGATTTTTATGATAACTCATAGTGAAATGAAATCACGTGCCCACGCTGTGGTGACTCTGTCCAGCAACTTCTCTGCAGAGCCCCCTAGATTCATGCTTCTCAGACTTTAAAATGTGCCTGCAAATCTCCTGGCATCCTTGTTAAAATGCAGGTTTGATCTGGTGGGTCTTTGGGGTGGGGCCCAAGACTACATTTGTGATGAGCTCCCGATGCTGTGGGTTTTGCTGGTTCAGGAGCACACTTTGAATTTCAAGGCTCAGGCCTGTAGGCATTCTCCCCTCTGTGGCTTGGTGCCCTCGCCAGACCATGGCTGATGTCAGAGCTGGTTTCCTAGTGATTGCCCCTCAGGGTCTTCCTGCTTTTCTACCCTACCCTGCCGGTGAGGGACACCTACTCATGCACCACTTGAAGTTGAGTTCCAGAAAGAAGACGCCAGGGATGAGGCTGTAAGTCTCCCTCCACACTCACCTTTGGTCTTGTGGGCCTGCTCTGGGCTAGAGCTTCTGTTGAACTGAATGCCCACCCCACCCCAAGGTGCAGGCTCCATGGGATGGGACAGGAGGGGCCTCTGCACTGCACCAAGCTTGCTTCCCAGAGTACTGGGAACTGGGGGTCAGGGCTGAGTACTGAACTTGGCTTGATGCCCTGGAAGTGATCCTGCTTGTTTTCCAGGGACAGAGGGTCTCACGGATGGCCCCGCTGCCAGGAGCAGAACTGGTTCGGAGGCCACTGCAGCTCTACCGATACTTGCTGCGCTGTTGCCAGCAGCTGCCGACCAAGGGCATCCAGCAGCATTACAAGCATGCTGTCAGGCAGGTGCGAGCTGGCTCTACCAGGTCTGGGGGCTGCCTCTAATGGCAGGCTTAGGGGCGCAGGTCAGAGGCCAAGGCCAGGGCACAGAGCTAGTCTCTGAGATGGTGGTGAGGTGGCAGTGTGGGAAGAGCCACAGGAAACCAGTGCTGGGCAGCCCAGCTCCTCTCTGTCCAGGAAACAGAGGGTGCCTCACCCAGCACACCAGCTGTGCTAGGGCATGCATGAGGCAGCTAAGTGGGTAATTAAAATAGACTGTGGGACACGACATCATTTAGGCAGGCATCCCTGCCAACAGTGCACAACTTGAATTTAATCCTGAGAAAACATCAGGTAAAACCAAATCGAGAGGCCATCTACCACATAACTAATAGGCCTGTACTCATCAAAAATGTCAGTGTCGTGAAACACAACGCTGACATTTTTGATGTTCTGGATTAGAGAACTCAAGAGATATGGTGACTAAATGTAATGTATGATCCTAGACCAGAAAAAAAATGCTGTAAAGAATATTATTGGGAACCAGGCATGGTGGCTCATGTCTGTAATCCCAGCATTTTGGGAAGCTAAGGCAGGCAGATTGAGCTCAGGAGTTCAAGACCAACCTGGGCAACATAGAAAGACCTTGTCTCTACAGAAAAATCAAACAATGAGGTGGGAGGATTGCTTGAGCCCGGAGGTCGAGGCTGCAATGAGCTGTGATTGTGCCACTGCATTCTCACCTGGGTGACAGAGTGAGACCCTGCCTCAAAAAAAAAAAATGAATATTACTGGGGCAGTGCATGAAATTGGAATATGGGCTATGGATTATAGAGTTGTATCAATGTTGAGTCTTCTGAATTTGATTACTGTGGTTATGTCAGAGAATGCCCTTGTCATTAGGAACTACACATGGGAATGTTTAGGGGTAAGGATAGCGTGTCTGCAACTTACTCTTAAATGCTTCTGAAAAAATTTATACATACTTATATAAAGAGAATGATAAAGCGAGTGTAGCAAAATGTTAACAGTCAGTGATTCTGGTAGGAAATTCTTTGTATTATTATCACAACTTTCTGTAAGTGAGAAATCATTTCCAAATAGAAAGTTAGCTAAAATTCATACACATATAATATGGAAAGTAAAAAAAAAAAAAAATCAGAGGTGGCGGTAGCCACAGAGGGCTGTGGAAACATGGAGAACGAGCAGTTAGCTGTCTGGGGGAGTCAAGGAGGGCATGCCAGAGGTGGATGCTGAGCGGGGGGCGCTCCTAAAGATGAGCAGGAGGATGTGTGGGGCTGGGAGTGACAGGGGAGGGAGGTGCCAGTTCTTTTTTTTTTTTTTTTTTTTTTTTTTTTGAGATGGAGTTTCACTCTTGTTGCCCAGGCTGGAGTGCAATGGCTTAATCTCAGCTCACCACAACCTCTGCCTCCTGGGTTCAAGCGATTCTCCTCCCTTAGCCTCCCGAGTAGCTGGGATTACAGGCATGTGCCACCACGCCCGACTAACTTTGTATTTTTAGTAGAGATGGGGTTTATCATGTTGGTCAGGCTGGTCTCCAGCTCCCGACCTGAGGTGATCTGCCCGCCTCGGCCTCCCAAAGTGCTGTGATTACAGGCATGAGCCACCATGCCTGGTGCCAGTTCTTTTTGAAAAGCAAAACCTGAATCTTAGGTTGCTTCTCAAGGATGAATATCTGGTCAAAAGCAAACAGTATCCCATGCTCTGCACTGGGCCTGGGTGGATTTCCTGAGGCCACTCTATCTACTACCTCCCCTCCCTTCCCTGTGTAGCTCTCCTAGCACTGGGCCGAGAGAAGTCCTACTTCTTCCTCCCTGCTGTAAAGCCTATGCAGAGATCTCACCCTGGGGAAAGCAGCGTCTTCTGAGGAAGAGAGATGGAAGTTTCCCCTTGGACTCTACTGCCTGATAGCCTTTGGGCCTAGCTTGATTTGGCAGTAACTTGGGGGCCAGTCTTTTTGCACCTACCTTGGTGGCAGGAGTACATGCTTTGCAGTCACATAGACTAGGATTCAAATGCTATTGTTCAGCAGCAAGTGAGCCTCTGTTTCCTCATCTCTGTGTGGGATAATCATAACAGTCTATGGAGGATGAAGAGAGCTGCTGGGTATAAAGTGCCCAGCAGTGTCCCTGGCCTGTGATTGGTGCTCTGAAGCTGCCTGTCCTGGGAATTTTGCCTAGTCATCTTTCTTTATGCTTAAACTTGCAGAGTTTTCGGGTTCATTCAGATGAAGACAACCCTGAGAGAATCCAGCAGATTATTAAAAGAGCCATTGAAGATGCTGACTGGATCATGAACAAAGTAGGTGCTTGGCCCCTGGGCTCTGCCTGCGAGCTGGGGTGATGATGGCTGTGATCCCCATGACCACTAGAGGCCACTCCTGCCCCACAGTTGAGAATGGTCCCTGTGGAGGAGGCCACCAGCCAGCTGCTTCCCTCCTCCAGAAGCTGAAAGGTGAAGACAAATCCCTTCTGGTTGCATTTATATTCTGCAAGTGGGGAGGGGCTCTCACTCTTCATCCTTAAAGGCAAATTTCTGCCCAACAGTGCTGATCGAGCTGAGAGGGGGCAGCAGGAAGAAGGAGGGAAAGCTATAGTGCCAGAGCCGGCGGTGGCACTGTGATGCCGCAGAGAGGGAAGCTGTCCTGGCGGGGGACTCCCTGTCTCTGGGGGGTATTCACACTGGGGCAGAATTATGGAGGAAACATTCAGTATGTTTTGGTGGAGGAAGGGAGTGAGTCAGGAATGTAGACTGGCGTCTTGGCCCTTAGATGCTGGTATTAGAAGGACCTAGAGAGTTGGAGTGTGACCATACCTCCCTGTCCTTCTAACTCACTCTCCAGAGTGAGTTATCACTATCCTCCCTCCCCAGCCCTGTCAGCTTCCTTTTTCACTAAAGAAGAAAGGGAGTCCAGGCATGAACTAGAGATTTGGCTGCCCAGTGCCTCCTGCTTGGGTTTCACCACCTCCAAGAAGCCCCTGCAGGAGGCAGGTGAGGTCCAGATGATGGAGGCCTGAGATTTCTCCAGAGTCCTCCTGCCCCTGTTGGCTTCCCTCCTCCACTTCGAATCTCTCTGTCTTGCAGTATAAAAAACAAAACTGAGAGCTCCGAGGGTGAGCCTTCCTGGCCTCTGGAAGTTGAGAGGCCCCTCTTCTGGAGCTCAGCAGCAGCAGCTGGTTTGGAAGAGCCATTGGCCTTGTTGGCTGAAAGCCAGAAATCAGGGGAGAAGCTGACCTTGCTCCAGAGGCTCCTCTTGCCGCGGCCATGTTGCTAGCATCCTTTATGTTTGCACTTCCAGCCACTTACGATGTGAAATTTGGGGAGAATGTAGTATTTTTTTGCTTCTTTTGTGTGTTTTTTATTTTTGTGTTTTTGTTCTTTTACTTTTCTCTGAAAGTGATTCATTTATTCTGGAGATCTCTTTATCATTCTCTGAGTCCCAGAGCAGATGTCCCCTCAGGTAGCAACCTGTACAGAAGAAAGCACGTGGGTTTTAGAACCAGACAGATCTGGATTTGAATCCCAGATGCAATAAGATGAAGGTGAAGTGCCTCACACAGGATGTGGCACATGACAGTGCCTGAAGGGCTCCCTTCAAGGAAGCCGTCCTGCCCCGCCCCCTCCTCTGCTCCTGCAGCGCCCTGCACAGCTCTGCTCCCCGCATGCACCGCATCGGGTCTCAGTTTTTTGTTTGCGAGCTTGCCCTGTCCCTGCTTGTAGCCCCTGAGCCCTCACAGTTGTCACACACCCAGCAGTCTGCCAAGGAGCTGCTTTTCCTGACTACTGTCTCTCCATGCCTAGGGAAGTCAAAGCCCTGGGCCTTGCCTTCAGGGAGTTGACAGTGTCCTTGAAGTGGTGAAGTGCCCACCACATGAACCAAGGAGAGACGCCAAAGCAGCTGCCATGGACTCTGGCCTGTCCAAGCCTCTGTGCACCTGCAGTCTCTTTCCACTGGCACTTCCCTGCTTTGCTACCATCGTGGAAGAATGGAAGGGAGGGGGAGAAGGTGGGTGGGCTCAGGGAGAACGGCCAGAGTGGCCAGAAGATGCAGAGAGAAGCCCCACTGGGATCTGAGTATTCCCCAAGGGCACTCAGCCACAGGGATGAACTAGTGTTTGTTTGTATCCTTGCAGTTATGTGACTTAAAGTGACTCAGAGATATCTATGTATGCGAGTGTACTCCGCTGGCAATGAAGTAAATATATCAATTTGTGGAAGCTCGTGTGTCTTCTCAACTGATAAACCATACGTTCCCTAAGCATACGTTGTCTCCTTCCTGAGTGTCATCTACTGTTGAGAACCTAGAGTCAAGTCAGACAAAGCTGCCCAGGAGGGGTCATTCTTCAGAGAAGGTGACTGGGATTGGCCCCACTGCTAGACAACAGTTGATGAGGTCAGATCTGCCCCACCAGGGTATGGGCAAGCTGAGGGGTTTCAGGCTAGGGCCAAAGCTGAGCCAGGCCCCTGTCTGCACCCCTGCCGTTGAGCTGGGGGCCCCTCCTCAGGTGGCAGGGCTGTATTGTGATCATAGGAGTGGGGGCAGCTGTATCCCAGATGTTTCCCCAACAGGAGAGAAATGATTGAAGGCTGACAAGGGTTCAGGATAGAGTTAGTGTCGTTTGCTCTTGACCAGCTCCTGGAGTGGTTCTATGACCTTTAGTTCCTAGGTAGGTGCTTGGTCCAGCTGTGCTGACTTGCCACATGTCAGACAGTGGTTGCCTAGCTCCAGCATGTGGCTGGCCTGTGAGGGAGCCAGCAAGGGGTGGGGTGGGTGAACAGTGTGTTGGCTGCTCTCCCCCAGCCCCTGTGCTGCCACAGAGGGTAGTGAGCCCGGTCATGCAGGGGCCCACGGTAGGGGAGGCAGGATGCACACAGCACTGTGCACACAGGGGCACTGTTGAAGCCTGGGAGAGCCTCCCATCCTCAGCAGCAGCCTTGCCTTCCACCCTGCCCTCTGACTTCCACTACTCCAAGCCCTGCGTGGACCATGCGTATGGGTCCTTCATTTCTCCTCTCAATTCTCAAATGCATAGAGTTGAAGGTTTACAGAGTAGCCTCCAAGCAAATGGAAGAAGGAGATGAAGGTCTCACCCAGAGTCAGCCAGTGTGGCCTGCTGGAGGGGGCTCTGGAGATACAGACACCTGAATTTGAATCCCAGTCTGTCACTTAGTGGTGGTGTGATTTGGGGCAGATTTGTTAACCTGTCAGGCTCACTTTTCTCACTGCTACAGGTTGCACATCCCATGGGCTGGTGAGATTACGGCAGTGCACACAGATGGGCTGTCAGCCATGTGGCCTCCATCTCTTGTCTTTGGTTTACCTGGTGATGACACTTCTCTCCTTTTTCTTTTCCTTTTTTTTTTTTTTTTTTTTTGAGATGGAGTTTTACTCTGTTGCCCAGGCTGGAGTGCAGTGGCACAATCTCAGCTCACCGCAACCTCCGCCTGCCGGGTTCAAGTGATTCTCCTGCCTCAGCCTCCTGAGAAGCTGGGATTACAGACACATGCCACCACACCCAGCTGATTTTTGTATTTTTAGTAGAGTCGGGGTTTCACCATGTTGGCCAGGCTGGACTGGAACTCCTGACCTCAAGTGATCTGCCCGCCTTGGCCTCCCAAAGGGCTGGGATTACAGGTGTGAGCCACCGCGCCCAGCTGATGCTTCTCTTTAGGTGGGTCCTTGCGGCTCTCCCTGGTGTCCACTGTACAAGCAAAATGTCAGCAGGAAAGGATTTGACACGTGTTGCCCACACTTAGATACTCCTTTGGACTCACATTGCCTTTCTGGGGTGCATTTGCATTATAAAGTTTCTGGGTTTATCTGTGTAGCAAAAGACAGATGTTAAAACCCTCAAGGGCCTTCTTTGCAAGACCCTGCATATCTGAGGCTGACTCCTGGGGCAGTGCTAGCCTTGAGTCCTACACCAGCACATGCTTCCTGGGGCAGAGCCTGTCCCGCCCTACGCAGTTCCATTTCTCGCCCCTGTGCCCACCCCATCTTCATTGACCATTTACTGCACAGTCTTCCCTCCACGCAGGAAGGGACTCACAGTCTAAGGGAAAGACAGACGTGGGTTGCCTGGAGGTTGAGCAACTGTGGCTCGTAGGATGTGATCATAACATAGATTTATCTTTTTCTCTCACAATTCCTTTGTATTTTTTTTTTCTGGAGGTTCCTGTTCTCCCTGTCCCTGGATGAAAACTGAGACAAAGCCTCAAAAATTTCTGGCTGGACTTAAATTTTAAAAACCCAAAGCTATGGCTACTTTGAAGTCACAAAACAGTTTCAATGCATGAAGTGAAATGTCCAGTCTCAGGAAAATAAAATTTCAAAACTTGAATTAAGGTTCAGGCATCTCCCTTTTTCCAGTTGGGATCTGCTGCAGAGAGGAAACCTCTGTCAGAGAAGGGGACAGAGGCATCTTTGCTAGCTTGGGGGAGGGGCATTTCAGGCCAAGGAGCACCACTTGTTCAGGGACTCGCATGCTGCTTGGTGTGGTTGAGACATCATGGTGGGTGGAGAAAATAGGGGTGGAGGTGGAGGGGATGAGGCTTGAATACACCACGGGAACCAAATCGTGCAGAGCCCTGCAGGCCTTGCTAAGGAGTTTGGACCTTCTCCAAAGGGGCGATTTTGTAATCAACTCTTTATGTAGTTGTCTCCTCCACCAAAGAGTGAAGCCGTTGAAGCCAGGAACCAGGTATTAGTCGTTGCAGAACCCTCCAGGCCAGTTGTGTGTCTGCTGCCCAGGCTGTGAGCTCTTAAGTGCTGGCTGAATGGAAAGAATGATGATCGCAGGCAAACTGTGATGTCTGTCTTTCATTTGTTTGTTTCTCACTGCTTTCTAGTAATGAGAAAGGCTGGGAGATGGTGAGTATTTCTTGGCTAAGTCTTACCGCCGATGGTTGGGAGCTGCTTTGGAGGAGGGAACACTTGCCCTCACTGCACAGTTGGCAGGCACTTCCTCCAGGAAGTTTGTCTTGATGCAGAGAGAGGATTTCCCCCAAAGTAAAAGTTACCAAGTGCTGAAATCCAACCTTCCTCCCATCCTCTTGAAATGAACCTGTCCATTTTGCCTCCCTAGTGGGTGGGGATTAACTTGAGCATCCAAATCAAACAAAACAGGCACCCTTTGTGCGATGATGGGGAACCATAGCTGTGGCCGATTTGCCCTGAGGGAGTAAACTTGTTAACTTGGGGTGGGTGACTGAAGTTCGAGATGCTGAGAGGCTTTAGAACAGTGCCTTACAGGGTGAAGAGCACCGTGTGGAGCAGGCAGGCACAAGGTCACCCCAGAAAGGCACATGGTTTCAACAACGAATCAGAAGCAGGGTACAGGGTTGGAGCTGGTTAAAGGAATCTGCTAATGAACTGCTCAGAGGCTGCAAGATTGCTTTTGAGCCTCTCCGAAGAAATGAAAAAATGTTTTTCAGTGGAACAGCTTCAAATATTTCCTTTAAAGATCTGGTGAGCAGGCCTGGCGCGGTGGCCTGTAATCCCACCCAGCACTTTGGGAGGCCAAGGTGGGCGGATCACAAGGTCAGGAGATCGAGACCATACTGGCTAACACAGTGAAACCCCGTCTCTACTAAAAATACAGAAAAATTTAGCCGGGCATGGTGGTGGGTGCCTGAGTCCCAGCTACTTGGGAGGCTGAGGCAGGAGAATGGCGTGAACCCGGGAGGCGGAGCTTGCAGTGAGCCGAGATTGCGCCACTGCACTCCAGCCTGGATGACAAAGCGAGACTCCGTCTCAAAAAAAAAATCTGGTGAGCAAAGGAGGAGGAACACTTACTAGCGTCTACTGCATCCCTGGACTGAGCAGATGATGAGGACACGAAGGAAGAATCAGTCCATAGACAGTGAGCTCCACAGGAAGGACTTGGTTTAGTTCACCACTCTCGTCCTGCCAGCACCCAGCACAGTGTCTGGCACATAGCATGAGCTTCACAAGCATTTGTTGAATGAATACGTCACAGTGCTTGCCTCCGGAACTTACTGTCCAGTGGTAGACAGACCTTTAATCCCGTACACACTATGCAGTGTGAGAAGTGCTAGGGCTCTGTATGGGTTGCAGTTGGGCCCCAAAGGTAGGGCGTGCCCATTTCCTCTGCAGTGTGCCATTCATTCATTTACCCATTCATTCTTTAATTCAACAAACATTGAACACCTCCTATTTATGGAGAATCCCATCTATATCTCCATCTGGACTGGGTTATGAATGGTTTAATTTGCTCTTTTATTGATCTGTATGGCTTCTGGAAATGGGTGGCCCCATCAGTTTTAGGCGGCTATGATTACACACAGTAATCCAGAAGTTTCTTTCATGTCTCAACTTTTAAAGTATTATTTTTCTAAAAGTTGTTTCCTATTTATAGACGTTAGTTCACACACACACACACACACACACACACACACACACACACACACACAGATACACCACTACCTATAACTTTTGTTGCTAACAAGTCTGGCTGAGAAACTGTGAATTCCTTGGCATGTTTTTCTGATACCATCATCTTTCTATTAACATGACTAATCTTTAAAGTTCTTGAGTAAGAGAAGGTAAGAGGAATTGTCCAAGAGGACAACTTGCCAATCCAGCCTTAGCCTCCAGGCCTGGAGGTAAACAAACATCCTATCCTTGTCTTCATCTTTGCTGCAGTGTTGACTTCATGCTATCTCTGGCACAAGCCCCTATTTTTTTCCCTTGCATACTTAGCTGGGTCAGAACACAACCTGGGTCAGAACACAACCTGGGTCAGAACCCTGGCTTAAAAGCGAACAGAGGGAGAGCACAGGGAACACGGAAAACACCCCAGGCCTTCATAGCCAAACAAAAGCTTCTCCAAATGTAGGGAGCCCTTCTCATCCACTCGTGTTAACTCAAGCATTAATCAAGCACTATCCACCTTCCCAGCTTAACACTCCCATTAAAAGGGCAAACACGCCATGGAAACCAAATGCCAAAATAGGCAAAGGACCTGAACGGGCATTTCACCAAAGAGGATATACAAGTGGCCAATATGCACAGAAGAGATGCTTCTCAGCCATCAGGGAAACACAAACCAAAACCACAATGTGTTACCACTTCACACCCAGTAGAATGGCTATAATAAAAAAGAAATAATAACAAGTGTTGGTGAGGATGTGGAGAAACTGGAACCCTCATCCACTGTTGGTTGGAATGTAAAGTGGTGTGGCCACTTTGGAAAATAGTTTGGCAGTTCCTTAAAATGTTAAATATAGAGTTACTAATTAACCTAGCAAGTCTGTTCCTACGTATATACCCAAGGAAAATGAAAACATGTTCACACAAAAATCTTTTACACAAAAGTTTATAGATTTATTCATAAAAACCAAAAAAGGAAACAGTACAAATGTCCTTCCACTAAAGAATGGATAAATAAAATGTAGTGTAGCCACACAATGGAATATTGTTTGGCAAGAGAAAGAAATGAAGTATTACGTGTGCTGCAACATGAGTGAACCTCAAAAACATCATGCTAAGTGAAAGAAGCCAGTTACAAAAGACAAAAGATGTAGTGCATGATTCCATTTGTATGAGATGTCCATAACAGGCAAATCTATGGAGAAAGAAAGTAGATTAGCCAAGGGCTAGGGACGGCTGGGGGTAGGGGTGGGGAGGAATGAGAATGACTGCTAATAGCGATGGGGTTTTTTTCTCTTTGAGTGATAAAAGCATTTTAAAATTAGATTGTTGTGGTGGTTGCACAACTCTGTGACTGTACTAAAAATCTGTGAATTGTGCACTTCAAATGGGTGAATTGGATGGTATGTGAATTATATCTCAATAAAATGGCTAAAAAGCAAAAGAAAGCAAATATCAGGAGAAAACCAAATAAATTCCAATGCATCTGGAAGGTACCACCCAAACCGTCATTAATGTCTAGAAAATTCCCTCCTCCTTGACCAGTTTATTTTCTTTTTCTTTTAATTAATTAATTCATTTTTTTCAAGACAGGGTCTCGCTCTGTCATACAGGCTGGAGTGCAGTGGATCGATCTTGGCTCATTGCAACCTCCACCTCCCAGGTTAATGCAGTCCTCCCGCCTCAGCCTCTCAAGTAGCTGGGACTACAAGCGCATGCCATCACACCTGGCTATCTGTGTATCTTTTGTAGAGATGGGGTTTTGCCATGTTGCCTAGGCTGGTCTTGAACTCCTGGGCTCAAGCGATCCTCCTGCCTCAGCCTTCCAGCGTTGGGACTACAGGGATGAGCCACCCGGCCTGGCCGAGTAGTTTCTATTGAAAGAAACAATTGTCTTTGTCTCCAGGGGTATCTGAGGTTGAGTTTTTCTACTTGGCCCGAGGACCAATCCCGATGCCATCTTCATCTCCTGCCTTTATAATCCTATGGGGGAGTTCTCACCTCTGCAGAGAGAAACAAGCCAAGAGAGGCCAAGTCACTTGTCCAAGGTTGCATCTCAAGAATGAACATGGCCTGGGTTGGGCCCTTTCTGGAGGTTGAAGTCTGCTCTTCCTAAGGTGCTAAGAGACAATAGCCTATCTCCACTAAATTACGTTAAAAAAATTTTTTTTATTCTCACCCCCTCTCAGAGGTCTAAGAGATTTAAAAGGATTTAGGAAAATGCATTTTGGATTATAAGCAGCTTAATGGATTTTTCCAACTGGGAACCTCCACCTCAACCCCTTGTCTCAGTGTACCCCAAATTTATTGTCACTTTTTATGTGTGCCAGGGCATGAAACAGGTTGGGAAGCACAGGGTTAAAAGACAAAATTTTCCTGGGCATCTTTTTTGGCTGAAGGACTGGACTAGACGGAGGTGTCTCCCTCTGGCTCATATATGATTCCCACAAACCAGAAAATGAGTTAAGACAAATGTTAACTCATTGTTAACTCAATGTTAGGATAGCTGTCTCTCAGGGAAGTTGTGAGAACCCAATAAGATGATATCTATAATGTGCTTAGCTAGTGCCTGGCACTCAGCCACGGGTCAATAAAATGTAACTGCCATGCTTGTTAACTGCACATGGTCTTGTTATTGGACCAAACTGGGATCCACTCACCTGGTGCAATAAAGTCCAACCTTGGCATCAAGATTGCAGAGTGCCAAGCAAGGAGAATGGGGCAGCTCATGCTTAATACCTGAACTCCTCCATGGCTTACAGACAAGGGTTTTTAAAGGTGAGAAGGCAGAGGTTACAGGCAACGTCATAAATCAGTGCATGGGGGCTATACATGAGTTTGACCTAAAAAGGAGGGCCATCTCAAAGCAGGAGGGAGGGGGTAGCCAGGAGTCACAGATGGATTCAAAGGTTTTCTGATTTGCAATTGGTTAAAGAGGCAAAGTTTTGTCTAAAACTTTGGGATTAGCAGAATATTAGTTCTGGCCCAGGGGCGTGACCTCTGCCAGGCCCCTCAGGAAGAAATTTAGAATGATGAAGAACAGTGGTCAGAGTTTGGTCCTTAGTCCTCCCTATCTGACGTCTTTGAGCCAGTGGATCCATTTGGTGGAGGTCCAGGTTTCTGCCAAACAACACAGGGACATGTGTTAAGATGTGATCTTTAGTTTCTATAGGGGGACCAAACATCCCATGATTCTCACTTCCTTCACTACTGTTTTAAGCTACTATCACCTTCTGGCTTATCCAGATGCTCATTTACTTTGCAGGGCTAGCTACTTGCCTGGAATTTCCCTTGAAGGAACTCAAGATTTTCCTCTATTTCCACGCTTGGGGGATCCCTGCAGGTCCCTAAGAGGGGTCCCTGCTCTTAGTCTCCCTACCCTGGCAGTTGTCTGGGGCCAGTTTGGGCTTGCAGACTGACCACTGCCCCTTGTGCATTATTTCATTGATTAGGAAGAACCAACTCATTTTGACATCTTCCTAAAATCTCCATCACAATTGAGAAAAGAAATCTGAGGGGAGAAAAAAGGAGTCACATCTTTATGTCACATGTGGGGGCTGGCATGTCAGGGCATGTGAGAGAAGTTTTCAGGGATTCTATTTGCATGAAAATTCTTAAAGTTTTCTGGGAGCCGCGGAGGCAAGTTGAAACATAGTTGGCCCTGGGCTGAGATGCTGGAGCAAGGGCAACAGCTGCTTCTTGAACACTTGGAGGTTTGTCTCCCAGGGTTCCTGTTATCTATTGCTGGGTAACAAGTTACCTCAAAATTTAGTGGCATAAAATATCAATGACTTATTGTTTCTCATGATTCTGGGGGACATGAATCCAGGGCTTGACTGGATTGGCTCTTTCTTCCATGTAGTGACAGCTGAGTCACTGATCTGCTGCAGACGGATGGTGGCTGTGCTGTGCTGGAAGGTTCAGGAAGGCTTCACTCACATGTCTGGCACCTTGATCTTCCTCTGTGTGGCCTCTTTCTCTCCACATGGTTTCTCATTCAGAAGTCTAGCCCAAGTTTCCTTACAGTATGGTGGTTGGCTTCATTAGAGAGCATGAGAACCTAGGCCTTTTCACATCCTTGATGCAGGAGTTTCAGCTCCTTAGCTCAGCTAGGTCTGGGTTCTTGTCTCATGACCAGGAAGAAGTAGGCATGCAGATACAAGAAGAGTGAGCAAGGTGGGAAGTTTTACTGAGTGATGAAACAGCTTTTAGCAGGGAGGGGACACTGGGGTGGTTCCCCTACCTGAAGGCAGGAGGGTTCCCAATATGGCTGAGCCTGGGGCTTTTTATGGCCTCAGAATAGGGAGTACATGCTGATTGGTTTGTGAGTGTGCAAAAAAGGTTAAAGCAAAAACACCACTCAAAGGTGGGCACGATAGTGTAGAAAACCAATTAGGAAAGGGTGGGTATGTGTAAATAGGTGAAGGATGGGGATCAATCAGAGGAAAGTGTGCCAAATGGGAAAGCCAGTTCCCAATCCGGTTTGAGGATTTACTGGGACTGTTTCCTTCTTGAAGGTTGGGTTTCCCCGGAGACCCATCCTATCTGCCTAGGCATTTTTCTGCCTCCTGCCTCTATCATTCTCATAAGGGCTAGGAATGGAGAGGAACTTCTGTCTCATTCTATTGGTTAAAACAGGTCACAGAACTAGCCCAGATTCAAGGAGAGAGGAAATAGAGTCTGTCTCTTGATGGAAAGAGTGGCATGGTTATAAAATGAGGGGAGGCATTGATGGTGGTCATCTTTAGAGACCATTCACTATACACAATGATCTGGGAACGCATATTTTGGGAAGAGAGAAACAAGATTCTTTAGTCAGTCAGTCTTTGGGCACTAGTTGAAGGAGGGGAAATTTTGGAAGAAACATTGAGATGTAACACTAAAATTGTTCCTTGACTCAATTCCAAGAGAACATATTTTTGGAAATCTTTGGGTCAGGGACTGAAAGAAAGCAAAAAATCATGGAAAAAATATATTTTTTTGTAGAAACAAGGTCTTGCTATGTTGCCCAGGTTGATCTCGAACTCCTGTCAAGCGATCCCTCCAATTTGACCCCTTAAAGTAATAGTCCATGTTTAGGTTGTTCAAGTTTAGGCTTACAGGTATGAGCCACTGTGCCTGGCCATGGAAAAGATTTTAAATAACAAGGGTGTTATAATACACTGTAAGAGCAAGACCCCTTTCTGCTGGATTCTGATAAAAGAATTATAACTGGTCAGGAGACGGCCTTCTTCTGTCAGTGAATGACACGGAGTCATGTCAGGAGAAGCCAGCGCCTACAGGAATCAATGGGCCGATCCCAGTGAAATCGGAGGGAGCACTGCGCACGTGGCAGTGAAGAAGCCCAGGGCTGTGGCAAGCCCTCTTCAAGTGGGGCACTAGGAGAGTATCAGCTACTGAGACCAAGGCCACCAGATGGAGGCATGGAGTTTGGCTTTGGAGGCTGTTGCTGAAGATCCATTTGGCCTGTAGACCACATGAAGCAGCCCTGAACCCTGCTAGGGGCAGGAGGAACAAGTGGGGCTAGATGCCAGTGACGGCTCCCTGCACCCCTCTCCCTTGATTATCTCCCAAATGGGGAAGCACAGCCCAATTAGGTTATATGCTTCTGGGGGTCACCCTCTCCTAGAGTAAATATTTTAGAGCTGAGCATATGGCTAAATATTATTGTTACTTTGAGAGATAGATTCTCGCTCTGTCACCCATGCTGGAGTGCAGTGGTGCAATCACAGCTCATTGCAGCCTCCACATCCTGGGCTTAAATGATCCTCCTGCCTCAGCCTCCCGGGTAGCTGGGACTACAGGTACACACCACCATGCCCAGCCAATATTTTTGTAGAGACAGGCCCTGCCTATGTTAGGCCCATTGCTGATCTAGAACTCCTGGGCTCAAGCAATCCTCTCACCTCCACATCCCAAAGTGCTGGAATTACAGATGCGAGCCACCACACAGGGCCAAAAAATTCTTTTAGAATACATCTTTTGCTACTCTGAATCAATTGCTTTGAATTTCACCAAAGTGGGCTTCACAAAGGAACAGCATCAAGGATGTTTGAATATTCTCTTCAGACAGCACAAACATGGAATACAATTCAGCAAGCAAAAGAAACTCACTATTGATACCTGAACCAATTTGGATGAATCTCAAAGGCATTATGCCGAGTGAAAGAGGCCAGTCTCAAAAGGTTACACACATAATAGAGCCATTCTTGACCGTCTCATGAAGACAAAACTACCATGTTGGAGAACAGAGCATGTTGCCTGAGGTTAGGGGTGGAGGTGAAGGCAGGGGTGACTATAGAGGGATTTCATAAGGGAGTGTTTGGGGCTGTCTGTGTCCTGATTGTGGCAGCGACTGCATGAATCTCTGCATGTGTTAAAATTCACAGGCTTGTCCACTGCCCCCAGAAGTCAATTTACTGTATAATTAAAAGAAAATGTTCCAAATATCATCAATAGGATTTTGGATCCTTTATGCCTTAGCTTTTTCCATGGCCAAGGGAGGGCAGTCACCCAACTTACTCTACCTTCAGAAGCAAAATGAAGAAGGGTCAGACATTGCTGCAGACATGGATTTTTGAAAATGTTACCTTTTCAGGTTTTGCAAGGAAAACAAAAGTTAGCAGGTAGCCCCCCTCTGTATCATTTCCTCTTAATGGTAGAGACAAAGAGAAGGTGGGACAGGTGCTTTGGAATGATTTGTACAATGTTACTGTATTTTCAGTGCTTACTACATGCCAGGCACTGGGCCTTAAGTGCTTTGTTTACTTCAATTTTCTCTGAGAAGTAGGTGCTATTATAAGTCCCACTTTGCAGATGAGGGAATTAAGGCCCAGAGAAGTAAAGCAGTTTGCACAGCTGGTGAGCAGGGGAACTGGGGTTGAATTAAAAGCCAGTGCCCTTAATTCCTATGCCATTCGCCCGAGCTCCCAGTCTCTGTCATCTCCACCCTAGACCTTGGAGTTTCTTGCTGTCTGGGCTTGAGATTGGTATTTGGGTACTCTTTCTCTTGATCCTCAAGGATTTAGTCTTGGTCATGCCCTCCGGGTCCCCTCCTATTGCCCTCTCTTGCTGGGCAGTTCCTCCTGGGCTAGCCTCTCAGGAGGCCCTTGTGTGAGACTTGGGAGGTGGCGGCATCAGCAGGCAGAGGTGTGGGCTTTGGCAGACAGGAGATGTGGCATCTCTCCGGATCCCATGTGGCTCTCCCACCTGGTGATTTGGGTAGCTGTCATCACCAGGTATGGTTTCCTCTGGCCCCTGGCCTAGACAGCAGGAGTGGCTTCCGGATCTCTTGAAGCCCAGCAGTGGCTTCCCTGACCATTGCTTCTCCAGCTTTCTGATGGGTTTTTATGAACCTAATTTCCTGGAGTGAGCCCCTTCTTGAAATGCCTAGAGTGGTTTCTGTTCTCCACACCAAACCCTGGCTGATAGAGAGTCTGGGGGCTCTGCCCTCTCAAGAACCTCTTTTTGAAGAGAAAAGAGAATGTAAGAAAAAGGGGGTGCAAGAGGGGAAATACTAAACAGTGGTAAGGAAGTTGGGGAGAGAGGAGAGAGAAAAGGGAGGAAGGAAAGAGAGGAGAAAGGCAAAGGAGGAGAGAAGGGGAGAGGAGAAGAGAGGTAAGAGAAGGAAAGAAAAGGGAGGGGGATAAGGGAGGGGACAAGAGGCAGGAAAGAGAGGGAAGAGGAATGCCAGCAAGAGAGCCTCTTAAAGGATTTTTTGGTAAAAGACTATAATTGAAAACTGAAGAAAGGGACTTGGGACAGGAGACCCTATGATGAGTGTCCCTGGGGTGTCCCTTCTTGGAGTTGGTTGGCTGAATCCTCTTATCCGCCCAGCCTTGACTGGGGGGCCCGGCCTGGGGAATGGGAAGAAATTCTCAAAGGAGCCTCCCAGCTTCTTTTCTTTTCTTTTTTTTGACAGAGTTTCACCCTTGTTGCCCAGGCTGGAGTGCGATGGCATGATCTCGGCTCACTGCAACCTCTGCCTCCCAGGTTCCAGTGATTCTCCTGCCTCAGTCTCCCAAGTAGCTGGGATTACAGGTGCCCGCCACCACACCCAGCTAACCTTTTTTTTTTTTTTTTTTTTTTAGTAGAGACGGGGTTTCACCATGTTTTCCAGGCTGGTCTCGAACTCCTGACCTCCGGTGATCCACCCACTTTGGCCTCCCAAATTGCTGGGATTACAGGCATGAGCCACCATGCCTGGCCCCTTTTGTTCTTTCTGTTGACTGCCTGTCCCTTGTGTGAAGGAGGCAATGGCGGTTATTGTCCCCAATGCATAGTGAGGGACACCACAGCACAAACAGGCTTGAATGGGGTGGTATGGGGCAAATCCAGGAGGAGCACCAGTGTTCATCATCTCAGCACCAGAAAACCAGAAAGGCCCTAAGGGAGGAGAGGGGTGGGAGGATTCATTAAGCATCTGTTCTGGTCACAGTGTCAAGCATTTTTCATGCCATAGTTCATTCGACTGAATCTTCACAAAGTCATAGTTTATTATTTCCACTGATTAAAAAAAAATGAGGCTCAGAGGTTAAACAAATCACCCAATGACATACTAGGGTAAATGTGAGATTCAAACCCAGCACTGTCTAGCTCCAAAGCCTGGTGGTTCCTCCTACACCACTACCCTTGGAATAGCTGCCTAGAAAGTGCTATTGGTTCTTTTCAGGGCTCTCACTCCAAAAGAACCTGTTTGTGCCTGTGCCTGTGTTTGGCTCTAAATTATATGTACAGCCATCCCCGAGGCATGGTTCCAGTAGCCCCCACAGATACCAAAATCCACAGGTGCTCAAGTCCCTTATTAAAAATGGCATAGTATTTACATTTGACCTATGCACAACCTGCTGTATAGTTTACCTCATCTTGAAATTACTTATAATACCTGAAACAATATAAATGCTATGTAAATACGGCTGACGCTGGAACTGTGTAGGTCCACTTATACACGAATTTCTTCAGCCTCTGCCACCCCTGAGACAGTGGGACAGATCCCTCTTCTTCCCCCTCTTCCTCAGCCCACTCATCATGAAGATGGTGAGGGTGAAGACCTTTGTGATGATACACTTCCACTCAGTGAATAGGAAATGTATTTTCTCTTCCTTATTTTCTTAACTATTTATGCCCAGTGTTCCATTATTGGAATGCTAAGCATGTGGGAGTTATTTATATCCTACTGCTCAAGGTCTGATTGCAAAAATTCAAAAAATTGCAACCTCAGGCATAAATGGGTCAATAACATTTTCTTTTCTCTAGCTCACGGTATTGTTTGAATTCAGTATGTGATACATGTAACATACAAAATGTGTTAGTTGACTGTCTCTGTTATTGGTAAGGCTTCTGGTCAACAGTAAACTATTAGTTAAGTTTTTGGGGAGCTGAAAGTTACATGTGGATTTTCCACTGCATGGGGTATTGGTGCTTCTAACCTCTGTGTTGTTCAAGGGTTAACTGTCATTGTTATACTGCATTGCTTAGGGAATTATGACAAGAAAAAAGCCCATATGTCTTCAGTACAGATGCAACCGTCCATTTTTTCCCCAGATATTTTCAGTCTGAGGTTGATTGAATCTGCGGATGAGAACCCGTGGATATGGAGGGCTGACTGTAATTGCTTAGATTTGTGTCTTGGCCAATTGGTATCTTCCAGTTTAAGACACACACTGGTCAATTCTAGTAATCTAATTTGCTTTATTTAGTTGCTTTACATGTATTAAGTTCTGATCCTCAAAAAAAAAAAAAAGCATGCAAAGTGATTATGATATCTTTGTCTTATGGATGAGAAAGCTGAGACTCAGAGAGATGGCGTAACTTGTTAAAAGCTACACAGCTAAGTGTCAGAATAGGATTTGGAGAGGACGGGCGTCTGCCTAACCACAAAACCTGTGCCCGCCATGGGACACTACACAGCTCTCAGTGCAGCAAACGTACAGGACCCGTGAACTCCGATATAACTGTGTGATAAAATGTCATGAGGCTCGTAAGACTGATAATTTCAAAATAATTTTTAATAAAAAGAAAACTGTCTATGACAAGATGCTCCTGAGAAAAGGTAGTACACAAAATTGAATTGAATATACAGTGTGATTATTTACAAATAAAACATCAAAACAAACTTGCTTATGCAGAGAGAGAGAAACTAAAGAGAGAGCCATCAAAACAGTGGTGCTAAAATTCTGGGTAATTTTTCCTTCTATTTTTCTGGATTTGTTCAATTTTCTTTTCTTTTTCATTCTTTTTTTCTTTTTTTGAGACAGAGTCTTGCTCTGTCACCTAGGCTGGAGTGAGGTGGTGCCATCATAGCTCACTGCAACCTCCACTTCCTAGGCTCAAGTGATCCTCCTACCTCAGCCTCCTGAGTAGTTAGGATTACAGGTGTGCACCACAAGCCTTGGTTAATTTTTAAATTCTTTTGTAGAGACAGAGTTTCACTATATTTCCCAGGCTGGTCTTAAACTCCTGGGCTCAAGCGATCTGCCTGCCTTGGCCTCCCAAGGTGCTGGGATTACAAGTATGAGCCACCGCGCCTGCCCCAATTTTCTTTAATGAAAAACAGCTCAGTATTTATATATTGTTATAGACAGCCGCCAGCATGGGTAAAAGTGAAGCGTGGCTCTGTATAATAACAGAGGAAAGGCCCCTAGGCATCAGGACAGTGGAGAGGAGGCACTTGGGCCCATGGCCCCCCTCCTGGAGTGTAGTCACCCTGCTTCTGGTTTTTGAGAGCCTCACCCAGCCTCTCCTGCCCAGCCTGTGCTGGTCTTTGCCAGTCTTCGGGCAGTCACTGTGGGTGCCAGTCTGGGCCAGGCACTGAGGCTGCACTGTAAGTTCCTGTGGGACAGAGGCTGACCATGCTCTGTTCATCTTTGTGCCTCTCAGGCCAAAAGCAAGGTCTTACGTGTGGTAAGAACACAGTAAGGGTTGAATAGAGAGAATCTCCAAGGTTGTTTTTTTTAGGACTTGTGACTTTACTTTGGGGGCTGACTTGGCAGCCAAGCCTCTAGGACTTGATGAGACCTGGACTTCACAGTGTCCTTGGCGCATCTGTATAACATGCCTCCAGAGGACTCAGCTCGCCTAACTCAGCCTCAGCATTATTTCCCTCCAGGGCTGCCTCCTTCTCTGATTAAGAAACCACCTCTCAGATGATGTAACGGTCTCCAACAGCCCAGAGAGCCTTAAATGGTGGAGTTTGAAAATATGATATTCGTTTTTCCATTATCTAATTGCTGTTGTAGTTGATTTATCCTGACATGACCCTTGCTGACAAGACTCTGGCTATATTGTACATCCCTACAACTTAGCAGTGACTCTGCAGGGCCCTTCCAACCCATTTCCTTCTTGGCCCCAGCCTCCTGTCCTGAGGCTCCCACCCACTGCCCACTGTGCTTCAGCTGCATTGTGTTACCTGCCCAAATAGGTACGGCTGCTTTGGGCTCCATTCCTAGCATCTGCTTGTGCTGTTCCCCTGCCTGGCGTGCCCTCCTCCCCCAGTCCATCTGCCAAATGCCTCGCCCCTGTTTCAAGGCTCTGCTCAAATGCTGACCCCTTACAAAGCCTTTCTTGAACTCTATCTGCAGGTCACATGGATTTCTCCCTAAGAATTCTGTCATCTCTTGGTGCAAAATTCCTTGCACTTGTTTCATCTAATGCTCACTTTTTCTACATATGTTTAGTGGATATTACTCTTAACATGGAGCCAGGTGCTGGGTGGGTACTTGGTGTATATTATCTCAAATTCTGGCAGCAACCACATGAAGAGGTGCTGTCGTTTTCATTTTCTGATGAGGACACTGGGGCTCAGAGAAATGAAGGACTGGCCCAGTTTCTTACGGACATAAGGTGGTACAGCTGGGATTGACACTGGGTCTGTGTGATTCCAACACTCTGTCAATTTGCTGCATATGAATCAGGTTCTTTGGCCAGGTGGTGGCTACTATGGGCGGTGGTGGCTGTTCATTCTCAGCAGTTCCGAAATGACATCACTGATAGTGCGAGGTAATACCTTGTACCCAGGGCAGAGAGTTCAGCACCCTCTGCATTGGCAAATCAGAGATGAGTCACTTGCCTGCTGACATATGACTCCTGATAGAAGGGACTTGGAGTAGCAGTCAGGTTGAAAGGGGAGCAGCAAGTTCATTTGGGCAGCACTCATATTGCTTTTTATTTTTATTTTTTTGAGACAGAGTCTTACTCTGTTGCCCAAGCTGGAGTGCAGTGGCCTGATCTTGGTTCACTGCAACCTCCGCCTTGAGGGTTCAAGTGATTCTCCTGCCTCAGCCTCCTGAGTAGCAGGGACTACAGAGGTGTCCCACCACACCCAGCTAATTTTTGTTTTTTTTAGTAGAGATGGGGTTTTGCCATGTTGGCCAGGCTGGTCTTGAACTCCTGGCCTCAAGTGATCTGCTAGCCTTGGTCTCCCAAAGTGCTAGGATTACAGCGTGAGCCACTGTGCCTGGCCTCTTATTGCTTTTTATGGACTGCATATTTATATGAGGTTGCTTTGGAGTGGCCTGATAGAATTATGGGTGGCTAAAACCCCTTACACAACCACTGTGGATGAAGTAAAAAGAAAAAGTTGAGGGGAAAGGTTCTGGCTCTGGGAAGCAGAAGGCAGAAATACAGTTGCAGAAAGTTGTGTGTCTGCATCAAAATAATCAATCACCCAGCTGTGTCATCCAGCCTGAGTCAGACCCCAGAGGGCACCTCATAGAGAGTAGATGATGCTGCTGTCAGTGGGAAAAACTACTAGGAACAATCAGGACTGATGGATGTTGTGGAGTGAGCCCTCAAGTGCTCATCATCCAAATTAGAAGTTACTCAATGAACAGTTGTAGGCAGAGAGAGGGACTTGGTGGGTCCCTGTTGACTGGAAGTGAGTTGAACCTTGGGCTCTGGAAGACAGAAACCATCACTGTGAAAAGGCGGGTGAGCTGTTGTTCCCTTTACTTTCCTTGTGCATTGTTTCACATTTGTTTGGGTTGGTGAAGATAATCTCAACACTCCTCAAATGGCAGCACTGATAATGCCAGGCAATGTCTTTGTGTACAAGGCAAAGTTCAGCGCCTTCTGGATTGACCAATCAGGGATGAGTAACTTGCTGGTTGTCATTTGATCCCTGATAACCGGGACCCTCATCTCTCCCTTTCAGCTTTAATGAATGAAATGGTAGCAATAGTTAAAGATGCTGTTGCCCAAAGAAGTATTGATTTTATAATTTGTTTCCTCCATTCTTCACCCTTTAATTACTGATTGGATTCAAGGTTCTGGTTTTCAGCAGGTCATGACAAATCTAGCAAATAAATAATAGCGCAGTAAGCTTTAAGTTCATTATTTTCATTGGCATCAATGCCACTATCATTTTTCATTCCATCTTGATTCAGTTCAATACAATTCAATATGTTTTTGAGCCCCTAGTCATTCTAAACATTGTGGCAGGCACTGAGGAGACAGTAATGCATCTTTAAATACGGTTCCTGTTCTCATGAGGCTTACAGTCCAGGGGGAAGACAAACATGAAAGAAGCAACTATATGCCCATTTAGAATAATCACTAAGGGATGCTATAGGAAAGTGTAACATGGAGATCCAACCTAATCTTGATGGGTGGAGCGGTGAATGGACACAGGGAAGATCTCCCAGGGGAAGTAAGATTCCAGCTAAGAATTGAACGATGAGTGTTTTTGGGCAGGGGGATGGAAGCGGGATGGGGTCAGGAAATGAAGAGTATTTTAATGGAGAAAACAGCAAGGCAAAGCTCTATGGTGGAAAGGGTGTAGCATCTTCATGGACCTAAAGGAAGTCGAGGTATTTCAGAGCACAAGGAGGAGAGTCATGGACGATGACCTCAGAGAGCTCAGCCAGAGCTGTGCAATGGTTTGGGACTTTATACCAAGGGATTGGGAAGCCTGGATTAAGTGTTTGGGATGTAGTATTCTAAGCAGGTATAACAATAGCAAACACTTATATTGTGTTTACTATGTGCCAGCCACTGTTCCAAGCACCTTGAAAACATTAATTAATTTATGTAGAGACCCATTGCACCCTGTTTTCTGGTACCAGGAAGCAAGACCAAGCCAAAGTCTATCTGGAAAAGCCAAGAGTCAGATGCTGGAGAGACCAGAGAACAGAGGCAAGCTTGTTTTAGCAAAAACTTGGAGTCAAGTTCTTGGGGTCTGGCTGAGATTAGCCTGAAGGAGGGCAGGTCAGGAATCATCCAAGACAGCCGAGTGACTAGAGATGGACAGTTTGGGGTTTCTTGGCTCAGCTTAGATAGCAGAAGGTGCATGGCACCCGGAGCCTGGTGTGCTGGGCTGGTCCATCTCCTGCTTTTGGTGTGAACTGCAGGAAATAATTGAGGTGAATCTGATGCTCTCGTATAGGGTATATGGACAATAGAATACTAATGCGAGACCAATATGTGAATGAGTAGGAGTATTTCTGTGTTATGGTCAGAAGTCGGAATTCTAACTGGCACCAACATTGACCAGCTGGTCACCTGTCAATTGGTAATACAGGGAATGCCCACTCTGTGTGCACCTCGTGGGGGCAGAGTTGGGGATGAGCATGGATGGTATCATGAAAAGTGCCCTGGCCAAGGGCTGAAGAGGTTGGACTCTAGTGCTAGTTCTGCTGCCTTTTAGCCATGTGAACTGGCACAAACCACCCACTCTGCCTGAGTCTGTTTTCTCATCTATAAGATGGGCTTTATGGAGTTGTTATGAGGATAAAACGAAATCTTATATGCGAGTGCATCTTTCAAGCGGTAACATATAACTGTAGCAGGGTGATTGGATGCTAGAGAAGCTAGCTGTGCTGCAAACCAACATAACATGAGTGTGCCTCAGAGTGCTAACTTCGTGATTTGACATTGTTTGGGAAATGTTGTTGGCAAATATGTATGTGTGCTTTCAGGACCCCTCTTCCCAGAAGAGCCCACCTGGAAGGTAAATGTGGGTCAAATGATTGCATGTGGCAGACTCGAGGCAAACCGGACAGTTGTCATGTGACTGGTGTGGCATGCTCACAGCAGCATGGACAGTTGTCTTGTAGCTAAGCTAGGCAAGCTAGGCTCATGGCATAGTGGACAGCTGTCATGTGGTTGGTGTGGCAGGCTCATGGCAGAGTGGACAATCATCATGTAGCTTGTGTTTCAGGATAGACAGCTATGATAGTCACTCCTTCTTCTCTCCCGTGCCCTTTCCCTCTCTCTCTGATAACAACACCCCCATCCGGCTTCCCAGGAACCAGCTACCCTCTACCCAGATGACCATGACTAAGGCCCAGACTACCTAGAATTCCGAGGGGCAGATTGATATGGGCTGGAGTGGTCAGAGAAAGCTTCGAGCAGACCCAGGAAATTGAGCTATACCTTGAAAGGCAGACAGGATTGAGGCAGTCCTGTCTCACCTGAGGAGAAGGCATTTCAGATGGTGGGGTCAGCTAGAGGTATAATTAAATGTGGGCCTGGGAGGAGACTCAGACTAGATGGCAGGGTGCTTGCAGGAGATGGTGAGAGATAATCAACAAATCAGCTCAACCTCAATCCACTAAGTCTAGACTACACGCACGGCACATTCCCAACTGTATTAGTCTGTTCTCATGCTGCTAATAAAGACATATCCAAGACTGAGTAATTTATAACAAAAAAGAGGTTTAATGGACTCACAGTTCCTTGTGGCTGGGGATGTCTCATAATCATGGCGGAAGGTGAAAAGCATGTCTTACGCAGCAGAAGACAAGAGAGAAAGTGAGAGCCAAGCGAAAGGGGAAACCCCTTACAAAATCATCAGCTCTCATGAGACTTATTCACTACCACGAGAACAGTATGGGAGAAAATGCCCCCATGATTCAGTTATCTCCCACCAGGTCCCTCCCACAACATGTGGGAATTATGGGAGCTACAATTCAAGATGAGATTTGGGTGGGGACACAGCCAAACCATATCACCAACCAACTTATTCCAAGTCTGTCCTTCCTTAATTACCCATATTTTGATCCCACATCCATCACTCATTGTCAGGAAGTTCTTTGCTGTGTCTAATCCAAGTCTGCATGGCTAAGGTAAGGTTGTTTTCCCCAGTTTTGTCTTCAGGTGAGGCGAAAGACACAGTTTATAGAAAGCCCCAGCAAGGAAAATATACTGGTGTTGACTCCAAATGTTGTCCCTGAGGAAAGCTTTTGGCATCTAGAATGGCCCAAGTGGCTGCAGCAGTCTGATCCTGCCTCCAAGAGGAACTCTGGCTATGCTGGGGATCTTGGGTATTTTCTTTTGTCTTGTCAACTGGTAAAAGGACTTGAGTTTCCCCCTCCAGCTCATAGGAGAGGCGAGAAGGAAAGAAAAAAAGAGGAATTCATCTTCTTTGTTTTTGCGGTGGAAATTATTCGCCTGTACCAATAGCATATTAAGATATAATATTTAAAAGGAAAATGGCACAGTTTCTTCAGAGCTAAATGTTTATTGTTGACTCAAACATGGGTTCTTCTGATTATATTAAAGTTGCCCTGGAAGCAAGAGAAGGGATCCTGGCATCAGAGTGACCTGGGCTCGTATCCTGACCTGGACACTAGTGAGGTGTGAGACCTTAGGCAAGCGAGTACACTTGTCTCAGCCTCAGTTTCCTCATCAGTAGAATGGGGGTGGGGGCTGAGGGCAGTAATCCTTCTCCATAGAATTGTTATACAAATGACCACTTTATAGAACAAACAGAGGCTGCGGGTTGAAGATTCCCATCCTTCACTTATTCTCACTCTTTTCTGTTGCTTCGTCCTTTACTGGTCCCTCCTAGGCCCTCTCTCCTGGTCTGTGCCTCAGACTTCCTAGAGGGGACTCCAGGGCACAGCTCACAGCAGCCTCCCTTCATCAGCACCGGGAGCCTACTTCCCCCACCCAGAGGGACAGGAAACTCCTTCTGGAGGTGAGCCCCTGGCCTCTCTTTCATCCTCTGTCATCAAGCCAGGGTGATGAAATTGAGTGGCCCTCACTGTCAAGTGCCCTTTTTACTGGAATTTAATCAGAACTCACAGATCAACTCTTTGGTCATTGCAGTTGAGAAGCTCAAGACATTCCAGCCTTACCCGCTTTGTTCTGCTTTTCCTGATATTGCAAATACTTTTGGATGCTTATTTTTATTCAGGAAAGCACTGAGTATCAGACTTTTTCATGAGAGTTCCCTGTGGAGAGATGATTGCATCTCTAGAGGCCAGTTACTGCTTTAGAGACCCACAGCGCAGCTTTTCAGCAAGAAGCCTAATTAAACAAGTTTGGGAAAGTCCCCGAACTGTGTTTCTGTGGGGTCCTGAGACAGCCTGATTTCAAGGTAAAATGGAGGCCCTTTCCTGGAAATGATGCAATTGACCAAAACAAATACTTTCATCCAACCTCCCTTTCCAAAGGCCCCTCTGTTGGTGGATTCCCTTTGGGGGCTGTGTCAGGAATCAGAGAGTGGGGTAGGGGCCAGGACTCCCTAAATCCTTTCTGTCTGAATAGCAGAGGGGAGTTTTGGCTGAAAGCTGTTTAAAAGATAAATTAATTTTCTAACTCATTAGTTTATTTAATCCATAATTCCTATCATGTAAATTTATTTTGTTATATAGAATAGGTAAGATATTTGCCTGGTTCAGAATTCAGTAAAAGGATCTCCTAACCCAGTCCCAATTGTCTGATTTCCCTCCCTAGAGGGAAGTAACAGACCAGTTTCTTATGCCTCCTTTCAGAGATATGGTATGTATAGAAAAACTGTACATCTTTTCTTCTGGTGCTCTCTTTTTTGATTTTTAAAAACTTAATATATCGTGGAGTTCTTTTCAAAACAATGCATAGAAGTCTTCATTTTTTTATGGTTCATATTAGTCCACTGCATAGAGATATCACAACTTTTTCAGTAATCTCCTATTAAGGGACAGCTGGTTTATTTACATTCTTCTACTATTATAAGCAACACAGCAGTGAATAACCCTGTACAAATGTCTTTTCATACATGGGCAAACATCTGTAGGATAAGTTCTTATAAGCAGAATTGCTAAGTGAAAATGTATACACATTTGTAATTTTGAAAGATGTGCTGAAATTGCCCTACAGAGAAATGGGACCAGTTTACACTGCCACTAACATCTAAGAGTGTTTTCAACATACAAGTGTTTTATTTATTTAGTTAGTTAGTTATTTAGTTAGTTGGTTTTGAGACAGGGTCTCACTCTGTTGCTCAGGCTGGAGTGCAGTGGCACAATCATGGCTCACTGCAGTCTTGACCTCCTGAGCTCAAGTGATCCTCCCACCTCAGCTTCCCAAGTAGCTGAGACCACAGGTGTGCACCGCCATGCCAGGCTTTTTTGTTTGTTTGTTTTCTACAGATGAGGTATCACTATGTTGCCCAGGCTGGTCTTGAACTCCTGGGCTTAAGTAATCCTCCTACCTGGGCCTCCAAAAGTGCGTGGATTACAGGTGTGAGTCACCATGCCTAGCCTAGTGTTTTATTGAGTGTTTATTATGTTCCACATACACTGGGTGGTTAAAAAGGTGAGCTCACCCTTGAGTGGCTTCCCTTTTCTCATAAGGTAAAGGCCAGTCCCTACTTGGCCATCGCCACCTTGCCTGCCCCAGCCCCAGAGTGCCCTGCCTTCACCCCAGCCCCACTGCAGCCTCCCTCTTGCCCAACTCACCACCCTTAGGCAATCTCACCATGTTTTAGTTCTTCAAACATGCTAAGCTCCTTCCACGCATGGGGTCTTTGTACATGAAATGCCACATGGCTAGATGTCCCTTTCTCCCTGTTCCTCACGTGGTTAGCCACTGTTCACTCTTCAGCTCTCAGTTCAATCACCATTTCCTCTGGGAGCCCTTCTCTCACTTCCATGACTAGGTCCCTTATGACTAAGTTACAAGCTCCCCAGCTCTGTGTACAGTTGTCCCTCGGTATCCGTAGAGGACCGGTTCCAGGACCTCCCATGGATACCAGAATCCTAGGATGCTCAAGTCCCTTATATGAAATGGCACAGTATTTGCATAGAATGTACACAATCCTTCTGTGTACTTTAAATCACCTGTAGATTACCTGTAATACTTCATATGATGTCAATGCCATATAAATAGTTGTTATATTCTATTATTTACATTTTTATTGTTGTACTGTTATTTTTATTGTTATTTATTTATTTTAAAAAATATTTTTCTATCCACAGTTGGCTGTATGCACAGATGGGGAACCTACAGATACTTAGGGCCGACTGTACTTCTTGTAGGCCCAGGAACTATTACCCATTTTATTTCTCTGATGACTTACTATTGGTCTTTCTTGCTGTACTGTGAGATCCATGAAGGCAGGGACCATGTCTGTTTTTCTCTCCGTTGTATCTCCGAAGCCCAGCACTGTGCCCGGTCCCTAGTAGGCACGCTGTAATAATTGTTTGAGTTTGTTCAGTAAGATCGAGGACTCTTGATTAAGAGTTCAGTATGTGCAGGCACTGTTCTAGGCACTGGAGATACATCAGTGCATAAAACAGACAAAATTCCTGCTCGCTCCAGCTTGACATTCTGATAGTTGTTGGGGGAAGGAATATACAGTTAATAAATAAATAAAAATGAGCAAATACGTGTTATGTCAGATTGTGATATACGCCATGAGAATAAATAAATCAAGGTGGAGCAGCAGAGCAAGATGGAGCTGGGGAGCCATTTAAATAGAGTCTTCAGGGAGGGTCTCTTAAGTAAGGTGACATTTAACAGAGAATGAATGGAGGAGTGAGTCATGAGGATATTTGGAGGAGGAGCATTTCAGATGGAGGCAATAGCAAGTGCAAAGGTCCTGAGGCAGACCTGTAATAGACATATTAGAGGAAGCAAGAAGGGCCACGTGGCTGGAATGAAGCACGCCTGTAATCCCACCTACTCCAGAGGCTGAGGCAGGAGAATCACTTCAACCCGGGAGGCGGAGGTTGCAGTGAGCCGAGATTGTGCCACTGCACTCCAGCCTGGGCAACAGAGCAGGACTCTCTCTCAAGAAAAACAAAAATAAAACAAAACACTGTTCTGAGAATGGAAAGACATAAATAATTGCAAGTTACATAACTGATAAATGACATGTGTCTTAGAATATACAAAGTGCTCTCAAAATCCAACAATCAGAAAGCAAGCACATTTAAAAAGGGCAAAAGCACTCACAAAAGACAAATACTGTACGATTCCACTTATATGAGGTATACTTAGAGTAGTCAAAATCACAGAGACAGTAGAAGGGTGGCTGCCAGGGGCGAGGGGGATGGGGAAATGGGGAGTTATTGTTCAACGGGTGCAGAGCTTTAGTTTCACAAGAGGGAAAGAGTTATGAAGATGGATAGTGGGGATAGTTTCACAATATCATGAATATATTTAGAACCACTAAACTGTAAACTTAAAAACATTAAGATGATAAATCTTTTGGTATGTGTGTTTTAACACAGTAAAAAATTTTGAGGGAAAAAAGGGCAAAAGACATGAACAGATGTTTCACCACAGAAGATATATGGATGACCAAGAGGCACATGAAAAGATGCTCAGCATCATTGGTAATTAGTAAAATGCAAGTTAAAACCACTATGATATATCACTATACATCTCTTAGAATGCCTAAAATAACAAATATTGACAATACCAAATGATAACTAGGGTGCAAAGTAGCCAGCACTCTTATACATCTCTGGTGGGATTGCAAAAAGACTACAAACACTTTACAAACCACTTGGTAGTTTCTTGTAAAGTTAGCATACATCTACCATATGGCCCAGCAATTTCACTCCTGGAGAAATGAAAGCTATGGTCATGCAAAACCTGTACATGAATGTTTATAGTTATTTATAGTCTATAGTTATAGTTTATAGTTACTTGTAATTGCCCAAACTGGAAGCTACCCAAATCTCTGTTAGTTGAGGAATGTATAAACAAACTGTGGCACACCCAAACAATGAAATACTACCTAGCGGTAGAAAGAAATCGACCATGGATACACACAAAAACATGGGTTGTTTTCAAATGCCTTCCGCTAAGTGAAAGAAGCAAAAATACCTACAGAAGTAATAGGCTACATACTGTGTGATTCCATTTATTTGACATTCCAGAAAAGGCAAACCTAGAGGGGCAGAAAATAGATCAGTGGCACCAAATATACCTGAGATTAAAGTCAGCCACATGATCTCTTTGAATTTCTGTTTCTTGATCTATAAAATGGGAATAATTTTACCTACCTAAGGGAATTGTGAGCACTCAGTGCCAAAATATATAAAAAATCTAGAAAATTGTGCTCAGAAAATGTTAGTTTTCTCCCCTTTCCTTTCTGCCTCATCAGGCAGATCACTTCTACAGATGGCCAGTTTCATCTATGAAGTGTTCACTTGTATGGGTTTTCCTCTGACAGGGGAGCCTTATCTTTAGATTCTGGATGCACCTTGCTTGTCCTGTAGGTGCCGACTGCTGCCACTGGTGTATCTGCTGTGACTTGAGGGGTGATCTCAGCTTGAATCCAACCCAAGGCTCAGGCATGTCTGGAAAACCGATGGGATGGCTTTCCAGACCTGATTTGTATTAATGGTGGAACCTCCCCTCAGAGAACTCATTCTAAGCAAAGAAGGAGCCACGGTTGATGAATGGACAAGAAGGGGCCCTTCAGAATGACTGAGGCAGGGAAAGAGGGCAGCGACTCTGATGACCTCTCACTCAAATTCACACACCTACCCAGCTTCCGTGGACTGTTCAGGGATCCCCTCTCTTCCACTTTGCACCAGAAAGCCCTGCAGCTTTGCTATTTCAAGGGCCCCAGGGTCAGGATATGATGGAAGATGGTGGTATCTGGTGGCCATGGGGTGCTCTGTGCCAAGTCCCTAGAGAAACCAGGGTTCAGCAGGAGAGGACTCAAGCACAGGCATACATGAAATACCTCCAGGGAACTCACAGAAGTACGAGCATGTGGGACACAGCTCAGGGCATTTTGAGTTATTATTGTTAATGGGGAAGCCTCTGTGTCCCCAGTCTGGTGATGGTGGGGGTGTCCCCAGTCCTCCCTTTTCCTTCTGAGGATTGTCATGTAATGTCTACAGAAGGCTGTGATCCTTCCAGTGTGGCGAGGTGTTTGAAGATAAGCCCAGAGCATGTAGCATCTACTGAGGACACGCCATCCACACAACCCTGCTATGTTCTAACAGGAGGCTCTGACCCTGTCCCTGAGGAGCTTCCCTTATTTGGGGAGGTCAAACATACATAAAACAGCTTTGGAATAATTACAATATAATAATGAAATTTGCTGAGAGAATATATCTCCGGAAACACACACACACGGGTAACTATGTGAAGTGAGGGATGTGTTAATTAGCTTCATAGTGGTAATCATTTCACAATGTATACGTACATCAAAACATCACACCGTACATCTTAAATATGTACAACTTGTATTTGTCAAGTAAACCTCAATAAAGCTGGAAAAGATATCCAAGGTGGGGATAACACATTCTTTCTCGTATGGGGCACTATGGCAATAGACTCTAGGTTTAGGGGTGGCCTGCCCCTTGCTAACCCACATTATCTGCAATTATTTATCCCTGGCTACACACTAGAATCACCTGGGAGAGGGGCTTTAAGAGCTGATGCCAGGTCCCACCCAACACCAATTAAATCAGAATCTGTAAGTATAGCTTTGGTACTGATTTTTTTTTTAAAGTTCCTCAGTGATTTTTTTCTTACCTCTTATTTTCATTAGCATTTTCCAGATATTTAAGACAATAGATACTAAACAGGACACAGGCAGATTGAAGAACACTCAGCATTGTTAAACGGCTTTTGCTGTGCCACCTGCTAGTCAAAATCGGGCCCACTGATAGTTGATGCCACAGGGGTATTCTGAGGCCAGCCCACACTGGCACCCCTAGAGCAGATTGTTCAATATTCAGGAACTTTGCAAGCAGATTGTTAAACCATTGGTAGCTTGAAATCTCCCATAGTGAGAGTATTCACCATGGAAATCAATAAATGCTACAAATCAGGGCACCCCAGATCACAAGGTTAGGAGTTCGAGACCATCCTGACCAACATAGTGAAATCCTGTCTCTACTAAAAATACAAAAGTTAGTTGGGTGTGGTGGCACGTGCCTGTAATCTCAGCTACTCAGGAGGCTAAGGCAGGAGAATCGCTTGAACCCGAGAGGCAGAGGTTGTAGTGAGCTGAGATCACGCCACTGCACTCCAGCCTCAACGACAGTGCAAGACTCTGTCTCAAAAAACAAAACAAAACAACCAGGGTACCCCGTTCCCACCACAGCCAGTTTACCTGCACACAGCTGTCTGAGACAATATTTGTGATTTTGCCCATAGCAGTTCCTCCCAACCCCAACCTGCCAAACACCTCGCTTGGGCACACATCAAGCTGTGCTTTTACGGCCATGACACTGAGCCTATGGCAGGTGCACATGACTGAGGCCCCAGCATCACTCTCCTTCCACAGCTGTTTACCTGCAAGTGCTAACTTGCTAACTTGCTCTAGTCCTTGAAAGATACCTGGGGGGCTCTATTAAGAGAGTTTCCTTGATAACAGATATGCGCATTTACTTTGAGCATGATTCTTTTTTCAGGATTATTTAATATGTTTTTATATATATTACCCTATGTTTCCTCACAATGAGTGAGCAGAAGATGTATTGAGTACTTATATTGTAGATTCAGGTAGGGAAAAGACATATAAACAGAGAGACTGCCTTATGAGAGTCTCTAAGTTCCACCAATGAGGCTCACAGAGGTACAAAGAGTTCCATATTTCCAACAGAAAAATGACAAAGTCTGTGTTCTATTTTTTTTCTTTTTTTCTTTTCTTTTTTTTTTTCTGAGACAGGGTCTCACTCTGTCACCCAGCTTTGAGTGCAGTAGCATGACCTCGGTTCACTGCAACCCTCGCCTCTCAGGCTCAAGTGATCCTCTCACCTCAGCCTCCCGAGTAGCTGGGACTACAGGTGTGTGCCCCCACGCCTGGCTAATTTTTTATATTTTTGGTAGAGACAGGGTTTCGTCATGTTGCTCAGGCTGGTCTTGAACTCCTGAGCTCAGATGATCCACCTGCCCCAGCCTCCCAAAGTGCTGGGATTACAGGCATGAGTCACTGGCACCTGCCTCTATTGGTTTTCTTTTTCCGAGTAAGAAGAGCACTACTTGCCTGAGATCCGCATTTGAATGATGTCTCCAGTGAATAACCTTGTGATCTTGCCAACCTACTCGGCTTCTCAGTTCCCTCCACTGCAGTGTTGCAGAGACCAGGAGGATAATGAACCACAGCCACGGTTCTCAAGCTTTGGTGCACACACCATCACCTGGGGGGCTCCTGGAAAAAGACTGCTGGGTTCCAGCCCCAGGGTCTCTGATACAGTCGGTGTGAGGTGGAACCTGGTCATTTGCATGCCTAACAAGTTCCCAGGTGACGCTGCTGGCCCAGGGGCAACACTTTGAGAACCATTAAAACAATATTTAGACATAATAATAATTGCGTAATTCTTTGTCTCTTCTGTTGCCTTGACTGACAGATTAAGAAAGGGAAACAGCATTTATTGAGTATCAATAATTATGCAAGTCATCTCATTTTATTTAATACTTACCCTTAAAGTACTTATCACGTTATGGATGAGAACATTGAAGCTAAAAAAGTTAAATGACTTACCCAGAATTTTACAATGAGGAAATGGTGAATCTGGGATTCAAATACAAGTTTGTCCAACTCCGGAATCTATATTCTATTTGTTACACCTTGCTGCTTGCCAACAGTGTTTGGCCGTGGTAATTGCATAAGTTTAGGGGTTTAACTTTATTCTACTTCTTTCTATATGATAGTTTGTCTTCTACTTTGTCTTTCTATATTTTTTCCAGGTATTCTGTTTTACAGAGTTCAGTCCACTGGTCTAAAACAAGTTATTTGGGCTCTTCGAGCCTCATTTTCCTCAAATGTAAACTGAGGAAACATCCACCTTGCAGTGTTGTGGTGAGAGCTACAGACAATATGCATAAACCACCTGGCAATGTGCCCAGCCAGTGTTAGGCACATAACACTCAACAGCTGCTGTTATTCAATAGTCCCTTGCTCCCCTTCCTTAAACACCATCCCTGATTTCCAAATGAATCAGACAGTGTGTTCTTCTCTTGTGCTGCCACATTAACCAGAACTTATTCTGACCATGTGCTTGAATTGTCTCATCAGCATGTCCCCTACTGGCACCTATTGTATCGAAGAGCGTTGTGAATATTAAAAAAGAGAACATGTAAGATGCAATGAATCAGCCAGTCAACAAGCAAACATTGAGCACCTTGTATGTGCCAGGCATGGGGTTATAGTTGTGAAACAGAGAGTCCTGTTACAGAACTGAAGTGGGGTCCGCTTGCCTGGTGCAGTAAAGTCAAACATTCACACTGAGGTTTGCAGTGGAAGAAAGGAGGGTGTTAATTTTCAGGGAACCAAGTAAGCGGAATCAGGCAGCTCATGCTTAAGACCTGACCTCCCCGATGGCTTGCAAGTAAGGGGGTTTAAAGATGAGAAGGCAGAGGTTATAGGCAAACTCGTGAATCAATACACATAGACTACACATTGGTTTGATCTAAAAAGGTGGGACATCTCAAACCAGGGGCTTACAGGTCATAGGTAGATGCAAAGATTTTCTGATTTGCAGTTGGCTACGGAAGCAAAGCTTTGTCTAAAAATTTAGGATCAGCTGAAAAAAATGTTAGCCCTGGCTTTTTCGCATGGCTTCCTCCAGGATTCTCAGGAAGAACTTTAGAACTAAGAATGGCAGTCAGAATTCAGTCCTCAATTCCCCCTTATCTGAGGTCTATGCTCCAGTGGATCCATTTGGTGGGGGTTTCTGAAAAACAACTCAGGGACATATGTTAAGAAGTTATCTTTAGATTCTACAAGGAACATCTTGTGACTCTAACTTCCTTGGCTATGGTTTTAAGCTACTATTACCTTCTTGCTTATCAAGTTGCTCATTTACTTCTCAGAGCTAGCTAGGTGCCTGGAATTTCCCTTGAAGGAACTCAAGATTTTCCTTTATTTCCATGCTTTGGAGGGGGTGGGGAGGAGATCCCTGCAGGACCCTTAGAGGGGTCCTGCTCGGTCTCAATTCCTCCTGTCTTTTGTCACTTCTCAGTCCTGGGGGGTACAGGAACGCAGACGGCTGTGGCTACTTTCTGCTGAATGGGGACAAAGATTAGGGACCAGGAAATGAGGAGATAAATTTCTAGCATGTAGCTCAAGATATTCACGTGCCCCAGGCATGGCACCATGGTGCAGAATTATCATTATATTATTTGCTTTCATCACTGCTTTATTACAACATTTTAATTTGGCTACGATAGAAAGCATAAGCAAAATTAGCAAGACGGACATGCCTAACTTTAGCAATCCAGAAAATATGGACTGTATTCCATGAGGAATCCAAGAAAACAAAGAAAGCCAGTCCTTGCGGACAGTTGGGGAGACCTGTTGTAACAAAATGTCGTGTTCTCTAATTCTTTCTAATGAGTTTCTACCTGCCCAGATCCATTTATATAAGTACAGCACATGGTATTTGCAATTATACATATTTTTCTCTATTCAGCTAAGATGCAATCTAAGACTATCCTATTATCTAAAACAACCTGAGCCAATGAATTAATTCCTCTTGGCTGGGTGGCTGTTGTATGCAGTTTTAGCAGCAAGAATTTTGAAAGTGAGGAAGAAATTTCTAATTGTGTGCTCATGGGATGCCACTCCCCACCAAGGTAACAACATCTGCCCAAAGAAGTAGTCAGCTCCATCTTTTTGGAACTCAGGCAAATATGGGTTTGTGGATCCCCAGAGTATGTGGACTATTTAGTTCCAATGAGTTGTTTAATTTGCTGGGAGCTAATGAGAGGTGAAGCCAGCTGGGCTTCCTGGGTGGAGGGGGGTACTTGGAGACCTTTTCTGTCTAGCTAAAGGATTGTAAACACACCAATCAGCGCTCTGTGTCTAGCTAAAGGTTTGTAAACGCACCAATCAGCACTCTGAAAAAATGCACCAATCAGCACTCTGTGTCTAGCTAAAGGTTTGTAAATGCACCAATCAGCACTCTGTAAAAATGCACCAGTCAGCACTCTGTGTCTAGCTAAAGGTTTGTAAATGCACCAACCAGCACTCTGTAAAAACGGACCAATCAGCACTCTGTAAAATGGACCAATCAGCAGGACGTGGACAGGGCCGAGTAGGGGAATAAAAGCTGGCCACTGGAGCCAGCAGCTGCAACGTGCTCCGGTCCACTTCTGCACTGCGGGAAGTTTGTTCTTTCGCTTTTCATAATAAATCTTGCTGCTGCTCACTCTTTGGGTCCGCAGGACCTTTAAGAGCTGTAACATGGCCAGGCGCGGTGGCTCACGCCTGTAATCCCAGCACTTTGGGAGGCCGAGGCGGGCAGATCACGAGGTCAGGCGATCCAGACCATCCTGGCTAACACGGTGAAACCTCATCTCTGCTAAAAATACAAAAAGTTAGCTGGGTGCGGTGGCAGGCGCCTGTGGTCCCAGCTACTCGGGAGGCTGAGGCTGGAGAATGGCGTGAACCCGGGAGGCGGAGCTTACAGTCAGCGGAGATCGCGCCACCGCACTCTGGCCTGGGCGAAAGAGCGAGACTGTCTCAGAAAAAAACAAAAAACAAAGCCAAAAAAAAAAAAACTGTAACACTCACTGCAAAAGTCTGCGGCTTCACTCCTGAAGTCAGCAAGACCACGAACCCACAGGGAAGAACAAACGACTCCAGAGGCGCCACCTTTAAGAGCTGTAACATTAACTGCGAAGGTCTGTGGCTTCCTTCCTGAAGTCAGCGAGACTGCGAACCCACCGGAAGGAAGAAACTCCGGACACATCTGAACATCTGAAGGAACAAACTCGAGACACACAATCTTTAAGAACTTAACACTCACTGCGAGGGTCCGTGGCTTCATTCTTGAAGTCAGTGAGACCAAGAACTCACTGGAAGGAACCAATTCTGGACACACTAAGATAGGGACTTCCAATGTGTTCAGAGAGCAGGCCTCTAAGGAGGTATATTTGAGGGCCGGGCTCATCTGAAGAGGCAAAATCAAAGCAGACTTTATAATGAGGCAACCAAAAGAGGAGAATACTAAAATAATAAATTGTCAGATTATGACAATATAGTGAACTGTTGTACTGTTAGTCTATTAGCCAGGTCAGATAACGTATCTCCAGATTATTTGTCTTTGCCAGTGTTCGAGAAATCCAAGTTACGTAATTATCCTTTTAATCTAGGGGGCTCAAAGTCCACAGGGAAACGTAACAAAAAGGTAATCATGTTTATGGTTCAATATGAGCACTTGAAGTAATTAAGACCCTAGGGCAGCACACAGAATCTGCTTAGCCAGTAGTTGATAGACAAAATAAATGATGACAAAGAATGGTTTATGTCTGTATCTCTTATTGTTTATTGTTAGGCGTCTGTCTTCTGAACAGCAACGTGAGATCTGTCAGGGTTCACTAGTCCACCTGCAGAAGTCAGTCTTCGGGGCGTGCCAGCATTCCAAATTTAGACGACCAGGACCGTGATGTTTTTAAGGTGTGGTTCCTGTTTTCTGTCACATTCTGATGGATAGGGTTAGGAAACTCTTGGGGAACCAGGTTTGCCCAGGAATAGTGGATCTACAGTTTGACTCTTCTTAATTTTACTGAGGAATGAGTCATCAACAGCACATCATATGGTCCTGTCCATCGAGGATGAAACTGACCTTAAACCAGCTGTCTTACAGTCCGGAGGGCAGTCAGTTGGGTCATCTAGATATTAGGCTCAAAACATCACAAGGCATGAATTTCAGCTCGAGAAAAAGGTAGTAGCAATTTCATTGAGTCCAAGTCAGGAAAATGGAAGAAATTTTTCTCTCTCTATCCCCCATTTCTATCAAAGACAAACCACAGCAGGACCAACTTATTTGTAAAATAAGTTTTAGTCTTCTTATTTTTGGCCTGATTATTTGCATAATGTGCAGTGAAAATAGTTATTGACTATATAAGCTCTTTTAAAGTTGGCTTTGCTGGAATATTTTTTCATAAGGAATATCAGATTAGACTTTTTAAAAGCCTCTAAAGCCAAGTCAAGGATTTATCTGTGCCTGCAGATACCTGTATGAATTGCATTAATTCCCCTCTTCTTGAGGTCCCAAAATATCCTGAGGTTCTTGGGCTGTCAGAAAGTTACATACTTTACTTACCACAGGGTCAGAAACTTTGTGAGGGAATTGTGCAGACAGTTTTTCCCAAGGACTTTTTGTTGGCTCTACAAAATTAACTTCAGTTCCTCAAAGCAGTCTGGTCATATGTGAAAATATGCATTTCCAATCAAAGCCTTGGTAAAATAGTCAGTGTCTCCAATTGTGTCCTGTTACAAAAGAAAACTTCTTATTTTTATTTTTATTTTTTTTCAGACGGAGTTCTCGCTCTGTCGCCCGGGCTAGAATGCAGTGGTGTGATCTCCGCTCACTGCAAGCTCCGCCTCCCGGGTTCACGCCATTCTCCTGCCTCAGCCTCCAGAGTAGCTGGGACTACACGCGCCAGCCACCACGCCCGGCTAATTTTTTTTGTATTTTTTAGTAGAGACGGGGTTTCACTGTGTTAGCCAGGATGGTCTTGATCTCCTGACCTCATGGTCCGCCTGCCTCGGCCTCCCAAAATGCTGGGATTACAGGCGTGAGCCACCGTGCCCCGCCCAGATTCCTATTAAACTTATGCAAATAACTATATTGCTATAAACTAAGAATACTCACTAACGGTTTCCAAATTTTGGAAAAATTAGGTAGAGAGAAACATGCTTGAAGTTTTGCTTACAAGAGTTTACTTTAATCAATTGTTCAAAGCTACAAATAGCTCAAAAGAAAAAGTTTTCTTGACTCAAGAAAATAAAACAAAAAAAACAGCAGTGTTTCAAACAATAAAGTAAAAAAATGCTTCCAGTTATCTATTAGTTTAGCTCCATATAATTAACTCTTGTTCTGTTTGATGTTGAGCTAGCAATCCTCATGAATACATCAGCTTTTTAATTAGAGTTCTGGAGGTTTTTCCTTTGTTTTTGTTTTTGTTTTTTCCTAGTCAATGGTACCATTTCCAAAGTTATCAGAAACCTGTATTCAAGAGTATTTGTTAGAATCCTTTCCATGAACTTCTTCAAAGGAGAAATCACTTTTTGAGAAGTTATAGATAGCAAGTCATGGAAAAGCTATGATTAAAGATGCAATTGACAAGAGTCTGTGACATACAAGAATTTAACATAATAATTATAATCATTGCTGATAACATATTAAGGCATCAGAATTTTAAGAATCTCATATAATTTTGGAACACATATTAATAACACATTTATGCAAATACAACCCAAACAAAGTTAAATACCATTTTATATTTCACAATGTTTCCTGTATGATTTTAAGATACCAAGTAAACCCAATATGTCTTTCCTGGACTTCCAGGGGTCCTAATATAAAAAAATTAGTTTGAGGTCAAAAAGACTGAATCAAGAATTTGAAATTTAATTTTGGAATGTTTGTCAGATATTAGAGGTTTAAAACACTTGATATCACAAAATAGGATCACAGGTAACTATAAAGCAATAGTCATTCATTTAGCCAAAGTGATAATTCCAGGATTTTGAAAAGCAAAATTTACTATTTCATAGGGAGGAGACTCAGTTTTCCGAATAATCATAAGACCTAATAAAGACAGCATAATGCCAGCTGAATGTGTCTCTTTCTCTTTTGCTTGTTTTATTTTTGGAGCTTATTCTAAGGGTAAACATAATCTGTTATTATGTCTTATTAATATTATATGAAAATCTTATTAAAAGAGAAAGCCAAGTTTTACCTTTTCATTAGCATATTATTAATGCTAAAGATAATTTTAATAAAACCTTATAAACAAATCCATCCAATTTCAGTTAATTTTAACCACACAAGGTAAGATTTTTATTACCCTTTTATAACCTTTTATAATTGTTTATTAAAGAGAAGTTCAATGCTCCAAGAAAACTTTGCCATTCTGACATGGAGGCCCAGACTCTGACCCTGCATTAGTGTGCTTTTCATATTAATGTTTAATTTTTGAAAAAATTAAATCATCCCCTTTTAATTTTAGTCAATTTGATCATACACAAAGCTCCTTTCACATGATTAATCTTTCATAAATCTTTTTCTACAACTTGCTTAAACCTTCAGTTTTGTCCTATCATTTTACCTTAGGACAAAAATTTACTTTCTTTTCTCTATCATCATTTTGACCACACAAAGTTGTATCTCATGTAAAAGAAAAATTACTTTGTCTCTTAAACTTTCTTTCCATTTTACTTTCCCTTTAACAAAAACCACATTCCTACACCTTTTATAACCAAATAAAAAACAATCATATAGCCAGGTGCAGTGGCTCACGCCTGTAATCCCAGCACTTTGGGAGGCTGAGGCAGGAGGATCCCTTGAGCTCAGGAGTTCAAGACCAGCCTGGGAAATATAGTGAGACCCCCATCTCTATGAAAAAATTTAAAAAGTAGCTGGGCATGGTGGTGCACACCTGTGGTCCCAGCTACTTGGGAGGCTGAAGTGGGAGGATCACTTGAACCCAAGAGGTTGAGGCTACAGTGAGCCATGATTGCACCACTGCACTCCAGGCTTGCTGACAGAGTGAGACCTTGTCTCAAAAAACAAAACAAAACACCCCTCACATCCTTTTTTAAAAAAAATCCTTTGCATATAGAATTGCTTTTCTCATCTCTAGTAGTCTTCACTGCGTATATTAATTACAATGTTAATTCTTAATAACCCTTATTTTCAATGAAAAGCACAGGAAATAAGCAATTTTAATGTTTCAGATGTAGACCCCAGGACAAAGGACTTTTCCTGGATCTAGGCCTCATCATGGCCCGAAGGCTCAAATCTAAAGACATACATAAGCTTATAGACAAGTGAAGCAAGTATCGAAAGGACTACAGAAGCAATAGTTTTATGACCTTAAAACACCTAGCAGAGACAGTATCTGATCAATAGATCTGGGCAGAAATGTCTACATTAAATTCTGAAAACACTTTTATTTTGTTTTACCAACAATTTCGAAACTATCTTTATTTACTAAAGATTATTAAAATCATGGGAACCTGAAAAGCATTTGGACTTATTCATTTAATTTATAAGTACTCCTTTATTTACAAGCCAATTTGGTATCATAGGCAACATACAAGGTCATACACATGCACATAATAAAGATCCAAACAGGCATAAACAAAGACACTACAGTCTTGATTTTAAAACTCTGGCCATGAGACTGGCTAAAGTTAAAAGGATAGCTGGATTCAATTTATGTTGCTGTAAGTGGAACGAATGAAAATCCATTTGTCCCACATGGTTCAAGTCATCATGGAGCCCCAGTGGAAGCAAGGTGTAGCCATCCATGTCTCAAAAGATAGAGAGAGCAAGAATTTATTCAACTTTAAGAAGGAGTTTAGGCTGTGCTGCAGGAAAACTAAAAATGGATATCAAGCAACATAAAATTGCAGGAATTTACCACAGGATCTTATAAGGGAATTTTTTTCATAATATAGAGTAATTTCTGGCACCTCAAAAACCAACAGATAAGGTAATAGAATACAAAAGAGAACAGAATTTTAGGTCTGGGAGGCGAGGCCTCTGTATATTTACAACTCTTGGGATTCCCTGAGGAAAAACAGAGGTTCCTCTCAAAAGAGTAGTTCATGGCATCTTTTCTGTTTTCCTTAAGGGATCTCAGGCTGTTAGAACGTATTTTTCTGGTCCTCTCATGTGGCATCAAGGATGGCAAGAGGAAGGAGGGGCCAACAGAAGTGAATGGAGAGACAGACAGACGGAGTGCATAAGGCTAGCAGGAGTTCAAGACAAAATGAATTTAGTTGATGGAGAAATTTTTATAGAGAGAGAACAGAGGTCTTAAAATACACACACACACACACACACACACACACACACACACACACACACACATAAATAGCCTAAATTCTGTATTCTGTTTTAATTATGTTGACTTCTGATTATAAAGCTCTTTTAAAAAAATTTCACATCTCTTATTACCAGATTTTAGTGGGGTGAACCACTGATATTTCTGGTTTTTGAAATTTTTTCCAAAGATAGCCTTCCCTGTGAAACTAATAGGCCTTAACCAGGGTTATGACTGTTAAAGCAAACTAAATATGGTCTGAGAGGACTCCGTACTTCTCTATTTGAGTCCTTGTGGAAATTGGGAATGAGGTAAAAAAACAGTTGGATTGGTTACAGGTTGGTGTTTACCTTATTTGAACACAGTTTGAACACTTGAGTGGTTGCAGTATGGCTGTTGGGATTGGCCAAGACTCAGCTACTGTTACAGGTGCATATTCCTAAGTTAGGTTTTCAATCTTGTCTGCCTATTAAAATAGGTTACAGGTTTTTTTATTAATGTTACTACCTGGATGGCTGGGGGAGCCTAGAGAATTTCTGCAGAGATATCTGGCTCCCTTGTAGGTGGTTTAGCCAAGTGGTACCCATTTCTGAGAAGCATATTTTTTCTAGAGTCAAGTCAAGACTTAGAGCCAAGTGCCAAGAAAGAAAATTAGCCAGAGGGCTGAATCACTTGACTCACCTGGACAGGGAAAGCCCCACATCTGCTATGCTCAGACCTGCACAGGGTGCCGCAGAATGCACCAGTTTAATAAACTGGGGAAATTGGGGAGCTTGTTTCCTGTCCTTTGACTTGACTTTGGCAGCAAGGGGACAGCCCCAGCCCTTGCTTCCCAAAGCCAACTCATGCCCTTCCATTGACCACAAAAGAGCACACTGTCCTAGAGACAAGACTGTTACTCACCACCGCTGCCATTCACCTGGCACCCTAAGAAGGAATCTGTGCCTTCCAAAAGACACACAGCTAAAAAGAATCAATCACTGAGCTGTCCCCACAAGTGGAAACTTTCTCATTAAGAAGGCTGGAAGCAGGAGATGGAGTGTCTGCATTTAATTCTGTACCCTTTCCTTGTGGGAAGCATTGGTTGTCAATCCAGAGAAGCTGGAATCTTCCCTGGGAATCGCCGACAAGAGTGATAGGGGTCACTGTGATTCTAAACACTCCCTACAGGCATTTGCAATGCAGTTCTCACAGCTGGTTGCAAAAGTACCAGAAGAGAGAAGGCAAGAAAACAAGGTAATTGAATTCCCCGGCAAATGTGAATTAAGAAAAGTTGCCTTTGTATACAAGGTTAAACACTGGAACTGGGCCAGCTTGTCAGCTGGTTCAGGAGGGCAAGCCCAGGGCCAGGACATTTGCCTTTGAGCACAGGCCACTTGTACAGGTCTGGCTGTTTGCCACCATCCCAGCAGGACCACATTCCAGGTGGAAATTGCCAAAATGTGCACACTGAGAATTTCCAACAGCTGAAGCTCCTCTTCAGGCCATGAAGTCAGTGCTAGTCCTTGTGGCAACTCTAGCCAAGATCACCCTGGTTTTTTTACTTTCTCTCTTGAGAGCAGCACATAGAGGTAAATACAGTATTGAGCAACTAGTGGAAATAGAAGGCATGGGGGTTTTCTGGTGGCTGACTCAAGCTGGCTTGTTTGTGTTACCTGTATCAGCCGTGACTCTCAAATCCATCTTTCTGAAACTCAAGTCATTGTGAGCAACCACCTCTCATCCCTGAACCAAAGTCAAAAATAAAAGTGACATGGGATCAGGCGTGGACGCGGGAGCTTAATTATAAATTGACTGCTCTCCCGAGAAGAAACGTCACTGATTCGAGCTTTCATGATTTCATGGTGAGACCTAAACCATTTTTGCTTCTGCAAAACCGCAGTCAAAGACATCTCTGAACAAGTTACCCCAAGTCTCTTACATGAGGATCTACGAAATCTAATTTTCCAGAAATGTAATGCCAAGTGAATGTTTGCTTCTCCAAACAAAAATGCTGCTTGTCAACAAGCAAACAAACAAAATGCTGATGCTGCTACTTCTTGGTTTTGTTCTTACTCTTCCTTGAAAATCAGGTGATTAAATTTACATGGTCCACCATTTCTCTTTTTGCCTTGAGTGCTAGGAAGCTCAGAGTCAAATTTCATGCTCAAACTATTTGTCCACATTCCTGATAGAATATTTCCCACTTTGCCATTATGAGGCTTCCAGTCTCTTTTTAAATGCTTCATGGTCACCGTATTTTAAGTTGTAAAACCCCTCATGTCCTTTTTAAATAAAGAGGCAGAATAAAATTAATTACTTAACTGGTTTAATCACTTAAACCTGACTTGGGGTTAAGCTCCAACCATGCTACTTAAAATAGAATTGAGCGCCTAATGCTCCTGAGACCTTGGTAACAGCTATTGTTCAGAAAGAATTGGCTCTGGGTAGGGTTTGGGTTACTGATTTGAATCTGTTTTCTTGGAACTGATTTGAATTGATTGGTGAGGCTGAGGGACGGTCACTTCCTACACTCCTTTATTTGAAAGGATTATGTTTTTGTATTATAGCCAGGGAGGCAGGCAGGTGCAGTGACTCAAAATAATCTTCCTTGCTCTCAGCAAAGCACTTCACACGGCTACATACATCCATGTTCTTATCTTTCAGCCGAATTGTTACAACAAATACCAGCCCTGCAAAAATCTCAACAGAACAAAAGATCCCCAAGTCCTGGGAATTAAAAGAGATCCACTTATTAGAACAACTGTTCTCCTGCTTTGTTAACTAACAAAGCAGCAGAACAATTACAATACTTGGATTGCACTCAGGATTGGTTAAAACAGGTTTACACCTGGTTTATGAAATAAGTAAACATGGGTCGTGTTCACAATGTTATGTTAGGGCCCACTATTTGCAAAATCAATCAATTGCCATCTATTCAGTTAGAACCCTGGATTAGTTGGAATTGTGCAAGTTGCTGGTACCAAAATGGAGTCTCTTATGTCAAAACTCTAATAAAATGGAGTTGGGGGCATGAAAGAAGGAGCTCTCATATGCATATCTGTACCCTGTCTTATCACAAGAAATTCCTACACACCCCACATGCCCCACTTGTCCCACATAGCATACATGCCCTGCATGTACCCTATAACAGCTTATCAGAAGAACTTTCTCAATATTGCAGTATTTTAGGTGAGCTGGCTACACCAGGACACTTAGCTGGCAATGGCTGTCACCACCAATGAACAAATGCCAACTCTTGTCATGAGCTTCTGTGATCTATGGACTTTGTTTCAAAGCAATTTATGTGGACTTCCTTTTGTCTTTCAAAGACTCTCCTTTGCAAATTTCTGTATGTCACTTCCCTCCTTTTTGGTCTATGAATTTGTTCTGACCATGAGGCATCCCTGGAGTCTCTTTGAATCTGGTGTGATTCTGGGGACTGCCCAATTTGCGAATCATTCATTGCTCAATTAAACTCCTTTAAATTTAATTCGGCTAAAGTTTTTCTTTTAACATGACTCAACCAAGAGTTGCATGAGGTCTCCGAAGAGGTGAAAATCAGTGCTCACAAGATCCAGAATCACCCTCAAGACAGCTCAAAGAAAGAAAAATTTTGCTAGCTACAAATGGAGTACAAGCCACATTTCTGTTTGGCCATATTCTCTAGAATCTCAGCTGAGAATCTAAACACGAAGACCCCCAAAGTCCATATGCCTCTAAGATGGAAGAGGGCAGGAAATCAAAAGCGGTTCCTGGAAAGGAAAAGAATCAGTAAGTTGCAAAAGTCACATGAATATCAAATCAATAAGACTTGTTCTGTAATTTTCCATTGGGTTCTTCCTGCCCACTGCACAAATAAAGACCACAGCATTGCAGCAAAGAAAGAGTTTAATTGACATGAGGCTGGCCATGCCATGCAGGAGATTGAGTTAGCACTCAAATCAATCTCATCTCAGGCTAGTAGGTTAGGGGATTTTCAAAGGCTCTTGAGCTGAGTTGCTTCTGGGTGGGGCCACAGGAATGGAGTTGGCAGGTCTAGGTGGAGCCATGGATAGAAGACATGCAAAAAGCCTGAAAAGATATATAAAAAGGCCAATCTTAGGTTCTACAATAGTGATGCTATTTGCAGGACCCCTGGAATAATGGCTGACAGTCATTTATGTCTATGCCTTAGCAGAATTTGGGCTTCTCTCCTCCCCCTAGACTGAGGGTCTCTTATTAGCTTTACAAAGGTGGTTGAACTCTGGGGAAGGCCTATAACCTAAGTGTCTTCCAAAGTTAGCTAGGCCTAAACCCAGGAATGATTAAAGGAAATGAAAGAGGAGGGTGGGTTAGATCAGATCTCTTTCACTGTCATAATTTTCTCATTGATATAATTTTTGCAAAGGTGGTTTCAGTTCCCTGACTGAACCCAAGCTGCTGTAGTGAAATGGTGGAACTTTAGCTGCTAGACTACAGTATGGAATGGTCTTTGCTGTTATTCCTGGAGAAGATCTAAGTCATGTAGTTTTTAGCTTGCAATATTTTTTAACTTTGTTTTAGGTTATATTTTTGTTCTTTAATTTAGTCAAGAGAATTCTTAAGGCTAGCCATGACGCTATTGCATTTCCTTTTTAAAATTTGATTTTCCCATCAACTGTTTAGAAAAAGAGATCTCTAAAATTATTTTTTGAATTTAGGAGTCCAATTTAAAGGACCCCTTTTCAGGCCATTTTCCTCCAGAGTCTAAAGAATATTGCAGCCAAGCAGTACTACAATTAAAAAAAAAAAAAACTTTTTCTTTTTCATGGGCTGAAAGCTAAAAATGGCCCAGTTCTGCAGAATACACCCTAATGGGCTGCAAGGTAGAATAGAGCTTGTGTTTCCCATTTTAGATGACAAAACCATAGGTGATGAAAACCTTGCTGCCTCAGCCAGGCTTCAGATAGAGTTTCAAGCAAGTCTGTTTTCAGCAAGTCAAAACCAAATATGGTTTCTCAAGTTCTGGATCCCTTCAGCTCTCTAGTGAGTATCCCCAATCAAACCAAATACTCTAAGAAAGCAGGGCCCAGGGCCTTGCCAAAGCAAAGTCAGTTGTCCTGCCAAAGCAGAACCCAGTGTCCAAAGAAAAAAATACCTTGGGGCTGTTGCCCACAAACCTACCACTTACGAAGGACATCTTCCAAGCCCAGTGCCTTATTTTTAATGCTACAAAAGTAAAAATGCCATGGCCCATGACACCTGGTCAAGCATAAAATGCATGGATCCATCCCTGAGCAAAATAATTCAGCCAACTGCCGGACAGGGTCCAAGGGTGGCTGCAGCCAGGGGCTGGTGTGCCATGGGCAAGGCCACCGGTTGGGACTTTCGCCCCTTTGTAGTTGCCAACTAATTGTTACTGAATCCACTTGGGATCCACTGACCACTCACCTGGCACAGTAAGTCCAAACATCTACACCAAGGTTTGCAGTGGGAGAAAGGAGGATGTTTATTTGCGAGTGCCCAGCAAGGAGAATCCAGCAGCTCATGCTTAAGACCTGGCTTCCCCGATGGCTTGTTAAGGGTTTTTTAAGGCAGGGAGGCAGAGGTTACAGGCACAACTACATATTAATACATGGAGGCTATATATTGCTTTGACCTAAAAAGGGGGGATGTCTCAAAGCATTCAAAGATTCAAAGATTTTCTGATTTGCAATTGGTTAAGGAAGCAAAGCTTTGTCTAAAAATTTGGGGTCAGTAGAAAAGAATGTAAGCTCTGGTTTGTGGGTATGATTTCCTCCAGGTCCCTCAGGAAGAACTTCAGAAGAAAGAGGAGTGGTCAGAGTTCAATCCGCAGTTCCCCCTTATCTGAGGCCTGTGTGCTAGTGGATCCATTTGGTAGGGGTCCAGGTACCTGAAAAACAACTCAGAGAAACGTATGTTAAGACGTTATCGTTAGGGATAAAGGGATAAATATAATGTTCTACAGGGAACATCTTGTGACTCTAACTTCCTTGGTTATAGTTTTAAGCTACTATTACCTTCTTAATGATCAGGTCACTCATTTTCTTCTCAGGGCTAGCTAGGTGCCTGGAGTTTCCCTTGAAGAAACTCTTTTCCTTTATTTCCATGTTGCAGGGAGGGGCCTACAGGCTCCTATGAGGGGTCCCTGCTCTATCTCAGTCCTTGCCCTAAAGAATCTTACATAATTGTTCTTATTGCTTCTTTTTGGAGGTGGCAGGGATTATATCTCTGAATCTCACAAAAGCACTGGTGCTGCTTTTCCAATAGCACTTTGCTTTGCTTCTGAGCTGTTTCGATTTGTTTGTTGTTGGTTTTCATTATGTATTCTGGGAGCCAATGACTTGGCTGGGCACTTGAAATCCTACATTTGAACTTCTGGCAGCTCCCTGTCTGTTTTCACACAAATGGACTTGCTGGGATCAGTAGGGAGACACCTCTGGTCTTAATACCTGCAGCGTTGCAGGTCTGGGTGTGGTCATAGCCATCTTGGCATCCAAGTGCAATGCATTACTCATGTTTGTGGTGATGCTGGTGTAGACAAACCTACCGTGCTGCAGTTGTACAAAAATATCTCACAGACAGTTATGTAAGGTATATAATACTTGATAATGATAATACAATGACTATGTTACTGGTTTGTGTATTTCCTATACATATGTAAACAAATAACTATCATTTTTATTGACTATGTGAATATGACAATATACTTTTTACTGTTATTTCAGAGTATACTCCTTGTACTTATTTTTTTAAGTGAACTATAAAATAGCCTCAGGCAGGTCCTTCAGGAGGTATTCCAGAGGAAGGTATGTTATCACAGGAGATGACAGCTCCATGCACATTGTTCCCCCAAAGACCTTCCAGTGGGACAAGATGTGGAGATGGAAGGCAGTTGTGATATTGATGATCCTGACACTGTGTAGGCCTAAGCTAATGTGTGGTGTGCCTTAGTTTCTAATAAAACAGTTTAAAAAGTAAAAAAAAAAACAAGAATTAACAAGAAAAGCTTATAAGAATAGAGACAAAATATTTTTGTATAGCTGTGCAATGTATTTGTGTTTTAAGCTGTGTTATTATGAGTCAAAAAGTTTTTTAAAAATTAAAAAGTTTATAAAGTAAAAAAGTTATAGTAAGCCAAGGTTAATTTATTATTGAAGAAAGGAATTCTAAATGAATTTAGTGTCATCTAAATGTACAGTAAATCTACAGTAGTGTACAATAATGTCCTAGGCCTTCATCTTCACTCACCACTCACCTACCGATTCACTCAGAGCAACTTCCAGTCCTGCAAGCTCCATTCATGGTACGTGCCCTCTACAGGTATACCTTTGAAAAAAACTTTTGTACTGTATTTTTTTACTGTGCCTTTTCTATGTTTAGATATGCAAATGCTTACCATTGTGTTACAGTTACTTACAGTATTCAGTACAGTCACATGCTGTACAGGTTTGTAGCCTAGGAGCAATAGGCTGTACCATATAGCCAAGGTATGCTGTAGGCTATACCATCTAGGTTTATGTAAGTACACTCAATGATATTTGCACAATAATGAAATCACCTCATGATGCATTTCTCAGAACATATCTGATATGGTTTGGCTGTGTCCCCACCCAAGTCCCATCTTGAATTGTAGCTCCCGTAAGCCCCACATGTTGCGGGAGAAAACCAGTGGGAGGTAACTGAATCATGGGGTAGGTTTTTTCCATGCTGTTCCCCTTATAGTGAATAGTCTCACAAGATCTGATGGTTTTATAAAGGGCAGTTCCCCTGCACATGCTCTCTTGCCTGCTGCCATGTAAGATGTGCCTTTGCTCCTCCTTCACTTTCTGCTATGACTGTGAGGCCTCCCCAGCCATGTGGAACTGTGAGTTCATTAAGCCTCTTTTTCTTTATAAATTACCCAGTCTGGGGTATAACTTCATTATCAGTGTGAGAATGGACGAATACAATATCCCTGCCATTAAGTGACCCATGATTGTACATAGTTCCTTTTTAGCTTAAGAGAGAAGGCCAAACAAACAAGAAGTTCTTACAATGCTTCAAATGCACAAATAATTTAAACAAGTTCTTGTAAATGTTTTTCTCCTGAATCAAAGGAATTTACAGAGAAAAGGAATTTATGGTGGGTTTAAATAACTTTAACTTTGCTCTGATTTCAGCTTTTAAAAATCTTGCTAAGGGAAGATTTTTAGACAAAGCTGGAATTTCCCTTGAAGGAACTCTTTCCCTTTATTTCCACATTGTGGGGTGGGGCCTGCATGCTCCTATGAGGGATCTGCTAAGGGAGTCTCTAATGTTAGCCATTATACTCCTTTGTATCCTTTTTTTTTTTTTTCCAATTAGTCACTTAAATTTTTTATTTGCTGTCTGTAAGAAGTCTTTTTAAAGAGACAATAAAAAATTTTGAAATCTTCTTAGAAGCTTCTGCACATCAATAGACACCTCTAGATAGCCTAATTTGGGAGCCCTAATTTTTAAATGTACTTCTTAAAGTGTGTTGTTGTTCATATGGAACATTCTAGATGATAGCCATTATATTTTAAAACTATCTTTGCTGTAATTTGCCTATTGGCTTAAAAATGTGCATGAGAAAGGGCCACAATGTTTGAACATGTAGTCAGCTGGAGTCCCTAAAGAAGGACTATCTCTTCAAGCTTTAGAATTTGGGGATTCCATTCTCCTTCTTATTAATTTCCCAAGAGCAAAAGGAAAAACTTTATAAATATACTCACCACAAATGTGGTGCAATCCACATTTCTGTCCAGCCATTTTCTTGGGGGCTGCCAACCTTTTGATCGGGCACCTGCAGAGGCAGGCCTAATAAGCTGTATGCCCTGGTAGATAGAAAGCCAAAACAGTGTTGACCTGTGCCCCTGATTATGTTATTTTGCCCTTGGAAGATGTTCAGAAATAAGAAAAATCTAACTCACCAAAACTGTAAGCCAGACATGCAGGTCAAACCAGAAGGATGATGACCTTTAGGCTTTTATAGAACCAGATATTGAATAAAGTTAACCGAAATTCAGGAGCAACCAAAATTCAAGAGGAGACTGACCAGGGCAAAGCGACAACTCATGGAAGTGGGGCGTGCAAGTGGCTTGGTGGGTACAGCACATAGTCCTGGGGGCCACCAATCTGTCTGAGGTGAAGCTTGCTTTGGATTCCACTTTTGACATCATTGTATATAAACCTAAAATTAAACTCAAAGGGATAGGCTCTCCAGAACAAATGTGTTTATTTGCGAATAGTGAGGGGTTGCAAGCTCAGGATATGTGGGCTATGATTGATCATAAACATATCCAGGAGTATTGGGGCAAAGGAGAGTCTTTGAAAGACAAAAAGAAGTCCACATAAATTGCTTTGAAACAAAGTCCATAGATCACAGAAGCTCATGACAGAGTTGGCATTTGTTCATTGGTGGTGACAGCCATTGTCAGCTAAGTGTCCTGGTGTAGCCAGCTCACCTAAAATACTGCAATATTGAGAAAGTTCTTCTGATAAGCTGTTATAGGGTACATGCAGGGCATGTATGCTATGTGGGACAAGTGGGGCATGTGGGGTGTGTAGGAATTTCTTGTGATAAGACAGGGTACAGATATGCATATGAGAGCTCCTTCTTTCATGCCCCCAACTCCATTTTATTAGAGTTTTGACATAAGAGACTCCATTTTGGTACCAGCAACTTGCACAATTCCAACTAATCCAGGGTTCTAACTGAATAGATGGCAATTGATTGATTTTGCAAATAGTGGGCCCTAACATAACATTGTGAACACGACCCATGTTTACTTATTTCATAAACCAGGTGTAAACCTGTTTTAACCAATCCTGAGTGCAATCCAAGTATTGTAATTGTTCTGCTGCTTTGTTAGTTAACAAAGCAGGAGAACAGTTGTTCTAATAAGTGGATCTCTTTTAATTCCCAGGACTTGGGGATCTTTTGTTCTGTTGAGATTTTTGCAGGGCTGGTATTTGTTGTAACAATTCGGCTGAAAGATAAGAACATGGATGTATGTAGCCGTGTGAAGTGCTTTGCTGAGAGCAAGGAAGATTATTTTGAGTCACTGCACCTGCCTGCCTCCCTGGCTATAATACAAAAACATAATCCTTTCAAATAAAGGAGTGTAGGAAGTGACCGTCCCTCAGCCTCACCAATCAATTCAAATTAGTTCCAAGAAAACAGATTCAAATCAGTAACCCAAACCCTACCCAGAGCCAATTCTTTCTGAACAATAGCTGTTACCAAGGTCTCAGGAGCATTAGGTGCTCAATTCTATTTTAAGTAGCATGGTTGGAGCTTAACCCCAAGTCAGGTTTAAGTGATTAAACCAGTTAAGTAATTAATTTTATTCTGCCTCTTTATTTAAAAAGGACATGAGGGGTTTTACAACTTAAAATACGGTGACCATGAAGCATTTAAAAAGAGACTGGAAGCCTCATAATGGCAAAGTGGGAAATATTCTATCAGGAATGTGGACAAATAGTTTGAGCATGAAATTTGACTCTGAGCTTCCTAGCACTCAAGGCAAAAAGAGAAATGGTGGACCATGTAAATTTAATCACCTGATTTTCAAGGAAGAGTAAGAACAAAACCAAGAAGTAGCAGCATCAGCATTTTGTTTGTTTGCTTGTTGACAAGCAGCATTTTTGTTTGGAGAAGCAAACATTCACTTGGCATTACATTTCTGGAAAATTAGATTTCGTAGATCCTCATGTAAGAGACTTGGGGTAACTTGTTCAGAGATGTCTTTGACTGCGGTTTTGCAGAAGCAAAAATGGTTTAGGTCTCACCATGAAATCATGAAAGCTCGAATCAGTGACGTTTCTTCTCGGGAGAGCAGTCAATTTATAATTAAGCTCCCGCGTCCACGCCTGATCCCATGTCACATTTATTTTTGACTTTGGTTCAGGGATGAGAGGTGGTTGCTCACAATGACTTGAGTTTCAGAAAGATGGATTTGAGAGTCACGGCTGATACAGGTAACACAAACAAGCCAGCTTGAGTCAGCCACCAGAAAACCCCCATGCCTTCTATTTCCACTAGTTGCTCAATACTGTATTTACCTCTATGTGCTGCTCTCAAGAGAGAAAGTAAAAAAACCAGGGTGATCTTGGCTAGAGTTGCCACAAGGACTAGCACTGACTTCACGGCCTGAAGAGGAGCTTCAGCTGTTGGAAATTCTCAGTGTGCACATTTTGGCATTTCCACCTGGAATGTGGTCCTGCTGGGATGGTGGCAAACAGCCAGACCTGTACAAGTGGCCTGTGCTCAAAGGCAAATGTCCTGGCCCTGGGCTTGCCCTCCTGAACCAGCTGACAAGCTGGCCCAGTTCCAGTGTTTAACCTTGTATACAAAGGCAACTTTTCTTAAATCACATTTGCCGGGGAATTCAATTACCTTGTTTTCTTGCCTTCTCTCTTCTGGTACTTTTGCAACCAGCTGTGAGAACTGCATTGCAAATGCCTGTAGGGAGTGTTTAGAATCACAGTGACCCCTATCACTCTTGTCGGCGATTCCCAGGGAAGATTCCAGCTTCTCTGGATTGACAACCAATGCTTCCCACAAGGAAAGGGTACAGAATTAAATGCAGACACTCCATCTCCTGCTTCCAGCCTTCTTAATGAGAAAGTTTCCACTTGTGGGGACAGCTCAGTGATTGATTCTTTTTAGCTGTGTGTCTTTTGGAAGGCACAGATTCCTTCTTAGGGTGCCAGGTGAATGGCAGCGGTGGTGAGTAACAGTCTTGTCTCTAGGACAGTGTGCTCTTTTGTGGTCAATGGAAGGGCATGAGTTGGCTTTGGGAAGCAAGGGCTGGGGCTGTCCCCTTGCTGCCAAAGTCAAGTCAAAGGACAGGAAACAAGCTCCCCAATTTCCCCAGTTTATTAAACTGGTGCATTCTGCGGCACCCTGTGCAGGTCTGAGCATAGCAGATGTGGGGCTTTCCCTGTCCAGGTGAGTCAAGTGATTCAGCCCTCTGGCTAATTTTCTTTCTTGGCACTTGGCTCTAAGTCTTGACTTGACTCTAGAAAAAATATGCTTCTCAGAAATGGGTACCACTTGGCTAAATCACCTACAAGGGAGCCAGATATCTCTGCAGAAATTCTCTAGGCTCCCCCAGCCATCCAGGGAGTAATGTTAATAAAAAATTAATAATAGCTGCTATTCTGTATATAGTACTTACTATGTTTCAGTCTGTGTTGTAGGCATTTTCCATATCCTTATTCATTTGATATTCATAAAAGCCCTATGATGTGGGTGATGTTGTTATCCTCATCTACAGATGAGGAAACTTGGGAACAGAGAGATTCAGTAACTTGCCCAAGGTCACACAGTGGTGGAAAAAATGTCTGTGAAACCTGCAACTTTGTTCTGCTCTTTCGAGTTGTTTTGACTATTCAGGGTCCTTTGGGATTTCATATGAATTTTATAATAAATTTTTCTATTTCTACAAAAAATATCATTTGGGATTTTGATAGGAATTGCATTGATCTTAACTGCATTAGTCTTCCAATCCAGTGAAAAGACACTGAATGTCTTTTCATTTAATCGTGTCTTCTTTAATTTTTTAGCTATATTTTGGTAGTTTTCAGTGTATAAGTCTTTCACTCCCTCAGTTAATTCCTAAGTATTTTATTCTTTTTGGTGCTATTGTAAATGGAATTGTTTTCTTAATTTTCTTTTCCAATTGTTCATTTTTAGTGTATAGAAATGCAGCTGATTTTTCTGTGTTATTTTGTGTCCTGGAATTTTGCCAAATCCTTTGTTAATTCTAACAGTTTTTTTTGTGGACTCTTTGGGGTTTTCTACATATACAATTATGCCATTTGTGAACAGACAATTTTACTTTTTACTTCCGAATTTAGATACCTTTAATTTCTTTTTCTTGCCTAATTACTCTGGATCATTCTTTCAATATAATCTTTTAAATATGATGTTAAATCCAGTTTGCTAATATTTTGTTAAGAACTTTTGTGTCAATATTCATCAGGGGTATTGGTCTGCAGTTTTCTTGTAATGCCTGTGTCTGTGGTATTAGGGCTCCATGCAATAAGTTAGGAAGTGTTTCCTTCTCTTCAATTTTTTGGAAGAGTTGGAGAAGGATTGGTGTTAATTCTCCTTCAATTGTTTGGTAGAATTCATCAATGAAGACATAAGGCCCTGAGCTTTTATTTGTTGGGAGTTATTTTGATTACTTATTCCATCTCCTTATTAAAACTATAGGTCTATTTAGATTTTCTGGTTTCTTCATGATTCAATCTTGGTAGCATGTATTTCTAGGATTTGTCCGTTTCATCTAGGTTATCCAGTTTGTTGGTTTAGGATTGTTCAAAGCACTGTCATAATCTTTTGATTTCTGTAAAATTAGTACTAATGTTTCATTTCTCATTTTAGTTATTTGAGTCTTCTCTCTTTTTTCCTCCTAGTTGATCTAGCTTGTCTCTGTGTATTTGACTATGCTAGATACCTTATGTAAGTGGAAAAAGTCCTTTTGTGTCTGGCTTATTTCACTTAGAATAATGTTTTCAAGATTCATCCATGTTGTGGTATCACATTTTTAAAAAAAGGTGCATTTACTTGGAACTTAGATATGCAGAAGGGATCTTAAGCATTATCTAGTTATTTTCAAAGATGATGAAACTAAGAAGCAGAGTGGTTAATTGACTTATTCAAGGTCCCTAGGTAGTTAGAGGCAGGGGTAAGGGCCAGAACTCAGGTCTCTTAGTAAAGTATTGAATAGAACTGCTGATAGTAGAATTTTTTTTTTTTTTTTTTTTTGAGACAGAGTCTTGCTCTGTCAACAGGCTGGAGTGCAGAGCCACCACTGTGTCTCACTGCAGCCTTGACCTCCAGGCAAGAGTGATTCTCCCACCTCAGCCTCCTGAGTAGCTGGCACTACAGGTGCACTCCAACACACCTGGCTAATTTCTATTTTATTTAGTTATTTATTTTGCAGAGACAGGGTTTTGCTATGTTGTCTAGGCTGATCTTGAACTCCTGGGCTCAAGCAATCCACCTGTCTCAGCCTCTTGAAGTGCTGGGATTACAGGCATGAGTCACCCGCACTCAGACAGTAGTAGATATTTTTGTCTTGTTTTCAAACTCAGAAGAAAATTATTCAATAGTTTACCACTAAATTGGATGTTAGCATAAGTATTTTGTAGACATTATGATAAAAGGTAGCAACAAAATGTCTGCAAAACCCTAATGTCTATCAAATAAATTTACATAGCAATGAAAAAGAAGAAATTAATAATACATTCAGCAGTATGGTACCTCTCTTGGCTGTAACAATAAGCTAAGAAAGCCAGACACAAGAGTACATTCTATGTGATTCCACTTTTATGAAGTTCAAGAACAGGCAAAATGAATCAGAATACTGGTTCCTGAAGCAGGGGATGGACAAGGAAGGAGCATGAATGAACTTTCATCAACTGGTGCATTCATGAAGGGGAGCTGGAGATGTGTTATATCTTGATCTGAATGGTAGGTATAGATGTGTATGTGTATGTGCATAAAAATTCACTGAGCTGGCCTGGTGCGGAGGCTTACGCCTGTTATCGCAGCACTTTGGAAGACTGAGCTGAGGCCAGGAGTTCAAGTCCAGCCTGGGTAACACAGCAAAACCTCACCTCTACAAAAAATACAAAAATTAGTCAGGTGTGATGGTGCATGCCTGTATTCCCAGCTGCTCGGGAGCCTGAGGTGGGAGGATCACCTGAGCTTGGGAGGTCAAGGCTGTAGTGAGCCGAGATTGTGCCACGGCACTCCAGCCTGGGTGAGAGAGTGAGACCCTGACTGAGAAAAAGAAATAAAAACTGAAAAAAAAAAAATCCACTGAGCAGCATACATACAACTAATGCACCTTAATAAAAACACTTAAAATTGTGCTTTAATAGAAAAGTCAAAATTCTATGTGTTTTACATGGAACTATAGCAGTGTTTCCACCAGTGGCAGCTGCTATTATTCTGCTACAGTACATCCATGGTTGTGCTTCTTAAACTTTTTATTTCTTATTGCCCATGCCCTATGCAATAATTAATTATTTCAGTTTTTAAAATATTTCTACAAGCCAAAGAGATTTTGTAGGCTTTACTTTCAGCAGTTTCTATTAGTAAAACTGTAGGCTCTTGGGCTATGCTTTTGTAAACTCCTTCTGAAAATTCTCATAGCTGTTGGGGCTGCCTGCCCACGTGGCTTGAGACTGATTGCTTCATCACGGCCCCCTGAAAAAATAATCCTTTTGAAAAAGGGGAAACTAAAGATGATCTGCAAAAGTGCAAATGACTTGTTTTTGGTGGATATGTGTTGACCCCTAGGGATCAAGGCACTTGCAGATCATCTATATACAATTGTCAGTCTAGAATTTTCCAGGCCTGGGCATTAAGCTCTCTGGTGGGGAGAATTCCCACCTGCTCTAAGGACACCACAAACTCTGATAAACCCCAACCTGGACGTTTGCTTACGTTGATAAATTCCCCCCGCTTTTTTTTTTTGTTTGAGCCAATTTAAGTTTGGCAATCTGCTATTTGCCACTGAAAACATCCTGACTGATACAAAAAGGAAACTGACCCTGAGAAACTATCATGTGGCAATCACTTTGGGGCCACTGACATTTAAATCTTAAATCAACAAAATGAAGTAGATGCTAGTCTGCCAACCAATAGATGAGGAAATTGAGGTTCTGCGAAAGCAAATGCCTTCCCCTAGTTGGAGGAGTCAGAATTTGAATTCAGATCCCGCTGTTAGTACTCATGTTCTTTCCACAACTCATTATCTCCCTCTTAACCACCATGCCCAGGTATGTTCTACAGTCTACTTTGAAGACGTTCTCTTTGATGGAGACTGGCCTGAAAACAGATGATTTCCTCTAACCATGCCTGTCCTATACAGTAACATAGCACCTCCAAAGTTATTTTCTATATACAACCCTAATGTTCCTCTAGGTGTTAATAGTGTACTACAAAAAGAAAATTATTTAATGGTCGAATGACTTGGGAAATGCTACTCCATCTAAGAGCCACACATTCATTGGCACTGTAAAGGTTCTGATAAATTCTGCAGCAAATAACCTGCTTAATTTCACTTAAACCAGTGTTACCCAAACTTATTGGTCACAAAACCCTGTTTTGGAGTAGTATTTATTAAAATTTTGGTGGGATACTAAGGGTTCTCAAATAGGGTTTGAGAAATGCTGATGTCGTGGGCCAAACCCTGGGCTTGGTAGCAGAGACTCCGTTGGGTAGCCCTTATGAAGTCTATTTACCTAAGCTTCGGAGTATCAAAGTAACCTGCTTTACAAGGAGCTGTTAGAATTCAGATAAGATGCAATAGCCTGAGCAGCTAACATCTGCTGTGTGTTTGTTCTGCCAGGCCCTGCTTAAACATTGTATACATTAATGCACTTCATTCTCACCACAGCCCTATGTGGTAGATTCTGTTAGGTTCTCAGGGGAAATGATGCTCGGGAGGGTCTTACAGTCTGCAAGTAGAAAAGCCAGGATTTGATTCCAGATAGTCTGGGCCTAGAGCCTTTGCCACTGCCATCCTGCCTGTCAGGTCTTGGTGCTCTGACAGTGACCAGGAGGAGGCCGTTTGACAGCCCTTCATGTATTTTCCAAATTTCTGCACTTTCCACACTTCAGCCTTCTTGCTTCAACCTTGGCCATGTTAACACAAAGAAAACAATCTCTGAACTGTACTGTGCTAGAGAAGCTGCTGGAAATTCCACATTAGTACACCACGGCATTTCCACCCAGGGTGTGGGCATGACTTTAAGACAACACAGTCTTCCCACAGTCCATGGATGAAGTGATGGAGGAGGGAGCCCTGGCTTGGTGAACCAACTTGGCTTCCTGCCCATGGGCATCAGTGGTGGCCAGAGGAGTATCCTCCAGGGCCCGTGCTTGCTTCATGTGCTGGAACAGCTCTCAACTCTGCACTGGCTCTTCAGGAGCCAATACCCATCTAGGAATACTGTTTCCTCCTTCCTTCCCTTCCTCTTGTCCTTTTTTCCTTCTTTCCTCCCTCAATTTAAAATGTTTTAAATAGATAAAATTTATGTAGGGAAAAAAACAGCATCAAAGAATATAGAATAAAAGTTGGGCCGGGCACAGCGGCTCATGCCCCTGTGATCTCAGTGCTTTGGAAGGCCGAGGCGGGAGGATTGCTTGAGCCCAGGAGTTCAAGACCAACTAGGGCAATGTGGTGAGACCCCATCTCTACAAAAACTTTTTAAAAATTAGCTGGGTGTGCTGGTGCATGCTTGTAGTCCTAGCTACTAGGGAGGCTGAGGTGGGAGGATCAGTTGAGCCTGCAAGCTTGAGGTTGCAGTGAACTATAATGGCACTGCTGCCCTCCAGCCAGGAGGCCCCCAGCCAGGAGCTAGAATGAGACCCTGTTCCTTAAAAAGAATTGTCTTATTCCCAAGCTTGATTATCTTCCATGCCCAATTTCTCTTCTTGGAGCCCATCACTCTGCTAGTTTTCAATGTTTCTTCCTAAGACGTTTAATGTATAAAAACCTACAGATGCATCCCTCCCCCACTAATTGTTCAGAAATCATATTATACTAAAACACCTTGCTTTTTAAACTTAAATATCTACCTTGGAGGTTATAGCGTATCAGTCCCTAAAGACCTGCTGTTTGTCTGTAAGCTACAAAAGACGTCGTCAATTTCTTTAATGTAATTTATCTCATGCCCACTCTTTCATTCACAACACATCATCTGGCTTGGTTGGTCTTGCCCATAGGGGCCTGCTCAGGAATCTACATACACACCTACACATATATGTATCTGAATATGGGCTGAGGCAACTTTCAACCTGAACCAAATGAAGAAAACCAGAGGGTTGCCAGGTGCAGTGGCTCACACCTGTAATCCTAGCACTTTGGGAGGCCAAGGTGGGTGGATCATGAGGTCAGGAGTTCAAGACAAGCCTGGCCAATATGGTGAATTCCCGTCTCTACTAAAAATACAAAAATTAGCCAGGCGTGGTGGCACGCCTGTAATCCCAGCTACTTGGGAGGCTGAGGCAGGAGAATGGCTTGAACCCAGGAGGTGGAGGTTGCAGTGAGCCAAGATCGAGTCATCGTACTCCTGCCTGGGCAACAAAGTGAGACTCCATCTAAAAAAAAACCAAAAACCAGAAAACAAAAACAAAAAAAACAACAGAAGGTTTGATGGGAATGACTGAGCCCAAGTGCTGGGAGGAGGGTGATACTCATTTTCCTCTACAGTAATCAAATCCACATGTGACAGAACAGAACCTCTCTGGACAGCCTCTTTTTTCACCCTGTAAAGGTGGACTCAGCCCTTCAACACACCCTGCAAATGCCAACCTCATAGCATATTAATAAGAAACAGATGTTGTGGGAAGTCAGGGACCCTGAACAGAGGGACTGGCTGAAGCCATGGCAAAAGAACATAAATTGTGAAGATTTCATGGACATTTATTAGTTCCTCGAATTAATACTTTTATAATTTTTTACACCTGTCTTTACTGCAATCTCTGAACAAAAATTGCAAAGATTTCATGGACATTTATCACTTCCCCAATCAATACTCTTGTGATTTCCTATGCCTGTCTTTACTTTAATCTTTTAATCCCATCATCTTCGTAAGCTGAGGATGTATGTTGCCTCGGGACCCTGTGATGATTGCGTTAACTTCACAAATTGTTCATAAAGCATGTGTGTTTAAACAATATGAAATCTGGGCACCTTGAAAAAAGAACAGGATAACAGCGATGCTCAGGGAACAAGGGAGATAACCATTAGGTCTGACTGCCTGAGAGCCAGGCAGAACAGAGCCATATTTCTCTTCTTACAAAAGCGAATAGGAGAAATATCGCTGAATTCTTTTTCTCAGCAAGGAACAGCCCTGAGAAAGAGACACATTCCTAGGGGGAGGTCTCTAAAATGGCTGCTCTAGGAATGTCTGTCTTATACGGTTGTGGATAAGCGATGAAATAAGCCCCGGTCTCCCGTAGCGCTCCCAGGCCTATTAGGACGAGGAAATTCCTGCCTAGTAAATTTTAGTCAGACTGGTTGTCTGCTCTCAAGCGCTGTCTCCTGATAAGGTGTTATCAATGACAATGCGTGCCCAAAACTTCATTAGCAATTTAAATTTTGCCCTGGTCCTGTGATCTCGCTCTGCCCCCATTTGCCTTATGATATTTTATTGCCTTGTGAAGCATGTGATCTCTGTGACCCACACCCTATTCATACACTCCCTCCCCTTTGAAAATCACTAATAAAAACTTAATGGTTTTGCGGCCTGGGGGCCATCACAGAACCTGCCGACATGTGATGTCTCCCCTGGACACCCAGCTTTAAAATTTCTCTCTTTTGTACTCTTTCCCTTTATTTCTCAGACTGGCTGACACTTAGGGAAATAGAAGAGAACTTACGTTGAAATATTGGGGGTGGTTCCCTTGATAAACAGATATTTTACCAACTCTTTGGTGGAGAGGTAGGAAACAGGTTTTCCATGACACACCACATGGCCAGACTTCATCAAGGCCACCTCATCGCCTGCTCTCCCTCAGCCTCACTCACCTCCTCTTCCGCTACATCTTCCTCTTAGCTCTCTCCTGCTTCCCTTTCTGGTCAAGAGCAATTTCACCCTCTTGCCTTCTCCCCTTTGCCTCCTCATGCCCACTCCCTCAGCCTGCACAGAGCGTTTCTCCAGTGTAGTCTCTGGTCCATCTGCATCAAAATCACCTGCAGGACTTGCTGACAATGCAGTTTCCTGGATCCCACCCAGGACTCAAAAAAACTAGGAATTGGGAGAAGAGGGACCTGGAATCGGTGTTGCTAGCAAGCCCCCAGGTGGTTTGTAAGTGGACTAAAGTTTGAGGACCAGACATGGAAGGTTGGCTTTGGCACCATCAGCTGGATCCAGGAATTTGGAGCCAGGTTGATGGGGTCAAGTGGTATTATACGTGGTGGCCTGTGGGTAGGAAAGCCACCATCTGGGGGTGCTCTATTCAGAAAGGGACTGTGACATGGCCCTACTATTACTGCGTCCAATCTCTGGGGTGAAGGAGGAAACTGCATCACTCTGCTTTGCATGTGGCAGGCCCTGCTTGGAGGCCAGCAATTGATCCCCTTTTCAAAAATTAGGGTAGAAGTGATATGCAGTGCACAAAATCTAATTGTGCAGCTTGATTGATTTTGACATAATTATACTCCTGTTGAACCACTGCCCCCATCAAGATCTACAGCATAGGCTTCCTTGAGCCCCTTCCTCATACCTCCCTGCCACTACTGTAACTACTATTCTGACCTCTATCACCATGGATTAATTTTGTTTGTTTTTGGACTTTGTGTAAATGGAATCACACGGGCTGTACTCTTTTGTATTTGGCTTCTTATTTTTTGAGGCAGAGTCTCACTCTGTCTCCCAGGCTGGAGTGCAGTGGCACAATCTCAGCTCACTGCAACCTACACCTCCTGTGTTCAAGTGATTCTCCTGCCTTGGCCCCCCAAAATGCTGGGATGACAGGCACGAGCCACCATGCCCAACCATATTTGGCTTCTTTTACCCCACATTATGTCTGTGAGATCCATCCATGTTTTTGCACATAATAGAGAGTCTGTCTTTTTCATTGCTGTTTACCAGCGGTCAGCAAACTATTTCTGCAAAGAACCAGATAATAAATACCTTTGGTTATGAAAGCTATAGTCTCTGTCACAACTATTCAACCCTGCCATCATAGCTCAAATGCAGTAATAAGCAACACACAAACAAAAAGTAGGCTACAGTTTGGCCTGTGGGTCACAGTTCACCAATCTCTGCTGTACAATATTTTGTTATAAATAATCATGAATATACGACATGGAAGAATGAGTTATGATGAGAATTAGAAATAATTATGAATAAAGCACTATGTATTCAGTTACCCATTCTCCTGTTATGGGTATCTGGGTTATTTCCAGTCTGGGATGCAATGATTAGTGCTGCACTGTGTTTGGTGAACATATTATGCACACATTTTGTGCTATTGTCTTAGTAGTTACTGCCAAGCAGTTTCTCAAAGCAGTGGTACCAAAGCACACTCCACTAGTAAAGTTGCTTCACATTCTCAAGAACACTTGATACAGTCAAATTCTTTAGCTATAGCCATTTAGGTAGGTGCATCGTGGTATCTCATTGCAGATTTTAATCTGCATTTTCCTCAAGATGAATGATGTTGAGCACCTTTTCAAATGCTTGTTGGTCACTTGGATATTCTCCTTTGTGAAGTAAGAATTTTCTAGTATTTCTAAACATTGAATTATTTGTCGTTTTCTTGTCTTTTTCTTGTTGATTTATAGAAGTTTGATATATATTTTGGACACAAATGCTTTGTTAGATATCAGTCCACAGTTTGCCTTTTCACTTTTTTTTTTTTTTTTTTTTAAGACAGGAGACAGAGTCTTGCTCTGTTGCCAAGGCTGCAATACAGTGGCATGATCTTGGCTCAGCTCACTGCAACCTCAGCCTCCTGGGCTCAAGTGATCCTCCCATCTAAGCCTCCCAAGTAGCTGGGACTACAGGCATCCACCACCATGCTTGGTTATTATTACTTTTTTTTTTTGTAGAGATGTTGTCTCACCATGTTGCCCAGGCTGGTCTCGACCTCCCGGGCTCAAGCAACCCTCTTGCCTCAGCCTCCCAAAGTGCTAGGATTATAGGTGTGAGCCCCACACCTGGCCACTTTCTTAATAATATCTTTTAATGAAGGATGGTTTTTAATTTTAATGAGGTCCAATTTAACAATCTCTTCTTTATGGTTAGTGCTTTTTGTGTTCTGTTTAAGAAATCTTTGCCTGCCCAAAGGTCATGAAGATATTCTCCTGTTTTCCTCTAGAAGCTTTATTGCTTTACTTTTCACATCTAGGTTTATGATCTGTCTTAATTCCTTTTTCTGTTTGATTTGAGGTAGGAGTCAATGTTCATTATAGTTCATATAAAAATCCAATTGTTCCAGTACCATTTAGTGAAAAGACTATCTCTCCCCCATACATAGTGATAGGAAGGCTGCATTTAATGTCGAGCTCTAGTCTTTAAATGGAATCTGAACACCTGTAGTGTTTTCAAAGTCTCTAGACTATGGGTCAGGAGGAAGAAATGAAGGGGAGTGGGTCTAGATGCTCTAGGCATCTAGCGTCATCTGGCGTCATCAGCTCTAAAATGAAGGGCATCCAGGGAAAGGAGGTTGATTCTTTCCATCTGTGGAGTTCTCTGACTTTGTAACACAGAGTATCCATTAGGCCTCAATTTTTCAGCTGTTGCTGGAAAAACCAGAGATTTCCAAGAAGCTACCCTTGGGAAAAAGAACCCAGCTTTGCATTTTAAAATGTTTTCATTACTCTTCATATCGCTCAAGCCAAATTTTGCTTCCGGAGGAAAACAGGCTCTAAACCATGAAAGACTAAGTAAGCCAGTGCTAGCAGCAGCAGTAACTGGGGAAAGTCCTGTGTATTTCAAGACCAAGAACTGTTTATTTCTGTCAGTGAAAGAGAAAGGGTGACCTGGCTCAGGTTTTGAAGACATCAGACTGTGGGCTAATATTTTCCAGACAGATGACTACTGTCCAGTGCTTTCCTGGACCACTCCCCAGGGCCTGCTCTCTGGCTACGTGAGCCTGGGCAGCCACTCTGCATCTGCAAAAGGCAAAAAAGCAGCTTTTGTGTACATCACACTGATTTCTGGCACTGGATGTTGGTTTTTTTCCCCCACCATTTCCAGAGTGGGAACAACTTGTGTGGGTTTGGACTTGGCTGATGGGCACCGAGCCAGGGAGTGGGTGTGGAGGTAGGGCCTTGGCCCTCAGGTTGATGCTGGAGGAGTATTTCATTCCCTGACTCGGGGTTTATTCCTGAACACCCGGAGTCTGTGGGGAAGCTGCGCCTGGGAATAAGGCACCTTCGGATCTGTGGGCTGTACTATCCCGGGATTATCCTTGGAGTCTGCTCTCTTTGGAAAGCAATAGTAATTGCAATTAACAAAAATTTCTTCTCTGCCTTATTAATCAATGCATTTGTCCAACAGATATTTATTGAGGCAGGCACTATGCATAGCACTTATACATCCATAAGCAAAACAGACAAAAATCCCTGCTTTTGTGGGGCCTTCATTCTAGTGAGGAGAAACAATGAACAAATAGTAAGTAAATGATGTAAGGTGTGAGGTTGAGCTCTGGGGGAGATGCACAGAGCAAGGTGGGGGGGTCAGGAGGGTTGGGGGAAGGAGGGCTGTCATTTTAAATAGGGGTGGCAAGGCTGGCCTCAGTGAGGAGGTGACACATGAGCAAAGACTGGAAGTGCAGGGAAGTGAGTCATGTGTTATCTGGAGGAAAAGTTGTCCATGCAAAGGAAACCTCTGTGGAGGTCTCAAGGCTTTGTCTCACCCCAAGATTAGGCAAATTCTAAATCTGAAGCTTAAAGGAGTAAAGAAGAAACTCCCTCCTTCCTTCTGCACATATTGATTGAGTGCCTGCCACATACCAAACACTGTCACACTCTGTGGTTCTCCTCGAACAGAGAAACAAAGGACGGAGGACTCTCCAGGCCTCTCAAAACAGAATTTGGACATCTTCAGAAATGCCCCCAGTGTGGCAGGCCAGATAGGAATTTAGTGATAGATTAAGTCTCTCTCTAATATTAGAACCTCATAGATATCCCTGAAATGAAATGAAATTGTAATGTGTTCACTCCAACTATTTTTATTTCATCTCAACTAACCCCTATCTTCTGAGGTTTTGATGGGCATTTTAATTAAATCATGAAGAGCCCTTTGTCTCCCGAGAAGGGGGATTGAAGCCTCTCCATCCCTCCGCCTCTCTCCTACCCTGAGTGCTAAGGAATGTGCCTTGTTCTCAGCAGGGTGTTGGGGTGGCAGGACCCAGTTCTGGACACAGCCTTCACCCCAAATCCTACTCCCAAGATCAGAAGGAATCTTCCCAGGAGAGAAAGCAGCAGCCACTCCCAGATGGAGCAGCTGCTGGATCCTGGGTACTTGATAAACATCACTGAAAACAACTTGCCCCCATCCTGTGTGTCTATGCATCCTCTCTGCCCTGGCCTGTTGTAAGCAGCTGTGAACCTTCCCATCATTACACTTCAACTTATGGTTTCCTAACATGATGGGCCAGATCTGTCTGTTGCTGTGCTGAGAATAATCTTGCCTGATTAGTCCATGCTCACATTTCTATAAAGAAATACCTGAGACTAGGCCGGGTGCGGTGGCTCATGCCTGTAATCCCAACACTTTGGGACGCCAAGGCAAGTGGATTACCTGAGGTCAGGAGTTCAAAACCAGCCTGACTAATATAGCGAAACCCAGACTTTACTAAAAATACAAAAATTAGCCGGTGTGATGGCAGGCACCTGTAGTCGCAGCTACTCAGGAGGCTGAGGCAGGAGAATCGCTTGAACCCGGGAGGCGGAGGTTGCAGTGAGCCAAGATTGCACCACTGCACTCCAGCCTGGGCAACAGAGCAAGACCTTGCCAAAAAAAGAAAAGAAAAGAAGGAAATACCTGGGACTAGGTAATTTATAAAGAAAAGAGGTTTAATTGGCTCACAGTTCTGCAGGCTGTACAGGAACCATGATGCTGGCATTTGCTTCTGGGGAGGCTTCAGGAAGCTTTTATTCATTGCAGAAGGCAAAGCAGGCATCTTACATGGCAGGAGCAGGACTGACGGAGAAGGGGGAGGTGCTGCACACTTTTAAAACAGCTGGATCTCATGAGAACTCACTCACTATTACGAAAACAGACCAACAGGGAAATCCACCCCCACCATCCAATCACTTCCCACCAGGCCCACCTCCAACACTGAAGGTGACAATTTGACATGAGATTTGGGTGAGGACACAGATCCAAACCATATCATTGAGGATTTGTCTTTCATCAATTCATTCATGCACTTGTTCATTCTATAGTCATTTGTTCATTTCCATTTTCATGTCCCACAGGTCCTTTAACATTAACGCCTCCAAAATAGACTTCCTGATTTTATCCTTGTCCTAAATTAGTTCCTCGGCCTGCCTTTCCTATCTCAGTCAGGGGCATCCCTGCCCCCCAGTCTCAACAGCCAGAAACCCAGAAGTCACTGCTGTCACCTCTGCTCCCTTATCTTCCATATAAATTCATCTTCAAGTCCATCTCCAACATTTCTAGCCCTACTTCTTCCACTCATCCCCTGTGTGACCTTGGGTAAGCTGATGAACCTCTCTGTGCCTTTCCCCATAGTAACATGGTGATAATAATATCACTATCTCAGAGAATTTTTTCGATGGCTGTAGGAGTTACTGCACATAAAGAACAGTATCTAGCGCATAATAAGAACTAAATATATGCTAGCCTACAGAGATGATGGGAGTAGGTTTTTCTCATCCTGTAGCCAGATGGGAGTCCATGGTAATTCATAAGATTACATTTGTAATGTAATGCTTTAATTTGAATGCATGAAATATTACATTAAATTATAATAAAGGAAAAAACTTTATCTTAACAAAAAATGATACAGTAAAAGAATAATGGCATGGAAAACCAGTCACATATATTATTTATTAAGCAAAAACAATACCACATTACAAAACAGTGTATATGGAGTGATCTCATTTTTATAGAAAAATTACGTGTGTGTGTGTGTGTGTTTGTGTGTGAACAGAAGAACCAGCCAAAATGGTAATAGTGTAACTACCCTCTGGGTGGTAGAAGTATATAGAGTTTTAATCATATTTTCATTGATCTATATTTTTCTACAATAAATTATATATAATTTTTTTTTTTTTTGGAGAAAGAGTTTCACTCCTGTCATCTGGGCTGGAGTGCAGTGGTGTGATTTTGGCTCACCACAGCCTCAACTTCCCGGGCTCAAGTGTTCCGCCCACCTCAGCCTCCTGAGTAGCTGGCACTATAGGCATGCACCACCACACCTGCTAATTTTTTAACCAGCATTTTGCCCTGTAGAGACGGGGTTTCACCATATTTCTCAAGCTGGTCTCGAAATCCTGGGGTCAAGTGATCCACTCTCCTCAGCCTCCCAAAGTGCTGGGATTACAGGCATGAGCCACTGTGCCCAGCCACATATAATTCTTATAATAAAAAAGTTAACAAAAATAAAAGTGAGCAATTGCCGTACCCTTTGGTAGCTCTCTTACCTATAGGATGAGGGGCCCACACTCCTTGGCACAGCCCCCAAGAGCCTATGATCTGGTCCCTTCTATGATCCAGTCATTTCCCTTCCCCTCCCAGCCACACACATGCACAGATACACACATGGATGCACACACTAGAATCATAGTGTCCCCTCCAAATCTCATGCTGAAATGTGATCCCCAATGTTGGAGGTGGGCCCTGGTGGGGAGGTATTTGGGTCATGGGGCGGATTCCTCATAAATGGCTTGAGGCTATCCTCATGTTAATGAGTGAGTTCTCACTCTTGAGTTTATGCAAGATCTGGTTTTTAAAAAGAGTTGAGGACTGCCCTCCGACACCCATCTCTCTCTTGCTCCCTGTCACCATGTGATGTGCTGGCTCCCATTTGCCTTCTGCCATGATTGGAAGCTTCCTGAGGCCCTCACCAGAAGCAGATGCCAACACTATGCTTTGTGTACAGCCTGCAAAATGTGAGCCAAATAAACCTCTTTTCTTTGCAAATTACCCAGTCTCATGTATTCCTTTATAACAATGCATATCAACTAATACAGAAAATTGGTACTGAGGAGTATACCAATTTTGTAGTGTACCAATATTAAGTGTACAATATTGTAGTTCAACAATATTGAGCTACAGTTGACTCTTGAACAACAGGGGTTTGAACTGCATGGGCCCACTTATAAGTGGATTTTCTTCTGCCTCTGCCATCCCTGAGAGGAGACAGCAAAACCAACCACTCCTCTTCCTCAACCTACTCAACCTGAAGATGATGAGGATGAAGACCTTAATTGTGATCCACTTCCACTTAATGAATTGTAAATATATTTTCCCTTCTAATATATAAAAAAATATATATTTTTTGAGACAGGGTCTTGCTCTGTTGCCCAGGCTGGAGTACAGTGGTGCAATCATAGCTCACTGCACTCTTGAACTCCTGGGCTCAAGTGATCCTCCCACCTCAGTCTCCCAAGTAGCTGGGACTAGCTACTTGGCATCCACCATTGTGCTCGGTTAATTAAAAAAAAATTTTTTTTGTAAAGATGGGGTCTCACTTTGTTGCCCAGGCTAGTCTCAAACTTCTGACCTTAAGTGATCCTCTTGCCTCAACTTCCCAAAGTATTGGGATTACAGGTATAAGCCACCCTGCCCGGCCACTTATGATTGCCTTAATAACTTTTCTTCTCTAGCTTACTTTATTGTAAGAACACAGTATATAATACATATAAAAATATGTGTTAATTAACTATGTTATCGGTAAGATTTCTGGTCAATAGTAGACTATTAGTAAAGTTTTTGGGGAATCAAATGTTATACACGGATTTCAGACTGTGCAGGGGTCAGTTCCTCTAACCCCCCACATTGTTCGAGGGTCAACTGTACTTAGAATTCCCCAACCCCAGCCCACTTTTTCAGGCCTCCATTCCTTTGCATGTGCTGTTTGCTTTGCCTAGAACTCCCTTTCTTTCCTTGTCAGCTCAGTGAATACGTTCTTCAAACCCTTGTGCAGTGATCCACACAAAACAACATTGACAAGTTGTAGTTCAATAAAATTTAACACTTTTGCTTTGCAAGATACACTTTAAGAAACTGCAAAGACTGGGAGAAAATATTTGCAAACCCCATATCCAACAAAAGATTTGTACCCAGACTACAGAAAGAATCCACAAAACTCAACAGTAAGAAAATAAATAACACATTTAAAGACCGGGGCCAGGCATGGTAGAATCCTAGCACTTTGGGAGCCCGAGGCGGGTGGATCACTTGAGGTCAGGAGTTTGAGACCAGCCTGGCCAACATGGCAAAACCCTGTCTCTATTAAAAATACAAAAAGTAGCCAGGCATGGTGGCAGGCACCTGTAGTCTCAGCTACTCAGGAGGCGGAGGCAGGAGAATCGCTTGAATCTGGGAGGCAGAGGTTGCAGTGAGCCAAGATTGTGCCACTGCAATCCAGCCTAGGTGACAGAGCGAGGCTCCTTCTCAAAACAAAAACAAAAACAAATTTAAAGATTGAGCAAAGGTTTGAATAGACCCTTCACCAATGAAGATAAAGACATTTTACATGCTTTTTACAAGCATGTAAAAAGATGCTCAGGCCAGGTGCCGTGGCTCACACTTGTAATCCCAGCACTTTGGGATGCTGAGGTAGGTGGATCTCTTGAGCCCAGGAGTTTGAGATCATCCTGGGCAACAAATCTAGATCCCATCTCTACCAAAAAAAAAAAAAAAGTTAGCCAGGTTTTGGCATGCACCTGTAGTCCTAGCTACTCAGGAGGCCGAGGCAGGAGGATCACTTGAGCCCAGGAGGTCGAGGCTGCAGTGAGCTGTGACCACACTACTGTACTCCAGCCTGGGCAACAGAGTGAGACGCTGTCTTAAAACAAAAACAAAAACAAACCAAACCCTGTTTAGGTGCCACTTGTTCTGGGAATCCTCCCCCATCCTCCCGACACTCTGAGTTACATGGGGAAAAGCATATTCAGACAGACAGCAGCTTGGGTATGTGGAAGGTAGCAGGGGAGCTGAGGATCTTCCTGAAGGATTCCCTGAGTTAGACAGTAACTGCCACATAACGTTATGCGAGTGGTTCAACCTCTCTCGCCTCATGGAGAGAAAACCCAAGAGTCTTCATGTTCTACGTGGATTGATGGGTTCACCAAGAGATCATAAAAGCAGTGATTTGATAAAGTCATTAATAGGGCTGTAAAAAGGTTGATTGCCTTTCCAACAAAATTCGGCAAAGTTATTAGCTTCCTCAGAACCCTAGCCAATGCCGTATCAGGGTGCTTTCCAGGGTCGTCCCTTATCATAGTCCATACGCCTCTCCTTCCTCAATGCCTGCAAACTGCTGGCTCTCATTTGTGCCATAAAATAGCAGACTTCCTCAATTAACCAATAGTACCTGTGCCAGACTCTGTCATGGAGCTGCAAAAATGCAAGTTCCCTGAACAGGTTCTTCCAGAGAGCAAGAGGTTACGGTAAAACTCTGGGCAATAAGGAAGCTGGGCCACATGGCGGGAATCATGCAGCCTGGGGAGACTTTGGGACCCTGAAGGCAGTTCTCTCCAGGGCCTGGGTTCTCTCCACCCTGCCTGCCTGTGGCGTCCTGGTCTGGAGCTCAACCCCTCACTCCCTGCTCCTCCTGCAGCAACCTGCCCTGTACTCCCCACTGCAGGCTTCTTCTGCCTGCAGCTCCATCCGTCATCTCTCTGGGGGGCTTTTGGATACCAACTCTGCTATCAATCACCACTCTTCTGTCTCCAGTTCAAACCTGCAGGGCCTGAGGTCCATCAGGGTACCTCTGAGGCCACTGGCTGCTCCCTGGTGACATGCCCACCCTTGTCCAGGCAACTGGAGGGGTCACATGATACACATCAGGGAAACAGGCCAAGGAAACCCCTCAGAAGTGGGCCATGCCAGGGCAGATGGGCTAATGAGGAGTTCTTCCAGATAGGAGTTAAGTACTAAAGACAAAACAATTAATATGGAATTAAAGACACAACCAGGACCTGGAACAAAGTTGCAATCACAAAGCTGTCTGTGTTTCTTGCATTTTCTCCACCTCTTCCAACCCACTGCGGGCTTCAGTTTTCCCTTCTGTTAAGACTGAGAGCATGTATTTCCCACATTCCCTTCTTCATCCATGTGCATTAGATCATCCGGCAAGATAAACAGCAGCCCTGTGACATATATCCCCATTGTCCCCATGTTACGTATGAGGAAGGTGAGTCACATGGATGAGCCAAGAATCTTCCCTAAGTGGGCCTGGCTCACGGCGCTGCTGGCCTCTCGTAAGCAGCTAGTGGCAACCTCAGCTGAGCACTCCATAAATTAAGTGCTCAATGCTCACTGCAGGCTGGAGCCTCAAGTGAGCACCACTGCCGCCGCCAGTCCCCCGTTCCAGCAATTTATTTTAATCCCCTCTTCTTTTCCTCCTGACCTTTCAACTGCCCCAGGTAACAAACTATTTACATGGAAACTACCCAACAGACAGCTAATCTTGTACTGGTCTAGAACAGGGGCAGTAAATACAGGTCATTGGTCATCTGCCCAGGGCAGATGCGGGTGGCTACTTTTTCCTACTGAGCCTTAAAACTACAGAACTTTAACATTGATCTCACTGCAAGGCTCTGAGCAGCCATTCCTTGTCTATGAAGGTTGGCACAATGGATAAAATTCACTGGCCTTGGAATCTGATTCACCCTTCTGTGGGGTTTGCCTGGGGACCTGCAGTTGATCTCAGATCAGCACTAGTTAGATGCTGCCCTCTCTCCACACCCATCCAAAGGCCTAAATAGGAGGCTCAGGTCTTCCTGACAGTAAGAGTGGTGCTTGGGTATGCAAATGGCTGGGAGGATATCCTCTTCCGAAGCCTGTGACAATCCTCCCAGGGTTGCTCTGTGACTCCCACTCCCTCGATGACCTGCTGCAGCTTCCTGCCATATGTAAATCTCTTGCCTGGCTTTCCCCGTCCCCCCTCCTTTCCACTGCCCCACTTCTCAAGCTCTTTTCCAGTAGATAATTAGTGGAGTGGCATTTATATACACACTGGATGAGAAACAGACTGGAAAAACGAAACTCCTATTTATTGTGGACCTGCTATGTGCCACACCCTCTGCAGAAACTTGTGTGACTTTTCTCTTTCTCCTTCCATTTCACAGAAGAAGAAACTGAAACTGATGAGTAATAAAACTTGTGTCACCCAGAATGGGGCCCCCTCCAGGGCCTTCCACAGGCTTAGGGGAATCCAGGTCACCTGTGTGCTTAAGAGCCACCGAGGACGAAGGCAGATTGGACATCTGGAACCACGATGGTCAGGGGCAGGCTGCAGGTTGCTATGTCTCTACTTGATGCAGGTCCTCAGGGAAGCAGGCTGTCCCACCAAAATCAGAGCTCAGAACTCAGGGTCAGGTATCTACTCCCATATGTCCATCCATCCATCCATCCATCCATCCATCCATCCATCCGTTTGTCACTCACTCATTCGTCAATGGTCCATTGGCTACTTCACATCCACTAGAAGCTATATGACACAAAAAAGAAAGCCCATTACTGGTGTTGTCAAGGATGTGGACTGATTGGGACCCTCTTCCTATGCTGGTAGTGATATAAAATGGTGCAGCAGCCACTTCAGAAAATAGTCTGGCAGTACCCCAAAAAAGTTGAACATAAAGTTTCCCTATGACCCAACAATTCTATTCCAAGATAATTGAAAGTACATGTTCACACAAAAACCTGTACTCAAACATTTATATTTGGACAGCAATATTCACAGTGACCAAAAAATAGAAACAACCCAAATGGCCATCAATTGATGAATGGATGCATAAAATGTGGTATATCCATACAGTGGAATATTACTAAGCCATAAAAAGAATGAAGAACTTAAACATGCCACGTGAATGAACCCCAAAAACATTATAAGTGAAACAAGCTAGACACAAAGGGCCAAATATTATATGATTCCATTTGTATAAAACATCCAAAATAAGCAAATCTATAGTGAAAAAAAAGTAGATTTAGTGGTTTCTAAGAGTTGGGGGTAAGAAATAGGGAGTGACTGTTAATGGGTACAGGGTTTCTATTTGGGGTGACAAAAACGTTCTGGAATTAGATAGTGGTGATAGTTTCATAACTTTGTGAATATACTAAAAACCACTGAATTATACTCTTTAAATGGGGGAATTTAATGGCACGTGACTTTTTATCTCAACAAAACAAAATCCACTGAGCACCTAGTCTGGGCCAAGCATGCTGCTGGTGCTGCAGAGATGTGAGACATGACCTTGGCCTTGGGAAGCTTGTGTCTAGTAAAAGAGACAGAGCAGTGAGACCACAATTAAAACAGTGGGATCAGTGTTGAGGAGAGGGGAGCCTAAGGGATTTGGGGAACCCCAAGGGGCTTGAGGATGGAGGGTCAGGGGAGCCCCTAGAGGCAACAATGCCATGAAGTAAAGCAGAGTCTGAAGGGGATTCGAGTCAGGGCAAGGGTGGGCTAGGGAGCTGTCGGGAAGGACATTCCAGCAACAGGGAACAGTGTGTGCAAAGGCATGGCTTACTAGAGAGCTCCTGGAGTTGGGGGGAGCTCTGAAATGCAGGCCAGGATGAGACAGGCTAGACACAGGTATTGGAAGCAGAAGTTCAAGGTTCTTCCTTCCGGCATGGGAGCTTCCCTTGTAAGCTCAGCAGGAGGACAGCCTTTCCTCCTGTTGGGGACTGTCACCTCCTCTGAGAGTACTCCCCCAGGCTTCCCTGCCCAACCCCGCCCCCACCTGGCCTCTTGGGCCCTCCCGGGAGCCCCTGGGGAACTCCTGCATTGCTCAGTCCTTCCTCCAGGGCCCTGACAGCATCACAGATCATTTCATTGATTTTCCTGCCTCTTCCCCAGGAGCTGTCTTTGCCCTTTAAACAGTTGTTGTCTACAAGAGCTTGGTCTTGGGTGAGAGAGGGCTGCCTTGAGCCTCAGACCGGTGGTGTCCCTAAGATGCTCCTCCCAGAAGCATTTGGAATCAAATGGACCTGAATCTTGGTTCTGCAGCTTTAGCTGTATGATCTTGGGAAAAATTCTTTAATCTTCCTAAGCCTCAATTTTGTCATCTGTAAAATAGGGTTGACACAGCTCACCTCACAGTGTGGTGGTGTGGAATGCATGAGATAACACATTAAAAAGGCCCTGGCAGTCAGCTGGGCATTGTTTCTTGAGCTCCAGCATGTGCCAGGTGCTGGGAGAATAGCAGTAGGCAGAGCCAGCCAGCTCGGTGCTGCTGCTCTGCTAAAGCTACAGCTACGCTCCGGCTCTGGCAAGATAGGAGCGTGCTCAAGCTGAACTGCAGGGCAGGTGCTGCGTACATCCTCTCGCTACTCCTCCCCAAGGCTTGAGGAGGTGGGGACTCTGTGATTATCCACACTTTACAGATAAGCAAACTGAAACCAAAAGTAACCTCTCCAATGCCCACAGATGAATTTAGGTGGCAGGCCTGAGACTTGTCCCTGAGTCTGCCTGACAGTGGCCTCTGCCGTTATTAATAGCTTGCCCCCCACAGCCTCCCACTCAAATTGCTGGAGGAATTACCCTTCCTCCCTTCCTCCAATTCTTCCTTCACCCACCAAGAGCCAGACCCCACCTCTGTTTCAAGAGTGAGCCGCTCAGCTTTGGCCAACCGTCCTAGCATTTCGATGCACTTGGCCTGTCCCCCTGGTTTCCACTCTGTTTTTAAGGAGGCAGCCCCTGTCCCCCAAATGCACCGCCTCCAACAGGCTCTGGGACTCATCTTGCCATCTCTATTGGCAGCAGAGTGGGGAGGGAGAGAGACAGCCAGCTTGTCTGCCATCACTCACCACTGGATCCCCAGGGCCCAGCTTGGAAAACTCACGGACGATGCTCAGAAAACCGGTGTAACTCCTGCAGAACAGCCAGGGGCGTGGGCAGCCGCCCTCTCTGTGCCTCCTGTAATGAAAATGGGTGCTAGAGGCTCTTTTCCTTTGGGAAAGGTGAATTACTGGCACAGCCACACGTCTGAGATAGTATTTCAAAAAGTAAGGAGTCACTTTTTATATTATAAAACTAACATATGCACAGATAGCAAATACAGAGAAGGGTAAAGAAAAGATAACTATTGCCCATAATTCTACCACTTTTTAATATTTTAGTATTTTTTTCTCACATTTTTTCTGTCTTTATTTTACATGTTAGGGGTTATCATTTTTCTACTGATATCATGAACATTATTTCTTATCATAAAGACTCTTTTTTTTTTTTTTTAAGAGATCAGAGTCTCACTGTTGCCTAGGCTGGAGAGTGCAATGGTGCAATCATAGCTCACTGCGGTCTCTTAATTCCTCAGCTCAAGTGATCCTCCCACCTCAGTTAGTAGCTAGGTCTACAGGTGCTTGTCACGATGCCCAGCTAAATAAATCCTTTTTTTTGAAACAGGGTCTCACTTTGTTGCCCAGGCTGGGGTGCAATGGTACAATCACAGCTCACTGCAGCATCGACCTCCTGGTCTCAAGCGATCCTCCCACCCCAGCCTCTCGAGTAGCTGGGACTGCAGGTGTTCACCACCACACTTGGCTAATTTTTGTAATTTTTGTATTTTTTGTACAGACAGGGTTTTGCCATGTTGGCAAGGCTGGTCTCAAACTCCTGGGCTCAAGCAATCCTCCCATCTTAGCCTCCCAAAATGCTAGAATTTACAGGCATGAGCTACCACACCTGGCCAAAAAATTCTTAATACACTTTTTTTTTGGCCACGTAATGGTACACTATAAAGCTGGCCTGGTGTGCCTTTCTCTATGCTGATCACTTGGGTTGTTTCTGGCTCTCGTAGAGAGCGATGCTCCAGACATCTCTGTGCACACAGTGGTCAGGCTCTGCAGAAGTTGCCAGTCGTTGCTACATTCTGCCTTTCAGGGGCACTCTGGTGGGGAAGATAACTTTTCCAAGAGCATCAAAGACCAGATATGTATGAGGTGGGGAGACTCAGAAAGCCCAGATACCACAGCTGGAAAGGCCTCAGAGACCCTTAACTGAGGAAAGGGAGGCCCGGAGGGCTTATGTGGCCTAACCAAAGATGCAGCGCTTCTTAGGGAAGGATACAAGAGGGTGGGCTTAGCTGAAGCTCTTGGCATTTAGAACTTCTTGGATCAGCATCCAGCACCCTCAGAGGCTGTACCTGGGGAGGAGGTACCTCTCTTCCTCCATTTGACCCAATTCTAAACCCCCTGTAGCAGTGACGTCTGTCTTCGTCTCATTCCAGTGCACTTTGTGAATTCTAGAGGGCTTTCCCAGAACCAAGGAAGGCTGCTCTGCCCACAGCAGGCCTTGGGAATTTAACCTCCCTGGGAGCAGCCTCAATGAGTGATGCTCTGGAACTGCTGGGTCAGTAGCCCAGCCCCTGGCCCCTTGGATGGGATCATTTGAAGCCCTGTTTTCTGCACCATTTTTCAAGTTCCCTGGTGGGGCTGAGTCTGGTTGCAAATCGTGAAAGCTGCCCTATAGTACTTTTACCAGCTGCCTCCCTTTCTCTGTCTCACTTCCTCATTCCCCTCCTGATGTCCCCTGCACTTCCCAGATACACTACTTGCCCCTGAATCTTGCCCCTTGAACCATCACACCCTGGGACTACCCCAGGTGCCACTCTGTTTGTTGTTTCTCCGCCTAGAAGGACGGGCACCCAGGAAGCAAAACGGGAGGGCAGGGAAGGGAGGGTGTTCTGGGGAGGCTTGACAAGAAACGAGGCTTTTAAAAGAAACAGCAGCAAAGTGCCAGGCCTGCACCAGCCAGCTTGAGTCACACTCCAGGGACTCAGCAAAGCTTGTCCACCTTCCTGGTCCACCCTGGGCCTGTCCATCCTGGAGTGACCACCGGGCGTTTCCAGTAAAAATCCCTTCACTTCACTTCCGTCATCTCCGAGTCAGGCAAGGTGGTGGAAACCGGGGAAGACCTCAGCTTCGGAGCTGCTGGAATTTGTGTGACTCACGCCCTCCAGTGGTCACTTGACAAATGACATAGGGCTCACGGTCTGGGGACTTGAGCTTGTTAGGGCCTCAGAACCGGGAGGGTCCCAGGAATGCCTCTTCTCAATGCCTTCCTTTGACAGCTGAGTGGAGTGAAGGCCCCACAGGACACGTGACTCGCCACGGGACATGCACACACACAAATAGAGAGTAAGAGCCACGCCCCTGTGTTTCCTTCACGTCCCACCTTTATCATTTGTGTCACATCTGCATGCACCTATACTGTTATTTGCTTAAACATTTTACCTTAAACTGGCTCTCTTTAAACCTTAAATATATTTCTAAAATAAAATTTTTATCACTTTCTGTGAGGCGGGGCACACAGTAGGAACTCCGTCTCCTCCTTCCATGGCCTTGCACAGAGCTGGCACCAGACACTGACATGGAGGGGAGAACATTCAACCCCAGGTAATCCTCAGCTCCTACCTTGATCTCAGTTTCCCACTCTCTCATTGTCACCTCTCCTTGCCCCTGGGTGTACTCACCTGTAGCAAAATGGGTAAGCACACAGTGGGCGCACAAGTGGGGTCCAGTCAAGGTCTCAGACCTGGGTCAGTCCTCAGCTTTGCCACTTACAAACTGAGTGACATTGAGCTGGTCGCTCAAACTTTCTGTGTCTCGGTTTCCTTATTGGTGAATTGGGGATAGTATTATAATAGTACCTGCCACACAACGTTGTTGGAGGATTAACTGAGATAATAAATGGAAAGCCCAGGGCCTGGCTGTATTTATGGAGCAAGCACCAGAGCAAGTGCAAGCTGGGACTCCAGGGTTGTAGCCCTGCCACCACCTGACTGTGTGGTCTTGGACAAGTCATTTGGCTTTGCTTAGCCTCAATTTCCCCATCTATAAAATGGGGCTAGTGATCATTCCCACCCCATAGGACTGTTGTGTGGATTAAATGCTTGGTATGTTTAAGTGCCTTGCTCAGTAAACGTTAGCTCTGATCAATTGTTTTTGTAGAAAAGCCTTCAAAGTTGCTAACTTCCGAGGGCTAACTGGATCTGAACCATCTTCACAGCCTGGCATAGAAACAGATCAAATCAATCCAGTGGAAAATCAATTCCAGGATAATGAGCCCAAGACATTCCCGTGCTGATTGCTGTCAGCATGGTGCCTAGGACAGCCTGGGAAGGCAGGGAGGAGGGCATTTCTCCACAGCAGCCTCGGAACCTCTATCGCCACCCTCCGGGGGGCCCACCTGTCCCCCGCCTGCCCTTCAAGGTGCTCTTTGATTTCTCCCCAGCAGAATTCACCTGCTGCATCCATCATCAGAAGAGGCCAGGAATGCGGCCTGCTGGGTGGGCAGGGCCAAGAAGAAGGCAGCCGTGCAGGCCCAGGAAGCCGTAGGAGACTTGCCAACCTCCAGGAGGGGGCCAGCCCTGGACCCTGCAGACAGGCGCTCTGGGGAGGGTACCAGAAGCTCACTGTTTGTCCCGGCTTGAAGGCTGTTTGCTGTGTGACCTTGGTGAGTCTCCTAACCTCTGTGTATCATCACAATCATTATCACTATTTTTACTCTCCTCCTCTTCCTATTTGCCGGTTAAGAGAGGATTGGGATAGTGGTCATGGTTATACAACATTGTGAATATTCTAAAAACCATTGCATTTTACACTTTAAAATAGTTAATTGGTAATTTTATGTTATGTGAAATTTATTCCAATTAAAAATTAAAAATACATACATGAATTTAATGTTACAAAGGGAGAGAGAGGACCGGGAATTTAAAAGCAGGTGTTTGTGGTGGGACGGGGACCTGTCTGAGGAAGGATACTTCAGAAGGCAAGTCCTGGCATCCACTTGCTCTTTGTCAAAAGGGAAATTGTTACTCTCTGACTCCCAGCAAGGATAATAAATTCTTACTTGGCTGACTTTTTGCTCAATGGCTCAAAGCATTTTCTTGTATCTCGTTTATTTACTTTTATTTTTATCACCTTTTGTCACGAGAAAAGTCAGGCCCAGAGAGAAGTGGCTTTTCCAAGATCACATGGTAGGTCAGCAGTGAAGCTGTGCCTCGAACCTGGGACCTTTCAGGCTAAAGGAAACCAGAACATGCCACGCCCAGATATGCCGATATGGCATCCTGATTATCTCCAGCTGAAGGCATTTGAGAAAGAGCAGCTAGAGAGAGGGCTATCTGAACTGCCCTGTCCTGCCTGCAGCAAGCCATAAACATTCCTTGGAGAAAGATGCTTTCCCAGCATCAAGATGAGAAGATAACTTTTATCAGCTCAGAGATGGCACCAGAGCCATCTACAAATACAAACAAACCTTGCTATCCTACTCCTTAGCTCACTTCCACATGTTTACCTTCTCACAGCTTGCCACCCCTGGAAGCCTACAACTGCATTCGTCTTGTCACCTTTCTCTTCTTTCTTTCTTTCTCTCTTTCCTTTCCTTTCTTTTCCTTTCCTTTCCTTTCCTTTCCTTTCCTTTCCTTTCCTTTCCTTTCCTTTCCTTTCCTTTCCTCCTTTCCCTCTTTTTTTTCCTTTTTTTTCTGAGACAGGCTAGGGTGCAGTGGCGCGACCATAGCTCTCTGCAGCCTCTAACTCCCAGACTCAATTGATCCTCCCACCTGATCCTCCTGAGTAGCTAGGACTACAGTAGCTGGGCATGCCACCATACCCAGCTAATTTATTTTCAATTTTTCTGTAGAGATTGGATCTCACTATGTTGCCCAGGCTGGTCTCGAACTCCTGGCCTCAAGCAATCTGCCCACCTCAGCCTCCCAAATTGCTGGGATTCCAGGCATGAACCACCGTGCCCAGCCATCTTGTCACTTTCTAAAATGCATTGCTCTTCATGGCAGATGCTCCATAAGCCAGAGTTCTAAGCCGCAGCATTGAGTTACTTTCACTGAGGCTTCTCCTGCGTGGTGTGCATCACAGACATTAACAAACTTGCTTTTTTTTCTCTATTATTAATCTGTCTTTTGTTACAGTGTCTTTCCCAACAAATAACTTAAGATGATTGAGGAGAAATTATATTTCCTTCCCAGCTGGCTAATTCCAAATGTGTCCTCAAGCCTGGTGCTTGGACTCAAACCCTGCCACAGGTCAAGAATGCCACACCAAGCAGACGCTGTGTTAGAGGGGCACCTGAGGTGACATGTTTGACAGATCACATAACTGAATAACTGCATTTTCTGAAGGAAAATCAACGAAGTGCTTTGAGGCCAAGTAGATGGGATTCTTGAGGATTCCATGAATAGCAAATAGTAGTATCCCCCTCAGAGGCTCTTGGGTGGGGGCATTAAATGTGTTAATACATGTGTTTGCTGCAGGTATAGCCAGAATATGTGAAAGCAGCTACAGGGAATAGAGTGTAGCAAACTCCTAATCATCCCTCAAAACCCTGCCCTGGTGTCCTCTCCCTTGTAAACTTTCCTTGAACAAGGCAGAACCAGCTACATCAGCACCATACCATCCCTCCATCACTACAGATATCACTCTGTACTATAATTATCCATTTATTTTTCTAGGCCTTGCACTCCCTAAGGCCAGGATTCTGACTCTTTCCCTGAGTGCTGTTTACCTGAACTGAACCGGCATGAACCACCACGCCCGGCCATCTTGTCACTTTCTAAAATGCATTGCTCTTCGTGGCAGATGCTCCATAAGCCAGAGCTCTAAGCCGCAGCATTGAGCCGCAGCATTGAGCTGAAGCCTGAAGGGAAGATGGCTTTGATATGTTAAAACTCATTCCAGTTTACTCCTATTTTTCATTCATTCATCCACACATTCACTCAACAAAGATCCTTGAGCTCTGATATCCATGTCTTTTTTGTGGCTCTTAGTTTATCTTTGACAAAGTTAATATATTATGCTGAATTTAACTTGGGAAAGACAAGAAGGAAATGAGTGGACAGTGGTAGCAAAGTGTTGGGACGGTGAGATCAAGGGTGACTTTTTTTCCCTTTGCTTCTCAACTTCTCCCTAATGTAGTTGTTATTTTACTTTTATGATGGAAAAATGCATATGTATGGGAATACTGTATTTCAGGCATTATAAGGAATGAAATTATAGGCCGGGCATGGTGGCTAACCCTTGTAATCCTAGCACTTTGAGAGGCTGAAGTGGGCAGATCACTTGAGCTTCAGAGTTCGAGACCAGCATGGACAACATGGTGAAACCCAGTCTCTACCAAAAACACAAAAATATTAGCTGGGTGTGGTGGTGCATGCCTGTAGTCCCAGCTACTCAGGAGGCTGAGGTGGGAGGATCGCTTGAGCCTGGGAGGCAGAAGTTGCAATGAGCAGAGATCGTGCCACTCCGCTCCAGTCTTGGTGACAGAATGAGACTCCATCTCAAAAATAAATAAATAAATAAAATAAATGAAATGAAATTATAAGAAATTACCACTTTTTCATGTAAGAAGTGATCATTTCCATTATAAGGGAAGGAATTTAATCCTACCTGCCATTCCACCAAAGCTTACCTAGTGCTAAAGGATGAGGTGTTAGTAAGACCAACATCTCAGAGGCCTCTCTGTGCCAATAGCCTTCCTTCCTTTCCCTTCCAAAAACCTCAAGTGACTAGTTCAGAGGCCTGTCTGGAATAATGGCATCATCTAATATCACTGGCCTTCTGGAACCTGGGCATTTTCCAGTGTGTTCCATACTGTCAATATTCCCCCAGCTTCCTGGACTCCTGTCACAAGCTGGAAAAGTGAGAGGATGGACAGGGATTAACCAGAGAGCTCCCTGCTGAGGAAAAAATCTCCCAGATGCTGAAAGTGAGGCCATGTGGCTTGGCCAAATAAAACCTGGCTCCGTGGTGCCTCTATCTTAGCAGCCACCCTGCTGATGAACTGCCACCTTGGACTTGGGACCAGAAAGAGGTGGGTTGGGTGAAGAGGCACCACACAGAGTGATGTAACAGCAAGATCAGGTCACCCACAGGCCCTGGCAGTCACAGTCATAAATTAGCTAACTGTACACAAGCTGGGGACACTCCCTTTGGAAACCAAAAAAAAAAAAAAAAAAAAGAGACCTTTATGCAAAAACAACTCTCTGGATGGCATGGGGTGAGTATAAATACTTCTTGGCTGCCAGTGTGTTCATAACTTTGTAGCGAGTCGAAAACTGAGGCTCCGGCCGCAGAGAACTCAGCCTCATTCCTGCTTTAAAATCTCTCGGCCACCTTTGATGAGGGGACTGGGCAGTTCTAGACAGTCCCGAAGTTCTCAAGGCACAGGTCTCTTCCTGGTTTGACTGTCCTTACCCCGGGGAGGCAGTGCAGCCAGCTGCAAGGTGAGTTGCCTTCATTTCTGGGGAAGCGGCTGTTTTGAGAGGGTTTTGTTTCTTCCTCTTTGAGAAGGCTCAGAAAATTGTGGGAATTTTCTGCCTACAGAGAGAAGGTGTTGGAAAGTCTAGGTAAAAAAATGCCGACATGAGGTTTGGTCATTTGAACATGGCATCTTGGTCAGATTTCTTTTCTGCAAATATTAGCTGTGGTTGTTACATGACAAGGAAAAACTTTCTGAAAAGTTCAAAATGGGAGTTTGTATCTGCTAAGAATTTTTTTTAACAGAGATTATCTTATCAGTCCTTATAACATGTAACCTCCCCACAAATCCTGGTAAGATGGATATATTAAACCCATTTTATGGATGAATAAATGAGTTTCAGTTAAATAACTTGATCCAGGACACATAACTGGTAGAGCTAGGATTCCAGGATTTGAACCCAGGTCTATGGGGCTATAAGTTCTTTTCTTTCTTTCCCTCTTTCCTTCCTTTCCTTCCTGTCCTTTCCTCCCTTCCCCTCCCTTCCCTTCCCTTTCTTTCTTTTTTTTTTTTGGAAACAGCCTTGACTGCCCAGCCTCAAGCAATCCTTCTGCCTCAGCCTCCCGAGTAGCTGGGACTACAGGCACAAGACACCATGCCTGCCTGGCTAATTTTTCAATTTTTTGTAGTCAAGGTCTCCCTATGTTGCCCAGGCTGAACTCGAACTCTTGGACTCAAGCGATCCTCCTGCCTCGGTCTCCCGAAATGCTGGGATTACAGGCGTGAGCCACTGCACTTGGCCTAAAATTCTTACATGGACTATATTCACTACACTGTCTTCTAAAGACAGAGTTTTTGCCTCTTTGATCTTCCTCTTGTCTGTTTCAAAGGAGATGATCTCAGATTTCGAGGGATGAGTGCATTTTTCACAAATATTTCCTCCCCACATAATAAAAGAGGAGCAAGTAATAATGCTGAGTTAGAACAACAACTGCAAAATCTTTAAAAGAAAGGTAGCTACAGCTTGAGTGCTTTCCCCAGTAATAGACCTAAAACTACAGTTGATAATGAGAGCTGCTGGGAAGTGTCTTTCAGGGTCAGGCAAAGGCACCCCTGTTTCAACGACCTCCGGGCTCTTCCTCACCCTGCCTGTGGCCAGTGATGAAGCCTGGCTGGGTCTGGTGGGCCAGCAGGTCCCGCTAAGGAGGCTCATGGTGCATACAGTTTGTCCTTGTTAAGTGGCGATGGGGATGGGGGGGTTCATTGTTTTTCCTTAAGATTATTAGGTGGCTTTACAGAATTGAAGTCTGTGTCCGAAGGCTCCCCATTCCAACCCCGAAATAGAGACAGAGGTTGCAAAGCATTGATGAAGGGGCTCATGCTGGCGTTCATATCGATTCCCCAGTGAGCCAACCCCACTGAGAAGCCCTGTTCTGTAAACTCTTCTTCAACCTTCCCTCACCTCTGCTTCCCTTCTTCAGCCCCACAGTGAAGAACATCTGAGCTCAAATCCAGATAAGTGACATAAGTGACCTGCTTTGTAAAGCCATAGAGATGGCCTGTCCTTGGAAATTTCTGTTCAAGACCAAATTCCACCAGTATGCAATGAATGGGGAAAAAGACATCAACAACAATGTGGAGAAAGCCCCCTGTGCCACCTCCAGGTGAGTTTTCCCTGGGGGAACCTCCTGCTTGTCTCCTTGGGCACCCATGCCCTGTCGGCACCGATGACTCAGAATTCCTCTCTCTGCTCCTCCTCTCTCACCTGAGGTCTGATCTCCTCATTGCTTCTTGAAAGTCCCTGTTGGAATTCAATGCAGCCGCTGATTATTGGGCACCTCGCTGTGCCTGACGGTATGTGAAGAAGGAAGGGACATGGTGCGGGGCTGGCCCTGAAGAAGCTTGGAATCTTTGGGGAAGAATATGGGAAGGAGCTTGGCCTGAGAATGGGAGGCAGTAGAGCCTCGTGGTGGGCACCATGGCGGAGGGGTGGGGGTGGAGGGTCAGCATCCTGGCCTGCGTCCATTCCAATTCACCGCTTGCTAGATGCTTTGAATATCATCCTGGTGAAGGGCATCAGGATGTTAGACAAACTAGTTCCAAGCCCTGTGCTGGCCGCACTAGTTGCCGGGTGCTGCCTCTAGCCAGCTGTGTGACGCAGGGTAAGTTAACCTCTCTGAAACTTAGTGCTCACCTGTGGTATGAGGAACCCAAGGGGGCCCTCACCATAGTGTGCTGAGGATGAAATGAGATCTACAGCACTCAGCACTGTGCCCACACAGAACAGACACTTAGTCCACATCAGGGTTCATCACCATCTACTGAGTACCTGCCCTTGCCAGAGCTACACAGGCCACTTGACAGACTTTGCATCTCAACTGATCTCTGTGGCGGCTCTTTGAAGTTCATATGATTGACTCATTTCACAGATAAGGAAATAGAAGCTCTAATAGGATTATGACTTCCCCCAGCCTGAATGACCGGTAATTACAGAGTTTACAGAGTTGGAACTTGAGCCCAGATTTGGATTCTTCATGTCCCTCCTCCCCGGGCCCATCCTTCCTCCCAGGGCAGAACCAAGAGAATGAGTCAGTTAATGAACAAGTCAAGGGACAGGCTTGAGGCTCGCTCAGGTGGAAAGACAAAGCAATCTGCAATAACGCAATAGTGCAACTGAAACCAAAGCCCCCATCTACACAAGACCACCACATAGCCACACAACCCCACCGCCCCAGAGGAGCCTTTCCCATGGACTACAAAGGGTAGGGCGCCCCCTGGATGTGTACAGCATGACGGCCCTGAGTGTATCTGTCAGAGGCGGCAAAAAATGCCAGTGGCTAAGAGGATGGGCTTGGGGATGAGCAAGTGGCTTTGCCACTCAGTAGCCCTGTAACCTTTGGCAAGTCCCCTAGCCTCTGAGCCTCAATTTCCTCCTCTATAAGAAGAGGGTAACAATGGTGATTTCCTGGAGTTGGAGGAAGGAGTAAATGAGCTTTCCCATGTGAGCAACTTAGCACAGGGCCTGGCCTGGAGTAAGTGCTCAGCAAATGGCACTGTTGGCATTGCTATCATTAGCGGTGGTGTTGGCAGTTAGGAGGTGATGGAGCAAAATTGAACAGAGTTCCCTCTAGGGGCTTCACAGAAGTCAGGTGGACTCTGTGGCCTTTGAAGTATGGGTAGAATGTAGACAGGTGCAGAGGAGTAGCAAGGACATTCAGGAAGAGGGGAGAGGTGAGCAGAGGCTCAGAGGCAGAAATGAGCCTGACTGTGCTTGGCCAGGAGTGGGCTGGGGGCTGGGATAGGCAAAGCCAGGCCAGAGCACAAGGGCTTGAATGCAGGGTAGGAGATTTGGACTCGCTCTCCCTGGCAGTAGGGAGCCATTGTAGGTTCTTGAGCAGGACAGTCTAGCTGTGGTGTGGTAGGTGAATTGGAGGAGAGGACTTTGAAACCAGGCAGTCTGGGCTATGGCAACTGAGGTGGCTAAGAGACCAAGAGGTGAGAACACAGAGTTGATGGCCTCTAGATGTCCAGATTCTAAGGGCTGTAGAGGGGCAGTGGCTTCGCCCCTTCCTTCTCTTCATCTCATCATTGCAGCCGCTGCCAGCTGACCTCCCTGACTCCAGCTCCCCACACTGGCTCTGAGCTCTCTCTTGCCAACTGGACTTCTAGCAAGTCACGCCCCTATTCTAGAGCCTGCAGTGGCTCCCCATTGCCTGTCACCACATTAAAGCTTCCACAGAGTTCTGAGCGAGCACCCTACCCAAATGGAGAGCCCATCCCACCTGCCCATCCCAGCCTTCCTCAGCTCCCCAGTGCCTGTGCATAGCACATTCCTCCCTCAGCTCATCCAGACCCAACTCATCCCCTATTTTTTTCTTTTCTATTTTTATTTTTTATTATTATTATTTTTAGACAGGGTCTCACTCTGTTGCCCAGACTTCAGTGTAGTGGCTCCATTTCAGCTCACTGCACTGCAACCTCCACCTGCCAGGTTCAAGCGATTCTCCCACCTCAGCCTCCTGAGTAGCTGGGACTACAGGCATGTGCCACCACGCCTGGTTAATTTTTGTATTTTTAGTAGAGACGGTGTTTCACCATATTGGCCAGGCTGGTCTCGAACCCCTGACCTCAAGCAATTCTCCTGCCTTGGCCTCCCAAAGTGCTATTACAGGTGTGAGCCACCGCACCTAGGCTTCTTTTTTCTTTCCTTTTCTTTTCTCTCTTTCTCTCTCTCTTTTAAAGCTGAGAATCTTGCTCTGTTGTCCAGGCTGCCCTCGAACTCTGGGCCCTAGTGATCTATCTGCTGTCTTTCCGGATCACCCTGAATCTCCCAAAACCCTTACGGTGTTGGCTGCAGCCTTTAACCCTCATCCCCACACCCTCTAATAGCATTGCCAGTTATCCCTATGTCTTTGGGGGCTGACTTGTGTCTTTGGACCATTCAGGAAATATGAGTTCAGACTCCAGGGAGGGCCCTGAGCTGCAGTGGACATGTGACAAACCAGCTAACTTGACCATGTTTTTCCCCCTCCTCTTCATGCTGGGGTGGGCTGGCGGAAAGGATCCAGTCAGATAGAAGAGGGGATGAAGAAAAAAATATCACACATCAATTCATTCAACTCTCCCAACGATCCACAAGGAAGGAATTTTAGTTATCCCATTTTAAAGATGAGGACCCTGAAGCCCAGAAAGTTAAAGTAATTTTCAAGATCTCATAATTAGCAAATGACAGAGCTGGGATTCAGATCCAGGCAGTCCAGAGGGACCCCTGCATGGGGCTGCCACCTTTGTGTCCTGGGCATGTCACATTCCATTGACGAGTACATGCAGATGCCCACTCCCCTGGCTCTGTGCTGGGAGTTAAGATATCAATGAAACCCTTCTGCTCATCAGTGAATTGTTTGAGCCACTTATTACTTACATACACCACTGCTAAAAACAATAGATAACATTTATAAGGTCCTTAGTACTGTGTCAATAATGAGACAGGAACTATTATCCTTGTTTTACAAGATTGAGTGACTTACTGGAGGTCAATTCCTGGAAAATAGTGGAGCTAAGGTTTGAGTCAAGTCCAAACTCATAACATCTACACTATCTGTGCTCTCCCAGAGGGCCTACTGTGTGCTGCACTGTTCAAGAGACAGAGAAAAATGACCCAGTTCCTGCTGTCAGGAAGGAAACGGGGAAACGGATGTCTTCCTCGCTGGTTTGGGAGACGTACATGAAGAATGCGAGTTGGAGAAATTGTGTCAGGAGTAGGTGGGATGGAGTGTAGACAGGAGGTCGTAGTTGTGGGTGTACTGGGACCGTGCTAGAGGCCTCTGCTGGGGAGACTGCAGAGGTGCCTGGGCAGGCTGTAGTGTGGGGAGGAGTTGGGGGGAGGAGGTGGGTCCACCCAGAGTGCAACATCCACTCAGGTGAGGGAGGGGTGATGTTACTGGAAGAGGAAGCAGCCGTGCAAAGGGGATTTCATCCTGAAAGCAATGAGAGCCAATGAATATATTTTGATTTTAAAAAGTAATTTTCTAATCTGTTCAGGTGTCATGAAACCAAGAGCCTATTCTAAGTGACTGGTGATTCTATACCTTCGTAAACAATTAGGAAATGAGCATGGTGTGTGTGTGTGTGTGTGTGTGTGTGTGTGTGCGCGTGTGTGTGTACGCATGTGTGTATTTTAGGGACAAAGGCAAATGTGGGAGCATCTAGGTGAAGACACATGGAATTCAGAACCAAGTCGAGCTATGTGTTGCTTGCTGGGCTGCAGTTGGCTAGAAATAAATATGTGCCCTCTTTCATTCTGCTTTAACTGGGGTTCGGGATTTAATGTGCTTGCATACTGCCAGAAGGGCCCCCTGCATGTTGAGGTCCAGGGCTGCTGCCCCATCTGGGTCTGGACCCTACCTGTTATCTTGCTTGAGATAAGGAGCACCTTACAGGCGGAGCAAAGTCAGGAGGCTCTGCGCAGTCCAGGTAGCAAGGACAAGGGGCCTGCAAGGCACCGGAAGGGGCTTACGATCCCTCCTGCAATATTCCTACTAGAAGTCACCCCTAACCCAGTGCTTTCTTTGGTTTCTTTTCTGGAATCGCACAGAACATGCTGTATGTAACAAGTAATATAACACTTCCCGGGACAGCCTTGTGAGGTGGTGTGAGCTTAGGCTGGGCTGTGGTCCTGGGGCTGCTGTGTGGCCCTGGACAAGATCCTTAATCTCTCTGGCCCCAGCTAATGCCTCAATAAAGTGGAGATGACAACGTAGAGCTGTCTGCTTAACGAGACTGGACGAAATGACAGAAAGGAAATTTGCTCTGTAAACTAGAAAGCACCGCGCAATGGTGGTAATTATCATAAGCTTTATTGCGATTTTATGGGGAATAAACAAACACGAGGCCCAACACGACCCGGGCATCTTAGCCCAGACACAGTCCAGTGCCATCCAAACTCCGCGGCAGACGCCGGCTGCGGGCCCCTGGGTGCTTGGGTCCCGGGATCGCCGGGGAAGGCAGGGAAGGAGGGGCAGCTCGGCCCGGGACATCGCGTGGGTGAAGAGCCCCCGCCGCTGCTCGGCTCGCCCCGCCCCCGGGGCGGGGGCTGCAGGCTCCGAGCGATAAAGCGCGGGCGCTGGGAGGCGCGTGGAGCCAGCGGAGCTGCGCCTAAGGAGCCGGGCCATGCGCGAGGGGCTGGGCGCGGCGTGCGAGGCCGCCGGGCCCCGGCTGTGCAGGCTGCTCTGCAGGATCCTCCGGCCGAAGCCTGACTGCTGCCCGCGCAGAGCCAGGTACCCCGCGGGCCGAAGTCCGCCCTGGGAGGGAAGCGGTGGGCTCCGAGCCCGGGCGGGGCCCCATCTCTCTCTGGGAGAAATCGGAGGGCGGGGATGTGCGCTCTGTGGGATTCCTGAGGGTTTACTAAAAGCGTTTTCCTCTTTTAGAACGCTTGAGAGGTCGCAATTCAGGAGCCCAGGCGGCCCAGAGAAACCCCCCATGCACTATGAGAGGCGTCTATGCGGGTTCAGTTGCGCTGCGAATGTTTCAGCACTTGGGAGCTTTTGAAATTTTTCAGCACTGGGGTTGAAAGTTGCTACACTCTTTGGATCAAATATGGTTAAGAGAGCAAGGAGGTTCTTGTTTCACAAATGAGATCCATTTCCCAGGGCGCCATCCCCCCCACCCTCCCCATCTGTCCCCACCACCACTCTTGGTGTAAGGCGAGGTAAACAGGCAGGGAGGCGTCGGAACCGCAGGGGAATCTGGCCCCCAGGTCAGCCCAGGCAAGCCACAGTCTGCAGCTGTGACCGGCTCGGCTGGTCAAGGGCTTGTAGAAAGTTCTGGGTCTAAGCAAGCCACCACACTCACAGCACTCCCCACGCCCCCGACCCCTTTTTTTGATAGGGTCTCACTCTGTCACCCAGGCGACAGTGGCGCCGTCTCGGTTCACCGTAGCCTCCACCTCCAGGGCTCAGGTGATCCTCCCACCTTAGCCTCCTGAGTAGCTGGGACTACAGGCGCGCATCACCACACACTTGGCACCTTTTTTTTTTTTTTTTTTTTTTTGTAGAGATAGGGTTTCACCATGTTGCCCAGGCTGGTCTTGAACTCCTGGGCTCGAGTGATCCGCCCACCTCGGCCTTCCAAAGTGCTGAGATGACAGGTGTCAGCCACCGCGCCCAGCTGCCAGCACTCTCTTTGAATGCAGGTCCTTGAGGGTCCTCAGGACCCCGCACAGCTGTGGGTTTAGTCAAATTGCACGAGCGTCTGCGGGGTCAGAATCAACAATGTGATAATTTGGAAAGAAGTGTCCAGATTCTGAAGGTGCTCACCTGGAGTCTGGTCACCCTGTCACCCTGTCTCCCAGCAGCCAGCCAGAAGAAATGGTGTGGGAGGGGACTTGGGCAAAACTTTGTTTATTCATTTTTCAAATTTAAAGAATTGTCCAATTATGAAAGGAATTCATTGTCACTGTAAAAAGTTGGAAGATGTGGAAAAGTATAAGAAAAGTTAAATTGCCTATGATCTTATCACTTAATGCTAGTCACTGTTAACATTTACTAACATTCCCTCGAGGTGTTTTTCTGTGCTTGTACGCACACACACACACACAGCCAGCATCAGACTGTGTATACAGTTTAAGGCATTATTTATATGAGGGCAAAACTAGACACAGTCTAACATCCAGCCATGGACAATGGGACCAGGCTAATCGTGGCCCATCTGTAGAGTGGATTTTTAGCCAACTTTTAAAAGTGATACTTTTTAATATATGGGGTAAAATGATTATGTTAAATGTACAAAGACATTGCTTCTCAATCTAAACAGTACTGTAGATGTTTCTGGTCTGAAGCTTCTGAAATTGTCCAACTCTACTTCCAGAAGTAAGTGAGAGGAAGCAAGAATGGGTGCAGGGTGGGTGCTGGGGTGAGGGGGAATGGCAAAAGAGCAAGAGGGGCAGTTGTCCCCTGGGGACCCCATCCCCCATACATCTTCCTATTGAAGCAGCCCCATGGTGACTGCTCAGCCATGGCTTATCTGTTCTGAATATCCAGATTGCCATATATATATATATTTTTGTTTTGTTTTGTTTTGTTTTGTTTTGTTTTTTTCTGGCAGGCCACACCAGTCTAGACCAGGTGTGTTAAAGAAAAAAGTATTCAATGATACTTGTTAAAGAACAGTATGGAAGTCTTTATTTAGGACCATCTCAATAGGTACAGGGACCTACTGCAGTGGGGTCTGGCAGTGGAGGAGAGAGATTGGGCCCAAATCCAAATACAGCAGGAGCAAGTGGGAATTTATAGCCAAGGATCAGGGTGGGGTCTGTGGATGGAAAATTACCAAGAAAAACTTCAGGCATAGGGGGAATTCTGCCTCACCCAACCTAACAGGATTCTTGCTTAGGACAGGCTAAGGTGATCAGACATCGCCTGGGGGAGGATGGAGGATGAGGACCCTGATCAGATGGGGAGGACGACAAGCTATCAAGGATGGAGGGTTCTTGTTAAACTGACTAAGTAGGGATTCTTTTGCTAAAACTGCATTTTTACAAGGAAATGCTTGGATGGGCCCCGCAGAAGATTCAGAAGTCTGAGTAAAGTTTGGCTAAGCAAAGCATCTTTGCCAGTTGGCAATGGTTGGTCACATGGAAGGCCCTTTACAGGGTTGTGGAATCCCTTGATTCAGATATAAGTTGCTTTCTGATACATACTTACATCCTCTTTTAAGACAGTATCTCTTTATAGTAAAAAATCACTTACTGCTACTATGTAATGTATATAATTAATGATATAATGGTAACATATAGTCATTTTTTTCTATAATAAAAGCAATACATGGTCATTTATCGCATTTCAACATCATAGATACATATCAAGTAGAAAATGTGAGACCCTCATAATAGTCTCTAACCACCTCTCCCTCAGATGCACAAGCATGCATACCCTGGAAAATACTGCCAAGAACATGGAACACAATATGCTTTCAAACCAAGGTGCCCTGGTGGGATGATTCTTCCTAGGGGAGGCATGTGTGAGTGGTGACTATTCAGTTCGCCGGAATGAACCTGAAATCCCAAACCAGGACAAACGGTTTCTGACCGGTTTCAGAATACTGAATTTTTAAGTAATCTTTAATTTAAAAAATTACTTTAAGTAATGTTTAATTTAATTTGTAAGTAATCTGTAATTTAATGCTAATTTTTACAATACTTGTTTTTACCTTGGTGAAGGTAAGTTGACATCTTAGATTTGTTTTAAAATAATGATGGGGGCAGGGAAGGTATAGGTGAAACAAGATCGGCCGTGGATTGATCACTGTTGAATTGGGTTGAATCTGGGTGAAGGGCCCATGGAAGGTTATTAGACTATTCTCTCTACTTTTGTACACTTAACATTTTCTGTAATAGAAATGTAGAATAAGTAAATAAACCAAGATAAATCACGTGTTTTAAATAAAGCTTAAGTCATGAAAAACAAGTGGCTGGGGCTGGGCGCGGTGGCTCCTGCCTGTAATCCCAGCACTTTGGGAGGCTAAGGTGGGAGGATCACTTGAGGCCAGGAGTTTGAGGCCAGCCTGGGCAACATGGTGAAACCCCATCTCTACCAAAAATACAGAAATTAGCCAGGTGTGGTGGTGTGCGCCTGTAGTCCCAGCTACCCAAGAGGCTGAGGTGGGAGGTTCACTTGAACCTGAGAAGTGGAGGTTGCAGAGAGCTGAGATCATGCCACTGCACTCCAGCCTGGATGACAGTGCAAGGCTCTGTTTCAAAAAATATAAATCAATCAGTCAATCAGTCAACCAATCCAAGTGGCTGCTGGGCAGTGCTGCTAGTCTGGGAGGCAGAGTTGTTGGAGCCATTCTCTGCCCACCCAGCCCCTGTGCCACGTTTGTACTTGGCTTTTCCAGAGGGTGAAGGAGCATTTTCCAGATCCTCTATGGGCTGCTGTTTGGGCCAGTAGCTTTGGCTCAGCTCTGCTCATGCCCTTTTGGCTCTGCGGGAGGAAGAAGATAAGAGGAAGAGGGAAGATGGGGATGGGGAGGCAGTTGGTCAGACCGACCATGAACAATTCACTCCCACCCTCTGGACTCAGTTTCCCTATTTGTCAAATGAGGTTACTGGCAGAGGGAACTCCAAGATGCCCCTCCACCCTTGGATACCGCATCTCATGCTAGCTGTTTCCTTTCACAGTCCAGTGACACAGGATGACCTTCAGTATCACAACCTCAGCAAGCAGCAGAATGAGTCCCCGCAGCCCCTCGTGGAGACGGGAAAGGTCAGTGAGTCACATGGGTGTGGGAAGCCCCTTCCTCCCTGGTCCAGGCAGATGCAGACATAGCAGCCTGTTAGAGCTGGGCTGGAGAGGGCAGGAAGCCAGGGTTTGGATGGAGAGTGGAGAGTCCCAGACCCGGGGTGTTGGGGGGAACAGGTGGGAATGAGGAAGGGCTTTGGGAGAGTGAGACAACCCCCAGTGGTCGGGAGTGGTGGCCCCCAAGGTGCACTGACAGCTAGCTTCTATCTCCTGGGTTCCATACCATTCTAGAGAGGTGGGCAGAGAAATGGGTAGGAGTGGGAGAGAGGGTGGCTTATATGTCCTTACATGCTCCCAGGGAAGGAATGCAGTGGTGCCTTTCTGTTCTCAGTAGTATTGGCTCTGACAGTCATCCTTCTCACCTCCAACTTAGTCTTTAGTCCCTCCTACAGCAGTTCCTCTGAGGAAGCATTTGGCAAGGCCCTGGGTGAGGAGAGGACCCTGGCCAGTGGCCCAGGCACCTGGAGCTCTTAGCAGGCACTGGCCCAGGTCGCCCGGGGGCTGGAAACAGAGGAGGGACGTGGAGGGACACCCTGCCCTGTGTGGCCACCCATAGATCCTTCCCCACTCTAAGACAAGGCAGGGCCTGGGGTCTAGGAGAGACCTGAGAGAAAACCCTGTTTTTTCCCCTTGCAGAAGTCTCCAGAATCTCTGGTCAAGCTGGATGCAACCCCATTGTCCTCCCCACGGCATGTGAGGATCAAAAACTGGGGCAGCGGGATGACTTTCCAAGACACACTTCACCATAAGGCCAAAGGGGTAAGTCTGGGGCTTCAGGGAGAACCACCTTTGTCCCAAGCTGGTGAAGCTGCCAGGGCTTTGTGGATCAAACAGGTGTCCCCCTGGGCAAACCAAACAATCATCTGCTTGGGCAAAGGGGTCTAGGAACAGAGACATTCCTCACAGATTACAGTAGGAAGTAAATGATGCCAACTCCCTGTTAACCACCCCAGTAAATAATGGATAATCCAGAAGGTCAAATAAATGATTGCAGAAACAAATTCATATCTTTCTTAGCCGGATTTCAGGATAATGTCAGGGAGAATTTTCTAACAGAACTGCTCAGAGCTGGACTGTATTACATCAGGAGGTAGTGAGCTCCCTGTCACTGGAAGGATTTAAATGCAATTTGATAGATTGCAGAGGGGTTCAAGTATCCTGTGAGTGGTTGGACTAAATGTCTTTTCAGGCTTCTTTCTGTCATGTAAGTTTTTAATTCTAACTTCAGGATACATTCTATGGTTGTAAAGTGGGAAAGAATGGACAATTTCAGGACCATGAAAGCAAAATTATTTCCCACATGCCCCCAAACCACCACAGTTAACATTCGGGTGTACTTCATTCGTGTGTGTGTGTGTGTGTGTGTGTGTGCACGCGTGTGCCTTCCTATGTCTCATTTCAGTTTGTTTTGGCCAAATACCAATATCATGTTCCCATAGGAGCCATATTGGATTGACTTTGCTCTGGATCTGGAGCTGGCTGGGGAGCAGGGCCAGAGACTGAGTCCGGAGTAGGGAGAAAAACCTGACTCACACCCACTGGGGTTCAGCCAGTGGAAGAGAGGAGATCTAGGTGGGAGAAAGCCAGGTGGACCCCAAGGAGGAGGTGCCACAGGGGTGGAGAAGAGGTGCAGGGAGCCGGAGCAGCCAGAGAGGAGCCAGGTGGCCAGGAGAGCTGGCCCCAGAGGAGGGTGGCAAGAGGCCGAATGGCCCACCCTCACCACCTGCCTCTCTCTTTCCAGATTTTAACTTGCAGGTCCAAATCTTGCCTGGGGTCCATTATGACTCCCAAAAGTTTGACCAGAGGACCCAGGGACAAGCCTACCCCTCCAGATGAGCTTCTACCTCAAGCTATCGAATTTGTCAACCAATATTACGGCTCCTTCAAAGAGTAAGGCTTGCCTCCTGCAGGGTCGCTGCCTCCTGCCCTTCCTCCTGCTCTCCTGTCTCTACCCATCACCCTCTGATCCTAGCTAGATCCCTTTTCTTTCCAGATTTGTGGTGTTAAATCACTATGATTTTGCAGAGCGAAAATCACGGTTTTCTAGGGGAGAAGACCCTGGAGCAGGTTCTCATAATTGTGGGATAACGTTGTACATAGCAATACCAGTTAAAAGTGACTGAATTCGAACCCTGGCTCCCGCATTGTGTCTGAACGTCCTCATCATATTAATGGCAAAAACTGCAACTACTTTTGCACCAACCTAATATAAAATGGGGATAATAACAGAAGGTGGCTCATGAGATTTTTGTGAGGATTCAGTAAGTTCAGAACAGTGTCCTGGCATCCAGAGACCTTGATTGTGAATTAATATGGACCCTTTAATTATGAAATGTTTGAGACAGAAAGGATCTCTGAGACCACCTAGTCAGGCCCCTACTCCTACAGGTGTGAACATGGAAGCTGGTGACATACCTGAAGTCACCTCATTCCAGCTAGAAGCCAGGCCACCTGACTAGGAGAGGGCAGGCCATTGCTCTTTGCCCTGACCCTGGTGGGGTTCTACATTTCTGGAGTTCTCTTCTTTTTTCTACCCAGTGAGGCTTCCCTGAGGACCATGCTAGACATCCTTCATTTCTATGGCCAATTGGTCATTTGGTTGACAGACACACATCAGGCACTGAGTATGCCTCAGCCTTGTGTCAGACACTGGAATACAAAGATTTTTAATTGTCATTTGCCAATTTTATTGCCAACGTATACAATTTTAATCATCCAAAGAGAGGTTGTATAGCATTGTGGCCTTCCCAGGTTCAAATCCTAGCTGTGCCCCTTACGAGCTGAGTAACCCTGGGCAAGTTACTTTGTCTCTCTATGCCTTGATTTTCTTACCGAAAATGGTGATAATAATAGTACCCACCTTGCAGGAGGAGGGTAGTTGGCGGGAGTTTATAAAGATGAAAGGAGTTAAAGAATATAGAGCTAGGAACAATGCCTGGGCCACAGTAAGCACGACATAAGTATTAGCCATTTTCATGTTTTTAGAACACTGCGTTGTCCAAATAAAATATGTGGCTATGTAATTTAGGCCCCTTTAAAACTTTTAAAACAAAAATGCATGAAGAGATTGTAAGAAAGAATGTCTGAAAGAAATGGATTGTTTTCTTTTTGTTTGTTTGTTTGTTTTTATTTTTGTTTTTTGAGATGGAGTTTTGCTCTTGTTGCCCAGGCTGGAGTGCAGTGGCACGATCTTGGCTCACTTCAACCTCTGCCTCCCGGGTTTAAGCGATTCTCCTGCCTCGGCCTCCTGAGTAGCTGGGACTATAGGTGTGTGCCACTACACCTGGCTAATTTTTTTTTTTTATTTTTAGTTGAGATGGGGTTTCATCATGTTGGCCAGGCTGATCTCAATCCCCTGACCTTGTGATCCACCCACCTCAGCCTCCCAAAGTGCTGGGATTACAGGCGTGAGCCACCGAGCCCGGCCCAGAAATGGATTGTTTTCTAGGCTGGAAGGGGAGTGTTGCTATTAGGGGAGAGCCTCACACAGCACTGCACCACACAAAGTGAGCCACAGACATGTACCTGGGACTCCCTGGCGGAAAGAGTGGCTTCTGGTGGTACCACCTCCACTTTTCTTTGTCTTTTTTTTTTTTTTTTTTTTTTTTTTGAGACTCGGTCTTGCTCTGTCTCCCAGGCTGGAGTGCAGTGGCACAATCTCTGCTCACTGCAGCCTCGATCTCCTGGATCAAGTAATCCTCCCACCACAGCTTCCTGAGGAGCTGGGACCACAGGTGTGCACCACTATGCTTAGCTAATTTTTTAAATTTTTAGTAGAGACAGGGTCTCACTATGTTGCCCAGGCTGGTCTTGAACTCCTGAGCTCAAGCGATCCTCCTGCCTTGGCCTCCCAAAGTGCTGGGATTACAGGTGTGTGCCGCTGCACCTGGCCCACCTCCAGTTTTCTACAACCCTAGAATGTCTGAGCTGGGAGGGACCGTGAGTCTTCAGAAGAGGCCCTCATCTTCCAGGGTCGGTGGTCCTCAACCCTGGCTGCACAGTAGACTTACCTGGAAAGCCTGCAAAATTCTGATGGCAGGGTCCCTTGAGCCAAGGGCAGCAGAATCTGGGGAGATGGGGATGAGGCAGACATGTGTGTGCTTCAAAAGCTCCCCAGGTGATTCTAATGCACAGCCTGGATTGAGCAGCCTGTTAGGGGCTGCCTGCTTCCTGACTGCAAACTTCACAAGATCCTTGGCCTTTCAGCTCGGTTGTTAATTAATGAGCCTTTCGGGGTCCAGGGATTTTCCTGGATGGGTTTCATTGGGCCACAGTACTTATGTTATTTATTTATTTATTTAGCATAAAGCACGTGTGCACCATGACACTATGAGATTGGTATTATTGTTATCCTCATCTTACAGACAAGGCAACTGAAATCCACAGAAGAGATGTACCTTGCTCAAAGTCACACCCTTCGAAGCCCCAGAGTGGGGATTCGAACCTAGGCAGCTGGTGCCTGAGCCCTTGCTTTTCCCATCAATGCTCTAGTACCTAGCTGTGTGGCCTTGCAGGTTCCCAACTCTATTCTGGACGTGGGAGGCCTTGCTGTTGTGTGGAAGGCAATTGGGCGGGTGTTCAGAAGCCCAGCAGGGCTACAGGGCCATGCTTGGTGGTGTTGGAACCCATTTGCTTCTCCCAGAGGAAAATTGTATTTTTCCAAGTCACAAGTACATACCTTGAACCCCTGCTTCCCTGAGCAAGAGAACCTGGGGGTGTGAACGGGGAATGGCAGCCTCTCCTCACAGGGACCCTGGCAATCTAAGACATGACCAGCTGAGCAGGTTCAGTGGCCTTTTGTATCTGAAGAATCATAGCATATTTAGAGATTGTGACTTGCTGCATGTTACATTTAAATCTGTTCACTGATGATGAAAGCCACTCCTTTTTTTCAGAGCTCATAGACATCATAGCATTTCTAATGCCTTAGAAAATGACTATATGAAAATGGCTATCACATCTAAAACTCTGAAGGAATTGGATGTGAATGTAAAAAATAATCCTTTCTTGCATATGCACGTGCTGACCACCATGTGTGTTGGTGGTGTGGGTGTTATGGTGATCATTACTGTTGTCATGCTCAGGTGCAGAGGGGGGAATATTGCTGGAAGCTTTGTTTGGGGAGGGAGGTCTCCCAGCAGTGGGGTGGTTCCCACCTCACCCAGCAGCTCCTTATGGCAGGGGTGTCCTTGGGGATAAATATCATCAGTGTTTTGTCTTTGTGCTTTTTTTCTCTAATCAAGGAAAAGTTGTCGAGACACTCTTCATCCACAGAAAGGCCATTTTGTTCAGAGTTACCCACTCTCCTTAATCAGGAGTTCATTCTTTAAATAGTTTTGATGCTGTTTCAAAAGGCTTTGGTGCTGACTGGAAATCTCAAGGTTGTTGTTGTTGGTGGTGGTGGTAGTGTGTGTGTGTGTGTGTGTGTGTGTGTTTCAAAGCCTTTCTGACTGAGTCCCTCCCTCCCTTTGGGATATTTTTGAAGTCTGGGAGGGGAGGAGAGAAGCAAGTTTAGAATTGCATATGGAGTGACTGAATGAGCAATTCTGAGGCTGAGGAACAGCACGGTTTAGAGAGACTATGACGTGGGCAGCTCTTTTCTGGCCAGGCCCTGGGACCCTGCAGACTGAGCTCCGATAGCCAGGTCCCAGTCCTGGCTTGACCAGGCTCCTGAGAAGGGTGGGCAGGCCCTCAACATCTTTGGGCTTACTGTCCCCGTAGGGTGGAAGATGGAAGGTCACGTTGCTGACAGTTAAGAACCTGGGCTTGGCATCAGGGCGACCTGGGTCTGAGTCCTGACTTTGCTCTTTCCTGTACTTATGTTCCTGGGCCTGGTGCTTAACCTCCTAGAGCCTTGAGATCCTTGGCTATAAAATAGATGCAAAAATACCTCCCTCCCAGACTCAGTGAGACCCTGCCTGTGGGTTGCTTCACCCAGTGCCTGGCTCATGTGGGTACCCAGTACACCGGAGCTGCCACGGAGGGACTGGCTCATCTCTCAGTCATGGCAAGGAAGGAGGGCACTCTACTAACTAATGGAGAGGCAGGACATTGCTATGGCTGGATGGGACACTCCTCCCAGGCTTGCAAGTGTCTGAGAAGGATTGCACCCCTTACTGAGATGAATATGATTAAAGAAAAAGCACCTGAAAATAAGCAGTGTTCCCATGGGCTCAGGACTGGCTAGGTAGTATTTATAGGACTCAATGTAAAAATGAAAATGTGGGCTCTTTATTTTAAAATGATTAAGAATTTCAAGATGGGGACAGCAGAGCATTGAGCGTGGGGTGCTTCTAGGCTAAGTGTGAGGTCCCCAAAGCCAGCCCTGGAGGGAGCTGTCTCTGGTGAGAGGCATCTTGCCCTTCTGATGTCCTATTTCAGTTCCTGCTTCTGTGGATTGAATTAATCCCCATGTAAGGCCATCTCATTGTTGATCTTCCTGCTGTCTTCCTGTCCCCCAGGGCAAAAATAGAGGAACATCTGGCCAGGGTGGAAGCGGTAACAAAGGAGATAGAAACAACAGGAACCTACCAACTGACGGGAGATGAGCTCATCTTCGCCACCAAGCAGGCCTGGCGCAATGCCCCACGCTGCATTGGGAGGATCCAGTGGTCCAACCTGCAGGTGAACTTCCTTAGACTTGAGCGGGAGAGAGCTGGAGGCGGCCAGGCCCTGAGCAGATGGCTTGGAACAGCCACACAGAGCTGTGCCCAGGCCTCCTGGGACTGAAGCCATGGCCCTGGATCCTCTCTTACATTCCCAAATGTTGAGATGGGGCACCTAGGGTCCCTCTCTAGAAGCCTTGAATCCTGTTTCAGCACCAGGGTTTCTAGCTGCCCATTCTCTATTGTGTTAAATTCAGGAGACTAAATGCCATCATTAGAGTAAACCACGACCTTGTTTTTATTACACTTGAGGCCGTGGTGCTGCAAGATGTGTTGTTTTCCTCCAATGCTTGAATTCTTGGCTCCAAGAGAACATTTTATTTAGCCTAGCCTCCTAGGCCATCTTTTTGTTGGGGAGTCATTTGTTGCAGGATAATATCAAAAGCACTTGGACAGAGAAATCGATTAGAACTGCCAGTGAAACCAACTCTGGCTGTGTAGTATGTGCTGGTGTGGGAAAGGACCTAGCCTGGGGCTGTGGCAATCCCGATTCATGGTGCTTTCAAGTCAGGTTTTCTTGGAATTCTGGGTTTGCTGGGGTCTTCTGAGTGGGGTTGCCTGTGCTCCCCTAGAGGGCAGCCATGAAATGGGAGCGGTGGTGCAGATGGGAGGCTGAATTCTTCTGCATGGTGTTGAGTGGCAGGTGCAGATTGGAGGCTGCACTCTTCGGCATGGTGTTGAGTGTTTGTGTGTTGAGTGTTTCGGCTGCACTATTGATTCCCAGTGACTTCTGATCAGCCTCAAAGCCTCTGTCTACCCAGTCTTTGATGGGCATGGTCTGGATGGGCTGTTGCAGGTCTTCGATGCCCGCAGCTGTTCCACTGCCCGGGAAATGTTTGAACACATCTGCAGACACGTGCGTTACTCCACCAACAATGGCAACATCAGGTCGGTGCACATTTCCCAGGGCTGCAGAGGGGCTTGCCTTGCCTGAGAATCTTAGCCAAAAGATGCAGCACTTGGGTCTAGGGGAGGCATCTCCAGCTCCAGGAGAAACCAGGGAGAAAGAAAAAAGAGAAAGACTCAGGCTTCTTCGGGGACTTCCAGTAGTGAGCCCAGCCCCTGTGAGCTCAGCTCCCATCGGCAACCCATGCCCTTGGTTTCCTTCTGATGTGGAGCCACTTGGAGGGGATGGAGGATCTTTAAGAAGTAACTGCTTCACTATTCAGGGTTGGGGCTCCCATTTTTTAGAAGGCATGGGACATTAAGAGGTTACCTTCCTCTCCCAACCAACGAGGTCAAAGCTAATAGGACTGAACAGCTCATTTGGTCATTCATTCATCTTTTTGTTCAGCAAACACTCAGTGCCTACCTAATGCAACTCAACACAGGACAAGGCTGGGAGAGCAGGGGGAAGATGGGGTATGGGGGGGTAGGAGGAAGAGTGACTAGGACCCTAAGATGCTGCTCCAGCTGGTGTGAGCCTATGACCTGCACTAGACAGGCAACCAGCTAACTCAACTGCAAGGACGGAGACATAGGCAGTGAGGGAAAGACTGGCAGATCAGCTAACCCTGCCTGATGGATGGGAAGGCCCCCTTGAGGGGGTGGACCCTGGGTCTTGAGGGAGGGCAGCAGGAGAAGGCATGTCAGGAGGCTGGCTCAGTCAGCTTGGGATCAGGGGCTGCAGAGCAGGTAGGGTGGAGAGGGAGGTAGGGCCAGTGCAGGATGGCTGGGCCCCCACCAGGGCTAGGTGGTAAACAGTACTGTTCCTGTCCTGGGAAGGTCGGCCATCACCGTGTTCCCCCAGCGGAGTGATGGCAAGCACGACTTCCGGGTGTGGAATGCTCAGCTCATCCGCTATGCTGGCTACCAGATGCCAGATGGCAGCATCAGAGGGGACCCTGCCAACGTGGAATTCACTCAGGTACCCGGCCCAGCCTCAGCCACCGGCCATTGGGGCGGGGAGCCCCGTGGTGAGCGAGTGACAGAGTGGAGCCCAGAGGAGACACGCAGCCCGGGCTTACAGACTCACAGGGCCCGTCTTGTTCCCCAGCTGTGCATCGACCTGGGCTGGAAGCCCAAGTACGGCCGCTTCGATGTGGTCCCCCTGGTCCTGCAGGCCAATGGCCGTGACCCTGAGCTCTTCGAAATCCCACCTGACCTTGTGCTTGAGGTGGCCATGGAACATCCCAAGTAAGTAGGCTGAGGGTGCTGGGGGCAAGGGCGAGTCAACACACAGCCCTTCTCCTTTCCTAAGTGCGGCTCCAGCCTTCCCCATACCTTCCCTAAAGCCCAGCCAGCAGCAGGTGACACTCAGGGGGCTGGCCTTCAAGGACTCTTTTGTCACTGTTGCATTCTGCAGCCATTCTGCACTGGCACCTCGGGCCTCAGACAGGTGGATGTGTTGATGCTGAGGGGAAGCAGAGGCTTAGGCGGATGGGGCCCCAGGAGCTTGAGAAGCAGTGACTGCAGGAGAGGAATGCATTGAGATTCTAGAAAGGAGCAGCCCAGGCCTCTTCTGCCCTCCTGCCAATGCTCTTAGCTGTCCCTCTCCTGTCGGGATCATATAGGGCTGCAGTGACTTCAAGAGTCCTACTGGCCCAGCCCCTGCTCTAGGCAGTTCTCATAATTGCAAAAATACCTCTGCGTATTGAGATTTACTCTGTAGCAGACATTGGGCTGGGCTCTTCTTCCTGGCCGTTGAATGAACCAAATTCAGTCCTGACTCACAGCCTTTGTACTCCCTGTTCCCTTTGCATGACATGCCTTTTCCTCAGAATTTTTCTAGGCTCATTTCTTCTTGTCAAAAGGTATTTCCTATAATGTCACCTCCTCTGAGAAGGCTCTCTGACCACTCAAGCTAGAGGAGGCCCCCTTACCCTCAGTCTAACACATCATCTTGTTTTTATTTCTTATATATTTGTTTACCCATTTATAATCTAGAGTCTAGACATTAGACTACAAGTTCCTTGAGGGTGGAGATCTTTTCTTTTCTGTTCACAATGTATACCCAACAGCTAGCAGAGTGCCTGGCACATAGTAGGTGCTCAGTTATAAATATTTGTGGAATAACTGAATATACAAGTGAATGATATTACTAGCTTTATAATAATTCCATGAATTTGATGCTATGTTTCTATTCTGATAATGGGGATGTTGAGGCTCAGAGAGGCTAAAAAACATCCCAAGTTCACACTGCTAGTCAGAGGCAGAACTTGAACCCCAGCTTCTGACACTGGAGTCCTTAATTGCTCTGTTGTGTTGCATTCTCAGCATTTAGCACAGAGCCTGGCACATACTTGAAGCTTAATATAGGTTTGCATGAATGAATGAGTGCATGAATGCATAATTTAATAAATGGCATCCTATGTGTCCAATACGTCTCTCTGGCTGGGATTAACTCAGAATCAACTCTTGGAAAGGAGTTTTCTTGTTTGACTCTTTCTGAAGCTTTTTTCTTGGTGGGCAGGTGGGGGGTCAGTGGGAGGCCAAAGGTGCAAAAGTGAAGCCCCCAGCGCCAGACAAGGTAGTTCACACCTGTAATTCCAGCACTTTGGGAGGCTGAGGCAGGAGGATTACTTGAGGCCAGTAGTTCGAGACCAGCCTGGGCAACATAGTGAGACTCTATAAAATAATAATAATAATAATAATAATAATAATAATAATAATAAGGAAAAAAATTAGCTGAGCAAGATGGCACATGCCTGCAGTCCTAGCTACTTGGGAGGCTGAGGCAGGAGGATCGCTTGGGCCCAGGAGTTAAAGGCTGCAGTGAGTTATGATTGTGCCACTGCACTGCACTCCAGCATGAGCAACAGAGCAAGACCAAGTCACTAAAAAAAAAATAATAATAAAATAAAAATAAGGAAGGCCCCAGTTAAATTGTGTCTACCTTTTTGCCAGATACGAGTGGTTTCGGGAACTGGAGCTAAAGTGGTACGCCCTGCCTGCAGTGGCCAACATGCTGCTTGAGGTGGGCGGCCTGGAGTTCCCAGGGTGCCCCTTCAATGGCTGGTACATGGGCACAGAGATCGGAGTCCGGGACTTCTGTGACGTCCAGCGCTACAACATCCTGGAGGTAACCCAGCCAGCCCAGCTGGCCAGATGAAGGTGTGGGCCTGGGGGTGGCTTCAGGGACCGACTCGCCGCTATCACTCTGCCTCTGTAGGAAGTGGGCAGGAGAATGGGCCTGGAAACGCACAAGCTGGCCTCGCTCTGGAAAGACCAGGCTGTCGTTGAGATCAACATTGCTGTGCTCCATAGTTTCCAGGTATGTCTGGAGTTTTGTGAGTCTGAAGACTTTTTGGTGAGAAGCTTAACTGATCCAGTGACTTATGTGATGCTTAATTTATAAGTAAGCCCCCTTGCTCACTCTAGAGGTCCAGCAACAGGCAGCTCCTCACCTCCCAAGACTGTTCAATCCCTGTACTTGAGCACTGAATTCTGTCCTCTCTCAATCGCTCAAGGACTTTACTCCCAAAAATTTTCCTCTTCTCTCTCTGTATCATCAATGTCTCTCTCTCTGCTGAGTCATTCCCAGCAGTGTACAGACAGGCTCTCTTAGCCCCATTTCAAAGAAAGAAATGAATAGCTAACCACATAACTCCTGCCAAACCTCAGGCTCCCTCCAGCCACTGCCTCACCCTTCTGCTCCTTTCTACAGCAAAACTATGGAGAGATCTCATTGTGCTTCCTCATCCCCCAACTGCTTCAGCCTGGCTGGGCGACAGAGCAAGACTCCGCTCAAAAAAAAAAGAAGGCCTCCCTGACCGTGCCATGTAAAATGACGCCCTCACCCCACTGCCAACCTGTCTCTCTGTGTTAGTCCTTTAACCATTTTATTTTTCTTCAAAATACTTCCTCATACAGTTCCTGGCATTATATAGGACATCGACTTTCTTCTTTCTTTTCCTTTTTTTTTTTTTGAGACATCATCTCACTCGGTCACCCAGGCTGGAATGCAGTGGCATGATCACTGCAGCCTTGACCTCCTGGGCTCAAGTGATCCTCCCACCTTAGCCTGCCGAGTAGCTGGGACTACAGGTGCATACCACGCTTGCCTAATTTTTATATTTTTAGTAGAGATGGTGTTTTTCCATGTTGCCCAGGTTGGTTCCGAACTCCTGGCCTCAAGTGATCCGCTTGCCTCAGCCTCCCAAAGCGCTGGGATTATAGGCATAAGCCACGGTGCCGGGCCAGCTTTCTTTATTGTTTGGTTTCCCCCACTAGAATGTAAGCTCCATGGGGCAGGGACCTTGTCTGTCTGTTTGCTGCTGCACCTCTGGCCTAGAAGAGTGTCTGGCACATGGTAGATGCTAAAATAATTTGTCTTTGAAGAATGAATGATGAGGGCCACATCCGCGATCTGGCCTGGCACAAACTGGGTCTTCAGTCCTTGTCTGACGTGTGCATGAATGAGTGATGCTGGGAGGGGACCTGTGAGCTGTGGCTGCTCTTGCTTGCTGTGCGAGGATAACAACCTCCACCTCCTCTTAAGCCCACACACAGCCGCTGGGCTCCTGTGTAGGGCTAAGCCCTCAGGCCCATCCGCTGCTCTTACTCATAGAAACACTTCCCTTCCCTGTGGGAAGGAGGCCTGAGATGTAGGAAGATACTACTTTAGAAGCCACAGCCATTGCCACAAAGCTGACAGATGCCCTGGAGACCCCACCACTGGTCAGTCATTCATTCATTCAGCAGTGTTTTACTCAGCATTTGCCTGGTGCTGGGCACTAGGCTGGGCCAAGGATGTGAGTGGTGAACAGAGTACAGATGAGCACACACTGTTCCCCATGACTGGGTCACCCCATAGGCAGATCAGGCCTGTGCTTGACGGGGGAGGGGAAGATGGAACAGGAAGAGCCCCCCGGTGTTTGGGGAAGGGCTGGCTTTGCACCACACATCCTGACTCCTGGGGACTCCCAGCACCAGCCCTGATGCTGGCAGGATGTGGATACGTCCCAGAAAATCTGTGAGCCTCTGCTGTCTCCTCACCGTGGCTGACTGTGTCCTTCCACTGCCTGAGCGTCTCCAGGACTTCCTCACCACCCTCCTTCAGGGTAAACTTCAAAAGATGGGCCCTTGTTTCCTCCTCTGTAAAATGGGGATAATAGTGCCTCCCTCATCTGAGGATTATAAGAGTTAAGTAAAAATGCATGCAAAATGTTTAGCTGCACTGCCTGGCCCATAGACAACACTCAGTAAGCAATGATTTTCTTACTGTTTATTATGTTGTCATCATGATCGTGGCTACCACTGAGTTTTTTTTTTTTTTTTTTTTTTCCTTTGGAGATGAACTCTCCCTCCATTGCCTAGGCTGGAGTGCATGGTGTGATCTCGGCTCACTGCAACCTCCGCCTCCTGGGTTCAAGCAATTCTCCTGCCTCAGCCTCCCAAGTAGCTGGGATTACAGGATTGCACCACCATACCCGGCTAATTTTTGTAATTTTAGTAGAGATAGGGTTTCACCATGTTGGCCAGGCTGGTCTCAAACTCCTGGCCTCAAGTGATCCACCTGTCTCTGCCTCCCAAAGTGCTGGGATTACAGGTGTGAGCCACTGCACCCATCCTGTAGCTACCACTGAGCTTAGAACTGATCTGGCTCCCAGGAGTTGCTGTGTCTTGGAAGAATAAGTGAATGAGAGCCCACGTCCACAAGAGTGGTGGCCGGACTTTTATATACACATATATAACTTATGTATGTCTATTGAATTTACAAGGCATGGCTGGCCTTCCCAGGCCTGACACCAGCTGGATCCTCTCATGCCTCCCTGCCTTGACTCATGCAGTGCCCCACTCAACTAACTTGCACCCCTCTCACAAGTCTCCCTTCCTCTCAGGAGCTGCTCCCGAAATTCGCCAACTCACCCTGGGCCTCTGTCTGGCGTTGTATCCTCTCTTCTGCCCTTCCCCAGCACCTTTGCCTGCCTCCATCAGAGTTTCTATCAGGCCGTGTGAAAATGACTGATTTTCCTTGGCTTCCCCACCCAGTTAGACTAGACTCTAATGCAGAGAAAGGGCTGTGTCTTTCCCTTCTATAACGCCGATGCCTTATGCAGTGCCTGGCAGATGGAGATTATAAGAGCAGCTAATATTTATTAAGCACTTACTATGCTTTGCTTATTCCAGCTTATTGCATCCTTTCAACAACCTCATGATGTAAGAACTTTTTTTTTGGAGACAAGGTCTTGTTTTGTCACCCAGACTGGAGTGCAGTGGCCCAATCATGGCTCACTGCAGCCTTGACCTCCTGGGCTCAAGCAATGCTCTTACCACATCAGCCTCCCACATATCTGAGAACACTGGCATGTGCCACCAAACCTGGCTAATTTTTAAATTTTTTTGTTTTTGTTTTTTTTAAGACAGAGTCTCGCTCTGTCACCCAGGCTGGAGTGCAGTGGTGCGATCTCGGCTCACTGCAACCTCCGCCTCCCGGGTTCAAGCGATTGTCCTTCTTTAGCCTTCTGAGTAGCTGGGATTACAGGTGTGTGCCTCCACCATGCCTGGCTAATTATTATATTTTTTAGTAGAGACGGGGTTTCACCATGTTGGTCAGGCTGGTCTCAAACTCCCGACCTCAGGTGATCTCCCCGTCTCGCCCTCCCAAAGTGCTGGGATTATAGGTGTAAGCCCCGACAGCTGGCCTACTAATTTTTAAATTTTTATAGAGACAGGGTCTCACCATGTTTCCTAGGCTGATTTCAAACTCCTGGGCTCAAGCAGTCCTCCCACCTCGGCCTCCCAAAGTGCTAGGATTACAGGCATGAGCCACTGCACCTGGCCATTATAGGAATTCATATCACTCCCATTTCACAGATGAGAAAACTTAAAGAACTAATTGCTCAAGGTCACATGGCAAATAAAAAGCCAGAGTTTGAACCACTGTGTTAAACAAATGTCTCTTGACTGAATGGGTTGCCACAGACATAGAGGCCAGTGGCTGCCTTGCTGGACCATTCCATGGGGTCAGACCCCACAGCCCGTAATTTCAGACTGTGAGTGATTCGTCTCCCATACACTACAGTTCTCCCAATGCTTCAGACCTCCCCACGGAGGGGTCTGGCTCCTTCTTGGCTGAGGAGGCTACAACCCCATGGAAGTGACTCTTAGAACTCTCCACCATAAATGGCTGGGATGGTATTTCCTTTACCTGCCAAAAGGTGCTGTGGTTTAAGTTATGCAGATCCAGAGAGAGCCATTTGCTGGGAGTCTGGGGAGACCTGTGGGCATGAGAGGCTGGATATTGCCCTCAAAGACTTAAGGGAGGCCCCCATGGGACCTGTGGGCTGACCCTGACTAATGTGCTTTCTTGGGCTCTGTCAGAGGCTCCACAAGCGCCTTCCATTTGGGTGTTTATTTTCAGCAGGCAAGGAGAGGGCCAGGAGTTGCTCTCCCGTGTTACAGATTGCCAGGCCTTCCCAGGCACTCTCTGGGAGCCCTGCGGCCAACCGGCCCCTCTCCTGATTCCCCCACCCTTATCTCCACTCCCTATCTTGCCTTCTGATACAGAAGCAGAATGTGACCATCATGGACCACCACTCGGCTGCAGAATCCTTCATGAAGTACATGCAGAATGAATACCGGTCCCGTGGGGGCTGCCCGGCAGACTGGATTTGGCTGGTCCCTCCCATGTCTGGGAGCATCACCCCCGTGTTTCACCAGGAGATGCTGAACTACGTCCTGTCCCCTTTCTACTACTATCAGGTTAGGGGCCTTCCTCTTCTCTCCTTCCTGGGGGCTCAGATGTGGCTGTATGTGTGTGTGTGTGTGTGCACCTCATTGTTACACATGTAGGGCACGACGGGAAGCAGGAGTATGTTGTTAGAGCTTTCCAGGCCCCACTCAAGGATGCTGAGCAGCCTTTGTGCATTTCCACGGAGAGTGGCACTGAAGGAAGTGGCTTCCACTGCACCGCTAGTGGCCTGTGGCTCAGATGGGGGGTCTGTCATTACACCTGCTTCCACGGGAGGGCCCGGCAACAGTCACTCAGCAGAGTGTTGAGGGGATTGGCCCCTGAGTCAGACGCTATTGATTCTGCCACTTCCTAGCAATAGGGTCTTGGGTGGGTCCTTTCACCTTTCTGAGCCCTGATCTTCTCATCTCTAAAAGGGATGGGCTTCACTCCACGACGGGGGGTTGTGTGGATCACAAAGCTGGTGTATGGAACAGCTCAGCCCAGTGCCCAATGCAGAATGCATTCAGTAACCATGAGCTATTGAGAAGAGTTCATTTTGTGCCAAAAAGGACTTGGGTTGGATTTTAAGAGCTTCCTTCATCTAAAGGAAGAGCTTCCTCCATCTACAGGACCTCACATGCAGGGTGACGGCATGTCCTGGAGTCTTGCCTGTTGTAGTAGCAGCTCTTCTTGCTCTCAAAGGTGTCTCGGTTGGGACTGTACATTATGTCATCTGCCTGCTGATAAGATGCTAAAAGCAAAAGGAGTGCAGCCTGTTCCTTCCAGGAGGACACTAATGAGAATAAGGGTTAGCCGCCCCCCCTCGATGTGCAGGCTCCATGCCGGGCAGTGGAGAGGCAACTCTGGGGGAGAGGCAGCCACGGCCCTCCCTTGTGGGAGTTCAGTGACAGGGGTGGGGCGCAGGCCAGCCTTCTCTCCCAGGCTCATGATGGGTGTGAAGGGTCCTCTACCACTCCAGCATCCGCGAGCTGAGCCAAGCCAGGACCCCGCCCTGCCCTCACATCTCCTTTCTTTTCTGAAGGTAGAGGCCTGGAAAACCCATGTCTGGCAGGACGAGAAGCGGAGACCCAAGAGAAGAGAGATTCCATTGAAAGTCTTGGTCAAGTGAGTGGCAGTGGCAGTGGCTAGTAGTGATGTGTGAACTATATCTCTCCCTTCTAGTCAGCCTCTGCCTCCAGTCCTTGAAGGGCAAGAACACAAGGAATGGTTATGCTTTTTGCTTTTGTTTTTGAGACAGGGTCTTACTCTGTCACCCAGGCTGGGGTGTAGTGGTGCCATCACAGCTCACTGCAGCCTCTGCTTCCCGAGCTCAAGTGATCCTCCCACCTGAGCCTCCCAAGTAGCTGGGACCACAGGTACAAACCCACGCCTGACTAATTTTGTTTGTTTTTTTTGTAGAGACGGGGTCTCGCAGTGTTGCCCAGGTTGGTCTTGAACTCCTGGGCTCAAGCGATCTTCCTGCTCAGCCTCCCAAAGTGCTGGGATTACAGATGTGAGCCACGGCACCCAGCCTGGGAATGTATATTCTTCGTGGAATTTGGCTCCCAGAGGTCCAGTCGCCAATTCCAAGGGTCCCCTGCTGCCATTGTTCCAACCTTCTCTCTCCTCCCTTTTCCCAAAGGGGCCTATAGTAGTGGGTGAGGGGAGGAAAAGGGTGAGTTGTCACGGTACATGGCTGGTGAGAAACGTAGCTTGCTTTTCCCTCAACCTGCCCCACATTAAACGCTGTCCCCTCCCATTCCCCTGGTCCCCCATTTTCTTCTGGAAGGCTGACTCAGCACACAGCGCCTGCCTGTCTGTCTGTCCCCACAGAGCTGTGCTCTTTGCCTGTATGCTGATGCGCAAGACAATGGCGTCCCGAGTCAGAGTCACCATCCTCTTTGCGACAGAGACAGGAAAATCAGAGGCGCTGGCCTGGGACCTGGGGGCCTTATTCAGCTGTGCCTTCAACCCCAAGGTACTGGCTCAGTGGGATGGCTGTTGTTTTTTCTGCTTGTGTGCAGGGGAGTCTAGGAAAAGTTAAAACGGTTTCCCCACTCCTGGATGTCTCAGAGTCTTGGATGTGGTAATGTGCATCATTAATCTGGAAGAGAAGGAAAGACTTGTGTGCAGGGATTCCAAAACTTACACAGTAGATGAGTTTTTCATGGTGTTCTGGAGAACACAGTTTGAGAAACACTTTCACAATGAATCCAGGCCTCAACATACATCAGCTGCTCTGGCTGAACTTTATTCAGGCTCACTGAACACCTGCTCTGCAGGATGCAGTGCTGCATGTGAAAGGGGGAAGAGATGAGTAAGCTTCAGATAAACAAAAAAAGGCCGCAGAGGGTCTGTCTAAGCTCTATCCCCTGCCTTCAGCACTGATGGATAAAATCCAACTCTTAGGGAATGGTGGCCACGTGCTGGACCAGCCCCGGGCTCTGAGGATCTGACAGTGGGTGGCGCAGAGCCAGGCCTTGCCCTTGGGGAGCTCTCCAGCATACACCCCACCCTCCCCTCCCAGCGCCCTGCAAAGCAGGCGTCAATGCCATTGTTAATGCACAGAGGAGGAACCTGACTGTTAGACAGGTTGATGGGTTTTCCAGGGTCGCACGGCTTCTGGGAGATGGATGTGACTCTGAGGACAGGGCACAGGCCAGTGTAATGCCACGATGGGATGAGCTGTGGTCTGTGCCACGTAGAGGCTTAGGCCAAGGGGGCACTGACTGATGACCAGGTCGGCCAGGTTGCTGAAAACACCTCTTGGGTCCAAGCCTCACCTGCTGGCTCCCAGGAGTCTGGAACTGCCAGGAGAGTGGTGGCAGGTCCCCCATCCTCCGCTGGGTGGGCCTGGATAGAACAGCAAGATGAGGGCACATTTCCCCGGCCATTCCCTCCAGGCACAGCTGTGACCTGCTCATTCCAATTTTGTGGAAATATTTCCACACACACAAAATTGCAAATAGTAGTGGACATGGTGAGAGGCATTTAGACATGGGAAAGGCAGTATTTTTGGGACAGATCTTCCAGGGCTTGCCAATGTGTTAACCATAGGGCTTAAGCGGGGAAGGAGAACAGAGGATGATGTGTTCAAATTGGTTCATTCACGTCCTCTGTGCCACGCCTGTGCCGGGCCCTGGGAGAGACAGATGAGCACAGGAGCCGCAGCCTGGGGGCAGTGTGGGAGGAAGCCCAGGGTGTCTGCGCAGGGTAGGGAGGGCCCTACTGGGAGCCGAGGGCTGATGTCCACTTGGGTGCCATCCAGGTTGTCTGCATGGATAAGTACAGGCTGAGCTGCCTGGAGGAGGAACGGCTGCTGTTGGTGGTGACCAGTACGTTTGGCAATGGAGACTGCCCTGGCAATGGAGAGGTGGGTGGCTTGAGGTCTGGCTGGTCTAGGGGGTGGTAGGGCACGGGAGGACCCAGGAAAGGGTCTGGGGGATGCGGCAGGTCCTACGGAGGACATTTGGGAGTCAGTGCTCAGGCCACTCCGGGTCACTCAGGTCATTTGCCGGCCTCCATTGTAATTATTGCCATATGGGAGTGCCACCTTTCCTATGACATATTTAATATATTTCTGTGAATGGCCTACCTGTTTGTATTTACAAATTCATATTTAAAGGAAACTTGTATCACTCTCACAAATGGAAAGCAGCAAAACATAAATTCAATGAAAACAAAATGAAGTTAATGAATTTTAGCTAGATACTATTCCCTGGCCAAGGCCTGCTCTTTGTTTGTTTTGTTTGTTTTTTGGTTTTTGGTGTTTGTTTGTTTATTTATTTATTTATTTACTTAGGTGGAGTTTTGCTTTTGTTGCCCAGGGTAGAGTGCAATGGTGCGATCTCAGCTCACTGCAAACTCTGCCTCCCTGGTTCAAGTGATTCTTCTGCCTCAGCCTCCCGAGTAGCTGCGATTACAGGCACGCGCCACCATGCCTGGCCAATTTTGTATTCTTTTTTTTAAGTAGAGATGGGGTTTCTCCATGTTGGTCAGGCTGGTCTTGAACTCCCAACCTCAGGTGATCCGCCCGCCTCAGCCTCCCAAAGTGCTGGGATTATAGGCGTGAGCCACCGTGCTCAGCTATCTTTGTTTTTAAAAAAGACTAATAGGCAATGAGAGAGGTATTAAAGGTCTATTAGCACCAATATGAGACTGTCTCTCCAGTGCTCCGAAGAATGAAAATGTAATTGAAGGGGAATAACTAAAAAATAAATTATGAAAAGGGAGTAAATACTCACCATGGGATTTGACGCTAGTTCTGCTGGGTCACATACCTCCTGGAATCATCTTGGCTTCCTGGAAAGCCAGCCTTATTTCAGAGACTGTAGGACCAATTGTTGTTGCTTCTACCGGGTTCCAAACAGAATCACGGCGCATTCGGAGCCCCTCTGGAGAAGGCATGCTACCAGGCAGGCCCCTCTGCCAGGGCTGGATGGGTGGGGGCCCAGCTGTTCCAGGTCCCCCATTAAGAGGCAGGGCCTACACAAGTTGCTACAGTTTAGTTGGAGTGAGAGACAAGCTAAACTTGTCAGCTGACAACCAGGTCCTTGGCCAGGTAGCCCCATATGTAAACCAACTTCCGTGGTGGGCTGTGAGCCTTCTCCTGCAAGCTGTGGCCAGGTTTCCAGAAGAAAGGAAAAAACAGTGTTTTTATTCATCCTGGCTTGAGAACTCTGTCATTCCCTCTCTTTCTAGAAACTGAAGAAATCGCTCTTCATGCTGAAAGAGCTCAACAACAAATTCAGGTAAAGCTTTTTCCGTTGTCCTACTCCTAGCCCTGCCCTGTGGACCCAAAGTCTGGGTTCAGGGGATGGAACTGGGTGTGCACAGGGGGTCTTCTCAGAACCGTGCAGGCACAGAGACCTGGGTCTAAGGTCTGTACTCAGAATGTGTCGAGGGTCAAACCACAGAAACCAAGTCCCTCTCACAGGTCTGCAGGCCAAGCATGGGGTGGTCATGGGAGTTGGTGACAAGGCTGGGGGATGGAGAGGACCAGAAGGGGGTCCAGCTCCATTCTCCAGCTGGAGGGGGAGAGTCTGGGGCTGGCTCTCCAGGCTGTTGGTGCTGGGTGCTGGGTGCCAGGTGCTGCTTGCATGGGACATGTGTCTCTGTGTGTGTCCTCGGGCAGGTACGCTGTGTTTGGCCTCGGCTCCAGCATGTACCCTCGGTTCTGCGCCTTTGCTCATGACATTGATCAGAAGCTGTCCCACCTGGGGGCCTCTCAGCTCACCCCGATGGGAGAAGGGGATGAGCTCAGTGGGCAGGAGGACGCCTTCCGCAGCTGGGCCGTGCAAACCTTCAAGGTCAGTTCCCAGCCAGAGCTGCCCCACAGCAGGGACATGACAGGGTGCATTCATGCCTAGGACATCTGTGCTGGGCGTCCCAGGTGGCATGACCTCTGCCTGTGGTCCTGTAGATGTGGTCCCAGGCATGGGCCAGGGCCACAAACCTGAGGGCTTAGGTCACTGCTGCTCTCCCTCAGCCCCCTAGAAGAGCTCCACCTTGTGCACACAACTCTGGGGGAGAAGGTGGCACAGATACCCCCCTGCCCTTAGGGAGCTTCTAGTTTAAGGTCTTTCCTCCAGTGACTACCTAGGTCACCTCTTAACTACTGTGTCTGTTTCAGTCTCACAGCCATAGAGAGCCTGGGGACAGGCACCACACAATGGCGGATCCACTTTGGATCCACTCAGTATCTCCATAGCTCTTTATTGCTGTGATTGCCCCAGTCATTTAGGGAACTCGTCACTCATGCAGAGCGTCACTCAGCGGTGGTGCTTAGGAGCATCAGCTTGCATCGGGGCAGGCTTGGTTCCAAAGCCCAGGCCTCCTCCATGTGGCTCCACACCAGGAACATAAGAGCAATCAGACCTCTTCCAGTGTGGGCATGAGGATACAACAAGATCATGTCAATATTGGCATTCATAGTGGTCGGGCACAGTGGAGCATGCCTGCAATCCAAGCACTTTAGGAGGCTGAGGTGGGCAGATTGCTTGAGCCCAGGAGCTTGAAACTAGCCTGAGTAACATGTGAAACCTGCCTCTACCGAAAATACAGAAAATTGGCTGGGCTTGGTTGTGCGTACCTGTAGTCTCAGCTACAGGTACGGGACTGAGGCGGGAGGATTGCTTGAGCCCAGGTGGTTGGGGCTTCAGTGAGCTATGATGGCACCACTGTACTCCAGCCTGGGCGACTGAGTGAGACCCTGTCTCAAAACAAAAACAAAGCAATATTTATAATAGTAGCAATAGCTACTATGTGCCAAGCCCAGACACCTCTTTGAGTCCTTGCTGTCACCCTATCAGGTAAGTGTGCTTCGAAGTTACACGAAACACACGGCTCAGTGTTTGGCCCATGGTAAGGGCCTAAAAAGTGGTAGCCCCAGTGGTGGGGATGCTGCTGCTGCTGACCATTAACCGCAGTCTGCTCCACCTTCTTCCAGGCAGCCTGTGAGACGTTTGATGTCCGAGGCAAACAGCACATTCAGATCCCCAAGCTCTACACCTCCAATGTGACCTGGGACCCGCACCACTACAGGCTCGTGCAGGACTCACAGCCTTTGGACCTCAGCAAAGGTACCTGCTTCTCTGCAGCACATGGGGCTTGTTTGTGTTGGGGTCTGAGCCCTAAGCCCATGGTCAAGGAGACCCCCAGGTCTTTCTGAACAGAGACAGCTGGCCTCGGGGCCTCCCTCTCACTGCATGCAAGAGCCTGTTAGGGCATAATACTCAAGGTGCTGAGGGAGGCTGTTTCAGGAGGGAGCCCCAGGAGGGTGGTGGAGACAGAAGGGATCAGCATCCGCCAAGGGCCTACTGTGTGTCAGACACTGTGCGGGGCTCCTGGCCCACATGGGCTAAGTGAGCCTGGACACTCCTCCTGGGAGAAAGGCACAGATGGAGAAATTGCAGTTCAAGGAGGTGAAGCAAGCTGCTAGCCTGTGGCCATGTTGGGGTCTGAGCCCCAGCCTTCCAGCTGCGAAGGCAGCCAAGTGTCGTAGAGAAGGTGTCACAGAGGCGATTCCAGGCTGTAGTGGTGAACTCTCCACTCTGCACCCCCAGGTGCTGTGCCCTGTGCCCTGTCTAAGATAGTCCTGAAGGTTTCTGCATATTTAAGATATCCCCAATGTCAACAATGCTCTCCTGTGGATCCCAAGCCATGGAGATGTCCCGGGACTTTCCATTTTTAGGTTCCTAAATTGAATTTCCCAACACCTAGAAGCAACACTTAGAAGCTGCCCTGTATCAGATCAAGGAGCTTTTTTTTTTTTTTTTTTTTTTTTGAGACGGAGTCTCGGTCTGTCGTCCAGGCTGGAGTGCAGTGGCGCGATTCCCGCTTACTGCAACCTCCGTCTCCTGGCTTCAAGTGATTCTCGTGTAGCTGGGACTATTGGCACTACCACCATGCCTGGTTTCAGTATGTTGGCCAGTCTGGTCTCAAACTCTTGACCTCCAGTAATCCACCCACCGCGGCCTCCAAAAGTGCTGGGATTACAGGCATGAGCCACCATGCCCGGCCTGGACCAAGGATCTTTATTTGTGGAATAAAAGGAAGAAAAAGAAAAACCCAACGGCCACCTCAGCAGGATGCCCCAAGGGTGGTGTTCAGATGTCACTGACTCAGACATCTGGGGGCTTCCCCTACCTACGCTCAAGAACCACTTTGCCATTTCACCGTCTCTGTGTCCTCCACAGCCCTCAGCAGCATGCATGCCAAGAACGTGTTCACCATGAGGCTCAAATCTCGGCAGAATCTACAAAGTCCGACATCCAGGTAAGGGAAAGTGCAGGGCTTCGTGGGTGATACTCTGTCGATTTTATTTTAACGAATGAAAGATCAGAAGAAGTCAGTCTTTGAAGGGAGAGGAGAAGAGCATATGCTGGCATTAGCAGCCACACTGTCGGTAGGACCGGCCCACCTGGTAACCTGCGGCCACCTGTGCTTTTACGTCTACTCTTGGTTAACCACGAGCCACTTTTCCAGCTTGGACTCTAAGCATCTGCTCCACTTCCTCTCCTTCCTCATTGAACTCTTTCACTAAAAGGAGAGTGCAAGAGAGACTTAAACTGTTTGATTCATTCTTAAGAACTTTCAGGAAAAGTGTTGGCAGGGAAGGAAATTTCCCAGCTCTGGGAAAGAGCCTTGTGGATTATCTGCAGGTTTCATTGATCTGTGCTGTCCTCCCCGCATGCATTAGGAAAACTGGCCTTGGTTCTAATAAGAACAGGGTTTGTCCTGGCAACAAGGAAAGGTTTCTTCTGATATCCATGTATGTCCAAGGCGGATGCTTTCTTTAGGCAGAGGCTGTAGCCAAGCCCTCGGGGGGCTCCAAGGGCTGCTGGGAAGGGGTGGGCCCCCCTCCTCCCCAGAGGGAAGCTCCTGGGGCCCTCTTAAGCACCCCTGCCTGTGGGGATGCCTCATCCCAAGCTCAGGGTGGTGGCCTAGCTTGTGGAACCAGCCAGGAAAATGAAAGGAGGGCACATTTCCTGGGGAATCTCGCCTGCCCATCAAGGAGCCCTGGAGGAAATCCTGCAATGTCACCTGAGGCTTCATTTTCCTTCCCCAGCCGTGCCACCATCCTGGTGGAACTCTCCTGTGAGGATGGCCAAGGCCTGAACTACCTGCCGGGGGAGCACCTTGGGGTTTGCCCAGGCAACCAGCCGGCCCTGGTCCAAGGTATCCTGGAGCGAGTGGTGGATGGCCCCACACCCCACCAGACAGTGCGCCTGGAGGCCCTGGATGAGAGTGGTGAGCCCCGGGCTAGAAAGCCAGTGCTGCCTGGCACCCTCTGGCCGCCCCACCTGGCTGAGGGGCTGAGCCTGGGCCTGCCGGTGACAGCCATCCCTGTCCTTCCTGCTGAGAGGGCGGGCCACCAAAGCTTATGTGAAAGCAGCTGTGGAAACAGTCCCAGCCCATAAGGCATGGCCCCCTGGCCTTAGTTTCCCTAATGATAACATCCCCCTCAATGCAGTGGCCAAAGTCAGAAAGTGGGATGAGCTGGGTGTGGTGGCTCACGCCTGTAATCTCAGCACTTTGGGAGGCCGTGGTGGGTGGATCACTTGAGGTCAGGAGTCTGAGACAATCCTGGCCAACATGGCAAAACCCCGTCTCTACTAAAAATACAAAAATAATTAGACAGGAATGGTGGTACATGCCTGTTATCCCAATCCCAGCCACTCGGGAGGCTGAGGCACAAGAATCGCTTGAAGCCAGGAGGTGGAGGTTGCAGTGATATGAGATCTCGCCACTACACTCCAGCCTGGGTGACAGAGACTCCATCTCAAAAAAATAAAAAAGAAAGTGGGATCAGAGAAACAGAGCCTGGCAGTGACCCCCACTGTCCAGGAGAAAGTGAGAGAACCTGAGACGTGGGGACGACAAGACAGTTGCCCTTGTGACTGTAGGGTGAAGGATGTGGTTCATCAGGACTCTGTTCCAGAGGAGAGAATGTCAGGCTCTTATTTTTACCCAGTGTTTACAAAGCATCTGTGTACCAGGCACGGCACCAACTATTATGGCACAATTTCATTCAGTGCTCATGCCAACCCAGCAAGATAGGTTGTGCTATCAGATCTGTTTCACAGGGAGGGAAGCCAAGGCCCAGAGGCTTCAGTCACCTCAGAAGTGGGGAGCCAGGGTTTGAACCCGTGTCTTCTGGCACCAGGGTCTGTGCTGTGACTGCCCTGCATGCTGCTCCCTGGGACTTCCCTTTGGGCTCATCTGCTCACCCAGCACATCTTGGTACAGCACCCAGGGGACTGCAGTCATGGGCTTCTCTCTAAGTGAACAACTGGCCTGTGAGGTATCCATTAGTCTTTGGTGGATTTAGTCATTGTGAGTCTGTAGATCACCAGTGAGTGTCTTGCTAAAGTTCAGGTCTGGGCCAGAGAAGGACGTGGTTAGTTTATCAGGACCACGCCAACTTACTGCCCCTTTGGGGGCTGGTGATCAGCCTTCCCTGGCAGTCCTTTCTCCATGCGCCACCTTCTTCCTGCCTTTTGCTCTTAGAGCCAGGTCTTTAGAGCCTCCTTTCCCCTGCAGCTGGAGAATAGAGGGTGTCTGCCTGGGGGCCTCGCTACCTGCTGAGAATCCTGAATGGGGCCTCTTTTCCATCCTGACACCTTCCTTCCCCATCCAGGCAGCTACTGGGTCAGTGACAAGAGGCTGCCCCCCTGCTCACTCAGCCAGGCCCTCACCTACTTCCTGGACATCACCACACCCCCAACCCAGCTGCTGCTCCAAAAGCTGGCCCAGGTGGCCACAGAAGAGCCTGAGAGACAGAGGCTGGAGGCCCTGTGCCAGGTGAAGATCAGGGCTGGTGGGCAGTGGGGGTATGTGGGGGGTCCCAGCATGTGGGGAGCCAGAGTCCAGAGCTGGTTTTAACTTTCAAGAGGGATCCACACCAGGTTCCCAAAGTGAGACTTGTCAAAGGCTGGTGGGAAGCCAGGCATCGTCCGCTGGCCCATGTCTAGGACACAGTTGTGTTGAGTGAACTGAATTTTTCCAAGTGTCTGCAGGATGCAACCAGAGTGCACTGCCTTGAACATTAGCTAGAAAGGGGAGCCGCCCTTATCCGTCTTTGCTTTCCCCAAAACTGGAATAAACTTGTCACTTAAGATGTATTGGGGGATGGATGATGTGGATGAATGGATAAATGGGCATAATGGGCAGAGTGACAGATGGAGAGCTGAATTAATAAGTTAATGAGAGAATGCGTTAACTCACCTGCAACTGTCTGGTTCCAAGTCTTTGCAAAAGGCACTGGTTGTCATTATTATCATCATCATTATAGCTAATTATCTCAATTTAAGCTACCTCCACCGCCATTATTTTGTGGCTGCAATGTACTAACTTGGCACATGCTTTCTCATTTAATTCCCATAACATCCCCACAAGACAGGCAATACTGTCCTTGTTTCACAAAGGGTAATTGGGACAAGATTCCACAGCTAGTGAGGACACCCAGCCAAGATTTGAACCCAGGTCTGATTGGTTCCAAAGCCTTGCCCCAAATAAATTACAATAAAGATTTGACCCCTGCCCATGAGTTGCCGACAGTGGAGGTAACACAAGTTAGATAAATGTACTGGACTGAGTTCCTCCAGGACAGGCACTTATTTTGTCTCAAGTTTGGTCGTCTCAGCACCATGGACAGTGCCTGGCACATGGACTTGTTTGTTGAGTGAGTGAATGAATGAATGAATACTGGGTTGTGACAGTCTTTTCCCCAAAGCGGGACAGGCGCCCTGAGTCACTGACATCACCCTTGGCTTTTAGCCCTCAGAGTACAGCAAGTGGAAGTTCACCAACAGCCCCACATTCCTGGAGGTGCTAGAGGAGTTCCCGTCCCTGCGGGTGTCTGCTGGCTTCCTGCTTTCCCAGCTCCCCATTCTGAAGCCCAGGTTCTACTCCATCAGCTCCTCCCGGGATCACACGCCCACAGAGATCCACCTGACTGTGGCCGTGGTCACCTACCACACCCGAGGTGAGCCAGGGGCAGAGGCTCTGGAACAGCCCCGCTCCGCCCATTATTGGACATCTGTTCATCAACTCAGATTCAGCTCCCTCATCAGTTCAAGGAGGGAGGGAACACCCACAGCCCAGAGTTGTTAACAGTATTAGGAGGTGTGTGGGAGAGATCTCTAGGAACCAGGCACTAAACCAAGCCTTCTGTATGTATATGATCAGTTACATTGTGGGGTAGGCACTGTGTGCATTTTACAGGTGGCACAGAAAGTCACACTGTTAGTAAGTGGAGAGCTGAGATTCAGACCTGGATAGTCTAACTGCTGAGTCCAAGTCCTCCACCACTCCACTGTCCCACTACTCTTGGGACAATTTAATGAGATCAGATGTGAAGAGCACTCAACCCTTGGTAGGAGGCCAGTGGTTCTTAGTCTTCCCAATCATGCAGCCTGAACGCAGGGGAGATTCTGCATTGATTATTCATTCACTCACTCAGCTATTCAGTGGGTGCCTGGCACTGGGGTGGGTATGGAAATACAACAGAGATCAGCCCTGCCCTCAGGGAGCATCTAGAGGCGGCAGTGGAGAGATAGGCATAGAAATAATTAGATGATTTTCATTGTGCTGAAGCCAAGAAGGAAAGGTCAGGGTCACTGAGGGAAGCAGAGCAGGGGGTGACGCTGCCATAGAGCGGGAGGCCAACATCTCGTCCAGGTGGTCTCGGCTCCACCACTGGCCGCTGCCCCCTGCCCTGCCCTCTGTAACTGAGCATTGCCTGGGTTGGCAAAGCTGGGAGCTGCCCACACTTCCGAGCCCTCTGTCCTCAAGAAGCAAAAACACAGTTTCTAAAACCTTGGCAGAGACTCTATTTGCCCTGCTAGAGAACAGCCACCCAGACCAGGAGAGGAGAGGCAGACGTGTCCTGTGAGATCAAAGTTTAATCCCGAGGAAAACCAGGGGGACCTCTGCAGTTGGTTGGAGGCCTTCCTCAAGTGCTGGGCCATTGTAAAGGGAACACAACCCAGAGAGACCTCCTGGGTTTCTACAAGCCCAGGAGGGCCCACTGAGGAGGAAAGCAAGGTGCCAGAGCAGGCTGAAATGCGCGGAACTCATCCACCACCCAGGGTTGCTACCAGCAAGGGCCACGCTCATGAGCACGCACAGCAGTAGCCACCCTGAGGGGCCACTTCATGCTGCTGTCAGTGGAGCTCAGTGGTGAGCTGGGAGTGTTCCCGGAGAAAGTCTTTGGAAGGAGCACTGGAGTAGGAGTCAGGGAAGCTGAGCTGTCCACCTGATTCCACCACGACCTGAGTGACCTTTTTCAAGTCACTTTTCCTCTCCCCGTCTCAGTTTCTGCTTGGGCAGAAGGAGCAACTTGCAGCCTCTCTAAGTCCCTTTCAACGTTCCTCAGCTCCGCGCTTACAGAGGGTGGATCTCAGAACCAGGAGGACAAACAGCTGCTCATTGAGTCCTGAGAGTGCCTGAGTGGGGGCGTCCAAGGAGGGCCGTGGTGTGGGCGGAGCAGCTGGTACAGTTTGCGCATGGGCAGTGGGGGGACGTTGGTCACTTTGTGGTATCGTTGCAGATGGCCAGGGTCCCCTGCACCACGGCGTCTGCAGCACATGGCTCAACAGCCTGAAGCCCCAAGACCCAGTGCCCTGCTTTGTGCGGAAGTAAGCACCCCTTCCACTCTGTCCCCTGTGGGGCCGCCGACCCCTGGGAGTTCCGGGAGGAAAGGGAGGGATCTGGGGTTTAGGAGACGCTCGGAGCCCCTTGGCCCATAAAGAAGGCACTGGGGTCACACTGGTGTGGCTGCCTGTAGCAGGGACAGCGATGACAGGTGGGTCTCAAGAGTCCAGTGAGCTTGGCCCTTTTACAGAAGGACCTGGGGGAGGTGCTGGTGCCTGGACAGAAGTGAAGCAGCCTGCAGGACGTGGGAAATCAAATAGGAGCTTCTTGTCCTCTCCACCCCCTCACGACCGCCTCCCACAGGCCCAGCTCCCCAGCCATCCTGTGTGTGCGTGGGCCTGGGGTGTCTGAGGACTGGCCCCCTCTTCTCCTGTCCTCTTCAGTGCCAGCGGCTTCCACCTCCCCGAGGATCCCTCCCATCCTTGCATCCTCATCGGGCCTGGCACAGGCATCGCGCCCTTCCGCAGTTTCTGGCAGCAACGGCTCCATGACTCCCAGCACAAGGGTAAGGCTGGAGGCTTCCCAGGTGGGAGGGGCACCAGGGGGCCAGCGCCTGCCTAGGAGCAGAACTGCAGCCCCACAAACGGTTCCTGACCTCTCTCGAGGGAAGGCCTCCCAAGTTTGCTTCCCTGTGCGGGCCTCTGCGGGTTAGAATGGCTGCCTTTCCGTCTCCCGCATAGTAGCCAGGGCTCCCTCTCCTGGGAGTGGAGGTAACAGGAAAGTCCCTGCTTTTGATCTCCGATTGGCTGAGGGAATTCTGCATCCGCACTTTCAGTTCTGTGACTATGGATGAGTGATCTGAATGCGCTGGGCCTCAGTTTCCTCATCTGTAAAGTGGGGATAATGCTATTAAATAGCTAGTGGGAGTGAAGTGAGAATTCCAGTTGGGCTTGGAGCCCTGGCGCCCTCTGGTGGCCAACATGGTAACAACAGCCCGGGACTCCTGCAGGAGTGCGGGGAGGCCGCATGACCTTGGTGTTTGGGTGCCGCCGCCCAGATGAGGACCACATCTACCAGGAGGAGATGCTGGAGATGGCCCAGAAGGGGGTGCTGCATGCGGTGCACACAGCCTATTCCCGCCTGCCTGGCAAGCCCAAGGTAAATGCAGCCTCAAAGCAGGTGAAGCATTACACACACAAGCTCCACTGTGAGCCCTGGGTCCCCACAGGCCCCTCGCCTCCCCGAGCCTTCACCTCCTGAGCTCGAAAATGCTGGTAATTCACAACCATCAGAGTGATGCTGTGAAGAGCATTACACCCTCTCATACAGCAGAAGCGACAGACCTGGAGAGGTTCAGGACTAACCTAGGTCACACGCGGGTTAACCCCAGAGCCCAGCCTGCTGAAGGTCCCCAGCAGGCCCCCTGGGACACGCGACTGCCCGGGGAGAGGTGGTCCAGGCTGGCTACGCTCAAGCCTTGCAAGGCTGGAGGGCGGCCGATGCTTCCACCACGGCCATCAGAGGGGCTCTTCTGTCCCCAGGGCCGCGTTACCCCCTGAGCCTGGGGTGTCAGAATAGACTCTCGGCCTTCACACATTTGTCCCATCAGGGCACCTCTTGGGCCCAGTGCTCTGTGCCCAGTGCTGGGGCCACTGGGCATCCTGTGTGGAGCAGGAGCAGAGAGTCCCTGACTGACTCCTGGACCTTGTATCTGGGGAGCCCGGGATCCATACCCTGCAGAGACCTAATGGGTAGACTGCATTGAGAGGCTCCCTTTTCTGGGGTGTAGGCAGAGCCCTGGGCAGGGGGACTGCCTTCATTGATGCCTTTTTGAAGCATGGCAAATTCAGAGACAGTCTGGGATCCCCACTGGATGGTCAGCCCCTCGAGGGCAGGACTGTGTCCAGCATTTATCTCTCTAATCCCAGCCGAGCCCCAGGGGCATCCATGCACCTCATCCTGAGCCTGGCCCCTTGCAAGGTCCTGGCTGGAAGGGGACTCACTCCTCACCCCTTAGTGCCCCTCTCCCCGCCTCCTTGAGGCCAGCAGGCCTGCCTGCAAGCCTTGTCCTGAGCAGCTGAGGACTGAACCCACTGTTTCCTCTGGTTTCAGGTCTATGTTCAGGACATCCTGCGGCAGCAGCTGGCCAGCGAGGTGCTCCGTGTGCTCCACAAGGAGCCAGGCCACCTCTATGTTTGCGGGGATGTGCGCATGGCCCGGGACGTGGCCCACACCCTGAAGCAGCTGGTGGCTGCCAAGCTGAAATTGAATGAGGAGCAGGTCGAGGACTATTTCTTTCAGCTCAAGGTATAGTAGTGGGTGTGTGGGCTGAAGGTGCCGGCCAAGGGCACAGGCCGTTGGAGCCAGGACCAGGGGTGGCAGGTAGACCCAGGGGAATCAGGCCCAGAAAGGTTCTGGACCCCAAGAGAATCTTAGCAGTGGCTGAGATCTGAGCTGGGTGGGCTGTCAGATGGCCTTACTGCACATCCTGGACCAGTTGGCAGCTTTGAGAAGTCGGGTGAATGTGTTCCATTTTTCCATCTGTAGAATGGGGGCAGGAGAGTCTCCCTGGCCTCTCCCCAAACCCCCCTTTCAGAAAGTATCTGTGTGGCCAAAGCAAGGCTGTGAACACAGGGGAGAGCAAGGCTGCCCCCCGTCAGCCTCGTGTGAACCTCACACTTCTTATTTACACCCAGGCTGGTGTCTGCTCACCCTCATCCCCCCAGCAGGAAGGGCTTGCATTTTATTGATGAAGATAATAGTGATATTTATCAAGGGCTTACACTGGGCATACTGCTTGCCAAGGATTCTCATGTGACATTTCATTCAGTCCTGCCGAGGACTTTATGAGGGAGGCACCCCCTTTTACAGAGGGAAGGGGGCCTACGGGGACCACAGCAGTAAATGTGAGAGCCTAGAGTTCAGTCTGCCTCTCTCTGGTTCCAAAGCCTGTGATTGTCACTTCCATACTCTCCCTAAGACACATTCATACGTTCAACTGAACATTTATTGAGCACCTACTATGTGCTAGGGATAGAGCAGTAAATGAATCAGGCAAAAATTCTTTACATTCTACTGGGGCTGACAAACCCAGACAAGAAAGAGGTGTAGTGCTTCAGAGAAAAACAGCAGGAAACAGCCCAGGGAACGCTGGGGAGTGTAATTTTAAATAGGGTGGCCAGGGAAGGCAGAGCTGGAAGGTGGCATCTGAGAATAAACCTGAGATGGTGAGGAGGAGCCCTGTGGATACTGAAGGAAACACTCTGGGCTGTTCTGGAGGGGCAGCAGGTACAAAGGCCCCGGGGGTGGGAGTTAAGCTGGCGTGTTTGAAGAACAGTGAGGAGATAACAGGCATTTCCCCAAATGTGTTCAGTGGGTCGGTAGACAGTTGGCATCAAAAAGATTCCAAGGTCGAATAGCCTGGGACATGCTTAGTTAAGGCAAGGCAAACACGTTGCTTTACTACAAGACTTCTGGGAGCCTTCAGTATGCTGCTGTTCATCAGGACCCTTCAAGGCTGGAAGGAAAGAAAGGACGTAGCATTTCCCAAACATATTTATCTCAGAGCTCACACTTCCTGGAGTATCTTGGGTGGGGGATGAACGCTGGGCAGGAAATGGGTATGCTAAGTAAAGCTTTGGAGATGGTTAGAGGGCCCGCACCAGAGCAGGTGCTGAGCAGGGTTAGGGTCTAAACCAGATTCAAGCACAATCTAAGTATAACAGTTGGGAAGACAGATGGCTCATGAAGGTCCATGTGATAGGGAAGCTGGGCAACCCCAGGGGCTCATCCCAGCCTGGACTTGACACGTTGCTCTCTGTTTTTACCTAAAAGAGCCAGAAGCGCTATCACGAAGATATCTTTGGTGCTGTATTTCCTTACGAGGCGAAGAAGGACAGGGTGGCGGTGCAGCCCAGCAGCCTGGAGATGTCAGCGCTCTGAGGGCCTACAGGAGGGGTTAAAGCTGCCGGCACAGAACTTAAGGATGGAGCCAGCTCTGCATTATCTGAGGTCACAGGGCCTGGGGAGATGGAGGAAAGTGATATCCCCCAGCCTCAAGTCTTATTTCCTCAACGTTGCTCCCCATCAAGCCCTTTACTTGACCTCCTAACAAGTAGCACCCTGGATTGATCGGAGCCTCCTCTCTCAAACTGGGGCCTCCCTGGTCCCTTGGAGACAAAATCTTAAATGCCAGGCCTGGCAAGTGGGTGAAAGATGGAACTTGCTGCTGAGTGCACCACTTCAAGTGACCACCAGGAGGTGCTATCGCACCACTGTGTATTTAACTGCCTTGTGTACAGTTATTTATGCCTCTGTATTTAAAAAACTAACACCCAGTCTGTTCCCCATGGCCACTTGGGTCTTCCCTGTATGATTCCTTGATGGAGATATTTACATGAATTGCATTTTACTTTAATCACACTGTATGCGTGTGTGGGTGTTTTGTAGGGAAAGCTCTTCTCAGAGTGGGGAGCTGGTGGGTGTCACAGCCTGGACAGATCCCCGACAGAGGGACACCCCAGCCAGTCCATGGCTCCTCTGAAATGGCTGCCAGGTGTGCCAGCAGCAGATGGAGCTTCGTGCTGGTCCAAAGACCTGTGGTAGGGCAGGGGGCGCAGGCCTGCCTCCCACACAAAGTATCTGAAACGGGGTCTGGTGAGGGTGGGATTGTCGCATAAGGCCAGTGTTTCGAGGAAGGCCTTGAGCTTCTTCTTGGACACTGTCTTAGAAAGCGTTTTGCTCTGGGGCCACCAGTCTCATGCGAGACTGTGCCTTGGCCAGTACGGATGTGGTCCCTGGGAAGGCAGCGTGTCGAGGCGAGTGTGGGCCACAGCATCCTCGCCTGAGGGACTGGGGACCCTCTTGGGTTTGGAGCAGGCCAAGGAAGCCTTCTTAGGAGAGTGGGCCCCGTTTCCTTCTCCTGGTCAGAACCAAAAAAGGAGCTCAGCGGCGGCCACTGGGGTCCTGGCAACACACGGCTCCCAGCTTAGGTTTGGCCTCTGCCTCCTGGGTGCCCTGGCCGACTTCACCCCCTTGCCCGCCACCTTCCCCTTCTAGCAGTAGCATCTCAGGGGCAGGAGAAGGGGCAGTGCCAACCTCAGGCTCCAGGAAAGCTCCATGCCCTGCGCGACAGCCGTGCATCTCAGCAACAAGGCCAGGAGTCCGCTCCCGGACCAGGGCTTTCCAGCTTTAATGTGCGCACCTCGTCTGGGGTCCTGTGAAAACAGAGACTCTGACCTCGCAGGTCGGGTGGGGCGCGGGATGCTGCGTTTCCAACAAACTCCCGGATGCAGCTGGTGCCACTGCTCTGAGGACTACTATGGGGCCTGAGGAACTGGATTCTTACTGGGCTGAGCAGGATGTGTTGGCATCACCTGGATGCAGAGTCGGGCTTCCTGGCAGTGGCCCAGTGGCTGGCAGAACCCCACACATGAACACTGAGCCACTTTTCCTATGCAAGCCCTAACCCCTAATGCCGGAGAGACCCACAATGGAACACACACCCAGACGGTGCTTCGGGTTGGCTTCTCCTGACCCCCCTCCCCAAGCCACCTCCTCCCACTGGGACGCCAGGTCTGAGGAGGCAGCTCTGACCCTGCTGTGGCCCTCACAGGCTCTGCCCCAGCCCCTCTCCCATCTCGGAGGCATGGGGCTGTTTCCTGGTGTCCCCCATTACCACCTTCCTGTGTCCGAGACTCCTGCCCAAAAGGCTAGAGCCCCAGCCTGCTTTCTCCAACACCCTCGTGGGATTTGTGAGGGACCCTCTGGGAGGAGGTGTGAGGTCAGGACCCCCTGCCCAAAGGGAGTCCATGCTTTCCCATCCCACTCCTCTCAGCAGCACCGCCGCCCGATTCCACAGACTCCAAAATGTCTCCAAATGAATTAAAGAAGCCACGGTCAACCCACATGAATGTGCCAACAAGCATTTTCATTTCTTTATTTTAAGGACACTGGGAAAGGAGCCAGTCCCCTGAAGAGAACACTCTGGTCAGTTGGTGGAGGCCAGTGGGATGCCATCAGGCTGGCTTTCCAGGAGGGGGTGAAGGGTTGATGCAGGGTGCAAGGTGAGAGTTAGGTTAAAGGTCAGAGGGGAGGGACTGAGGACGTCACCTCCCACCAGGAGTGGACAGCTGGTGGCTTGAGACTGGGGTGGAGCTGCGTGGGGGATGGGAGGGGACTGAGCATGGGGCTTCATCTTCACTGCCCACTCCCCACCTCTCCCCAGCTGTGCCCCTCTCATCAGACCCCTAAGAGTTGTTGATCTGGGTGTTGTGGACCACAGCGTTCTCATCAAAACGGGGATTGAGGTGGAAGGCGATGTGGTTCCCAGAGTGCGGGTTGATGTGGAACCTGGGGTGGGCAGCCCACCTGGACCTTTGTCCACTGAGTTCTGGGCCTTATTTCCTCCCCGTCATCCACAGCCTGCCCAAAGCCAGGGGAATGGCTGGAATCACCTTGAAGGGCTCTCTCTTCCCAGAGGTCAACTGGAGCCCTTAGCTTACCTCTGAGCACTGGGCAGGACAGTGCCCAACAGGATGATGGACTTGGATGGGTACAGCCCTCCCGGAATGATGGTGACAAAAGGCGTCGGCTTTCAGAAGGAGAGGCATGGGTCAGCCAGTGGCAGCCAGGGCAGCCCACCACACAAAAGGGAAGATTGTACCAGGTCCCATGAATTTGGGCTGTCAGCTAAGAAGAAACCAACGATATCTGTACTTGGTTCCATAAAAGCCAAAGGAAAACTTTCCAGTGCTCCTCATATTAATGGGCTTAGATTAGTGTCATGAAAGGAACTTTGGCCAAACACAAAAAGACTCATCTCGTGGGGTGAAAAGGGAGAGCCATGCAATGCGCTCGTATTGACACGACAGTTTTAAGGTTGAAAGCTCCTCTCCACAGTCTTCTAATTCGCTGGGAAGCTTTGAAGCCCTTCAGCTTACCATTTTGAAAGCCCTTCGCTTTTCATTTTGCAAGGCTAGTGGATACCCCCGAAGTGGCCCTTCACCCCCAGCCTGCCCACCACAAACAGAACCTCCGCCCTCCCTGAGAAATCACTTACATAGGTGGGGTGGGGGTACATCATAGGTGGGTTGGCGGGAGTCTGCTGAAAAGAAACCAGGAAATTCAATGGGAGAGCGCATGTGTGCGCGAGCACTCACCCACGCGCACCCATGCATTCTAGAGGGGCTCCACTGTGAGGCTGACCTCATGAGCCTTTGGCCCTTGGACTCCCCCATCCACCTCCCTTTTCATGTTAGCCTTCCTGGAACTTCCTGCCGTGTTCCCGGACTCCACCACGGTCACCTGTCCCTCAACCCCTCTGCAGGCAGCCCCACTAACGCTAAACTTCCGGCCTGATTTGCACCAGCAGGAGAAGAGCTTAAGCCTATGATCGGTAGTGACATCCTGGGGACCCAGGATGCAGGGCCAGGAACCTCACATCCGGGTGCTGGGGCCACTGCACTCCCCACTTGGTGACAGACAGACCAGTTTCCCTCCCGGTCTCTAGGGGGCTTGCCTCTTCCACCACTGGATAAATCCTGCTTCTTCCAGAATCTCTGCTGTCCCAAGGACAGCTTTAGCCACATGTCACCTGAGCCAAGCACTCAGCCCCTAGTGTCCCCATCCTCCTTGCTAAACCGCTTTCTTCCCAACTCTAGCGCTCTAGGGAATTTAGTTCTTGGTGAAGGAGGACACTGTGCAGCTGTGAACTGACCAGAACTTGTAGACTTACAGAGAACATCTGTCCAGGGGCGCTCTGCACTGTGTGGATGACTGTCTGGGTCTGGAAGAAAGAAACCAGGTCTCACCCAGGCTCTCACGTGTGAAAACCACCAGCTCCCACCAGAGGGCGCCACACGGCAGGCACCCTCCAGGGGGCGTAACAAGCCCAATGGCCCCACAGACCCCACAGAGGGTGGGCCCAGGTGTCTCTTCTCTCAAGGGGATGAGCGAGGGGCAAAGGTTAGAACCCTGGAGAAGACAGATGGGGACGCTGGTGGCTCTGGCCCATCTTTCCTCTCGGGGAAACGTCTCTCAGCCTAGCCTCCCTTTGCAGGTGACAGAAGTGAATGTGGGGCATGGTCTTCCGTGGCTGCCCACGGGGTGGCAACTCAGGTTGTTTCATCACGGCCAGCCAACCACATCCAACCCCCAACCTCACCAGGCCGGGCAGATGGTCAAGGGCCTGGCCTGTGCCCTCCCCACTCCCAATGGGAGAGGCCCAATGCCTGGCCCTGCCTCCTCCATGAGCCCAGAAAAGCCAAAATGAGGACGATCCAAAAAGAAAGCAAGAGACTTACAATGGGAGCCGGGTTGGCAGGCCACACGCCGGGAGGCTGGAGGGGTGAGGAGAGTCAGAATAGTGGTTATCGCGGGCACCACAGAATGGGAGGAGATGGTGGCAAAACTCCAGGGAGGCTCTTGTGCTCAGAAATGCCTCCCCGGACACACCCACCTCCCTCTTGCTCCCAAGAAAGCCTTCCTGAGCCCGTGGCACCCAGATTTTTACCCCCAGGTGCACAGGGCTTTGGGGTTGGGGGGTAGGGTATCCCCATTGGTTCCTCTTGAGAGAGAGGAGGCTGGGTTTGATAGAGACCTCATTGCTCTCTGTAGCTCCCACAGCCAAGAGCATTACTTCCAGTGCCATATTTTACCACTAAGGTGAGAAGTGGTATTTGTTGAAGGCCTACTGTGGGCTGATTCCTGGGTTTCACTGCTTTCCAATGAGGGAAGCAGCCTCAGCTCCTGTGTCCCTGGTGAGGTAATGAGGCTTAGAAAGATTAAGCAACTTGCCCAAGCTCGCCCAGGTGGAAGGCATCAAATCCAAAGTGGCAGCCAGTTCTGTCTGACTGTATCCAGCACACTTTCTATCCTCCCCAGGGCCAGGGCCAAATTTGGGCTGCGCTGCAAATGTTCCCTGGGGCTCGACCAGTCCTGAAGTCAGCGTGGCAGGAGGCAGGTGCCCTGTCTGTACCGTGATGAGCCGTAAGAAGACTGCATAGACAAAGCGCCCCTCCTCCCAGTCCCCACTACTGGAGTGGCCAGAGGAAGGGCTGCTCACCTCCTTGTCCTGGATCCTGCCCCACCCAGTAGACTGTTCTTGCCCTGGCTGGTATCCCATTCTCCCTGGCTGTGTGAACCACATTCCACATTCATTCACTGAGTGCAAATGAACAAGGCACAGTCCCGGCCCTCTGAAGCCTCATGGGCATAGGGAGATGGGGGTGGAGTGACGGGGACAGACAACGCAAACACAGTTACAATGGGGTGCTTTGAACTGGCATGGCACAGATACGTACAGACTCTGTGGGGTCATGGGGGAGCGTCCAACAATATTCCAGGCGGGGAGGACTCCCAGAGGAGCGACATTTAGGCAGAGCATGGAAGGGCAATTAGGCGTGTGCTGGGGGCAGGCTGGCAGAGGATGCTTCCGGGACCAGGGACAGCATATGCAAAAACATGGTGGCCCGAGAGGGCCTTGAGTGAGCTGCAGAGGCTGCGTGAGCTTTGTGGTTTAGGGGTGAGGCAGCGAGGTTGATTGGGGTCAGACTGGGAGGAATTTGTATGCCCTGCTGGGGAATTTGGGCTTTATTTGAAGGGCTGGGGGCTGTGAAGATTTTTAAGCAGGGAGAGGGTGTGATCAGATTTGCTTATAAGAAGCACTTATAAGAACTTAAGTGCTTATAAGAACCACTGTGACAGTGGTTGGGTGTGGGGGGTGGGGAACTGGACCCCTGTCGTCATGGTGAGGAATCCCGGAGGCCTGGGCCATGTCGGTGGCTTCGGGCCTCTTGGTGCCTTGGAGAGACGTAAAGAAGGGGGAATGAAGAATTCAGGGAGACCCCCAGGTCCCCAGCTCTGGGTGCCCGGCAGACAGACAGGGAACTCTTGAGTGGGCAAGATGGGGCCTGTAGGCCCTGAGTGGCCTGCTGGCTGGGGCCAGCCTCTCAGACCCTCGGTCCTTCCTACTGTCTGCTCGGCCACCCAGGGCCTCTGTGTTGAACTCACTTTTTGTCTGCGCCCCCTGGGCCTGGGTGGGAAACAGACAGACTGGGAGAATGGCACCGTGGAGAAGGCAGGCTGAACAGGGACTGTGCGGGGGTTCTGTTAAAACAAAAGGCACCGGGCAGTGAGGAGAAGCATTAATAGAGCCAAGGAGAAGCCGAAAGGCAGAGGCAAGGGCAAGAGGGAGAGACCAGGCAGGCAGGGGGATGAGGCAAGGGGGTTAGGGCCCTGCCAAGATGGGATGGGAAAGAGCCAGGCTCTGGTGAGCAGTGCAGGGGTGCGGTCTCCCTCCAGCTCTTCCCTCCCCATTCACCCACAGGGGAGGGAGTCAGGGAAAGAGGGACCAAAGTCAGAGATGAGGACCAAAGGGCGAGAAGCCCAGATTTGCTGAGGGCCTACTGTGTGCTTCGCTGATCTCAGGGAGCAGCCTCGAATGCCAAAAGGGTAATAGTAGCTCCCACCCAGCTGCTGGTGCCCTGTGGGAATGTGGGCCCAGCATACCCTAATCTTCCCATTTTTCACGTGGTATTGGTATCTCCTGACCTTCTTTAGTTTTATTTGTTTTATTTTATTTTATTATTTAAACAAAGTTTTTTGGAGACAGGGTCTTGCTATGTTGCCCAGGCAGAACTCTAATTCCTGGGCTCAAGCAATTCTCCCGCCTCAGCCTCTTGAGTAGCCAGGACTGCAGACCTCCACCACCATACCTGACTCTCCTGACCTTTTAGATGTTGGCAACACATTCAAAGTTGTTAAAACACAGAGGTCAAACAGACCCTGGTGTGGGCCCAGGGGGGCCACTGTGTGACCTCTGATATCTGTCTCCTCACTGAACCACACAACCACCCATGGGGGGCAGGCAATGACCATTCTACAGATGAAGAAACCTAGGCTGAGAGAGGTGAAGTTGCTTGTCTAAGATCCCACAGAGGATGAATGGCAGAGCTTGGAATTTGAACTGGATTCAGTTTGGTTCCTTAGCCTGTGTTCTTTCTAGAACAATATGGCCTCCTAACCAGGGTGGAAATCAAGGGGTGAGGAGAAAGGGGCAGCTGAGGAGTCTGGGAGACCAAGGCAGGTGTTCCGGACAGGGACAGTAACACAGAAGGAGGGGCAGAGTGACAGAGGAGAAGGGGCGGGCAGGTACTGGGACAGGGAAGCAGAGGTTGTCCCCAGAGTGACCTGGGTAGGAGATTGGCTTGGGCCCACCCAGCTGGGCCTAGACACAGCTATGCTGGGCCCTGCATCCCAGCCCCTGGGACCGGTGCCAGGTGCACAGTCTGACCTGGAAGCTGATGTAGGACAGCTGCACAGAGCCATTGACGGAGATGGTGTCCACACGGTGGAAGGGCACGCGGTGGAAGTACTGCACGAAGAGGATCCCGTTCACCATCACCTGCCAGAGGAGAGCACGTGTTCCGGGGGAGGCATCCCAGGCTGGGATGGGGACCACCCCTGAGCTCCTGGACCCTCTTTCTAGAAAATGAAGACCTGAGTCTGGTCTTCAGTGTGGGGCCAGTTACAGGAACGTGTGTGTGACCCGAAGTGCATCAACCCGAGTCTCTACGGGGCTCCAGTTGGACTTTTCATTCTTCTGGTTGTTTCCTGCAGTAGGTTTGTCTTTCTAGTCTTAGCTCACCTGGGGTTTCATTTATTTATTATTTATTTTTCCTTGAACAATTTTTTTTTGAGATGGAATGTCAGTCTGTCGCCCAGGCTGGAGTGCAGTGGTTCAAGTGATTCTTATGCCTCAGCCTCCTGAGTAGCTGGGATTACAGGTGCCCACCACCACACTCAGCTAATTTTTGTATTTTTAGTAGAGATGGGGTTTCACCATGTTGGCCAGGCTGGTCTTGAACTCCTGACCTGAAGTCATCTGCCCTCCTCAGCCTCCCAAAGTGCTGGGATTATAGGCATGACCCACTGTGCCCATCCCCTTCAACTTTGATTTTAAGTTCCAGGGTATGAGTACAGGATGTGCAGGTTTGTTAACGAGGTAAACGGGTGCCATGGTGGTTTGCTGCAGAGATCAACCCATCACCTTGGTATCAAGCCCAGCATCTGTTAGCTAATCTTCGTGATGCTCTCCCTCCCCCACCAGGCCCAAGGGTGTGTTGTTTCCCCCCTTGTGTCCATGTGTTCTCATCGTTCAGCTCCTACTTATAAGTGAGAACATGTGGTGTTTGGTTTTCTGCTCCTGTGTTTGTTGAGGATAAAGGCTTCCAGCTCCATCCATGTTCCTGCAAAGGACATGATCTCGTTCCTTTTTATGGCTGCAGGGGTATTATTTATATATGCATAAAATGCTCATGGGGAGCAGAGGAGAGGTGACCTCAGGTTGCATACTGAGTGGATGGGGACATCCTTATCTCAGATAAGCATACTCGGACTGACTTACCCACAGGCTTCTGAAGCCCAGAGACCTACTCTGCTTGCAAAGGTAATTTGCAATTTGCTTACAAAACTATACCCTTAATAGACCCTGGATGAAGGCTGGAACAATGTCGCTGAATAATAAATGTTACCAGACACCTGGAGAGGAGGTGTGGTGATAGCAGAGGAATGGCATGAGCTTGGAATTCAAAGACACACACCACCAAACAGCAACGTGATGACTCCTCTAGTTCTTATTTTCAGAGTAAAAGAAGCAGCAGGTGCACCTGTAGATTCAGATAAAGGTGCATAAGATGACTAGGCAGCCATGAATAACACCTTACAAGGAAATGATTGTGTTATCTGTATAGTAGCATCACTCTGGCTGAATGTCAATCAAGGTGATTACTTAAAGCCCATTCGCCTGATAGAGCTGGGGGACCCGGGGGTGAGAGGTGGGGAGGGGTTTCCTGCTCACCTTGAAATCTGAGCTCTGTAGCAGGAAGCAGAGGTCAAAGGGCATCCCCTGCTGGAGGGAATGTGCATCTTCCTTTCCTCAGGCCCCCATCTTCCTTTCTGCCTCGTGTTGTACACCATGTACCCTCCCTCTTCAAACAGAAGGTTGAAGTGGAAGGCAATGCCATTTCCACTGAAGCCGGTCTGAAAGCGCACAGCAAACCTAGGCCCAGGGAAAGCAAATAGTCTTCTGTGGCATGGGTTATTGCCAGTGACAGGCACAGGAGGGCTTCGGTGCCTCTGCCTCGCATTTGTCTGGGATCTTGCATACAACTTGCGTCGCAGAGACTGCTTGGTTGGCATCTTTTTGTTTCTCTAATTTGGATCTAATGTGTTTTTGTGCAATTATTGGATTTTGCCTTTACAGTATGATTTTCTAAAAATAAGTAGAAAATGCTTAAGGAAAAGTGCTGATATTAGCAAACAAGAAGCATAGGTCTTGGAAAGTGATTACCAATTGTTACCAAAGATGGAAGTTGTTAAGCACACCTAGAAGAGAGAGCCTTCCATGCCAGTGGACACTTGTTGGAGGCTAGCACAAGCCTGATTAAGTGGGAAAGAAGAGAACAAATGTAAAGAGCATGTGAAATTGGGGCCGGGCGCAGTGGCTCACGCCTGTAATCACAGCACCTTGGGACGCCAAGGCAGGTGGGTCACTTGAGCCCAGGAGTTGAAGACCAGCCTGAGCAACAGCGAGATCTCATCTCTACTTTAAAAAAAATTAATTAGCTTGGCATCACAGTGCACTCCTGTAGTCCCAACTGCTCCAGAGGCTGAGATGGGAGGATTGCTCGAGCCCAGGAATTGGAGGCTGCAGTGAGCTATGATCGTACCACTGCACTCCAGCCTGGGTCAAAGAAAAAAGTCCCTGTCTCAAAAGAAAAAAAATAATTAATTAAATGAATAAATGAATAAATGGAGATGAGTACATTTGAAATACCTCTGAATGTATTTTTTTCTTTTGGAGCCCTTCAGCTTCATCCCTGTAGTCCTTTGGAAATTCCTGCCCCAAGGAAGGGAGAGACAGAAAGCTCCCGAGAGGAGAGGGCCCTCTGAGGTAGGATCTGTCTCTATTCGACAGGATGGGAGTCGGAAGCCTTCCTGGTGCTGGGAGGTAGGGGAGGCCAAGGGAGAGGAAGAGAGGAAGGGGAGGAAGATCAGGGGTGTGGTCCTGATTCCCCTGGTTGGAGGGTTCAGGGGGATCAGGGCCTCCCTGCCCTTGGCATCTCCTGGGGGAGGTCAGCAAGAATCTAGTGGCCGAACTGATGTTGAGTTGGGATCTGCAAGGCCCAGAAGGTCTTAAGGAGAGGACCCCTGGGACTGAGGCAGAGAGGCTTCTGTGGGAGAACCATGAGTCCAGAGGCTCTTCTGTGGGCCCCGCAGACTTCAGCAAGCCACCCTGTGGTCTCCCACCCAACCAGGAGAGAGCTGCACACCTCTGTGTCACCCAATCAGGGTGCCTCGGCAGGGGTCAGCCAGGCCTGCGTGAGGGTCTAGAGCCCTCCCAGCCACTGAGAAGCCATGTGAGCTCTTCTCTGTTCCCAGACAGCCCACCTTGGGAGGGAGGAGGGGGTGGGAAACAGCCCTGATACAATGTTAGTATGTTGAATTGACTTAGTAGTTTCCAGAAAAGGCCTTGAAACTGAAAGAGACCAAATTACTTTGAATGTCAATTTTCAATATTTTCACATCAGCAGAAGGAGAGCTTCAGAGTGGATGAGAGCAGTTACGGGAAATAGAGGAAGTTTGATTTTTGCAACTCTTAGTCACAGTGTGCAAGGTTCAACCCAGAACATAATCATCCAACTCTGACCATCCCACGCCCTCCTTAGACCGTCAGCTCCCAGGGCCCCATTCATCCTGGAGTCCAGGTTAATGGCACCCCTGGGTGCAGGTTGTGCCTGTGGAGTGCTGCCCTGTGGCATGGGTTAGGGACGCATTGGGCCTCCCCTGAGCCAGGCACGTGAGCTTGGATGTTGCTGTTTGAACTAACCCAGGCTCACAGGCACAGTGGTTTACTAAGGGACGAGGCTGGAGTGAAACGTTTCCATCCATATACACACACACCTGGTTCCACTGGAGCTGAGAACGGTCCCATTGACAGTGATCTGAAGTCCGTCCTGGAGACCTCCTTGAATAGTCCCAGAAAAGGGGACAGCCTGCAGGGAGAAGGTGTGGGAACATCAGTCAGGTGGCCGGCCTCCCGTTTGCTCCCCTCCAGCGCTAGTCAGTGGCCAGCCTGGGTTTGACAGCGCCATGCAAGGGGATAGGGTGCGGCTGTGACCAGTACAGAGGGAGTCGCAGCCCCACGGGTCTTAGGGTCCTGTGTGGAGGCAAACACAAATCCAATTAGTTACTCAGACAGTCTAAGCTTGTGATAAAGAGAAGCCTGGCCCTGAGAGGACGCGACAGGGAGCTGAGCTTGTGTGAGAGTCTAAGAGGCAGTGGAGGCTGCAGCAGGAACGCACCAGGCAGAAGGCCTTCCTTCCAGGCAGGGAAGTAGCAGGCAGACACCCTGGGCTGCTAAGGAATTAGGTAGCAATGGGGGCTGCTGGACCTTATGTCAAGCTCCCAGCAAAGCGCCCAGGGCCCTGGCTGGGGACTCAGGATGTCCAAGGGACATAAGGGACCCATCAAGGGTCTGGAGGGTAAACCTTCGACTCACCCGAGAAAGTTAAGAAGAAGCCATCCCCCTCTCCCCACCACCACCATATAACAATGGCCACTGTGACCTTTGCCCTCCTGGCCACCTTCAGCAAAGTGTCTTCCCAGATGCCTTCTGTAGCCGTGGGGCAGCCCCCTCCTCTACTTCTGCGCCCGGGCTCCCCATTCCTTCCCTCAGGCCCTCAGCAGCCCAGAGCCCTAGCGTAGTTTCCCCACCCATCCCAGGCCCCACGGGCAACCACTTTGTCAAATTCTCTCTTCTGGTGCTCTTTAAAGGAGCAATGCGCCATGGTGAGGCATGCATCGTTTTAGAGTCAGGCCAACTCCAGGTCTGAATCCTAGCTCTGCTGCTCATATGACCTGAGTGACCTCGGGAAGCCTATTTCACCTCTCTGTGCCTCAGTTTTCTCATCCGTAAAATACAAAGGTGTTTCTCCTACTGCATATGATTGATGATTTTGTGAGAAACAGCCTGTGGTAAAAGAGACTGGCACATAGGAGATGCTTCACCACTGTCACCCACCCCCCACCTTCATCTCTCTGAGCAAAATTCACAAACTGGTACTTCCAATTTTCAAAGTTTATTCCCAAAATGCTTCATATCCAGTGTGGTTCTATAACCCTCATTAAAGCACAGTTCTATCTCCTGGCTGATTTTCACATTCTTCAAGTTTTTAATGTCTTCTCTAATATCTCCTTTAGGTCAATTTCCTACACAAATTAAATGCCTAAAGGAGCCAGGCAGGTGATGTGTATGGGTGAGATGGCCAGGTGGGGGAGTGGTGGGGACTGTGGCAAAGTAGACGTCACACCCCTCATCTGAAAAGTCAACATCTACTCAGTGCTAATCAGTGATTGCCATCTGGGCCCAGTATTGGCAGAGCTTCCAAATTTTTAAGAGAAGACAGAAGTCTGGATTTTTATTTTTCTGTAAAATTTTCTAATTTCTTAGAGGAAAATTTTTGTCAAAAAGGATTATGTTAAAGTTCCTGGCTGGGCACAGTGGCTCACATCTATAATTGCAGGACATTGGGAGGCCGAGGCAAAACAATCACTTGAGACCAGGAGTTTGAGGCCAGCCAGCCTGGGCAACATAGTGGGACCCCCATCTCTACAAAAAAATAAAAAAATTAGCCAGATGTGGCACACACCTTTAATCCCAGCTATTTGGGAGGCTGAGGTGGGAGGATCACTTGAGCCTGGGAGGTTGAGGCCACAATCACGCCACTGCACTCCAGCCTGGGCAACCAAGTGAGATCCTGTCTCAAATGAAATTCCCCAAATTCCCATATTATAGAGATACAAAATGAAATATTTGCAATGGAATGGTATCTCTGGATTTGCTTCCACATATTTGAGGGTGGGAAGGGAAGCAAGCGAGGGAGGGTATAGGATGAAGCAAGATAGGCCTGAATTGATCATTGTTGGAGCAGAGTGATGGGTGTGTGTTGTTGATGGTACAATTCTCTCTGCATGTTTGAATTTCCTATAATAACAAGTTAAACACTGTGCAGACCAAACAGAAAACACCCACCAGCCAAATTCAGCCTACTCGCCACTGCTTTCTGGTCTGTATTGTTGAGTTGTGTGACCACAAAGAACCCTGGGAAACCCATCCTAGCTCAGTGTACACACCTGGCATCGTGAAAGCCCCAGAAAATCTGGGATCTGATTCAGATAGACTCTGCTCCCCATGGATTTGAGGGGGGTGTCTTTTGTTGCCCCTCAGGTCAGGTCTGAACTCTGCCATTAAGTACTTTAGTGACCTCAAGCAAATCACAGCTTCTTTGTGTCTCTGACTTCTCTTTCTTGTCCCTGTCTACACCAGCGGTGTCGGGGAGGGAGAGTCAGCCTGATCCAGTTATGGACCAGCACGACCTAGGATTGGGAAGCCTGTTGTCCCTGAAACATGTCTGTGGAACATTTTTCCGCTTGCCTGTTTGTGGAGGCCTGTGATTCCCTCCAGAGCCTTTCATACTATCATGAGAGACAACACTGAAAATACACACCTTCCTGGAAAGCATGCGGCCTCCACTCAAGCGTATTCACAGCACAGCATCCAGAATTGAAGGCAGAGCGTGATGGACATGGGCTCGCAAGTACACACAAGGCTTAATTAAGGAAGCCAGGAGGGAGAAACAGGAAGTACAGATCATGGGGGTGGGACAGGACAGGCTAATCTCCAAGGCAACAAGTTCCCCAAAAAAGTTCTGTGAAGTGTCAAAATGTCTTAAATGGCACCCTCAAATTCTGAAAAACAAGATTATTTTATTTTAGTTTGAGATTGGTTCTCACTCTGTTGCCCAGGCTGCAGTGCAGTGAGGGGTGTGATCCTGGTTCATTGCAGCCACCACCTCCTGGGCTCAAGTGAGCCTCCCACGTCAGCCTCCCGAATAGCTGGGACCAAATAGGTACATGCCACCATGCCTCACTAATTTTTAAGTTTTTTGAAAAGACAGGTTCTTGATATGTTGCCAGAGCTGGTCATGAACACCTGGGCTGAAGTGATCCTTCTGTCTCAGCCTCCCAAAGGGCTAGGATTTCAGGTATGAACCACCATGCCTGGCCTGAAAAATGAGATTTTAAATAGAAAGTTATCCTACAAACAAGGTTATAGGATTATATAGGTTGCAGCATTATAATACAAAAGATTATAAAGCAAAGCATTGGAAAGAGCTTAAAAGTCTTCCAACAGGAAAAAAGTGAAATAAATTAGGGTATTTCCATATAATAGGTTCTGTGTAACCTTAAAAAGAAAAGAAAAAGAGGAAGATGGAACTGAGCACTGATATGGAATGATGCCACTTGTATAAAAAGTGGGTGGGGGGAGGCTATGGACTTGCATTTATTTATTTATAGATAAAATATCTCTGGAAGGATTTTCAAGAAACTTATAACACTGGTTATCAGTGGGCCACCCCCCAGAAACATCCACATTCAAATCCCCAGAAACTGTGAATACGTTGTAGAAGGGACTTTGTAGATGTGATTAAATCAATAATTTTGGCATGGGGAGATTGTCCTGGATTATACAGGTGGTCCCAATGTGATCACAAGGATCCTATAAAAGGGAGGCGGGAGAATGAGTCCTGCAGATGTGACAACAGAAGCAAGAAGAAGCTGGTTTTGGTTTTTTGTTTGTTTGTTTTGTGTTTTTTTTTTTTTTTTTTTGAGACAGGATCTCACTCTGTCACCCAAGCTGGAGTGCAGTGGTGTGATCTCAGCTCTCTGCAGCCTCCACTTCCCCAGGCTCACGTGATTCCCCCCACCTCAGCCTCCCAAGTAGCTGGGACTACAGGCATGCACCACTATGCTCGTCTAATTTTTTTCTATTTTTTTGTAGAGACACGGTCTCACTTTCTTGCCCAGACTGGTCTCCAACTCCTGGACTAAAGAGATCCTCCTGTCTTGGCTTCCCAAAGTGCTTGGATTACAGGCATGAGTCAATGTGCCTGGACAAAGCTGACAGTTTTAAAGATGGCAGGAGGGCCCATAAGCCAAGGCATGCATGTAGCTTCTAGAAGCTGCAAAAGGAAAGGAAACAGATTCTTTCCCCTGGAGCCTCCAGAAGGAAACAAACTTGCTGACACATTGACCTTTTAACATCTGACCTCCAGAATCATTAAGAGTATAAATTTGTTGTTTTAAGATTGGCCAGCCAAGGCTGCTGTGAAATTCAGATCTGTGTGTCCAGGAAACCCAGGAAAACAACTGGACTCACTTTTGCTCCGTAGGGTTCAGGAGGACGGATTTTTGCACTGGATTTATGGCCCCATGGGCTCCCCTCCCAGCTCCGTACACTAGCAATTCAGACATTGGCCAAGTTGCTTGACCTGCCTGTGCCCCACTTCCCTCCTCTGAACGGCAGGATGGTAACACTACGTGGCAGAGTTCTGGAGAGGACTGGGTGCGATGCCGTGTGCTGAGTCCCTGGCTCGTGTCAGCCTTGGCAGTGCAGCTCTTTGCATGGAATGAATCAATCCCTCTGCTGAGTCAGAACTTGCTCTCTGTTCTTGGTTGTGCCCAGAGACTGGGAACTTTCCCTCTTCTTCCTATTTGGAAGTCTAGAAAGCAGAGCTGAGCCCTGCGGACCAGAATGTGGGCAGCCTTGTTCTGGACTCAGCATCACCAGAGGACACCCAGGCTTGCCCCGACAGTGGGGAGCTCAGCCTGGCTGGCCAAGACTGCCTGCCAGCCAGAGCCAGTATGTGGCTCTTAGCCAAAGTGTCCCACTGCCTCAGAGGCTCCACGGTCCTGCTGGCCACCTTCCATGACACTTTGATTTTAGCCTTCTGACCTCCAACACTATAAGAACAAATGTGTTGTTTTAAGGTTGGCCAGCTAAGGCTGCTGTGGCATCTGGATCCATGTGTGTCCATGAGAGTGCACGACACTGCACTCCAGCCTGGGCAATAGAGCAAGACTCTGGCTAAAAAAAATTTAAAAATTAAAAAAAATAAGAAAAACTGCTTGGTGAGTTTTAATACAGTCAAATATCTACTTCTATTGGCTGGCTTTTCTACTTCTAAAAAATTACCCAAGAGAAAGGAAAACATATGTGCCTGTTTTTAACAGCTTTACTCATCATTGTCCCAGGCTGGAAACAGTGCAAATGTTCACCAAAGGAGAAGGGAGAATGAATTGTGGTTTTCATACAACTGAGTGGCCCTCAGCAATAAAAAGGAGCTAGGCCACAGGAAACATCAATGGGCCTCGCAACTGAGCAGAAGAAGCCAGATCCAAACAGACACATGCTGTGAAAATTCCATTCAAGTCAAGTTGAACAACAGGCCAGAATGGCATTACCCTTGGGGGTCTCTGACTGGGACGGGCACGAAGGAGTCTTCGAGAGCCTGGAAATGTTCTGGATCTGGTTCTGGGTGGTGGTCACACAGGTGTTTACATCCATTAACAACAGGCTGAGGCTGGGTGCAGCAGCTGACACCTGTAATTGAGCACTTTGGGAGACTGAGGCAGGAGAATTGCTTGAGCCCAGGAGTTCGAGACCAGCCTGGGCAGCATAATGAGACATCATCCCTACTAAAAATCAAAAAAATTAGTGGGGCATGGTGGTGCATGCCTGTAGTCCCAGCTACAGGGAGACTGAGGCAGGAAGATTGCTTCAGCCTGGGAGGTTGAGGCCATAGTGAGCTATGATTGTACCAGTGCACTCCAGGTTGGGTGACAGAGCAAGACCCTGCCTCATAACAAAACAAAACTCAACAGAAAACCAGGATCTGTACATTTTACTCTACCTAGACAATATCTCCATAAAATACTGCTAAAAGAAAAAAATCTCCCAGGGCCCAAGGAGACACAGGCACAGCTCAGAGTTCTAGCAAATCAACACGTTAGCATTAACTTGAGCCTTGGAGGTGAGTCACAGGTAAGCAGCCCACTAGTGAGTCCAGCCCATAAAGGAGGGCCCTCTGCTCCACACCCTGCCTGGATGGGCCCCAGTCATACTCACTGGCCATCAAAAGTTCAATGGCTAAACAGTATGTACAAAATACATAAAATAGGCTGGGAGCAGTGGCTCACACCTGTAATCCCATCACTTCGGGAGACCGAGGCATGTGGATCAGCTGAGGTCAGGAGTTCAAGACCAGCCTGGCCCATCTCTACTAAAAATACAAAAATTAGCTAGGCGCAGCGGCACATGCCTGTAATTCCAGCTACTCAGGAGGCTGAGGCAGGAGAATCACTTGAACCCGGGAGGCGGAGGTTGCAGTGAGCCGAGATTGCGCCATCACACTCCAGCATGGGTGACAGAGCGAGACTCTGTCTCAAGCTCTGATCCATGCTTTAACATGGATGAAACCTTGAAAACATTATGCTAAGTGAAATAAAGACAGCCACAAAAGGACGAATGTTGTATGATCCCACTTACATGAGGTATCTAGAATGGGCAAATTCTTAGGGACAAAGTAAAATAGAGGTTAGTAGCAGCTAGGGAGAGGGGAAGTGAAGAGTTACTGTTTAATGGCTATAGTTTGTTTTTGTGTGGGGCGAAGAAAAGATTTTCAAATAAATAGTGGTGGTGAGTACACAACATTGTCAATGTACTTGGTGCCGCTGAATTGTACACTTCAAAATGGTTATAAAGATAAATTTTATGTTAATGTATATTTTATATCACAACTTTTTTTTTTTTTGAGACAGTCTTGCTATGTTGCCCAGGCTGGAGTGCAGCAGCACAGTCTTGACTCACTGCAATGTCTGCCTCCAGGGTTCGAGCAATTCTGGTGCCTCAGCCTCCTGAGTAGGTGGGATTACAGGCACCTGCCACCAGGCCTGGCTAAGTTTTATATTTTTCTTAGTAGAGACAGGGTTTCACCATGTTGGCTAGGCTGGTTTCAAACTCCTGAACTCAGGTGATCCGGCTGCCTCAGCCTGCCAAAGTGCATGAGCCACTGTGCCAGACCTTATCACAATTTTTTTTTTTTTTTTTTAGAGATGGAGTCTCGCTCTGTCTCCCAGGCTGGGGTGCAGTGGCGCGATCCTGGTTTACTGCAACCTCTGCCTCCCAGATTCAAGCTATTCTTTTACCTCAGCCTCCTGATCAGCTGGAACTACATGTGCATGCCCCCACACCTCGCTAATTTTTTTTGTATTTTAATAGAGAAGGGGTTTCACCATGTTGCACAGGCTGGTCTCGAACTCCTTAACTCAGGCAATCCGCCCGCCTCGGCCTCCCATAGTGCTAGGATTACAAGCATGAGCCACCGCACCCAGCCTATCACAACTTTTTAAAAGTGAAAAGTTATGTACATATAAATATTCCTCACATTTGTATCTACATTATTAAAAACCACAAACCAGCTGAAGTATAAATGGGGGAACAGCTTAACACACATCAGTAAGACTGAAACTTGTTTATGCTAAGACAGAAAATACAAAATAATGATTGCTAGGAGAATAACTATTAAATACATGTCAATTGGCCCAGTGTGGTGGCTCATGCCCTGTAATGCCAGCACTTTGGGAGGCCAAGGCAGGTGGATCACATGAGATCAAGTGTTCGAGACCAGCCTGGCCAACATGGTGAAACCCTGTCTCTACTAAAAATACAAAAATTAGCTGGGCATGGTATTGGGTGCCTGTAGTCCTAGCTACTGGGGAGGCTGAGGCAGGAGAATTGCTTGAACTCGGGAGGTGGAGGTTGCAGTGAGGTGAGATGGTGCCACTGCACTCCAGCCTGGGCAACAGAGAGACACTCCATCTCAAAAAAAAAAAAAAAAAATCTATTGCAGATCAACAAACTAATTTTGTGCCAACTGCTTTAATGAAGACAAAATAAATGAAAAAAACTACTAAATTAAGTGTGAAGGAGCAGAAAATCTATTAATTTGGTAATTTTCTTAAGAATGATGATAGCTAATATTCATGGAGAGCTTGTTATAAGCCACATCCTATCCTAAATGTGTTGCTTGTTTTAACTTCATCCTCCCAACACTTCTATGAGATTGATTCTAAAATTCTCTTCACTTAGAAAAAACTGGGGCCTAGAGAAGAGATTTCTCTATAACAAGTGATGCTGTTTGGTAGCATTTTGCCCCCAGTAGAGCTTCTTTCAGAATTGGGGTCAATCTTCTCAAACCCCTCTGCTGCTTTATCAACTAAGTTTCTACACAATTCTGAATCCTTTGTTGTCATTTCAACAATGTTTACAGCGTCTTCACCAGTAGAATCCATCTCAAGAAACCACTTCCTTTGCTTATCTATTAAAATCAACTCCTCACCTGTTCACATTTTATCATGGATTGCTGCAATTTGGTCACATCTTCAGGCTCCACTTCTAATTCTAGTTCTCTTGCGAGTTCTGCCACATCTGCTGTTACTTTCTCCATTGAAGGCTTGAACCCCTTAAAGTCATCCTGGGTGGTTGGAATCAATTCTTCCAAACTCCTGTTAATGTTGCTATTCTGACCTGCTCATGAATGTTCTTAATGGCATCTAGAATGGTGACTCCTTTCCACAAGGCTCTCAATTTACTTTGCACAGATCCATCACAAGAATCACTATCTATGGCAGCTTTAGCCTTACAAAATGTATTTCTTAACTAATAAGTCTTGAAAGTCAAAATCCCTCCTTGAACCATGGGCTTCAGAATGCATGTTGTGTTGGCAGGCGTGAAAACAATGTTCCTCTCCTTGTACATCTCCATCAGAGCTCTTGAGGAACCAGGTGCATTGTCAAAAAGAAGTAATATTTTGAAATAATTATTTTTTCTGAGCAGTAGGTTTCCACAGTGGACTTAAAATATTCAGTAAATTATACTGTAAACAGATATCTTCCAGGCTTTGTTGTTAAATTTACAGAGCACAGGCAGAGTAGATTGAACATAATTCTTAAGGGCCCTAGCATTTCTGGGATGGTAAACAAACAATGGCTTCAATTTAAAGTCACCAGCTATCCTAGCCCCTAAGAAGACAGTCAGCTGTCCTTTGAAGCTTTGAAGCCAGGCACTGACTTCTGCTCTCTAGGAGGAAAGTCCTAAATGGCATCTTCTTCCATCAAAAGGCTGTTTCTTCTACATTGAACATCTGTTGCTTAGTGGACCTGCCTTTATCAATGATCTTAGCTAGATCTTCTGAATAACTTGCTGCAGCTTCTACATCAGCACTTGCTGCTTCAAACTTGCACTTTTTATTTATTCATTTATTTATTTATTTTGAGGCAGAGTCTCGCTCTGTCACCAAGGCTGGAATGCAATGGCACAATCTTGGCTCACTGCAAACTCTGCCTCCCAGGCTCAAACGATTCTTCTGCCTCAGCCTCCCAAGTAGCTGGGATTACAGGCACATGCCACTGCACCCAGCTAATTTTTGTATTTTTAGTAGAGATGGTGTTTCACCGTGTTGCCCAGGCTGGTCTTAAACTCCTGACCTCAGGTGATCCACCCGCCTCAGCCTCCCAAAGTGCTGAGATTACAGGCATGAGCCACTTTGCCTGGTCTAATTTTTGTATTTTTAGTAGAGACGGAGTTTCACCATGTTGGCCAGGCTGGTCTTGAACTCCTGACCTCATGATCCCCCCACCTCAGCCTCCCAAAGTGCTGTAATTGCAGACGTGAGCCACCACGCCCAGCCAACCTCACAATTTTATATTATAGAAATGACTTCTTTCCTTAAACCCCATGAACCAACCTCTGTTAGCTTCAAACTTTTCTTCAGTGGCTTCCTCACCTCTCTCAGCTTTCATAGCACTGAAGCGAGCTAGGGCCTTGCCCTGGATTAGGCTTTGCCTTAAGGGAATGTTGTGGGTGGTTTGATCTTCTATCCAGACTGCTAAAACTTTCTCTGTATCAGCAATAAGTCTGTTTTGCTTTTTCATCATTTGTGTATTCACTGAAGTGGCACTTTGAATTTCCTTCAAGAACTTTCCCTTTGTTTTCACAGCTTGGCTAACGGGCACAAGAGGCCTAGCTTTCAGCTTAGGTCGGCTTTCGGTATGCTTTCTTCACTGAAGGTAGTCGTTTCTGCCTTTTGATCGAAAGTGAGAATCATGCAATTATTCCTTTCACTTGAACACTCACAGGCTACTGCAAGGTTATTAATTAGCCTAATTTCAATACTGTTCTGTGTCAGGTAATAGAGAGGCCTGAGGAGAATGAGCGAGCTGAGAATGGATGGTGAATGACACAGTGAGAACACACACAACTGGGAAGGTGCGGTGGCTCATGCCTGTAATCCCAACACTTTTGGGAGGCCGAGGTGGGAGGATTGCTTGAGTCCAGGAGTTGGAGACTAGCTTGGGCATATAATGAGACCTCTTCTCTACAAAAAATTTAAAAATTAGCTGAGTGTGGTGGCATGCACTTGCTGTCCCAGTTATTCAGGAGGCTGAGGTGGGAGGATCGCTTGAGCCGGGAAGGTGGTGGTTGCAGTGAGCTGAGATTATGCTACTGCACTCCAGCCTGGGTGACAGAGAAAGACCCTGTCTCAAAAACAAAACAAAACAAAACAAAACAAAACAAAACAAAAGAATACAAAACAAAAAGACACATACACAAAAATTTTCTATCAGCGAGGTTGTAAACAATTACAATAGTAACATCAACAATCACTGATCGCTATATAACAGATATGATAATAATGAAAACATCTAAAACACTGTTACCGAAATGTAGCACAGAGACACGAAGTGAGCATATGCTGTTAGAAAAACAGCACTGCAAGACTTGCTTGACACGGCGTTGCCACCAACCTTCAGTTTGTAAAAAATAATATCTGCAAAGCGCAATAAAGCAAAACACAATAAAATTTAGTAGACCCGTACATGAGATTTTTTTGTATTATTTGTTTTTCTTTGTACAGATGGGGTCTCACTGTCACCCAGGCTGGAGTGCAGTGGGACCATCACAGCTCACTGCATCTTTGAACTCCTGGGCTTCAAGGGATCCTCCTGCCTCATCTTCCCAGGTAACTGGAATCACAGGCATGAGCTACCACACCTGGCGTCTCTCTATTATTTCTTACAACTACATGCAAATCTATAATTAACTCAAAACAAAAAGTTAAACATTTATAAAGTGTTGACCAATGTACCAAATGACAATAACACAAAAACCCAATTCCAATTTAGATTAAGTATAAAGCTACATACCTTAAGTAGTATACAACTGTGAAGCAGCATGTAAAAATCAGATAAGCAGTCTGTGGAAATACGTTTCTACATAAATAAACTCAAGGCATCAGACTACAAAGAAATGTAAAATTACAAAGCCAAGCATTTCACACAAATTGTCAGAAAGCCAGCCAGGTACACTTCATCATTTCCGCTATCTGTTTTCTATAAGATCTGAAGATATAATAGCATTTCTGTTGTATCTGTTCTCAACCATAGAGGTCAGAACTAAACTAGCTAATAAACTAGCCTGACTACTCTACTTTAGTTAGAAAATAAACCCATTATAATTTGTACTCAAAGACAATATTCCTGAGGAACCGTAGTTGAGATGAACGCTAAGGAAAAACTTCCTATGTCATTACATACAAAGAAAATTCCTTGAAGTTGTTTGTGGCACACAGATAGAATCCTTGTTCTATGTAATGAGTGCTGGCTTAAAAGGTATGCTTTTCTGAAAATGACATTTTGACCAATTTAAATCATATTTTACATGTAATAAAACCATTTTCTATTTACATGAATCAAATCAAGTCTTGTAGAGCAAACAGTTATGCCTCCATTTATTTCCCACTTTTTGCACAAAATTGGATTTTCATAGAATAGATTTTCTTAAAAGGATAAATGCTCGCTGACATTGGTCATTTTATATATTTGAGATTGACAACGTATCCTCATATTATGGTAATTTTATAGCAATATTGTCAAAGTAAATAGTGTTTTCTGGATTCACTTGAAAATGAAACCAAGCTAAAGAAAACAAAAATTATAATCCCAAATATGCTACCCTATAGAGGAAGGGGTTTTTCTTCCCCTTGAGTCCCCTTGTACATTAGTCATCTTTCTTTTATTAAAAGTCTTAAAATATCCTCTAAAGCAGATTTCAAAATACAACATCTGCAGTTCTGCTCACAGAAGGGATCTGTAATTTATAGGAAGACGATGCTGACACTAGCTTAACCATGCATTTAGCACACTACAGTTACAGTGAATCACACAGGAATTCCACACATCTTCTCTACCCCGTCATCGTTAGTTTACATAGTGGCATCAACAGAGAAAAGCCAGTGATTCCTAAATGTCTTCTCAAATTTCCCAGTCTCCAGGTCCTTGCTCATTTGGCTAAGACCAAATAAACAAACACTATTCATTAAAATGCATCCTGGCCAGTATGGACACAATGACAGAGTGACTCCATACAGATGGCATCATCTGGTTAAAATTAAATTTAAACTTATTTTCCTTTGGGGTATAAAATATATAATCAAATGGAGTTATCCTTCGTATGTAAGTACTTGATAACAGCCCTGAGGTGTTCTATAAAGTCATCTAGAGCCTGTAATTAAGAAACAAATATCTGTTTGTCTCAAGACCAATGTAAACTAGCTGAAAACAATAAGCTACATTTCATCACCAGTTATCGTGCTAAGGAATCACTAAAGCCATATCTAAATAATTCTCTTTTTAAAAAATAACTCATTTCCCATCAAAAAATAACTCATTTCCCCCAACACACACACTGCAAATGGCACACATTTGAAGAGTAAACATGTGATTTCAAACATATATCTTAAAGTAATTTAAACCAACAAAATGTAAGAACTCGGCCTAATCACTTAGATAATATCTAATTAGAATCCTCTTTTAAAGCAATAGGAAAGTGAGTAAATAATAAGCAAATAAGAAAGCAAGTAAATGAGAAAACAAATAAGCAAGTATATAATTAATAAGTAAAAATTTAAAAATCAATCCCTTTGCAAGCTGCAATAATTGATGATGTTGTCACTCACCAATCAGACCGTTTACATCAAGCATTGTGGTGAGATAGTCTTTCACTTACAGTTAACCAGAGAGATCCTTAAGATCTATGTCTTACTTATTTCTACATTTCTTATTTAATCTCTTCAATTATGTTAACTGAATACAATTAAGCTGCAGTGGAATACATATATACTGTTTTAGTGCTAAGAGCTTTTTATTTTACAGAGAACATTTGGAAAATACAGGAAAACAAAGATGAAAGGAGAAACCAGCTGTAATCTCTCTTCCATTAACATTGATGTGGTGGCATATTTCCTTTCAGTCTGGGTAGATGAAGGAATATCTTTATTTGCTTTGTTCATGGGTTGTTTAGCACAAACATTTTCATAATCACAGCAAGTTACTGGGAGACAGAAAGTGAAGCAACTGACAGACTCAGATTCCTACTCAGTTCAAGGAAAGAATAAAAAAAAAGGCTAAGCCATTAGCAGTGAGATACTGGAAAATCACTTTTTACTTTTTTAAAAACAAAAATAATTATTTTTGGAACAGTTTTAGTCACATAGAAATATTCAGTAGAAGGTACACACTGTATACCCCTTCTCCTTCACCTGTGATTACCTCTTGCCTTAGTGTGGCACATGTGTTACAACTGATCACCCAGTACCCATAAATTACTAACTAAATGCCATGCTTTAGAGTTGACTCTTTGCATTGCACGATGGTGGGGGTTTTGTCATGGATCCATCCTTGCAGTATCATACAGAAGAGTTTTACTGCCCTAAGTAGCCTGTGATTCACCTATTCGTTTTTCCTCCCTTTCCCATCCTCAACCCAAGAATTGCTGATCTTTTTTCTGTCTCTATAGTTTTTTCTTTTCCAGAATGTCATATAGTTAAAATTATACAACATGTAGCCTTCATAGACTGGCTGCTTTTATGCATTTAAAGTGTCCCCACATCTTTTCTGGGCTTGATAGCTTATTTCTTAGTATGGCTGAATAATATTCCACTGCATGGATGTACCACCATTTGTTTATCCATTCACTTATTTAAGGACATCTTGATTGCTTCCAACTTTTGGCAATTATGAATGAAGCTTCTGTAAAGTGTTAATATACAGGTTTTTGTGTAGACATAAGTTTTCAACTCATTTAGGAAAATCACTAGGAGCATGACTGCTAGAATGTATGGTAAGACCATATTTAGTTTTTTTGTTTGTTTGTTTTGTTTTGTTTTGTTTTCTTGAGATGGAGTCTCACCCTGTCACCCAGGCTGGTGTATAGTGGTGTAATCTTGGCTCACTGAAACCTCCACCTCCAGGGTTCAAACATTTCTCCTGCCTCAGCCTCCTGCGTAGCTGGGATTACAGGTGCTGGCCACCATGCCCAGCTAATTTATGTATTTTTAGTAGAGATGAGTTTCACCATGTTGGCCAGGCTGGTCTTGAACTCCTGACCTTGTGATCTGCCCACCTTGGCCTCCCAAAGTGTTGGGATTACAGGTGTGAGCCACCGTGCCCACCTGTCTGTTCATTCTTAACAGTGTCACTGGCACAGCAGACATGTTTTACTTTAATGAAGTCAATCTTGTCCATTTTCTCTTTTGTAGATGGTGTTTTTGTGTTGTATCTAAAATCTCATTGCCAAACCCAAGGTCACCTAGATTTTCCCCTATGTTATTAAACTCCTAGAAATTTTCTAGTTTTTTGTTTTTCATTTAAGTCTATGACCTGTTTTGAGTTAATTATTGGGAAAGGTGTAAGGTCAGTGTCTATATTCATTATTCCACATGTGGTTGTCTAGTTGTTCCAGCACCATTTGTTGAAAAGACAATTTTTTCTCCATTAAATTGCCTTTGCTCCTCTGCCAAAGATCAGCTGACTCTATTTGTATAGGTCTATTTCTGGGGTGCCTATTCTGTTCCATTGATCTATTTACCTGGTCTTTCACCAATACTTCACTGTCTTAATACATACAGAAGACAATATACACAAAATAGGAAGTCAACTATAAATGAGAAAAAAGTTCTTTATTTTTCTCCCCAAAGTATTTTAACCAAACATTTTGGTGTAAAAAATAAAAATGTCAACAAATGTGCTCAACTATAACAGAAAAAGAAAGCTTACAAGAGAATGTAGAGCTCAGAGTTACTACTTACTGTTCATTAGATAAATGGTTTAAATGGTTTAAATCCTGAAAAACTGCTTGAATCTTAAATAATCTATGAAATATTATGGAAGCATTTTCTAACTTGTTTCTGAAACCTCTGGAAAAAAACTCCTCATGTATTAATACAAGCTAAACTTCTTTAGAGAAATAAAAAGAAAACTATACATTTCATGACATGTATACATTTTTCTTTCACATACTTGTAACTCAAAAAACCATGCTTTCACAAATATAATAATAGAAATACAATAATATTAGCAATCATAACATCCATGAAACTGTAAAGAATAAACTGGCCAGATGCTGTCTCTTACACCTGAGAACCCAGGTTCTGGTCAAGGCTTCTCTTGGTTGTATGAACTCACCTCATGGACCTGTCATAAGGCTCAAAAGAGATACTGTAAACAAAAGCATCCTGTAAACTGTAAAAGCCTATAGATACGTGGTTCATCTAAATCCAGGCAGTTTAACGACTGATAGCTGCCCCCGCAGAACCTCCTTTCTCGATTCTTAAACAAATTATATTTCCAAGTCCAGTTCAAAAGTTATATTCTTGGAAATCTCCACATCCCACCTGTCCACCAAGGCAGAACAAATCCATCTACTACACTCTAGTATTATGCTCTCATAACTCTTGGCTCTTTACCAGTTCATTTAAAGGTATAATGAGCATTTAAAAATATGTCAGGCATCATGCTATCCACTGGAGAAAAGAATCTTAAATGTGTAAGGCTTACAAAGTTTTTTTCACATACATTATCTCATTTCATACTTTAAAAATATCCCATAGGATCATAATTATTTGTTTATAATTTCTCTAACCAGAATGAATTCCCAGTGGTTAGAGACTAAGTGTGATTCATCTTTGACTCCCCAGAGTCTAGTGCAGTGCCTAGCACACAGAAGACACTCATTAAGTGCTTGATAAATTAATGAATAAAGGAGTAACAGACACTTGTTTGATTAGTAAAATATCAGTCAGGGTTAACACTGAAATAATCTTTCCATAAAGTTTTCACAGGGGAAAGGGGAAAAATACATTCTATTATACAAACACATCAGGGGAGTGAAAATTCTTCCATATAGCAGAGCATCCTCAACTCAAGTTTCTGTTTAACAAAGCCACGTAGCAACTGAAAATGGATTTGATTTCACTCTGGACTAACAAGCTCTAAGTGAAGAACAATGAGTTTTGCATAAAAGCTCCTATGTAAAACATTCTGCTTGGTAAAACTGGACATTATTACACAAATATTAAAACAAACAAACTAAAGTGCTTCTGCACAGCCAAAGAAACTATCATCAGGGTGAACAGGCAACCTACAGAATGGGAGAAAATTTTTGCAATTTATCCATCTGACAAAGGTCTAATATCCAGAATCTACAAGGAACTTAAACAAATTTACAAGAAAAAAAAACCATCAAAAATTGGGCAAAGGATATGAACAGACACTTCTCAAAAGAAGACATTTATGTGGCAAACAAACATGAAAAAAAGCTCATCATAACTGGTCATTAGAGGAATGCAAATCAAAACCACAATGAGATTCCATCTCATGCCAGTTAGAATGGCAATCATTAAAAAGGAAACAACAGATGCTGGAGAGGATGTGGAGAAATAGGAATGCTTTTATACTGTTGGTGGGAGTGTAAATTAGTTCAACCATTGTGGAAGACAGTGTGGTGATTCCTCAAGGATCTAAAATCAGAAATACCATTTGACCCAGCAATCCCATTACTGGGTATATACCCACAGAATTATAAATCATTCTACTGTAAAGACACATGCACATGTATGTTTATTGCAGCACTATTTACAACAGCAAAGACTTGGAACGAACTCAAATGCCCATCAGTGATAGACTGGATAAAGAAAACGTGGCACATATACACCATGGAATACAATGCAGACATAAAAAAGAATGAGTTCATGTTCTTTTCAGGGACGTGGATGAAGCTGGAAACCATCATTCTCAGCAAACTAACACAGGAATAGAAATCCAAACACCACATGTTCTCACTCATAAGTGGGAGGTGAACAATGAGAACACATGGACACAGGGAGGGAAACATCACACACCAGGGCCTGTTGGGGGGTTGTGGGCAAGGGGAGGGATAGCATTAGGACAAAAACCTAATGCATGCAGGGCTTAAAACCTAGATGACAGGTTGCTAGGTGCAGCAAACCACCATGGCACAGTTATACCTATGTAACAACCATGCACGTTCTGCACATGTATCCCAGAACTTAATGTATAATTAAAAATAAATAATAGGCTGGGCTCATGCCTGTAATGCCAGCACTTTGGGAGGCCAAGGTGGGTGGATCACCTGAGGTCAGAAGTTCGAGACGAGCCTGGTCAATTGGCTCACTGCAATGTCCACCTCCCGGGTTCAAGCAATTCTCCTGCCTCAGCTTCCCTAGTAGCTGGGATTACAGGCACTGAGCATGGGGCTTGGCTAATTTTTTTTTTTTTAGTAGAGATGGGGTTTCCCATCTTGGCCAGGCTGGTCTTGAATTCCCGTTCTCAGGTGATCCACCCACCTCGGCCTCCCAAAATGTTGAGATTACAGGCGTGAGCCACTGTGCCCAGCCTATTATCCCAGTTTATATATATATATATATATATATATATATATATATATATATATATATTTAATTATTTTGAACAGTGTCTTGCTCTGTTGCCCAGGCTAGAGTGCAGTGGTGCGATCTCAGCTCACTGCAACCTTCCTCTCCTGGGTTCAGGTGATTCTTCTACCTCTGTCTCTTGAGTAGCTGGAATTACAGGTGCGCACCACCATGCCCACCTAATTTTTTTTTTCTTTTGAGATAGAGTTTCACACTTGTTGCCCAGGCTGGAGTGCAATGGCATGATCTTGGCTCACCACAACCTCTGCCTCCCAGGTTCAAGTGATTCTCCTGCCTCTTGAGCTTTCTGAGTAGCTGGGATTACAGGTATGCACCACTACAACTGGCTAATTTTGTATTTTTAGTAGAGACAGGGTCTCTCCATGTTGGTCAGGCTGGTCTAAACTTCCGACCTTAGATGATCTGCCCACCTCAGCCTCCCAAAGTGCTGGGATTACAGGCATGAGCCACTGCACCTTGCCAATTTTTGTATTTTTTAGTAGAGATGGGGTTTCACCTTGTTGGCCAGGCTGGTCTCAAACTTCCCACCTCAAATGGTCCACCCACCTTGGCCTGTCAAAGTGCTGGGATTACAGGCATGAGCCACCATGCCCGGCCTTATTTTTATTTTTTTTAGAAACAGGATCACCTTCTGTCACCCCAGGCTGGAGTGCGGTGGCATGGTCATAGCTCACTGCAACCTTCAACTCCTGGGCTCAAAAGATGTTTCCACCTCAGCCTCCCAAGTAGCTGGGACCACAACCATGTACAGATTATTATTTCATTTTAAACATTTTTTAAAAAGACAGAGTAACTGATCTTTCAGTTCTCAATAACATTATGCCATGGTGGTTATACAATGAAAATAAAACACAAATATAATGAAGTACAAATTCAATGAAAGCAAAATACAATGCCAATCAATATTTAAAGAAGAAAATCACAGAGAAGGCTGGTGATGTGGGAATTGGTTAGGAAATATGCATTTAGTGAGGGCTCTACTACTAAATAGTTATGAGACCTTGGCCTACCTCTACTCTCTCTGAATCTTGTTTCTCAACAAGAGATGCTTGCCAAATACTTTGATTACATACAACATAAAAATTTGATTAAAAGGAATTTCATCTGGAATTTATTTTGCAAAGCAAAAAATAATTGTTTATATTAATATCCACTTTAGTCTTCAAAATCAGATTTCATACATACATTTAACATCTGGACCAATACCTTGTACACAGCATGTTAATTTGCTAATTGATATTTGTACTAGCGTTAGGTAAGACACTGACATTGGGAAAGGTGGATGAGGCATATGTGAAAAATCTGTTTTTTTTTTTTTTACAATTATTGTGCCTAAAATTTGAAATTAAAAGATAAAACAATCAACAATAAACAGGTTTCAGCAAAAACAAAACAAAACAAAGGGAAAAGTTCTTCCTCAAACTGATTAAGACCATGTACAAAAATCTTACAGTTAATATCAAGTTTATTGGTAAAATATTAAATGCTTTCCTGCTAAGACACAAAACAAGGCAAGAATGTTTTGCATTCACCACTTTTGTTCAGTATTGTGTTAGAGGCCATGGCCAGTGCAATAAGGGAGGAGGAGTGAGGGAGAGGATAAAGGGAAACAGATTGGAAAGAAAAGAAATAAAAGTGCGTTTTTAAATAACATGATTGGATACATAGAAAATCCTAAGGGATTTACCAAGAAGCTATTAAAACTATTAGGTTGGTGTGAAAATAATTATGGTTTTTGCCATTGCTTAAAAAAAAAAAAAAAAAAAAAAAAAAAGCAAAAAAACGCAATTACTTTTGCACCAACCTAATGCTAAGTAAATTTGGCAAGGTCTCATGATAAAAAATTACACACAGGTGTGTCCGGAATTGGTTCCTTCTGGTGAATTCTTGGTGTTGTTGACTTCAAGAATGAAGCTGCGGACCCTCGTGGTGAGTGTTACAGTTCTTAAAGACGGTGTGTCTGGAGTTTGTTCCTTCAGATGTTAAGATGTGTCGGGAGTTTTTTCCTTCTGGTGGCTTCGTGGTCTTGCTGCCTTCAGAAGTGAAGCTGTAGACCTTCGCAGTGAGTGTTACAGCTCATAAAGGTAGTGCGGACCCAAAGAGATAGCAGCAGCAAGATTTGTTGTGAAGAACTAAACAACAAAGCTTCCACAGCCTGGAATAGGACCCAAGCAGGTTGCCCCTGCTGGTTCGGGTGGCCAGCTTTTATTCCCTTATTTGGCCCTGCCCACGTCCTACTGATTGGTCATGTCCTACTGATTGGTCCATTTTACAGAGTGCTGATTGGTCTGTTTTACAGAGTACTGATTGGTCCATTTTTACAGAGTGCTGATTGGTTTACAAACCTTTAGCTAGACACAGAGCGCTGATTGGTGCATTTTTACAGAGTGCTGATTGGTGTGTTTACAAACCTTTAGCTAGACACAGAGCGCTGATTGGTGCGTTTACAATCCTTTAGCTAGACAGAAAAGTTCTCCAAGTCCCCACCTGACTGAGAAGCCCAGCCAGCTTCACCTCTCACAGCAATCAACTGTATTTCTATACTTACAAAAACAGTTGGAGAATTAAAACTCTTAACATTCCATTTATAATCACATTCCCAAATAGAAAATATTTAAAGATAAATGTAACATAATTTGTATAAGACCTTTACACTGAAAACTATAAACTCCTACTGAGAGAAATTAAAGGAGACCTAAACAAATTTTTAAAATATGCTGTTTCTGAATTGGAAGGTTTGCTGTTATTAAGATGGCAAGTCTCCCCAAATGGATCTCTAGATTAAATGTAATCTTATTTAAAATTTCAACAGGCTTCTAAACAATCGGATATTAAAATTTATATGAAAATGCAAAGGACCCAGAGGAGTCAAAATAACTTTGAAGGTACAGAACAAATTTGGAAGACTTACACACTACCTCATTTCGAAACTTACTATAAAGCTACAGTAATCCAAACAGGGTGCAACTGGTGTAAGGATAGACCTATAGGTCAATGGAACAGAACAAAGTTCAGAAATAAACTAACATGTGTTCCATTAATTCTCAACAAAGATGTCAACATGATTCAATGGAGGAAAGGAGAGTCTTTTCAACAAATGGTACTGAAATAACAGTATATTCATGTGGAAAAAAAAAAAAAGAATGAACCCTGATCCTTAACTAATACCAAAAACAAAAGTGAAGCCAAAGTGGATCATAAGCCAAAACGTTAAAGCTAAAACTGTATGATGGTGGCTGTGGGTTTAAAAATCAACAAACAAACAAAAAACAAGCTAAAACTAAAACTTCTCAGAGAAAACATAAGACAAAATATTTGTGACCTTAGGATAGCCAAGATTTCTTAAATAGGCCAAACATAAATGAAACATAAAAGAAAACACTGATCAACTAGACTTCATCAAAATGAAAAATTCTGTTCTTTTGAAAGTCACCATATGGCAATGAAAAGCAAGTCACAAGCTCAAAGAAAATACTTGCAAAACCTTTATATGACAAACGCCTTATGTCCAGAGTACAGAAAGAACCCTTATAACCCAATAGAAACAGCCCCATAAAAATGGGCAAAAGACTTGAACAGACCACTTACTAAAGAAGATACAAAAATGTCACAACAATCTGTGAGTTGTGAATAGTAAAAAAGAAGATACATGAATGGCTAATAAACACTTGAAGGAAGGCTTAACATCACCAGTCCTTAGAGAAATACAAAGCAAAACCACAATAAAAACCATTACACTTCTACTAAAATGGCTACAATAGAAGGGTGTGTTGGCAAGGACTTAAAGCAATTTGAACTCTCACACACGACTGACAGGAATGCAAAAATGATAAACCACTTTGGAAAAGTTTGACACTTTCTTATAAAGTGAAACACATACTTACCATACAACTCAACAATACAACCCCTAGTATTTACTCAAGAGGAATGACAACATATGGCCACACAAAGTTTTGTGTATGAATGTTCATAATGGTTTTATTTGTAATAGCCAAAACCAGAAAACAACCCAATGGTGAATGGATAAGGAAATTGTGATATATCATACAATAGAAATTATTCCACTGTAGAAAGAAATCAATGACTGACATTTAAGAAAAAGAATGAGTCTTAGAAACACTATGCTAGGTGAAATAAGTGCAAACTGTATGAATTCATTTGTATAAAATTCTGGAAAAGGTAAAACTAATCTATAGTGATAGAAAGCCAGTGAGCACCTGCCCGGGACTGGGGGATGGGGACTGACTCAAAAGGGGCATAAGGAATTTTTTTGGGGTGATAGAAATGTTCTCTATCTTCACTGTGGTGGCAAAGAGTCTATACGTTTGTTAAAATGTACCAAACTATAAACTTAAAATGGATACATTTTTACTGTAAGTACATTCTACCTCAGTAAATCTGATTTGTAAGGAAAAAGAATGGCACCCTTGGTTGACCAATGTGACCCTCAGAGCCCCCCCACCCACTGCTCTCTTTCTTTTGCCCTGTGTGTCCTCTTCAGATGCATGAGTGAGGCCTATAACCTGGGAGAGGGTTTGGACTGGGAGTAAATGCATGACGTTTCAAAATAGATCCATTTAATAATGTATCAGGAATGATATGGATTTGAGAAGAGAAGACAGGGAGGCATGGTCATGAGGTTTGAGTTTCAACTTTTCAATCTTTCTTTAACCTCTACTTGGTGAACACCTACTCATTACTCAAGAACCAGATCAGATGTTCGACTTCTCTAAAGCCCTTTCAGAAGCTTCAGCAAGTTAATGACTCCCTTTCATGTGCTCCTCTAGGGTACGCACAAACCTTTGCATATCATAATAAAGCACTTATTACTTTGCCCTGGAACTATCGATTCACATTTCTTTTCTGCTCCCCACCCCACCTGGCTGAGCTCACTGAAGACAGGGATGATGACACTATGCTTTACTCAACTTCTCTGTCTCCAGCACCCGGCACAATACTTTCCACATCATAGATACTCAACAAATGCTCAGTAAAGCAATGAAAACTGGTACCAACAAATTACATGTGCATCCAGATATGCACATGAAGAAACAGGTGGAATGCAACTGAAATTTTATTATCCCCACCTAAAAAAAATTAAAGGACTTGAATAAATAAAATGTTCATTATACTGATATGTAATAAGACTAATGACCAGTAAGAGTGATTTTAAAATACATCGAGTTGGCTGGGTGCAGTGGCTGATGCCTGTAATCCCAGCACTTTGGAAGGCCGAGGCAGGCGGATCACCTGAGGTCAGGAATTCAAGACAAGCCTGGCCAACATGCTGAAACCCAGTCTCTACTAAAAATACAAAATTTAGCTGGGTGTGGTGGCAGTAGCCTGTAATCCCAGCTTCTCGGGAGGCTGAGGCAGAAAAATCACTTGAACCTGGGAGGTAGAGGTTGCAGTGAGTGAGCCGAGATTGCGCCACTGCACTTCAGCCTGGGTGACAGAGTGAGACTCTGTCTCCAAATAATAGTAATAAAATACAGTGAGTACTAATAGACGATCAGGGTCAGGTGACATTCATCTATCTAGTCCTACATGCCATTTTGGCATTGAAGGGTTCCACAGGGCTGGAGTCACTTAGCTATAGGTGCACATTTTTTTTTTTTGACGGAGTCTCACTCGGTTGCCCACGCTGGAGTGCAGTGGCACCATTTCGGCTCACTGCAACCTCCGCCTCCCAAGTTCAGGTGATTCCCCTGCCTCAGCCTCCCTAGTAGCTGGGACTACAGGCACGTACAACCACGCCTGGCTAATTGTCGTATTTTTAGTAGAGACAGGGTTTCATTACGTTGGTCAGGATGGCCTCGATATCTTGACCTCGTGATCTGCCTACCTCGGCCTCCCAAAGTGCTGGGATTACAGGTGTGAGCCACCGCTCCTGGCCCTAGGTGCACAATTTAATGTATGAGTATGCTTTTCTATTCTAAAGCCACAATGGGCAAAATGGTTCAGTGTAATTTTAGAATTTGTCTACTACATATCAAGCACTGTAATAGGTAAACATTTTACATACATCTTCTCTCATCTTTGCAACATTCCACAAAGTAAGGCTTATTTTACTCATTTAAAAGACACTGGAAAGTCAGAGGATTTAAGGCCATTGCCCCCAAATATACAGTCCACACCAGTATTTGAACCCAGGTATCTGGTTTCAAAACCCTGCCCTAATCATTTCACTGCACTACGAATCCAAGGAATAAAGAAACTTAAGGTATCTTAGATAAAAGTGGCAGATTAATGCGAGAAAAATGAAAAAAAAATTAATCCTACAAACCAAGGAATCTTTTTATGATTGTTATTTTTTTTAGAGACAGTCTTGCTATATTGTCCAGGCTGGTCTCAAAGTCCTGGCCTCAAGCAATCATCCTGACTCAGCCTCCTGAGTAGCGGGGATTACAGGCATTATAAGCATGAGCCAACGCCCACAGCAAGAAGTCTGTATGTTCTTATCATACATGTGACTAAACAAAATTATACTTCAGAAACCAACAAATCATGGTACTATTTTAAATATCATGAGTACTCTGAAACCCTGCCAGAGGTATTTTTAAAATGTCAAGGATTTTTAAGTTGGTGTGCTTAATGTGCCCAATCTGTAATTCTAGTGTAATCAATGGCATGTCCATAAATCAGACAGTACTTCTATGAAAACAAACACAGCCTACAGTTATGGATAAAACACCTCAGTTTTACCTCTTAGATGGTTCTATATAATTTCAGAATTCATGCCTCTTTCTTCAACTCTCTCATTAATTTTATTATCCTTGGCAGTAAAATAATCTTACCAATTGCTTCCCATGTGAAATTGTGAATAAAATTTCCCATTTCTCTTTGCTAGGTCTTGTTAGCTGCCATCCCAGGGAAGGAGAAAGTGTTTTTATAGACAGTCATGTTGAGGACAAATAATGGAACTGAAATGCAAGGATGGATGGCAAATAAATTGCATCTTGTAAACTAACTCCAACTAATTTCTGCCTGGAGCACTGTGTTTAAAAGGATTCCTAGGCCACATCTGGAGGGACTCTGGAAAAAAAACAAAGGAGAAGTAAGAAAGGTAATGGAAAACCAGTAAAGTGTAGTGCTACCGTAGCCTAGGGTTTCAAGGAAAGGAGATTGTAATATCAAGTGAGGCAGAGCAGCAGTCAAAAAACATGAAGAAAAATGTCCACGAGACCTGGGCATGCAGGAGATCACTGATGTGCCTATTGACAAGTTCAGTAGAGTTGTGAGAAAGGAAGTTAATGGGCTAAAGCAGAAATGAGTGCTGACACAGGGATAGCGGGTGTAAACCAGAAAGACAGAGCCAGTGTACTGGATGGCTGAAGAGTCAAATACTTACATAGGAAATGGGGATAGAGACAAGTGTCAGATGGATGTATTGGCCTTCTCAGGACAAATACTCCATCCCCTAAAATCTATCAGAAAGGGGTAAGGATACTCCTGTGTCCGGAGTTGGTTCCTGCTGGTGGGTTTGTTGTCTCGCTGACTTCAAGAATGGAGCTGCAGACGTTTGCGGTGAGTGTTACAGCTCTTAAAGATGGCACGGACCCAAAGAGTGAGCAGTAGCAGGGTTTATTGTGAAGAGCGAAAGGACAAAGCTTCCACAGTGTGGAAGGGGACCTGAGTGGGTTGCTGCTGCTGGCTGGGGTGACAAGCCTTTATTCCCTTGTTGGTCCCTCTCATGTTCTGTTTCTGTCCTATCAGAGTGTCCTTTTTTAAATCCTCCCTGCGATTGGCTACTTTTAGAATCCTGCTGAGTTGTGGGTTTTACAGAGCACTAATTGATGCATTTTACAGAGCACTGATTGGTGCATTTTACAATCCTCTTGTAAGACAGGGAAGTCCCTGATTGGTGTGTTTTCCAATCCTCTTGTAAGACCAAAAAGTTCTCCAAGTCCCCCCACTGGACCCAGAAAGTCTAGTTGGCTTCACCTCTCAATCCCTCTTCTAAACAGGACATCCCAACTGCTGTTGGGAACTGGGCAATGACCACTCTACCTACTTCTTGCTGGATAGGGGTAAAGAAGGGGCCCTGCAGTTGTAGTGCCCTCCAGAGGGGAACTCTCTAGGCCAGTCAAAAGGCCAGTGGGTCGGTCCAGGGGTCCTTGGCAGAAGATGTGAGCTGAGCTCATTTGGGGTTCCATTTGTAAGACCATCTGTAGCTTGATGGCCTCGATTCCTGGAGGAAACAAATTTGACAAGGAGGTTAAAAATACAGGGCCCCAAGATGAGTAACAGCAAGATGGCTGTCATGGGACCTAGAAAAGGGAGAAGCCATGTCGCCCAACTCCGGAGGTTAGTAGAAGAGTTTGAAAGGTGTTGTCTGATTTCAGAAGACTTTTCCTGTAAATGCCAGGTGGCATCTTATACTAGCCCTGACTAGTTAGTGTAAAAACAGCACTCTTCCCCTAAGAAGGTGCACAGTCCTCCTTTCTCAGCAGTGATGAGGTCTAGGCCTCAGTGGTTTTGGAGAGCCACTGCTGCCAAAGAATCTATTTGGGATTGTAGAGTAAGGATAGATTTTGTTATTTCTTGCAAACTGTCTGAGAAATCCTTTGAGTGTGTGGTAGTAGGATAATAAAGTAGATGAACTGGCTATTCTGGTTCTTGTAGCAGTGGCCATTCCTAACCCTGTAAGTACACGTATTAGTTGTATGGCCCTGTGCTGACAGACTTGAGCTTTGAGGGGCACTGATAGGGTCTGATTTCCTGGGGCAATGTCAATATTGGGATTTCAGAAGACTAAGGTGCAGGTGCCTGTCCAGTTGGTGGGGAGGCAGATATAGGTTGAAGTCCCACATAAGAAGAATATGCCTTGGCTGGGTAGACAGAACTGGTTGTGTGTGTTAAAAAGGTGTGTGAGTTTGTTGTTTTCATTTTCCCATTCTGCTAGACTACTTGCCAAGGTAGCTCTGGTGAGCGGCTGGAAAGGGAGCAAACAGAGTGGTTCCCTGTGTTCTATTTTCCCATTGGAGAAAAAACCTTTTTGTATCTACTAGGAACCATTCAAGAGAGTAATTGAAAGAGGGGATGAGAAGGCATTTATTAGTGGTGGGGGCGCTGCTGCAGGGGGTCCAGGGGTGAATGGTCATGCAGGGAGTATGCTTGCCATTAAAAAACCCAGACTGTTTATTAAGCAGGGAGGAGGTGATGATTTTGGGGTCACTGAGAAGCAGACAAGCTGTCTGAATGGAGCTGTGTGGGTGACTCAGAAGTTACTATCATCAGTTGGGGCTTGAAGTTGTAGGGTGTAATTACACTGATGAGATAGTAGGTGTCCCAGGGACAGGCCTGATAACAGGTTGCGTTAGATGCATAAAGGGGCTTGGAAAGTTAAGATGGTATTTTTGGTTACAGGGCCATGTATGGGCTTTTCAGTGTCCATGTAATAGGTGAGGTTGGAAATGTAAGAGCGTAAAAGCTGGATTGCATGTCCTGTTAGGGTATTTTTGGTCCTATCAGAGGTGGGGAAGTCAGCTAATAATTGCACATTTAGAAGTTGGAAAGGGTCTTTTCCTTCATAATGGGGGGTGGTAGGTGAAATTAATAAAGACCCAGTTTTTTGCAGGAACGGGAGTGGCAATGTAAGCAGTAGCTGATAGAGAGACACAAAGCCAACAGTCGTTTGCCAGGGAAGGATTGGACTGGTTTAACAGAGAGAGGGTTAATTTGAGAGTCTCTTAGAGGAATTAAGAGCTAGTGGAAGGGGAGAGGTGACTATGGGGGGTACCTAAGGAAGCAGGAGGGATAGATAGGCAAAGAGTAAATAGGAAGGTAAAGAGGATGCCCTGGAAGATGAGATCATTTTATCTAGTCTAAGTTAAAGGTAGGAGTACATTTCTGTCAGAAGGAAGGATGATAGAAAAAAGGTTGATGTGATTAGGATTTTTGTCCCTGCAGGAGCTACAGTATATAGTCCTTCTGCAAAGAGTATGGTTAGTATGCCACTTAGTAATGTGATGAAACAGTAAAAGGATTCCATTAAAGGGACAAGGTGAGGTGTTAAAAATTTATGTAGGTTTTTCCAAACACCGCATATTCTCACTCATAGGTGGGAATGGAACAATGAGAACACTTGGACACAGGAAGCGGAACATCACACACTGGGGCCTGCTGTGGGGTGTGGGGAGGGTGAAGGGATAGCATTAGGAGATATACCTAATGTAAATGATGAGTTAATGGGTGCAGCACACCAACATGGCACATGTATATATAAGAAACCTGCACGTTGTGCACAGGTACCCTAGAACTTAAAGTATAATAAAAAAATTAAAAGATAAAAAAAGATTTATGTAGGTTTTCATTTATCTCTTTTAAGTAGGAAGGGGTTTTTCCTCAGGATCAGGTGTAGGAGCCTTTTTAGTCTGGGATGTTTCCTTCTGAAATAGGAGAGGCAAGTCCTCCAGTGGTTCACAGGTGTATCGAGGCTGGTCTGGCTGATCTTGGGATCTGAACTGATGGTCCTGAAGGTTCTTCAGGGGGAGTCCAAAGTTTAACTTGGGTGTGGTGAATCTGAGATTCCACTCCTGCCACCTTAACTACAGTGGGGTAGAGACCATTACCGAGTATGGTCCTTCCCACAAGGAATCCATAGAAGGGGAGGTAGAGGGGAAGGACTTGACCAATAAATTCCCTGAGTTACTGTGGCTTTAAAAGCTGGACCATTGTCACTTTGTGAGCTTTGGGGAAGCCCAAATCTAGGAATTATTTCGTGAATTAGGACTTTAACCACTTCCTGAGCCTTCTCTGTCTTGCAGGGGAAGGCTTCTATCCAATTTATAAAGGTATCAACACCGACCAACAAGTATTGAAATCCCCTTGACTTAGGCATATGGGTGAAGTCTAACTGCCAGTCCTCTCCAGGATAGTGCCCTATTCTTTGTTCCCCCAGAGGAGCCTTATGATGGACCAAGGGATTATTCCCTTGGCACACCTCACAGGCTTTGACTACTTGTCAGATGGTCTGGAGGAGATTTGGCCCTGTAAATAGGGATTTGGCCATTTAATGAGTGTTCTCAATACCCATATGAAAAGTTTGGTGGAGGGTCTCAAGTATTTTCCACTGGCTGTCTTCAGGTATGAGTACCTTTCCCACTTCTATCATTAACCACCCTGAGGAGAGAAAACTATGCCCTTGTGAAAGTCCCCATTCTGTTTTGGCCAGGGAATGCTGGGCCTTAATCTCTTGAAGAGGATTGTTCCATACCAAGTGTCCTTCCATAGGTATTTCTAATGGGAGGTTCCACCTGGCAGCAATTTTGGCCTTAGCATCTGCCCAACTGTTTCCTTCTGCCTTTTCTCCTTTATCTTTTTGATGGCTTTGGCTGGGTAAGACTGCCACCTCCTTGGGTTTTTGCACTGTGTGCAATAACTCCATGATTTCCTTGTGGTATTTAATAGAGCTTCCCCCAGAGGTTAGGAACTCCCTTTCTTTCCATATTGCAGCATGGGCATGTAGGATTAGATAAGCATAATTCCTATTTGTATACACATTTATTCTTTTTCCTTTCCCAGTTCTAAGGCCTGGGTAAGTGCCATTAATTCTGCTAACTGAGTGCTGGTCCCTGGGGGAAGAGGCTTACTTTCAAGTACTGTTACATCACTAACTATGGCATAACCTGCCCTTTGCATCCCATTCTCCACAAATGAACTTCCATCAGGGTACAGGTTAAGGTCAGGATTAGCTAAGGGGACTTCTTAGAGATCGTCTCTGGTGGCATAAGTCTGGGCTACAATTTGTGGGCAGTCATACTTGATTGGTTCCCCTTCCTCTGGGAGTAAAGTAGCAGGGTTGAGGGCTGCACACATGAGTATTTGAAGAACCAGTCCCTCAAGGAGTAGCACCTGCTATCTAAGCAGGCAGTTGTCTGATCTCCATAAATTTCCTTTGGAACCTAGTATGCCATTTACATACCCGTAAACAGTGAGGCCAGCCTTTTGCTACTGCATCAATTTCCTTACTTAGGTATGCCACTGGTTGTGGAGTTGTCTCATGAGTCTGAGTAAGGACTCCAAGAGCTATTCCTGCTCTCTCTGTGATGTATGAAGAGAAGTTTTGTCCTGTGGGAAGGCTTAAGGCTGGAGCTTGTACTAGGGCCTGCTTTAAGGTTTTGAAGGCTGTTTCTGCCTCTGGTTCCCTTTCTGCTAGGTGAGTATTTGCACTCTGGGCCTCCTTGATTAGAGTATAGAGTGGCCTGGCCATCTCATTATATCTAGGGATCCACAGTCAGTAAAAGCCAGTGATCCCAAGGAACCTCCACAACTGTTTTAATGTCTTAGGGTGAGGACAAGCCAGTATAGGCTGTATTCATTCTTTGCTGAGGGCCCTGGTTCCTCTGGCTAAGATTTGGCCTGCATATTTGACTTGTTGTAGGCAGAGCTGGGCCTTCAGTTTAGATGCCTTGTACCCTTGATTAGCTAGAAAGTTCAAGAGATCTAGAGCAGCCTGCTGGCATGAGGCTTCTGAACTGGTAGCCAAAAGTAAATTATCCACATACTGAAGGACCAGAGTGCCTGGACTTAAGAAGTGGCCTAGATCTTGGGCCAGTGCCTGACCAAACAGATGAGGGCTATCCCTAAACCCTTAGGGCAGGACCATCCCCATGAGTTGGGACGTGTGGTCTGGGATCCCCAAAGGCAAAGAGAAACTGGGAATCAGAGTGCAGGGGAATGCAGAAGAAGGCATCCTTGAGGTCCAGAATGGTGAACCATTCTGCTTCCTCTGGTATTTGAAAGAGCAGGATATAGGGGTTTGGTACAACTGGATATAGAGGAATTACTGCCTCATTGATGAGTCTGAGATCTTGCACTAGTCTCCACTGACCATTCAGTATTTGTATTCCTAGAATTAGGGTGTTGCAGGGACTGCTGCATTTTCTTACTAAGCCTTGAACTTTAAATGTCTAATAATCTCCTGTAAGCCTTTATGGGCTCCAGGCCTTAAGGGATATTGCCTTTGACAAGGAAAAGTGGTGGGGTGTTTTGGCCTGATTTGGACTGGGTGGGCAATTTTTGCCCATCTGACTTGTCCTTCCAATGCCCATACTTCAGGGTGATTCCCTCCTCAAGTAGGGGACAATAAATAGGTAACTTGTTCCCCATATTCATATAGATAATAGCTCCAGCTTTCACTAATATGTCACTCCCTAATAAGGGTGTGGGACTTTCAGGCATAACAAGAAAGGCATGTGAAAAGAGCTAAATCTCCCAATTGCAACTGAGGAGGTGGGAGAAATACCTGGTTACAGGCTGCCCCAGGATTCCTTGGATGGTAATGGACATTGGGGACAGCCATCTGAGGCAGGAGATTAACACTGAGAAAGCCACACCAGTATCCAGGAGGAAGTCAATTTTCTGGCCCTCAATGGTTAAACTTACCTGGGGCTCAGTGAGAGTGATGACATGAGCTGGCACTTGCCCCAGGCACCCTCAGTTCTGTTGTTGTATCATCTGGTTAGGGGCTGCTGGCCCAGAGAAACTTTGTCCTCAGGTGCAGTGCACCTTCCAGTGATTACCTTGGCATAGTGGACATGGGCGATGGGGTGGCTTGTTTCTCACTGGACAATCTTTTTTAAGGTGTCCTTGCAAACCACACTGATAACAAGCCCTACTGGGTGATTGGTCTGTTCCATTTTCTGTCCTCTCTGAACCACCAAGGTTTGTTTGTTTTCTTTCTCTTATCTCACTTTTCCTTTTCGGCCTGTTCCTCTTGGTCCCTGTTATAGAACACTGAGGTTGCCAGGTTTAATAATGCCTCCAAATTTTGTTCAGGGTCCAGGGCTGGCTTTTGGAACTTTCTCCTGATATCTTTGGCTGATTGGGTAATAAACTTATCTTTTAGGATCAATTAAACCTCAAGGGAGTCAGGTGACAGGGGAATATATTTTCTTAAGGCCTCCCATGGCCATTTGAGGAAGGCAGTAGGATTTTCTTCCTTTCCCTGAGTTATGGTGGATGTCATTCAATATTTCATGGGCTTTTTCTTAACTCTTCTTAGTCCTTCTAGAAGACAGGTCAACAGATGTTTGCAACTCCAGTCCCCATGGTCTGAGTCTAGGTCCCTGTGGGGATCCATACTGGGGACAGCTTGTTAACCAGTAGGGAATTTGTCATTTTATTTGGCTGTCATTCTATCATTTACTTGATTAAGATACCAGGTATCTCCAAACTCTCAGGCTGCAGCTAAATCCACATTCTTTTCATTCAAGGCCAGGGTTCGATCTAACAATAGCATGACATCTCTCCAAGTGAGGTTGAAGGTTTGCCCTAGACCCTGTAGGACATCTATATACCTATCAGGATCATCTGAAAACTTTCCCAGGTCTACCTTGATCTGCTTTAAAACAGAGAGGGATAAGGGGTCATGTACCTGGGTTGGGCCAAATTGCCCTCCCTCTACAGCTTGAAGGGGGCATAACCAATAGCCCAGGGCATTTTGTGGTCCCTTAGAGATTTCTTTGCTTGTTTCCTTCTGGGTGGGGGAGGTTAGAGGAGGCTTATCATTAATAGGAAGGGGAGCTGTAGGGAGGCTAGGATATGGAGGTGAGCTGAAAGGGCCTCTTGTGGAATATAAATTGCAAGCTTTGCATAGTTGTGGATTATCCTTCAATAAAAAGAAAGATTGGACATAAGGTATTTCACTCCATTTGCCTTCCTTCTTACAGAAAAGGTCAAGCTGCAGGATAGCATTGTAACTTATACTTCCCTCAGGTGGTCAGTTTTCCCCATCAGAGAGAGAATACTGGGGCCAGGCCATAGTGCAGAAAAAAATAAGCTGCTTATTTTTCAGGGTTTGCAGGTCAAATAGGTCTAATGGCTTAGGATGCATGTCAAGGGTGAGCTTGTTGATGCTTGAGTATTTCCCATATGAAAGAAAAAGCCACCCACAGTTTTGGTCTTTTTTTTTCCCCACCCAAGAACCCACAATGGTTTCTGGACCCTGCTGTTTGGAACAGTTACACTCACTGAAGCAGCAGCAGAAACACTGCCTTTCCTCTTAGTTCACAAAGAGGACCAAGGAAGGTCAGATTTAGTGGCCCTTACTGATGCATTTTTGAAAACCTGTTAGTTAAAGTCCTTAGCATTTTTCCCTGTTGGTATGGGGACCTTACTCTTGTCTTAAAAAGATGATATGCCTCAAAATTGAGTAGAAGGCCATACCCTGAGGGAGGGAAAGGATCTCCAGGGTTGGAAGAGTGACACATTTTGTCCTCACTTCTCATCATATTAATAGAAAGGATATCCCCCCTATTTTGGAGTCTGTAATTTCTGAGGCTCCCAATATCATAGCTTTGGGAATAGCCTTTGTTAGACCTGCTAGTCTTAGGAGGGATCCTAAAATTCCAGCTAGTACCCCCCTAACAGGGCTTTGGGCAAAAATTATATCTTTCTGATTGGTGAGCCTGGGTGCCTAAAGAAGGGAACAGAGTCCCAAAGTTTATATTAGAAATCATCCTTATAGGAGATACTAGAAGAGCACCAGAGACAAGGAGAGGTTTTTAGAATCAGGACTAGCCTCAGAGAAGAGGTGGGAGGAAGTTTGTCTGACAGGCATTAGGACCCAGGAGGCAAGGGTCAGGATAGATAGTATAGATCGGCAAGTCTCACTCGGCCGATGTAACTATGAGTTCTGCTCATGGCTGAAGGGTCAACCAACTTTTTGTCAGGACCTCAGAGCTGAATGGCTTTCCTCTCTGTTGACCCTTGGCTCAGCCTGGAAGTGCAGGAAAAGTGGAAGCTGGTTCCAGGCAAATCAATGCTCCCAACTCTGAAGAGTCAGGTTTGTTAGAGAGCCTTTTCCCAGAAAGCCTGACACCTGTGTCTTTAGCCTGGTGGCTGTGCTGGTTGCTTTTAACTGGCTGACAGGTGCCTGGTGTTTAGCCCCCAAATTCTAAGGAAAAATAGGACAGAATAGCAAGCAAAAGGGGTCTGATGGTACTCACCATGTGGTGATATCCTGGATGAGCCCCCAAGATGTGTCCAGAGTTGGTTCCTGCCAGTGGGTTCATGGTCTCGCTGACTTCAAGAATGGAGCCACAGACCTTCACGGTGAGTGTTACACCTCTTAAAGATGGCATGGACCCAAGGAGTGAGTGGTAGCAGGGTTTATTGTGAAGAGTGAAAGGAAAAGCTTCCACAGCATGGAAGGGGACCCAAGCAGGTTGCTGCTGCTGGCTTGGGCAGCCAGCTTTTATTCCCTTATTGGCCCCTCCCATGTTTCATTTCTGTCCTATCAAAGTGCCCTTTTCTCATCCTCTCCGTGATTGGCTACTTTTAGAATCCTGCTGATTAGTGGGTTTTACAGAGTGCTGATTGGTGCATTTTACAGAGTGCTGATTGGTGTGTTTTACAGAGCACTGATTGGTGCATTTTACAATCTTCTTGTAAGACAGGAAAGTTCCTGATTGGTGCATTTTACAATCCTCTTGTAAGACAGAAAAGTTCCCCAAGTCCCCACTTGACCCAGGAAGTCCAGTTGGCTTCACCTCTCACTCCTATAGGTCAATTTATAGAAAAAAGCAAAAACCTTAAAAATCTCAATGAGGGCCAGGCATGGTGGCTCACGCCTGTAATCCCTGCACTTTGGGAGGCTGAGGCAGGCAGATTACGAGGTCAGGAGATCAAGACAATCCTGGCTAACACGGTGAGACCATGTCTGTACTAAAAATACAAAAAATTAGCCAGGCATGGTGATGGCTGCCTGTAGTCCCAGCTGCTTGGGAGGCTGAGGCAGGAGAGTGGCATGAACCCAGGAGGCAGAGCTTGCAGTGAGCCAAGGTTGTGCCACTGCACTCCAGCCTGGGCAACAGAGCAAGACTCTGTCTAAAAAAAAAATCAATGAGGTAGGAGTTAAGAACCTCTGTATCAGGTGAAGCGACAGGAATGTCAAGAGGGAGAAGGAAAAGATTTGGTAAAATTCTTGAAGAAAATGAGAATTGCTTGCCAACAGTGTTGGGCAAGCAAAAGGCATCAGGCAAGACTAAGTACTCAGATGAGGTTGAAAATATTTAATAGTTACTTTATTTATTTATTTATTTATTTACTTATTTATTTTGAGATGGAATCTCACTCTGTCACCCAGGCTGGAGTGCAGTGGTGTGATCTTGGCTCACTGCAACCTCTGTCTCCCAGGTTCAAGTGGTTTTCCTGCCTCAGCCTCCTGAGTAGCTGGGATTACAGGCATCAGCCACCATACCCAGCTAACTTTTGTATTTTTCGTGGAGACGGGATTTCACCATGTTGGCCAGGCTGGTCTCAAACTCCTGACCTCATGATCTGCCTGCCTTGCCCTCCCAAAGTGCTGGGATTACAGGTCTGAGCCATCACACCCAGCATTAATAGTTACTTTAAAACAGAGTTAATCTGTATGACTGGTTGATTTTTCTTTAGCCCTCACATACAGAAGTAGAACAATAGACTGTGGATTAGGTTGGCATTTTACCAGGGTACAGCAGGAAAACAGGGGCACAGGAATGACCCAATGTTGGGAGTATTTCAGTTAATCTTCTATGAGATCCAGGCTGGCTAGGGTAGGAAGGTAAGTTATAAGAAGAAAAATAGAGACAAACTCATGAGACTGCAGAGCCTTGGAAGGAGAAAATGTGTTGAGTGACAGTGAAACGCAGAAGATTTTTAAGGTGATATACCTGTAGATGAGAAGGTGGAGGTCCCAGCTCTGGTGAAGGGTGGTTAACCTGTACCTGGTGATGACTACTGGCATTAAAGGAATCCAGAAGAGATGAGGCTTTTTCTGTTTGTGTAAGTTATCTCCTTATCCAAGTTTCTCTTCACCACTGAAAACCTCTGAAAGTTGTCAGCTTCATTAAGGTAAATACAGAAGACATAATTTTTTTCATAATGACAAAATGCTTCTACAGAAAAAGCACCATATGCCTGGTCAGATAATGAGTGTATGGCTTGGGACAAATCATAGCATTTCAGTGTTTGAGGTAATCTAGTCTGTCTGTCCTTTTTATTCCTTAATTCTCCATCTGTAAAGACAGCAACAATATAATCAACCATCTATCTTGTATAAAATAAATATGAAGAGAGAAATGATTATAAAGGCAGAAGTTCTTGGGATGAGGTTAAGAACTTTAAAATACAAAATTAACTAGATACTTTTCCAAGAAGAAAAATATAAGGGAGAGCTGAAAGAGAACAGTTGTAGAAAGGAAGAGAAAATAATCTAAACAGCAATGAAAAAATCTCTAAGAATGTATCAACAGTCCAGTGAAAAACAACTAGTTACAAGCTTGACACTAATTCAAAGTCAGTATTTTCTTCTGACTGACAGACTCAGGGAAAGCAAGACAAAAATGAAAGTTACCTTATCCACCCTATAGGAAAAGAAATTTCTGTCTTTTATAACACAAACTGCTAAAACCTAAAAACATTGATTTTTAGATAAAAAGAGTATTAAGGAGAGCTGGTAAAAACAATTCATTACAAAGTTAGTTGCGTGTGTGTGTGTGTGTGTGTGTGGCATTCATTTACAAAAATTGATTTACTCTTCTTCCAGGCAAAAATATGTTCTTTTGGAACAAGTAAAAATTTATATTATCGTGAAAAAACAATATTTGTGAAGAAGCACAAGCTTAGACATAGTTGTAGCCATAAAAAGTCTGACCCTACTGCAAAAAATCAAACTTGGAAATTTGGGAACATTATAGGAAAAACTTTGCAAATGAGTATGTTCTTTAATCCTGCAATTCTAATTTAGGAATTATAAGAAAATAATGATAGATACATGCAAAGAATTTACTATGTATAATAGTAAAAACAGAAAATAATCCAAAAGGTCAACATTAGGGAAATGGTTACATAATTTATGGTTTATCTGTATTATGCAATATATGCACCATATATTTTTAAAAAATCAAACTACATGGGAAAACTACGTGCAATCTACTAAAGAGTAAAAAAGTTACAAAATTTGTATTAATGTGCGATTTAAATTTTCTTTTTATGTTGTTGAACTATCATACTTTTTAAAATGAGCACTATGACAAAAGCACATTAATAGCTTTTGTTATTTCAAAAATATCTTGCTGCTTCTTCCTCAAAGCACTTAGCAAATGAAATACAATAACATTGAAAAACTAAAGTTTTTTACATTATTTTATAAACATATTTTATTAATAATTTTAATGTTATTTTATTATCTAGCCAGCAGTTTTAATTTACAAAACAAAATTGACTAAAAAAAGTATTTGGAAGCTTGTGTTCTCATTTTGAGAACAATGACTAAGCCCTGGTTTTCAGACTCAACAACTTCTCTAATTCCAGAAGCTCTTATTCCATTCAATTTCATCCTGTCTCAGTTTCTCTCTGCATAGAATTGGTACACACAAACTTCTTCACAAGAATGTTGAAATAAATGTACATAAACTATACAATATATATAAAGTATGGTATATGTAAAATTGAGACTTTATACTTTGATCAAACAAAAATGGAAAAATACCTTTTGATCTCCATCTTCTCACCATGATTGTAACCCTAAACAAATTATTAAAGATGTGTATACTTGAATTGCTTCATTTTCCTGTAAAATGAATGGTATTAAACTCCTCAAGGATTTACCTTGAATAATTAAAGCAAATGCAAAACTTTCTGCAAAATTCATAGAAAAGTTTTAATATGTGATGTGTTCTGAAGTCATGAAATAAAGAATATTCATGTATATAATAACTGATAGACTCTTCTCAGCATCAAATCATTCTTGTCAAAGTCAACTACTGCATTTCTGTTTCTTTTGAGGCAGTAAATATAGAGATACTTATGCAATCTAATCTGTATTTTATGCTACTAGAATATGCTATCCCTTAAATTACTGTGTTCCCCCAGAATAGATTAATATAATTTTGGATACAATGCAAAATTCTTTTTATGGTGGTCTTTGTCAAATACCAAAAGAACTACCAAAGCTATGAATACTACAAACTAAACATGCTCTAGAAGAGCCTGCCCCCTTGTGCAAATCAATAACATCCAACAGATTCAGAAAACTAGTTCCAACACTGGGAGCACCCAGGTTTCTAAAAAGGTCTGGATCTTTCTGTGTTTTGATTTCAACAGCTTATATTTAAAGTGGTGACTTTTAAAGAAAACTAAATTGAACAGCATGTTAAGCCCATAAGACGTGACTAATTTATGACATTCAGTAGCAAATGTCAACATAATTCCTAACACTTAACTCTCACCGATACAAGCTGCTCAAGTGCTTATAGGCTAAGTCCATAGAGATAAGTAATTTTCTGATCTGTAAGTTCTACAACAAAACATAAATCCAAGGACAAAGAAACCTGTACATTTCAGAGAAAAGTAGAAAAATAATGAAGCAGACTATGGCAGCTTGTTTTAAGATATATATACAGTTCATCCAAGTATTTAAGTATTTTCTTCTGAAATCCTGGAAAATAAAAACTTTTTAAAAATTTGGTATATGATCCAATGTCTCTTTATAAGGCTTCTTTATATATAAGTGGTAACAGGCCATTCAAACATAAGTCATTATTTGATTATTATTATTATTATTTGTATTTTTTGAGATGGAATCTCAGTCTGTCACCCAGGCTGGAGTACTGTGGTGCAGTCTCAGCTCACTGCCACCTCCACCTCCTGGGTTCAAGCAATTCTCCTGCCTCAGCCTCCTGAGTAGCTGGGATTACAGGTGCCTGCCACCATGCTTAGCTAATTTTTTTGTATTTTTTGTAGAGATGGGGTTTCACCATTTTGGCCAGGATGGTCTTGAACTCCTGACCTTATGATCCACCTGCCTCGGCCTCCCAAAGTGCTGGGTTTACAGGCATGAGCCACCACACCCAGACTTATTTTTACTAATAACCTGTAGTATTGGACAAAAGCTTTAAAGCAAGACTTGCTGAGGAAAAGAACACACTAAGGCAATAAAAAAAACATATTAAGGTAACAATTAAGTGATGTGAAATACTCAAGAGCACAAGGCCTTTCCTCATTATGGTCAGAATAGTTGCAATTTCTTTTCTATTAAAAAGAGTCAGAAGAATAAAATGAATTAGAATGGATAAAGCACTTACTATGATAAACATAATAAAATGTTTGTTACATAAGTAAATAAATTAATAAACATGGAAAACCACATAATGCACATACATTCAATAATACCTACTTTTGAAGGTGGTCGTGTTCTTTCAAAAATAGCTCAGTTCTTCTGTTGTTTACTCCAGACTGACTTTTATATGACCTGGGACAAAAGAGAAACTTTAAAAACATTTTTGGGCTGGGTGCGGTGTCTCATGCCTATAATCCTAGCACTTTGGGAGGCCCAGGTGGGCAGATCACGAGGTCAAGAGATCAAGACCATCCTGGCCAACATGGTGAAACCCCATCTCTACTAAAATTACAAAAATTAGCTGAGCATGGTGGCACGTGCCTGTACTCCCAGCTACTCGGGAGGCTGAGGCAGGAGAATCGCTTGAAACTGGGAGGTGGAGCTTGTAATGAGCCAAGATCATGAAACTGCACTCCAGCCTGGTGACAGAGTGAGACTCCATCAAAAAAAAAAAAAAAATTGGCAGAGAATACAAAATCAGATTAACTGACTGACCCTAGTGATCTTGAAAGTAGATAAATTGAGCCTCTTCATAGCTGTGAATGAAAAATAAAAGTGCATAATCCTTTTCCTTTTGCCCTAAAAAATGATATCTATTGGCTGGGCATGGTGGCTCATGCCTGTAATCCCAGCACTTTGGGAAGCTGAGATGGGCAGCTCACAAGTTCAGGAGATTGAGACCATCCTGGGCAATACGGTGAAACCACATCTCTACTAAAAATACAAAAATTAGCTGGGTGTGGTGGCATGTGCCTGTATTCCCAGCTACTCAGGAGGCTGAGGCAGGAAAATGGCTTGAACCCAGGAGGTGGAGGTTGCAGTGAGCCAAGATCATGCCACTGTACTCCAGCCTAGTGACAGAGTGAGACTCCATCTCAAAAAAAAGATATCTATTATAAACAGATAAATATTATGCCTCTATTTTAGTTCTAACAGTTTACTATGTTTTTCACCAAAATAACTCAACATTCTGAAACAAACAAACAAACAAAAAATCTTACTTTTCCTTTGTCTATTATCTCTGATATCTTCATTTTCTCCAGGTGGAAGTAAAATGTAGCACTGATTTAGTATCTAGCACATGGGGTGGGAAAGCAGTTGGAATGGAATGTTTTCCTTCACAATAGTGCATGCAGCCCACCAAATGAAGCCTAAGAAACACTGAAATCAAGCAAAGAATTTTTTTTGACGGTGTCTCAGTTTGTCACCTAGGCTGGAGTGCAGTGGCACAGTCTCGGCTCACTGCAGCCTTCTCAACCTCCCAGGTTCAAGTGATCCTCCTGTCTCAGGCCCGCAAGTAGCTGGGAGTACAGGAGCATGCCACCATGCCCACCTAATTTTTGTATTTTTGGTAGAGACAGGGTTTCACCACATTCCCCTGGCTGGTCTAGGACTCCTGAGATCAAGCAATCCACCTGCCTTGGCCTCCCAAAGTGCTAGGATTACAGATGTGAGCCACTGTGCCTGGCCTCAAATTTTTAAAATTCAAGTTAACCATGCAAATACTACAATAAGACAAAAGAGAGTCATGCTGCTAAAACAGAAATACTGGCTGAGACGCAGGGCTACTGTGCAAAGCACAGGAGAAAACACCACCGAAGAAAGCAGAATGATATAACCAAGAACACACTGGACTTGGGGGACTGATGACTTGGATTTAAATCTATACTCCAGCATTTCATAGCCGCTTCACTTAGACAAGTGTGCTCAATACTTAGTTTTGTAAAATGAGACTGATAATTTCTATGTTAACCAAAAGATTATTATGAAGCCAAAAAAGATAATACATAAAAAATACTGTGTAAATTTATACACACACACACACACACACACACACAATGTTAGGTACTATTATCATCTCATCTCACTAATCATATTCGGCCTTGGATTATACAAACTTGAGTACCTGCCTTACTTTCCTCTAGCACCTGGATTATAAACTCCTACAGGGCCACATTGGTCTTTTCATTTCTACATTCTACTGTGACTAACTCAGAGTTGGTACTCAGGAGCTAGTTTAAGGAATAGACAAACATATCTTTTATGGCCATTTTTCAAAAAGCAACTTATTACAATGGGTTGCATTCTAGTGATTCCCACACATTGTGTGTGGGGGGTGCTCAATGTCTATACATTAAAGGCCATCCCCTACACAGGTTCTCAATGCATTCCTCAAAATGTATATGTAAATGGACTGTATGGAAATTAAACAAAAGCCTTGAGGCCGGGTGCAGTGGCTCATGCCTGTAATCCCAGCATTTTGGGAGGCTGAGGAGGGCCAATCACTAGGTCAGGAGATCGAGACCATCCTGGCTAACATGGTGAAACCCCGTCTCTACTAAAAATACAAAAAATTAGCTGGACGTGGTGGTGGGCACCTGTAGTCCCCACTACTCAGGAGGCTGAGGCAGGAGAATGGTGTGAACCTGGGAGGTGGAGCTTGCAGTGAGCTAAGATCGTGCCACTGCACTCCAGCCTGGGTGACAGGGTGAGACTCTGTCTCAAAAAAGAAACAAACAAAAACAAAAGGGTTACATGTCCTGAAGGACTAAAAAGTCTTACAACTGTCTTACTGTTGAACCTGTTACAACAGTATAAAGGATCTCTAGGGAAGTGTTTCTGAGAGTATACATAATATATAGTTTATGATCAATGTATATCATAGTTTATGAAACTTATCACATAATATATCACAAGTGAGACGATGACAGGTATCATTAGATAGCTCCAAATTGGAAAGTGTTCAGCTTCAGTGAGATGCCCATGGGACTTAACATTGTCAGTAGTGTTCAGTTGTGAAAAAGTTTCCAAAAATGTGTGTGAAATGCTAGAATAGATTATTAAAGGAGAGAGGAAATGACCTCACCTAAAAAATATTTAAAATTATAGATTGAGATCAGCATAAAAATGTTGACAGTCCTTAAATAATTTAACATTAAGGCTATGAGTTTGTATATGTATTATAGTTTATAATATATAATTGTTGGGACAAGGGAGGGGGCAGAGATAGGTGATAATCAGGAAGAGAAACATGGAAAGCTTCAGTTACTGATAATGTTGTAATTTAAAAAAATGTATTTGACACATCTGCAGAGGATCATAAAGGTAACATTATAATTCTTAGGGTGTGTGGTAAGAGATCAGGGAACCATGATGATACCATCTAAGCTGGACTTGGAATTAAGACAGGAAAGTCAAGGTTGGCAGGAGCCAATGATAAAATAAGGGGAAGCATGAGATAAAAATGGAAAAGTAGATTAGGATGACATTGTAGCAGCAATGCTTAAAAGACAGTGAAATGGGAATTGGAAATCCTGAAATCTCAACCATGGTTCTGCCACTCAATTTGTAATTAACTGTGAACATATCCTAAAGCCAAATCTGAATAAATATTCTACAAAATAATATAAAAGGCAAATTACTCAATATCTTTTTGTACTGATCCCATGAGATTCTCCCTTTCCCATATTGCCATAAAGTTTGCTTTGGTTTTATGGAATTCATGTGTATAATCCTGTAATAAATCAACATCCAGTCCCAACATAAGCTGATTATTGGATTTTCATCTCACTGAACCAGTTATGTATTGTCATCACACTGTAAATTTCTGTCGGGAAAACTGCTGTTTAAGAAATCAAATGAACCAAGGGTAAAAATAACTTTACAATTACTTTTCTGAAGAGTGATCAACTTCTTTCAAATGAAAATAATTCAGTGTTAGGAAAACAGTGCCATTAAATCACTATCCTTTGTACCTCCCAGTACTTTGTCTTATGAGGCAGAATTAGGAAGAAAAAAGTTCCCAAACAAAATAACTTCAAAGAGCCTAGGAGAAAACTTGAGAGGCTCTTTCTACTTAATAGTGCACCTAATAGAGCTTATTTTCAAATTTCATCATTTTGGACCTCTCCCAATAAATTTAATCCCAAAACTAATCAAAAAAGAACAGAACCAAGAGAATTGTAAAGAACAAAATAATCTTTAAACGTTTTCCCTTATTTTCATATCACTGTATTTTTAAAAGATATTAAGAATATTCATTACTTTTTAAAAATTCAGACTGCCAAGGGTGGCAGCATTTTGGGAAGCCAAGGTGGGTGGATCACTTCAGGCCAGGAGTTTGAGACCAGCCTGGCCAATATGGGGAAACCCCACCTCTACTAAAAATACAAAAATTAGCTGGGCTTGTTGGCAGCTCTAATCCTGTGCCTCAGCCTCCCGAGTGGCTGGGATTACAGGCATGCACCACCATGCCCTACTAATTTATTTTGTATTTTTAGTAGAGATGGGGTTTTGCCATGTTGGCCAGGCTGGTCTCGAACTCCTGACCTTAAGTGATCACCCACCTTGGCCTGCCAAAGTGCTGGGATTACAGGCGTAAGCCACTGTACCCAGTTGCAAATATTTTTAGTATTGAGAAAATTTAGCAACTATTTCTTTCTTTTCTTTTCTCTTTCTTTCTTTCTTTCTTTCTTTCTTTCTTCTTTCTTTCTTTCTTTCTTTCTTCTTTCTTTTTTTTTTCAGAAGATGTTTTGCTCTTGTTGCCCAGGCAGGAATGCAATGGCAACACCTTGGCTCACTGCAACCTCTGTTTCCAGAGTTCAAGTGATTCTCCTGCCTCAGCCTCCTAAGTAGCCAGGATTACAGCTTCCACCACGTCTGGCTAATTTTTTGTAATTTTTAGCAGAGATGGGCACTGAAACCAGCTCAGTCATGGAGACCGCAACCCAGCAGCACTAGACGAATAAAAACACAGGCACAGAAATAGAGTGCAAAGTGGGAACAGGGGGCTAACAGCCTTCAGACCTGACAGTCTTGAACAGAATTTGACCCACCTATTTATTGACAGTAAGCCTGTGATAAACATCATTTCTGCAGTTTATAGATTAACTGAAAGTATTCTTCACAGAGAACAAAGGGACAGGCTCTGGCTTGTTATCTGCAGCAGGGACATGTCCTTAAGGCACAGATCACTCATGCAATTGTTTGTGGTTTAGGAATGCCTTGAGTAGTTTTCCACCCTGGGTGGGCCAGATGTTCCTTGCCCTCATTCTGGTAAACCAGCAACCTCCAGCGTGAGCATCATAGCCATCATGAGCATATCACAGTGCTGCAGAAATCTGTTTATGGCCAGTCTTGGGGCCTGTTCCCAGCATGTCCCCCTTTTTGTTTTTTCAGGGCAATAAATACAAAGACGGCTTTATCAAGGTGAGCTACTTCTTGCAGGAGTCGGGATCTGCAACTGCAGACTACACAAAGACAAACAACACAGGTTAATAACACAACCGTCATAGAAATCACAGAGCCTCCAAGTGTTTTTATCCATTTTGAAGGATTTATGGCTGCCAATCCATCTGTAACTCCTTCAAGCACTCCAGTTCCTGGCATTAAGGTCAGGTGTCCCTGGGATGCTTGAAATATTTGTTCTCTTAGTTTTGCAACATCCAAAGACAAGTTTGTAGAGTGTCCTTCTAGATGCTTTTTTATTCTTTCCCATTCATGCTCTGATTCATTATAAGGGTGAGGAGTGATACAAAAGTTAGAAGTATTCCAGTAGCATTTTAGCTGCATTCTATATCCCAAACTAGCTGCTCAATCTCCCAGCCACGTTACAGTTTGTTGGAGATCATTGATTTGATTAACTATCTTTTGGTCTATTTTAGTTTGAGAGTTACACAGCAGAGTAGAATTCTTTTGCCATTTATTTACAAAATCTGCTGTGCATTGATGAATGTAGCACAACTCTAGCTGCTGCAGCAGTAGCTGTGACAGCGATCATTCCCATAATAATCAAGATTAAAGTATCAATGAAATGTCAAGAGTGTCTCAGAATTTTCTGAAGAATTTCAGTAATAATATGTACAGAGGGAAAGGCTTTCCAAGGACAGGAAAGCTTCACCAGTAACCATACTCCTTCTTGAGCACTCTCTACTAGAATAGAATGATTAGTATTAAACAAGGAGAGTTCACACAAGAGAACAATCTACATTCCTGGAAAGTTACATGATAATTAGGGATGCCAAACTTTAGATTGCCCATTACCAACAGAAAAGCAGGATGAACACAACTTTGTATCCAAATAGTATTGTTTTCAACAAGTTCTAAAATGTAATTAGGATTACAATGTGAATGGCATAGTATATTTTTCTTCCCAAATCTTGATCTTATCAGGATCATTTGAAGTTGAGGTGCCACCATACCGCCACGTTTCCAGATAATAGGAAATCTTGCCATACTTCTTATCATTTCTACCAACTGATCATTTTGTTCAGACCAGCTGAACATAGTGTGGCCATCACACGCAGACTGAGAGATGCAATTCATGCTAAACATCCCCTTAGGGGACCAGTCAATAATGATTCCATAGGAATCATTGTGTAGCACCTCTGCCTGTTGTGCAGCACCTCTGCAATGCAACCTTCCCAAACAAGTATGTTCATTATTTCTAACCAGGTCCAATTCTGTTTACAAATAGGTTCTTGAGGGTGGTATGCCTCAATTACAGGAGCAGATTCATTATGGTAAATACTGAGACCAGAAAGCATGTAAAACTGCATCATAGAGTGATTATGTCCAGGCATTATTGCCAGCCAAGATTGATAGCAAGGGGATAGGCAACTAGTGGCCTTTCCTAAACAGATAGGCAGATATTCAAATCCTAAAGAAATATGCATAACAGTTCCTTCCTCATGTGGGTGAGATGGACCTCTATCATCTGTAGGACCAGGCATCCAAGAGCTATCATTAGTGTATACCTCCAATGGGGGGTCCAGCCAAGTTACAGGCCATAGAAGTGGTGGAAAAGGTAAATATGCCTAGTAAGTATAATTGTTCTCTGTGTCAGCCCTTGCTGAAGGAATACTTATGGCAATGGTAATCACAGCTATCAGAGCTATCAGTAAATTACTCATTGTGACTGGTTGTCCCACTTTCCTCAGGTTTTCTTCCACCATCTGCGACAGCTTCTTGATCTGTCCCCAGGTAGGTGGCTGTGTTAGACGGGGATTGCTCGTGACAGTTGGGGTCCTCCTCAGCATCAACTTGGACAACGCTGCCACCAGTTGGTCTTTTGGATCCTCCCAAAACTTTTTCCTTGATATCTGGCTCATAGTAGGGCTTTAGATGTCTTGATGGAACCCAAATTGGCTATTGATTTGGTCCTGGAGAAACACAAGCATAACCTCTGCCTCATGTTATTATTTTACCTGTTTCACAAACTTTTGTTATTGGGCCTTTCTAGCAAACCCATTTTTCCACTTCTGCTTTTGTAGCTGGCTTCTGTAAATGTTGTTCAGCTGCTAATAACAATCAGCCTTTAGGCAGGCTCAAAAAATTTAAAGTTAATAATGCTAGATTTAGTTGCATGTATGGAGTCCTATAGTTTCTGTCTCCTCCTTTCTGTTTTTGCAACTGCTGTTTCAGGGAGAGATTCATTCTTTCCACTATGGCTTGTCCTTGAGAATTATATGGGATATCAGTAATGTGTTTAATATTCCATATAGAGAAAAATGTAGCTAGAGCTTGGCTAGTAGGGCCTGGGGCATTATCTGTTTTAATGGAAGCTAGAATGCCCATCACCGCAAAGCACTGCAAAAGGTGACATTTAATACAGGCAGAAGACTCTCCTGATTGGCATGCAGCCCAGACAAAGTGAGAAAAGGTGTCCACACATACATGTACATAAACTAGTCTCCCAAATGCGGGAACATGCATGACATCCATTTGCCAAAGAGAATTAGGTTCCAATCCTTGATGATTAACTCCTCTTGTAAAAGATGAGGAATGCACCATTTGGCAAGTTGGGCATCGCTGGATAATAGCTTTAGCTTCTTTCCAGGTAATGCTTTATCAGTGTTTGAGACCAGAGACATTAGCATGGATTAAATTGTGAAAGTGTCTAGCATTAGATATTGCAGTAGCAACTAGGCGATTGGCCAATTGATTCCTTGCAGTCAAAGGTCCTGGAAGAGGTGTATGAGCTCTAATGTGAGTGATGTAAAAAAGGGTTCATTCTACTTCTAACTGCTCTTGCAATTGGGTAAATAAAGTCATCCGTTGATCATCTGTGTGGAATCATAGCTGAGCATTTTCAACTAACTCTGTAGAATGAACCACATATGAAGAATAATAAATCACATTAATAGGCATATTAAAAGCAGTCAATACCTCAATTACAGCTACAAGCTCTGCTTTTTGAGCTGAAGTATAGGGCGTCTGAAAAACTTTACCTTTTGATCCAGAATAAGAGGCTTTACCATTACTAGACCCATCTGTGAAGACATTCTCAGCACCTTCAATTGGTTTGAATTTAGTTATTTTAGGGAGAATCCAATTAGTTAATTTCAAAAATTGAAAGAGTTTCATTTTAGGAAAATGGTTATCGAGAATACTCACAAAGTCAGCTAAATGGATTTGCCAAGTAAGACTATTTATAAAAGCTTGCTATATTTGTGCCTTCATGAGGGGGACAATAACTTTTCCAGGATCATATCCATGTAATTAAACAATCTGAGTTCTCCCATTTCCTATCATAGTAGCGATTTGATCCAAATAAGGAGTCAAAGTCCATGAATTAGTATGTGGAAGAAAAAGCCACTCTACAAGATCTTGCTCTTGAACAATAACACCTTTAGCTGAATGCTGAGCTGAAAAAATTAGCAAATCTCGAGTCTTCTCTGGATCTATTCTATTTATTTGGGCCTTATGGACTTGCCTTTTATTAGCTACTGCTCTGCCTCAGCTTCTTTTGTTAATTTCTGAGGGCTTGTGAGACTAGGATCTCCTCTAAGGATAGAAAGCAGATTACTCATGGCATAAGTAGGAATGCCTAGAATGGGCCATATCCAATGAATGTCCCCTAGTAATTTTTGAAAGTCATTCAATGTTTTCAATTGATCCCTACATATGGTTACTTTCTGTGGCACTATTGTAGTGTCATTTACTAAGGTCCCTAAGTAGGAGTAAGGAGTAGTAGTCTGAATTTTGTCAGGAGCTATAATTAAACTGGCATGAGAAATTTTGCAAGTGATCATAACATTGGAGTAATATTTCTCAAGTGGGGGCAGCACAAAGAATATCATCCATATAATGAATAATGTAACACTGTGAAAATCTTTTATGAGTAGGTTCAATTTCTTGCCCTACGTAAGTCTGGAAAATGGATGGAGTGTTTAACATGCCATGTGGAAACACCTTCCAGTGAAAATGCTTAGCAAGCTGCAAGTTGTTTACCACAGGAATCATAAATGCAAACCATTCACAGTCCTGCTCAGCTAAGGTGATAGTAAAGAAACAGTCTTTTAAATCTGTGACTGTTAAAGGCCAATTTTTTGGAATCATAGCAGGAGAAGGCAGTCCTGGCTGTAATGCCCCCATAGGTTGTATAACTGAATTAATGGCCTTTAAGTCAGTTAACATTCTCCATTTACCTGATTTTTTTCTTAATTATGAAAACTGAGGAATTCCAAGGGGAGAGTGTTGGAAATATATGTCCCTTTTGAAGCTGTTCTTTAACTAGTTCATTTAAAGCCTCCAGTTTCTCTTTATTCAGTGGCCATTGTTCTATCCATATTGGCTTGTCTGTCAGCCATTTTAATGAGATAGGCTCTGGAGGCTTAACAATGACTGCCATCAAAAATGGTATCCAAGCCTTGGCAGGAACTTTGTCTTTCTGCTTGAAGTAGTTCCTTCAAACCTTGCAAATATTTTCCTACGCACAAACCAGAGACATACCCCATTTCATGCATCATATGTTGGCTTTGAGGGCTGTATAATTGCTCAGGAATTAAAACTTGTGCTCCCCATTGTTGTAATAAATCTCTCCCCCATAAATTTATAGGTACAGAAGTTATAATTTGTTAAATAGTCCCAGGTTGTCCATTGGGCCCTTCACAATACAAAATGTAACTACTTTGATATACCTCAGGGGCTTTACCAACTCCAAATATGTTAAATTGAGTGGGTTGAATTGGCCACATGGATGGCCAGTGCTATAGATAAATGATTGCAATGTTTGCTCCTGTATCTACCAAACCTTTAAATTTCTTTCCCTGAATAGTTATTTCAGAGGTAGAACACTTATCAGTAATTTGATTTACCCAGGAGGTGGCTTTCCTTTGATTATTTGTACTGCTAAATCCCCCTGTTCTTTTAGTTTCACTTTTTCCTAGTCCCACATATGGTAAAATCAGAAGCTGCACTATATGCTCTCCCAGTTCTGCCTTCCAAGGAATGGAGATAGATATAATGATTCAAATTTCCCCATTACAATCCAAGTCAATTACTCCTGTATGAACCTGCACTCCTTTTAAATTTAAACTAGATCTTCCCAGAAGTAGTCCTACCTTTCCTGCTGGCAGAGGTCTGCAGACTCCTGTTGGTACTTTCTACGGTGGCTCTCCAGGGAGGAGACTCACAGCCCTGGTGCAACACAGATCTACTGTGGCACCACCAGCTGTGGTGGGGAACAAGCATTGTACAGGGGTGAGGGAGTGGCCTGAGCCACGAATGCTCTGGTTTGGAATGGGGCCTGGGGCGGGGCCCTCATGGCATATACCAAAACTGGGTTTCCATCCTTCTCAAATATAGAATGACACTGATTGGCCAATGCTTTCCTTTTTTACACTTCGGGCATAGACCTGGTTCAGCAGTTTTCTTTTTTCCAACACTGGGCATTTGGACCCTCTGATTTTTTCTACATTCTCTTTGTATTCCCATGTTTCCCACAGCTGAAACAAGCTCCAGGAAACAGAGCATTTCCTTTACCCACTCTCAGTCCTGCCATGGCTTGTGCCAGCAGAGTAGCTTTATGCAGATTACCTTTGATACTGTCAAAGGCCTTGATATAATCAACTAAATGTTGTTGTGGGAAGTCAAGGACCCCAAACAGAGGGATTGGCTGAAGCCACCACAGAAGAACATAAATTGTGAAGATTTCATGGACATTTATTAGTTCCCCAAATTAATACTTTTATAATTTCTTACACCTGTCTTTACTGCAATCTCTGAACATAAATTGTGAAGATTTCATGGACATTTATCACTTCCCCAATCAATACTCTTATAATTTCCAATGCCTGTCTTTACTTTAATCTTCTTCTTCTTCTTTTTTTTAAAACAACTAGGAAATCCAATTTATTTGTTTTCCTCTAAGGGCTGCTTAGCTCTACAGAAATACACCAAAGGCCTTCAATCTATCCTGTTTAACCGGAAAGGGGAACAGGAGACAGGTAGAAGAAGTGGTCAGATGAAGATCATCTTCCCATCACTTGCCACCCAGAAGAAGAGGGGGAGGTAGAGACTGTAATGGGGACTGCTGGTAGTGCATCATCTGTCTTTCATGGTTGATCCTATTGGCCAAATCATGTGCACACAAGTATCTACATTGCTGCTTTTCTTCTAATCCTTGCAGAAGAGTCAGATGTCCATCTCAAACTGAGCATCATCCCCAACAGCGTATTTCCTCTCATGATTGTTTACATTGTTCAACACTTTAATCTCTTAATCCCATCATCTTCATAAGCTGAGGATATATGTCACCTCAGGACCCTGTGATGATTGCATTATCTGTACAAATTGTTTGTAAAACATGTGTGTTTGAACAATATGAAATCTGGGCATCCTAAAAGAACAGGATAACAGTGATTTTCAGTGAACAAGAGAGATAACCATAAGGTCTGACTCCCTGTGGGGCCAGGCAGAACAGAGTCATATTTCTCTTCTTGCAAAAGTGAATAGGAGAAATATCACTGAAATCTTTTTCTCAGCAAGGAACAGTCCTGGGAAAACAATGCGTTCCCAGGGGGAGGTCTCTAAAATGGCCACTCTAGGAGTGTCTGTCTTATGCAGTTGTAGATAAGGGATGAAATATGCCCTAGTCTCCTGCAATGCCTGCAGGCTTGCTAGGATTGGGAAATTCCAGCCTGGTGAAATTCTAATCAGACCAGTTGTCTGTTCTCGAACCCTGTTTCTGGTTAAGATGTTTATCAATGACAATGTGTGCACAGTGGGACATGAAACCTCATGAGCAATTCTAATTTCACCTTGGCCTTGTGATCTCGCTCTGCCCCCATTTGCCTTGTGATATTTTATTGCCCTATGAAGCATGTGATCTCTGTGACTCACTCCCTATTAGTACACTCCCTCCCCTTTTGAAATGCCTAATAAAAACTTGCTAGTTTTGTGGCTCAGGTGGGCATCACAGAACCTGCCAACATGTGATGTCACCCCCAGAGGCCCAGCTGTAAAATTTCTCTGTTTTGCACCCTTTTTATTTCTCAGACTGGCTGACACTTAGGGAAAATAGAAAAGAACCTACGTTGAAATACTGGGGGCTGGTTCCCCTGATATCTGGCACCCAGTGTGGTTTTTCTTTTTTCCTAAGTGCATGTGCAAACCCAATTCCCTTTGATAGGTGGGGAGAAATGCCATTGGTTCAGTCCAAGGAAACACTTGTTCGACTCCCTGACAACTGGTGAGTAGTCTGTGTATGGTCCAGGTTAACTATGGGCCACATGGAGTCTAAACTTCATGCTTACCTCTGCTATATTAAACTCCTGTAAAAACAGGGCAGAGTCTGAGTAACCATGGAAAATATGGTCACTCTATTCAGGGCGGTGGAAGAACACTGTCCTTAGTTTCCTGAAAAAGGAACCTTAGTTGTAGAACTATGGGATAGTGTTGGCACAACATTCCAGGAACTGGTCTCAACAGGAAATTATGTTCCCATCACTGTTTGGGGTGATTGGGCCTTGGCATGTGCCATCCTAATGACATACCAATCCCGTGACTCCCTACAGTTACCACAATTTTCTGAATCTGATGACCCTCCACCTCTTCCTCAACCTTCCTCTCCTACACAGCCTTTGTTAACTGATCAGCCTCTCCCTTCGCCTACTCTTCCCCCAATTAATGATGCTGACAATTCAATATCTAACTCCAGTGACTTTGGCTTAATGTCACCCCTTGATGACCTTATTTCTTTTCACAAAGAGCTGGTACTTGTAGCTCCCATGGCCCCAACTCAGACAGCCCGGGACCATATATATGCAAATTCTTCTCTCTTCAAACCTCTGGAGTCAGCTAATGGCTCTGGGACCAAACTACAATTTACCTATAATTATTCAGGCCCTCCCCCATCCACTGCAGCCCATCACCCTCTGGTCATTTCAGTTCCTCAACCAGTCACTTTGCCATCCACTCAGCCTGCTTCTCTGTACCCTTCTTCACACAGGGATGCCAGTAATCACCAGTATACTTCTGCTCCTTCTGCTCCCCCAATGCCCATTTCTCATGCTCTCATTCTGGTCTGACCCCCTCACCCTCAGTTTCCCTAATCTACACATGCTTTTCCTGTCACATCTATGCCAACTCTGTCTCAGATGCCTACTCTTAAAACTTCAGTGCAATGTTTATTATGCCAAAATAAACAAACAAATGGATTAGATGCGTGGGCTTATCCAGTCATGCTAGAACCTCCCAACTTCCAAGGGGTACAAATGTGTCATTATGTACCTCTCAATCTTACCTTTTTAAAAGAATTTAGGGATGCTTGTACTCAGTATGGCCCTACTTCTCCTTATGTTAAAATGGTATTACTAACTTTTTGTACTGAGGTCATTTTTCTTCCTTTAGACTGGGACCTTTTGGAAAAAGCTGTTTTAACCCCATCTCAGCATTTACAATTTCATACCTGGTGGTCAGAGGAGGCCCGTTTGCAGGCCCAGCTAAATTGGACTATTAGCTTTCTAATTACTCAGGCTCAGCTCACAGGCTCTGATAGTTTCTCTGATACTTATGCCCAATTAAACTTTGATGCTCTTACCACAGAACAAGCAACAAAGGTGTGTATGAGAGCTTGGGATAAATTATGTGCCCCAGGCCAAGCTCCTGTTTATTTTACTACGGTTAAACAAGGTCACACTGAATTATACCCTGATTTTTTAGCTAAATTATAAGATGCTGTTGAAAAACCTGTCTCTGATGAGCATGCTGTAGGTATTCTCCTTCCTATGTTAGCTTTTGAAAATGTGAGCCATGAGTGTAAAATGGCCATGTGTTCCATCCAATGACAAAATTTACCTGATCACGAGGTGTTGCCTGCATATATTAAAGCTTGTGAAGGCATTGGATCAGACACCCACAAAGGTATTCTGTGGCCACAGGCCATGAAGGACACCAATCAAACTGGCCCCACTAATTCTTTTCTTGGAGCCTGCTATAATTGCAGTCAACTTGGTCATATTCAGAAAAATTGCACTGTTAAAAACTTAAAAGTGACCAAGCTGGCTCAACAAACATGGCCAAATGCTGCTGCTACTGTTTGCCCACATTGTCGCAAAGGTAAACATTGGGCAAGTACTTGCCACTCTAAGAATGATATAGATGGAAACTCCCTGCCACAAAACCAGGGAAACAGGAAGCAGGGCAAGTCCCAGGCCCCAATATCAAATGGGATGCTTCAGACTCAGACCAATCTTGTGTTTCTGCTTCAGGTGGTCCCAATGCAGCCCCCAGAACAAACAAATTTACCTACAGCCAACCCATATGGGTCCCAGCCTCTCCTTCTGTCTCAGTACAATGCTTGTCCATCTCCACAGTAAGGCATGGGGCAGTCAATCTCTGTAGTACTATTCCTCTAAATTTACTACCTAACTCTTTGCCTTTAATTGTCCCCATGGGGTCACTGGCCATTTACCTCAACGTTCGGTGGGCCTGGTGTTAGGTAGAGCATCTACCTCTGCTAAAGGAATCACCATTCATACTGATCTCATTAACTTTGATTCCATTGATGATATTAAACTAATCATGTCTGCCAAGGTTCCTGTTTTCATTCCATCCGGTGAATCAATTGCTCAATTGCTTTTACTACCTAATATTGTTTTAAGCAAAGGAGATAAGACATGTGGCCATGGGACGGGCTCTGGCAGTGAAAAGACTGCTTATTGGATTAATGTAATTTCTAAACAATGGCCCACGTGCACATTCAAGGAAAAAAGTTTGAGGGCCTAGTAGATACTGGGGCTGATGTTTCTATTATTTCCTCTAATTTATGGCCTTCTTCCTGGCTTAAACATCCCAGTAACATGGGACTAGTAGGTGTTGGAAAAGCTGATGAAGTTTACAAGAGCACATTTATCTTGCCTTGCACTGGCCCTGATGGTGAAAAGGGTACAATTCAGCCTTATATCATGCCAATCCCCATTAATCTTTGGGGTAGAGATTTACTGGCACAATGGGAGACTGAAATTAATATTACACATAACTCTTATAGTGCTCCCAGTCAGCATATGATAGAAAACATGGGGTTTGTTCCTGGACTCAGTCCAAAACATGAAGGGATTACTAAATCCTTCCCAATTACTGTAAAAGAAGACAGGGTTGCTTTAAGTTATCCTTTTTAATGGCAGCCACTGCCATGCCTCCTGATTCTATCCCTTTACAATGGACAGTTTCTGAACAGTTACAACTTGGGAATGTGGAATTTTCTCTTTCCCCCTGGAATTCTCCTGTGTCTCTAGTAAAAAAGAAATCAGGCAAGTGGCAGATGGTGATGAATTTAAGGGCCATTAATGCTGTAATTAAACCTATGGGAGCCTTCCAACCCAGCATGCCTACCCCTGCTTTAATACCTAAAAATTGGTCTCTCATAGTTATTGATCTTAAAGATTTTTTTATATTGCTTTACATAAATTGGATTGTGAAAAATTTGCTTTTACTGTACCATCTATCAATAATCAAGAGCATATGGCTCATTATCAATGGAAAGTACTTCCTCAGGGAATGCTGAATAGCCCTACAATCTTCCAGCTTTATGTTGGACAAGTGCTTTCACCAGTTCAAGCCCAATTTCCCCAGGCCTATATTCTTCATTATATTGATGGTATTTTAATTGCTGCCCTCACTGATAAAGAATTAATTGACTGTTATCAAATTTTGAGCTGCTGTGTTACAGAGGCTGGATTACACATCACTCAGGATAAAATTCAACAGACCACTCCAGTTCAATATTTAGGAATGGTGGTCGATAATCAACACGTTCAACCTCAAAAAGTTCAGATTAGGAGAGATTCTTTGAAAACTTTAATGACTTCCAAAAACTCTTGGGTAACATTAATTATTTAAGACCTACTTTAGGCATTCCAACCTATGCACTGTCTAACTTGTTTTCTATGCTATTGGGAGATTCCAATCTCTGCAGTCCCAGGACTTTGATCCCTGAGGCTTCACTAGAACTGGAATTCATAGAAGAAGGAATCCAGACAGCCCAGTTATCTAGAGTACAGCCATCTCAGCCTTTTCAGCTTCTCTTTTTCACTTCATTGCACTCCCCTACTGGACTAATAGTTCAACATAATGATTTAGTAGAGTGGTGTTTTCCTCCTCATTCTGTGTTGAAAACTTTGTCTGTTTATTTGGACCAAACAGCCACTCTAATTGGACAGGCACAGTGCAGAATACTTAAAATTTCCGGGTTTGATCTGAATTTAATTGTAGTTCCTTTAAATCGGCTCAAAGTTCAAGCCGCCTTTCAACATTCTGTACTGTGGCAAATTCACTTGGCTGATTTTATTGGTGTTATTGACAATCATTATCCAAAAAACAAATTGTTTGATTTCATAAAAATGACGTCTTGGGTGGTCCCTCGATTAACCAAAGATCAGCCCATTCCTGAGGCCGTTACAGTGTTCACTGATGGCTCCAGTAATGGAAATGCTGGTTATGTACGTCCTACAGACAAGCTTATTTCTACCTCTTATACCTCTGCTCAAAAGGCAGAGTTAATTGCTGTCATTACTGCCTTACAGGATTTCCCCAAACCTTTAAATATTGTCTCTGATTCTGCTTAGGTTGTACATGCCACTAAAAATATAGAAACTGCTACCATCAAATATATTGATAATTCTGAACTGGCTTCTTTATTTTCAAGGCTACAACAGGAAGTTTGCCAACATAAACAGTAAACACCCTTTCTATATTACACATATTAGATTTCATACCACTTTACCATGACCCATGTCTGCTGGTAACCATAAAGTTGACTGTTTGGTCTTTTTTGCAACCCAAGAAGCTCAGGAGTTCCATAATCTCTCTTATGTCAATGCTGCTGTATTAAAAGATGAATTTGCTGTCACCTGGAAGGAGGCTAAGCTTATTGTTCACAGCTGCCCTCAGGGTCAGGTCTTTATACTTCCAAATCAGGAACCTGGTGTTAATTCCAGAGGCCTAACTCCTAATGATTTATGGCAAATAGATGTGGCTCATGTTAGCTCCTTTGGGAGACTTTCATGTGTGCATGCTTCTGTAGATACTTTCTCAGATTTTATCTGGGCTACTTGCCAAACAGGGGAAGGCATGGCCCATGTTAAAAAACATTTGTATTCTTGCTTTGCAGTTATGGGGCTTCCATATCAAATAAAGACAGACACCACCCCTGGATATGTTAGTAAGGCTTTTGATTTATTTATGCAACAATGGGGAATTTCCCATACTACCAGAATCCCTTACAATCCTCAGGGACAGGCTGTGGTGCAATGGGTCAATTGCACCTTAAAAACTCAATTGCCCAAACAGTCTGAACAACAAAAACATAATTTAACTACCCCCCATTCCCAATTATATTTGGCATTGTTTACTTTAACTTTTGTAAATGTCCCTAAAGATAATAATCTAACTGCAGCCAAACACCATTATACAGGCAAAAAATTCTCCCTAAACGAAGGCAAGCCAGTGTTATGGAAAAACTCCCAAACCAATACCTGGGAACCTGGCACAATTATAATGTGGGGGAGAGGATATGCTTGTGTTTCACCAGGAGATCATCAATCTCCTGTCTGGGTGCCCACTAGGAGACTCAAGCTTCGTGTGAATACTAACAATGAAAACCACAGGGAAAAGACGTCCATGTCACAGACCACCCTGAGATGTGGTGAGATCTGTGCCAACTCCTCAGAAGCTGGCACACCAAATCAAAATGGGCCTGGTTCAATACTCCCTGATGGCAACGGAGACCCATCTAACTAATCCCACTTCTCCTAAATACCTTTCTTTTTCTCCTTACAAACCTAAAAATCTCACCATTTCTATTACCTGGAAATAACATCCCTCTGTTCTTCTCTTCCTCCTTCAGCACTGAATCTCACTTACAACAGGTTTTATTTAATGATTGTCCTCCTTATACTTTCTGTCTCACCAGTTTCCTCTCACACTGATTTACCTGCTACACAAAATTATTCTTGCTGGGCTTATGTGCCTTTTCCTCCACTCATTTGACCTCTCACCTGGATGGATGCTTCTGCAGAAATCTACACTAATGATAGTTTGTGGATGCCTGGAGCCACAGATAAGCATTGCCCTGCTCAACCAGAAGAAGAAGGCACTGCATTTAATGTTACTATGGGTTATAGATACCCCCTCTTTGTGCCTCAGACATGCATCTGGTTGTATCCATCTAGAAACCCAAGTCTGGGCTGCTTATCTTCCAGAGAGATCAGCTACAGAGAAACCAGGACATTTTGTCTCCAGCCTCTCCCTTTCTCCTTTAAAACAAATGAAAGGGGGAGTAATGGGAGATACCCCATACTTTCAATATAAACCTGCAGGAAAACCATGCCCTAAAAATTTTGAGGGCCCATCTAAAACTTTAATTTGGGAAGATTGTGTTAACCCACATGCAGTAATATTAAAAAATGGCTCATATGGTTTAGTAATAGACTGGGCACCAAAGGTCTATTTAAAAAACAATTGCTCCTCTCCAGAAGGGAATGCCTGGAGGCTACTTATTTTATTTCTTATCGGGAGAATGAGAATCATCATTCTACTTTGCATAGGAGGTTCAGCTCATTCTTTCCCTTAAAATGGGAAGATAAAGGCATTACCCCCCCCCCCCCCGAGGCCTCATATGATATTCCCCATTCTAAGCCAAGAACACCCAGAACTTTGGAAATTGGCTCTTACCATGTCTGGACCGTGAGTATGGGAAGGGGAAACTTTTCTGTCTATTGTCCCCACTACCATCCCTCTCCCTCAGTATCAACATAGATCCAGACATTTTGCTTTGCTTACCTCCAACCTGACTGTTCCCATACAGAGTTGTGTTAAGCCTCCTTACATGCTGTTAGTGGGAAAATCAAAATTTGGACTAACAATCAAACTGTCCAATGCATTGATTGTCATTTATACACTTGTATTAACTCCCATTTTGACTCCAGGAAAAGTGTAATGTTGGTTTGAGCTCAAGAAGGAATCTGGATTCCGTTAACTTTGCCCAGACCTTGGGAATCCTCCCCCTCGATACATTTAATTAATGAAGTGTTACAGTGAATAACAAAAAGATCTAAGATATTTGTTTTCACTTTAATCACTGTGATCATGGGCCTAATTATGGTCACTGCAATGGCCACCACTGCTGGAATGGTGTTATATCAGTCTATTCAAATGGCTCATTTTGTTAATGATTGGCAAGCCAATTCCACCCAAATGTGGAATTCTCAGCAAAGTATTGATCAAAAATTGGCTAATCAAATTAATGATTTAAGACAGTCTGTTATTTGGCTTGGAGATTGGGTAGTGAGTCTCGAACATTGCATGCAAATGCAGTGTGATTGGAGCACTTCTGATTTCTGGATTACACCATATTCCTACAGTGAGACTGATCATTCATGGAAAATGGTCAAAGGACACCTTCTGGGTAGGGAAGACAATTTACCATTGGACATAACTAAATTAAAGAAACAAATTTTTGAAGCCTCTCAAGCTCATTTATCCATTGTGCCTGGAGCTGAGGCATTAGATCAGGTGGCAGAAAACCTTTCTGGACTAAACCCCATGACTTGGATTAAGTCAATTGGGGACTCCAGTGTAGTAAATTTTGGAATTATGATTCTCCATTTAATCAGCTTGTCTTTAGTGTGTCAGACCAGTAAAAGAATCCTGTGTCAAAATTGAGAGAATGAACAAGCCTTCATTGCCATGGCACATTTATATGAAAGGAAAGGGAGAGGTGTTGCAGGAAGTCAGGGACCCCAAATGGAGGGACCGGCTGAAGCCACCACAGAAGAACATAAATTGTGAAGATTTCATGGACATTTATTAGTTCCCCAAATTAATACTTTTATAATTTCTTATGCCTGTCTTTACTGCAATCTCTGAACATAAATTGTGAAGATTTCATGGACATTTATCACTTCCCCAATCAATACTCCTAAAATTTCCAATGCCTGTCTTTACTTTAGTCTCTTAATCCCATCATCTTCATAAGCTGAGGATGTATGTCACCTCAACACCCTGTGATGATTGCATTATCTGTACAAATTGTTTGTAAGACATATGTGTTTGAACAATATGAAATCTGGGCATCCTAAAAGAACGGGATAACAGTGATTTTCAGGGAACAAGAGCGATAACCATAAGGTCTGACTGCCTGTGGAGCTGGGCAGAACAGAGTCATATTTCTTTCTCTGGGCTTCTGTTTCCTTGCCTATAAAATAGGCAAATGAGACTTCTAATAATAAAATAGGACTAATAATTATAATAAAAATAGGACTAATAATTCTAATAATAAAATAGGACTTTCTAATAAAAAAAAAAAGGAAGATGAGAAAAAAAAGTGAATAGGAGAAATATCACCAAATTCTTTTTCTCAGCAAGGAACAGCCCTGGGAAAAGAATGCATTCCCAGGGGGAGGGCTCTAAAATGGCCACTCTGGGAGTGTCTGTCTTATGCAGTTGTAGATAAGGGACTAAATACGCCCTGGTCTCCTGCAGTGCCCTCAGGCTTGCTAGGATTGGGAAATTCTAGGCTGGTGAAATTCTAGTCAGACCAGTTGTCTGCTCTCGAACCCTGTTTCTCGTTAAGATGTTTATCAATGACCATGTATGCACAGTGGGACATGAAACCTCATCAGCAATTCTAATTTCACCCTGGCCTTGTGATCTCTCTCTGCCCCCATTTCCTTGTGACATTTTATTGCCCTATGAAGCATGTGATCTCTGTGACCCATTCCCTATTTATACACTCCCTCCCCTTTTGAAATCCCTAATAAAAACTAACTGGTTTTGTGGCTCAGGTGGGCATCATGGAACCTGCCAACGTTTGATGTCACCCCTGGAGGCCCAGCTGTAAAATTTCTCCTTTTGTATTCTTTCTCTTTATTTCTTAGGGAACTAGAAAAGAACCTACATTGAAATATTGGGGGCTGGTTCCCCTGATAAAATGTGCTTTCCCTCTAATAGGTCACAGAGCAGCCTGGCACTCGGGATTATCATTGTTGAAAGCTAATAACTGCAACACTATATCCTGAGCAGCTGAATCTGCAATCACCTTAAGAGACTCCTGAAACTGAGCTATAAAATCTGCATAAGGTTCTTTCAGCCCCTGCTTAACAGCACTAAAAAAAGGGTATTGTTCTCCACCTGAAGAGATTTTTTTCCCCAAGCTCTAATGCACACTCCTCTAAACTGATCTGTAGCATCGTCCTGCATGACCACTTGTGCATCTAACACAGCCCAGCCACTGACTCCCAAAAGTTGGTCTGCAGTTATATTAATCAGAGGTTGAACTTGTGCATTGCAGGCAGCTTGAGTAGAAGCTTCATCTGCCCACCAGGTCTTAAACTGTAAAAACTGAGCAGGAGTCAGACAGGCTCGAGTAAGAGCATCCCAATCAATGGAGATCATCTGACTGGAGGTAGCAACATTCTTTAACAGACCCATCATGAAAGGAGAACCTGGTCCATCCTGATTGATAGCTTGTTTAAACTCTTTGAGTAATTTAAAGATAAAAGGCTCAAATGTAGCCATAACATTCCCCCGTTGATCTGGGGGTGTATCCTGAGGGAACTGCCAAGCCTCTAAATCACCCTCTCTTCTAGCTTGTTGAATTCCTTCCTGAATAGAACTGAGGGTGGTCCCTTGCGGCACTGCTCAAACAGTCACTGGGGTGACTTCTTTTCACCCAGTGTCCTCCAGAAAAGAAAGATCAGGAGGGTCAGGCCATTCTCTATCTTCAAGATATTGAGGGAGTGCCAAGGGGCAGGGACAAGCTTCCCCTTCTTGGGTCTCTTTAAGCAGTGGACAGATCTGTTCTTTTATCTCTTCCACAACACTATCACATTCCTCCTCTTCTTTGTCTCCTTCCTCATCTTCAACGTGAAAAGGTTCCAAGGTGGAATGAATCAGAGCCCACACTGAGCAGACAGTTATGGGAATATCCTCAGCACCATCCTTATATGCCTTTTTCAGTGCGCTACCTACCATCTCCCAGACCTCTACCTCCATAGTTCCTCGTTTTGGAAACCAGGGGCAATATTTCTCTGCTGCACAAAAAATGGCATAAGTTGGCTAGTGCTAACCTTAACTCCTTTTTCAAGGAGCTGCTGAAGCCAACTCAAATAAGCCTCATGTCTGCTTGACCCTTGTCTCATTGTTACCCTGATGCTTCTGAGCTCCCCTTCTTTCTCACCATGGGGATTGCTTAAGAGCACTTGAGTGTCCTCCAGCATAGTTCCACGTTCTTCAACCATCACTCCAGCAGCCCTTCAACCCAGGTTCGAGCCCCACATTTGGATGCCAGTTGATGAGACTAGCTCAGTCGTGGGGACCCCAACCCAGCAGCACTAGAGGAATAAAAACACAGACACAGAAATAGATGCAAAGTGGGATTGGGGGCTAACAGCCTTCAGAGCTGAGAGCCTTGAACAGAGCTTGATCCACCTATTTATTGACAGTAAGCTATGATAAATGTCATTTCTGCCGTTTATAGATTAACTAAAAGTGTTCTTTACCGAGAACAAAGGGACAGGCTCTGGCTTATTATCTGCAGCAGGGACATGTCCTTAAGGCACAGATCTCTCATGCCATTGTTTGTGGTTTAGGAACACCTTGAGCAGTTTGCCAACCTGGGTGGGCCAGGTGTTCCTTGCCCTCATTCTGGTAAATCACCAACCTCCAGCGTGAGCATCATAGCTATCACGAGCATGTCACAGTGCTGCAGAGATCTTGTTTATGGCCAGTCTTGGGGCCTGCTCCCAGCAGACGGGTTTTCACCATGTTGGCCAGGCTGGTCTTAAACACCTGACCTCAGGTGATCTGCTCACATCAGCCTCCCAAAGTGCTGGGATTACAGGCATGAGCCACAGTGCCCGGCCCACCTGAGGCTTCTTTTTCCTTCCCCAGCCACCTCACCATCCCAGTGGAACTCTCCCATGAGGACAGCCAAGGCCTGAAATACCTGTGTGCAGGGGGAGCACCTCAGGGTTTGCCCAGGAAACCAGCCGGCTCTGGTCCAGAGCATCTTGGAGTGCATGGTGGATGGCACTGCACCCCACCAGACAGTACACCTGGAGGGCCTGGATGAGAGCGGTGAGCCCTGGGCTGGGGAGCCAGTGCTGAATGGCATCCTCCGGCCACCCTACTTGGCTGAGGGGCTGGGCCTGGGCCTGCCGGTGACAGCCATCCCTGTCTTTCCTGCTGAGAGGGCAGGCCACCAAAGCTTACGTGAAAGCAGCTGAGGAAACAGTCCCAGCCCATAAGGCATGGCTCCCTGGCCTTAGTTTCCCCAGTGATAATAATATTGCCAGTATATCCCCTTCAATGCAGTGGTCAAAGTCAGAAAATGGAATCAGCTGGGTATGGTGGCACAAGAGTTAGAGACCAGCCTGGGCAACATAGCAAAACCCTGTGAACACAGGAGTTAGAGACCAGCCTGGGCAACGGGGCAAAGCCCTGTGTCTGCAAAAAACTTTTAAAAAGTTAGCCACTTGTGGTGGCATGTTCTTGTGGTCCCAGCTGCTCAGGACTCTGAGGTAGGAGGATTGCTTGAGCTTGGGAGGTTGAAGCTGCAGTGAGCTGTGATTGCACTACTGCACTCCAGCCTGGGTGACAGAGTGAGACCCTATCACACATACACAAAAATTGCTTTCCTATTTGTACTACTATATGTAGGGACAGAGTCTCGCTTTGTCGGCCAGGCTGGAGTGCAATGGCACAATCTGAGCTCACTGCAAGCTCTGCCTCCCTGGGTAGATGCCATTCTCCTGCCTCAGCCTCCTGAGTAGCTGGGACTACAGGTGCCCACCACCATGCCCGGCTAGTTTTTTTGTATTTTTAGTAGAGACGGGGTTTCACCGTGTTAGCCAGGATGGTCTCGATCTCCTGACCTCGTGACCCGTGTGCCTCAGCCTCCCAAAGTGCTGGGATTTCAGGTGTGAGCCACCCCGCCCAGCCTGTACTACTATATTTTTAACACGCCCTCCATATAAATCTTTAAGAGTTTATTTAGTTTTATTGGTGCATACACATTTAATGTTTTCTCAAACAATATACTAAGTGTAGTAAATCATTCCCCCTCCATATTATCTTCAAAGCTGGATGAAAGTACGCTCTAACCCACCATGTTATTGTCTATACATGACCATTGGCTAGTTCACTGTTACAGCTAGTTAGCTAGGTCTCCCAGAGTGGAAGTATATATACCCAGTGATGAATATTACTCAACTTCACCAGGAAAAGGAATGAGCTATTAGATATTTTCAGAATTTTATAATGCTGACCAAAAATAAAAATAAAAAATAAAAAAGTAAAACAAGTCTCTACAGCATGGCATTTATTTTCTCAGATTTTTCTCTTTGACCTTTTAAATACATGTGCACATATCCTATGCAGGGATTAAAAAACAAAATGAAACAAAAACTCCTGTGATAACGAAAAAGTCTCGAGCCCAATATATTACCTGCAATATGTCTCTACATCTATAATGTATGCATCAGGGCCATATTCAAGGAGGGGACACCTGCACTGTTGATATATTCTGCCATTTTATTATTTACCTCATAAGCTAGAAAGGGAAAAAAACAATGAAAATATTTTACAAAGTGCTATATAAACAGCTAAAAGCAAATTTTCTGCCTATATGCCCTTTTGGTTGACAGCAAAACAAAACAAAACAGAAAACAAACAAGATAGCAAGTAATTGGGAGGCTGAGGTGAGCTGATCACCTGAGGTCAGGAGTGCAAGACCAGCCTGGCCAATATGGTGAAATCCCGTCTCTACTACAAATACAATAATAAGCTGGGCATGGTGGCAGGTGCCTGTAATCTCAGCTGCTTGGGAGGCTGAGGCAGGAAAATCATTTGAACCTGGGAGGCAGAGGTTGCAGTGAGCTGAGATCGTGCCACTGCACTCCAGCTAGGGTGACAGAGAGCAAGACTCCACCTCAAAAAAAAAGAGGGCAAGTAAGAATTCAGCATTTTATCCACATAATCCATAAAGACCAAAATAACACCACATGACCTGAGAATGGCTGTCATCAAAATTCAGGTGGCCTGGGGAGGTACATATCTTGAATGGAATGGCTAATTTAATTAAACATGTCTGTCTTAATATAATCCAGGATCCTATCTAAGAAGTACACAGTTATTTGCAAAATAGCCATTTAGCAGAAAGCACTTACGCTTGCCAAAAGCTGTTCAGTATCAATCACCATTGTCAAAAACATTCTGTCTTGGCAGATCCATTTAAAAGGGGTGTTAGATCAGAACTAAAAAGTTCAGTTAAAGGAAACCCATTACTCAAATAGAGTCCTTTAAAACACCTACCCTTGCCAAAAGTTGTTCAATCTCAAGCACCGTTGTCACAAACATTCTGTCTTGGCTTGATCCATTTAAAAGGGGTGTTAGATCAGAAATAAAAACAAGTTCAGTTAAAGGGAACCCATTAGTCAAATACAGTCCTTTAAAACATACTTAAAATAATGAGGTAATTAATAGGAGCCATAAAAGGAATTATGGATTATGTTATAGGGTCTGCGAGAAACAACCTTTTAAATTTTTACCCCTAAGGAATTACGGTTCCTTCATCTTCAAAATGAAGTTCTCTCTTCTTTCCTTGACTCTTACCAATAGGAAATAAAATTGAGTTTTAAATGATCCACAGATTGGCTGGGCACTCTGGCTCATGCCTGTAATCCCAGCACACTGGGAGGCTGAGGCGGGCGAATCACAAGGTCAGGAGTTCGAGACCAGCATGGCCAAGATGGTGAAACCCCATCTCTACTAAAAATACAAAAATTAGCCAGTCATGGTGGTCTGTGCCTGTAGTCCCAGCTACTCAGGAGGCTGAGGCAGAAGAATCGCTTGAACCCCGGGAGGTGGAGGTTGTAGTGAGCCGAGATCACACCACTGCACTCCAGCCTGGGCAACAGAGTGAGACTCCCTCAAAAAAAAAAATCTATAGATTGGATAACAAGCTATTGAATACTCAGGAACTGGCTTTAAATCCAACATATACAGCCATGTCCTACATGCTTTGGTATGGATCTTCTACATTTCCACTTATAATATGCAATCATCTTTTTGGTTTGTAAAATTGTGTTAAATTGCCTTTTCAAATCTGAATAGTCAGAAATCTCTTTTTACAAGTGAAATTTGTTTGACAGTTTCAAATTCTGAACCTGCCTGTCCAGACCGTTTCTTTTGCCTTTTCTGAAACACCACTAACCTTCATCAGGTAGTATGTATTAGCATATGAGCAGCTCAATACAGACCTGAGTTATACTAGACACAGATAAATGCCTGGGCAATGACTATGATCTCCAATCTTACTGAAGACTTTGTCCTGCCCTGTGACAGTGCCTGGGTGTGGCAAATGAAAAATATTAAACAGATGCTCCGTAGACTACTAATATAAATCTTCCCTTCCCAAATATATGAGAAAGAACAGTAGGCCAATAGAATTGAAGCTCCATGAGGGGAGAAAAAGCTGCCTCTGTCTTATTCACACATATATGCCTAACACCTAGTACAGCACCTGGCACTTAGTAGATGCTCATTAAATGTTTGTCGAATGAATGAATAAAGGCGAGAGAAATCTCTACTGCTGGTTATCCCATACTCATTATATTCATATGTTTATCAGGACAGTATAAGAGTAAACAGAAATGGTGAAAAACTAATTCTTCACAATACTAGCATTTAGTTAAATTTAATTCATTTTATAGGTGGATAATGATTCATAGACCTTGAGGTTCTGCAAATACACAGTTAAAATAAGAGAAAGCTTTCTGGAATAAATAATATTCTAGTTATTGCTTAGTTGACTCATAGTGACATGCTTCCAACCTAGGCGTCAAACAAGACGCTTTAGAATACACATCAAATCCTGATCCTCATGGTCTTAGATTTCTTATTTAAAAAGAGAGTTAGGCTGAAGTAATTCTACAAAGCCAGTTCCAGTTTGTGGTAGTATTTCTTAGGAAATGTTTTCAAGATGTTTTTCCTCTAAAGGAGTAACAGAAGTATTAGTTCATGAAGCACAAAGAGCATAGGAAATGCATAGAAAGAACATTTCTCATTCTCTTTACTTGCTAAAGAAAGGCAAGCCCAAAGCAATGCAATCTATGCAATTTATTTGACATGGTAGTAATTTTTGTTGTTGTTGAGACAGAACCTTTCTCTGTCGCCCAGGCTGGAGTGCATTGGCACAATCTCAGCTCACTGCAACCTCAACCTTCTAGGTTTAAGGGATTCTGGTGACTCAGCCTCTCAGGTAGCTGGGATTACAGGTGTGTGCCAGCATGTGCACCTAATTTTTATATTTTTAGTAGAGACAGAATTTTTCTTGTCATTTTCTTTTTTATCTTTGGTAAGTATAGATGTTACCACAGGATATTCCCCCTACTAGTTAAGTTCTTTCTTTCTTTCTTTTTTTTTTTTTTTTGGAGACAGGATCTTGCTCTGTCACCCAGACTGGAGTGCAGTGGCATGATCTCGATTCACTGAAACCTCTGACTCTCCTGCCTCAGGAGGTCCTGCCTCAGCCTCCTGAGTAGCTGGGACCACAGGCCTGCTCCACCAATACAAATTTTTTGTATTTTTAGTGGAGATGGGGTTTTTGCTATGTTGCCCAGGCTGGTCTCAAACCCCTGAGCTCAGGCAATTCACCAAACTCCGACTCCCAAAGTGCTAGGATTACAGGCATGAGCCTCTGCATCTGGCCATAGCTAACCTATTTCTGAATAGTTAGTCTGAATACCCATTGAAGTAAGGGTAAATAAATGAAAACATTTTATTGTTGCCTTTTTTTTTTTGGTTTTCAGATATCTAGTGGTGCATAAATGGATGGGGTTAGAACCTCACACTAATGAGTAATGAGGACTTTTCTGTGATTATTCCATTTTGGCAGAGTATTGGATAAACTACAGCAGCAGGGGATCTGAGAAACTGGTGAGAAAGATGTGTTTGGCAGAGAATATCCTAATTTAGCACCTCTCCAAATTGTCCACCCGTATACCCAGATGGAGGACAAGTGAATTCAATTTCCAGGAGACATGAGAGTGTGTCCACGATAAGCACTAACTTTCCTTTGAAGTCATATATTTAATCTTCTTTTTTTTTTTTTTTTTTTTGAGATGGAGTCTCGCTCTGTCACTAAGGCTGGAGTGCAGTGGCACGATCTCAGCTAACTGCAATCTCTGCCTCCCAGGTTCAAGCAATTCCCCTGCCTCAGCCTCCTGAGTAGTTTGGACTACAGGTGCGCACCAGCACGCCTGGCTAATTTTTTGGATTTTAGTAGAGACAGGGTTTCACCATGTTGGGCAGGATGGTCTTAATCTCCCAAAGTGTTGGGAGGCCCGCCTCGGCCTCCCAAAGTGTTGGGATTACAGGCGTGAGCCACCACGCCTGGCTGAAGTCATATATTTAATCTTAAAAACCCAAGCTGGGTGTAGTAGCTCATGCCTGTAATCCCAGCACTTTGGGAGGCCGAGGTGGACAGATCATTTGGGTCAGGAGTTTGACACCAGCCTGGCCAGATGGTGAAACCCTGTCTCCTCTAAAAATACAAAAATTATCTGGGCATGGTGGTGGGCACATTTAATCCCACATACTCAGGATGCTGAGGAAGAAGAATAGCTTGAATCTGCCAAGAGGCAGAGGTGGCAGGGAGCTGAGATCAGGTCACTACACTCCAGCCTGGGAAATAAAGACTCCATCTCAAAAAAAAACATTATTATAAAAAACCCATACATATTTTGTAGTATACCTGTGTCTGTTCTTCATTAATTAACATATTAAAAATAATAAATTACTCGAAATTAAAACTCTGTTTCTTTAGGAAGCTGCACCACATTTATCCCAAGGATTCTCACGTTCTCTGCACACCTGCCTTCCCAGGGTTTGGGTACTCCAGCTGCAGGAGTGTGGTTCTGATCTGTCTCCTTTATCATAGGTATAATCCAGTTACCAAGAATGTGACTGTCAAAAGTGAAGGCCTATTCAGGTCATCTTCACACTTGTTCAATCCTCAACAATTTCAAACAATGAATGAGAGAAAAGAAAGGCAGCTAGCACCAGCACCACTGATGCCAGCGATCCATCTACTAAAGAGTTTGAAACTTTCATTAAAGACCTTTCAGCTGAGAATAATTTGGAAAGCCTCATGTTATGTTCCTCCTCAAATCTGGCTCTTTTTCCATACCATTCCTACAAAGAGACATCATGGTTCATTAGAAGACATGACCAAAATCAACTAGGGAAGGGCAGCCATCAAAGACTTTATTCTCTTGAAGAAGGTGTTCTTGGGGGCTGTAAGGAGCAGGCAGAAGACTTTATTGCATGTGTGGTTAGGTGACAGTGACCAACAGTTTTCACTGGCAACTGGGATCAAGAGTGACCCAACCTCCTACTCATGCACCTCTCTCCCTGTCTCTTTACCTTTTACATCACTCTCTCTCTCTCCCTTCTCTTCTTCTCAGCCTCCTCTGTCTCTCTCCCCATCTCTCTTCCTCTCGCTCTCACTCCCTTCTCTCTCTCTCTGTCTTTCATCTCCACTTCTCTCTCCCTCCTCATCTCCCTCCCTGCCACTGTTCAGGCTCCTGGGGCCCCACCTGGACAGGCACACACAGGAGTCTTAGGCCACCTTTCAGGGCACATGCACAGGGCTACAGAAGCTGGTCCCCCACCTCCCAGCACCCTCAAAGACAGGCGTGTGGGACCTTGCACTCTAAGAAGCAGAAGCTGCAGGTCACCCCTGGCTCAAGTGGTGCACCTGCCAGGCTGCCAGCTTCCATCCTGTGATCTGCTGAGACCACAGCAGAGGACACCTGAAAAGGCCCTGGCCTACACCAGGGTGGGAGTAGGGGTGAATTTGGGGGTGGGGGTAGGGATGACAGCAGCCACTGCAAACCAGTCCCTGGGCTGCTTCCTGCCCTGCACCCGGCCAGGCAAATCTTCCTCTCCCACCCCTCTCCCACCACCTCCACCCCTAGGCTGCCCCAGACCCAGGCCCCAGAAGTCTCCCTGGATCCAGGAACTAAGGGCAACCACTGGGTTCTGCTGCCACAGGGATGAGTCAGCTGCCCCCTCTGGGTGCTGACCAACCTTGGCTCTTACTTATGCCCTACCCCAAACCAGCCACACACCACCCCCACCAGCATAACCACCTCCTCCTGAATTTAACCCTGACAGCACTGCTTCCTGGTAACCTTCCCCCTCCCACCATGGTCCAGGCAAGCCCAAAGGCCAGCATCCTCCACCCACCCTTCCTGGGGGCCACTCTACTGTCTGTTTGCTCAGCTGTCTTAACCTGGCTTTAACAAGATGAAACAGACAGCAGGGATGAGCCCCCAGCCTCTCCCAGGAAGATTTGGCAAAATGCTCTTCATTTAGAAGCAGGGGCAGTGATGGGGCCTAAGGATGACCCCAGGCTTGTCACCCAAGGAGTAAGAAGGGCAAGGAGCCAGGTTTCCTGCCCTTACCCTGGGAGGACATGGCCAGAGCTCCACAAGGCCCTGCAGGGGGCTGGCAAGAGAGCAGATCCACTCTCCTCTTGAGGAAGCAGCCACCACCCCCAGGAAGCAGCAGATGGGGGTGCACTGATAGAGCCCCCGAGTGCTATAAAGCAGGGTCAGCAGATCTGCACACATTCTCAGCCCCAGGGGAGCTGCAAGACCAGCTGAGACCCTGATAGGTTTGGCTCTGTGTCCCCACTCAAATCTCATCTTAAATTGTAATCCTCCAGTGTCAAGGGAGGAACCTGGTGGGAGGGGATTGGATTTGGGGACAGTTCTTCCCCCCACGCCGTGCTGTTCCCCTGATAGTGAGTGAGTTCTCAGGAGAGCTGATGGTTTTAAAGTGTGGCACTTCCTTGTTCTCCACTCACTCCCTCCTGTCGCCTTGTGAAGAAGGTGCCTGCTTCCCCTTCGCCTTCTGCCATGATTGTAAGTTTCCTGAACTGCAAATCAATTAAGCCTCTTTCCTTTATAAATTACCCAGTCTCAGGTATTTCTTTATAGGAATGTGAAAGCAAACTAATACAGACCCCTTCCCTGAGATGCCTTCTCCTTAGGCCACCAGCTGCCCCCATGCTCCTCCTCTGCCCCCTGGTCTTTATTTCCCCTCACTAGGCCCAAGTGATCCACAGGGCCAGCCCCAGCACCATCCTACTGCAGGCCTGTGTGGCTGCTGGAGAGGCTGGGCTCCTTTCCTCACCCCGAGGCTGCCTGATATGCTCTCTGGATCCTGGAGGAATCTGACCCCCATCCTCGTACTAGTGCAACTTCTTCCAAAACTCAAAGCTGGACAACGTGAGCTGGTCTTTTTTCTTGTCCCCACTTGCTAGGGTTGTCACTGGGACAGTCCTAGAGTTGCTGGGGGAAGAATGGATGAATGGATGGATGAATGGACAGTAGTCCAGGGAGGATGTCCCTGTGTGTCCTGAACTAGGCCCTTCCTCTGATGAGAAGCCTTCCTGAGTGAGTTTATACAGTCATCCCTTGGTATCCATGGAGGATTATTTCTAGGGTCCCCGGGGATGCCAAAACCCATGGATGCTCAAGTCTCTGATATAACATGGCTTAGTATTTACATATAACCTATGCACATCCTCTTGTATACATTAGACCATCTCTAGATTAGTTATGATACATAATACAATGCAGCTGCTATATAAATGGTTGTGATACTGTATTGTTTAGGGAATGATGACAGGAACAGTCTACACATGTTCAGTATAGACAGCCATCCAATTTCATTTCTGAATATTTTCCATCTGCTGTTGGCTGAATCCACAGATGCAGAACTCCCAGATATGAGGGCCAAGTGTGCTTTGAGAGTAGGGTGGGTGAGGTTGCTAATGAGTACAGGGGAGCAGGTGTCAATCAGGAGGGCACTGCATTGGGGCATCAGGACACCCTGTTTCAGGACTTGAGCCTCCAGGTTTGGATGGCACAAGAAGACTCAGCCCAGGCCAAAGCCCTCCCCTTGAATGTTCTTTTTTATCCCAAGCTCTTTCTGGCTCCTGGAATTTGGCATCACCTAGGCCTTGGGTGGAAGGACGGATAAGCCAGATTTTAGATAACATGTCTAGAAGAGTGAGCCTCTACTGTGTGCCGGGCACTTTCCCCACAGGATCCTCTAGCTGGAATAACCAAGGATCATGGAGAGAAATACCCAATTAAAATATCAGAAATAAAAAAATAGATACCATTAGAGATACTAAAAAGACCATTAGAGATACTAAAAGGATCATTAGGTAATAGTATTAGCATTTTTCTTCTGAGATTCAACAACAGCAGTCACTTCCCTCCATCCCTATGTGTATCCCAGGCCTACCCTGGGCAGGGAGGGCTGAGGTCAGGGAGCACCCATGGATGCTTTGATGCTGGCCTGGGGCTCCGGGGGTGACAGTGACAAGGAACTGGGTGCACACATGAGTGGGGCAGCCAGGCCTGGCCAGAGAAGCAACACATGCATGCACAGATGTGTTTACCCACATACACGTGTGCATGCACATGTGCAAACACATTGCAGGCAGGCATGTTGACGCCTCAGGCAGTGGAGGATGCTGACTCTGGGCCCTGCTGACCCAGGCAAGGCCCCATTGTGATGCCTGCCATGACCTCAGAATGTCACTGGTGCTTATTACCCGTCCGTTGTCCGGCCTGCCTCTGTGTTCTACAGCAGCTACACACACACAGTGGTATCTGTGAGCAGCTCTGTGGACTCAAAGGTTTTCTCCCTGAGAGGCAGAGCCCAGGCCAGCTGATTCATCAGTATCAGGTGAGTGTGACCTGCTCTCTTCCCTCCATGCTGACTTGGGGACTGTGGCTACAGTGTGGGCGGTGCTGGCTTCTAGGCAGCAGCCGAGGAAGGTGACCCCTGAGCACTCACCAGGTACCCACTCTACACTGCCCATGTAGACAATTGTCTCTTTTGTCCTCATGGTGGCTCCTGAATGTACCCATTTGGCAGTTGAGACATCTGGGGTCAGAGAGGCAGTAACCAGCCCAGGAATCCAGGCATGACCCTGGGTTTTGCTCTCAGCCCTGCCCTGTGCTGCACTGGACTTAAGGCTTGAACCCGGTGGCCTCCTTGCCCTAGATCCCAAATTTGTCCAGGGTTTCCGATCCCGATGGGGCAGAGCCTGGCCCTGGCAGAGCCACTGGGATGGATCCACTGTGGGTGGGGTGGAGGGGAGGGCCCTCCGAACACATCTGTGCCCTAAGCTGGGTCTTGATGGTCCCTGTGGGACCCACTGGACACACATGGCCCCTTGTCTGGGAGTAGCATGGGGAGCCTTCTGCCTTTGGGCAGCTGTGGAAAATGAAGGAGCCCTGGAGAGCTGGCTGGAGTGAGACTATCTTCCATCCTGTTCAAAGGGGTCCAGGAACTGGGGTTCTCCCCAAGTATTTCTTTCTCTGTCTGATCCTCTCAAGGCCTTGCCCTCCTTTTGCCCCAAGTGTTCCCAGAAGGGACAGTCCATCTAGGTGTTCTCCAGGACCAAAGACCCACTGTTCTTCCTCAGTGACCCAGGAAAATGAATCCCCTTCCTGTATGGACAGCTCAGAATGGTGGAGTCCACAGTCCCTCCCTGAGAGATGTGGTTTCCATGAGCACAGGGGCTGCTTTGGAGACAGTAGATTATTTTCATCCCCAAAACCAAACACCCTCCTGCTCAACTGGTGTTGTTCCTAAAGTGGCTTCACTGTTCAGACTGAAGGGCCATGATAGTCCAAGTGATGAGTGGAGTAGAACCAAGCGGTCAGGAGAGGTCTTGTTCCCCATAGGAAGCTGAACATCTCTGTGGTCCCTGAGCATCCCAGGAGGCCTATTGTACAGAGACCTCTGGTCCCTCTCCCCAGTCTGCCTCCACATCCCTGGAATAGCCCATCATGGGCCCTTCACCCTTGGCAGATGGACACCATTGAACCTGCTAGGCCAAATGTGTGCGCGTTTCATGGCATCTGGGGACAATGGGATTCTCTGTCCAGGTCCCACTGTTCTCAAGTCCTTGGGAAGATGCCTACCCCTGCTTGAGGCTTTAGACCCCAGAGACCTGTGCAGGTGTGGGCCACTGGGGCTGGCCCTTTTTCACCTGGGTGCAGTGGTGGAAGGGGGGTTATGCAGCCAGGCAGCATCTGGGAACCGGGCAGGAGCAGTTCAGGTGTTCTCCGAAGCTCTCGGGTACAGTGTAACCTTTAGACAATTTTGTCTCACAGGATGGACATGGTAGAGGATGCGGATACTTTGCAGGAGTGAGGGGACATCATTATGAAGCATGAGAAGGTAGAGGGCAGTCTGCTCCCTGGAGGGAGGCCTCCTCCAGTGCACCCTGGTGAAAGGGTCCTGGGCTCCCTAGGAGCACAGAGCGGGGACAGGTGGCCCTTTCACCCTTTACCTTGGACCCCTCACCAAGGCTCCCACTGGGTTGCAGGGACACCAAGCTGGGCTGCCAGCAGACATGGGGCCTGTGCCTGTTGGAATCTACAGCAGTGCTGATTGCTTTGGGATTCTGCAGTGAGTCCTCTGTGCTCCCCTCAGCCCCTAAAGCACCTATCTCAGCTCAGGGCTGGGTTTGCTTTTACAAAGGCCTTTCTGAGGCAGGACTTGTCTCCCTAGGTCGAGCCAACCTCCTTTCCAGGGTCAGAACTCCTTCCTGGCTCCCCTGCCGGTCCAGCCTGAGGTTGCTGTTAGGCCAGTGGTGTGGGGCCCATCTAGGGAGCGGGTGGGAATGGAGAGGGGGCTAGGTCAGGCCCCTGGGCTCTCAGCAGTTCTGTCTCCGAGTTAGCACAAGAGGAGGAAGGCAGCCTGAGGGTCTGGCCCTGTTCACTTGGAGACAACCCCAGTGAGATCCAAGCGTTGTGGCCACAGGGTGAGGGGAGGCCTGATCCAGCCTCGGGGCTGTTGTCCAGCAGGTCTCTGAGGGCCCACCTTCCCCTGTTCACCCCCATTTCCCTAGAGCTACAGCCCTCACTGTCCCCATGGGGAAGGGGGAAAGGCATGGGGACAGTAGGGGCTGTGGCCCTAGGAGAATGGGGGAGAAGACTGGCAGGGCCCTATTCTGGGCATCTCACAGAGAGCCAGGGAGGCAGCAGAGCTTGTGGCTAATGACTCTGGGTCTGGTGCTGGGAAGGGATCTGGGGCCAGGTAAGAGGAGCCCAGCCCGGAGCCCATCCCTCAGGGATCATAGGATGGAGAGATGGAGGATCACCGGGTAAGTAGTGTGGTAGGGAGCTTATGAGCCATGCCACTTCTGAAATGCAGTGTGTGGCTTGGGTGCAGGGAGAGGCAGGTGGACCCTGGGAGGTCAGATGCTGTAAGGGCCTTGGGACTCTCAAGTGGGATGGGCCCCTGGTGCACCCAGGGTGTACCAGGCAGGTCTCAGACCAGGCTCCCTAGACTGGTCACTCCTTGAGGGATTACTGTCAGGGCCTGGTCACCCACACTGGGTGGCCCGCATCCCATCCAAAGGCTGACCTTTCTCAGCTCCAGCAGAAAGCACCACCTCCAGTCCAGGAGGGGCAGACCCATTGTGCAGCCTGACCACCCCCCACACCAGGGGCCCCAGTAACCCCGGCCAGGCTGGCTCTGTACTCCCTCTTCTCCCAGGTCCTGGACCCTCCTGGGAGTCAGCCCCACAGGAAGGCCCTTGTCCTCCCTTCCCTGTGCCTTCTCCCGGGATGAGCCCTGAGCTGGATGGGACAGAGCCAGTCCTTTCTGGGGGTTGACTCCCTGAACCGGACGACTCCAGACCCTGTGCAAGTCCTCAGCTCTGCCTGGGTTCCCTTACAGTGAGACGGAGCTGCCCCCTGTCACTACCTGGAAGGTGAAGGTAAGAGCCTGATCCATCGGGGGCTGGTCCCGGGATGGGGGACTCAGTGGGTGGTTGATGAGGCAGAGGAGGCAGCAGGTCTGTGCAGTGGCAGGTGAGGGCAACACGCTGTCACTGGGAGGGGCAGCTATTCCTGCTGGACCTGACCCCAGGTTGTTGTATCTCTGGCAGTTTGATGAAATTCCAAAGTGAGAACCACAGTCATGGTATGGGGGTGGCTGCCCACTTGTGTTAGGACCCCATCTAGAGGCTGGGACCTGACCTACGACTGGTGTGTCTGTGGCCTGAGGATGGCACGTCCCGGGGTCCCAAGGCCAGCCCACTAGTGCTCATTTGCTCAAAGGCCCTCAGCCCTTAGGGTCTGCCCTTCCCTGGCTCCTTCCACCTGGGTCCCACCAAGGCTTCAGAGCCCAAGACCCAGCATCCACGGGCCACTCCGGGAAGCCTGGCAGCTCCGCTAACTCCAACATTTCTCATTTGACAGCAAATGTGGCAGGAGATGAGATGAAAGAGCAAGTGGATGGAAATGCTGGGAGAATGGGAGACATATCAGAACAGCAAAAAAGTAATGTGTGGAGGGAGAGGCCCCAGGAACCACTCTCTGCAGAGACAGGGGACAGGCACCCATGGCTGTGTCCTCTCAGAGGACGAATGGCACACTGTCCTCACCCAGAGGACCACAGGCCTGGTTGCCAGCTTTGCTGCCCATTCGTGCAAGCATCACCTTGCTTGGAGGGAATCTGAATCCAGAGATGGAGACCCCTGGAGCTCGGAGTAGGGATGCCTCCTGGTGACCCGAAAGGAGGAAAAGGTCCAGATCAGAGTTCAGGACTCTGAGTGCCCACACACTCTTTCAATCCTGGGAAGGGAGACCCTGTGCCAGCTTGACCTCACCTCTACTGAGGAATCATGGGGCCAAAACCAAAGATTTCCAGAATCCTCGGGCTCTGGTCCTCACTGGGGTTGTCCTGTGGCATGTGACACCAGATTGTTTTCTGCCCACAGCTGATTGAGTGAGTGTATAAAGGCATTCCCATTAATGTCCAGGGCCAACTGTGGTCAGGCCCCCTGAACATTCAGGAAAGCAAGGCAAAAAATCCCAGAAAATACCAGGCACGCTCAGCCAGACACAACAAACAGGCCAGGCCGTGTCAGGGAGCCAGGTCTCCAGCTGGAGGGAACATCAAGCCCAGGCTTTGGGGGTTGGGGGGTGGTCAGATGCACATCCTGGGCACAGATGGTGACATAGTCACCACAGACGAACTCGGCTCTCGTGACCCTCCCTGGCTTCAGAAACAAGCCAAAAAGCAGCTTTCTGCAGAAGGAAATCTTTCTTCTTTCCTTCCTTCCAGAAGGGCTGACTGTGGGCTGACTGCCATTTGGGGCAGAGAGTCTTCCATCTATTCTGAGCCTGCTTCCTCCTCTTGGCCCTGCCCTACAGGTCATGAAGGAGAAGGGCAAGAGGTCCTCTGGACACATCCACCAGATCGACCTGGACATGAGCCGGACATTAAGGAACCACCTGTTCTTCAGGGACCGATATGGAGTCAAGTAAGCCTATGGGAGCCACAGGGTCCCAGTGGAGATGGGGTGAACCAGAGGGATGGGGACTTCCCTGGAGCAGAAGCCAGGATCACCCAGGAGGGATGACAGAGCTGCCAAGAGCTCTCCTGTACCAGGGAGCAGCTGGTACCATGGACCGAGCACCTCCCAAGTTCCAAGCCCTGGGCCAGACTGGAACACGTGGGGCCAGAACCCAGGAGGATCCTGAGGAGACAGACGGCGGCAAAGAAAATCATGCACAATGGTGAAAAGTGCTCTCCCTGACCCACAGGGACCCATGGTAGGACCCACGGGAGGGCAGCAGGATGGAGGGCCCATGAGCTTCCCCAGGCAACACTGACAGGACCAAAAGCAGGGGGAGCTTGGGGTCCTGGAAACTCTCATCCAGGTCTGCTGGGAACATCACACGGCACAGCCACTTTGGCAGCCAGTTGTGCAGTGGCTCACAAAGTTCAATGGACTTGAACCACATGTCCCCAAAGTGTCACCGATATTGAACCCACTGATTTGAAAACTGATGTCCACATGAAACCTGCATGCCACATTCACTGCTTGATTCATTGACACTCACACATGGAGGCTACGGGAATGACCTTCAACACGGGAACGCAGAGAGGAAGGGTGGTCCTCCCTTCAAATGGCAGAAGATTCAGAGAGAAAAGGGAACGATCTAGTGATGCCCACATGAACATGGGTGGATCCTAGATGCGTTTTGCTAAGGGAAAGAAGCCAGGCCCAATAAGCTACCACAGTAGGATTCCCATTCCTAGACCATTCTGGAAAAGGCCAAACCATAGGGACCGAGAACTGGTCTGGGTGGCCAGATGCTGACGGATCAGGGAGAGGCTGGCTGCATAGGGGCCACCCTGGAGACTTGGAGGATGAAGGAGTCACTCCAGGAGGGGCTGGAGCAGTGGCCAGGAGATTCTGCACATCGGTTTAGAACCCTCCTTGCCCTGCAGTGCCCTGCATCCCCAGCCCAGGGGTTAGGCTCACCCCTAGCCTACAGGAGGCCCAGGAGGGTCCCTGCAGGCCACACAAGCAAGACCCTCTGCCCAAGAGGGGTCATCCCAGGGCAGAGGCTGGGGTTCAGGCCCAGCCTCATGGGCAGACTGGGCCAGGACCCAACTTGGGAGGGCTCAGGGATGCCTCAAGCCGCGGGCAAGCCCCTATCTCCAGAAGCCACGTCCCCACTGAAATGAGTGCCCCCCCATGAGGAGCGGCAAGACCTGGTCTGACCCAGTGTCCTGGAGGGGTCAGGTGACCCTCATGGGGAAGGTCACTGACTCTGGAGACTGAAGCCCCAATGGGTGCAGCTCGAGCCACCAACCCCAGCCTGGAAGGGCCAGGTCCTCCCATGCCTGCTGTCCCCACAGATCTCTCTTGGGCTCACCCTGCACCTGTGGGACATGTATTTGCTGGAAGGGGAACAGGCATTGATGCCGATAACAAGCATTGCCTTTAAGGTTCAGAGGAGTAAGTCCACGTGTGGCCAGTGGGGCCTGGGGAGCACTGGGGTCAGACCCTGACTGGCCCAAGGGCAGCTTCCTCACACTGTTCTCATGATCCTCTGTTCTGGCCCAGAAGGAGGTCTGTCCAGGTGGGCTGGGCAGGGCACAATGACACCAAGTCCATCCCCCACATGACCCAGATGAAAGTCAGGAGTGTAGTGAGCACTTTTTTTGCCCAGGCTACCCCCCAGCCACAGCCTTCTGTGCATATCTGGACCCCTGGAGTGGCCATGAAAGTATCCAGCACCACCCAGTGGGAGACTGAAGTGGCCATGGGGTGTGGGCTCTGACCTCTCCCAGGGAACTCTCCGGGCCTGATGCCCACCCTGTCCCTACAGCGCCTCATGAAGACGTCCAGGTCTGGCCTGTGGGCACCTTTTCGAGACCAGTTATTTCATACCTGAGCCATGGACAATGATCCTGTTCTGAAACACCTTCGGGCCTCTATGAAGAAACTAACAAGGAAGCATGGGGACCTGCCACCCCCAGGTGGGCTCCAGTACCAGGTCCCCTCCTGAATCACCTTCTGGGGCAGTCAATAGTGGGGGAGTGCTCAGGACCCCCAATCCTACTACCTGGGTCTTCCTCTTCACCTTTTCTTTCTCCTCTTCTTCCTGGACTCTAAGAAAGTACAGGAGGCCCATCGGTCCTCAGGGCAGGCGCTCAATGCGTGTGTACGGGACATGCTGTGCAGGAGGGGGATGTGGGCAAGAGCCTCCCACAAGCCCCCTCCCACTTTCCTTGGTGGCCCGCTCTCCCCCTCACAGGGCCCTCAAGCGCACTGGAGGAGCCAGACCCATTTGTGGGAGCCCCCACCCCTCCCTGAGAGCACCCACAGCCTCAGAGAGCAGCAGAGGCCCCTCACTCCTGCAGACCCCTCTAAGGGTGCCAGGACAACAAGCCTTGAGCCAGGGAGACAAGGGAATTGGGTGTTCCTGACCCCCAGAGCATTCAAGGAGAGGGCACAGGCAGGACCCCGGGCCCAGAGCCAGAGCCAAGAGTTCAGCCAGGTGTGGGAATGGTCAGTCCTGGCATGGACTGAGCAGCCCAGGAGGGCAGAGGGTGACTCATATCTGGGCCCAGTCGCCCACTGCGGAGACAGGTCCCCATGTGAGGTGGCAAGGGGGCTGGGTAACAGCCAAGGCCGCTCCTACCTGAGTTCTGACAGGGGGCCATATCCCAGGCCCAACAGCCCTGGATAAGGTTGTGTGGCAGGAAGCCTTCAGCCTCTCTGAACCCTGGGGGGCAGTCCCAGGAGCCACCTGCCATGCCCCGACATCTTCCCCACCCCAGGCAGCACACACCCCTCTTTCTGGGATCAGCAGACTACAGGTGTGTCCTCAGTGTCAGATCACGGGGACCACACGGAGACTCCGAGGACTCCAGAGACCCAGGCAGGTGAACTCAGGCCTCAATATACATCAGCTGCTCTAGCTGAATTTTGTTCAAACTCAGTGAACGTCTGCTCTACAGGGTGCATGTGAAAGGGGCAAGAATGAGTAAGCTGCAGATAAAGAAGACAGAACACAGGGGGTCTGTCTAAGCTCTATCCCCTGCCTTCAGCACTGATGAAGCAAATCCAATACTTAGGGAATGGTGGCCACGTGCTGGACCAGCCCCGGGCTATGAGGATCTGACAGTGAGTGACGCAGAGGCAGGCCTTGCCCTTGGGGAGCTTTCCAGCATACACCTCCCTCTCCCCTCCCAGCGCCCTGCAAAGCAGGCGTCAATGCCATTGTTAATGCACAGAGGAGGAACCTGACTGTTAGACAGGTTGATGGGTTTTCCAGGGTCAGGGTCACATGGCTTCTGGGAGACGGATGTGACCCTGAGGACAGGGCACAGGCCAGTGTAATGCCACAATGGGATGAGCTGTGATCTGTGCTGTGTAGAGGCCTAGGCTAAGGTGGGACTGACGGATGACCAGGTCAGCCAGGTTGCTGAAAACACTCTTGGGTCCTCACCTGCCAGCTCCCAGGACTCCGGAACTGCCAGGAGAGTGGTGGCAGGTCCCCCATCCTCAGCTGGGTGGGCCTGGATAGAACAGCAAGGCGAGGGCACATTTCCCCAGCCATTCCCTCCAGGCACAGCTGTGACCTGCTCATTCCAATTTCGTGGAAATATTTCCACACACACAAAACTGTAAATAGCAATGGATGTGCTGAGAGGAGCTTGGACATAGGATAGGCAGTATTTTACAGGCAGAGCATCCAGGGCTTCCTGACGGGTTAGCTTCAGGGCTTGAGCAAGGAAGGAGAACCGAGGACAATGTGTTCAAATCTGTTCACTCACCTCCTCCGTGCCACACCTGTGCCGGGCACTGGAAGAGACAGATGAGCACAGAAGCCCTGGCCTGGGGGAGGTGTGGGAGGGAGCCCAGAGCATCTACTGGGAGCTGAGGGCTGATGTCCACCTGGGTACCATCCAGGTTCTCTGCATGGACAAGTACAGGGAGGCACAGCTGTTGCTGGTGGAGACCACCACATTTGGGAATGGAGACTTCCCCAGCAATGGAGAGGTGGGTGGCCTGAGGTCTGGCTGGTCTAGGAGGTTGTAGGGTGTGGGAGGACCCAGGAAAGGGTCCGGGGAATGAAGCAGGTCCTACAGAGGGCATTTGGGAGTCAGTGCTCAGGCCATCTGGGTCACTCAGGTCATTTGCCGGCCTCCATTGTAATTATTGCCATATGGGAGTGCCCCCTTTCCTATGACATATTTAATATATTTCTGTGAATGGCCTACCTGTTTGTATTTACAAATTCATGTTTAAAGGAAACTTGTGTCACTCTCACAAATGGAAAGCAGCAAAACTTAAATTCAATGAAAACAAAATGAAGTTAATGAATTTTAGCTAGATACTATTCCCTGGCCAAGGCCTGCTCCTTCTTTGTTTTTTAAAAGAGTACTAGGCAATGAGAGAGGCATTAAAGGTCTATTAGCACCAACTCAAGACTGTCTCTCCAGGGCTCAAAAGAATGAAAATGTAATTGAAGGGGAATAACTAAAAAATAAATTATGGAAAAGGGAGTAAATACTCACCATGGGATTTGACGCTAGTTCTGCTGGGTCACATACCTCCTGGAATCATCTTGGCTTCCTGGAAAGCCAGCCTTATTTCAGAGACTGTAGGACCAACTGTTGTTGCTTTTACCAGGTTCCAAACAAGAAGACAGAATCACGGCCTATTAGGAGGCCCTCTGGAGATGCCCAGGGCTGGATGGGAGGGGGCCAGGCTATTCTGGGTCTCCCACCAGGGGACAGGGCCCACACAAGTTGCTACAGTTTAGCTGGAGTGAGAGACAAGCTAAAATTCTCACCTGACAACCAGGTCCTTGGCCAGGTGGCCCCATATGTAAACCAACTTCCATTGTGGGCCAGGAGCCATCTCCTGCCATCTGTGGCCAGTTTTCCAGAGGAATGGAAAAAGCGGTGTTTTTTTTCATCTTGGCCTGAGAACTCTGTCATTTCCTCTCTTTCTAGAAACTGAAGAAATCCCTCTTCATGCTGAAAGAGCTCACCAACAAATTCAGGTAAAGCTTTTTCCCTCCTCCTGCAACTTCTAACCTTGCCCTGAGGACCCAAAGTCTGGCTCAGGGGATGGAACTGGGTGCGCATACGGGGTCTTCTCAGAGCTGACCAGGCACAGAGGGACCCTGGGCCAGAGGTTTGCCCTCGGAGTGTGTCACGGGTCAAGCCACAGAAACCAAGTCCCTCTCACGGGTCTGCAGGCCAAGCATGGGGTGGTCATGGGAGTTGGTGACAAGGCTCAGGGGTTGGGAGGACTAGAAGGGGCTGCAGCTCCATGCTCCAGCTGGATGGGGAGAGTCTGTGGCTGGCCCTCCAGGCTGTTGGTGCTGGGTGCTGGGTGCCAGGTGTTGCTTGCATGGGACATGAGTCTCTGTGTGTTTCCTTGGGCAGGTATGCCATGTTTGGCCTCAGCTCCAGCAAGTACCCTCAGTTCTGTGCCTTTGCTCATGACCTCACCCAGTAGCTGTCCCACCTGGGGGCCTCTCAGCTCACCCCGATGGGGGAAGAGGATGAGGTCAGTGGGCAGAGGATGCCTTCCGCAGCTGGGCCATGCAAACCTTCAAGGTCGGTTCCCAGCCAGAGCTGCTCCACAGCAGGGACATGACAGGGTGCATTCAACCTAGGACATCTGTGCTGGGTGTCCCAGGTGCCATGACCTCTGCCCCTGGTCCTGTAGATGTGGTCCCAGGCATGAGCCAGGGCCACAGGCCTGAGGGCTTAGGTCACTGCTGCTCTCCCTCAGGCCCTTAGAAGAGCTCCACCTTGTGCACACAACTCTGGGGGAGAAGGTGGCACAGATACCCCCCTGCCCTTAGGGAGCTTCTAGTTTAAGGTCTCCCCCACTGACTACCTAGGTCACCTTTTAACTACTGTGTCTGTTTCAGTCTCACAGCCATAGAGAGCCTAGGGACAGGCACCACACAGTGGCAGATCCACTTTGGATCCACTCAGTATCTCCATAGCTCTTTACTGCTATGGTTGGCCCCAGTCATTTAGGGAACTCATCACTCATGCAGAGCGTCACTCAGCAGTGGTGCTTAGGAGCATCAGCTTGCATCGGGGCAGGCTTGGTTCCAAAGCCCAGGCCTCCTCCATGTGGTTCCACAACAGGAAAAGGGAACAATCAGACCTCTTCCAGTGTGGTCATGAGGATACAAGAAGATCATGTCAATATTGGCATTCATAATGGCCAGACACTGTGGCGCATGCCTGTAATCCCAGCAATTTGGGAGGCTGAGGTGGGCAGATGGCGTGAGCCCCAGAATTTGAAACCAGCCTGGGCAACATGGCAAAACCAGTCTCTTCTGAAAATACAAAAAATTGGCTAGGCTTAGTGGTGCACATCTGTAGTCTCAGCTACTTGGGAGGCTGAGGTGGGAGGATTGCTTAAACCCAGGGAGGCTGAGGCTTCAGTGAGCTATGATGACACCACTGTACTCCAGCCTGGGTGACAGAGCGATACCCTATCTCAAAACAAAAACAAAGGCAAAACAACATTCAAAATAGTAGCAATAGCTACTATGTGCCAAGCCCAGACACCTCTTTGAGTCCTTGCTGTCACCCTATCAGGTAAGTGTGCTTCGAAGTTACACGAAGCAGATGGCTTAGTATCTGGCCCATGGTAAGGGCCTAAAAAGTGGTAGCCCCAGTGGTGGGGATGCTGCTGCTGCTGCTGACCATTAACCCCCATCTGCTCCACCTTCTTCCAGGCAGCCTGTGAAACGTTTGATGTCCGAAGCCAACAGCACATTCAGATCCCCAAGCTCTACACCTCCAATGTGACCTGGGGCTTGCACCACTTCAGGCTCGTGCAGGACTCACAGCCTTTGGACCTCAGCTAAGGGACCTGCTTCTCTGTAGCACATGGGGCTTGTTTGTGTTGGGGTCTGAGCCCTGAGCTCATGGTCAAGGAGAACCCCAGGTCCTTCTGAACAGAGACAGCTGGCCTCGGGGCCTCCCTCTCACTGCATGCAAGAGCCTGTTAGGGCACAAGACTCAAGGCGCTGAGGGAGGCTGTTTCAGGAGGGAGCCGCAGAAGGATGGTGGAGAGAGAAGGGGACAGCATCCGCCGAGGGCCTACTGTGTGCCAGGCACTGTCCAGGGCTCCTGGCCCACATGGGCTAAGTGAATCTGGACACTCCTCCTGGGAGAAAGGCACAGATGGAGAAATTGCAGTTCAGGGAGGTGAAGCAAGCTGCTAGCCTGTGGCCACTTTGGGATCTGAGCGCCAGCCTTCTAGCCACAAAGGCAGCAAAGGGTCATGAAGAAGGCATCACAGAGGCGATTCCAGGCTGTAGTGGTGAACTCTCCACTCTGCACCCCCAGGTGCTGTGCCCTGTGCCCTGATTAGATAGTCCTGAAGGTTTCTACATGTTTAAGATATCCCCAATGTCAACGATGCTCTCCTGTGGATCCCAAGCTGTGGAGATGTCCTGGGACTTTCCATTTTAGGTTCCTAAATTGAATTTCCCAACACCTAGAAGCAACCCAGCTGCCCTGTATCAGACCAAGGACCTTTATTTGTGATTCAGAAACAGTGGAATAAAAGGAAAGGAAAGAAAACCCCAACAGCCACCTCAGGAGGATGCCCCAAGGGTAGTGCTCTGGTGTCACTGACTCAGACATGTGGGGGCTTCTGCCACCCACGCTCAAGAGCCACTTTGCCGTTTCACCGTCTCTGTGTCCTCCACAGCCCTCAGCAGCATGCACGCCAATAACATGTTCACCACGAGGCTCAAATCTCAGCAGAAGCTACAGAGTCCAACATCCAGGTAAGGGAAAGTGCAGGGCTTCTCGGGTGATGCTCTACTGATTTTATTTTAATGAATGAAAGACCAGAAGAAGTCAGTCTTTGAAGGGAGAGGAGAGGAGCATCTGCTGGCATTAGCAGCCATGCCATCGGTAGGACTGGCTCACCTGGTAACCTGTGGCCACCTGTGCTTTTACATCTACTCTTGGTTAACCACGGGCCACTTTTCCAGCTTGGACTCTAAGCGTCTGTTCCACTTCCTCTCCTTCCTCATTGAACTCTTTCACTAAAAGGAGAGTGCAAGAGAGACTTAAACTGTTTGACTCATTCTTAAGAACTTTCAGGAAAAGTGTTGGCAGGGAAGGAAATTTCCCAGCTCTGGGAAATAAGCCTTGTGGATTATCTGCAGGTTTCATTGATCTGTGCTGTCCTCCCCACATGCATTAAGAAAATTGGCCTTGGTTCTAATAAGAACAGCATTTGTCCTGGTGACAAGGAAAGGTTTCTTCTGATGTCCATTATCTCCAAGAGGGATGCTTTCTCCAGGCAGAGGCTGTGGCCAAGTGCTCGGGGGGCTCAGAGGGCTGCTGGGAAGGGGTGAGCCCCTCTCCTCCCCAGAGGGAAGCTCCCAGGGCCCTCTCAAGCACCCCTGGCTGTGGGGATGCTTCCCAAGCTCAGGGTGGCAGCCCAGGCTTGTGGAACCAGCCAGGTAAGTGAAAGGAGAGTGCATTTCCTGGGGAATCTCTCTTGCCCATCAGGGATCCTTGGAGGAAATCCTGCAACATCACCTGAGGCTTCTTTTTTTATTTTTATTTTTTGAGATGGAGTCTCACTCAGTTGCCTAGGCTGGAGTGCAGTGGCGTGATCTCGGCTTACTGCAACCTCTGCCTCCCGGGCTTAAGCCATTCTCCTGCCTCAGCCTCCCGAGTAGCTGGGATTAGAGGTGCCTGCCACCACGCCCAGCTAATTTTTGTATTTTTAGTAGAGAAGGGCTTTCACCATGTTGGCCAGTCTGGTTTTGAACTCCTGACCTCAGGTGATCCACCCACCTTGGCCTCCCAAAGTGCTAGGATTACAGGCATGAGCCATGGCGCCCGGCCCACCTGAGGCTTCTATTTCCTTACCCAGCCACACCACCATCCTGGTGGAATTCTCTTGTGAGGAGGGCCAAGGCCTGAACTACCTGCCAAGGGAGCACCTTGGGGTTTGCCCAGGCAACCAGCTGGCCCTGGTCCAAGGCATGCTGGAGCGAGTGGTGGATGGCCCCACACCCCACCAGACAGGGCACCTGGAGGCTCTGGATGAGAGCAGTGAGCCCTGGGCCAGGGAGCCAGTGCTGCCTGGCATCCTCTGGCCACCCCATCTGGCTGAGGGGCTGAGCCTGGGCCTGCCAGTGACAGTCATCCCTGTCCTTCCTGCTGAGAGGGTGGGCTGCCAAAATCTTATGTGAAAGCAGCTGTGGAAACAGTCCCAGCCACAGGCATGGCTCCCTGGCCTTAGTTTCCCCAGTGATAATGACACCACCAGTGTATCCCCCTCAATGCAGTGGCCAAAGTCAGAAAGTGGGATCAGCTGAGCGTGGTGGTTCACGCCTGTATTCCCAGTATTTTGGGAAGCCAAAACGGGTGGATCATTTGAGGTCAAGAATTCAAGACCAGCCTGGCCAACATGGTGAAACCCCATCTTTACTAAAAATACAAAATAAATTAGTTGGGCATGGTGGTGCACACCTGTAATCCCAGCCCCTCGGGAGGCTGAGGCACGAGAATCGCTTGAAGCCGGGGAGAGGAGGTTGCAATGAGCTGAGATTGCTCCACTGCACTCCAGCCTGGGTGACAAAGACTCCATCTCAAAAAAAAAAAAAAAAAAGTGGGATCAGAGAGGCAGAGCCTGGCAGTGTCCGCCACCATCTAGGAGAAAGTGAGGACGAGGAGACACATGTCCTTGTGACTGCAGGGTGATGGATGTGGTTCATCAGGACCCTGGTCAGAGGAAATAACGTCATACTCATATTTTTACCTAATATTTAGGGAACATGTTTACCAGGCACAGCACCAACTTTTTTTTTTTGACACAGTCTTACACTGTCGCCCAGGCTGCAGTGCAGTGACATGATCTCGGCTCACTGCAACCTCTGCCTCCCAGATTCAAGTGATTCTCCTGCCTCAGCCTCCCAAGTAGCTGGGATTACAGGTGCCCACTACCACGCCCAGCTAATTTTTGTATTATTAGTAGAGACAGGGTTTCCTATGTTAGCCAGGCTGGTCTTGAATGCCTGACCTCGTGATCCACCCGCCTCAGCCTCCCAAAGTGCTAGGATTACAGGTGTGAGCCACCACACCTGGCCACAGCACCAACTATATGTGCGCAATTTCATTCAGCGCTCATGCCAACCCAGCAAGATAGGTTGTGCTATCAGATCTGTTTCACAGGGAGGGAACCCAAGGCCCAGAGGCTTTAGTCACCTCGGAAGTGGAGAGCCAGGGTTTGAACCCATGTCTTCCAGCCCCAGGGTCTGTGCTGTGACTGCCCTGCATGCTGCCCCCTGGGAGTTCCCTTTGAGCTCATCTTCTGCTCACCCAGCACCTCTTGGTACAGCACCCAAGGGACTGCAGTCATGGGCTTTTCTCCAAGTGAACAACTGGCCTGTGAGGTATCCATTAGTCTTTGGTGGATTTAGTCATTGTGAGTCTGTAGATCACCGGTGAGTGTCTTGCTAAAGTTCAGGTCTGGGCCAGAAAAGGACGTGGTTAGTTTATCAGGACCACGCCAACTTACTGCCCCTTTGGGGGCTGGTGATCAGCCTTCCCTGGCAGTCCTTTCTCCATGCGCCACCTTCTTCCTGCCTTTTGCTCTTAGAGCCAGGTCTTTAGAGCCTCCTTTCCCCTGCAGCTGGAGAATAGAGGGTGTCTGCCTGGGGGCCTCGCTACCTACTGAGAATCCTGAATGGGGCCTCTTTTCCATCCTGACACCTTCCTTCCCCATCCAGGCAGCTACTGGGTCAGTGACAAGAGGCTGCCCCCCTGCTCACTCAGCCAGGCCCTCACCTACTTCCTGGACATCACCACACCCCCACCCAGCTGCTGCTCCAAAAGCTGGCCCAGGTGGCCACAGAAAAGCCTGAGAGACGAGGCTGGAGGCCCTGTGCCAGGTGAAGATCAGGGCTGGTGGGCAGTGGGGGTATGTGGGGGGTCCCAGCATGTGGGGAGCCAGAGTCCAGAGCTGGTTTTAACTTTCAAGAGGGATCCACACCAGGTTCCCAAAGTGAGACTTGTCAAAGGCTGGTGGGAAGCCAGGCATCGTCCGCTGGCCCATGTCTAGGACACAGTTGTGTTGAGTGAACTGAATTTTTCCAAGTGTCTGCAGGATGCAACCAGAGTGCACTGCCTTGAACATTAGCTAGAAAGGGGAGCCGCCCTTATCCGTCTTTGCTTTCCCCAAAACTGGAATAAACTTGTCACTTAAGATGTATTGGGGGATGGATGGTGTGGATGAATGGATAAATGGGCATAATGGGCAGAGTGACAGATGGAGAGCTGAATTAATAAGTTAATGAGAGAATGCATTAGCTCACCTGCAACTGTCTGGTTCCAAGTCTGCAAAAGGCACTGGTTGTCATTATTATTGTCATCATTATAGCTAATTATCTCGATTCCAACTACCTCCACCACCATTATTTTGTGGCTGCAATGTACTAACTTGGCACATGCTTTCTCATTTAATTCCCATAACATCCCCACAAGGCAGGCAATACTATCCTTGTTTCACAAAGGTTAAGTAATTGGGATGAGATTCCACAGCTAGTGAGGACACCCAGCCAAGATTTAAACCCAGGTCTGATTGGTTCCAAAGCCTTGCCCCAAATTAAATTGCAACAAAAATTTGACCCCTGCCCACGAGTTGCCGACAGTGGAGGAGGTCACATAAGTTAGATAAATGTACTGGACTGAGTTCCTCCAGGACAGGAACTATTTCTTCTCAAGCTCGGTAGTCTCAGCACCCTGGACAGTGCCTGGCACATGGACTTGTTTGTTGAGTGAGTGAGTGAATGAATGAATGACTACTAGGTTGTGAAAGCCTTTTCCCCCAAAGTGGGGCAGGTGCCCTGAGTCGCTCACATCACCCTCCACTTACTCTCAGAGTACAGCAAGTGGAAGTTCACCAACAGCCTCACGTTCCTGGAGGTGCTGGAGGAGTTTCTGTCCCTGTGGGTGTCTGCTAGCTTCCTGCTCTCCCAGCTCCCCATTCTGAATCCCAGGTTCTACTCCATCAGCTCCTCCTGGGATCACATGCCCATGGAGATCCACCTGACTGTGACCGTGCTCATGTACCACACCCGAGGTGAGCCCAGGGAGGAGGATCTGGAACAGCCGCAGTCTGCCCCTTATTGGGCATCTGTTCATCAACTCAGCCTCAGCTCCCTCATCAGTTCAAGGAGGGAGGGAACACCCACCACCCAGAGTTGTTAACCGTAATAGGAGGCGTGTGGGAGAGATCTGTAGGAACCAGGCACTAAACCAAGCCTTCTGTATGTATATGATCAGTTACATTGTGGGGTAGGCCCTGTGTGCATTTTACAGGTGGCACAGAAAGTCACACTGTTAGTAAGTGGAGAGCAGAGATTCAGACCTGATTAGTCTAACTGCTAAGTCCAAGTCCTCCACCACCCCACTGTTCCACTACTCTTGGGACAATTTAATGAGATCAGACGTGGAGAGCACCCAATGCTTGGTGGGAGGCCAGTGGTTCTTAGTCTTCCTGGTCGTGCAGCCTGAACACAAGGGAGATTCTGCATTGATTGTTCATTCACTTACTCAGCTCATTCAGTGATGGTTTATCTCACACCTCCTCATGCCTGGCACTGGGGTGGGTGTGGAAATACAGCAGACATCAGCCCTGCCCTCAGGGAGCATCTAGAGGCGGCAGTGGAGAGATAGGCATAGAAATAATTAGATTATTCTCATTGTGCTGAAGCCAAGAAGGAAAGGTCAGGGTCACTGAGGGAAGCAAAGTGGGCCGGGGTGGCAGGGGGCGGGGTGATGCTGCCATAGAGCGGGAGGCCAACATCTCGTCCAGGTGGTCTCGGCTCCACCACTGGCCGCTGCCCCCTGCCCTGCCCTCTGTAACTGAGCGTTGCCTGGGTGGGCAAAGCTGGGAGCTGCCCACACTTCTGAGTCCTCTGTCCTCTAGGAAGCACAAACACAGTTTCTAAAAACTGGCCAGAGACTCTGTTTGCCCTGCTAGAGAACAGCCACCCAGACCAGGAGAGGAGAGGCCTACATGTCTTGTGAGAGCAAAATTTAATCCCGAGGAAAACCAGGGGGACCTCTGCAGTTGGTTGGAGGCCTCCTTCAAGTGCTGGGCCATTGTAAGGGGAACAGAACCCAGAGAAACCTCCTGGGTTTCTACAAGCCCGGGAGGGCCCACTGAGGAGGAAAGCAAGGTGCCAGAGCAGGCTGAAATGCGCGGAACTCATCCACCACCCAGGGTTGCTACCAGCAAGGGCCACGCTCATGAGCACGCACAGCAGTAGCCACCCTGAGGGGCCACTTCATGCTGCTGTCAGTGGAGCTCAGTGGTGAGCTGGGAGTGTTCCCGGAGAAAGTCTTTGGAAGGAGCACTGGAGTAGGAGTCAGGGAAGCTGAGCTGTCCACCTGATTCCACCGCGACCTGAGTGACCTTCTCCAAGTCACTTTTCCACTCCGGAACTCAGTTTCTGCTTGGGCAGACGGGACAACCTGCAACCTCTCTAAGTCCCTTTCAACGTTCCTCAGCTCCGCGCTTACAGAGGGTGGATCTCAGAACCAGAACAAACAGCTGCTCATTGAGTCCTGAGAGTGCCTGAGTGGGGGCGTCCAAGGAGGCCGTGGTGTGGGCGGAGCAGCTGGTACAGTTTGCACATGGGCAGTAGGGGACATTGGTCACTTTGTGGTATCGTAGCAGATGGCCAGGGTCCCCTGCACCACGGCGTCTGCAGCACATGGCTCAACAACTGAAGCCTCAAAACCCAGTGCCCTGCTTTGTGCGGAAGTAAGCACCCCTTCCACTCTGTCCCCTGTGGGACCGCCGACCCCTGGGGGTTCCGGGAGGAAAGGGAGGGATCTGGGGTTTAGGTGCCACTCGGGGGCCCCGTGGCCCATAAAGAAGACACTGGGGTCACACTGGTGTGCCTGTCTCTAGCAGGGACAACGATGACAACAGTGCTGGAGGGGCCCAGAGTCCAGTGAGCATGGCCCTTTTTCAGAAGGACCTGGGGGAGGTGCTGGTGCCTGGACAGAAGTGAAGCAGCCTGCAGGACATGGGAAATCAAATAGGAGCTTCTTGTCCTCTCCATCTCCTCACGACCACCCCCCACAGGCCCAGCTCCCCAGCCATCCTGTGTGTGCGTGGGCCTGGGGTGTCTGAGGACTGGCCCCCTCTTCTCCTGTCCTCTTCCGTGTCAGCGGCTTCCACCTCCCCGAGGATCCCTCCCATCCTCGCATCCTTGTCAGGCCTGGCACAGGTATCGCTCCCTTCCACAGTTTCTGGCAGCAGCGGCTCCATGACTCCCAGCGGAAGGGTAAGGCTGGAGGCTTCCCAGGTGGCAGGGGCACCAGGGGCAGCGCCTGCCTAGAATCAGAACCGCAGCCCCACGAACGGTTCCTGGACCTCTCTGGAGGGAAGATCTCCCAAGTTTGCCTCCCTGTGCGGGCCTTTGTGGGTTAGAATGGCCGCCTTCACGTCTCCGGCACCGGAGCCGGGGCTCCCTCTCCTGGTAGTGGGGATAATGGGAAAGTCCTTGCTTTTGAGCTCCGATGGGCTGAGGGAATCCCGCATCTGCATTTTCAGTTGTGTGACTATGGATGAGTGATCTGAATGCCCTGGGCCTCAGTTTCCTCATCTGTAAAGTGGGGATAATGCTATTAACTAGCTAGGATACTTGTGGGAGTTAAGTGAGAATTCCAGTTGGGCTTGGAGCCGTTGCGCCCTCTGGTGGCCAACATGATAACAACAGCCCGGGACTCCCGGCAGTAGTGCTGGAAGGCCGCAGGACCCTGGTCTTCTGGTGCCGCCGCCCAGATGAGGACCGCCACCTACCGGGAGGAGATGCTAGAGATGACCCGGAAGCGGGTGCTGCATGCGGTGCACACGCCTATTCCCTCCTGCCTGGCAAGCTAAGGTAAATGCAGCCTAAAAGCTGGTGAAGCCATTACACACACAGGCTTCAGTATGAGCCCTGGGTCCCCACGGGCCCCTCGCCTCCCTGAGACTTCAGCTCTTGAGCTCTAAAATGCAGGTAGTTCACAACCATCAGAGTGATGCTATGAAGAGCGTTACACCCTCTCATACAGCATAAGCGACAGGCCCGGAGAGGTTCAGGACTAACCTAGGTCACACGCGGGTTAAGCCCAGAGCTTAGCCTGCTGAAGGTCCCCAGCAGGACCCCTGGGACATGCGACTGCCCAGGGAGAGGTGATCCAGGCTGGCTGTGTCAAGCCCAGCAAGACTGGAGGGCGGCCAACGCTTCCACCACGGCCCTCAGACAGGCTCTGCTGCCCCCAGGGCCGCGTTGTCTCCTGAGCCGGAGGTGTCAGAACAGACTCTCGGTCCTCACACATTTGTCCCATCAGGGCACCTCTCGGGTCCAGTGCTCTGTGCCCAGTGCTGGGGCCACTGGGCATCCTGTGTGGAGCAGGAGCAGAGAGTCCCCGACTGACTCCTGGACCTTCTAACTGCGAAGCCCGGGATCCGTACCCTGCAGGGACCTGATGGACAGTCTGCATTGAGAGGCTACCTTTTCCAGAGTATAGACAGAGCCCTGGGCAGGGGGACTGGCTTCACTGATGCTTCTTTGAGGCATGGCAAATTCAGAGACAGTCTGGGATCCCCACTGGATGGTCAGCCCCTCGAGGGCAGGACTGTGTCCAGCATTTATCTCTCTAATCCCAGCCCAGCCCCAGGGGCATCTGTGCGCCTCATCCTAAGCCTGGCCCCATGCAAGGTCCTGGCTGGGAGGGGACTCACTCCTCACCCCTTAGTGCCCTCTCCCCACTTCCCTGAGGACAGCAGGCCTGCCTGCAAGCCTTGTCCCCAGCAGCTGGGGACTGAACCCACCACTTCCTCTGGTTTCAGGTCGATGTTCAGGACATCCTGCAGCAGCAGCTGGCCAGCAAGGTGCTCCGTGTACTCCACGAGGAGCCAGGCCACCTCTATGTTTGCTGGGATATGCGCATGGCCTGGGATGTGGCCCACACCCTGAAGCAGCTGGTGGCTGCCAAGCTGAAATTGAATGAGGAGCAGGTCGAGGACTATTTCTTTCAGCTCAAGGTATAGTAGTGGGTGTGTGGGCTGAAGGTGCCGGCCAAGGGCACAGGCCGTTGGAGCCAGGACCAGGGGTGGCAGGTAGACCCAGGGGAGTCAGGCCCAGAAAAGTTCTGGGCCCCAAGAGAATCTTAGCAGTGGCTGAGATCTGAGCTGGGTGGGCTGTCAGAAGGCCCTACTGCACATCCTGGACCAGTTGGCAGCTTTGAGAAGTCGGGGGAATGTGTTCCATTTTTCCATCTGTAGAATGGGGGCAGGAGAGTCTCCCTGGCCTCTCCCCAAACCCCCCTTTCAGAAAGTATCTGTGTGGCCAAAGCAAGGCTGTGAACACAGGGGAGAGCAAGGCTGCCCCTTGTCAGCCTCGTGTGAACCTCACACTTCTTATTTACACCCAGGCTGGCGTCTGCTCACCCTCATCCCCCCAGCAGGAAGGGCTTGCATTTTATTGATGAAGATAATAGTGATATTTATCAAGGGCTTACACTGGGCATACTACTTGCCAAAGATTCTGCTGTGACATTTTGTTCAGTGCTGCCGAGGATTTTGTGAGGGAGGCACCCCATTTTGCAGAGGGAAGGGGGCCTACGGGGACCACAGCAGTGAATATGAAAGCCTAGAGCTCAGTCTGCCTCTCTGTGGTACCAAAGCCTGTGATTGTCACTTCCATACTCTCCCTAAGACACATTCGTACGTTCAACCAAACATTTTTTGAGCACCTACTATGTGCTAGGGATAGAGCAGTAAATGAATCAGGCAAAAATTCTTTACATTCTACTGGGGCTGACAAACCCAAACAAGGAAGAGCTGTAGTGCTTCAGAGAAAAACAGCAGGAAACAGCCCAGAGAACGCTGGGGAGTGTAATTTTAAATAGGGTGGCCAGGGAAGGCGGAGCTGGAAGGCGGCATCTGAGAATAAACCTGAGATGGTGAGGAGGAGCCCTGTGGATACTGAAGGAAACACTCTGGGCTGTTCTGGAGGGGCAGCAGGTACAAAGGCCCCGGGGGTGGGAGTTAAGCTGGTGTGTTTGAAGAACAGTGAGGAGATAACAGGCATTTCCCCAAATGCGTTGAATGGGTCGGTAGACAGTTGGCATCAAAAAGGTTCCAAGGTCGAATAGCCTGGGACATGCTTAGTTAAGGCAAGGCAAACACGTTGCTTTACTACAAGACTTCTGGAAGCCTTCAGCATGCTGCTGCTCATCAGGACCCTTCAAGGCTGGAAGGAAAGAAAGGATGTGGCATTTCCCAAACATATTTATCTCAGAGCTCACACCTCCTGGAGTATCTTGGGTGGGGGATGAGTGCTGGGCAGGAAATGGGTATGCTAAGTAAAGCTTTGGAGATGGTTAGAGGGCCCGCACCAGAGCAGGTGCTGAGGGCCGTTAGAGTCTAAACCAGATTCAAGCACAATCTTAGTATGACAGTTGGGAAGACAGATGGCTCATGGAGGTCCATGTGATAGGGAAGCTGGGCAACCCCGGGGGCTCATCCCAGCCTGGACTTGACACTTTGGTCTCTGTTTCCACCTAAAAGAGCCAGAAGTGCTATCACGAAGATATCTTTGGTGCTGTATTTCCCTACAAGCAGACAAGGCGGCAGTGCAGCCCAGGAGCCTGGAGATGTCAGCGCTCTGACGGCCCGTAGGAGGGGTTAAAGCTGCCGGCACAGAACTTAACCACGGAGCCAGCTCTGCATTATCCGAGGTCACAGGGCCTGGGGAGATGGAGGAAAGTGATATCCCCCAGCCTCACATCTTATTTTTTCACTTCATTCCCCATCAAGCCCTTTACTTGACCTCCTACCAAGTAGCACCCTGGATTGATCAGAGCCTCCTCTCTCAAGCTGGGGCCTTCCTGGTCCCTTGGAGACGAAATCTTCAACGCCAGGCCTGGCAAGTGGGTGAAAGATGGAACCCGCTGCTGAGTGCACCACTTCAAGTGACCACCAGGAGGTGCTGTCACACCACTGTGTATTTAACTGCCTTGTGTACAGTTATTTATGCCTCTGTATTTAAAAAACTAACACCCAGTCTGTTCCCAACGGCCACTTGGGTCTTCCCTGTATGATTCCTTGATGGAGATATTTACATGAATTGCATTTTACTTTAATCACACTGTATGTGTGTGTGGCGGGGGAGGGGGGTTGGGGGCTGTTTTGTAGGGAATGTGGCCCTCAGTTATACAGAGTGGGGAGCTGGTGGGTGTCGCAGCCTGGACAGATCCCCCACAGAGGGACAACCCAGGCAGGCCATGGCTCCTCTGAAATGGCTGCCAGGTGTGACAGCAGAAGATGGAGCTTCGTTGCTTGTCCAAAGACCTGTGGTAGGGCAGGGGGCACAGGCCTGCCTCCCTCACAAAGGATCTGAAACGGGGTCTGGCGTGGGTGGGATTCTCACATGAGGCCAGCGCTTCTGGGAAGGCCTTGAGCTTCTTCTTAGACACTGTCTTAGCGTTTTGCTCTGGGGCCACCTGTCCCATGTGAGTTTGTCTCATACGGATGTGGTCCCTGGGAAGGCAACATGTCGAGGCAAGTGTGGGCCACAGCATCCTCGTCTGAGGGATTGGGGACCCTCCCGGGTTTGGAGCTGGCCAAGGAAGGCTTCTTAAGAGACTGAGCCCCATTTCCTTCTCCTGGTCAGAACCAAGGAAGGAGCTCAGCAGGGGACGCTGGGGTCCTAGCAACACACGGCTCCCAGCTCGGGTTTGGTGTCTGCCTCCTGGCCGCCCTAGCCGACTTCGCCCCTCTCTCTCCCCTCCCTCTTCTAGCAGCAGAGTCTCAGGTGGCAGGAGAAGGTGTAGTGTCAACCTCAGGCTCCAGAAAAGCTCTGTGCCCTGCGCGACAGCCGTGCATCTCAGCAACACAGCCAGGAGTCCGCTCCCGGACCGGGGCTTCTCAGGTTTGTGTTTTTGTTGTTGTTGTTGTTTTGTTTTGTTTTTAATTTTGAGACGGAATTTCACTCTTGTCACCCAGGCTGGAGTGCAATGGCGCATTATTGGCTCAATGCAACATCTGCCTCCTGGGTTCAAGCGATTCTCCCCCCTCAGCCTCCCGAGTAGCTGGGATTACAGGTGCCCGCCACCACACCCGGCTACTTTTTTTAAATTATTATTATTTTTAGTAGAGACGGGGTTTTGTCATGTTAGCCAGACTGGTCACAAACTCCAGACCTCAGATGATCTGCCTGTCTCGGCCTCCCAAAGTGCTGGGATTACAGGCGTGAGCCACCATGCCCAGCCGGCTTCTCAGCTTTAATGTGTGTGTCTCACCTGGGGTGTTGTGAAAACGAAGGCTCTGATCTCTCAGGTAGGTATGTGTGTGTGTCACGGGGCAGGGGGGCGGTGCGCGGGATGCCGCGTTTCCAACAAGCTCCCAGTTGCTGCTGGTGCTGCCAGCTCCGAGGACTACACTGGGGCCTGAGGAACTGGATTCTTGCTGAGCCAAGCAGGATGTGTTGGCATCACGTGGACGCGGAGCTGGGCTGTTGGGCAGTGGCCCAGTGGCTGGCAGAACCCCACACATGAACACTGAGCCACTTTTCCCACGCAAGCCCTAACCCCTAATGCCGGGGAGACCCACAATGGAACACACACCCAGACGGTGCTTCGGATCAGCTTCTCCTGACCCCCCTCCCCAAGCCACCTCCTCCCACTGGGACGCCAGGTCTGAGGAGGCAGCTCTGACCCTGCTGTGGCCCTCACAGGCTCTGCCCCAGCCCCTCTCCCATCTCGGAGGCATGGGGCTGTTTCCTGGTGTCCCCCATTACCACCCTTCCTGTGTCCGAGACTCCTGCCCAAAAGGCTAGAGCCCCAGCCTGCTTTCTCCAACACCCTCGTGGGATTTGCAAGAGACCCTCTGGGAGGAGGTGTGAGGTCAGGACCCCCTGCCCAAAGGGAGTCCATGCTTTCCCATCCCACTCCTCTCAGCAGCACCCCCGCCCGATTCCACAGACTCCAAAATGTCTCCAAATGAATTAAAGAAGCCATGGTCAACCCACATGAATGTGCCAACAAGCATTTTCATTTCTTTATTTTAAGGACACTGGGAAAGGAGCCAGTCCTCTGAAGAGAACACTCTGGTCAGGTGGTGGAGGCCAGTGGGAAGCCATCAGGCCTGCTTTCCAGGAGGGGTGAAGGGTTGGTGCACGGTGCAAGGTGAGAGTGAGGTTAAAGGTCAGAGAGGAGGGGCTGAGGAGGCCACCTCCCACCAGGAGCAGACAGCTGGTGGCTTGGGACTGGGGTGGAGCTGCGTGGGGGATGGGAGGGGACTGAGCATGGGGCTTCATCTTCACTGCCCACTCCTCCCCTCTCCCTGGCTGTGCCTGCCTCCTGGGATGGTAGGATTCCAGCAGCTGGAGCCCCAGGTGCTGCTGCGGCTGAGGAAGGCAATCCCCGTCAGCTGCCTTCTCCGTTCCAGGGTGGCTGTAGCCAGAAGCAGGACCAGACAAGGACATGGCCTCTGCATTAAAGCCCAGATCCCAGGCAGGGTTGGAAAGGCTGGGCCTGGGAAGTGGGGATGATGAGAGGACCCAGACTGCCCCACACCCCAGCCCCCGGCCCCAGGGCCAGGAAGCCGCCTATGTCTGCACATGGGTCAGCTGGATGTCGCCCCCCACTTCCAGTCTGTTGATGGTGGGCAGGTTCCTCAGGCGATGGTAGTATTCAAACAGGTGCTGACCATCCACGGCCACCTTGAGGCAGTGAGCTTCACACAAGATCCACACCTGTGCAGAGATCATGCCGTTTGCACTACACTTGGGAAGTCCTCCACCCTCACTGCAGCCTCCTCTCTCCCTCCCTCCCACCCTCCCTCCCTCCTCAGTTGTTAATAAGCCCCTCACCTGCACTCTATCCCCACTGAACGACGGCTCTTCACTAAACAGGCTGTGCGTGCTCTTTCCCCTGTACTGTTCCCTGGTCTAGAATACTGTTCCCACCCCATCAGGGACAGGAGCACTGGCCTGTGCCGTCTGTATCCCTCAGGCCCAGCACACAGGAGTGCTCTGGGCCTGGGCTCCTGCAGCATCAGTCTCCTAACTTGTCTTTTCCACCCCAATGCCTTCTCCACGAAGCAGTCAGGGTACAAATGTTAAAACCTCCTTCCCTTTGCAATAGCTAACACTCCTATCACACATGCCACCTGCCAGGCACTGTCCTAAGCATACTACAGATACTGTCTCATTCCATTCTTACAACTCTAGGAAATTCATGATTATTAGCTCCATTTTGTAGATGAGGAAACTGAAGCACAGAATAATTAAGTCACTTGTCCGAGGTCACACAGCTGTCTACAAATCAAAGTATGTTGCTCCCTGGCTTGAAACACTCCTGAGGCTTTTCACTGTGTTAAAATCCAAGCTCCTTTCCATGGCTGCAAAGCCCTACATCAGTCATTTTCAACTCTGACTGCAGAGTATAATCACTTAAGGCATATTTTTAAAATACGAATGCCCAGCTGACTGCCTCATTGGCCTGGGCTGGGGTCCCAGCACTGATATTTCCTTTGTAAGCTCTCTGGGTGATTTGAATATGTAGTCAGGGTGGAGCACGCCTGCCTGCTGTTCCTGGACAGGCCACACCCGTGCCTCTGCACGTTGGCCCTAGCTGCCCCTCCCAGGCTCGCTCTATCTCATCGCTCTGTTTTGCTTTGTGCGTGGCACTGTCGTTATCTGTGACAATCTGTCCATGCTTTACTTTCCTTGTTCTTTCCCCACCTAAATTATAAACTCCCTGGAGGCAGGACCCTGTCTGTGTGCTTCATGACTGTGCCCCCAGCATGTGGGGTGCTTCCTGCGCAAAGCAGGCGACAAGAAAATGGTTGTTGAGTAAATGAAGAAATGAATAACACCTCCTTCTTGGGTCTGATTTGACACTTACTGACTGTGTGACCACAAGCAAGTAACCTGCACTTGTGAGTTTGTTTCCTCATCTGAAAAAGCAGATCCCAGCACTTCCTTCATGCGGGACAGTAATAATAATAATAATTTGTTGGCCACCTTCTCTTCTTTTGGGCCTTCATCCCAGAGGAATCAGCCCCCATACTGTTCAAGGTACCTCAAACCTCCTTTACCCCCTCCCCCTGTGCACCCATGGGAGCCTCTCCAAGCTCCAGACTGCGGTGCCTTACTGAGAAGCTCTGGCCACGGACGAAGGGCATTTTTCGGGGCAGACTTCGCTCCTCAGACCCCCAGGAGTTGTCGATCTGGGTGTTGCGGACCACAGCATTCTCATCAAAACGGGGGTTCAGGTGGAAGGCGATGTGGTTCCCAGAGCACAGGTTGATGTGGAACCTGGGGTGGGCAGCCCACCTGAACCTTTATCCACCGAATTCTGAGTCCCATTTCCTCCCCATCATCAGTAGCCTTCCTGAAGCCAGGGGAATGGCTGGACTGACCTTGAAGGGCTCTCTCTTCCCAGAGGTCACTGGAGCCCTTGGCTTACCTCTGAGCACTGGGCAGGACAGTGCCTGACAGGAGGATGGACTTGGATGGGTACAGCCCTCCCAGAATGGTGGTGATGAAAGGCATCGGCTGTCGGAAGAAGGGGGACAGGTCAGCCACCACGCGGAAGGGGAAGATTGTACCAGTTCCCATGAATTTGGGCTGTCAGCTGAGAAGAAGCCCATGATATCTTTACTTGGTTCCATAAAAGCCAAAGGAAAACTTTCCAGTGCTCCTCAAATTAATGGGCTTAGATTAGTGTCATGAAAGGAACTTTGGCCAAACACAAAAAGACTCGTTTCGTGGGGTGAAAAGGGAGGGACATGCAATGTGCTCATATTGACACGACAGTTTTAAGGTTGAAAGCTCCTCTCCACAGCCTTCTAATTCGCTGGGATGCTTTGAAGCCCTTCAGCTTAACAAATGACTGCTTTTAATTTTTCAAGGCCAGTGGATCCCCCCACAGCGGCCCTTCACCCCCAGCCTGCCCACCACAAACAGAACCTCTGCCCTCCCTGAGAAACCACTTACATAGGCGGGGTGGGGGTACATCATAGGTGGGATGGCGGGAGTCTGTTGAAAAGAAACCAGGAAATTCAATGGGAGAGCACATGGGTGCGCGAGCACTCACCCAGGCGCACCCACGCGTTCTAGAGAGGACTCCACTGTGAGGCTGACCTCGTGAGCCTTTGGCCCTTGGACTCGCCCGTCTACCTCCCTTTTCATGTTAGCCTTCCTGGAACTTCCTGCCGTGTTCCCAGACCACACCACGGTCACCTGCCCCTCAACCCCTCCGCAGGCAGCCCCACTAATTCTAAGCCCCCCTGCCTCATTTGCACCATCAGGAGAAGAGCTTAAGCCTGTGATCAATAGTGACATCCTGGGGACCCAGGATGCAGGGCCAGGAACCTCACATCCGGGTGCTGGGGCCACTGTACTCCCCACTTGGTGACAGATGGACCAGTTTCCCTCCCGGTCTCTAGGGGACTTGTCTCTTCCACCACTGGATAAACCCTGCTTCTTCCAGAATCTCTGCTGTCCCAAGGACAGCTTTAGCCACATGTCACCTGAGCCAAGCACTCAGCCCCTAGTGTCCCCATCCTCCTTGCTAAACCGCTTTCTTCCCGACTCTAGGGCTCTAGGGAGTTTAGTTTTTGGTGAAGGAGGACACTGTGCAGCTGTGAACTGACCAGAACTTGTAGACTTACAGAGAACATCTGTCCAGGGGCGCTCTGCACTGTGTGGATGACTGTCTGGGTCTGGAAGAAAGAAACCAGGTCTCACCCAGGCTCTCACGTGTGAAAACCACCAGCTCCCACCAGAGGGCGCCACACGGCAGGCACCCTCCAGGGGGCGTAACAAGCCCAATGGCCCCACAGACCCCACAGAGGGTGGGCCCAGGTGTCTCTTCTCTCAAGGGGATGAGCGAGGGGCAAAGGTTAGAACCCTGGAGAAGACAGATGGGGACGCTGGTGGCTCTGGCCCATCTTTCCTCTCGGGGAAACGTCTCTCAGCCTAGCCTCCCTTTGCAGGTGACAGAAGTGAATGTGGGGCATGGTCTTCCGTGGCTGCCCACGGGGTGGCAACTCAGGTTGTTTCATCCAACCCCCACATCCAACCCCCAACCTCACCAGGCCGGGCAGATGGTCAAGGGTCTGGTCTGTGCCCTCCCCACTCCCAATGGGAGAGGCCCAATGCCTGGCCCTGCCTCCTCCATGAGCCCAGAAAAGCCAAAATGAGGACGATCCAAAAAGAAAGCAAGAGACTTACAATGGGAGCCGGGTTGGCAGGCCACACGCCGGGAGGCTGGAGGGGTGAGGAGAGTCAGAATGGTGGTTATCGCGGGCACCACAGAATGGGAGGAGATGGTGGCAAAACTCCAGGGAGGCTCTTGTGCTCAGAAATGCCTCCCCGGACACACCCACCTCCCTCTTGCTCCCAAGCAAGCCTTCCTGAGCCCGTGGCACCCAGATTTTTACCCCCAGGTGTACAGGGCTTTGGGGTTGGGGGGTAGGGTATCCCCACTGGTTCCTCTCGAGAGAGAGGAGACTGGGTTTGATAGAGACCTCATTGCTTTCTGTAGCTCCCACAGCGAAGAGCATTACTTCCAGTGCCATATTTCACCCATAAGGTGAGAAGTGGTATTTGTTGAAGGCCTATTGTGGGTCGATTCCTGGGCTTCAGTGCTTTCCAACAAGGGAAGCAGCCTCAGCTCCTGTGTCCCTAGTGAGGCAACGAGGCTCAGAAAGATTAAGCAACTTGCCCAAGCTTGCCAAGGTGGAAGGGATCAAATCCAAAGTGGCAGCCAGTTCTGTCTGACTGTATCCAGCACACTTTCTATCCTCCCCAGAGCCAGGGCCAGCGCCAGGGCCAGGGCCAAAGTTGGGCTGCCCTGCAAATGTTCCCTGGGGCTCGACCAGTCCTGAAGTCAGCGTGGCAGGAGGCAGGTGCCCTGTCTGTACGGTGATGAGCCATAAGAAGACTGCGTAGACAAAGCGCCCCTCCTCCCAGTCCCCACTACTTGAGTGGCCGGAGGAAGGGCTGCTCACCTCCTTGTCCTGGATCCTGCCCCACCCAGTAGACTGTTCTTGCCCTGGCTGGTATCCCATTCTCCCTGGCTGTGTGAACCACATTCCACATTCATTCACTGAGTCCCTACTGAGTGCCAGGCACAGTGCAAATGAACAAGCCACAGTCCTGGCCCTCTGGGGCCTCATGGGCATAGGGACATGGGGGTGGAGTAACGGGGACAGACACGCAAATACAGTTACAATGGGGTGCTGTGAACTGGCATGGCACAGATACATACAGACTCTGTGGGGACACCAGGGGAGCGTCCAACAATATTCCAGGCGGGGAGGACTCCCAGAGGAGCGGCACTTAGGCAGAGCATGGAAGGGCAATTAGGCATGTGCTCGAGGCAGGCTGGCAGAGGGTGCTTCCGGGACCAGGGACAGCATATGCAAAAGCATGGTGGCCCAAGAGGGCCTTGAGTGAGCTGCAGAGGCTGCGTGAGCTTCGTGGGTTGGGGGTGAGGCAGGGACGTGGATTGGGGCAGACTGGGGAGGAATTCATATACCCTGCTGGAGAATTTGGGCTTTATTTGAAGGGCTGGGGGCTGTGAAGATTTTTAAGCAGGGAGAGGGTGTGATCACATTTGCTTATAAGAAGGTCACTGTGGCAGTGGTTGGGTGTAGGGGGTGGGGAACTGGACCCCTGTCGTCATGGTGAGGAATCCCAGAGGCCTGGACCACATCGGTGGCTTCAGGAGGGAGACACGTTCGTGCCTTGGAGAGACGTAAAGAAGAGGGAGTGAAGAATCCAGGGTGACCCCCAGGTCCCCAGCTCTGGGTGCCCAGCGGACAGAGACAGGGAACTCTTGGGTGGGCAAGATGCGGCCTGTAGGCCCTGAGTGGCCTGCTGGCTGGGGCCAGCCTCTCAGACCCTCGGTCCTTCCTACTGTCTGCTCGGCCACCCAGGGCCTCTGTGTTGAACTCACTTTTTGTCTGCGCCCCCTGGGCCTGGGTGGGAAACAGACAGGCTGGGAGAACGGCACCGTGGAGAAGGCAGGCTGAACAGGGACTGTGCGGGGGTTCTGTTAAAACAAAAGGCACCGGGCAGTGAGGAGAAGCATTAATAGAGCCAAGGAGAAGCCGAAAGGCAGAGGCAGGGGCAAGAGGGAGAGACCAGGCAGGCAGGGCGATGAGGCAAGGGGGTTAGGGCCCTGCCAAGATGGGATGGGAAAGAGCCAGGCTCTGGTGAGCAGTGCAGGGGTGCGGTCTCCCTCCAGCTCTTCCCTCCCCTACCACCCGCAGGGGAGAGAGTCAGGGAAGGAGGGAATGAGAGATGAGGACCAAAGGGCGAGAAGCCCAGATTTGCTGAGGGCCTACTGTGTGCTTCGCTGATCTCAGGGAGCAGCCTCGAATGCCAAAAGGGTAACAGCAGCTCCCACCCAGCTGCTGGTGCCCTGTGGGAATGTGGGCCCAGCATACCCTAATCTTCCCATTTTTCACATGGTATTGGTATCTCCTGACCTTATTTAGTTTTATTTATTTTATTTTATTATTTAAACAAAGTTTTTTGGAGACAGGGTCTTGCTGTTTTGCCCAGACAGAACTCTAATTCCTGGGCTCAAGCAATTCTCCCACCTCAGCCTCTTGAGTAGCCAGGACTGCAGACCTCCACCACCATACCTGACTCTCCTGACCTTTTAGATGTTGGCAACACATTCAAAGTTGTTAAAACACAGAGGTCAAACAGACCCTGGTGTGGGCCCAGGGGGGCCACTGTGTGACCTCTGATATCTGTCTCCTCACTGAACCACACAACCACCCATGGGGGGCAGGCAATGACCATTCTACAGATGAAGAAACCAAGGCTGAGAGAGGTGAAGTTGCTTGTCTAAGATCCCACAGATGATGAATGGCAGAGCTGGGAATTTGAACTGGATTCAGTTTGGTTCTTGAGCCTGGGCTCTTTCTAGAACAATATGCCCTCCTTACCAGGATGGAAACTGAGGGATGAAGAGAAAGGGGCAGCTGAGGAGTCTGGGAGACCAAGGCAGGTGTTCCGGACAGAGACAGTAACACAGAAGGAGGGGCAGAGTGACAGAGGAGAAGGGGCGGGCAGGTACTGGGACAGGGAAGCAGAGGTTGTCCCCAGAGTGACCTGGGTAGGAGATTGGCTTGGGCCCACCCAGCAGGGCTTAGACACAGCTACGCTGGGCCCTGCATCCCAGCCCCTGGGACCGGTGCCAGGTGGACAGTCTGACCTGGAAGCTGATGTAGGACAGCTGCACAGAGCCATTGACGGAGATGGTGTCCACACGGTGGAAGGGCACGCGGTGGAAGTACTGCACGAAGAGGATCCCGTTCACCATCACCTGCCAGAGGAGAGCACATGTTCTGGGGGAGGCATCCCAGGCTGGGATGGGGACCACCCCTGAGCTCCTGGACCCTCTTTCTAGAAAATGAAGACCTGAGTCTGGTCTTCAGTGTGGGGCCAGTTACAGGAACGTGTGTGTGACCCAAAGTGCATCAACCCGAGTCTCTACCAGGCTCCAGTTGGACTTTTCGTTCTTCTGGTTGTTTCCTGCAGTAGGTTTGTCTTTCTAGTCTTAGCTCACCTGGGGTTTCATTTATTAATTATTTATTTTTCCTTCAACTGTTTTTTTTTGTTTTTTGAGATGGAATGTCAGTCTGTCGCCCAGGCTGGAGTGCAGTGGGTCAAGTGATTCTCGTGCCTCAGCCTCCCGAGTAGCTGGGATTACAGGAGCCCACCACCATACCCAGCTAATTTTTGTATTTTTAGTAGAGATGGGGTTTCACCATGTTGGCCAGGCTGGTCTTGGACTCCTGACCTGAAGCGATCCGCCCTCCTCAGCCTCCCAAAGTGCTGAGATTATAGGCGTGATCTGCCATTTCCATCCCCTTCAACTTTGATTTTAAGTTCCAGGGTGCAAGTACAGGATGTGCAGATTTGTTAACTAGGTAAACGGGTGCCATGGTGGTTTGCTGCAGAGATCAACCCATCACCTTGGTATCAAGCCCAGCATCCATTAGCTAATCTTCCTGATGCTCTCCCTCTCCGACCAGGCCCAAGGGTGTGTTGTTTCCCCCCATTTTGTCCATGTGTTCTCATCGTTCAGCTCCTACTTATAAGTAAGAACATGTGGTGTTTGGTTTTCTGCTCCTGCGTTAGTTTAAGGATAAAGGCTTCCAGCTCCATCCATGTTCCTGCAAAGGACATGATCTCATTCCTTTTTATGGCTGCAGCGGTATTATTTATATATGCATAAAATGCTCATGGGGAGCAGAGGAGAGGTGACCTCAGGTTGCATACTGAACGAATGGGGACATCCTTATCTCAGATAAGCATACTTGGACTGACTTACCCACAGGCTTCTCAAGCCCAGAGACCTACTCTGCTTGCAAGGGTAATTTGCAATGTGCTTACAAAACTATACCCTTAATAGACCCTGGATAAAGGCTGGAACGATGTCGCTGAAAAATAAATGTTACCAGTGACCTGGAGAGGAGGAATGGCTATAGCAGAGGAATGGAATGAGCTTGGAATTCAAAGACACACAACACCAAATAGCAACGTGATGACTCCTCTAGTTCTTATTTTCAGAGTAAAAGAAGCAGCAGGTGCACCTGTAGATTCAGATGAAGGTGCATAAGGAGACTAGGCAGCCATGGGTAACACCTCACAAGGAAATGAGCGTGTTATCTGTATAGTGGTGTCACTCTGGCTGAATGTCAATTTAGGTGATTACTTAAAGGCCATTCACCTGATAGGGCTGGGGGTCCCAGGGGTGAGAGGTGGGGAGGGGATTCTTGCTCACCTTGAAATCTGAGCTCTGCACCAGGAAGCAGAGGTCAAAGGGCATCCCCTTCTGGAAAGGCATGTGTGTCTTCCTCTCCTCGGGCCCCCAGCTTCCGTTCTGCCTCGTGTTGCACACCACGTACCCTCCATCTTCAAACCGAGGGTTGAAGTGGAAGGCAATGTCATTTCCACTGAAGCCAGTCTGAAAGTTCACAGCAAACCTAGGCCCAGGGAAAGCAAATAGTCTTCTGTGGCATGGATTATTGCCAGTGACAGGCACAGGAGGGCCTCGGCGCCTGTGCTTTGCATTTGTCTGGATCTTGCACACAACCTGTATGGCAGAGACTGCTTTGTTGGCATCGTTTTTGTTTTTCTAATTGGGATCTAATGTGTTTTTGTTTTAATTATTGGATTTTGCCTTTACAGCATGATTTGCTAAAAGCAAATAGAAAACGGTTAAGGAAAAGTGCTGGTATTAGCAAACAAGAAACATAGGTCTTGGAAAGTGATTACCAATTGATACCGAAGATGGAAGTTGTTAAGCACACCTAGAAGAGAGAGCCTTCTGTGCCAGTGGACACTTGTTGGAGGCCAGCACATGCCTGATTAAATGGGAAAGAAGAGAACAAATGTAAAGAGCATGTGAAATTGGGGCTGGGCGCAGAGGCCAAGGCGGGTGGACCACTTGAGCCCAGGAGTTTGAGACCAGCCTGGGCAACATAGTGAGAGCTCATCTCTAGTTAAAAAAAAAAAAATTGGCTGGGCATGATGGCTCACGCCTGTAATCCCAGCACTTTGGGAGGCTGAGGCATGTGGATCACGAGGTCTGGAGTTCGAGACCATCCTGGCCAACATGGTAAAACCCCGTCTCGACTAAAAATACAAAAAATGAGCCAGGCATGGTGGCATGAGCCTGTAGTCCCAGCTACTCAGGAGGCTGAGGCAGGAGAATCACTTGAACCCAGGAGGCGGAGGTTGTAGTGAGCCCAGATAGCGCCACAGCACTCCAGCCTGGTGGCAGAGCGAGACTCCATCTCAAAATAATAATAATAATAATTAGCTGGGCATCATAGTGCACTCCTGTAGTCCCAGCTGCTCCGGAGGCTGAGATGGGAGGATCACTCAAGCCCAGGAATTTGAGGCTGCAGTGAGCTATGATCATACCACTGAACTCCAGGCTGGGTGAAAGAAAGTCCCTGTCTCAAAAGAAAAAAATTAATTAATTAAATGAATAAATGGAGAAGATTGCATTTGAAATATATCTGCATGTATTTTTTCCTTTGGAGTCCTTCAGCTTCATCCCTGTAGTCCTTTCGAAATTCCTGCCCCAAGGAAGGGAGAGACAGAAAGCTCCCAAGAGGAGAGGGCCCTCTGAGGTAGGATCTGTCTCTATATGACAGGATGGGAGTGGGAAGCCCTCCTGGTGCTGGGGGGTGGGGGAGGTGGAGGGAGAGGGAGAGAGGAAGGGGCGGAAGATCAGGGTCATGGTCCTGATTCCCCTGGTTGGAGGGTTCAGGGAGATCGGGGCCTCCCTGCCCTTGGCATCTCCTGAGGGCACCGCAGTCTCTCAGAGAAGTCCCACAGCAGGATGGCAATGGCGGAGGAGGTCACCAAGAATCTAGGTGTCCAAGCTGAGGTTTAGCTGGGATCTGTGAGGCCCAGAAGGTCTTAAGGAGAGGTCCCCTGGGACTGAGGCAGAGAGGCTTCCGAGAGAGAGTCATGAGTCCAGAGGCTCTTCTGTGGGCCCCGCAGAGTTCAGCAGGCAGCCACCCATGGTCCCCCACTAAACCAGGAGAGAGCTGCACACCTCTGTGCCACCCGGTCGGGGTGCCTCGGCAGGGGTCAGCCAGGCCTGAGTGAGGGTCTAGAGCCCTCCCAGCCACTGAGAAGCCATGTGAGCTCTTCTCTGTTCCCAGACAGCCCACCTTGGGAGGGAGGAGGGGGTGGGAAACAGCCCTGATACAATGTTAGTATGTTGAATTGACTTAGTAGTTTCTAGAAAAGGCCTTGAAACCAAAAGAGACCAAATTACTTTTGATGGCAATTTTCAATATTTTCACATCAGCAGAAGGAGAGCTTCAGAGTGGATGAGAGCAGTTACGGGAAATGGAGGAAGTTTGATTTTTGCAACTCTTAGTCACAGTGTGCAAGGTTCAACCCAGAACATAATCATCCAACTCTGACCATCCCACGCCCTCCTTAGACCGTCAGCTCCCAGGGCCCCATTCATCCTGGAGTCCAGGTTAATGGCACCCCTGGGTGCAGGTTGTGCCTGTGGAGTGCTGCCCTGTGGCATGGGTTAGGGACGCATTGGGCCTCCCCTGAGCCAGGCACGTGAGCTTGGATGTTGCTGTTTGAACTAACCCAGGCTCACAGGCACAGTGGTTTACTAAGGGACGAGGCTGGAGTGAAACGTTTCCATCCATATACACACACACCTGGTTCCACTGGAGCTGAGAACGGTCCCATTGACAGTGATCTGAAGTCCGTCCTGGAGACCTCCTTGAATAGTCCCAGAAAAGGGGACAGCCTGCAGGGAGAAGGTGTGGGAACATCAGTCAGGTGGCCGGCCTCCCGTTTGCTCCCCTCCAGCGCTAGTCAGTGGCCAGCCTGGGTTTGACAGCCCCATGCAAGGGGATAGGGTGCGGCTGTGACCAGTACAGAGGGAGTCGCAGCCCCACGGGTCTTAGGGTCCTGTGTGGAGGCAAACACAAATCCAATTAGTTACTCAGACAGTCTAAGCTTGTGATAAGGAGAAGCCTGGCCCTGAGAGGACGCGACAGGGAGCTGAGCTTGTGTGAGAGTCTAAGAGGCAGTGGAGGCTGCAGCAGGAATGCACCAGGCAGAAGGCCTTCCTTCCAGGCAGGGAAGTAGCAGGCAGACACCCTGGGCTGCTAAGGAATTAGGTAGCAATGGGGGCTGCTGGACCCCATGCTAAGCTCCCAGCAAAGGTCCCAGGCCCTGGCTGGAGACTCAGGAAGCCCAAGGGACCAAAGGGACCCATCAAGGGTCTGGAGGGTAAACCTTCGACTCACCCGAGGAGGTTAAGAAGAAGCCATCCCCCTCTCCCCACCACCACCATATAACAATGGCCACTGTGACCTTTGCCCTCCTGGCCACCTTCAGCAGAGCGTCTTCCCAGATGCCTTCTGTAGCCGTGGGGCAGCCCCCTCCTCTATTTCTGTGCCCGGGCTCCCCATTCCTTCCCTCAGGCCCTCAGCAGCCCCGAGGCCTAGCGTGGTTTCCCCACCCATCCCAGGCCCCACGGGCAACCACTTTGTCAAATTCTCTCTTCTGGTGCTCTTTAAAGGAGTGATGGGCCATGGTGAGGCATGCATCGTTTTAGAGTCAGGCCAACTCCAGGTCTGAATCCTAGCTCTGCTGCTCATGACCTGAGTGACCTTGGGAAGCCTATTTCACCTCTCTGTGCCTCAGTTTCCTCATCTGTAAAATAGGAAGGTGTTTCACCTGCTGCATATGATTGATGATTTTGTGAGAAACAGCCTGTGGTAAAAGAGACTGGCACATAGGAGATGCTTCACCACTGTCACCCACCCCCCACCTTCATCTCTCTCAGCAAAATTCACAAACTGGTACTTCCAATTTTCAAAGTTTATTCCCAAAATGCTTCATATCCAATGTCGTTCTATAACCCGCATTAAAGCACAGTTCTATCTCCTGGCTGATTTTCACATTCTTCAAGTTTTTAATGTCTTCTCTAATATCTCCTTTAGGTCAATTTCCTACACAAATTAAATGCCTAAAGGAGCCAGGCAGGTGATGTGTATGGGTGAGATGGCCAGGTGGGGGAGTGGTGGGGACTGTGGCAAAGTAGATGTCACACCCCTCATCTGAAAAGTCAACATCTACTCCGTGCTAAGCAGTGATTGCCATCTGGGCCCAGTATTGGCAGAGCTTCCAAATTTTTAAGAGAAGACAGAAGTCCGGATTTTTTTTTTCTATAAAACTTTCTAATTTCTTGGGGGAAAATTTGTCAAAAAGGATTATGTAAAAGCTCCTGGCTGGGCACAGTGGCTCACATCTATAATCCCAGCACTTTGGGAGGCTGAGGCAGAAGGATCACTTGAGCCCAGGAGTTTGAGGCCAGCCTGAACAACGTAATGGGACCCCCATCTCTACAAAAAATAAAAAAAAAATAGCTAGGTGTGGTGGTGCACACCTTTAACTCTAGTTACTTGGGAGGCTGAGGTGGGAGGATCCCTTGAGCCTGGGAGGTGGAGGCTGCAGTGAGCCATGATCACACCACTGTACTCCAGCCTGGGCAACAAAGTGAAATCCTGTCTTGAAACCCCCCAAATTCCCATATTATAGAGATACAAAATGAAATATTTGAAATGGAATGGTATCTTTGGATTTGCTTCCACATATCTGAGGGTGGGAAGGAAGCAAGCGAGGGAGGGTATAGGATGAAGCAAGATAGGCCTGAGTTGATCATTGTTGGAGCAGAGTGATGGGTGTGTGTTGTTGATGGTACAATTCCTTCTGCATGTTTGAATTTCCTATAATAAAACGTTAAAAGAAACACTGTGCAGGCCAAACAGAAAACACCCACCAGCCAAATTCAGCCTACTTGCCACTGCTTTCTGGTCTGTATTGTTGAGTTGTGTGACCACACAGAACCCTGGGAAACCCATCCTAGCTCAGTGTACACACCTGGCACCGTGAGAGCCCCAGGAAATCTGGGATCTGATTCAGTTAGACTCTGCTCCCCATGGATTTGAGGGGGGTGTCTTTTGTTGCCCCTCAGGTCAGGTCTGAACTCTGCCATTAAGTACTTTAGTGACCTCAAGCAAATCACAGCTTCTCTGTGTCTCTGACTTCTCATTCTTGTCCCTGTCTACACCAGCAGTGTAGGGGAAGGAGAGTCAGCCTGATCCAATTATGGACCAGCACGGCCTAGGATTGGGAAGCCTGTTTTCCCTGAAACATGTCTGTGGAACATTTTTCTCCTTGCCTGTTTGTGGAAGCCTGTGATTCTCTCCAGAGCCTTTCATACTATCATGAGACACAACACTGAAAATACACACCCTCCTGGGAAGCATGCGGCCTCCACTTAAGTGTATTCACAGCACAGCATCTAGAATTGAAGGCAGAGCGTGATGGACATGGGCTGGCAAGTACACACAAGGCTTAATTAAGGAAGCCAGGAGGGAGAAAGAGGAAGTACAGATCATGGGGGCGGGACAGGACAGGCTAATCTCCAAGGCAACAAGTTCCCCAAAAAAGCTCTGTGAGGTTTCAAAATATCTTAAATAGTGCCCCCAAAATTCGGAAAAACAAGATTATTTATTTATTTATTTATTTATTTATTTATTTATTTATTTATTTAGAGATGGGTTCTCACTCTGTTGCCCAGGCTGGAGTTCAGTGAGGGCTGTGATCATGGTTCACTGCAGCCTCCACCCCCTGGCTCAAGTAATCCTCCCGCCTCAACCTCCCGAATAGCTGGGACAAAATAGGTGCAGGCCACCATGTCCCACTAATCTTACAATATTTTTTGTAAAGATGGGGTCTCTATGTGTTGCCTGGGCTAGCTCAAGTGATCCTTCCGGCTCGGCCTCCCAAAGGGCCAAGATTTCAGGCATGAACCATCATGCCTGGCCTGAAAAATGAGTTTTTAAATTGAATATCATCCTACAAACAAGGTTATTCATTGCAGCATTATAACACAAAGGATTATAAAGCAAAGCATTGGAAAGAGCTTAAAAGTCCTCTGACAGGAAAAAGGTGAAATAAATTAGGGTATTTCCATTTAATAGGTTCTGTGTAGCCTTAAAAAGAAAAGAAAAAGAGGAAGACAGAACTCTGAGCACTGATATGGAATGATGCCATTTGTATAAAAAGTGGGTGGGGGAAGTCTATGGACTTGCATTTATTTATTTATAGATAAAATATATCTGGAAGGATTTATAAGAAACTTATAACACTGGTTACCAGTGGGCCACCCCCCAGAAACATCCACATTCGAATCCCCGGAAACTGTGAATATGTTGTAGAAGGGACTTTGTAGATGTGATTAAATTAGTAATTTTGGCATGGGGAGATTGTCCTGATTTTAAAGGTGGTCCCAATGTGATCACAAGGATCCTATAAAAGGAAGGCAGGAGGATCAGTGTCAGAGGTAGGAGATGTGACAACAGAAGCACAGAAGCAAGAAGAAGCTGGTTTGCGTTTTTGGGGGGTTTTTGTTTGTTTTCGTTTTTTGTTTTTTGTTTTTTTTGAGACAGGATCTCATTCTGTCAGCCAGGCTGGAGTGTGTTGACGCGATCTCAGCTCACTGTAGCCTCCACTTCCTCAGGCTCACGTGACCCTCCCACCTCCGCCTCCCAGGTAGCTAGGACTACAGGCATGCACCACCACACCTGGCTAATGTTTGTCTATTTTTTGTAGAGACGTGGTCTCACTTTGTGGCCCAGGCTGGTCTCAAACTCCTGGATTAAGGAGATCCTCCTGCCTCGGCTTCTCAAAGTGCTGGGATTATAGGCATGAGCCACTGGGCCCAGCCAAAGCTGCTGGTTTTAAAGATGGCAGGAGGGGTCATAAGCCAAGGCCTGCAGGCAGCCTCTAGAAGATGGAAAAGGAAAAGAAACAGATTTTCCCCTGGGGCCTCCAGAAGGAAACAACTTTGCTGACACATTGATTTTAACATCTGACCTTCAAAATCATTAAGAGAGCAAATTTGTTGTTTTAAGATTGGCCAGCCAAGGCTGCTGTGGAATTTGGATAAGTGTGTCCAGAAAACCCAGGAAAACAACCGGACCTGCTTTTGTTCCATGTGGTGCAGGAGGATGGATTTTCACACTGGATTTATGGTCCCACGGGACTGGGCTTGCCTCCCAGCTCTGTACACTAGCAATTCTGACACTGGCCAAGTCACTTGACCTGCCTGTGCCCCAGTTCCCTCCTCTGAATGGCAGGACAGTAACACCACCCGACAGTGTTCTGGAGAGGACTGGGTGCAACGCTGTGTGCTGAGCCCCTGGCTGGCAGCGTTCTGAGAGGACTGGGTGCGATTCCGTGTGCTGAGCCCCTGGCTCATGTCAGACATGACAGTGCAGCTCTTTGCATTGAACAAATCGATCCCTCTGCTGAGTCATGACTTGCTCTCTGTTCCTGATAGTGCCCAGAGACCGGGGACTTTTCCTCCTCTTCTTATCTGGAAGTCTAGAAAGCAGAGCTGAGCCCTGTGAACCAAAATGTGGGCAGCCTTGTTTTGGACTCAGCATCACCAGAGGACACCCAGGCCCGACCCCGAAGTGGGGAGCTCAGCCTGGCTGGCCAAGACTGCGTGCCAGCAGGAGGCCAGTACGTGGCTCTTAGCCAAGGTGCCCCGCTGCCTCAGAGGCTCCATGGTCCTGCTGGCCACCTTCCATGACACTTTGATTTTAGACTTCTGACCTCCAACACTGTAAGAACAAATGTGTTGTTTTGAGGTTGACCAGCTAAGGCTGCTGTGGCATTTGGATCCATGTGTGTCCATGAGGGCTCTGGGCATGACTAGGAACATTTATCCTCACAGCAACCCCGGCCACTTTTACAGATGAGGAAACTGAGGCACAGAAAAGTTCAGTCACTTGCTCAAAGTTACACAACTGGTCAGCAACAGAGCTGGGATTTGAACCCCAGCACCCACGCTTCTAACCACCACACAGGCTTCCTCTCATGAGTAAGCTGAGAACATCCTTATTCCTGGCTCTCCCAGTGCTTCCTGGACCACACAGCACGTGGTTCCAGCTTCCCCCAGGCCCTCCAAAGAGGCTGGGCTAGATGAGGCCAGACAAGAAGTGGGAGTGAGGTTTCCAAGCCAGGCCCTCATGGCACTCAGCCCTCCTCAGCAGGACAGCGAACCGCGTGACCTTCCCCCACTGTCGGCATGTGGAGGAAGCGTGGCTCCGACTGCCAGATGGGTCACCAAGTGAGGCTTAATTGTCCCAACCCAGGGGAGCCCCCGTGGGGTAGAGGGGTACTCTGGACACCCATAGGGGCTGCACTGATCATCTTTCTTGTCTGGACTCCAAGGCCCTGTTTTAACTCTCTGATGTCCGTAGGATAATTTTCCTTCTGAATCCAAGGATTAGAAAGTAAAAACCAGTCACCAGAATAATAATATGTCAGAACCTGGAAGAAGCTCTGGGATCCCCTCTTTGACAGAAAACCAGAGACAGGGTGACATGCCCAAGGCAGCACCTGCTGACCCTAAGGCCCCCACCAGCGGCCTGTTCCAGCTTCCCCCAGCCCCCTCTGTGCAGGTCCTACCTCAGGGGCCTCCACAGGGTGGCTGAGGTGTCATTGGTGACAGCCAGGAGGAAACAGGCCTCCTTTCCCCATTCTTTCTCTCTGGAGTTTAGAAAGCAGAGCCGAGCTCTGCAGACCAGAACGTAGGCAGCCTCATTCTGGACTCAGTGTCACCAGGGGGCACTCAAGCCCGACCCTGGCCTCTGCTGAGGTGGGCCATGGCAGCTTCCCTCCCTCAGTACCCTGCCTCTGCCCACCCTCCCCACCCTGCCTCCCCACCCAGGAAGGACCCATCAGCCCACCCTCTCCAGCCCCTCGGGAAGCTCTTTGCCAAGGCGGGGTGAGATCCTATGACAGGAGCCGGCCCAGGACACAGTGACCCCTGAAGTCTCCTGGGCTCCTGGGGCTGCCACTCCCATCTGGAGGCATTTGGCAACTGGCCTCTGCCTCCCTGAGCCTCAGATTTTCCGTGTATGAAGGGGACTCATAAACCTCACAGGGTTTCAGCAAGGCACCTGCCGCCCTCTGACCCCACGCTGCAGGGACAGTCCTCACCCCCCTCTCACCTCTGAGACTGCCCCTCCACAGATGCCCTGAACATGCCCATGCCCAACCTTCAGAGCACAGACACCTCCTCGGGAGGTCTTCCCTGCTGCCCTCAGACACCCAATAACATGAAACACTCCCAAAGCACCTACAGTGTGTCAGGCACTGTTCAAACACACTAGATACACTACTTCCTTAATCCATATCCCAACCCTGGGAGTGGGGGGCTCAAGTATTATTCCCACTTCACAGATATGGAAACTGAGGCCCAGAGACCACCAGCCAGTAAATAGCTGGACCCAGGGAGGCCACCTTCACAGTAAGCACCCTTAACTACCATGCCGGGTAGCGTCCTTACTGTCCCAGAAGCGTGCTTGCTTCCTCTTTACATGAACCACCCCGCTCTACATGTCTTCCCCTGAGCACACAGGACAGGACAGGACAGGACAGCTCAGTCAACACTGTCAAAGCCATGACTCGTGGGAAGGAGCATCCCTCCAGGCATGAGTGAGCTCAGCACGGCACAGGTGTGCCAGGATGACCTCCTCTGATATTTCTGCCCTGCTTGTGTTCTCTTTGGGATGCCCCCACCCCCATCCCCTGCCACCCAGGAGTTGCTTCCTCAGAGCCCCAGAGCTGTGTCCCTCTGGCTGAGGCAGCCCTGTGCCCATAGCCCTGGAACTCACTGGACTCAGGTAGGGAGCCTGGGAACCGCTGAAGGCCATCTCTCCGCCGCCTCTGTGGCCACCGCTGCCTTTCACACCCACTAGGAAGTCCTTTGTAGAGGGAACGACTTAACAAAGAAATAGAAACCAAAGCAACTTGGCTGTTATTCAATGGGGAGGAGCCGGCAGCAAAAGGAAGTGGGTCCAGAGAGAGAAAGGTATGGTACTGGGTGGACTGGGGTGACACTCACAGAGGGAAGTAGGCACTCCCAGCCCCAGTGACCTTTCCCTCCTCCCTCTCCTGTGCTCAACCCAAGCCTGAAGCATATTTGGTTCATAGAGGTCTACAATGCTTGACCACACTGACATGACAGCAAGTTGCCAGATGACACTGCCCAGAAGTATGTGGCTGTGTGTCCTAAGCATGCTTGGCCACGGAGTCCAGAAAATAATGGGGCTGGGCATTGCCTGTGCACAGGGTGCTTGTGGGGAAGGGCGGCTTCAACCCATTTTACATACAGAGAAGCTGAGGCTCAGAGTCTAAGGGGCATGCCCCAGGTCACACAGCTAATTCGTGGCCGCCTGAACTTTATGAAGATTCTCAGACTCTTCAAAAAGTATTTCTCCTGTTTAAATTTATATTATTCATGTAAAAACATAATTATGTAGAGGGGAATATTTTGCAAGAAAAACACCATAATGAATATTTTTATTCTACAGTATGGGGTGCCCAGGAGCTTCTGATCCTCCCTCTCAATGAATCTCTCTTGATTCTCTTCTCCTTCTCTTCTCCATCCTTATTTTCTGCACTTTAGGATGAGGAGAGAAGTCTTGGACATGATAGAACATTTCAAGTGACATGGGGCTGGGAAGGAACATATGGCATGTGCAGGTCGTGGGGGAGGGAGCCATGAAATAAACTTACCTGAAGTCGACCAGGTCCCAGCGATGTGCTGGTGAGAAGGCCCAGAACTCAAGCTGGGTAGGGTAAGTGCTGGCAGGTAAGGGCTGTACGGGTGCGAGAGGATGGCAGGTGCCCCAGGGCCATACGTGAGTCTGCACCTCTCTTCCTTCCTGTGCTCCACCTAGATGCACTAGAATTTGCAGACTAATTCCTTTGAGATGCTCCAATAGACTGAGGCCATGTGTGCCATCTGCACTGTCCATCCCCATTATGTTCCTGGATCAAGTACCAGTTTAAGGAGTAGACAGTACAAGGGGAGCAGAAAGGAGAGAAAGGAAGGGAAATTCTTTGCGATCCTCTCGGACACCAGGGACAATTTCATCACGGCACATCATTTGTAGGCAATCACAAATTGATTGCGATACGCAACAACTGGAACTCTCATTCACAGCAGACTGGAGTGTAAAATAATCCAACTTAGAAAAATGGGCAGGGCGTGGTGGCTTATGCCTATAATACCAGCACTTTGAGAGGCTGAGGCAGGAGGATCACTTCAGCCCAGGAGCTTGAGACCAGCTCGGGAAAGGTTGGAAGACCCTGTCCCTACATATAATTTAACAAACAAATTAGCCAGGTGTGGTGGTGCACACCTGTGGTCTCAGCTACATGGGAGGCTGAGGTGGGAGGCTCACTTGACCCCAGGAGGTCAAGGCTGTAGTGAACCCTCATCACGCCACTGCACTCCAGCCTGGGTAATAGAGCAAGACTCTGTCTCAAAAAATTGAAAAATAAAAAATAAAAAGAAAAACTGCTTGGTGAGTTGTAATACAGTCAAATATCTACTTCTATGTTCTGGCTTTTCTACTTCTAAAAAATTACCCAAGAGAAAGGAAAACATATGTGCCTGTTTTTAACAGCTTTACTCATCATTGCCCCAGGCTGGAAACAGTGCAAATGTTCACCAAAGGAGAAGGGAGAAATGAATTGTGGTTTTCATACAACAGAGTAGCCCTCGGCAATAAAAAGGAGCTAGGCCACAGGAAACATCAATGGGCCTCGCAACTGAGCAGAAGAAGCCAGATCCAAACTTGACTTGAAGTGTTGTTCAAGTCAAGTTGAACAACAGGCCAGAATGGCGTCACCCTTGGGGGTCTCTGACTGGGAGGGGCAGGAAGGAGTCTTTGAGAGGCTGGAAATGTTCTGGATCTGGTTCTGGGTGGCGATCACACAGGTATTTACATCCATTAACAACAGGCTGAGGCTGGGTGCAGTGGCTGACACCTGTAATTCAGCACATTGGGAGGCTGAGGCGGGAGGATTGCTTGAGCCCAGGAGTTCGAGACCAGCCTGGGCAGCATGGCGAGACCTTGTCTCTACTAAAAATCAAAAAAATTAGTGGGGCATTGTGGTGCACACCTGTAGTCCTGGCTACAGGAAGGCTGAGGCAGGAGGATTGCTTGAGCCTGGGTGGTTGAGGCCACAGTGAGCTATGACCATGCCGCTGCACTCCAGCTTGGGTGACAGAGCAGGACCCTGTCTCAAAACAAAACTCAAAACAGAAAACCAGGATCTGTACATTTTACTCTACCTAGACAATATTTCCATAAAATACTGCTAAAAGAAAAAATCTCCCAGAGCCCAAGGAGACACAGGCACAGCTCAGAGTTCTAGCAAATCAGCACCTTAGCATCACCTTGAGCCTTGGAGGTGAGTCACAGGTAAGCAGCCTCACTATTGAGTCCAGCCTATAAAGGAGGGTCCTCTGCTCCACACCCTGCCTGGAGGGGCCCCAGTAAGGTCATACCCAAAGGCTGATGTGTTTTTAGACCAATCAACACAGTAGGGAGACACTTTGAGGCACAGTGCCGGCACCCTTCAGTCACCACAATCCATTCGCAGTGGTTAACCCTGGTCTTCAGGAGATGAGAAGCAGCCCTCGTGAATGTTTCTTCTCAGAGCTCTAGTATTCAAAGTCGCAGACCTGTCTCGGAGGCTCTGTTCTCTGCCCTGTAGACTGAGGGATCTTTTCAAAATGTGAGTCTGCCACCTCACACTCATTAGGATGGCTGTGATTAAAAAAAAAAAAAAAATCCAGGAAATAACAACTGTTGGCTAGATTGTGGGTAAACTGGAACTCTGTGAAAACAGCATGGCTGTTACTCAAAAATCTCAACATAGAATTACTATATGATCCAGCAATTCCACTTCTGGGTATATCCCCCAAATAACCAAAAACAGGAACTCAAAGAGACATGTGAACACCCATGTTTGTAGGAGCATCATTCACAAAAGCCAAGAGGTGAAAGCAACGCATGTCCATCAATGGATGAGTGGTCAACAAAATGTGGGCCAGACATACAATTCTATAGATAGTACAAATAGCCCACGTTTGAATCTTGGCCCTGTCATTTAATTCTTGTGTGATCTTCAATAAGTTCCTTAATTTCTCCAAGCTTCCTTTCCTCACCCATAAAATGAGGCAAATGAATGTGAACCTTAGAGAGATGCTGTGGGGATTAAATGGGCTAATGCATGAAAAGGACTTGGGGCTGAGCTCCGCACGTAGTGCCCACACACCAGCACCTTTAGAGTCACTCCTGGACTGCACTGATCCTGCGCCCAGACCCATTCACCTTCGCCAGTAGTAGACTTCCTCAAGAAGGAATCCTTCCATCTGCAGTGACACCTCCAGCACAGAGGGCCTCGGCAGGGCAGTCAGTGATGCCCGCAGACACCTGAGTCCTGTCGTACAATGCAGGGGGCCCTGGGTCGTCTTGTCCAGTTCCCTTTGGAAACCTCATTGTATTGGTACAGCCGTACTGAACCACATTAATCACTAAAACATGCATGCACATCCCCCCCACTGAGAACATTCTCTTTGAGCGTATTCTACCTCCATAAAGTCAGATATATGGTTCTAACTGCTTCCTAATGGCAAATTAACAGTGCAACTCTCTCCTGTAAACAGACTATGACAAAACAGTACTTGGTTTGCCTCACTCAGTAAATCCAGTAGTAGTTTAAGGCAGCAGTCACCAAACTTTTTGGCACCAGGGACCAGTTTCATGGAGGGCAATTTTTCACGGATGGAAAGGGATATACAATGATTTCAGGATGAAACTTTTCCACCTTAGATCATCAGGCATTAGACTCAGATTCTCCTAAGGAGCGCACAACCTAGATCCTTCACATGTGTAGTTCACAATAGGGTTTGTGCCCCTATGAGAATCTAGTGCCGCTGCCTAACTTCATCCTATTGTGGTTGGAGAAGATGCTTTGTATGTTATGTTTAAATCTATTGAGACTTAATGTGTGGCCTACCACGCGGCCTATCCTGGAAAATGCTCCACAACCTAGCACTGTCTTATGAACATAGTAGGTGCTCAGTAAATGTCTGACCAGCAAATTCCTAGACTTCTGGAGAGATTCTGGAGTGAAAGCTGTGGCCTGAGTCCTGGATTGGCCACCCTGCAGCTGTGTGATCTTGGGTGAATACCTTAACCTCTCCGTTTCTCATTTTCCTCAGCTGAAACATCACAATTCTTACCTCATGGCCTTGTGAGGATTAAAGTGAGATGGTGTTTAGAAAGTACCTCTTCTCCACCTATCTGTATATATAACTGGCAATGAGGGGCTCCTAGATATTGGATTCAGATGAACACCACCTCATCCCTCCAAGGCTTCCATAAGGCTAAGGCATCTCCAGCTCAGGAGATGCTGGGCCTGCTCATGGCTTTGTTGCTGCTGGGGCCTGGATGATCTTCCTCTGCGCATTGTGGGCCATTGACGCTGTGCCTTCTCCATTCCTCCATCTGTTTAGAAACACCTGCCACTGAGGTCCTGGCATAACTTCTTCCTTTGGAAGGAGCTCCTTAATCTATAGACCAGGGGTTCAGTCACCCCAGACCTATCCATTCCCATGCCACCCATCCAAATGGTCCCCAGGACTCAGCTGGAACTGACCAAAGCAAAGACAAGCCCCAGAACACCTTGGTATAACTTTATTCACAAACTCCAGACACCCAGGCCTGGCTTAGCACAGAGGGCATGTTCTTGCCAGTGGCAAAAAAACCCGATACAGCATGTTTGTTAATACTAACCATTTTAATTTAAATTAATAGCATGTCTGGAAGACAAATGTAGTTGATAGAAAATATAAAAACTTTACTGTACAAATTTTACATCACATTCAAAAAAAGCAAGTGTGTGGCTTGTGGCCACAGAAGATGCTAGGTTTGCACGCTGATGAGATCCTGGCTAACACTGCTGCATAGCACAAACTCCAACTGGCTTCACATTTACGTCTCCACCCTCCCCCCACACCAAATCAACACAGAATAACACAGGTTTCCAGGGCTTGCCATTCCTCTCTGTGACCTCAAGAGGAAATGCCGTAGGATGACAGAGGGTGTTTTGATTTGGTGACATGGAGAGATCAACTTTGCTACACACTGCTCACAACCCCAAACTAGCTAGGATTCAAGACTTCGAGTTAGACAGAAACCCAGGGGGCTGCGGCTCTGGTGGTTAAAGGCAGCAGGGCTTCAGAGGTGAGGCTGGAAACTGGGGATGCCTGGAGGGCCAAAGCTTGGGCTCCACTCTCAGACCCCCGTGGGGACTTCCGCAGCCCCTAAGAGCTCTCCCCGAGCCCTCCCAGCCTTCTCCATCCCCTTCACAGTTGGCCGTGAGGGCTGAATTCACAGTATCTGTCATCCTTCGTGTGGAGAGAGCACACAGAAGGGCAGGTGTGCCTTCCTAACCTCAATTCACAGTCACTGAAATACAAGGGGAACAGAGGGGGCCATCATGGGGTGGGGTGGGGTTCTTTAAAGGCAGGCAGTGCAGAGGTGGCAGGCTGAGAGCCAGCTGCCCCCAGTCCTTCAGTTCCACCTTTGGGGCCCAGTGGCTTCTGGGTTCCTTGAAGACAACAGGGCCCCACCAGGTCATCAGTTCCTTAAGAGCAGGGACCATGACTGTTCCTATCTCTAGGTGCCCAGCACTTGCAGAAGACCAAGTGCACTGTAGTTGCTCAATGAGCGCTTCTTTAACTGTGATGCTCACGAGAAAAGCAAAACCCAGACTGACTTTCTGTGGGCCTGTGCATGCCCACTGCGGCCTGGTGTCAGGGGTCAGGGAGGAACTGAGCCTACTGTTCCTCCCAGTTGGACGGCTGAGCTGACATCCAACTGTGGGGCTCACCAGTACATCCATCAGGCCTGCTCTTGCCTGGACAAAGGCCACCATTGCAATAGAAAGGTGAAAGGCTGGAGACACACGTGATCCCTGGGAAGGGGCAGGTGTGTGGGAGGCCAAAGGGATGATGGGGCAAAATGAGCAGTCCCACCATAGCACAGAAACTCCACACGGAGCTGAATCCACGGGGTTTACAGCCTCCCCACACAGACTGGGAAGGGTGAAGATGCTGATGGCCAGGCACACTGGCACTGTAATACGGCTGTGCCCTCCCAGGAGGGGCTGACCAAGGGATGCCAGGCCTGGAGAGGAGGCAGCTCCACAGCTTGCTGGCAGAGCAGCTCATTTTCTGTGGCATTTTGACCAGACTCTGGTGCTAGGGAAGGGGCTGGAGACTGGGGCTCTGCTAGGCAGGTCTTAACTGGAAGGGGTGGGAGCCACACCCCTCCCTCCCCAAGTCTGAGCTCAGAGCATGGTCACAGGTTCTGGGCCTGAATCCAATCACGTCTCCACTCCCATCACCCTTTTTCCTTTCTGGTTTTGGAGTCTAATGCAACCTAATCTCCACTTAAGGGCTCCCTTGCCATCTGGAACTTTTTTCTGCAGTTAAGAGTTTCTAACGAAGACAAGCGTGGTGCTCTCACTTCAAAGACTTTTCCAAATCCAGCCCCTCCTGCTTCAAATGGACACAAGTAGAAGGCCTAATGGTGCTAAGGAAGGCTCTGCAGATGGGGGCCAGCTAGGTAGGTCTAAATGAAAGGGGTGATAGCCCACACACTGCCCAGCTGAACTCAGAGCATGGACAGAGGAGTCGGAAATAGGCTAAGGGGTTTCAGCAGGACTGAAATGGAAGAGGTGGGCAGTTCTAGAACCTTCTGGCATGACTGACAAAGGGTTTTTACAGTGCCAGGGTCACCCTGTGGCTGGGAAGTGGGCTCAGGTACTTTTGCCATCTACTCCTCCTTGTTCCCACCCATCCAGCCCTCATGGTCAGATGTCAGTCAGGGACTGGGATGTATCTAAAAGCCAAGGCCCTGAGTCCCATCACCTTGGTGCCTGCCTGGGGGCTTCATCAAAGACTCACATCTGTACAAGCCATGGATGTTTCCTCACCTTGCAGCAGAAACCCTGGCTGGGAACCACCGGGTGAGTCCAGACCTTTTTTGGATTCTGTTTCTACTTTTCCAGCAGGAGCAGCCTGGATTACAGGGGTGAGAAGGTGAACCCAAGCTCTCCAGGAATTCCAGACTCCATAAACTAGCTCAGTTCCTAGCCAGGGTTTCCTCTGCAAGACGAGGAAGGGGCAGTATCCCTTTGAAAGGACAAGGGGAGAGCCCTAGATAGATTTCCCTGATGGAGTCTTGGGCCAAAAAGCAGAGGCCAGATCAGACCTTCTGGGCTCCCCGCCCTACCCCAAGAACAGCTGCAATTACCATGTTTGTCTTCCTTCTGGCCCAGCATGGGTCCCTCACCGCCTACAAGGTCCTCAGAGGGGATGGCCATTTCCGCCATCCTGGCCGTCAGTGCCAGTGCATCTGCACAGACTGTTTTTATTATTACCTATTGTAAAACATCAGGTTCACTCAGGAGAAATATACGTGTAAACATTTGCTGTCTGTCATGACAGGTTTGGTTGTTGGTGGTGTCATTTTAAGAAATAGCAGGTGCAGCTCCATCTCCCGAGTGGGGTTTATGGCCAACAGTCTGAATCTAGGACGTGTGCTCCTGGTTTGCAGCGCTGGGCAGGCAGTGTTTTTTTGTCGTGGTGGTTGTTGGGATGTTTCAGAAACACATTTTAAAAAGAAAGAGATCAGCAGCGAAAAACCATATGGCTGGCTACATCTTTGGATTACTGGACTCCAGGACGCCCAAGCCAAACCTTTCAAACCGGGGTACAACTTTGCTGCTGTTAATGCTGCAAAGAGGAACAAAAACAAGAATTATAGCCCCATTGATCTTCATCAGAATTAGGGTAACACTAGCTAGGAAATGAGTTCAGCAGAGGACCTGGCCTCCAACAAGAAATGAAAATGACTGATTGGCCAACAGCCCTGGCAGAGCTGCCCCTGGTCATACTGCGTCCAAGGCCTCAGCTACACTCCAAGTAGTCCTACTTGGAGCAGCAACGGTGGCTCATTCATCTCCAAGTCCCAAGCTCCCAGCATGCTCAGTACTGCTGTGGGTTCCTAGGAATTGTTTTCTCATTTGCAGCCCAGGAAAGCTCTTGCTCCAAGTAGAACTGAGAGAGAAGAGAAACATGACTCCCAGGATACCAGGAGTGACAGGGCATGTTCCTTTTAGCAATAAACTCTAATACTGGGGTGCATCAGGGCCACCTGGGAAGCAGGTTGAAATGCAAATTCCTAGGGCCCCATTCCAGAGATCTGGGTTCAGCAGGTCTTGCTGGGGAGGGAGAACAGAAACCTGCATTTGGTAAACAGTGCATTGACTGCCACAGGGGACTCAGCAGCCATGCTCTTGACAAATGCTGACCTGGGGTCTGGTCTATGGTACACTGGGCAGCTGTAAAGGAAGTAACTTTGCCAGGGTGGCAGGGTGGGGACGGGGCAGAGACTTTGTTTTCATCAGAAAAATTGTCTGGAGCCAGGTACCTCTTTGCTTTAAGACAATTTTTCTGAGGGTGCCACTGAAGACACAACCCTTCCAAGCTGGTATCTTTCATGGCCACAGAACTTTCTGTGTCTTCTGATCTAACTCTACAGAGGGGACTGAGACAGGAGCCAGCGCAGAGGGTTCCTGTGACCAGGGTGCCAGCCTCAGGGCAGCTCTGAAATCATTCCACTCCTTGTTGGACAAAATCCCCACAGGTTAAAAGCCAAGCCAACACCCTCCCAACCTCCGCCCGCCCCGCACTAGGCACACACCCAGTGGGAGGCTGGTGTGCTCAGGAGGGTGGAAGGCATCTCACTAAGGTGTTAGCAGTGAGACAGAGCCACCCAAACAAAAACAAGACCAGCCCTCAGAAGAACACGGGAGCAATCAGTCATGTCCAGGAAGGTAGTTAGAAGCTGCCCAGACTGCCTTGGAGGGAGCTCAGTTAGTGGGATCCTCTGAGAGCAGTTACTTGGGCATATGCAGGCCACGTGGAGAGGGCAGAGGGCCAGTTTTTAAAACAAAGCAAAAGAAGTAGCCTCGAGAGAGACGACTGGAGCAGCAGAGGTGGCATCCCCTGGGTTAGTGCCCGCATCTCATTTTGCATTTTAGCAGAAGTCACGGTGCTGAGTTGTTGATTAGGAGGAAGAAAGCCCCTGGTGCATGCAAGGCAGCCAGGCCTACAACCTACAGAGGGAAAGAGAAGAAAGCAAAGAACAGCATCAGAATCATAGCCCCAATGCAGAGCCTGTCGGGAGCTAGAGGTCTGGCCAGAGCAGCTGGGCAGGGGACTCCCTTTCTCTTCCAGAGAGAAAGGGCCATCCTGGACTCCATCCCCCAGGCTTGGCTGCACTGCATGCTCAGAAGGGATCCTGGGCACAAAGAACCCTCTCTAAGCTCCCGCAGGGCACAGTTGCAGCACGTTTATAAAGAGGATGGAACATGCCCACAGCTCCTTAGCCCTTGACGAGTAAAATCTACTTCCAAGAGTATTTCTGCTTAACTGGATTCTCTTCTCTTGAGCTCTGGCCAGGGGGACTGGGATCCTGGGGGCTCAAATCAATGACCAGAATTTTCTCCGACCCAGGGACAAGCCACCCATTCACTCATGGTGTGGACAAAGGCCCCGCCACATGCTGTGGCTCTTCTCTCACCCAGCGAAAAATGCAAGCCTGTGTGACCCTTGCTGGAAGCCATTTCAGCTGCAGAAACCTCACTTTGGTTTGCGAGAATAAATGACACAAAGATGGGAGAAGCTGGGAAGCGGCGACAGAAAGGAAGCAGGGCTTGTGTCAGGAAAACCAGAGACAGGCAGCCAGCGAAGGAAGTAACAGGAACACACTATTCCTCCAGAATCGGACAGGAGCTCTTAAAGTCAGGGTGGCCGTAGCGTCCTTTTCCATAGTAGCGGCTCCTCCAGCGACTGGGAGTGCCCAGCGACCATTCCACCAGGCGTGGGAAGAGCGCAGTCCGGCCCCGGCATGTGATGGAGTCAGGCACGTGTGGACAGGTGGAGGAATCAGGTGATGGGAAAGTGGGAGATGACAGAACAGCACATCCGCCACCCCCCGAAAATAAAAAAGTGACAAGATCAATGGAAAGAAAAGAGAAAGTGAGAATTAGGGGGCAAGCGTGTAGAAAGTAAACACTGTGAACAGGAAGCTTTGACACAGACTCATTCAGGAAAGGAAAGCCCGCATGCTTTCCTCGAAGGGGCTGGGCAGGGAACAGCCCCATCTGTGACTCAGTTTCCTGCCTGTGAAATGAGAAGGTGGGACTATATGGTTTTTGGGGAATCTGGAATGATGTTCTGAATGCCAGTGTCCACCTAGTGGAGCCTTTTCTTTCGTCACGGAGAAAACCAGGGCCCAGCTTGTTAAGCAAGTTGCCCACGGTCTGATTAGAGCTTGGCCTCGCTGCCTCACATCACCCTCCTTGAACTGCTAAGAGCCCCATGCTCCTGGTCTCTGCTGGGATAGTTCTGGCTCAAAACCCAGCCCTGACGACCTTCTTCCAGAGACTCTTCCTCCTGTCCCCCAGGTGGATGCAGAGGCCCCCATCTGGGCTTTATCACAGCACTTGGCATGGTATCACCCTTTGCTCACATTCATTCATGCACATTAAATATTTAGTGCCCAACTATAATGTTCCTGGGACTGTACTAGGAGCCAGGAATACAAAGGTGACAAGAAAGAGTCCTGATGTGTGCAGGTTTCATTACAGTGTGTCTGTTTGTCTTTAGGACACTGCAATCTCCTTGCTGGTGGAACCCTGGCCTCGGCCATCTGTGTAGCAATGCGGCAGGTGTGCAGGCATGCGGCAGGTGTGCAGCAATGGCTGCCTAAAATGTATACCTCTATGGCTACGATCCATTACCCCACAGTTGTACTGGACTCCGACCCATCCTAAGAGCAAAATACTGAACCCAGTATTGCATGAGACATGGTATTCCCTAACCCCACACAGTCGTTCCTCCAGACCATCCCTCTACCTGGCCTGAATCAGTGAAGAACCAAGCATTTCTTTAGTGACTTCTGCAGGAGAGAAAACTCATGCTGAGTTTCTCCTCAACTGCAGCTTGGGGCCCACTTTGGTTCTTTATCAAGACAGGGCCCGAAGGCCGGGCGCGGTGGCTCATGCCTGTAATCCCAGCACTGTGGGAGGCCAAGGCGTTTGGAGTTTGAGACCACCCTGGCCAACATGATGAAACCCCATCTCTACCAAAAAACACAAAAATTAGCCAGGTGTGGTGGCAGGCACCTATAATCCCTGCAACTTGGGAGGCTGAGGCATGAGAATCGCTTGAACCCGGGAGGCGGAGGTTGCAGTGAGTCGAGATTGCACCACTGTACTCCAGCCTGGGTGACAGAGCAAGACTCTGTCTCAGAAAAAACAAAAAAATAAAAGACAAGGCCTGGAGGCTGGGTGCAGTGGCTCACGACTGTAATCCCAGCACTTTGGGAGGCTGAGGTGGGTGATCACCTGAGGTCAGGAGTTCGAGACCAGCCTGACCAATATGGTGAAACCCCATCTCTACTAAAAATACAAAAATTAGCCGGGTGTGGTAGCGTGCGCCTATAGTCCCAGCTACTCAGAAGGCTGAGGCAGGAGAATCGCTTGAACCCGGGAGGTGGAGGTTACAGTGAGCTGAGATCGTGCCACTGCACTCCAGCCTGAGTGACAGAACAAGACTCTGCCTTTAAAAAAAAAAAAAAAAAAAGATACAGCCCAGAAAACAATGTGCAAGCCAAATCTGGCCACACACTAAGAAAGGTTCTGACTACTTTAAAGGGTTAAAAAACAGTAACAAAGAACATGTAACAGAGACTGTGCCACCTGCAAGCCCAAAATATTTATTACCTGACCCTTCCTAGGATAAGGAATGCTGCCATCACCACACCTGGCGCCAGGTATGGGAGTTGGGGATGCAGCTTCTCCAGGCACTCAGTGACACACATACACAGGGACGGGGGCCTCAGGGGCTTTCTTGGCAGCGGGTGGCAGAAAGGCTCTTCCCCTCACTCTCATCAAGAGCAGCTCCACTTTATGGGTTTTATAGAGCGGGACTCTGTGGGAGATTTCACTTTTAGAAAGTGTCCTTTTCCTTAAAGTTTATAACTGGCCGGGCGCAGTGGCTCACGCCTGTAATCCTAGCACTTTGGGAGGCCGAGGCAAGAGCATCACTTGAGCTCAGGAGTTTGCAACCAGCCTGGGCAACATAGTGAGACCTCATCTCTATGTATACAAAAATTTTTTTTGGAAAGTTTTTCAGAAAGTTAAAACTATTCTTAGTTTGCAGATTGTACAGACACAGGTGGCAGGCCATACTTGACCTACAGGCTGGACTCCTGGGTGAGATGAAGCGATTCACTTTCTACATGGTTGGGGGGCAAAAATACCAAAAGAAGACTATTTCATGACATGTGAAATCCCAGTTTCCAGCATTAAGTCTTACTGGCACACAGCCAGCTCCCTGGTTTATGCTGTCCGTGGCTGCTCCCGTGTTGCGACGGCAGAGCTGAGATGCTGTGACAGAGATGGTGCTCGGCCCACTGCCGAAGTCAGCCCCAGAGTGAGGACTTGAGTTGCCCTCTTGGCCTGCAATGCCTCCAATATTCACCTGGCCCCTTACAGCCAGTTTACCTGCCCTAGACCTGGCCCAACCCCTAGCCCAGAGACTTTTTAATGCCGTGGAAACTGAGGCCCAGAACAAACTTCCCAGGTTCTCACAGAGCATTCGTGACAGAGCAGAGGTCTCTTCTGAGTGTTCTAGCAGAGGCAGCCAGAAGACAAAGGAAAAAGGGAATGAGATAGAATGCAGGAGAGACGACAGTGGCCTGTGACCTGGTGGACATCACCCCTGCACCAAGGGGTGCAAAGGGCTGTGTGTTAAACCAGGAGGGAGAGAGCTTCTAAACCCAAGTGACTGTGGTCCCCATAAGAGGTGGCTGGCTTCTTGTGTTTCGGTGGGTGCCATTGTAAGCAATATTGACTCTGCTTATTTCAGTGAAGCTTATAATACCACATCACTCTAATTTCTATCTAACTGGCCCCATCTTGCCCCTCCCTCAGCAGAGCCTTCTAGTCCTGGCCTGGCCTGGTATCAGTGCTGGTCTGCTAATAGTGATGATGTAGTATTTCATAGCGGCAAACTGGAGGTGCTCACCTGTCAAAGGGAGTCTCCAAAATAAATGTGGTAAACGAAATCCTCGTATCACTTGGGCAAGGGGACTAGTCACCTCTGGGTGACCTACTGTGTGTATTCCTCAGATCAAACTCCTGGGCAGAGGCCAGGCATGGTGACTCATGCCCGTAATCCCAGCACTTTGGGAGGCTGAGGCAGGAGGATCACTTGAGGTCAGGAGTTCAAGACCAGCCTGGCGAATATGATGAAACCCCGTCTCTACTAAAAATACAATAATTAGCCAAGTGTGGTGGCAGGTGCCTACAGTCCCAGCTACTCGGGAGGCTGAGGCAGGAGAATTGCTTGAACCCAGGAGGCGGAGGCTGCAGTGAGCTGAGATCGTGCCACTGCACTCCAGCCCTGATGACAAGAGCGAGACTCTGTCTCAAAAAAAACCCCAAAAAACAAAGTCTTGGGCAGAAAGATCAGAAGGTGCCCTCTAAGACCCCAGGTGAGGCTGCGAGGGCCTGGCTGGCAGTCTGGCTCATGGAAGAGGCACTTACTCAGCTGACTTCCAGAAGTGTCCAGGGTGGGAGAGCCGCCGGTTCAGCTTGGGAAGTTTCTCCAGCATGTCCATCAGCAGGCTGAAGCTGGGTCTCTCCTGCAGGTCGAAAGCCCAGCAGGCCGACAGGATCTCCTGCAAATGGAGCTGCCATTAGTGGTGTGTGAGCTGGCTGGGAGGGAGGGGGCACACAGTAGGGGTGCTCCACAAAGGGTCCCTTTGATGTTCTCAAGTGCCCTCTAACTGGCGGCCCCCTGAACACCCTGCCGACATGAAGGGGTGAGAAGTAACTGGGTTTCAGAGAACCACTCATGCTTCTGGTTCAACATGGAATGCATGAGATTACCTCACCTCCTTCCTTCTTAGATCCATGCTCACCCCAAAATAAGAGTAACCATGATGAACACACCAGCAATGGGAAAGAGATCAGAAATGGGGCTGTTGGTTTTTTGAAGATGCAAAGTGCAAGGTACAACGTTCACAGGTGAAATGCAAGATGCTCGGAATATGCGCAAGGCGGGGCTGCAGTGGACGAGGGAGCCTCAGCATTACTAGAATGGCGGCTGGAGTGACAAGAAGACTCGATATACGGGCAGCAGCTAAGAGTCAGCAGAACAGCTGTCCCGACTGCCCCCAGAGCAAAGCCCTTCTTGCTGTGGCATTTTGCTGCCTACTCTCAGGATCCACATGTGTACCAGCACGGCCCTGCAGCCTTCTGATTCAGAGCTGCCTGTGAGGAAAGGCCTATTTCTTGCACATACGACCAGGCAGGACACATACACCCACACAGACTCAGCAACTCAGGCTTTTGCTCTTAAATACAACTGGACCCCATGGGGTTGCCTGCCGTATCAGGAAAACCAGAGAGAGATCAAAGATAAGCAGATCAAGATACTGTCTCTGGAGGATATGGGGTGTACATGTGTGTGTGTGTACATTTGTGTGAAGCAGCTGCTCTATCCATAAAACAAGACCAGGCTGCAATAAAAAAGAAATCAACAAATAAGAAAGTGCTTGAAATGAAAATATAATTTCTGAACTGAAACATTAAAAGTGCTGGAAGATAAAAATCAAGGAAATCCCCCAGACTGTAGGCTCAATTCTAGAAAGGGATGGAAAATACAAAAGAAGGTAAGAGAAATGTAGGCTCACTAAGAAGAACCAAATTCTGTCTAATGGGGATTTCCACAAAAGTAAACAGACTATTGGGCAGGAAATTATCAAAGAAATAATAAAAGAAAATTTACCAGAAGCTTTCAAAGGTAGCAGCTGTCTTCAGCTGAAAAGGTCCAATAAAGGGACCTCACTAAAAACAGTTAAAAAACAAACAAACACACAAAAAAACTCTACCCTCAGATATATGTTTATGAAATTTCACTATAGCAGGCATAAACAGAAAATCCTAGATGCTTCCAGAAAGAGTAAGATAGGCATCCACAAATGGTTGAGAATCAGACCAACACCAGACTTCTCAACAAGGCACTGGACACTTAGTAGACAGCAGGGCAAAATCCCTGTGTTCTCAGGGAAAATTATTATGAATCTGGAATTCTACTCCTGATATGAGGATGAAATAATAACTATTTTAGGCATGCAAGGATTCAAAGATTATCTCCCATTCTTCCACTGGGAGGCAGTTTTTTCAGGTTTCACTCGCAGTTTATTTGCTGGAGTGCAAATAAAGAGAGGGCACGATATGAGACATAAAGAATAGTGCAACTGACCCAGGAGTGAATGAAAAGAAAACAGAAGGGTAACAGCTGTGCAGCAGGCCTAATATCCCATTGATTCCAACGACAAGAAACCAGTGGACTCTGAAAAGAATGTAACAGATTCCATTTAGGAAGCAGAATGCAGAAGCTGAAAGACCTCAGGAATATGAGAAAGGTGTTTGTTTCTTCTCTCAGCAATAAGAAAAGGCAAGAAGGAAAAAAGAAGGCAATTAGAAACTACAGGAAAAACCTAAACTGCACAAGAAAGCCATGGTCCAAATGTGAAGCCAACAAAATTGTGAGCCTTTGAGTAATTGATGAAGTGGAAGAGATGGACCCACAAAGAAAATGTAATCCCAGTGAATCATCTGACCAGTGGCTAATACCACTTACAGTCTACTATAGTAGTGTATACACTGTTCATCATCTTTTCACTTTCAGCCTCCATCAACAGGCACAGCATGGAAGATTTAATCATGGCAACCTTAACAATAAGTAATGGGAGAGCTGACCAAAGTGGTGCAGCAGAAATAACGGAGTGCCAGAGTGAAAAGCTGATAGACCCAGGTGATGCCTTTGGAGAATGATCTAGGGTGAGGGACTGCTGGTTTTCATTAAGAACCCTCTGGTCTTTTGATGTCTTCCCATATGCATGGACCCTTAAATACAATGATTAATAACTCACTGGCTGCCTCAGCACATAAAGCAGTGCCTGGTGGTGAACTATACAGCAGTGTGGCTGGAGAGACAGAGAAAGGCATCACTCAGAGGGCACTCCCAGCTTTTGTCTATGACAGAAAATAATTTTATTGCGTTGACCAATGTTCCCCTACCCCTAATAGCAATGTGTTAAAAAGGGAAGGCAAGACTGGACAAAAGAAAGGGAACTCCTGTGAGCCACAAGCTGCTGCCGGAGCATCTGCTCTCTCCCCACTCCCCACGCCCTGATCCCACACTGGTCTCAAAACAACCATCACCCCGCACTAAAAGAAATCCTTCCAATTAGTTCAGAACTCTGGCTGTGCTCTAGAATGATCTGAGGAGCTTTATTTAAAAATAAAAAATAAAAAAACTATGATCTTATTCCCATCCCAGGCCAATTTAATTGGTACCTCTGTGGGGGAGGCCTTAACCCTGGCATTTTTATAAAGCTCCCAGATGATTCCAACTTGCAGCCAGTGCCGAGCCTTGACTCCCTTGCAGCCCTTTGCTCAGCTCTGCTCCAGCCTTTGCCTCCCTGAAGATGGCACTTACCATTCTCTGCTCCAAGATGCTAAGTATGCAGAAAGGAAACAAACTGTTGCCAGGAGGGCAGAACGAAGAATATCTTTTCTCTCAGATGCAACAAATATACATAATACTCTGGTTTATACAAAGATGTCCTTGCTAACTCTTGTAAAGAGAGGTTAAAACTGGAAAGAATCCCCATGTCCAGTGACAGAAGTAGTTACATTATGGTGCGGCCACAGGACATAAGGGCAGACAGTCTTAACAATAAGGATTTGTTAATGATTTGAGGTAATGAGCATAATAAAATGTCATGTGGAAAAAGTCACAATAAAAAAATCAGCTAGGTTTTATGATATGTATGTCTTAAATATTTTTTTAAAAGACTATGCCAGGCATGGGGGCTCATGCCTGTAATCCCAGCACTTTGGGAGGCTGAGGCAGATGGATCCCTTGAGGCCAGGAGTTTGAGACCAGCTTGGCCAACATGGTGAAACCCCATCTCTACTAAAAATACAAAAATTAGCTGGATATTTTGGTGCATGCTTGTAATCCCAGCTACTTGGAGGCTGAGGCGGGAGATCACTTGAACCTGGGAAGCAGAGGTTGCAGTGAGCCAAGATCGTGCCACTGCACTTCAGCCTGGGCGACAGAGCAAAACTGCTTCAAAAAAAATTTAAAAAGACTGGAAAGCAGTGGTTACTTCAGCTGCCATCTGAGCTGCCCCAGAGCTCAGCCAAGGAGGCTGCAGCCACAGCCAGGAGCCCAAAACCTGTATCTTGAGCCCACTGACAGTTGCAGGAGGCAGATAAAGAAGGGTCCCTGGAGAACCTCCATCCTGCCCCACAAGTGTTTACAACAGATGTTTTTGTGCAGATGAGGGAACCTGCACAGGGTCTTGCCTGGGTACACCCACAATGGACTGGAGACCCACATGCACTGGGGGAATAGGGTGGAGCCACCAGGAATTCGCGCCTTATGCAGGGGAGGAGCCTGGCCTCTTCAGCTCGTGTGTGGTGGCCTGATATTCAATCTGTGAGATGGGAGCCTGTTGGGAGGACCCCCTCTTTTTTGCTGAGAGGTTTCTTTTAATGAATTCCACTCTCCTCACCTTTCAATGTGTCCGCATGCCTAATTTTTCCTGGTCATGAGACAAGAACCTGGATTTTAGCTGAGCTAAGGAGCAAAAAATTCTGCATCACCACCACACGCTCCTAAGGCACCCGAGGATGCACCAAGGTGAAGGTGGTGTTTAACTGGCCCTGGCCCAGAAGGAGGCCAAGAAGGACGGGCCTCAGAGTGTCAGAGAAGTGCTCATCACCCATGGCCCTTGCCCAGCACCCCAGATGAAATGGTATCAACTGGCCAAAGAGGAGCCTGCTGTTCGTGTTGTTAAATAGCATTTTGGTGTCATCTTTGGAGGGGCATCCCCGTACAAATATTTTGCACTTCAACAAGATGACATATACTACTGTGGAATAAAGTAGATCAGATATAATGTCATCTTGAGTGAGCCTTCTGAAGACGCCCTAGCTGCTTGCCACCAGTCAATTGAGAAAAATATTACCATCTATTAAGAACTTGGAGGACGATGAGGTTGAATTCATCACTGCAAATTTGCAGACAGAGTCTGCAGACAGACAGTGATCCTGCCAGCAATGTTCATGACCTTAACAAGAAGCTCACAGCCTGTTTGTATCTTAGCCTGGACAAGTGCTGGGTGGTCCCTCTGAAGACTTCAATTGTTATGCTGCCCAAATACTGACTGGAGTTGCTTATTAACATCAAGGCTGTTCTGTCCCAATCCTATCTGATTCATGGACACATGGCTATCACTGATGGCACTGAAAACACCAAGCCCTGGAGTTTCTTTATATATCACTGTGCTGTGATAAAGGAAACTGAAAGCTGTCAGAATCAAAAGAGAGTCACAAATGTGAAGAAAACTCTGACAAATCGGGCCTGGGAAAGCCATGAAGAGAGGCTTCTTGGGCTTGTATGTCTGATAACAAAAACTACCACTAAAGACTGCAAAAACTGCAACCTTGTACGAAGGCCATGGCAACCTTATACAAAAATACTCCTACAAGGACATCTGCCTCAAACAACCTGTCTAACCTTGGACTGACATCACTCTTGTTACTCATCTCTGTAGCCAGGGAAAACTACTAAATATGTCAAAATAATTGTGTAATCCTCTTCATTTTTTCCTTTACCTCCCTGAATAAGCAAGCCATTCACCATGGCATGCATATTCCCAGTGCAACGCTCTATTTCCAAATAAACATCTTTTGAGAGCCTCTCTCTCTTATTTAGCCTGACAAAACTTACAAACACAGAGAATCCATTAAGGAGAAACCATGTAGAAATGAGAAGTCGGCCACTATAATTAAGACTTGGTTTTTTGAAAACAAGTTTGCTGTGGAAACTTTGATTTGTTCTTAATAGTCAAGAAAAACATTATGAGGAAAGATTTAATACCACAGCATAGCACAACTATTTGTATTTTCAGCAGTGATTTTTTTAAAAAAAATTATCTTCTTTCATGTAAATAACATGGGGCTTTACTTTCTTTTCATCTCATAAATCAATGAAAACCATTATCTTTAAGAAAAAAAAAAGACTGAAAGGAATGAAAAGGGTGAGCAGTGGGGTGAGGATAGATATTTTCTTATTTATGCCTCCCTGTTCCTTCCCCATTCCCGGGCAATGCATATCATTTTCATCTCTAGCTAGACACGTGCAGGTGGCAGAGCTCCTCACCGACCCCATTTCTCAGGTGGGTGAGTGAAGGGCAGCCATGCCACATGCCCCACCCCACCTCCAGCCCTACTGCTCCACCCAGGGCAGGTACTACTTACACTGACTTCCTTCCCCAAGCTGACAGAAGTCAGGACACGCTTCATTCCTTCCCCGCTTCCAATCTGCCAGATGGATGCCTCTGCAGCCTGGTTCTTCAAGGGCCAGTCTCTTGCTTGCAGCTCATACCAAACAGTCCTGCAGAGACCCAGCCATGTCTGTGAGCTCCTGGGCCGCTGTGCCCAGCTCAAGCCCAGGGGCCCTTGAGCCATAGCCCAGCCAGAGGATCAGGACCCTTCTCCAGCCTTCCTCACCCACTTGGCTTCAGGGGATGCTACAGTGGGCTCCTGGAGGCTCCTCCCAGCCCTAGAGGACCTGGGCCCTGTGCTCTCGTTGGGTGGGAAGTCTGAGACAGCGCAGGTTTGACCGGAGCCTTGGTGGTCATTCTGACCTCAGCACAAATCCAGCTCTGCCACCTTCTAGCTGCAAGATCCCAGTAAAACTGCTTCACCTCAGTGGGGCTAATGTCTCTTGTCACAGGGTTGTTTGAGGAGTACTAAATTGCCAAGCCCAGCACCTGGCACACATGGGTGCTCAGGAAAGGATACAGTTAAAGGTCAGGGAGGAAGGATGGCGCCAAGGCCACCCCACTGGGAAGGATACCCAGATACAGCACAGGTGACCGGGGTGGTGAGCCTTCCTTGGCCTCTCTACGTCCCCTTGGCTTTCTTCACTTGGGATGGGACTTTCTCCATCAGACCCACACTGTCCAATGTGGGAGCCTCTTGCCACAGGGGGGCTACTGAGTGACTGAAATGTGCACAGTTGAATGGAGGGGTGCTCTAGGCAGAAAACACACCAGATTTTAAAGACTTAGTAGGAAAAAAGAATATAAAATATCTTATTAATTTGTATATTGATTACATGTTGAAATAATATTTTGGATATATTGAGTTAAATAAAATATATCGTTTTATAATATATAAAACATAAACAGGGGAAACTAATTTCATCCATTTCTTTTTTAATGTGGCTATTAGAAAACTTTAACTTCTATATCGGGCTCACATTATATTGCTACTGGTCAGCACCCAGGTCTTTGTGGGGTAGCAGAGCCGGCAGGATATCCAGCTCCCCCAGACTGGGAGGAGCAGTTCTTGGTCAGCTCTGGTGAGCATCCTCCCAGATCAGCTGGGTGGGGCTGACAGCCAGTGTTAAGCACTGCACACAATTACCTGATTTAGTCCTCATGAAATGACCTTGTTGGGAGGAGCTATTCCAGGTCAAGGATATAGTCATGCACTCAACAAGCGGCAGAGCCAGGACTCAAGACCATGCACTCAACAAGCGGCAGAGCCAGGACTCAAGGTTGATTTTTTACTCCAGAGCCTGGGTTTTCAACACCTAAAAGCATGCCTCCCTCTGCCCCCAATGGCCACCAGGGCCCTCTGTTTTGGCCACACTTGGCCTCAGGGCACCAGGGGCCTACTCACCCAAATGCATAGACATCAGCAGCTTTGGAGAATGGCAGCTGATCCTCGTCCTTCCCGGGGGTCATCTCGCGTACAATCTCAGGGGCCAGATAGCACAGCCAGTCGTGGGACAGCTTTAGCTGGTTCTCACGCCTGGAGACCAGGAAGCCGGGACAAGGACACAGGCCTTTCAGCAGGCAGCAAAGAGGCCTGCCTGGCACAGGTCTGCCCCAGGGCCGGCAGAACACCCACACACAGCTTAGAAAACACACCCAGACCCAGAACACTGACCCTGCACTTGGGAAAGGCACCGGTGCTTTTGAGGAATTCTACAAAGGAGTCATGACCGGTTGTTTCTAGAAAAGCAGGGCAAGAATGGATAAATATTGACAGGGAGCTGCTGGTGAAGGTGCCCAGCTCCCTCTGCTGGAGAATGAGGCGCCTCTCTAACCAGGAACCCTGATCTGCCTGTGGATCTCAAACTTGGCTGGGGCTGGCCTTGCAGCCTTGCTGCCATGCTCCCTTTTGGGTTCCCCTAGATGTGAGGGGAGGGGCCTTTCTCCCTATGCCAATCCCTTCAAGATTTGGGGAAATAAAATTTGACACTCTTCCTCATCGTGGGGAAATGACCTGGTTCCTTGGCCAAGCGGGTGAACAGCCAGGGCAAATGTGAGTGTGGGGACCTGGTTTCCGTGGAAGTCGGCCTGAGAATCCAAACGCGACCCAAATCTGATTCTGAACCAGAACTACGAGGGCAGGACCAAAGCGACCTGGGCTTCCCTGCAGGGAGGGCTGCAGCTCAGCAACAAACAGTGAAAGTGCCCAGACCTCAGCCCTGCTCTTCCCCATCCAGCACCCACAACCCACCCAGACACTCAAGACCAACTCACCGTCCCTCTCGGACCACGCCTGAGATCCCAAACAGCCCGAAGTCTGTGATGACCACCTTGCCGTTGTCATAGAAGACGTTCTTAGATTTGAGATCTTTGTGTACGATGCCCTTGGCATGAAGATATCCCATGCCCTGGAGGACACATCAGGAGGAGTGAAGATGTGCAACGATGACGGAGGTGCCACCCTGGGCTGGATGATTTACCTAAATCCCCATATTTGATCTTCACAATTCCATGCAGTATATTGTCCCCATTTTACAGAAGAAGAAATCGAGGTTCAGAGAGGGAAAGTCACTTGCTCCAAGCCACACAGCAGTGAAGAAGCAGAGCTGAGATCTGATCCCAGACCGGTCTATGCTCTTTTAATGTTACCATGCTTCTAAACAACCATGTTAACCTTGGCTAAGGTAGGAGGTGTGAACAGGGTGATGGGCAGGGAGCCGGGGGGTCAGGGACAGTGAGATTTATCAGTGTACAGTCATAAAGGGCCTAAATGAGCTGGGGTTTTCTGTCAGGATATGCACAGCTGGTCTGTGCTCTCAGGCAGGACAAGGGCTCAAGGTGGGGGAACAGAGAGGCATTCCCACAGCGGGGTCCCCAACTTTGAGTGCTCCTAATGTCTGAGCTGTAGTAGAAGGAGCCCTGGACTAAGAAATCTGGGGTTTGAACTCCATCTCAGCTCAGATTCTCACTCACTCTGTGGCCTTGGACACAGTGCTCAACTTCTCTGAAGACTGGTTTCCTCACCTATCAAGCGAAGAGGTGGCAGTGGGTGATTTCTAACCAATGCTCTATTTGAACTAACACTGATGAGTCAGGTGCATGGAGCGTGGGTGACCTGACATAGGCATGATCTCATCCAAGGTCAAGCTGTCTTCAAACACCAGACCCAGGGCTCCTGTGTACCCCACAGCATGGATTATCGCGTTTTTAACCTCACACCAATCCAGAGAGGGAGGATATATGAAGATCCCCATTTTACAGGGGAGAAAACTGAGGCTTAGAGAGGCTAAACCTACCCAAGGTCACACAAAGGGTGTGACCAGGATTGAAACTGGCCTCTAAAGCCTGCCAAGTTCCTTCCCAACCAAGTCAATTCCATCAAGCCTAATCATGTGGACAATCAGCTCCCAGCTCTGAATGAATGAGACAGAGACAGGGAGGAAGAGATGGGGTCCCACCCTTGAGGAGCCTGAGCTAGAAGGAGAGGCAAAGCTGCCCAAACCACCCTAACAGGGAGTAACAGGGCGAGAGGAACAGCCGAGAGCCCTGGAACCGGCCAGAAACCCACCCCCAGCAGCTGGGCACCCCCTCACCTTGATGATCTCCTGAGCGATTTGCCTCGTCTTGTTGATGTCCAGAGACGTCTTGGGGTCCCTCACAAACGAGTGCAACGTCCGCCCCTTGCAGAAGCTGTCGAGGGTGGTGGGGGTCAAGCACAAGTCTGGGGCTGGTGCGGCCTGACCCCAACCCTGGTGGAGCCCATGGGGAGAACTGTGCCCGTCTGCCTGCAAGGACTCTCTCCAGCCCCTCGACTGTGAGCCAAATCTTCTTTAACCCAGCCCAGTCCTGCTGGGGCCTGGCCTGAACGTGCAGAAACACATGACACCACACACGTACACGCACACAAACCCCCATTCCCTGAGAGCCAGTGCCTGCCCATCCTACAACAGGAAACAGTGCATCAAAGCTCTCAGGAACTCAGAGTAGCCATGCTTGGTGGGTTCAAGGCAGGACCACTCTGATGGGGAAGAACTTGGCTAATTTAAGGGCATCAACAGGCAACATCAAGGCTCTGGGGCTCACTGTCAAGAATCTCATTATAGTTTTCATTTTTTCTTGATCACAGGGTTTTTATTACAATAAAGGAGTGTGCAAGGAGGGAAAGGGGGTGGGGTAGATGTTAGGGGCGTCAAGGTGACTACTGGAAAAGGAGCTTCAGTTCTGGGGTCGCCACCTGCATCAACTCCTAAAACCCCGGGTGAGGAGGGACCCAGAGAGAATGTGGGTCCAAGGGAGCTATCTTAGGAAGGGACTATGTTTTTAGGAAAATATTCTTGGAGTCTCAGAGCCTTTGAAAACCAGGCAAGGGGTAGAGAATATTGGTTGGTGATTTCCTTATCTGTGTCCCACTTTTCTTCAGCGTATTCTAAACAAAGTAAGATTTTTTTGTTAATGAATATTTTCCTGTTTCAGGCAGGCCACAGTGGCTCACGCCTGTAATCTCAGCACTTTGGGAGGCTGAGGTGGGCGGATCACCTCAGGTCAAGAGTTTGAGACCAGCCTGGCCAACACGGTGAAACCTCATCTTTACTGAAAATATAAAAATTAGCGAGGCGTGGTGGCACACGGCTGTAATCCCAGCTACTTGGGAGGCTGAGGCACGAAAATTGCTTGAGCCTGGGAGGCAGAGGTTGCAGTGAGCCAAGAACACGCCACTGCACTCCAGCCTGGGTGACAGAGCGAGACCCTGTCTAGTTTATCATTAATTAATTACCTGTTTTGTTTTTCATTAACTACTTTTTTTTTTTTTTTGAGATGGAGTCTTGTTCTGTAAATAAATTACGGGACCACCAGTGATCAGCTCTTGATTATACAACTCTTCCCAACTCTACTCCACTCCAGGAGATAACATTGGTAGTCTGAAATTGACCATGGTGAGAGTATTTACACCACAGGAAGTGATGGATGTTATAAATTAGGGCTTCCCTCCATACTGCCCCAAAACTGGTTGTTACACATTTACCAGCACACCACTGGGTTCAGCCTACGTGATGGGGATACTGTGCAGGTGTTAGAAGAGAGTAGACCTCAGACCCACAATCGGGTGCAGGAGGCAAGGTGTGAGCCAGCATGATCTCTCCTTTGTATTTTTACAAAAAGGAATAAACAGTTTAAAAACGTGAGTATATGCAAATGTCTTCCTTTTAACAGAAGGAATGTTAACTGTTTATAGTGTCTCTGACTTTGGGGAGAAGCGCTCAGTTGCAGTGGGAGAAGACTGGCTTTCACTCTGTACCTTTTATGGACATTTGATCTTCTGTAAACTTAGAAAGGTCTCACTCTGTCACCCAGGCTGGAGTGCAGTGGCATGATCTTGGCTCGCTGCAGCCTTGACCTCCTGGGCTCAAGCGATCCTCCTGCCTCAGCCTCCCAAGTAGCTGAGACCACAGGCACAGGCACCTGCCACCAGGCCCAGCTAATTTTTTTGTAGAGACAGCGTCTCAGTATGTTGCCCAGGCTGGTCTCAAGCTCCTGGGCTCAAGCAATCCTTCCACCTTGGCCTCCCAAAGTGTTGGGATTACAGACATGGGCCACTGCACCAGCCCATATTTATTTATTTTTTAGTGTCAATGCGGTTATGTGATTAGGAAGTTATACCCCATTTTTGGTTTTCTTCTTTATGCCTCTATTAGAACTTCCACACCCTCTAGGGCATCCACACAAACAGGGCTCCCTGGGAAGGGGGAGGCTGAGCTGGCCATCCAGCATGAGGTCCTAGGGCTTGGTTACCTGGTGATAATGGCCAGGTGGGGCGGGTTCATGCAGGCCCCCATGAAGAGCACCACGTTCTCATGCCGCGTCTGCCGGTAGTTCATCACCTCTTTCTTGAAGAGCTTCAGGTGGTCCTGGTTGTGGCCGTCCATCTCCAGCAGGCGAATGGCCACCTCGCCATGCCAGCGGCCGCGGTGCACCCGGCCCCAGCGGCCCTGCCCGATGGGCTCGCCCAGCTCTACCTGCTCGAAGGGGATGTCCCACTCCTGCAGGTACACGCTGGTCTGGCTGGCCTTGCGAGAGATGGGGCCCCGCCAGGGCCGGCGAGAGCTCGGCAAGTCGTCCACCTCGTCCTCATCGTCTTCTGCCTCTGACTTGCCAGCCTCTGGCTCCTCAGCCTGAAAGGAGAGCAGGAAGAACAGGGATGGGCAGCAGATCTGGGCTCTGCGACGTCTCTTCCTTCTCCTGGAGCCCTAGCCAGGTAACAGGGGAGAGAGGCATCCTGCCAGGGGACCCAGGTTGTAGTTGCAGCTCTGCACTGGCCTGCTGTGCAGCTCACTTAGCATCAGTGGACCTCAATGTCCTCATCCACAATATGTGGCGGCTGGCCCCGGTGACCTGAGGCCCTTCATCATGCTAATACTCCAATACCTACCTGTGAGCAACATCTAATTGTCCAGGAAAGAGCAAGAGCATCCCTGGCATAGAAGAATTTCACTGCATCCATCCTTCTGGAACTCTTGTTTAAACACAGAGTTTCTGACTCTCCCCTGGGCAGGAGTAAATCAGTCTGTTAACATTCTCCAAGCCATAATGCAATGGAGGGATCCAGCCTTGGCTGACACTTTTGTTCAAGGGTCAAGGCAGTGGTTCTTGACCCTGGCTACAATCACCTGGGGAGTGTGGGGAAGACAGAGCTTGGACAAGCTTGCTCCATTGCATTCCTCATCGTTCTTCCCTGACATGCACCTCTGCAATGGGTGCCTGGGACAGCCCTTGCCAAAGTCCAGAACCCACTCACCCTCAAGCCCCCTGCGCATTCTGAGATGGGGAAGGGAAAAAAGAGGGGGGGCCATCTGTGGACACGTGTGTGTCACCCTCACCTCCGCTTCGTGAGCTTCCAACACATCTGCTTTCGGCTGGTCATCGAGCCTAAGAGTAAACAAGGTTTGTCAAGGAGACCTTGAGGAACACCGCTCTGCTCTCAGCTAGCGGGGACTCCCGGGAGAGATCTGAGACAAAGGTACTTACTCTGACTCACACCTGGCTAGGGGAAAGGCCGCGTGGATAGCATGGCAATAGGCAGGAGGCTGAGGGCCAGACCTGCCCCTTGTGCAGCCTCAGCCTTCCCTAGGCTAACTTGAGGGTGGTGGGGGCTGAGAGGTGGGCAGTGATCCCCAAAGCCCCTTTTCAGATGTGACACTGCTACACAGGGTCTCAGAGCACACCCACAGGACTCGGAATCTGACGGCCTCAACTTGGAAAACCAGCTCTATCGCTTCCTAGCTGTGTGACCTTATGTAATTTCTTAACCTCTCTGGGCTGGCTGTATGTTAAGAATGACACCTACTTTGATACCTACCACCGCGCTGAGGGTGAGATGCGGGAATGTGAGTCAAGTGCTCAGCATGGCCTGGTAGAGAAAGGGCTCTGCACAGGAGCTATTCTTAGGCTTCTCTAACTCCAAATGCCCTCTATCCAACCCGCCTGGGTCCCAAGACTGCTCCAGTTTCACATGCGGCCCCACCCAATGTTGACCGCACTGATAGGAGGCAAATAAAACCCTCTGTGGAGTTCACTTGCCCAGAGGGTGAATGAGCCCAGGGAGTTCTGCATCTGGCTGGCTGGAGATGGAAAGGTGGAGTGGGAGGTGGCCAGGGATATGGATCCAGCCTTAATAATTCCCCAAAGAAGCGAAGGGGACACCACCTAGGGATGCCTACCGGGTACCGTCGGCAGCTTCAGGGAGCGGGGCTGCGTGTGCAAAGGCTGAAATGTCTGGAGGAAACAAAAACCAAACACAAAGCATGAGATTGCTTTCCTCTCCCCAAAGAGACACCGTGCTTGAAACCCAGCACCCCCAGAGAGGCTGATTTTCCCCTGAGTGGACTGCCACATGTTCCCCAGACACTCCCACAAGGACCAGCCTGGGCCCTTCCATAAATTTTGCAAGGACGCAGCCTCCACAGCACCTGCTTCTGCATACACAGCTGTGTCTCAGGAAGGGGCTCTGGGCAGGGGCTCTGGGCAGGGGATCTGGGCAGGTGGGGAGGGTGAGACTTCTCATTACCACCACGCCCCTGTGGCCAAACTGCCCCCCACCAAGCAAGTGGTAAAAGCAAACTGGGCTCTCATTTACTGGACAGGCTGGCTAAAGCTGCTGTTTGGAAGCAGGGGCTGCTTGCAACAACCCTTGAAACTAATGAGATTCCCTCACTTTGGCCAGCAAGGCCGGTGGCAGGACATGCAGGTGGCTCATTAGCGACACCTGGTGGCTGATACAGTTGCTGGGAATTTCCAGCACAGAGGCCCCGAGCCCTCGGCTTCAGGTATGGGTCACTGGTGGAGCAGCTCTCAGGGGAGAGGAAGAAACGCCACATATCAGGGGCCCAAGAGTGGGCAGCTGGGGCTGATCCCTGAGCCTGGGGTGTTCCCAGTTTTGGCGCTAAAAGTCCCACGTCCAGGAAGACCAGAACCAAAGGTTACTCCAGCATGGAACCAAAGTGCTACAGGGAGATTGGTGGCCCCAGGGCCGCCATGGACGGCTCACTCCCCGCTCTTTTCTGCAAAAAGAGAGACAGGAAGTGGCAGTGGCTGAAGCTATCAAAGGCCTCTCTCCTGCCTGTGTGGACAAAGACTCTCCCCGCTCAGCCAAAAGACCTCCCTCGACCTTCTTCTAGGGCTTTCTTCTGCCTTTGAAGGTCATCTGAACCACAGGCTGTCAACATCTCTGGGACCTCACAGACTTGGAGAATCTGATAGAGGCCGTGGGCCTTCTTATCAGGGAAATGCACACATGTGCCCAACATCCTGTGCACAATTTCTGGGGGATCAGAACCTTAGAAGCCTCTACCGGTAAGGCCTCCCCCGGACACAGTGTGTCTGCAGACTACCAGCAGGGGCCTGGCATTTCCACCCATCCCACACTGCTCAAATGTTCCAAAGGAGGCAAACACACACCTAAAGCATGAGGGAAGTAGTAAGAGTTGGGGTGTGGTTTCTCCCCAAACCCCAGATGGGAAGGCAAAATGCCTCTCTGAATCCTCATGCTTTTGCTTAAAAGTTAAGAGTGTATCATGCATTCTGCTCCAAAATGTGTCCACGTTTGCTTTAATAAAAATGTATTTCCTTGCCCTCCCTGTGACATATCTTCGGGGGAAAATGGACCCTTCTGGGAGAAGAGCCATATCTTCCCAATGTTTTGGGGTAATTCCCTGCGTGCATCCTAGAGCTAGTAACCAGGGGAACCACAACAAAAAACCGGTGTGAAACTGCAGAGGCTGCTCAGCTGTTCAGAGGGAGCCTCCGGGAGGCGGGTTCTCAGGGCCCTGACTGCTGCCCTGCACACACCTGAGCAACGCCATATGGATGGTCCTCTAAGGACTCACAGATGCTCCAAGTCAACCCCCTAATGGAGCTGGCTTAGGGAATAGAAAAGCCTGGAGTAACCAAAATACTGTGACTTCAAGACAGTCCTGTTCAATCCAAAAAAAAAACAGCTACAGTCTTTGTTTTAAACACCATTATGCTCATCACCTTCAGTTACAGTAAAAAGCACTGATCTCAAGCACTTTAGGGGCAGGAATGAAAAGGTTGGTACATAGTAAGTGTAGAAAACAACTTTTGCAGAAGGGACTCAATGTATTGACTTACTGAAAGCGTTTTCCTTTAAACTTTCTGCAATAAGGAGGCATTTCCAGCAATGGCCAGCAGATGGCACTGTGTGGTAAGGCACAGAAGGGTGAAGCCCACTAAGAGAAGCCCGCAGACCTTCCCAAATGGGTTTCTACTTCTCTAAGACATTGTGCATAAGATATCCTCCCATCATTGTGCAAGGGAGGATACGGTGACATATGCTCATAAGGCATTAGCAAAAAGTCCTCTCCCCATTCTATAAACCCAGATTCTAGTCCTTCTGCCATCTCCTAGCAGTGTGACCTTGAAAAGGTTGCCTGCAGTCTCTGTGCCAAGAGGCTGGATGGGATGGATTCCAGGGTCCCTCCCAGCAAGAACTTCTCACGTAAGAGGCCTACCACCAGGGCACTTGCCCTGCCCTCTTCCCATCCTCTATGGGCAGTCAGCTCTCAGAACAGGTGGAGGGAGACTCAAGTATCTCCAAAGGTACCCAGAGAGAGGGCGCCCTGCCCAGGTGGGCAGGACAGAAGGGGTCACAGCAAAGGGCAGTTAATGGAACCATGCAAAGGACTCACCTGGAAAGATAAACTGCTGTCTATGATGAATGAAGTAGGCAGCTTTAAACAGAAGAGGAGGTGAGTCACACACACAGAACGGCCAACGCAGGAGGGAGGAGCGGAATTGCAGGTACCGGCTTGGGAGGCAGGGACTTGTTACTGGGCTGGGACAGCCCTACCCCAGATGGACCTGGCAAGGACAGGCCAAACCATGCAGGAAGGAGGAAAAGAGCTGGGAGAAAATGGGCCCTGGCAGGAGTCTGCAGGACTAAAGGGGCTTGCACTGGAGGATTGGGCATTCCAAGACCCCGTCTCCGGTCACCAGCACTCTGTGAAATGCATGTGAGCCCAGAAGGGCAAAATACAATGGGAGAGAAACAGTGATTCTGAAAAGTTTAACAGTGTTATGTACGGAAGAATGGCCTCCTCCCCCTGAGCCCCACCTGTACCTCCAGAGTGTCTCAACCTTACCACTCCCTACCCACATTTTTTTCTCTCTCTCTCATAGGTGACTGAAAAGGATACACTGGGGTTCTGGAAGCTGACAGCATGTTCCAACCTCAATTCTGCCACATAACTAGGCTCTGGGACCTTAGGGAGTTGGCTAACCTCTCCAGCTGTCTCACTGTCAAATGGGGGTGTAAATACAGTCATGTGCCACAGAATGTTGTTTTGGTCAACAAGGGACCACATACATGACGGTGGCCCTAATTATAATGGAGTGGGAAAATTCCTCTTGCCTAGTGATGTGGTAGCTGTGGTAACAGGGCAGCACCATGCATTCCTCACGTGTCTGTGGTGACGCTGGCGGGAAATAATCCACGGAACTACAAGCTGTATAAAAGGATGGCACGCACGATTATGCACGGTAGCATCTTACTTGATAATGAGAATAAACAACTGTATTACTGGTTTATGTATTTACTATATTGTACTTTTAATCATTTTTAAAATTTTTTTTATTTATATATTTATTTTTTGAGACAGAGTCCTGCTCTGTTGTCCAGGCTGGAATGCAATGGCACAATCTCAGCTCACTGCAACCTCTGCTTCCTGGGTTCAAGCGATTCTCCTGCCTCAGCCTCCCAAATAGCTGGGATTACAGGCACCCAGCCCACCACCATGCCTGGCTAATTTTTGTATTTTTAGTAGAGACGGGGTTTCACTATGTTGGCCAGGCTGGTCTTGAACTCCTGATCTCAGGTGATCCGCCCACCTTGGCCTCCCAAAGTGCTGGGATTACAGGCGTGAGCCACCACATCCAGTCTTTTAATCATGATTTTAGAGTATACTTGTTCTACTTACCAAAAAAAAAAAAAAAAAAAAAAAGTTATCTGTAAACTAGCCTCAGGCAGGTCCTTCAGGAGGTATCCAGAAGGTGGCACTGTTATCACAGGAGATGCCAGCTCCATGTATGTCACTGCCCCGAAGACCTTCCGGTGGGACAAGATGTGGAGGTGGAAGACAGTGATATTGATGATCCTGAGGCTGCACAGGCCTAGGCTAGCGTGTGTGTCTTAGTTAACAAAAAAGTTTAAAAAGTAAAAGAAAAAATAAGGATTTTAAAAATAGAAAAAAGCTTATAAAAATTCAAAAAAAAAGTTTTTGTACAGCTATACAATATGTTTGTTTTGGGCTAAGTGTTATTACAAAAGAGTCCAAGTTAAAAAAAATGTTTAAAGATTATAATGTAAAAAAGTTGTAAGCTAAGGTTAATTTATTATTGAGGAGAATATTTTAAAATAAATTTAGTATAGCCTAAGTGTTTAGTGTTTATAAAGTCTACAATAGTGTACAGGAATTCTTCCAGAGCAGCTTCCAGTCCCCTACAAATAAAGAACAATTGACTGATTGACTGATTTAGAGACAGAGTCTTGCTCTGTCACCCAGGCTGGAGTGCAGTGGTGCAATCTCAGCTCACTGCAACCTCCACATCCTGGGTTCAAGCGATTCTCATGCCTCAGCCTCCTGAGTAGCTGGGACTACAGGTATGTGCCACCACACTTGGCTAATTTTGTATTTTTAGTAGAGATGGGGTTTCACCATGTTGGCCAGGCTGGTCTTGAACTCTTGGCCTCAAGTGATCCGCCTACCTCGGCCTCCCAAAATGCTGGAATTACAGGCATAAGCCACTGTGCCCAGCCCTATTTTTAATATTTTATGCTGTATATTTACTGTAGCTTTTCTGTGTTCAGATGTTTAGATACACAAATATTTAGCATTGTGCTACAATTGCCTACAATATTCAGTACAGTCACATGCTGCATAGGTTTGCAGTCTAGAAACAACAGGCTACACCACACAGCCGAGGCGTGTGGAGGACTATACCATCTGGGTTTACGTAAGTGCGCTCTATGATGCTCACGTAACAATGAAATCACGGAATCTCTCTCTCAGAACATTTCCCCGTTGTGAAGCAGCACGTGACTATAATCTTTTCCCAGGTTTACCCCTGAAGTTCAAGTGCAATGCCCCTGCACAGCACAGAGCAGGGGACGATAGGAGGCGTGCCTTCTCCAGCTGAACCACCGGGCCAGCCGGGCGGGCAGTGGGGGTTGGGGGGAGGGTTGACCCATTGGTGCTGCCACGACCAAAGAGACAGGATCTTGGAGAGAGTGAGGCCTCTGTGCAGGGGACGATGAAGGCCCAATCTGGGGACATCAGGGAAAGCAGCAAGGGTCTGGCTGATTGTGCAAAAAGAACTTTTTCTGTGACTGCCGTGTTCCAAACACACCCTTTGCTTTTACAAAAACCCAAACTGGGAGGTTTAGCAAAAGGCACAGTTTCAGAGCATAATAAAGACAGAGCAGAATGGGAGAGGAGGTTAATCAAATGGGCCATCACTCAATGCAGGGAGGGGAGGGGTGTGCTCAGGACAACGCGTGAATGTCAGGAGATATCCAGCCACGTGCGTGCTGAGGTGAAGGCAAAGAGAGAGATTCCTACAAGATCTCCGTCTCCACCGTCCCCAAAAGAAGTCCCAGGAGAAGCTCCCTGGCCTCCTGCTGGCTGGGTATGGCTCCAGCTGGGGATCTCCTGGCACAGGGAGAGCTGTGCCTGTCCTCATGGACCTGGAGCTCCAGAGGCCAGAGACAGGGGCCTGACCTGGACTCTATGGGCTGGAGACGGCCTGTGGCTGGGTCCAGAGCAAACAGGAGTGTCACAGTCACCTTCCTTCCTCTGGGACTGCGAACTGTAATAAACTGAAGGCTGAGACTGACTCTGAGGAGCTGCCAGGGAGGCCGAGGCAGCAGCTCAGTCCCAAAATGGGCAGGTGGGCTTCACTCTGCTGCTTGGAGAGGCAGACACCCCCAGGCCAGCAGCTGAGGGCAGGAGAGGCTGGAATCCTGACCTCTCCCCACAGACACCAGGCAGTGGGCTGGGGTGGAGCTGGAGGTCAGCTCTGGCTCAGGTCTACTCTGCTTTAAACTCCTGTGGGACTCAGTGTCTTCATCCACACAATGGGAACAACCTAATTCCAACTTTACATGGTCACCTATCTTATAAAGGGAACGAGAGGTCTCCTTGAAGGAGCTTACCCAGATCACGAGTGGGAAGCAGCAGGACCCCAGATTCCCTCCCTGAGGCCTTCTAGCTCCCTGTGTTGCTGGCCATGCCTCCTGGGAGCTCAGAAGCCAGTCCCGAGAAAGTGAGCACTGCCCAGGAGAGGCCACCCCATGAAGAGGAGGGCAGTGCGAGGATTATGTTATGTCAGACAGACTTGGGTTTGATCTCCATTCTGCCACTTACAGGCTGTACAACTCATGGCAAGCCCCTCCCTCTCTCTGAACCTCAGTATTCCCATCTGTAAAACAACAGCATCAACCTCAGAGCTATTGTGCTTGGGGCGCCGGACAAGTACTTCATAAACATCAGCTCTTAGCTGTGGCCATGTCTGACCTTGAATCTGCCGAACTTGGGTCTGCTGAGAAGGGGATCTGACTGTATCCCTTAGAACCCAGAAAAGCCTGGAGATGTGGTACCTGGGAAGTTGAACCTGCTGTCCCGCTGGCCAGGTGAGGGGTTGGGGGGCGTGGTGGCGCTGGATGGGTTGGATGATGTCGGGAAGGGCGCCGGTGAGGAGGGTGTGGAGGAGGTGGTGGAGGAAGGGTTGCTGCTGGAGTCCAGGTGATTCATGGCCGGAGGGTGCTCCTGCAGGACCAGAGATGTTGGGAATGGCAGGGCTGTCCTGGCCCCACCTGCCTCCCACCAGCCACACCCTCCCTTCCCCATCTGGAAAGGAAGCAGTCAGCCCAGGGAATCCTCAGGGTCTGACATTTTACACATCTAACATTTGAGGAAGGGCAGCGCACAGAGGCCCTCGCCTCAGTGCTCACTCCCCGGGGGGCTCCTGCTCAGCTTTCTGATTTCAGCTCAAGCACACTCTTCCCAGAAGCCTTTCCTGCACCCTGGCTGGGACCACGCTCCTCCTCTCCATCCTGGCACAGTTCCCAGCAGTTTTTCATCAGGGCACCGTGTCTACTGCAGATGTCCACGGGCACTTTCCTGATGAAAGTCTCTCCCACTACCTTGTGTGTTCCATGAGGCCAGGGTGACCGTCACATACTCAGTGACTGGCTCTGAGCTGGGCACACATTAGCATTTTATAATGAATTAAGTTCAGGCTCTGATAAATGTTATATCATGTCTGCTAGGCACCAGGCACTCTGCCAGAAGTAGGGAGACCAATGATAAGCGAGAGGTGTACAGTCCTTTTCTTTGGAAACCTGGCTGAATCAAAGGCACTGTGAAGTCTTAGAGTCAAACTACAAAACCCTGAAAGAGGTGATGGCTTGGGCTAGTGCGGTCTGCCATTTTGGAGGGGTAAGAATTCTGGAGCTAGAAAGAACTTTCTAGAAGATGACCACAGGAGTTGGTTTGTCAGGACAGGCCTGGTTCACTCATGTTGTCCCAACTTAAATGTTAATGTCATCCCTTCCACACTCAAAGCAAGCATGCTCCCCCTGCTAATGGATCACATCAACCAGTGCTTGCCATGGGAAACACGTTTGGTGCCTAGTGAGACATCTTTAGGAAGCCCTTGGACACAACACAGAGGATGCTGCGCCAGGGAGGAGGGGCACTCTGTTTCCTATCTTGCTCTGCCTGAGAGAAGGCCTCGGCCTGAGCTGCTATGTCTTTAATGCCTCTCCAACACTGGCTCATTGCCCATTCAACAGAGTGAGGGCTTCAAGCTCCAAGCCTTAAGCAAGTGTGATAACCAGATGAAGCTTAGTAACTTTTTGGTTTTAACTGTGCTTGTTTTAATGATTACTTTCTATCTGTAGGGATCATGGTTTTTCCAATTACGATAGTGATGATTACATAAAAATGAAGTGTTATAAGTAAGTATTAGCCCAGGTGGTACCTGGTTCAGACAGAAACCATAAAGATGGTTTTCAGCTTTGATGAAGTTTGGGCGGCACTGATTATCAACTCAATCCACGCTACGTGCCACCATGGCCCCACTGCAGAGCTCAGGGGAGAAGGGCCCAGGGAAGCCAAGGGCTTTGCCCACGGTCATGGGAGATGGGCCTGGCATGATCCCGGCTTCAGGATGCCTGTGGCCATGGCTCCCCAGCCACAGCACAGAGGAGACCCCTGAGAACGGCACCAGCATCTCACAGCTCCGAGCAAGAGCCTGTGGGAGCAAAGCACCACCAGACAGGCCTGGGAAGGGAGGGCTGCTGCACTAGAAATGGAAAAGGGGGGCAAAGGGAGAATGTGGGGGGCAGGGAGCCCTGGGAAGGGAGGGCTGCTGCACTAGAAATGAGAAAAGGGGGGTGAAGGGAGAAAGTGGGGGGCAGGGAGAGAGGCCTAAGCTCCAGCTTCTCCCTGTGGCCAAAAAGAGCACTGGGTTTGGAGGCAGACAGACTGGAATTCTCAGCCAGCTTCCACCACCACTTAGCTGGGTGACTCTAGGCAACTTCCTCCACCTCTCTGAGCTTCCATTTCCTCAACCACAAAAATAAAACATCAACACCTATGTCAGAGCGTTACTGCGCTGATCAGTAGCATCACAAAGGTGGGAGTGTGTGGTACATAGCAGGTGACTAATACATGTTTGTTCCACATTCTTTTGCAGACCTGCTAGCTAGGAGCACCCAGAAGTTTGGGTCCCAGCAAGGCCAAAAGACCAACAGAGAGAGGGCTCCAGGGGGATTCTACATTAGGCAGGACCCTGGATCTGACCAGTGCTTCCTGAATGCAAACATCAATTCCCCTGGGGGTGGGAGAGGAATTATTGGTTAAAGAAGTTGAGGCCAAGTTGGGTTAAATGCTAAGTTCAACAGGTTTATTTGCTGCAGGCTGTGAAGGCTCTGGGGTACACAGTGACCTCTGGAATCTACTGGCCAGGGATAGTTGACATCATGTGGTGCCAAGCTAGAAGTGGGAGCTGGATCCACTGAGCCCTCCCTCTTCTCACTCATGCTCCAAGGCTCAGGACCCTCCATCAGTCCCTCTGTGATCCTGGACAAATGATCCAACCTTTCAGAGCCACTGTATAGTATGGGGGTAACAGCTGCCAGGTCATAGCGTTGTTCAATCATTCAACAATCAATATGCTGGTTTCCTGACTGCCTATTTTGTGCTTGGTGCCAACGAGAGCAAGACAGCATCACTGGGCCCTCAGGGAGCATCTGTGCTGAAGGGGAATGTGGGGTGGGCAGGGGTGGAGGGGCAGGTAGCGGGAAAAGAGGTCAAAGGGGAACAGGATAAACACCTCTCAGCACCATGTGTGGCCCCTAGTGAGAACTCAGTAATGGTTAGCTTATGTTATCATAGCAACCTTCAGTGGGATCCTGGAGGGCCACTGCTCTCAGAGATGAGAGGCCTCTGGCACCACCACTGTATGGACTTAGAGGTCGAGCAGGTGCACGCAGGAGGGGCTCATGGGGAAGTTGGGACAGAGAGAGAGTGCTGTGAGGAGGGCTGAGGGGTGGTGTCCAGGTGGGTGGAGATGCAGGACTGAACATGATGGGCAGGTGGTCGTGCAGGACCCACAGGCATGGGGGGTGTGCTTGGTGTAGCTGGAGAGGAGAGGCAGGGGCAATTATGACATTGTTGGCAATGGGGGCAGGGGGCACTGCATTCCTGCTGAGGAATTGATCCTATCTGTGACGGGCTGGGAAAATAATTACTAGTTGATGATATGGTACTGCTCCCTACAAGTTCATGAACATTCTCTCTTTACCCTTCAAATACCCTGTGAATGAAGCATTAGTAACCCCAATTTACAAAGCAGAAAGTGAGGCTCAGAGAGGTCAAGTGGCTCACTCAAGGTCATGGAAGCAAGAGAGGAGTTGGAACTCAAAGCCAGGGCTGGGCAGCTGCTGTGGTCTGAATGACTGTGAACTCCCACAACTCACATGCTGAAACCCTAGCACCCAAGGAGGTGGTACTGGGAGCTGGAGCCTCTGAGAGGTAACTGGGTCATCAGGGCAGAGCCCTCAGGAACAGGACTGGAGCCCTCATGGAAGGCCTCGAGGGAGCTTGCTGGGCCCCTCCACCATGGGAGGATGCGGCACGAGTGACATCTGTGAGAAGGTGGACCTTCCCAAGACATCGAGCCTACTGGCACCTTGATCTTCCCAGCCTCCAGAACCATGAGAAACTAATTTCTGTTGTTTTTAAGCTACCCAGTCTATGATATTTTGTTACGGTAGCCTGAACACACTAAGACAGGACCCTATCATCTTTCCCGCTGCCTCCCCATTCTGGGTGAGAAGCTACCACCAGAGGGAAACGAGAGGCAGGAGAGAGGACAGGTGCAGGCCCATGGCAGACTGTCAGGCCTGGGGCAGCCGGCCTTCTTGTCTGACAGTAAGAGGTGGCCCTGGCTCTCTCAGAGCAGCCACTGAAGCTGTATCTTCAGGGTCCCCAGTATGAATTGGCCACATTGCCTGTCTTTCTCTTCCGGCCTGAGCCACATGGCCAGCCACAGCCACGGGGCAACTGGGCACATGCTCATCGGGGGGGCACACGCTAAGCCCCTGGTCTGGGGCTGCAGGTAGAACACACTTAAAAATACACAGCCAAAACCACAGCAGCCAGAAGCCTGCACCCAGCAGCCAGCCAGGATGGGAGCTGCTGTCAGAAGCCATCAGCACTGGCACCTCCCAGATGCCAGGCATACCTGTGCAAAGAGGCCCATGACAGGTGTGCCAACCCTCCTGGGGGACACAGGCTTTGCAGACTCTGTCTAGCTGCAGAGGACACCCGTCTGCCTCAGCAGAGAAGCCTGACCTGGCTATGGATGGAAATGCACTCTTTGTATTACTTTTGGGTGCATTCTTGTGAGGGCAGCAAAGCCTTGCTCGGTGGCTGCCATGGCAATTGCTTTAATGAACAACTGAAGGTGTATCTGCTGCACTGTGACTAAGGGCCCAGGTTTTGGGGCTGGGCAGCTGCCGAGGCTACCACTCTGGGATTGTCTCTTGCTCTCGGGATGCTGTGCTGTTTTCTCACCTGTGAAATGGATCCATATGTACCCTTCAGAACTATTGTGGGGCTCAAATGAAACAGCAATGGAAGAAGTTTCCAGTACACACTAAGCACACAGGAAGTGTTAGCTCAAAGGAGAAGGGACTGGGAATCACGGCTGTACCACCACAACTTAAATGTAAAGCCTCCTAGTGGCTCAAGATATGATCCCCAAGGCCACCCTCTGGCCACAAATCTGAGACGGTGGTGTCATGCCAAACTTCCCCACTGAGCCTCTGAGGCAGGGGTGCTTTATAGGAAGGAAGGCCAGTGGCAGAAGGGCGTCCTCCCCAGCATTACCCAGCGTACCTTCTTTGTCAGTGCTTTGGGGAGGGTTCCAAAATGGGGTTCGGCTGCTCTGTCCACCGGGTTGTTGATGTCCGAGGGGACAGATTCTGTCCTCCGAAGCCGAGTTACTGTTTGAAAAGAGGGAAAACCCATCACCAGGGAACAGGTCAAGCTAAAGATTCACCCAAATCCAGAAGGCAGAGGAGAGGAAGGCAGAAAACTCACGTGGCAGGAAGGATATTCTACAGGCAGGGGCTTCTTTGGTACATTTGTTGTGACACTTCAACCTGGTAAAGAAGGGGAGGTTGGTGTGCAAAGCACCACATGGGGGGGCTCAGGCACACAGGGGTAGCTCTGTGTAGCATTCACTCAGGACTGTCTCCATTTTCACACACTTCTCAACAAATGTTAGCTCGAAAGTAGAGAACATCATGATATTAATAGTAATAGCAGCTGCTACACTGAGCCACTATGCTGAGCATTTACCACGTTCTGCTGTCATCTATCCATCCTCACAGCAAAGCAGGTCTCATGATGCCCACTTCGACTTGCCCCAGGTTGCCCACCTATTTTTCCTTTGTAAAGAAAAGGAGACCCTCTACCCATATTGAAAAAGCTCAAGACAAATCTGAACTTACAAAAAAAGAATTAGACAGATAATGTTTGCTTTACCAAAGAATCCCAGGGACCCAAAGGGCAGCCCCTCCGGCTACATTTGTGCAATGGACCGTGAGGTCTGAGGGTCAGCCCCGGGCCAGGATTGGAAAGAACTGGATTCTCACTGTGGTCCTGCCTTCTGCACTGAGTCTTAGATTTCTCACTAATGGGCTGAGGGTGTCCTATCAACCTCATACTGCACCGCAGGACAGCCCTGGGCTCAGAGGTCATCCTGTGCTCCCCACATGATGGGAGCTAGAGGTCCCTAATGTAAACCAAGTGGCCAGGAGCCACAGGAGACCCAGACTAGAGAGAAAACTCAGCAACTCCCTAGAGGTCAGGAGAGTCGCTGGGAAAGTAATGGGTCCAGCTGATATGCACAAGACCCACCATCTACGGTCTGACTGGAGCCCAGATGCAATCACACATACTAGCTCAGGTTCTCAGAGCCATCCCCATGGTTGATGTATACATTAAAAATCAGGCCCAGAAAGGCAAGTGCCTTGCCCCAGATCACACAGCAATGCAGGGGCAGAGTGGGCTGGGCACCGAGCCTCCGAGGCCTCCCTGCATTAGGTGAGGACAGCCGGACAGCAGGGGACACACTCTGCCTAGCCCACACTGTTCCCTATCCTTGACCTTCCTTCCCACCAGAAACCACAAGGCATGAGAAAATAAAGTTGGACTTGTACAGAATCTGTACCCTCTGCTCACTCTCCCCTTCCGCAAGCCAACTCCCTGTTTTTACCATCGCCTGTCTGCCACCTCTCGAGGGCTACAAAATGCAAGGCTAAACTTCAGAACTCCTTACAGGTCCCAGAACAGTCCTCATATTCCTCCAGGCCTTAGTACAAGATGCACCCATGGCCTGGAATTCTCTTTTCCCCTTGGTCTACCTTGTAAACTTCTATTCATCCTTCAAAGCCCACCTCAAGTATTCCCTTCTTCCAGGAGTAACTTGCTTAGTCTCCCTGAAGAGACCTGATCACTCCCTGGTGTGCTGAATAGGACTATGAATAGCAAGCATAGGGAAGCGCATTTGATTTACTGAACTAAAAGTGTCTGCTCCCCCCACCCCCACTCCTCTTCCCATCACCTGCAATGCTTGCACTTCACTCCAAATATCATGCTCTTCTGGCACACGTGGCAGACCTGCGACAGCCAGGACTTGGTGGAGAACCTGCAGAGGGCGGACACAGGCACATGTTTGCACCAGCTGGGAGGCCAAGGCCCAGCCACAGAAGGTTTCCCATGGAGCTCCAGGGCAACTGGGAGTCTTGGCTCCATCCCAGAGCCCCTTGGCCCCCTCCCAGAGAGGACAGAGATACCCACGGGCCACTGCTTCTCCCCTCACATTTAAATTTCCCAGATGCAAAGTCATCATTGTCAATATGCTGAAGTTGGTGTGGTCATCTGGCAGTACCAATTTGGCAGCAGCAATCAAGAGTACAAGTGCGCATACCCTTTGACCCCACAGTTCTTAGGAATTCTTAGGAATTTATCCAACACATAGGCCCACATGTGTTGCAAGATATATGGACAAGGTATGCCTGCAGCATGTTAGCAGCATAAAGACGGAAAATAACCTATGTGTCCATCAATAGGAGCTGACTAAAATATGGTCTTTCCATACGATGGAATACTATGCAGCAAGAAACTAAAACAAGGACGCTCTTTCTGTGCAAATACGGAATGATCTCCAAATCACATTGTCAAGTTAAAAAAGTAAGGTACAATAAGATATGATCCCATTCACACGAAGTTCAAGTACAGGAAAAAAACTAAGCTATGACAATAGAAGTGAATAGTAACCACTGGATGGTAGCACTGTCAACTAGGGAGAACTAAAGGTAACTTTCTGGGTGCTGGAATGTTCTTCATCTTCATCTGGATGGTATACACAGGTGTGTGTGTATGAATACATAAATTCACATACACACACACACTTGTGCATTTTGCTCTACATAAATTGTATCTCCATTTTTGAAAAAACAGAGTATAGGATTGTGTATAACATATGCAGTATTTGAGTAAAAAATAAAGGAGGAAACATATATACATATTTGTTTGTATAAAATATCTCTAGAAGACAACACACAGCTAAGACCTCTTTAAAGAGGGGGTTGAGGAGTTGGGGACAGGAACAAGAGGGCAATTTTCTGTTGACGTTTCAACGTATCAGTGTATTTTCAATCCAAAATGTAGAACATTAAAGAAAACACGAAAGATAGATTTGAAGGAAGGATGGGGGCTGAGTGGGTGGTGTCCTCCAGAAAAAAAGTGCAAGGCTGGTCCACAGGGTGGGGAGGCCTAAGAGCAGAAATAACTCATATTTTTGGAAACACAGATTTTTTTTAACGTATATCACAGTAACAACAGAATGAATGCCAACAGTATTTAGGAAGTAGTTTGTAATGCATCCACCAACACTAGCTCATTTGATTCTTATGCCCATGCCAGGGAGTGAGGCAGGTCCAGGATTCTTAGTGTGCAGCCAAGGAAACTAACTCAGAGAGGTCAGGTGATGTTCCCAAGGTGCCACAGTTGGGATGCTGTGTAACAGGGTCTGGATCCCAGCTCTCTGAACTTAAGAGTTACAGAGCTTCTCGGTAAGAGATTCCACTGGTCCAGCAGAGGCCAAAAAAGGCCCCGAGCACAAGGGAAAGAGAACAGACTCTGGGGGCAAACAGCTAGGTTTGAATTCTGCCTTCTGCCTACTACCAGCTGTAAGATGCCTCAGACACCTCTGCAAATAGGGTTAATGCTAAGCCTCACAGGATTTGGGAAGGATCACAGATACGCCGTGTAAATGGAAGGTAGCAGAGATCCATAAATGTTACTCTCTCCACCCAACAAAGATGGGAGCTTCCGGTGGCAGGGGACGCCAAACTGCATGGCGTGCCTTTTAAGGAGTTGCGATCCGGCCTCCCCAAGATGCAACCAGGTCTGTGGAGGCTCACACATGCACACGTGCTGTCTCCCTCACTGGGTTTTAATTACTTCTCACATCAACACTGGGGGTGAGGGGAGCAAGAACCTTAGGGGTGGAGCCCGGGAATCTGGATTTTCAACAAGCTCTACAGCGGACTCTGATATGCGGCCAGTTTCAGGACTCATGTGACATCGCACTGGATGTAGGGAAGCTCCTGTGACTCCTTCCCATGACCCTGACCTTATTTCTCCCGGGACCTGTGTCCTGGGAAAGAAGGAAAGTGTTTTCCCTAAGCAGAGTGAGGAAGAGACCCGAGGAGGTGCAGATGAGGGAGCTGCAAGTCCATGTGGCCACCCTGGCAAGGTGAGGGCTCCAGGTAAGTGCAGGGCCATGTCCCACAGGTGAAATGGACAGGCCCGTCAGAGGCAAAGAGCTCGCTGAGAAACAGTGACCAGAACTCCTGGCCCCATCTGGGTACCAGCCCGGCTGTGCCCTGCTCCCCCTCCAGGCCCGCTGTGCCTACCTGTGCGTCACCGACAGCCCGATATCCCTCCGTACCATCTGTGGGGATCCATGCGAGAGATCTGCAGGGAAAGAGGCCGGATGGGCAGGCTGAGGAACTCCGCAGGCGACAGCTCGTGCCCATGACTTCCTAATTCAGAGACCACAGGCTAGAGGGGGGCGCAATGGTTTATTATATAAGCATCTCCCTGATCTATGTCCATCAACACAGGAGCAGGCCAGGCTAGCCCAGTGGCATGGTGTGGTTCCCCTCGCCTCGCTTGGTCCTCTAGCTTGCTCCTGGCCTCTGAGGATGGCTCAGTCAGCTGCCCCTGTGATGTTTCCAGATGAGGAAGAAGGCAGGCTGGAGAGGCAGAAGGCAAAGCCAGAGTGAGGGCAGAAGCTTCTACACAGCCCAACCTCTTGCAACCTCTCACCGACACACCACAGGCCCCCAGTGTGCAGGGGCTCAATTCTGGGTATTTCCTGGTAAATGGCTGAAGCTGTTTACCTCAGGTGGAGGGCCGAGGCTAGCCAGCCCATCCAGTGCCTTTCCAGGCAGAAGCCCCTGGAGGATATTCCTCTGGGAGAGGCCACTGCCAGATATGGGCAGATAGAACGAGGACAAGGTGAAGCTTTACCACATTCTCGAGTGGGCCAGCCCCACCCAGGTACAAGCCTGAGCCTCTGGGGACTTCTTGGGCACCCTCCTTCTCTGCTGAGATAAGGGCCATACGCTTTGGGATGCCCCTGCTGCTGGCCTTCCGGAGGACGTTCCCTCTCCCAGCCTGGGATTCCCCGTAAGAACAGGCATCCCTAGTGCAGTAGACAAGCTGCTGGAAGCACTCTCTCCACCCACCGGCAGCCCGCACATTCAACTCACGCCCCCATACTCAGCGCCATTGCCTCCCAGAGCCAGCCCATGGGTGGGCTTCGGGGGTCCGGGAACCCTCTGGACTGGTTCAGTAGAATGTTGTAGACTTTTCTCTGGAAAGAAGATCTAAGACTTTCATCCAATCATCAAGGTGACCTGTGACCCAGAAAGGTCAGGAACACAGTGCTCGAGTGTGGCCATCTCATGTCCTCTGAGTCAGAAGGTCCCCCGAGGGTGGCCACTGCCCCCCTCAATCCCAAGTGCTGGTCTAGCACAAAGCTGGACTCATGAAGTGCTGGTTCACTTGAGGCCAAGTACCACATAACCAACCTCCATGAGAAGGGTGTGCTGGAGGTACTGAGTCCTCCCACATCAAGGAGAGGGGGATAGGAACAATCTATCTCACCCGCAGCTCTCCCTGGCACATCTGCCATGAGGTTGACTTGTCCCAACTTCCTCCTGGGGCTCACCCCACCCATCAGCAGCCAAGACCACCAAAACACATGGGCATGACTGGGCGCAGTGGCTCACACCTGTAATCCCAGCACTTTGGGAGGCTGAGGCAGGAAGATCACCTGAGGTCAGGAGTTTGAGACCAGCCTGGCTAACATGGTGAAACCCCGTCTCTATTAAAAATACAAAAATTAGCCATGTGTGGTGGCAGGCACCTTTAATCCTGGCTACTCGGGAGGCTGAGGCAGGAGAATTGCTTGAACCCGGGAGGCAGAGGCTGCAGTGAGCTGAGATTGCACTACTGCACTTCAGCCTGGGTGATAGAGCGAGATTTCGTCTCAAAAGAAAAAATAATTAAAAAACACATGGGGCCAAAGGTGCCAGCTACCAGCCTAGGAGAAACAGACTATGTTGGAACTTCAATCAATTAGCCCCAAAAGCCACCTTATGATCTGCACCAACTTCTGGGGGCATGGGCAGTGAGGTGGTGTATGTGCCAAGCACCGCCTCCATCTGATCTGCATGGAGACACTGGCCCTGAAGGCCTAATAATCTCACTGCTCCAGTCCCCGTGTTACCACAGCAATTGGAGGATGACAAGGCTGGGGCTGTCCTAGAGATGGGGGTGTTGAATGTTCCTCCAAGGTTCTGTGAAGGGCCCTGGGAGTTTCTGCCCGGGCACTAAGGGAGGGAAGTGTAGCTCCTCTTCATGCTCCCCCTGTGCCTCCCTGGGGTTCCTACAGCCAGCTCCACTTCAGCATAGTCCCTGCCTGCTGTACCCCTCCTCATCCCCAAGACCCCGCCCACAGCTACGTGACTCTCCTTAGCCAGCTCGGGATAGTACAAAAATAAACTCCTATTTTGCTCAGGCAAAAACCAGACATCTCTGCATTTCCAGACAATTAAAAGCAGACTCCAGAGGCACAGCTGTCTCCCTCCGCTCTGACTCATGAGAGAGGCCCCACAGCATAGCCACGTGCAGGAACGTGCTCCCAACCTGGAGGTGGGGGTGGGAAAGGGGGTCAAGGGTTGCCCAGGTGTCCTCTCCTCCCAAAGGGGCTTCTGCATCTCCCATCTTTTGGGGCCTCATTCAGAGCTGCGCTACATTTCTGCCTCCAGGAATGTCCCTTTCCTGAAGAGTGGGATCCCAGGACATCAGGTGGGGTTCTGGAGATGGCTAAAGTCTAGCGAAATCAGGCAGATGGCACCGCCTTCCCAGGGGTGCTGCTTTACCGTGGCAGCCCAGCAGGCCAGAGTCCCTGCTGGAGAGTCTCGGTGGGGAAGGGCAAGGTGGAGACAGGGCTCTTCATGGGGCTGCCTGTGGGCTGAGATGTGCTCAAGGTCTCTGATTCTCAGAGAGCAGCCACCAGCTGGGCTGAAGCCAGCCAGTCACTTTAAGGCCACCTGTCTTAGGGCTATTTCCTGAGGTGGTCACCAGCACCTCTGCTTCTGGACTATGGAGAGGCTGAACGGGCTAAGAGGTGGGTCAAAGAGGTCCACCCCCGATGGGGACAGCAACGCACACACGACTCCCAGGTGGTAGAGGGGATGGAAATGAATCTCTCTTACCAAACCTGGAGGAGACAAAAAGCAGAGAGGGGGATTACGTCACCACGCTGGCTCGGCGTGTTCCTAGAACACTACCCTTGGGCGGGAGCAGGCAAGGGGCTGGGACGTAGGACTCTGAGGCCTGGCTTGAGGCCAGACTGGCTGATTGACTCTGGGAACCCCTGCAATCTCTGTGGGGACATTTCCTCAATGGAAAGGACTAGAAGGGCATTCCCCAGGCCTCCCCAGGGGACATCTAAACTCAGTGCTGTGCACTTTAATACATTAGCTTACGTAAGCCTCGCCAGCAACCAAGCATGGTAATTAGAGTTCAGCCCATTTCACAGTCAAGAAAACTGAGCCTCAGGAGGCTCAGTAGGTCACATGGCTCACAGTGGGAGAGCCTGGCCCAGAGCCAGGCAAGAAAAGGGGTCAGTCAGCTGGAGAGACCAGGCCTGGTGGCTCATGCCTGTAATCCCAGAACTTTGAGAGGCTGACACGAGTGGATCACCTAGGTCAGGAATTCAAGACCAGCCTGGCCAAGGTGATGAAACCTTGTGTCTATTAAAAATACAAAAATTAGCCAGGTGTGGTGGCACATGCCTGTAATCCCAGCTACTCGGGAGGCTGAGGCAGGAGAATCGCTTGAATCCGGGAGGTGGAGGTTGCAGTGAGCCGAGATTGCGCCACTGCACTCCAGCCTGGGCAGCAGAGCAAGACTCCTTCTCAGAAAAAGAAAAAATAACTATCAGTTGGCAAGGGTGTGGCTGGACAGGAGGGCAGAGATAACAGCTGTGCAGAGCAGAGGTAGCCCCTGAAAGGAGAGTCAGGCAGGGACACACCCTGAGCCTCCCCAGGGGGCAGCCACTGCCCCTGAGAACACATGGAGCTGGAGGAAGCAGAGCACTCAGGGGTCACCAGAACAGCGAGGTGGCCTGAGCGTCACGTCAGTGCTGGTTCTGGTAGCTCTGCAGGGACTGGACTCAGAATCCCAGGGTCTGAGGCTCAGTCACTGGCTGGAGTTTGAGGCTAGTTGTGTCATCTGCCTGAAGCTGTGTCCCTGCCACCTTCTAGCATGGGAATGAGACCACAGCTTTCCTAATGCTCTTCTTGGGAGAAGACAGAAACACAGGGACTGGGTTGAGCCCACTGTGAGGCCTCCTCTGACTGACCCATGTTCGTGTGGCCATCATCACTGCATTCTACAGCCCCTTCTGGGTGGGACCCAGGCCCCAGCAGGACAGCCCGAGTGGGAGCAGCAGGGTCGGTGACACCTGGATCTCTCCTCCTTGGGCAGCATACTCAAACCCATCGGAGCTGTCCAGGCTCCATCCCATAAAGGACCCTAACAGCATGCACTGGGAGAGGGGATCAGGCCCGTTCCAAAGATGACTCCAAGGCCCAAGATACACCAGGGCCCAAGGAACCCCCTAGAAAAAGGGTGCCCTTATTGCTTCTCGGCCTTTTGGCTAAGATCAAGCGTAGGAAAGGGGTGCCCATGCCGAGGAGAGAAACCAGGTGCCCCAATCCTCAGGGGTACAAGAAGGTAAGAGGCACCCAAGGAAAACACTCCCTTTCTTTCTGTGCTGCCAAGGGTATACTGACAAGGGCAATCTTTGTAACAAAAAAGACAATGATCTAACGCCCATCAAGAAGGGACAAGATAAACTATACAACGAAATAATATGAACAAGTCAAACAAATGGGGTTTAATTAATTATAGACATACACAAAACTGCTAGCCTGGTTGGCTCCTGAAAGGGGAACCCTGTGACTGAATAAAAATGGTGGGGTAGAGTTTTCACCACGTACCCTGAGAAGCCACAGAGCTGCTGCGCTTTGGACCATGTGACTGTCTCACTTGTTCAAAATATATAGATAGAAAAATTTGTAAGTCAAAAACTAAACAAAAGAGTAAAACATTCCAAGATGTACTGACATGATGTTCTCAGAGATACCAAGGGAAGTTGAAAAAACAAGTCATGGGACAGAGTAGATGGTATGGTATCTGACAGTCACTAGTGGTTTCTGCCAAATATTCCAGTTCTCCCCTCCTGGGCGTGTGGGCAAAGAGCACTGTTTCATTCTCCTGTTCAGGTTGGGCCAGGAATGGTGGGTGGAACTTCCAAGAAGGAGTACGCAGCTGCCAGGGCATGACATCTGGAACTCACTTCTCCCTCTGCCACCGTGGCCAGCAATGTTCAGACAGTCTGGGCCCGGAAGGAGGCTGACCCATGATGGACAAGATGGACAAGGCGGCATGAGCAAGAAACAAATCTTTGTTCCTTTAAGACCTGGTGATTTGGGCATATCTGTTATTTCTGTGTAACCTGGCCTACCCTGACCCATACGTGGCATCACGTCATGTGCATGTACGTGTACATACAAAACCAAATCTAGAAGGATTCAGCCCACACCACTAAAGTAGTCTGAGGAATGGACTGAAAGATGGGGGCACCTTTTACTTTTGACTTTACACACGTCTATAGGGGTTGATTTTATTGGTCCTTCCATATATCTTTATGATTAGAAAACCACAGAGGGCACTTTTGGTAGCTGCCCAGAAGGAGCACTCACCTCATCGAGGAGACGTCATCAATGCGGTTCCCCAGCTGAGACTCATGGGACTTGCTCCGGGTGAGTGTGGGGAAGCTGGGCAGCAGCTGGAAGACCTTGCGGCTGGGTGGGGGGGGCGTCCGTGGTGGCTTCAGCTTGGTGTGCCGTCGCAGCTGGGGTGTGGTGGGCGGGGTGATGAAGCTGTGCAGGGCACGGGGGGTCAGCCGGCCGCTGGCGTGCAGGGGAATACAGGTGTCTGAGAGGCCCTCACTGAAGCTGGGGGTGGGGGAGTCTGAGGCGGGCAGAGCTGACACGGAGATGGAGCGTGGGCCCTGGGCGCTGTTGCCTGCTCTGCCCAGCTGGGAGCTCCCTGGGGGCCAGGGCAGGCTGGCTGCTGAGAGGGTGTCCGTGGAAGGCCCTGAGCCACTTTCCCGCCGCGCATCCAATGAACTCCAACTGGAGTCCTCCTTGTGCTCCCCTCCTGTGGACCAAGACGTGGAGTCACAGATGGTCAGGGCTGGAAGGAATTCACAGGGGAGATGGCTAGGGGCCAGAGATGTTCAACACCTGGTGTGAGGCTGCACTGTTTCTTAAGGGAAGGCTTCAACTACCAACCTTTACCTGGTTTATAAAGGCCGCTCACTCATGCGCACACATTATCTAGCCAACCATGAGGCCCTCGGCGCAGATACTACCACAGGTTGAGCATCCCTAATCTGAAAATCCAAAATCCAAAACGCTCCAAAACTTGGGAATTTCTGAGCACCGACATGACACTCACAGGAAATGCTCATGGGAGCACTCTGGATTTGGGGATGGGGAATGCTGAACAGGTAGGCATACTGCAAATGCTCCAAAATCTAAAAAAACCCAGACTCTAAAACACTTCTTGTTCTAAGCATTTCAAATAGGGGATACTCAACCTGGATCTCTGTTTTACAGAGGAGGAAGCACAGCCCAGAGAGGAACTGGCTCGTGCAGGGCTCTTATGGGCAGGTCTTGGGGGAGCAATCCAGGAAACCCACCCCAAAAGTGGGGTGACCTCAGAAACCGAAGGGGTGACCAATCTTTAAGAGTTAGGAAAGGGAAGCTGGGTGTGTGAAGGAAGGAAAAACTCCACTTTAAGAAAATTCAAACATTGGGACGAGGGGCTATTCTGAGCATCCAACAGCAAAGTGCTCTGGGGCTTGTGAAAAAAGATCCAGGAAGAAAGGGATCAACAGCCACTTCCTTCTACACCAGCCTTCGAGTGACTGTGGGCTGCCCCTACCATGATCCTGTGCCTGAGGCCCCCGAGGCTTGTGTGGCTCTGTAGTGTTTGAGCTACAGCCATTCAAGCACATGCTGGATGCTGGGTGGAAAGGCCTAAAAAGACCCATCCTTGTGCTTGTAGAGTCGAATGGGCATGACAGGCACATAACACACTATGTATGCTCTGTGCCAGGACAGGGGGCTCTGCAGAAGAGCAGACCTTAAATCAGCTGTGGGGGTGGAGAGAGGGAGTGTGCCAGGGAAGGTTTCCCAGAGGAGGTGGCACCTGGGAGCCACCTATGAAGCTAGCTCCACATGAGCCAGCTATGGAAGAAGGTGGAGAAGGAGCACCAGGCAGAGGGAACAGCATAATGGGAAGGTAAGGGCATACGGCACCTTCTGGTCACTACGAAGAGTTCTGTGTGCTGTCAGAGGTAAGGACAAGCTGGGGAGAGGCAAGGGATGAAGCTGGGGGGGTCAGCCTAGTGGGGCCAGATCAGGAAGGGCCTTGAATGTCTTGCTAAGAACTTTAAATCTCATATTGAATTGTAATCCCAATGTTGGAGGTGGGGGCTGGTGGGAGGTGACTGGATCATGGGCGTGGTTTCTCATGACTGTTTTGGCACCATCCTCTTGGTGCTGTTCTCGAGAGAGTGAGTTTAAAAGTGTGTGGCACCTCCCTGCCCCCTCTCGCTCTTGCTTTTGCTCCTGCTCCTACACTGTGGGACGCCTCACTCCCCCTTGCCTTCCGCTATGCCTGGAGCCTTCCCGATGCCTCTCCAGAACCAGAAGCTGCTATGCTTCCTGGAGAGCCTGCAGAACCATAAGCCAAGTAAACCTCTTTTTTATATAAATTATCCAGTCCTGCAGATCACCAGGTCAGGAGTTCGAGACCAACCTGGCCAACATGGCAAAACCCTGTGTCTACTAAAAATACAAAAATTAACCAGGTGTGGTGGTGCATACTGGTAGTCCCAGCTACTTGGGAGGCTGAGGCACAAGAATCGCTTGAACCCGGGAGGCAGAGGTTGCAGTGAGCCAAGATCGCGCCACTGCACTCCAGGCCGTCTCATAAATAAATAAATAACCAATCCAGTTTCAGGTATTTCTTTACAGCCTGTGAGAAGGGACTGACGCACCTGTATTGCACAAGCCCTGCCTCCCTCCTCCCTCCCGCAATATCTGTTCTTCTCCCCAGTGTACAGTGGAGGTCACTGTGACTCAGGGAGGCCACAGACACTGCCCAAGGCCAGAGAGCTAAGAAAGTGGTGGGATGGGAATTGAAAACATCGATCTCAGCACCGTGCTCCCCACCTTGCCCCCGACAATGCTACTGATTCTGAATAACCTAGAGCGGAACAGCTGTGGGAGGTAACAAGCTCCATCAGAGGTGGTCAAGCCACTTCTCAAGAATAGGGGGGATGAATTAGCCTTCCCAATTCATAAGTTTCTTTGCACATCCCATCCCCTCTTCAAACACCCTTCCTCCCACCTGACTGCAGTGACTTTCTATTCAGGAACCGACTAGACAGGAGTTGCTCAGTCCCTGTGCTCCCATACCGCTTGCTCCTTACGAGCTACAGCCATGACTGACACTGTAGCTCATAGACTGGCCTACTGGAGGCACCAAACAGGTTTCTTATTGAGCAGATGAAAGGATGAATTTCATGAATCTATGAGTAAGCCTGCTACCAAAGGGAGCAAGCTTGCCACCAAAGGAAACAAGCCCCAAAGTTGCAAGTTGCCTATTTAATCACCACTGCTCTAGGCCCACTTGAGGATGGCCAGTGGGTCTTGATGTGTGCACCGACACCAGCTGATTGGCAGTGGCTGCTTGAGAATGACACTACAGTCACACAGAAACATCTGTGGGTTAGTGATATCTGCCTCGGGTGAAGGATTGGGAGGATCAGCAGGAATGTTCATCTCCTATTCACCAGCACAGACAACCATCCTTCACTCACTTTTTTTTTTTTTTTTTTTTTTTTTTTTTTTTTGGTGAGACAGCATCTGGCTCTGTTACCAAGGCTGGAGTGCAGTGGTATGATCTTGGCTCACTGCAACCCCTATCTCCCAGGTTCAAGCCATGCTCCCACCTCAGCTTCCTGAGTAGCTGGGATTACAGGCACACACAACCACTCTTGGCTAATTTTTGTATTTTTTGTAGAAACAGGGTTTTGCCATGTTGCCCAGGGGGGGCTTGAACTCCTGAACTCAAGCAATCAGCCTGCCTCAGCCTCCCAAATGCTGGGATTACAGGCCTGGGCCACCATGCCCAGCTGTTCACTCACCTTTCTTTAGACCAGAGATTGCAAAGGAAATGACTTCAACACTTTCTATCACCTCATAGGCCTCACACTGAAAAGAACATCTAATACATGCCAGGCTCTGATCTAAGGACTTTACGTTAACTCATTTCCTTTTCACAACAACCCTGAGAGAGGTGTCGTTATCACTGCCATTTTACAGATGAGGAAACTGAGGCAGAGTGAGGTGAAGTAACTCACCAAGGTCCCACAGGTTCTAAGTGGCCGAGCAGAGTGCTGGGCCCAGGCAGGGCCCAGGTGGTTTCATTCCATAGCCCACCTGTACTCTGACTAGACTGCTCTCACCAAGCCCCATGGGGATGCAATGAAGATGCTGTGATGCACAATCTAATGGGATCACTGGTACCCAGCGGATCCCAGCAGGTGCCCGTGAAGTGCAGCCAGCACTGGGCAGACGAAAGGCCGGTGTCCTGGACTGTGATGGGGCTAGGACTCTGCTGGGGATGCAGAGGCACCACAAGCTGAGACTAAATGAGAGAGAAGAAACCCAGAAAATGCTTCTTCTTCAGGGGCCTCCTCTAAGGCCTGCTGGAAAAAGCACCCTCTGAACAAGAAACCTGAGTTCAAAGCCCAGCTCTGCTCCATGCCAGGTGTGGGGCCCCAGATGACTCATCCAACGCCTCCAGTGGTCAGAGAGGCCTCAGCTACAAAGCGAGCTCAACACTACCTCTTACAACGATGTGGCCACAATATGTGTGTCACACGCCTGGCACACAGTAGGTGCATAAATTAGTGATCTCCCTCTCTTGGCATCTAGGACAGGTAGACAGCAGCCTGCATGACACAAATAGGTCACTACCACTTAAAAGCTGACTCTTCCACAATTCTTTAAAATCCAGGCATAAGGAGGAAGCAAAGAAGGGCTGACAAATTACCCCAAAGATCTCAGCTTGGGTGGCAAGCATGGGGACAAACCAATCGCCATCAGGGCCCAAGGTTCAAATTCTGGCTCAGCCACCAACTGCTGTGTGCCCTTACCCAAGCCCTTTCCCTCTCTGAGCTCAGTCTCCTGTAATATGTGAGAACAAGAACACCAGCCACACTTCTGTTGTGTTTATTTTCAGCATCTGCCGGGAGACCTGGCAGGTCAAGATTTTCTGAATTGAGTGCAACTTTCTACACTGTGCCGTGTTCAGAGGACTTGATACAATGAGGGCAGAGAGGAAATTAAGCCCGATCCTCTCTGGGAAGAAAAAACCAGGCAGAATATAAACCTTGGTGCCTTCCTTAAGCCTCAGGCAGACGGAGATAAGACAGGGGCCTCAGATAATTAAAAACCAGGCCTGATTCCATTCATGAGGCTTATTTTAATGCCTTATCTATGTGGTAGTGGGACCATTAAGTCAGGCATTTGAAGCTGTTTCCGACGCAAGATTTAGAAAGCCTGTGAATAATTCCCAAGGACCTCGTGGCAAGGCCAGGATTACACACTTTGCCTGGGACAGCCACGTACACACTCCCAGCTAAAGAGCCATAGAGTTTCCCTAATCACCCTTGGCTCAGGCCCACATCAGCATGTGCCTTCTGAGCACAGAACCCAGCCAGCAATGGGGACAGGAGAAGACGGGGAGAGGGCTGGGGGCTGGAATGTGGGAAGCTGGCAGAGGGTACACAGAGCCCTCAACAGAGAGGAAACCATGCCAGGCCAGCCCAGCCCAGCAGACAGGCCTGGGATTTCTAACCATGGCTGAAACCCCTCAGATTCGGCCTGGCCAGACCCACCAGGATCCAGAGCCCTGAGGACCCTGGGAGAGCTTCTCAGGAGGCTGTGAACATCCAACCCTGGCCTTTCCAGGCTGCCCCAGAAACCCTGGGCCACGCTTGCCCCGCTCCATCACCCACCATAGTGAAGGCCACAGCCCCAAGGGCACCAGGCCAGGCAAGGGAGAGGGTGGCAGGCCCCACGTACCCAGGCCTGTCACCTTCCGCAGGCAGGTGAGGGCATACTGCAGACGGCCACACTCATCCCCGCTGGCCCCACAGCGCCGCAGCGTCTCCTTCACCTTGGCCTCATTCATCTCCAGCAGGGCATCCAGCGTGAGGTCTCGGGGGATCTCCTAAGGGGACAGAGGGACAGGCAGAGAGGCGGTGAGCAGTCGGCTGGGCCGGGAGCCCCTCAGCCTCAGGCTGGCCTCCTGCTGAGTGGCAGGGGCCAGCTGCTGGCTGGGCCGGCCTCTGACCAGAGCCACCACGTGCTTGGGGACACAAGCAGAGCTCCCTGGCCCCCACCCTCCAGGCTCCCAGAGACAGCAGCTGAAGCAGACTCGGTGGGGGGTGAGGGGAGGAAGTAAAGACCAGAAAGGTTTGGACGAGGGCATGTTGCCCAGCTTGTTTCTTCTTACTCCTCTGCACAGAAAAAAAACAGCGAGTCATAACAACTTTTTAGAATGACGAGTACTTCAGACAAAGATGGCCCTTCACAATTTTGTTGTATCTGAATCAGATAAGAGAGATTTCAAATCAAACTGGCTCAAGAAAGGAAGGATTTAAAAAAAAAAAACAAAAAAACCTCACCAAACACTGCAGAGGCACTTACTGCCTCACCTGATTTCTATCAAAACTTTTCACTGGCCCCACCTGACAGATGAAGAAAGAGGCTCAGAGAGATTATGTCACCTGCACGAGGTCACTAGGCCATACGGTGAAGAAAGTGGCAGGCAGAATTTTAAGGTGGTCTTGTGACCTTTGTCCCCTGGTGTTGCTCCTGATCTTGTTACATTACAGAAGTCTCCCTCTTATCTGCAGTTTCAGTTACCAGCAGCCAACCATAGCCTAAAACTATTAAATGGAAAATGCCAGAAACATTCCAGAAATAAACAATTTATAGTTTTAAACTATGCACCATTCTGAGTAATGTGATGAAATCTTGCGCCATCCAGCTCCATCCCACCGGAGACGTGAATTGTCCCTTTGTCCAGCGTCTCCACACTGTCTCCACTCCCGGCCTGTTTGTCACTTAGTAGCTATCTTGGTTATCAGATCAACTGCCACGACCTCTCCCCACATAGGCACTTTATCATCTCACAGCATCACAAGATGAGGGGTGAGAACAGTACAGTAAGATATTTTGAGAGAGAGAAGAGAGACCACATTCCTGTAACTTTCATTATAGTGTATTGTTATAATTGCTCTATTTTGTTATTGTTGATTATTAATCTCTTACTGTGCCCAACTTACTAACTTTATCAGAGGTATGTATGTATAGGAAAAAACACAGTATACATCATATATATATATATTCAGTACTATCCATGGTTTCAGGCATCCACTGAGGGTCCTGGAACATATCCCCTACAGAAAAGGGGGTATTACTATATACAGCAAAAGGGAAATTATCCAAGTAGGCTTCATCCAATCACAAGAGCCCTTTAAAAGCAAAGGGTTCTCTTGAGCTGGTAACAGAGAAGTCAAGAGACCTGAAGCGTGAAAAGCAGACTTTGAAGGAGGAGGGGAATGGGGGTGGCCTCTGGGAAAAAAAGTAGCCCCTGGCTGACAGCCATTGAGGGAATGAGGACCTCAGACCTCCAGCCACAAGGAAATGGATTCTGCCAATAACCTGAATGAACGTGAAGTGGATTCTTCTCCAGAACTTCCAGGTAAGAGGAAGGCCTGGCCTACACCTTGACCTCAGCCTTGTGAGATCCCAAGTAGGGATATAAGCAGAGCCTGAGTGGATTCCTCCACCTAGAGAACCATGAGATGATAAGCGGGTGGTGTGTTAAGCTGCTAAATTTGTTATGAAGCAATGGAAAATACAAAGAATGAATGGTAGAATCAAGGCTCAGTGGACTTCAAAACTTGTGCCCTTTCCTCTCATCAGGGAGGGAGGAAACCTCTCCAGCTCTGACTACTTTGAGCCACATGACACTGTCAGAGGCACTGGAACCAGAGCCATTCCATCTTGAATAGGGGCTGGGTAAAATGAGGGTGAGACCTGCTGTGCTGCATCCCCAGGAAGTCAGGCATTCTTAATCATAGGGTGAGAGAGAAGGTCACAAGATACAGGTCACAAAGACCCCATGATAAAACAGGATGAGCTAAAGAAGCCAGCCAAAACCCACCAAAACCAAGATGGTATCCCAAGTGACCTCTGGTCTTCCTCACTGCTCATTATATGCTCATTATAATGCATTAGCATGCTAAAAGACACTCCCACCGGCACCATGACAGTCTACAAATGCCATGGCAATGCCCAGAAGTTACCCTATATGGTCTAAAGAGGGGGAGGGGCCCTCAGTTCCAGGAATTGCCTGCCCCTTTCCCAGAAAATTCACAAATAATCTACCCCAGTTTAGCATATGGTCAAGAAATAACCATGAAAATAGCTAACTAGCAGCCCTCAGGGCTGCTCTGCCTACGGGGTTGCTATTCTTTTGTTTCTCCACTTCTCTAATAAACTTGCCTTCATTTTATTCTGTGGACTCACCCAGGATTCTTTTTTGTGCAAGACTCAAGAACCCTCTTTTGGGATCCAGAATGGGACCCCTATATCCAGCAACAATACCAAACCTGGGACAAATATAAAAAACCAATGGGACATGCCTCTGGTCTCAAGTGGCCTACAGCCCAGTGGGAGGAGTGACAGACATTTAAACAGGTAACTACAATGCAGTAAGATGCGCACTAGAGCAGAGAGAGTTCAAAGAGCTATGGGACCAGATCAGACCTTTTTTTGTCTTTAACCCTTTCTATATTTTCCAGATTTTCTGTAACAGAGAAGGCCAGACATTCCACATCAAATGACTGCTATAAAGCTCACAGTTCTTGAGAATCTAAGCCAATCCTGATTTTTAGCAAGTTGTGTCTAATTTTACTTTTAAGGACTAATTTCATTGTCATTCCATTTACATGCTGTAATTCCTTGTCTCAAGCGTCAAAACTAACCCTAATGAAGATACTGGCTGAGTCCTGAAGGTATGAGGCCCAACCCATACCCCTCTCTCCCATAGCAAGGCTGGAGCTAGATGCCTGCCTTTCTGTATTTGTTTGTTTTTTACTGTACCCGCTGACGGCAGATGCTTTTGTAGCTTTTCAGTATATTCTTCAATCTTCAGGGCTGTAGGCAAGAATCACATCACCACTTAGCATGATCACACCAAAATAAAGCCAGACACATAACTGTACCAAGAAGCTCATCACTGGTTGGCCAAAACCCTGGTTGCCTTCCAGAAGATAAAACTAAAGTGTCACAGGAACCACTGATGAGAACGGCACCAGCAGGGGAGGCAGATTAGACAAATGGTGCCATGCAGAAGCTTCTATACAATCAACATGTCTTGCTTTCTTTCCCTTAGCCTGTCTTCCACTGAAATGAGGTTTGGATATCTTTGCCCTCATTTGACTGTTAAGAGCACCTTGGCGATACCGTCAGGGTAAGCACAAGAGCAACCTTCACCTTATCTGAACAAAGCAATCCTCTACTTGTCCGGAAGGGTGTCCTCAGTTTGTCTCTCCACCACATACTCCAAGGCTGTGATGACTCAGCAGTTTGCCCAGATGATGATAGAGATGTTTAATGGGGCTGGGGAGGGAGCCAGGCTGAGGAAACCCAATCTTCAACCTAACTATAATGCAAATAGGGATTCTTTTTCTTTCTTTTTATTCATCTCCTCCTCACCCATACCAAGTTTCAAGTTCTCAAAGTAACTACATTTATTATTACAAACTATTTGCCAGAACAATATGCCTAGGGCTTTGTATACATTATTTTATCTTTAATCAACTCCGCAAGTAGATGGAGTTAAGTCCATCTTACTGAGGCTCAGAGACTTCACAGCTTAACAAGTGGCTGAGCAGAATTGAAACCCACGTGCGCACGATTCCAAACCTCCTCCAAATATTCCATGCTGTCCACTTGTTAACCTGGCAAAGCCTTGGGATACAGCAGCTACCTTTCAGGGGAAATTATTTTTTTCGAAGTAAATTAATTTCTACCTACTTTCAGAAAATAGAAGTGAGGTACAGAAACAGCTGGATTGGTTACAGCTCCTTTGCCTTATTTGAACAAGATTCGAACAGTTGGCTACATTTGATTGGCACAAGTGCAGTCTACAGTGTTTTTATACCTCCACTTGTTATAGTTCATGATATACAGAAAAACCTTTAGGCTGAACTTAAAATATCTAAGGAGGTAGCTCTAGGCTAAACTTGATTTAACACACTTCTCTGCCTTTTTACTGAACAAGAAACCCAACGGCAGCAATGGCAATGCTAAACAGAAAACCCCCGCTTTCCTCCCTTGGTGTTGGGGAAAGGGGCAGGCAATGGAGGGGCACCAGAACTTCTGGTTTTAAAGAAATCTGAATTTTTATTTTTAAATGGCTGGCTTTTACATGGTGATAACTAATTCAAATCTGTGCAAACAAAACAAATTATGTCCATGAGGAACATGGGGCTTCCAGGCCTAAGCGCGGAGACCCCATGGGAAGAATCTGATGCCTTCCAAGGTTAATCTGATCAGTGAGTGACATCTAAAACTTTATTTCTGTAGGCAAACGGGGGAGGATGCAGGCCCAGTAGCAAGTACTCCAGGGGACCAGGCTTTCTCAGTGAGGGGCCCACCCTGGAAACAAAGTGCCCCACCTCCCAACTCTACAACTGACTCTGAGACCCAATGTTAACTTAATCAAGAAAGGAAAGCTACCAGGACGGTCGCGTGGCTGTGAAGGCCCCTGCGAGGGGCCCTGATATCTCCCAGTATCATGACTCAACAGTGCCCCAAAGCAACTCAGCACCCCCGAAACCTCACACATGGATGTGACTCGCCCACCCACAGTGACAGGCACAGCCAAGTCTGATTTAGGAAGATGTTTTCAAAGCAGAGTAACTCACAACTTTCCTGGATCATCTCTAAACCAAAAACAAATTAGGGAATCAGTTTTGCCACCTGCTGAAGGTGAACTCGCAGGTGAAGCCACTCTGAAACCTTCTCAGGTCTGAGAGGCTCCAGTGCCCCAGGAGGGCATCCCATCTGCCAGGAGGTGCCCAGAAGATGCTAAGTTGTCTCAAAGCCAAGGGCAAAAGGCCCCTCTCTCTGCCCATACCCCAAAGTTCTGGAGAACCCGGCTGGGAGTCCGTACTGCCTCCAAGGAATTACTGCCCACCCCAGCTTCTGTCTAAAGAACAAAATATGGAACTACAAACCAAAAACGGAAGACATGGATGCCCAGACCATCATAGGAGATGCCCAATCCATCTTGAGAGATGCCCAGTCCCAGCTCCGACAAGTCTCAGGGTTAGCATGGGTGCACACAGGTGGGGATGCAGGAATGAGGAGCAGAGTGACAGCATCAGAGATCATTGGCTCCCTGCCTCTGCCTGTCTCTCTCAAACCAGGAGATATGTTCTCCAGTAGGTGGGATTAAGTTATTCTTTCTGATAATAATTGGAGAGCAGGGCCAGTTGAGTGCTGAGGTCACTCCCAGTCTGTGACAATCCAGTCATGTCATTAGCAGGAGACTGCTGGTCTCCATTCTCTCCAGTGGAGGGTGAGGATGGGTTTGGGCAACGTGCTACCCCCTCCCCCAGCAGCTGGCAGAGGCTGGCGTCACAGGCCATGCTGGGTAAGCCGGCAGCTCAGGGCCAGTTAGGTATCAAATGGTATCCAGGGATTTACTAGCAGCCACGGGGCTGCCTGGGGTCTATACTTAGAAACCTGGGCCTGCTGACACTGAGAGGCGCCACACTCCCTGTGGCCAGTCAGGTGGACCAGGAAAATGCCAGGGGCGGCACCGCTGCTGTACCGGCCACGTATACAAACACACTGCACTTCACGCAAGAACACGGGTGAAAGCTGGGTTGAAGGAAGATCAAGAAGCAAACCCAGGCTCTGTGTTTCTGTTCAGTTTTGCATCCCTAGAACATGCCTCAGGCAGTGCTGCTGGAACACAGGTCCATCTGTGGAACCTGGATCACTGGTGTGCATGGGTGATGAAAGGGATCCTTAACCCCAGACCTTTCCCCAGGAACTGGTCAGACCAGAGAGGCCAAAGGTGGGCTCCTAGAGCCCTGTGGGTGGTGACATAGGACCCTGCACATCCCTCTGAGGCCAGAGCCCAGCGGGGCTGGAAGGAGAGAGAGAGAGAGGAGCAAGTGGAGAAGGTTTCTATGGCAGCCCAGGCTGGGAGCCACATGTCTCAAATTGGCAAGGGAGCACCTGACAGATGTTTCTCCTACCTGCACCCACCATTGGGGCTCATGGAGAGGGAGGAGTGAGACTTGGATAGTAACAGTCAGATATTCTGGGAGGCACAGGAAGGGCTGAGGCAAGAGCCCAGGTCAGGCAGCCTCCAGGGGCTTCCACAGAAATCAGCAGAAAGCCTGGGGATGTTGGCTTTGCTTGTGGCCAGTTCCGGGCCCAGCCTCCTCACTACCCCACCCCTGGGAAGCAAGGCAAACAAAACCCCCTCCCAGGAGAGTCAGTTGGTTCCTTGAGGGCAAACTCCCCTCTTAACACCATTCCCTAGAGGCCAACACAGTGAAGCAAAGAGCCAGACTGGGTCCCCGCAATGCCCCTGACCTCGGACAAGTCCCCGCCCCTCTTTGGGCTTCGGATTTCCCATTTATAAAATGAGTGGTTCTGCCTAGAACAAATCAACGGCTCTCAATCCGGGTTGTGCCCTGGAATTTTCCAGGGACTTTAAAAATGAATCGCAATGCTTGGGCCCCACTTCAGACCGGCCAAATCAGAATTTCTGGAGGTGCGGACCATGAGGGCAGACAGGCGTTGGGGCCCAAAGTCTGGCTAAGGCAGCCCAGGACAGAACAGGTCTGGGGATGTCCAGACCAGAAGGCAGATGTGGCCACAGCACGGCTGTGTTCAGGAGGCCACATTCCTTCCACTGAACTCGAGCCCAGCCCAAACTCACAGCTGTCCCAGGAGACGTCCTCTCCTGTGCCCAGGTCCCTGCCTCCCTCTCCACAAAGCAAATAGGGGCTCACAGTAGGGAGCTGGGCTTGAACTGGAACCTTCAGGATTGGCTTCTTCTCACGTATGCATTGGTAAGCCTGGGATTGAAAGCTTGTTTAGAAAGAAGGTACAGTGGTGGGTGTGGAGGAATAGAGGTCAAAGGGGAGAAAGAGATGAGAGGGGTTCAAGAAAGGGCAATAAGCATTTATTACACATGTCCTGCGTGCCAGGCACTGTCAGATGAACCACAGAGGTCAGCACATGCAATCCTCCTAACAGCCTGAGATGGGAGATAAGGCTGAGAGAGGGCGGGTAACTTGCTCAAGGCCACACAGAACAAGGCCATCTCAACCCACCACCAGCCAGCCCTTGTGTCCACTGCCTTGCATTATGAAGTGAGCCCTTTTTCCCAGGGCAGCGTTTATTTGCCACCACTGGCATCACAGGTCACATATGACTTTCCAGACCCCACACCGCTCTATCCCTGGGCCCAGCTAGGGTGAGCTCTGGCAGTGGGGTTTAAAGCAGCTGCAGGAGGCTCCTCCAAGGAGGTCTCTCCATGTTCCCTTTTAATCCCACTTAGCCTCCACTCCAGTCCTTTGGAGGAGGCTGGCACTTTTCAACTCTGCCTGGGACCAGATATCTAGCTTCCAGCTGCACCCGCTGTCACCACAGCCACCACTTTCTCTCCAGGCCAGCCCACCCTCCTGGAAAGCTTGTCCTGTGGCTGCCTCCTTGCTCTCCCTATCAGCGTGGAAAGGCCCCATTCCTCCTTCTATAAATCCAGAGGTATAATACATAGTGTGAGAATAGGCAAACTTTTTCTGAAAGCCACACAGAGTCTCTTCAGCTTTGTGGGCCACATGGTCTCTGTCGAAACTGCTCCACTCTGCTGCTGTGGCACCACCAGAGCCACAGACAACACGTACACAAATGGGTGTGGCTGTGCTCCCATAAAATTTAACTATGGATACTGAAACAAATTTCATGTAACTTTTACGGGTCACGAAATATTCTGTTGTTTTTAATTCCTCCCGCCAGTTCAAAATGTAAAAACCATTCTTAGTTCACAAGGCTCTACAAAAAATAGTGCTGGGCTAGATTTGGCCCAAGGGCCAGAGTTTGGCAACCCCCAAACACATAGCAATGCTGTTGGGCTCCACCTGCTGGTGGCCCTGGGCCTGGCTCCTCCTCCTTTCCCACCTCCCCACCTAACCCCCAGCACACAGTCAGCAGGACAGGCTTGCGGGCACACCCACATCTTGTCACCTTTCTCTGCATCATCAACACACATTTCTAAAACCAGGCTCCTGTGTGAAAATGGCCGGATGTGTCCTGCATTAGAGAAACACACACAGCTACTCCAGCTTTGGGCACTGGTGTGTCCCCCAATTACTCCCAAAATGTAGAGAGGAGATGGGAAGGCTTCTACAGAGTGGGTTTCCCTACTCCCAGGATGTTTTGTAACATTTTACAAAATGCGTGATTGTAAAATTTTAATTCTTTTTAAAAAAAGAAACAGTATTATCCACAAGATCCCACACTAGAACTTGAGTCAAAATGAATACATTAAATTTTTTAAATGTTTAAAGAACATTCAAAAGGAAAAGTGGGTCAGGATGGAACGTGGGAGGGTGAGCCACAGCCAAAAAGCTGCGTTAACCTTGGGTGACACTTGACTTCTAGGGGACTGGCAAATGAGAAAGTCCCGCCCTGCACAAAATAGGGCTATGTGCAGGGGCTAAAGCTGAGGGCCTGGGATCAGAGGCCCTTTCAGGGATGGCAGCTGGCTGAGGATGGGGCTACAGAGGAGGGTAGGGACAGGACGTGCCCCTCAACAGGGACACTATTCCTCTACGGAAGGCAGAGCCCTGACAGCAGGCCTCAGCTGGGACTGTTGCCGGCAAACTGGGATGCGGTAATCCTATGAGGAGGGTGCAGGGTGCTAGGTGTGGCTAGAGATGTAACTCCCCATGGGGGACCCCAGCTCTCCTGGGGGTCAAGGCACTGACAGAACTAAACAGGGGTTCCTGGGTGTGGCCATGTCCCCGGCATCTTTACTGCTCCCCCTCCCCATTCTCCCCTGCTCGGACACACCATTGAAAAAGAGAATGGTCAGACGAGTCCCCTCCTCCTCCACATGCACAGGGCAAGAGCTCGGAATTCAGCCAGTGAGGGCCCTGGTGCCAGAGGGCGTCCAGACTATCAAATAGGCCTCGGGCACCAGCCTTGGAGTCTGGTGGGTCCCTTGTGGGGCCAGAAGCCAAATCACAGATGCCGTCCACCAGAGGGACATGTCCCAGTGTTTAGCACGTGAGGTCTGTCCTTTGGGGTGGTCTGTCCATTCAGATGGGAGATGAGCCAGGCCACAGCAAGTGAGCCCAGAGCTGGAGACAGAAGAACCAGGCTCCTCCGCCTAGGAACAAGAGCTGTCGGGTTTTGGAGCTGCCCCATGGGGGTCCAACTAGGAGACAGGTGTCTCAGGAGCTCCTGCTCCCCTCAGGCAGCCCCTCTGTGGTTTTCCAGAAACCTTGAAAACAACTTCTGCCCCACAGCAGTAACAGGCATCAAAGCTATGGGACCTCAACAGAGACCCTGAGCAGATGGCCGAGGAGAAGCTGGGGAGACCAATGCCACAGCTACCAGGCTCTAGGGGCACGAAAGGGGCCAATGGATCTTCAAGGGGATGGGAAGAAACCCCTTCTCTGCCGAGATCAAAGGCAGGCTCCAAAGGGAACTTAGGGACAATCTAGTCAGCACTCATTTCACAGAGGAGAAAACCTGCCTGGGTCACCCCAAACAATGGTGCCAGGACCAGGATCCAGGTGTCCAGACACACTTGCCAGTAACCAACGCCAGGATATACCATGCCCCCGGGAGGGCGAGCCAGTTTCCAGCACGCATTCCCTGCCCAAGTGCAAAGGTTTCATTCCTTCCAGGTTTTCTGCACTAGTCCAAGAAGGGAGCCAAGGTCAAGATGTCCCTGAGGTCTGCCCTGAGAATCACCTCCCTCTGCCTAAGGGACGCCAAGTCACATGAGTGCCTTGTGGGCCCAGAGCCCTGTGCAATCCAGAAGCAATGCGGCTCTGGGCTCGTGGCCTCACCTGAAGCCTAGCCAGGTCCTAGGCCTCAGTGGCTTAGAAGGTGGCAGATGGGCGGAACTCCTCAAGTCCATGTTCTTGCCCACTCCTACCCACTACAACTTTTTTTAAAAAAGAGACGAGGTTTCACTATGTCAGTCTGGCTGGTCTCAAACTCCTGGCTTCAAGCAATCCTCCTGCCTCGGCCTCCCAAATTGCTGGGATTACAGATGTGAGCCCCACCCCCATTTTGGTGACAATGCACTTTTCTTCTTTTTGAAAAGAAGAAACAGATCCCACGTCACCAGCGACACCCTAACGCCCAGGTCCTGAGACCCACTCAGGGCCATGGCACATGGATTCTTACACAGCTTCTTGAAGTATTTTCCCTTTTCACAATCAGTCTAATCATAAAAATAACAACTATTGGTATTATCACCACCGTGTAAGTAGCCTAGGCACAACTGCTTGGTAGCTAAGGAACTGAGCTTCATAGAGATTAAGTTACACACCTTAAGACACTGCAAGCCCTGAGTAACAGGGCCTGGATTTGGACCTTGGTCTGTGTGACCCCAAAGTCAGCACTCACAGTCTCTATAACCATCGGCCTCCCTGGCCTGGTCAACCAGAAGCATGGAGAGGTAGAGCTGGATCAGCCTATACAGCTCCACGTTCTTAAGCTCCCTGTAAAAAAGCAGCATGCTCAGAACAAGTGTGTGTCCTACTCAAAAGCAGGAAATGACCAAACACTATTCACTAGAAGGATGGGGAGGATCTATTTCAGGAAGATTCTAACTGATCCCCAGTGACTTTATCACACAGAAGACAGCGAATGAAGTCATGAAACAAGCACCTTCTGCCCCAACATGCGATTTCTCCACACGTGTTCTACAGCCAGGTAGCAAAGCAGGGACTCAGAGTCTAGCAAACAGACTCAACTCCAGGGAGCTGTGGAATGGCCTCCTGCGCCCAGACCCCCGTGCCTACCTCATAATCCTCCAGCCCAGGTGGGCTCACGCCTCGGGCTTCTCTTGGCATCCCCAGAGGTGGGGGCCCTGTGCCCCTGGACACCTTGGCTGTCACCCAGCTCCACAGGCGATTCATGACAAGGGGGCCTGAGCCCAGGGTCCCCGGCAGCCCTGGCCCCCAGTGCAGTGTCCCAGGGAAGAAGGAGGCAGGGAGAGGGGTTTCTGTTTTCATGACTGTAGTGAACAGTCACTGCAGCCAAAAATAGTTTGTGCCTGGGAGCTGGGGAGTCAGCACATACTTCCCGGGGCAGGTGCTGGGTGGGAGATGTGCAGGCTCCAGCAGGCCCTGCAGCAGGGGCTGGGGACCAGGCACCCAGGATGTCCAGGATGCAAGGCCACCAAGAGGTTTTCCCTGCCTTGCCACCTCCCTCCAAAAGGTAGGACCTGAGTCAATAAGAACACGGTCATCTCCCTCCTTCCAGTGAATCATCTGGGGAACCCCCACCCCCACATGAACTCCAACTGCCCCCAAGCCCCTGCAGCTTCTCGCATGCTTCGGGTGAGTGGTATGGAGACCAACAGGAAGAACCCTATGAACTGCAGCAGATGCCTGGGATGGCTCATGGGACAACCTTCAAAAGGATGCTCAGCTGTCAAAACTCCTAGAGGTCTACACCAGAAACCGTGAACTGGAGTCCATGCAAATGAAAAAAAAAATGTAGAAAACAGTTAAGTGCTGGCTATCAGTGGCTGGCAGGGTTATGTGGGGGTTTTATTTTATTTTTAAACTTTTCTGTATTTTAAAATTTTTCTACAATGGATGTTCATAATTAGATTCACAGAATGCTGTTTTAAAATAATAATTAGTGGCCAGCTGTGGTGGCTCACACCTGTAATTCCAACACTTTGGGAGGCTGAGGCAGGTGGACTGCTTGAGTTCAGGAGTTTGAGACCAGCCTGGGCAACATGGCAAAAGCCTGTCTCTACCAAAAATACAAAAAAATTAGCCTGCTGTGGTGGTGTGCTTGTAGTCCCAGCTACTTGGGAGACTAAGGTAGGGGGATTGCTTGAGGCCAAAAGATGGAGGATGCAGTGAGCCAAGATTGTGCCAATGCACTCCAGCCTGGGTGACAGGGTGAGATGCCATCTCAAAACTAAATAAACATAATTTCACGTAGTTTTTCCATCTCTATTTTATACTGAGGATAAAAGCACTGCCTCCTCATACAGTTACTGAGAGGAGTGAATGAGATTCCACATAAAGCTCACAGCTCAGTCCCAGGCACAATGGGAGTGCCTGCTAAAGAATTACAGCATAAATTCATAAATAAACTACAAAGAAAAAGAAAAAGAGAAGCCTAGCAAAGTTGGTTGACTGGAAGGAAATGCATCAAATGGTTTACAGTGTTTCCTTTGAGTAGTAAGATTACAGTGCAAACCATAATAAATGGGAGCTGTTACTGTTTTCTATAATTTCTATACTTTACACACTTTGAAAATAAACATATATGTAAATTACTGGATATTAAGAAAACACCTAAAAAGCTAACAGCCAATGGTTGTCTCTGAGTAGGGTTTTCTTTGCCTTTCTATTATTTTCTAAAATAAACATTGATTTCATAGTGAGAGAAATAACAAATGTTATTAAAAACAAAAACTGGAGGGTGGGCTCACCTACTGTAGTCTAGAAACATGATCTCTGCAGACCCTTCCTGTGGAGCTGCAAAGCCTCTGACAAATCATCTCTGAGGGAGGAAAAGTTTCTACACGTCTCTGCCTTCTGTTATCAGGGCTGTCTTTCCTCCAAGAACCCATTTCCTGAGCCTACTGTGGGTGGGGGAGGTGGGGGGGGGGGGTCTTCCATCTTCTTAGCCCAGTGATTGGTTACAGTATGAACATGTGGTCAAAGCCAAGCCAATCAGAGCCTTCTCTGGGATTTTTCAGCTATTTTTCAGCCAAGGGAAACAGCCCTTCATGGACAAGCATGACTACAGTAGAAGGTAGTGAGGCTCAGCTGCCTGTGCTCTTCATACCTGCCATGCGGAGCAAGCCTGTCCCACAGGCACATCCTAATGGCATCACCTGAGCCCCTGCATCCAGACTTCCTTGGATTTGTATTGCCTAAACTGGTAAGTCTCTGTTTTAAGCCAACAGGTATCTGAACTTGCTTTGAAAAAAGTTCTAACTAGGAATAGAAGAATATAACTTCGATTAAGTAAGTACTTACTATGAGCCCTGGTGCCATGTCATTCTTCCATTTGTCCATCTATCCATCCCATCCAGTCAACAAATAGCTACTGAAGGCCAGGTGCGGGGGCTCACGCCTATAATCCCAACACTTTGGGAGGCCGAGGCAGGCAGATCATCTGAGGCCAGGGGTTCGAGACCAGCCTGGCCAACATGGTGAAACCCTGTCTTTACTAAAAATACAAAAAAATTAGCTGGGTGTGGTGACGGGTATCTGTAATCTCAGCTACTTGGGAGGCTGAGACAGGAGAATAGCTTGAACCTGGGAGGTGGAGGTAGCAGTGAGCCGAGATCGTGCCATTGCACTCCAGCCTCGGCAACAAGGTGAAATTCCATCTCAAAAAAAAAAAAAAAAAAAAAAAAAGCTACCGAATACCAACTGTACAAATAAAAAAATAGCTAAAATACATAATTGAAGCTTGTGAATAAGTGCTAAAAGGAAAGAGCATGCTGAGATAAAGCGGCAGGTATAGCAGGCCTCTAAGCTTAGACAAGGTGGCCTCTCTGAAGAGCTGACCTCTAAGTCCCGGTCAGAGGATGAGATGGCACTAGCCACAAGGGTACAGCAACTTCCAGGCAGAGGAAACAGAACATACAAAGGCCCTGGGCTAAGACAGGAAACCATCTGATGCGTTCTCCTGCCAGTGGCAGAGTGCAGAAAGGCAGGAGATGACGTGGAAGAAGGTGGCAGATACTGAATACTTAAGGGGCCTCAAAGGTAGGTGAAGGGTTTGGATTTTGTGCTAAGCGTAACAAGACACTGACAGAATATTTAACTCAGAACTATCTAGCCAGGCTCGGTGGCTCGTGCCTGTAATCCCCACACTTTGGGAGGCCAAGTGGGAGGATCACTTGAAGCCAGGAGTTTGAGACCAGCTTGGGGCAACAGAGTGAGACCCAATCTCAACTAAAAAATAAAAACATAGCTGGGCACAGTGGTGCATACCTGTAGTCCTAGCTACTGGGGAGGAGGAGAATAACTTGAGTCCGGGAGTTGAACGCTGCAGTGGGCCATGATTGCACCACTACACTCCAGCCTGGGCAGCAAAAAAACAGAAAAGGAAAATGGAAAGGAAAGGAAACAGGAAAGGAGAAAGGAAAAAGAGAAAGTAAGAAAGTAACATAACCGGATTTGCTAAAACCACTGTTAGCTCACGAAGAATGAAATCAAGAGGGTAAAGAGTGGATATAGGGAGCGAATGGGGAAACTGCAACAGTCCGAGGACTAGTCAGGACCAGGGAGGTGGCAGTGATGGAAAAGAGATGCAAAAGGACTTGAGACCCATACTTGGACATAGAGCCAGTAGGATTTGCTAGCTGATTCCACGTGGGCATTGAGGAAGCACAATGAGTCAGAAACGACTCCCAGGTTTCCAGCAAGAGCAGCTAAGACAGTAAGCAGGCTCAGAGAAGTCAAGGGACCTGTCCAAGGTCACAATGCTGGCAAGTGGCAAAGGAAGAATTTTGTCAAAATTTTGTCTGCCTCCAAGGCCATTTACTTCCAGAGGTGACACTCAAACAATTTTGTTTCCCAATCCTGTGGCCTCCCCCAAAGGTACATAGCTAGGAGCAGGGGCCACTGAAATTTATGTGCTATTTTTTTAAAAGAAGGGTAATAAGAGATTGCTGCTTTATAATATTTAAAACAGTGCAGTGTTGACATAAATGTTTCCCAATGATATCTGGCCATAGTCAGATCTGTTCTAGAGCAATCTTGCCTTTGAGGTGGTCCTAGGAGGAGGAGGGAACACACACAAGCTGACCACTCAGGAGCCAGGTAGTCCCCAGAGGGGGCTCAGGCACACACTACACCAAAGCCATCTCATGGCAGGGCTATAGGCACACAGTCCTGCTCAAGTTCTGTGGCCGACAGAAGCCTGAGGCAGTTTCGGAGCCCTGGGATTCAGCAGGCCACCGGCAGCCACCTCGTCTTCACCCTCCCCAGAGATCCTTGTAACGCAACCTTCACTGGCCCAGGTGAGAGCTCCTGAGACGCCTTGGGCCAAGAGACCAAAATTCTTTGGATAATGTTATTTGAATCCAATCATTCAACAAGAAAACCCACCACATGCCAGGCACTGGGGATAGAGCTGTGAATGAAATAGCCAGGTCCCTGCCAACATGGTGCTTCTAGTCTAGTCAGTTTTCACTGGACTGGGCAGCCCAGAAATCCAAAGGATTGATCAAAAACACCAAGCAAGGCCGGGCCTGGTGGCTCATGCCTGTAATCCCAGCACTTTGGGAGGCCATGGCGGGCAGATCACTTGAGGACTAGAGTTCAAGACTAGCCTGGCCAACATGGAAAAAACCCGTCTCTACTAAAAATACAAAAATTAGCCGGGTGTGGTGGCATGTTCCTGTGGTCTCAGCTACTCAGGAGGCTGAGGCACAAGAATCACTTGAACCCGGGAGGTGGAGGTTGCAGTGAGCCAAGATTGCGTCACTCTACTCCAGCCTGGGCGACAGAGCGAGACTCTGCCACAAACAAACAACAGACAAACAAACAAACACCAAGCAGTACAGGACTAAGCAGGACATTCATGCTCATGATTTTTCAGATTTCATGAAACCAGGGGAACCCCCACCCTGAAAAGTGGGTACCTTTGGCTCAAGATAAGAAAAATTAATGACTTCATCTATTGGAGAAAGTGATGTCTGCCAGTTCCAGAAGGACAGGAACTCATGTTCAGTGGCTAGAACAGTGCCGAGCACACAACAGGTGCTAAATACACACTGAGTGAGTGAATAAATAACTGAATGGAAGTAGGACCTCAGCTCTGTACCTGACCATGCTTCATCCCTTCCCCGCTCCTTGGGGCCAGCAGTCAGCTACGCACCCTAGTTATTTGCAGACGTGTGCATCACACTAGCTGTAAGCATCCAGGACAGACTATTTTGCTCATCAATTAATCCTCTGTGATAATTAATCAAGGTACCAGGTAAAAGGTAAGTGATCAATGGGTGCATATGAGTAACGAGTGAATGTAAAGGAAAGAAGAAATGAGGGGGGAAGAGAGAGACACACGTGCACACACACAAAGGCAGGCAGTCAATTCATTTACACAACTACATATCATACAGTAGCCCCAAAACTGTGCTATTCTGGGTAAGATATTAGATGACAAAATTGTGTATGAGAAGGAAGTACAAGGACCTGGGTTTGAATCTTCATCCTGCCATCAGCTTGCAGGGGATCATCAGATCTCCCTGTCTCCTGTCCCAGGGATAAGGATGAAACAGGATGACATCTATACAATGCTGGCCTTGTAGCTTGCCCCTTCCTTCCATGCTCCAACTTCAGCTCCTCTCCTGACTGGCCAGGTGATACAGGCATGCCAGTCCACCACTTGCCACCATTTCCCCATCCTAAGTGGAGAGCTGTGTGGCCCAGCCCCCACTGGGCTGGTACCAAGGCAGCCCTGTGCTGCTGGGCTGACACATTGGCACAGATCCCTCCAGGAGGCTGGGTGAGGGTGTGTGCTGCTTCCTGGGGAGGCTCCCAGTTGCCAAAGAGCAAGGTTGTAAGAACAGCTGGGCCTCTGGCTCTCAAAGAGAGAGTATGGGGCCGACAGGAGGAGGGGTGGGAAGGAGAGGCTAGGAATGAGGGCCATAGTCATGCCGACTCAAGCTGCACCCCAGGAGCCAAATGCGGGTTCGCTTTCCTGGTTAGGTCTCACACATCCTACTGCCTCATACAGCCTACATTCCTGGTGTCCACACAGAGCTCTGGCCACCCCCAGCCACTGGGAAACCAAAATGGTGGCAGGAGTAAGGCAGCTTTGTCCCCCATCTCTGGGAGAAGGCCTCATCTTAAACACAGGAACGCAAGGGTAGAGGAGAGCGGAAAGAGAAACATGTCCAGTCAGGATCACAACAAAAATCCCCTTACCAGATCCGCCTGCATCTTCAGTTCAGGAACCACCAGCAGTAAGAGCTTATTCAGGGGAACCTGTGGCTTTCACCCTGGAATCCCAGACTCTGCAGCACCCACCTCTCCCAGCTAGAACTGCTCAGGCAGCGCTTGCCACTTCCTTTCAACAACTTCCAACCGGGAAATTGCTAAAGAAAAAAAAAATGGCTCCATGCCAGCAGGCTCTGAAATCATTTCCCCAGCTGCTGCCAGAATATGAAGCTGAGACTTTTAGACGTAACTTGTGGGACAGGGGGCCGCTTGAAACAGCCATAGTGTGCAAATCCAAATGACTGGGAGCGGGGCAGGGCCCCGCCTCTGAGCTCCCTCCCATCTCATTTCCTATCCCCGACCCTTCCACCCTCCAGCCACGTGGGAGGCAGCGCTCCTCACCCCGTCACTCTCAGCCCATCCCCATGTGAATGCAGCCTTCTTGCTAGTTTTATTTTCCTTTAAACAATTCTAATGTTCATTTGGAATTCCTGCCCCTCTCTCACACACACTTCCAATATCCCCTAAGAGGAGCCCCAACCCCTACACTGCACACAGGGAGAGCTGCAGGAATCCACCCCGGCTCCCCGCCAGCCTCCTCACAGACTCCTCCTCACGCGCTTCACAAGCGCTCTGATTTCCTCATCCTCAGGGTCTCTGCAGATATTCTTCCCTCCGCCTGGTGTGCTCTTGCCTTCCCGGACATCCGTCTTTCCCTGACTACCCAGGATGAGTTGGCCCACTGGCTCCAACAGATCCCATCCCGGAGCCATCAGGGCATCTGGGGCTCTCACTTCCTGTTTCACCCCAGTCTGTGTGCTCCTGGGGCAGAGGAAGGTGTCTTCAGCATCCCAGCTCTCACCACAGGGCCCTGGTCAATGCAGTCATAGCCAGATGTCTATTCAAATTAAAATTCATTACGATAAAACAAAACACGAATTTCAGTTTCTCAGCTGCACTATACACATTTCAAGTGTCCCCAAGCCACATATGGCTAAGGGCTGCCACACTGAATGGACAATACAGAAGGTTTTGAACAGCGCTGCTCTAGATGAAGATCTAGTGGTTGGGCAAACACATGCAGGCATTGCCCAAGTTCTGTCTCCAACATCTACAGACAGGGAAGGGACGAGGAACCAAAGGTCAGGCATGCAGCGCCGCAGCAGGCTCGGAGCCGCAGAGGGCTGGCATCTGACTCAGGTGGGAACAGAAAGAAACCCACGCAGGGCCACCTCAGCCACACCAGGAACCTGGAAATGCAGCTGCCGTACTGTGTGACCACATCCATGTCTATCCCCTCTCTTCCTCTAGTAGAAAAGGCATTATTTCCTGGAAACTTTAAGACCGCAAACACTATCCAACCAAAAGACAAAATCTGAAATGGTATTTAGATAACCCTGCAGGGATGGCCCTTAGGAAAACAATATGGAAAAGGAAGGAGGAGATTACACACACAGACGGCTGCACACACAAACGATCCACGTATGTTTTCCTAAGGGAAAAATCAAAGTCCTAGTCATGAAGCCATGAAGAGTCAAGGTCAGCAGAGAACTCAAAGTGACTGAAGGGACAAATCCCACCACACAAAGTTCCCCCAGGAAGCCTCAGGGGGCAGCCCTGGGCAGATCATCTTCAGGCACTGACTGCAAAGATGCGGGGGTCCTTCAGCACTATCAGGTTAGCAAAAGGAAACAGAGAGACTTCACGGATTTTGTTCCCTTCCAAAGAAAAAAAAAAAAAACAAAAAACAGAAAGACAGACAGACAAATATTGAAAGAGTCCTGTTTTCAAGTCTGGCATCCCTGACCTCTATCCTGCAGTGACTTTGGTACATTCCTTCACCCAGTAAGTATTTGCCAGGGCCTCCATGTGCCAGGCGTTACAGCTGGGCACCTGGCCTCTTCTGGGCACGGGCTCTCATCTTCGTTCAGGTGCTGAGTCACCTGAACCACCAAGTTGCCTGATGTCACTGTGTGCGCATGTATGTGAGCAGGTGGGTATCCCTCAGACACAGGCATTCATATCATACCTTGATGAAACTGTATCTCTTACTACTCTACTGTTAAAGAAGGATAACATGAATTTTTATGGATAACACAGATGACGTTAAGACTGCAAACCTGCAAAATGATATCTATCATATGATCCCATTTCAGCAAACAAAAAAAAAAAAAAAGAGAGAGAAGGGAGTAAATTTGCACGTCATTTTAAGTGACTGTAAAATGCGTGAAGAGGTCTGGCAGGTGCACCCACTGACCTGTTAACAAGGTGTTATCCCCGCGAAGTGGAAGAGGAGGGCCTTTGCTTGCTTTCTAACACTTCTGTACTTGCTTGGTGTTGAAAAATTTAAAACTCCCATCTCTCAGTAACAATGGATAGCTGATCACATCTTGTGTGGGCTAAAGGAAAAAAAATGGGTGAAGACACACAAGGAAGCTTTGCCCAAAATCCATGGAAGAAAAGCCTGACTCGGGGGCACAGAATACAGGAGTAAAAACATCACCCCATGATCCGTGCGGCAGAGCTCCAACTGCTGCACACAAACATTACATAGGAGCCAGTGGGAAAAGCACATGATGAAATACCTCGAAGAGAGCATGGTATACAACTTACAGGAGGGCAGACACATCTGAGAGGCAAGGCAAAGCCACCATCTGGAGGGTTCAGGGGAAGGTACCACTCCACATGGTCTCTCCGAACCACCTCACCTGACAGAACTCCTTCTACTCTAGGCTTCTTTACTGTCCAGAAGCAGCAGCCATCTGAGGAAAGGACTTAAAAGGTCACTTAATCTGTCATTTCTCATATGGATAAACTGAGGCCCAGAGAGATGAAGTCACTTGCCCATGATCTCACATTGTGTAAAAGGCAGATAGGCCCATTCTAGATACCCATAGGATCTCAGGTCCTGCCTGGGTCAACCATGGCCACAGCCATGCAGGTCCATCCTGCTTCCACTGGACAGTGGTTCTGGGAGGCAGGGTTACCTCCCTGCAGTGCCCACCACAGTGGGCACCAGCAGCCAAGTGAGCGTGCTATGTCTAATTCTTGCCTGGAAAGAGGGGACAGATGCCATGACTTTCTGGCCTCCGCTATCCCCCCAGGACTCCTCCTGATGCTGGTGGTGTCTTTTGGTCCAACCTCTCTCACACGTACAGGGAACCATTCCTTCAGGGTGCCAATCTCTGCAGTCTGAGCTACCTTGGAGGAGACTTCTCTCCAGGCCAAACTTCAGGGTCAGGCAGAGAGGGGTCTAGCTCTAATATCCTCCAAACCAGACCAGCTGCCCCACAGAAATCCCCAAGGACCTATCCCCACCCCCTGGGCCAGGTTTCTGGAGATCTTGTTGGGTTTTAGGTCCCTCCCGAAGCTTGACAAAGGGAAGTCCCTTTCCCCACAGACCTGGATCAGGCTGTCCCATGGGGCCACTGGCAGGACCTTGGCACTCCTCCCCCTCCATGTGAGCCAAGCTGTCCTGTTGGCCCTTTAGGGGCTCTCTAGTTTCCTAAACAACAGGAGGGCTAAGGCACTAAGTCAGGACAGCCAGGGAGAAAATACAACTTTGCTTCTAGCCTCCAAGGCACCAGGCCAGTCTGGACATAGCAGAGGCCACACCAACCCATGAAGGCCTGGGCACCCTAGAGGGATTCCTGAGGCAGGACTAGGGCAGGCTGGAATCTGGGCCCTGCACCACACTGACCATTCAACACACCCAGGGACCCTGTTCCCTCCTCTGACTCTGAGTCTTCTTCTGTGGGCATGGCCCTACGCAATTTCTTAGGAAACATACAGGGACAGGAACAGGGATGAGCTGGGGGTCTTAACTACTGCCCAGCCAAGTACAAGTTTAGAAAAGGTATATGTGCAGTTTACTGTCTGGTCCAGGTACACCTGGAATGAGAGTCTCATTAAAAAGTTGAGCAGGCCAGGCACGGTGGCTCATGTCTGTAATTCCAGGACTTTGGGAGGCTGAGGCAGGAGGATCACTTGAGCCCAGGAGTTCAAGATCAGCCTGGGCAACATAGAGAGATCCTGTGTCTACAAAAAAATTAAAATATATATATAGCCAGGTGCAGTGGTGCGCACATCTGCAGTCCCAGCTACTTGGGAAGTGAGGCGGGAGGATCGCTTGAGCCCAGGACATTGAAGCTGCAATGAGCCAGGATCGCATCACTGCACTCCAGCCTGGGCAACAGAGCGAGACCCTGTCTCAAAATATATAAATAAATAAATAACCGTTGAAGAAAAAGACTGCTTTTATTGTATTTTAAAAGACACTTTGGAAACATTCACTAAAATCCAGCCTAGCAAGTTCACTTCTAGGTTTTTTTCCCTGTAGAAATACACAGGTGCACAAAGATGTTCTTGGTAGCAGTGTTTGTAACCATGGAAATACAGGTCTTTAAGGGGAAAGAGCAGGTTCCTGAACCAAACGTCTGGCCTGATCTCATGTGTACAAAAGAGACAACACGCAGAGGAATGTGAGGGCCAGAAAATGTTCAGAAAGATGAGCAGGCTTCAGGGAAATGGGATGCAGCAATTTTCTTTCACTTTATCTCCTTTGTTTCATTTTACCCCCTACAATAAACACATCTCTTCTAATAAAACCAATGGTTCATTTGAGAAGATGAAAACGTTCCAGTGGTGACAGTCACAAAACAGTGTGAAAGTATTTAATGTCATTGAACTGTAAACTTAGAAATGATTAAAATGGTAAATTACGTTATACGTATTTCACCACAGTTTTAAAAAATAAAAATAATAAAATCAAAACAAAGCAGAGCGAATAACTCACCAGGCTCCCTGGGGAAATAACTGATTCTAGAAGTGGGGTTAGTAAAAAACAGAGGGGGCTGAAGCATACTGTAGTGTCAGAAAGCAAAGGAAGTGCTACACACGGAAGTGCTACACACACACACACACACACACACACGCCAAACAAAACTGAAGGATGGGCAATGTCACAGAGTGCAGGAACAAACCTGCAAGAACTCCCAATGGCCAAAGCTGGAAGAACTTGAGAAACAAAATAAATCATGTAGTATTGGATTAGAACCCAATGTGTAAAAGAAAAAGACATGAGCCTATACTGATATAAATGACTGAATGAATAAATAAACGGAGGAGAAAAGACAACTCTTTCCTACAGAAAAGTTCCAAATAATCTGTGTAGATACACCCCCAGAGGAGATGGAGCTTAACCCACCTACCCCTCATACCCCCCAATCCTAAGGGAGGGCTCACTTCCAAAAAACAAAGTAGTGTCAACGTCATGAAATTAAGGGAAGACTGAGAAACTGTCACAGAGCAGAGGAAACTGGGGAGACATGATAAATCAAAATAATGTAAACCATGCGGTGCCCTGGATTGATCCCAGAAAAGAGAGAGGACAGTAAAGGAAAAACTGGTCAAACCTACATAGTCTGGAGTTGCGTTCATTGTAATATACCAGTGTCATTTCCTCAGTTTTGACAAAGGCACTGTGGTCACGACAACGTTAATGATGGGGAAACTGGGTGAGGGGTACATACGAGAACTCTCTGTACATCCCTGCAACTTTTCTGTAAATCTAAAATTATTCCGAAATAAAAAGTTTATTTAAGAAAATAAACAATGGTTTAGAACAGTGGTCCCCAACCTTTTTGGCACCAGGAACTGGTTTCATGGAAGATAATTTTTCCAGGGACAGGGAGCGGGGGATGGTTTCCAGAGGATTAAAGTGCATTACATTTATCATGCACTTTATTCTATTACATTGTAATATATAATGAAATAATTATACAACTCACCATAATGTAGAATCAGTGAGAGCCCTGAGCTTGTTTTCCTGCAACTAGACAGTCCAATCTGGGGGTGATGGGAGACAGTGACAGATCATCAGGCATTAGATTCTCACAAGGAGCACATAACCTAGATCCCTCGCGTGTGCAGTTCACAACAGGGTTTGTGCTCCTGTGAGAATCTAATGCTGCTGCTGATCTGACAGCTGGCGGAACTCAGGCGGTAATGCGAGCAATGGGGAGCAACTGTAAACACGTTCCTCCTGCTGTGTGGCCCAGTTCCTAAGAGGCCAAGTGGACCGGTACCTGTCAGTGGCCTGGGGGATGGGTCCCCTGTTTTAGATGACAACCCACGTATGCCTAGCGTTCCATTGTTGGAATGCTAAGCACATGGGAGTTATTTATATCCTACTGCTCAAGGTCATTGCCAAGGTCTGACCGCAAAAATTCAAAAAACTGCAACCTCTGGCATAAATGGGTTAAGAAGTCAAAAGATTCTCTGACAGACGTGGGTTTTTAATGCATGACAGACATGGGTTTGGAACTCTGGCTTCTGAATACTGCACCTATTTTTGATGGGCAGAACTTACAGAGCCAATTCCCACTGAAAGCACACAGAATCCATCAGGGCCAGGGTAGGGGTCAGGGGCAGCAGTGGGTATCGAGTCAGAGTCCGAAGAACTGTCTGGGTTAAGAAACAGAATAAAATAGACCCACACCCCTGGGGCCAGCCCTTGCAGCTGAAGCCCTGGAGAGCTGCTCTAACTCAGGGTTCCCCCATCACTAGGCTTCCACACATGTACAAGGAGAAACTCTCAGAGGTAGAACTGAACCAAGGTAGCCCTCTCCCCAGTCTGTAGGAGCTGAAGCTGGGTTTACTAAAGGAAATAGCCTTTTCTTTCTGGGCTTTAGAATACTCTGGCTATAGCCCAGGAACTGACATGAGATTTGGGAGGAAGAAAAAGAGAAATCTTGAGAAGGGGTTTCTGGAGAGTCTGGGGAAGATGGAATGACAGCAGCTAATGGTTCCTTGTGGTTCTTAAAGCCCAGGAAGAAAGCTGCCAGGCCCAGGTACCTCCAGCAGGCTCCTGCAGCCCAGTCTGCCCTCCTGCTCCCCATCCACTCCAGCCTCACTTCCTCCTGGCCCTGCTGGTGAGGACACCCTTGGTACCAACTGGGGGGACGGAAGGAGGACACTTGGCCCAGCTCTGTCAGGCTGGTGTGCCGCCCTCTCTGTCCTAAGCTCTGGGCTGACTCCCGCTATCTCTCTTGATTCAGAAAACTGCCTCTAGTCAGCCATTCCCAGCCTTCCTTCACTCCCCAGGAGGCTGTTGAGAGCTGCCGTATGTGCAGGCCTCTCTAGCTGCCTCTGCTGGGTCTGGCTCTCACCTGGGATTAACAGCAGCTGAGGGTAAGAGAGAGGTGGGAAATTGTTAATTTTTCCTCCTCCACCCCCGCACTTGACTTTCACAACTGCCTGTGCCAGCAAGCAGCACATGGGTTATTCCCATTTCACAAGAGGAGGAGACTGAAGCTTTGGAAGGTGAAAGGGCTTGGCCAGGTGCCTGAATCCAGGCATTCCAAGAAGAAGGAGAGAGAAGTGGTTGAGACGGAGGACTCACAGTCAGGTGTGGAGGGGCACCCGGCTCTACTCCTCTGTGGCTCTAGGACCCTGGTGAGTTTCTATACCCACTGAGTGCTAGCTTCCTCAACTGTGAGGTGGGGAAAATGGTCTCTATTAAGTAGGGTGTTGGGATAATTAAACAACACATCAGTGTACCCATCATGACACGCCAGATGTGCTATGTGTCAACTTTGAGGCAAAAGAACCCAGAGGCTCTCAGGGGCCCCAGGACCCCACTGTGGCCACCAGTGCAGCTCAATAACCAGATAGCAGAGGCCTCCCAGGAAAGGGCTGCTCAGGCTCCTGGCAGCACAAACCCTTCATGAATGAAAAGGACGTTGGCATGGGAAGAGGGGAGTGCTACTGCATCTAAGAAATCTTTGGGTCACTTGCCCTAGCCTTCCTGGAGAGGGCCATCTCCCCTGGGGGCACCAACTCTCCCAGGGCTCATGGCAGGTGACTCATGGAGGTGACTCATGGCAGCAGGCATAGCTGGGAAGGGGGTTCTTTGGGGCTATGATCCCTACACTGGCCTCTCTTGCAGGACTTAACTGAAAGCCAGAGCTAAGAGTAACCTGTGTCACCACCCACTTGGGGCCAAACCCTGGGCTATTGGAGACATCCACCATGTCATGATGAAATCTACTTATTCAGTAAATAAATAGGTATTTATTTTTATATCTGTCGCAACCAAGCAACTGCCATATTGGGCCCGACACTCAATGGGGATTTTGTGGCAAACAAACCCAAACAGCAAGGCCGTGTCTCATGGTGCTCGCATCCCAGGGGGAGCAGACAGACCACAGACAACAAATCGGTTAGGTCACTCCAGAAAGTGGTCAGTGTCATTGAGAAAATAAACTCAGGTGCGCAGGCGAGAATGATGGGCAGGGGATGATCTTTAGATCACATCACCAGGGACGACTGCCTGGAGGCGGTGACAACACTCAACACCAGAAAAATATTCAAGGGATGAGTCATGGGCAGAGCACTCCAGGGAAGTGGGGAGCAAGTGCAAAGGTTAGAGTCTACCGAGCAAAGGAGAAGGTGAGCAAACAGAGGCGAGAGAGGCCAGATCAAGGAAGGCATCTGGCGTTTATCCTGAAGGAAACAGGAAGCACTGAAAAAGGATGGGATCCAAGTCACCTTTCTAGGTGAGCACCCTGGCTGCTGGGTGGAAAATGGAATGCAAGGGGCGAGGTGCCACTGCAGAGATTCTGCAGGAGGTGACAGCGGCCTGGACCGTGGTGCTGGAGGCAGGGAGGGAGAGAGGCAGGCGGGTCTGCAGTGTGCCTTGGGGGAGAGCCACAGGGCCTTGCCCACACAGGTAAGAGCAAGGGAAGAAGTTATAGCACATTTTAATTTGGACTAGCCATGTTCTAAATGCTTGATAATCATGAGGCTTGTGACTACCTTACAGGACAGTCCAGATAGAAATTTTTAAAAGATTTCCATATTGGGGAGAGGAAGGAAAAAAAAAAAGACCTTAATGATCATAGATTTTCTGAGTGTTAGGAGTATGTATGTGATTTCTTTCCTTCTCTGTTTCCAAAGTATCTATATATAATGAATTCATGCTACTTTTTACACAGCAGCAAAAGCCAATATTTTCAATTTTAGGATAGAAGTAGGGGATTTATGAGATCTGACTGGGTGAACCATGCCTGCCAAGTAGGACTAATCCGCACTCCATGAGAGCTGACCTGCACCCCTGGCACCTGGCACAGTACACACTCCGAGTATGCTGGTTGGTTAGTTGGCTGGCTGGCAGGTGGGTAGGCTGCACAGACAGGAAGAGAGAACAATGGAAGGAAGACAGCATATTGTAGCAGTCAGAAGATTAAACTAAATTCTGACTCTTATTTCCAAATTCCAAGCTATCATTTACTAGCTGTGTGATTTTAAACAACTTACTTAACCATTCTGTGCTTTAATTTCCTCGAGTATAAAATGGCAACAATGATAGTAATTTCCTTATAGGAGTTCATGAGAAGTGAGATTATCTATCTTACAAAACACAGAAACATTTAACACAGTGTCTGCCACACAGCCAATGCTTCCAGATACGTTGGCTGTTGTAAGTATGATGAACAAATCAATGCCCAGCGTGGGGCTGCCCTAGTTCATCAGGCAATAGCATCCAGGGCACTTGTTGGAGCCACATGTACCCTGGATCCCTCCTGGCGCTGCTGTCCCTCCCCATCCTCCTTCTCAAGACTAGAGAGCATCAACCCTTAGTCTTAGCCACGGGGAAGCTAGCCCTCGGGTTTGTGTGTGTTCCCTCTGCTTGGCCCCTCATGCCTATCCCTATGCTGAGAACCAGCTTGCATACCTGCACCACCTCCGGCCTCACGTTGAAAGTGTACAGCCAGTCGCTGAAGCGGGGGTAGCTGTTGAGCTCTGGGGTCCTCTCACCGGGAGCCACGCTCAGCTTGCACTGCCTCTGCTTACAAATGTAACGGACCAGCTTCGCCTGCAGAAAGTCCAAAAAAGAAAAGCCTGTGTTCATCTGCAGCCCAACCATATGGCAGGCCCAAGCACACTACAGAGGAGCTCAGGCAGACACAAGCAATGTGATGAGGGAAGGGGCTGGCTCTCCTCTCTGCTGTTTGCAGGGGAGGGGAAAGGGTGGAGAAGGGTCTGGGAGAACAGGCAGAGGCTGGTGGCCACCCATGAGCCCCCTGCCCTACCCAGGGCGGCTGACACTGCCCACCTCAGGACATGAGCGTCATGGGCAACACTGGTCAGAACAGAGAGCTGGGTTAAATAAAAGGCAGCCTTCCTACCAGCCTGGCCAACATGGCAAAACCCTGTCTCTACCAGAAATACAATAATTAGCCAAGCATGGTGGCGCATGCCTGTAGTCCTAGCTACTTGGGAGGCTAAGGTGGGAGGATCGCTTGAGCCCAGGAGGTCAAGGCTGCAGTGAGCCATCATCACACCACCGTACTCCAGCCCGGGTGACAGAACAAGACCCTGTCTCGGGTAAAAAAGAAGGCTTTCCTGCCAGGGTGGGGTCAGGGAGTTGGTAATTGCTAATATGGAAGACCTGCTGGTTTGGGGAGAATGGGTAACCTCCCACCTAGGATGCTTCCAGCGAAGAATCCAACTGCCTGGGTTGGGATCCAAGGGCTCAGTCACACCCTAGCTCTGTGACCTTGGACAAGTTACTTAACCCCCTATAAAAGTCTCCATCTTGTCAAAGGTCTCCATCTTGTCCTCCAGAAAAATGGGGATAATAGAAGCTGACTCTCAGAGAGACGGAAGAAATGACGCATTTGGCACATGGTGAGCACCACAAGTGTAGCCATGACCACTGAGCAGCAGCAGTATTGGCCAGGGTCCTGGACTCGGATTCCCAGTAGGCTTTCAGGGATCCACACCCTGAAATGTATGCAAATTTCAGATATGCAAGTCTGTGTATTTTCTAGAGTTATTGTCCAAAGCTTTCAAAAGACTCGCAAATGGCTAAAACTTCAAATAAGAAAAGCTTACACAAGGACAGCCTGACTTGGGTAAACCCGACAAACACTGGGCTCTGGCTGGGTGCCCAGCATTGGACTGGGGAACACGGGATACAGAGAAGCACAAGGAGGGCATGGCCCAGTTCTGATGAAAAATAAGGGACTCGCATTCCCAACAGAGGCCAGTTAGGCTCGACAGATGGAAACGAGCTCACTGCCAGAAGACCAGGGAGTTGCCTGGCTTGGCTACGGCCAAGTGACCCAGGGACCCAGGGAGAGCTCCTGAAATGTTGCTAAGACTCTGGTGGCCTCCTAATGGTGACTTCCAAGTGTCCCCCCAAAATAAGTACCACCTTCACAGTCTCTTACAGGAACCTGTCTTCTGGAGACACTTCTCAACCCTGCTGTCCCTCATGGTTGTGGTGTTAATTCATTCCTTTTCCTTTCATCTGTAAATATAGGTTGTGCATTTCGAATCCAAAAACCCAAAATCCGAAACGCTTCCAAAGACCCAGAAGCTGAACCTCTCCAAAATCTAAAACATTTTGAGCACTGACATGATGCTCCAAAGAAATGCTCACTGGAGCATTTTGGATTTTGAACTTTTGGGTTTGGGATGCTTAGCCATTAAGTATAATACAAATATTCCAGAATTCTAAAAAATCCAAAATCCAAAACACTTTGGACCTCAAGCATTTCAAACAAGGGATACTCAGCCTGTATCTCACTATATTTTTCTTTTTTTTTTTTTGAGATGGTCACCAAGGCTGGCAGGCTGGGGTGCAGTGGCACGATCTTGGCTCACTGCAACCTCCGCCTCCTGGGTTTAAGTGATTCTTGTGCCTCAGCTTCCCAAGTAGTTGGAAGTATAGGCGCATGCCACCATAAAGGGCTAATTTTTGTATTTTTAGTAGAGACGGGTTTTCGCCATGTTGGACAGGCTGGTCTCCAACTTCTGACCTCAGATGATCTGCCCACTTCTGCCTCCCAAAGTGTTGGGATTACAGGCATGAGCCAGCACTTTCGGAGGCTAAGGTGGGCAGATCACTTGATCTGAGTATAAAACAAAACACTTAGGACCACTGCACCGGGACCTTAGCACATTTTTCTAAAGAGCAAGGACTCTTGTTAACAGAGTCACAATATTTTACGAAGAAAAAAATGATGAATTAATAATTTTTAATTTCAAATATCTAGAAAGGCTCCAAATTTTCAATTAGAATAAAAGCTTATAACCAGTTTGGGGCCATAGACCCTTTTAGAAATCTAGGGAGGCCCATGATCTCTTTCAAAGAACAATACTTTCATTTATTTCTTTTTTTATCTTTATCTTTTTTTTTTTTTTTTGAGATGGGGTCTCACTATGTTGCCTAGGCTGGTCTTGAACTCCTGGGCTCAAGCAATCCTCCCACCTCAGCCTCTCAAAGTCCTGGGATTACAGGCGTGAGCCATCGCACCTGGACAGAACAATACTTTGAAATGTATAAAACGACACACTTCGAATTATAAAGGAAATCAATTCTATTTAAACACATTTATCAAATTACTGAAAACTGTGATAGACAGCCAGTCATGGTGGCTCACGCCTGTAATCCCAGCACTTTGGGACGCCAAGGCAGGTGGATCACTTAAAATCAGAGGTTCGAGACCAGCCTGGTCAATATGGTGAAATGCTGCCTCTACTAAAAATACAAAAATTAGCCAGGCATGGTGGCACACGCCGGTAATCCCAGCTACTCGGGAGGCTGAGGCAGGAGAATCACTTGAACCCAGGAGGCAGAGGTTGCAGGAAGCCAAGATCATGCCACTGCACCCCAGCCTGCCAGCCTTAGTGATCGTCTCAAATAAAAAGAAAAAAAAGAAAAATATATTGAGATACAGGCTGAGTATCCCTTGTCTGACTGCACTTCAGCCTGGGTGACAGAGCAAGACTCTGTCTCAAAAACAAAACAAAACAAAACAAAAAAAACCTGTGATAGAGTCATAAAAGCTTCTTTATTAAAGTATTAAACATCCAACAGTGCATCTAATAACTGCCATAACTTTAAAGTTGTGACAAGTGGAAACTGCTTTTTCAGATAGCTCCACAACTGTGATTCCTACTGGTGACCGAGTCACAGGTGTTTGTTAAGATAACTGTGCCTCATTGCCTACAATCAAGTGGAATGACATGCTAAATTCCAGTTAAGGTTAATGAAAATAAAAGTGCAATTTTCTTCCCCATCTACGTTCATCGATGGACCCCCTGAATTCTATCCACAGACGCCAGGTCAAGAACTCCTGTGGCTAGAGAGATGTGAGCATGAAATGAGACCCATAATAATGAAACCACTGCTACCACATCAGCGTTTTTGAAATTTCCCCCAGAAAACTAGTTTGGCCCCAGGCTCACCAACAATCTGACAGAGCCAGATTCAACCCCCTTGGGGTTACTTACCCCTCTCCCATGGCCCCTGCTCCCTTCAGGGTACTAGGGGCTCAGTGGCAAGTGCAGACAGCTGCTGGAGAGGGAGCGCTGAGTCAGAATCAAAATAATTCCACACTCTCAACTGTACAGTTTTTATGTCTGATGAAACCACAGACCCAGAGGCTGATCCCCTGACATTCCTGCACCCCATGCCCCTCAGGTGCCCAGAGCAGACCCTGCTAATCAAACACACTGCTGAGGTTCAGGACTCTGAGTCTACTTGCTGTCCTATTATGGAACCTAAGCCCTGGGGAGCACCTACAGAGCATGAAGCTCACAACCGTAGACACACGAGTGAGCTTTTATCCTACAGGTCTAAGAGGATGCACTCATGTGCCCTATCCTGGCTTACCCCACTCTGATCCATCCCGCCCAGTGAGACCAGAGGCAAATTCCAAAACCAGGGCTCCAACTTCCCCCAGCCCCCCAGCTCCGTTCCATAGCCCCTGGCCCTGCCCACCAGGCACGCACTCACCCAGCAGCTATTCCTCCAATACCTGCTGGAGTTTCCTACCCAGGCCAAGTCAGAGTCCGCCTCTCCCCTTCCTGGTGTGTTGTGTGTGACTCTTTCAGAGCCCTGATCATGGAGTTACTATCATACTACAGTTAACAGCTTCTGCCTCAGTCTCCCCCAATAGACACGAGCTCCCAGGCTTCTGAGTTGAACACATCTGGGTTCAAATCCACCATATACTAGGCTGCACTGCCCCAAGGAAGATAATTAATTTTTCTGAGTCTCAGTTCACCCACCTGTAAACAGGAACGATGACACCTAGCTCATATTCAACTACAGCATGGAGACCTCCAAAAGACTAGGTTAGATCTCCCTATAATTACACATCAGTGCAGGGACCGTATTTCCCTCATATCCCCAGTTCCTACTACAGCACCTGGCATAAAACATATGCTCAGGAGTGCCAGAGGAAGAAAATGTGTGGTTCTTATCCCCATGTTTCTCACAGCCAGCCCTTCCCTCCATTCCACGCGGCTCTGAAACCACCACTTCAAAGGGCTGACCAGAGACAGGACTATAAATCAAACAGCTGTGCAAACTCAAAACCACTCTTTTCCACATTAACTGGAGAGGTCAGGCTGCTGGCACTAAAAGCAGCAGCACTAGAGCCCTTCTGTCACTGGCACATGGCCTTCAAGGGTCCTGCCTCTGGGAGTGATTCCTAACATATGCCATTTGCACAAGACTTTCGCCACCACAGGCCAACATTGAGATTAGCCCACCTGGCCTTAGCCTGAGCCAGCGTTTGGGCCTTCCCCAGTCCAGCCTCCCCACAACCTGCCTGCCCTTTTCAGCTTTGAGGCACTCGGTCCCCTGCTAAGCAAGCTCTTCCCAGTGACTCTCCGCCTACAAGGATCAGCTCAGACACCACTTCCTCCAGGAAGCCTTCCTCAAGCCCTCCAGCCCCCTGCCCAGATCACATATCGCAGTTCTGATTTTTCACGCTTGTCTGCTTCCCTCTTCAGGCTGGAAACTCTGGGAGGTGGGGGTCCAGCTGGTGTTCTTGGTCACCAGCAGACCTCAGGAGCCAGCACAGCACCCAGCACATGGGCTGCTTTTTCTCTTTTTTCATAATAGAGATGGGGTCTTGCCATGCTGCCCAGGCTGGTCTCTAACTCCTAGGCTCAAGTGATCCTCTTGTGTTAGCTTCCCAAAGTGCTGGGATTAAAGGCATGAGCCACCACACCTGGCCTGGTTTGCTATTTTAAAACCTTTGTTGAAAGGATGAACACACAAACACAATACATTGTGCCAGACAGGCACACAAAGTTTATCAAATGGCAGCGAAAAACAAACACCAACTGGGCAAGTGATGAGACAGGGGTCTGAACATCTCAAAAGCCAGGACAGCTTCCCTAGAAGAGGAGCAAGCGGTTTCTTTTTTTAAAGGCCGGTAGAGATCCCCGCTAGACAGCCCAAAGCAGGCCCATGGGTAGAACTGTGCAGAACTTGAAGTGATTCTTCTTTGCACCCAGATAACCCATAAACCTGGCTAGCTGTGCCTGAGACAAGGAAAAGGGAAGACATGCAGTGCAGCACGACCCAGCTACTGGCAGGTCTGGTGTCCTGGCAGCTGCTATCTCCCAGAACTTGTTAAGAAACAACCTCTACAGATTTGGGTTCTGCTGATGGAGCAAAACTTCTCTGGTTGACAAAGGATGGAGGTGGCCTACAGGCAGCCACTCCCGTCAGAGTGAAATGAAGCTGCTCTCACTTCTTGGAAAGTTGGTTGCAGTCACAGAAGCGCCAAGGGGCTACTTTCCCAGACAAACCACAGTGGGGCCTGCTAGCCCAGCCCTGGGGGCCTAAAAGGGGACCTTTCATTGGTAGCGTCATTTTCTCTTAACCACAAAACCGCAAGATATAAATTTTCCGGAATAGACAAGCACCTGGGGTTTCAGGGATGGGACCAGCAGCAAGAAGGAAAGAGTCATTACGTCTCTGGCCACAGGGGAGGCCCTGGGCTGGAACCAACATCTCTCACACCCCAATATTCTTTTGCTTCAAGAATGTACTGTGGGCCCACCCCAGCCCTGACCAGAGTCTGACTTACAGAAAGAGAATAGTATCAGGTCAGCCACAAACAGTTGGTGGGTGCTACCGATACTACAGCAGGCGCTCACTAAGTATCTGGGGCCGAAGGAGCTCAGCTCTAGTCCCAGCTCTAACATCTAAAATCAAAGATCTTGGGGAAATCCCCCTTGGCTCAGCTTCAGTCTTACCACCTATAAAAAGAGTATCATTTTATGGAGGTTGAGGCCAAGTGAGTTGCCGTATACAAAGTGCTTGGAACAAGCAAAAAACAAACCACGGGTCCTATCCAGCCATACCTAGGAGTCAGTGTGGCTCCATGAAGGACATCTCTAGCCCTAAAGTCCCTTGACACCACTCCCTTGGGTGAACATAGCCATGGGATCTAACCAGTGAGCCTCACTTTTCCTACCTGTAAAATGGGGTTGATCTACCTCAAAAGGCTGTTGTGAAGGCTTACATGAGAAAAATATGAATGCAAAGTGCTCAGCAAAACGTGTGGAACACAGAAAACACTCTTGCGGCGGCAGCGGACGTGGGTGGTGTTCTTCTCAGGCGAAGCCGACAGGTTCTCTCTTATTACCTCCCTAGGCAATACAGAAGATATGGGTGGGAATCTGCCCGTGTCAGAGATGGGACTAAGGAAGACCCTGAAATCTGGTCTTGACTTCAGGACAATGCTGGAGGAACCCACGCATCAGATATATTTCTTCTAAAGGCGAGACGGCCAAGACCTGTACCCACCCAGCTGACTCCAGGGAACCCAATCCTATCCTCCTTTGAGTGCTCACCTCCAACCTCAGCACCAGAGGATGTGACGGGAATGAAATGACATCGGCTCCACTTGCCCAAAGGAACATCTGCACCCGTAACCTGGCATCCTGATCAGCCTCAGTGTCATCTGCCACCCCAGCTGCTCGGGTATGACTCTGGCACAGGCCTCCCAAATGGAGGCTCCACGAGTATCACTTGGATGGTGGTGAGGCTTGTCAGACATCCCTGGAGAGCACGGGCCTGGTTGAGCAGATACTGTGCCAAGGAGAAGCACGTGCCACTGAGGAAAGAGACTTCTTCAGGTAAAGGACACAGCCCCCAGAACTGCAGGGATCCCCAGGAACATGGAGGCCTCACACCCCTACCCTGCAGGTCCCTTCCTTGTCATCCTTCCTTTACACTGCGCCCCAACCTGCCTCTCCATAGCTGGTGCCCCATAGCATGGGTCCTGGGCCCATCCTCCATGGTGTGTCATGGCTGTCCCAGGCAACCTACCCATGGGCCAGTCTGATTTGGGAGGCTGGGTTCCTCTGTGGCCACAGAACCAACCATCCCTTGGAGGCTGCCACAGTGGAGCTGGAGCAATAGCTGCCTTGCCTCTAAAAGCAAGACCATTTAGCACCAGCTAAAATGGCAGTCTAGACAGAGAGCTCCCACGGGCGGCTTCCACAGGGTGTGTGGACAGGGACAGGCCAGCCATTGTGCTGGACTGGCTGGAAGTGCAGCAGTGACAGGCAGATGAGCCACGCCTCCTGTTTACCACCAGCACCTGTTCTGACTGGTCAGAGGTCATGCCTACCATTAGTTAGTGGTCCCATCTCCTCTGCGAGAAGCTTGGGTTTGGCAGCCAGGAGGCTCTACCCCTCGCACCATCACACATCAGCTGTGTGGCAGGATCTAGATCATATCATCTTAGTCTCCTTCTCTGTAAAGCAGAGAAAATATAATACATGCCCCATAGCACTGCTGAGAATTTGCTGCAGACTCATGTATGCAAAGTGTTTAGTCCAATGTCCAGAACATATAAAGTGCTCACTAAATAGAACTCTGTTAGTGTTACTCCTGCTCAGCCTGCAGAATGACCTCGAAAAGGAGGAGCATGAAGACTTTTGGCAGGTGCCGTTTGGATTATACCCCACCCAGGCTTTTTTGCACCTTTGCAAAAAACACCTCTTTCCAGACGACTGACTTTGCAAACAAAGTCAGCTCCACCCTAAAATTGCAGGGCCTGAGATGGGGAGATCTCTTCTGTGGGCAACTCTCAAACCCATGATCTTGGCTATGTTAGCAGCCAGATGCCAAGGCCTATTATAGGTTGTCACCCTAACCCTGACTTTGGTCGTTGGCTGCCACAGGACCCTCTCAGTGGCCCAGATCTTCATGTCTCAGAAGCAGGGCAGGGGGTTAAATCTGTTGTGACAGATGTCACAGATGTTAACATATAAATGAGTAAATGAATCCAAGGCACAGGCTAACATGGACACCAGTTTCCCATGTATAGTAGCAGGCTCCCTCAGTTACAGAATCATGTCAATACTCATTTGTCAACCTAGTAGTGTTAACAATCTTTTCCTTATGTATGGTACCATATCACTTCCTCTACCTGGATTGTCAGTGAAAATTTCAGAGGCTAGGAATTAGAGTAGATCCCTGATAGCACAAGGGTGACTGATGTCCCAATCTTCACACACAAACCCAAAGCTGGCAATGTCCCTAAAGCACATCATTCCCTCCACAAAATACAATCATGTGTAACTGAAAATACTACAGACCCTTCCAGACTTCTGATGGGATGTACTGTGTATTCAACATTGAGTAAAGAAAAACAAAGCTACATCGGGATGTGGGTGCTGGACAGCACACTGGGCTCACTCACTGGCTCAGGGATGCTCACCTGCATGCCTGCCATCGAGTCCAGCCTCAGCCAAATGACAAGTCACTGCTCATCCTTTGCCGTCACTCACAAATCATGAAACCTCTCATGTGAAACCCACAAGACTTAAAGGTGTACTTCATCATTCCCATCTTACAATGAAGAAACCAAGGCACCAGCCTTTGTAACTTTCTTGAATCCTGTGGTTAAAGAAGGGATTCCAACCTCAATCTAATGCTCTCTATGCACCTCTCAAAATAATGACTCCTGCAACCCACACCCTAAGCTGTCTTGACTGGTACAAGCAGGATGGCAGTGGGCAGGGTCTACCTCTTTTGCGATCCAAAGCCCAAAATCCAGCCACGCCTAGACTGTTCCAGGCAGTGAATCCTGTGAATAAGAGCCACAGGCTTGCCCACACCCTCTAAATGTATCCAGCCACCCAACTGGGCCACCACCTCTGGTCCTGACTTGCAATAACCTACCCTCTGGGCTGTACCCCACCCCTGGCTCTAAGCCAGCATTAAATTCATTAAAACTAGCCATCATGCTGCCTATAACCTGAGGCCATCCCTTTTAAGAAGATCCTAGTATGCTTTACAGAGTGACACGAAGTAACTGGACAGCCACTCCATTCGTCCATCACTTGCCTCTTGTTTTATTTAGTCCTCCTGTGGCAGGTGCAGTTGTGGACCAGCTTCCAGCTCACCAGCACCCACAAGACCCTGACTCCTTTCTCCTCAGTAGGCAGCACCAGACTCTTACGTGGTGCCCACAGCAGTCTTTGCTCCTGCCAAGTCCCTGACTATACCATCCCGAACTTCAGGATGCCACCAAAGCCCTGGCAACTTACTCCAGCCTTCATTCCAGTGGTCCCTGAAGCTGCTGCTCCTCCTCCACTATTGACCCATTCTGTCCATGCCTCGGGGAAGCTCCCCTTACATCTTCCACTTCCTTCCCAAAGCTGGAGTGCATTTCTGGGGACTTCCCACCAACCCAGCCAGCTAAGCAGTCTAGCCTGGCTGCCATGGCCAACTTGTTGCAAAATGATTTCTGAGAATGTAAGGAGGCCTCTGGAGGTTGTGATGCAGCTGACAGTTCCACGCACAGGCACGCAGCGACCATAGCACCCAGCTCCGAGGGGACCAGAGGCAGCCCCTTGGCTCCCAGCACTGCCCAGCCCTCAAGGGCGCCCACGGGGGCTGACATTCATGGGCATGGGACAGAGCAGGAGAGGCACACAGGGAAAGTGGGGCAAGGAGAGGAGAAAGTACAAGTGACCTCAATCCTTGAGCTGGGCATTTCGCAACAGCCAGCCCTCTCCCGGCCCGGCCCATACCCGCACTCTCCTGGGGAAGCTGCCAGGCTTTTACATTTGTGTAGAGACAACCTCCCCGCCAAGCCTCCCACTAGCAATCCTGCCTTGACGTCAAACTCAGAGTCGGGGAACTTCAAACACAAACAAACAAGTCTAACCCAGACCACAAGTGGAGATATTCCCAAGGAGGCCAGGGGTGAGAACGGCCACAGCTGGGAGCTCAGGGCCTCCTACCCTTCCCTATGCTCCACTGGGAATGCAAAGTCTGAGGACCTGACAACAGACTGTAGATGGGAGATTCAACCCCAGGCTGAGACAAAACGAGCTCACTTGTCTAAGAGTATGACTGACTGCCTTTGGCTGGTGCAGCAGTGGGTGCAGGAGACCCTGTATGGAAGCACTGATGAGTTAGCTCCTCTGTGCAACTAAGCACCCACCTTAGATAAATCACATAAATCACCTGTTCCCACTGCTCCAGTACTAAGCATGAGCAGTCAGGGAAAGAAGACTATGAGGTCAACTATGGTTTAAAAGCACCCATGATGCTTCCTGGGAAATGCAAAGCTTGAGCTGGGCCAGAGTGAATGGCCAAGGGCCCGAGTTTTCTCAGCAACAACTGCTAGGCCATTTTATGTGCCACGGAGGTTGTGAGATGCAGCAGAACCAAAGAGGAAGGCATTTCCCTGACCTAACAGCCTAATACAGCTCCCACCTGCAAAGCCAAGGTGAGTCAAAACACTGCTCTTCAGAAAGCAATTATTTGAAAAGTCAGTAAATGATCTGTCTTGATCTGCCTTTCAAGTTTTCCTTCCTGCCTCAATTGATGTAACCCCCCAATATCTCATGTGTTGTTAGTACCAGCAGTCCTTAGGGGCTGTGGGGACCAACAGGACTAAATCATGAGAAAGAAAGACACCCACTTTACCCCCTAACTCCCCTGTGCCTGAAGCAATTGAATAACGGCAACAAAGGACTTCTGACCATCATCCAGTCATTCAACAACCAAACCTCTTCCCAATGCCCGGCACCGTTGGACTCCAAGGACAACGGTCGTAAGCGGCAGGGGTCCATAATTTTCAGGAACCCACACAAGTTGGGGGAACAGATGTGTCCGCACAGACACCTGACCGAGGGCTAGGAAAGGCAAAGCAACAGACAGCAGGTCTAAGCGTCCATGACACAGCAGCCCTGCTGCTCGGTGCTTCTGCTGGGAGGCTGAGGGAAGTGCTGGCCCAGGTGTCAGGAGCCACAGGTGTGGTGTTGCTCACAGACCAGATACTTCATCAACACGGCCTGTGTCCCAGTTCAAACACACACTCCATGTGTTTGTCTGAAGGTCACCAGGCCCACAGGGCACAGCCACGAACTAGTTTACCCCCTCAGCTCAACCCCTCAATCACAACAGGTAATCCTGGAGTATTCCTGACATTGCCAACTGAAAGGCACCTGGGTGTGAATTACCAAGCAGGGGCCTAGTGAAAAAGGCAGAGGCTGCACCTAATGGCAAAAGTAGATTTCTGCCAATGGGCCAAACCCCTTACCTATCCTTAAGGCCTGTTCCCTAGGGAGACTCTGGAAGGGAGGGATGGGGAAGGCAAGGCACCTTAAACTCTGACCTATATGCACCAACTATGAGAAGGAGACTGTGCCCAATGCTGGAAAGATAGAGGGCTTTCTTTCCAGGGATGTGACTGTTGGCTTAGCAACTCAGGCCATCACAGAAAAGGACAAAGGGCTGGACAGGGGCAAGGGGCAATGACAGATGAGTGCCCCAGACACCAGGGATCAATGAATGCATTGTGAACTCCCCCAGAAGGATGAGGGGCGCCCGAACCGCCACACCCTGTGGAGCACCATGCTCAGACTGCTCATCTCCACCTAATATCAGCTCCCAGCTTCTCCCTTGCCCACAGGACCCAGTTTTGTTCAGGGTAGCACTGTGCCCAGTGATGAACTGGTCTCAGTCAGTGGCTCGCAGCCCAGTCTTCACATCACAACCCACGAGCCTTGGCTTCAGCGAGTGTGACATAATTGATCCGGAATGGGGTCCCTGCACAGCCATCATGATGATTCAGTCCCCACTTTCAGCTTCCCTTGAAGCTGGTTACCTGTGACAGTTTTGGCTAATGAGGCATGAGGACTTGCTTGCTAGGGGACCTGCTGGGAAAGCATGGGACAGATCTTGGGGCTGCCCAACACCTCCTGCCCATTTTGAAAACAGACAAGCTGCAGTGGCCATCTCGCAACCACAAGGATGGCAAGAGCTGCCTGGAAAACCAGAGACAGTATCCCTGTTCAGCTGCAAAACCAGCACACGTGTGCCACCTAACTCCAGACTCATTGTAGGAGAAACATAATGGCCTATTCCAGTCACATTTTCTGTTACTTGCAACCAAAAGTAGTTCTATTAAGTCCGCAGTATTCCAAACCTCCTTCTACCGCTAATGTTTCTAAGGCTGAGGCTTCCTGCTGGCTTCCAGAAAACCTACAACAGCAAAAAGAAGGTATCCCTCATTCTTCTTTGAGCCACATGCCATCCAAAAGCATTCTTCCAAAAGTCCTTAAATCTCGAAGAGCAGCTAATTTTTATGAAGTCCAACTTAACAATCTTTTTGTCTGTTTGTTTGTGCTTTTTATTTCCTATCTAGGAGATATTTGTCAAGCCCATATTCACAAACATATTCTCCTGGGTTCTAGAAGTTTTATTGTTGTATCTTTTTTATTTAGGTTTTTGATGCACGTTGAGTTATTTTTTGTATTCCAGGACTGTTTTAACCACAACTGGATATATTCTTTTTAACTGGGCATTCCTAGGTACTAGGCATCATGCTATACATTCTATATTATCTCACCTAATACCTACATGAATCCCGATAGGTATTTTTATTTTATTGTTTGTTTATTTATTTGAGATGGAGTTTCGTTCTTGTTGCCCAGGCTGGGGTGCAGTGGCCTGATCTCGGCTCATTGCAACCTCCGCCTCCCGGGTTCAAGCGATCTCCCACCTCAGCCTCCCAAGTAGCTGCGATTACAGGTGCCCGCCACCACGCTCAGCTAAATTTTATATTTTTAGTAGAGATGGGGTTTCACCATGTTGGCCAGGCTGGTCTCAAACTCCTGACCTCAGGCGATCTGCCGCCTCGGCCTCCCAAAGTGCTGGGATTACAGGTGTGAGCCACTGCGTCCAGCCAGGTACTATTATTAATCTCATTTTACAGCTGAGGAAACTGAGGCTGAGAGAGTTACATATCCTTGAAAAAGGACCCTAGCATACTGTAAACCACATGCAGTACCTTAGAGTACCTTCGAGTCTATTATATAAGACCTGGAATACAGACAAACATTTGCCACGAGCTGGAGATATGGAATCCTTGTTCTACCCTGATTCAGTTGATGCTGAGTGTTTGGGAATACAACCCCCAGCTGCACCACTGCACTTAGGAAGATACATGATGACTCAGTTTCCCAGAGTGCACAAGGTAAGGGTGGGGGTAAAGCAGGCTATGTAGGATCTTGCATTTGCTAGAGAAAAAGAATAGGTGGGGGAGCCCCCGCTCCTGGCAGTGGGTGGTGAGGGTTCTTCTTCCCCATTGGGTAGTCACAGGATCATCTGAGTCTACCATACGAGTGTAGACAACCACAGCAGATTGAAGACGGCCACAAAGTATATGACACTCCTCCAATCTAGAGGTCTATTTCCTCTCCCCTTGAACCTGGGTTGGTCTGTGGCTACTTTGTCCAACAGAGTATAGAGTCTCCTAGAGTCCTGACTACTGTGATGAAGAGACCATAATGAGTGGCCCTGGGCCTGCCCCTGATGGAATGGTCCCCACCCAGGGTCAGGTGCATGAGCAGGGCCTTCTTAGACCCTCCAGATCAATGGCCGGTGCCACTTTTTTTTTGTTTCAGTCAGGGACCAGGACCAGTTCATGCAGGTCCTACAAAGTTCCAGAAGGTCCTGGAATGCCACACTCAGGCATCTGCACTCAATCTTGCAGGCATGGGGCGGGAAGCGAAGGGAAAAACGTGATCAGATTTGCATTTCTGAACGATCCTCATTCTGGAAACCATAAGGAGGACAGACTGAAGTGCGTGTGGATAAACCAAAGACAGGAAAATCATTTAAGAAGCACTGCAATTCAGCAAACGATGAGAACAAAAGGTAATTTAGTTAGTGGCAGTGTGGGTGTAAAGGAAGGAGAAGATTCTAGAGCTGTTTTATTAGTGTTTTTACTATAAAGACATGACTTCCCTTCTTGCTTGTCCAGGGAATTTCTGGCATACCGGCATACTTTAGCAGGAAGGTGAAGCACTGAGTTTCTCCAGCAAATGAGCCACCCAAGCAGAGCCCTGTTTGTTGTTCAATTTACTAGGACTTGGTGCTTCTCGGGGAGGGGCCCTTCGGCTGGAGATTCCACCCTCAAAGGGCACTCAGCCCACAGGCAGCCCCAGCCCAGCCGTCTCTCACTTCAGCGCTGTGCCTGCCCTGTCTCCCAGACAGAGGGGAACCCTATGCTTGCCAACAGCACAAGCCGCTGCTCCAACAGTACCATCTCCAACTCTTCCCCACACCCGTGGAGGTGGGTCAGACAGAAAGCAATGGGAGAGAGGCAGTGTCTGCCATCATGGCCAGACCCCACAGGGCCCTCTCACATTGCTGTGCGCCACAGAAAGAATGGACAGTCATGTCACTAGGGGTAATTCTGGTCTCATTTGAAACTCAGCCCTGACTCCTACCAGCTAAGGGCCCATGGGCAATTAAATGTCTGAGCCTTCACTTCCTCTGCCATAAATGAGGGGCAAAGATCAGCCTCAAAAGATCACTGTGAAGACAAAACAATATGACACAGCTGCTGGCTGACTGCGAGCTCCCAGCAAAGATTCCTTCCCATCTTCCTTCGCTGCAATCTTAATCTTAACATCAAAGCTGTGCCTTTGGCAGCTGATAGGAAAACCAGGACGGGTGACTGGGGAAGAGTGCAGAAGGAAAGCGTCCAGATGAAGGATCACGATTGTTGATCTGTTAATGTGTCTGCAAGCTTCCCGTGGAACAAGGAGAGCAACCGGCTGTGAAATGAAGCTCTATGCATTAGGGCAGATCAGCATCCACACCCTTTTAACAATTCACTTGTACCAGAGGCCCAAGGAACACCTCTGGCACCAAACCACCATGCTGAGTTTCAAATGAGACCAGAATTACTCCTAGTGACATGACTGTGCATTCTTTCTGTGGCGCACACCAATGTGATGATTGTGTATCTTATGGATACTTGGTCGCAGCACCTCACACTCAGTCACAGCACTACAGAGTTTACGGAGCGCTCTGGCAAGACAGCACCTCATCTGATCCTCACTGCAAACCAAGGCTCAGGGGTAAAGGCACATGGCCAAGGCTACACACCATCCTATGTTGTGGCGCCAGCTTCACAACCACTGCCCACCCCAACTCCCACCCAGGAAAGCATGATTTTAAATTCATAGATTAAAACCAAGCACCCCTGAAACACTGAGTCCCACCCAGGGTCACTCCCAGCTGTGACCCCAGGGACTTCTCAGATGCCTCTCAGGGAAGAAAGCCCTGACAAGGACATCCACACGCTTTTCCTAAGCGATCTGAGAAGGTCACTGATTAGCCACAGCCATCTCCACTAAATAATCTTCAAAGCTCTTTTCCTGAGGGACCATTTTGTCTGGTCAGAGGAAGGAGATATGGGATGTAGGGGACATAAAAATCAGACCTGAAACCCAGGAATAATATTGCAGCAGGGTTTAGGTGACATCAGCTCTGGGAGGGAGAAAGAAGGCAAGACCACCTTCTCTAACAAGCAATGGCTAAAGACAACGCAGTTATCCCCCTAGGCCCTGTGCACCTCAGGCAACACAGCTGTAACTGGACTCACATTACTAGCACTATCATTAGCGGGGGATGAGAAAGGGCTCAGGCAACAGGATGCCGCTGCTGTATAATCCCAGGAATGCCAGCCAGGGGCAGTATAGTGATGGATAGTCAGGTGCTGGGGCCTAGAGGCCAACAGACCCGGGTTCAAATCCCAGCTCGGCCACTGACTAGCTGCTTTAACTCAGATTACTTAACCACCCTCTGCCTCAGTTTCCTTATCTGCAAAATGGGGGAAGAGGGGGATGTCTATTGCTGAAGACATCAGGCCTGCTATAATAGATTAACACTCATTGTCAGCCATCTCTATCATGAAAATTCCAGTCTCTTGTACTCTTTGAAAGCAGTTAGTCTGACTTGTTTATTGCTTTAAGATTCTTAAACACATTCCTGGATGACTCCATCTACATGGCATGTCCCAAGCTACCCTGGTGTATTCCTTGAAAATGGGCAAACGTAGACAAGGCCAGGCGTGGCTGGAACACACTCACACTGAAAGGATGGCTTTCCTGGCCCTTACTTTATTCTCAGGTCAAGAGCTGGGCACACCCGAGCCAAACTGTGCAACACGAACCTCTGAGCACAGTCTGTGCAGAAGAGGGAGGCAAACCAGGATGGGTAACAAGATGCACACAGCCTGAAGAAGCAAGCCGAGGAGAGGCCTGGCCCCCAGGCTGCAAGGGGAGCTACTCTCCAGACCTGGATAGTGGTGACATGGCTGAAAAAGACACACACACACGTGCGCACACGCACCTGTCACCTTGGACAAGCTCTAGCTGAACAGGGTGGGGATGCATCTCAAAATAAAGAGAGGCGGTATGCTGCCAAGCTCTCAAGAAATCAACTGACCACCCTTATTGAAGAAATTAGACAATGACAGCTAACTCCAACAAGGGTGACTATTATGCGCTAGACACTGCTTTAAGTGCTTTATGCGTACAGACAGCCCTTAGGATCTGTGGGTTCTGCATCCATAGATTCAACGGCAGATCAGAAATCTTTTTAAAAAAATGAATGGTTGCGGCTGGGTGCGGGGGCTCACACCTGTAATCCCAACACTTTGGGAGGCCGAGGCGGGCAGACCACAAGGTCAAGAGATCGAGACCATTCTGGCCAACATGGTGAAACCCTGTCTCTACTAAAAATACAACAATTAGCTGGGCATGGTGGTGTGCATCTGTAGTCCCAGCTACTCGGGAGGCTGAGGCAGGAGAATTGCATGAACCCGGGAGGCAGAGGTTGCAGTGAGCCAAGATTATGCCACTGCACTCCAGCCTGGTGACAGAGTGATACTCCATCTTAAAAAAAAAAAAAAGAATGGTTGCATCTGCATCTGTACTAAGGGGGCTTGAGAATCTGTGGATTTTGGTATCCTCAGGGGTTCCTGGGACCACTCCCCCATGGATACCAAGGGACAACTGAATTAACTCACTTAATCCTTGCAACAAACCTGTGAGAGACGCCCTATCACAACTATCCCCATTGTACAGAGGCGTAAACTGAGGATGAGGAACAGTCCCATGTCATGCGGCTAGTAAGTGGCAGAGCAAGAAACTGAACCCAGGAAGTTCAGCTGCTCAGCCCATGCTCTTAACCATGGGCTACATTACTTCCTTAAATGACTGAGACTTTTGGGGTGCCTACTGTCCATCAGGCCAATGCTGGGCATCTTGGTACAAATGTTCTCATTTATAAAAAAGGACTCAGAGGGTCAGGAAGCCAACCCAACGTCACCCAGCTGGTATGTGTCAGAGCCAACTTAAACTCATAAGAGGCTGATGCCCCACGCTGCCCCTCCAGGCTTGAGGCGCTGGGTCTGACCTTCCACAGTTTGAAGGCTGACCTTTCCCACTGTGCTCCACCAGCAGTGATGCAGATGGAGACATCACTGACCCAGAGCACACGAATACTGGTGAGGAGCCCCAGGGATGCTCTGCCACCTGATCAGAAGGAGGCCAGAACCTTCCAGAAAGCCTGTTGGAAAAGCAGCGCCTGGGAGAGAGTCCACCAGCTCCAACCTCTTTCCTAGCACAGTCCTCTCCTCCACAGCTGCCTGTAAGCCACATCCTACCCCGTCCCACCCGCTGACAAAGAACCAGAGCGAGGGCCTCCTGCTAGTTCTCCAGTTGCAAGGGCTCTCTGTGTTTAGCTTTCTGATGTAACAGCTCGAAGCGGAGATGCACGCACTCACTGTTGCATAAGACCCGATTTCGCTCACACAAACCTCAGGGCAAGTCAGTCTCAAGTGCTGCGGGCTGGAGCACAGGGTGGCCTCACAGAGCAGCCCGTACCTGAAAGTGCTCTGCCGCGCAGGACAACACATTCCCAAGGAGGCCAGTTCTCCCACGGCCTGTTCCCAGGTGACCCAGCTACCATAACCCTCCAGGTGGAGGATAGCTCACCCGCACTGAGAAAAACCGGGCAAACCCCACAGGGCTCTGCATCTCCTGCCCTCTGACCTTTGCAATTGGCCCCATCTAAGGACCACGTCAACCAGTGAGGATTATTAGCAGGACCAGACCCATCTTCAGATGTCTGAAATGCCTTTAAATTACAAAATCCTTGGATGTTCTAAGACAAGAAGGGCCTAAGGTCATCTCACAGAAATAGATGAAAAACTGATGAGGAAACTGAGGCCCAGAGAGGGACAACGACTTAGTCAAACTCACACAAAGTAGAAGGCAGTGCCAGGACGGTCTCCTGGTTCTGTCCAGCACTCTTTCCCCCATACTGGATGGCAGAAGTCCTGGGTTCAACCTGCTGTGAGCGAGTGGTCTAGCTGGTAACGCTGGTTCCCTATTTTTATTTAACAAACAGGGACTGTTTTGAGAAGTGTATAAAATGCTAACTCATTTCATCTGGGGAGGTGGGTGTTATTACTATCCCCAAGTGGAGATGAAAGAGAGATAAAGTAACTGTCCAGGGTGGGAGGTGAACCTAGGCAATGTTACTCCACCATCCAAACCTGAGCCTTGAGTGCCACAGTGGCCTTTGTCACTGCAGCTCCTCAGGGCGCTGCTGGCTATATGCTGAAGTGCTCTCTGGAGCTCAACAGCATGCCCCAAGCAGCTGCTCAGAGGAGCAGGGCTGAAGCCACCTCCAGCACAGCACACATCTCAGCAGCCCCACAGGAGGGGTTCTCCCCCAAGCACTCGCCCACAGAACACAGGGGCCAGATCTTCCATGACGGATCCGAGTGTGGGACCAGGCAGAAAATGGACTCAGGTATTCACTACACCCCCTCCAGAGACCTGCAACATGTGACCAGGGCCACCCCCTCAGCTTACTGTCAGGGGAAAAGGTTTGCCAGGCAGCCCCTTCAAAGGCGTGGCCTCCCCGTCACCTGCACCTTCTGTAACCCTGGGCCTGTGAGGCAGAAGGGGGCCGCCCTGCAGTGCCAAGGCCATGACCCAGCAGGCAGGACTCTGCACCTTTGTGCACAGCCTCCTCGAGGTTCAACATCTTGAGCTTTCTTCCTGAAAAAGGAAGCTGTTTCTCAACATATTGCTACACATGGAGACTGAGAAACACAAACCGAGAGGCGAATAGGGCACTGGCCCCAAGGGAGGAGAATGAAGCGGGGAAGGGCTGGTATGGGCCAGTCTGCCTGAGGTAACCAGCCAAAGGGACAAGGAAACGCCCAGCACAAACTTGTCCATCCCGACATTGTTTACAAGAGGGACACAGTGCAAACAACCCAAAGCCCCAACAATGGAAGCACAGCTAAGGAGGTGATGGTAAAACCACTTACTAAACTATGACAGAGCCACTGAGCAGGTTTACAAAAACATAGGAAGTTTTTTGTGTTATTTTACTAAGCGACAGGCAGGACAAAAAAATCTACATGATGGATGGCAAGAACTACGTAAGCAAAACCTCGCACACAAAGTCTTTGCCTGGAAAACACAACTGAAAGAAAACACAGCAGAAATGTCATCTGTGAATGGGCTGATCTGAGTGGGAAGGCTATAGGTAATTATTTTCTTCCTTCTACTTTTCTGTGTTTTCCAAATGTTCTCTAATTACTGCGTACTGATTTTATAAGGCTATGAATGGGAATAATACATTTTAAAATGTCACAAGAGGAAAAGGGAGGGTGCTGGTGCTTCTCTTCTAGCAAAGGGAGAAAGGTCCAGGAGCCCACGGTAGACGTACTATTTGGAGCCGATCCCTGCTCAGGCCGCCATGCCCAGCCTCACCACTAAGGTCGGCTTTGCTGGTTACTCCATCTGCCCTGCTGGGTCTTTTTTTTTTCTTTTGAGACAGGGTCTCACTCTGTTGCTTAGGCTGGAGTGCGGTGGTGTAATCACGGCTCAGTGTAGCCTCGACCTCCCAGGCTCAAACGATCCTCCCACCGCAGCCTCCTGAGTACCCGGGACCACTGCCACACACAACTACACCCAACTAATTTTTGTATTTTTTGTACAGACAGGGTTTCACCATGTTGCCCAGGCTGGTCTCAAACTCCTGGGCTCCAGCGATCCACCCACATCAGCCACCCAAAGTGCTGGGACTGCGCCCAGCCCCTGCTGGGTCTTTAGATGGAGCAAAACCTCACTGATTCCAAAGGCAAAGATGCGGAAAGGAAGAGAGCAATTTCATAAGGTGGCATTAAACTCATTTTGCTGACGGGTGTGGGATGGGTTGGTTGGTTTGTTAAGAACAGTGTGTGTCCATCTATCCATCCATTCAAGAGTATCGAGTACCCACTAGTTACCCAGTATGGTGCCAAGGCCCTGCAAACAACACAGAAATGAATGACCCATCTCCTACCCTAAAGACCTCAGATTCAAGTGGGGGCCAAAGATATCAAGTTGCAATGCAAAAGTGTCTTTGACAAGGGTTTTCAGATACACACAGGCTGTGAGAATTCAGATATGAAAATTAAAGCTTCCAGCTTCAGAGAAAAGACGGGTGTCGGGAAAGAGTTCATGGAAAAGATGAGCTTTGAATTGGGTCTTGAAGAATGACTGGGGTTGCACAAACAAGTCAGTTAAACAGGCCAAGGAAATATACATGTTTATCTCAAAGGAAAGTTACCTCTGCCGGCAACCATAACAAACCTCCCACCTTAATAATAAGCAAGGAAATACAAAATGGAAACATATGGGCAGATGTTTGGCAACATTGGCAGAGGGACTCCCCAGTGTGGCTGTGGCAGGAGCATGGCAGGAGCGTGGAGCGGCATCGCCCCCCTGGAGGGCAGCAGAGAAACAGGATGATGCAACAGAAGCCTCACCAGGTGGCCCTCACCCCTTGAGCCAGACTCCACTTCTAGGAATTTATCCTAAAGAAACAATTAAGTGTAAGCATAAGCCTATTCACGGAAGTGTAACTTAAAATAGCCAAACATGGGGAAGTAGGTAACTACATTCTGGTGTGTCAATCACAGAACACTATGAGGCAACTTTTTTTTTTTAAGTCCCTTTTAACAGTGTACTTAATCATATGAGGCAATGCCCATAATCTTCTAGAAAGTTAACAACTCAAGGTAAGAAAACTACATTTGCAGTATGATCTTCACATATCTTTTTTATTTTAATTTAAGGCATTAATTTTCTTTTTTCAACTTTGAGGTCAATTTCTATTTTTATAGCAAAATTAACATCTCAAAATGTAAACACTGGAAAGTTTTATTATTTACTTTTTTGTATTTTTAAAGAACGGGTGTCATTTTTATAATCATAAAATGTTATCCAAACTGAAAGAATAATAAATGGAGTTTTTTTATCCAATAGGTTTTTGGGGAACAGGTGGTGTAAGTTTTGTTTTGGGATTTTTGTGGTTTTTTTTTCCAGTAGAGACAGGGTCTCTCTTGTCACCCAGGGTGAAGTGCAGTGGCATGACCGTAGCTCACTGCAACCTCACACTCCCAGGCTCAAGCAATCCTCCCACCTCAGCCTCCTGAGTAGCTGGGGTTACAGGTGAACACCACTATACCCAGCTAACTTTTTTTATTTTAATTTTTGTAGAGGCAGAGTCTCACCATCTTGCCCAGGCTGGTCTCAAGCTCCTGGGCTCAAGAGATCCTCCTTTCTCAGCCTCCCAAAGCACTGGGATTACAGACGTGAGCCACTATGCCTGGCCCAGAAATGGAGTTTCAATAGGAAGAGAAGAGGACATCCTCAGCTTAAAAAAACAGCAGGAGCCAGAAGTGAAGAAGTACAGGTCTCTCCTGGGAAGGAGAAAGAACTGAACATCATGATTAGACAGAGCTGGGCTCACATACTGGATCCACTCTTTTCTAGCGGTGTGACCTTTAACAAATTACTGATCCATTCCTGAGCTTCAGTTTCTTCCAAAGACCAAATGTGTTAAAGACTAAACGTGTTAACTTGGCCAGGCACAGTGGTTCACACCCGTAATCCCAGCACTTTGGGAGGTTGAGGTGGGCAGATCACCTGAGGTCAGGAGTTTGAGACCAGCCTGGCCAACATGGTGACACCCTCTCTCTACTAAAAATACAAAAATTAGCCAGGCATGGTGGCACGCACCTGTAATCCCAGCTACTCAGGAGGCTAAGGAACAAGAATTGCTTGAACCCCAGTAGGCAGAGGTCGCAGTGAGCCGTGATGGCACCACTGCACTCCAGCCTCGGCAACAGAGTGAGACTTCATCTCAAAAATAATAAAAAACAAAATAAATGCATTAACTTACACAGAATACCTACTCGATACACTAATTAGGTCATAGCCTTTTCTACTGACCAATAAAACAAATTCCATCCTGGATGACCCACAAGAGGTAGGGATGTTCATTTATGAGACACATAATCAATGTAATAACAGCATTTGGGGAGAGCAAAGAATTACTACATTAAAGACATCGTACAAAGCCTCCCAATTTCAGAAATATTAAACTATGAAATATATCCTAAAATCAAGAAACTATGAAAATTTGTGTCTTCTAAAGATACTGCTGACCAGGATAAAACATTTGGTGAAAGCCCAAGATATTATTGTTTTTCTCATGATTCTTATACAGTCTGATTTGTGCCCCAAACAAGAAGTCAGGCCGGGCATGGCTCACGCCTGTAATCCCAGCACTTTGCGAGGCCAAGGTGGGTGGATCACTTGAGGTCAGGAGTTCAAGGCCAGCCTGGCCAACATGGTAAAACCCCATCTCTACTAAAATACAAAAATTAGCCAGGCTTGGTGGCTGGTGCCTGTAGTCCCAGCTACTCGGGAGGCTGAGGCAGGAGAATCGCCAGGAGGCGGAGGTTGCAGTGAGCCAAGATCACGCCATTGCACTCTAGCCTAGGTGACAGAGCAAGACTTTGTCTCAAAAAAGAAAAAAAAGGGGGGGGGGGGGGCGGGTGTGCCACTGCAGTGTCTCCTTTTGTTATCCAGGCTGGAGTGCAGTGGTGCAAACATGGCTCACTGTAGCCTTGACCTCTTGGGCTTAAGCAGTCCTCCTACCTCAACTTCCCAAGTAGCTGGGATTACAGGATAGCTGGCGGCCAGGGGAAATATAGTGGAAAATGCAAAACAATGAAATTATAAAACCTGCCAAATACTTCTCAGAACTAGAAAAGAGTACCCTGCTGATTTTAGTAGAAAAGTACAAATATGTGCTGGAATGTAAGAAAAGTGATGTGTGAACTATTGCCCTTAAGCAATCAATGTACCTGCAGGCGCTGACCCACGAATGCAACTCTCAGCCGAGCTGTCCCTGCCGGATTTCAAACAGCTGAAGAAGGGCTGGGAGAACATCAAGGCTTGGACTAAAACAATTATGGCCCATGAAAGGAGAGAGAAGGTGAAAGGGAGCGTCAGCCCCCTCCTGAGTAACCAAGTCCTAGGGAAGGAGATCACCAGCATGCTGCTGGAGCAGCTCTACTTCCTGCAGAGCACTCCTTCCACCCCTCCCCCCGGAGGAGGAGCCCAAATACCACGCCACGGCCCAAGAATCATTTGCTGTTTCAAATAGAGAACTGTGCGATGATGAGAAAGAGTTCATACGTTTTCCAACACGTGAGAGGACCTCTCAACCTGAACCCTCGTGTTCAGCTGTCAGAATAACAGCCAATAAAAACTACATGAGCAAAATCTCTCAGGAAGGTGCTTTAAAAAAGATGCACGAGGACTGAACATGATCAACAAATGTCCATCTTACAATTGCAACTGATACAAATGAATGAGGTGCATTGTGGCCAAAATCCAGCAGACAGAGCGAGAGTGTGAGATGGCAGAGGAGGAACACAGGATAAAAATGAAGTTCTCAATAAAGAGAAGATGTATTGGGAAAAAAAACTACAAACTTTTACCAAGGAATGGCCTGCTTCCTCATTTAACCGGCCCTTTCCCAATTCACCCTAAGACTTTGGGGGTGGCTCTCTTGTAATTAATTGTGTTGGCAAAGAATGTCTGGAACATGGACTTGCGGTCAGTAACCTGTAACAGAGCGACAACTAGGAAAATTTGAGTGGTAGTAGTCACTAACTTAAGAATTCCTTCAGGGAAACAGCTGCACCCTTTGTACCCCTTAAGTGGCAAAGAAGCTGTTACAGTCTTCTGAAAATTATCACCATGAGTGCTATAATTCTGAATGTAATGTCTCTTAATTAGAATTCATACAAGAACCATGAGAGAGAGAGAGAGAGAGAGAGAAAGAAAGAAAGAAAGAAAGAAAGAGAAAGAAAGAGAGAGAGAGAGAGAGAAAGAAAAGAAAAGAAAAGAAAAGAAAAGAAAAGAAAAGAAAAGAAAAGAAAAGTTAGTTGCAGTTACCGAACAGATCTGGATGCCATAGGGGCAAGGCCCCACCTTCCACGCAAACTGTTCCAAATTGGAAAGGGCTCTTTTCATTCTCCCTATAGCACACCTGTATTTCTCCAGTTTGATGTTTAGGGAGAAGATTTACACAAATGTCTGAAGGGCAAATCTTGCTAGACTACCCGGGGTGTCCTTGGCCCCAACTACCTCATCCTCTTTCAGATGAAGAAGGCACCAGGAACACCAAGGTCAGCTGCCTGAAGATTAAGCAGCTGCAACCTGGAAAAGCTTAAGGTTTAGAGAGAACCTCTGGAAACCTTTGGAACCTTTGGGAAAAAATGCAAACTCAGTGACCAAACTGTAAGGGGTGGAGAGCTGTATCCTCTCCTAAATGCCAGGCTTTGGGAAACTCAAGATAAGCCTTCAGAGGAGACCCAGAAGGCTCAGCTCATTCCAGTACTACATATAATCAGCATTTAATCCTTACCATGGTTCTTAGCCATGTGTCAGGCCCTGTTCCAAGCACATTACATGCGGTAACTCATTTATTCTCTCCAACGAAACTGATGCACAGAGGCAACTTGCCCAAAGCCAGAGCCAGAACCAACCCATGCAGTGCCTTTGTGCAAGGTGAAAGAGTGCATCCCATCCTCTGCACAGACACAGCACAGACCCACAAAAGGCATATTCCTGGCAATAGGGGCAGTCTGGATTTAAGGAACCCTTCACCCCCTTGTGCAGTGCACAACCTGCTTGACTGTACACAGCCCTGTCCAAGTTCACACAGTAAGTAAGAGGCGGAGCTGGAATCTGAACCCAGGCCACCTGGCTCCCAGGTCTGCTACCAAGTAACAAGCAGGCACAGTTTCATATTAAATAAGTGGCCTGCAAATTAATGCAACTCAAAATATACAGAAGGACTGATGCGGGTGACTGAGAGCACAATTCTGTGTGTCTAGAATGATCACATTTTCAGTAATGATGAGACAATGCTCTGACATTTACAACTTCATGGGCATAAGATTTTTTCTTTCTTACCATTTCTAATGGGAATATTTCTAAAATGTGCCCCACCGTTTTCCACCTTACAGCATAATGTAATATAACCCTGCTTGAACTCCACACCACCACTGCCACTCCAGGAACCCAGAGCCCCCTCCCTGCCTTTTCCTGCCGCTCTGCCTGCAGCCTTCTAATCCTGGGTAATCTCTTTTTCTCTGCTCCTATAATTGCTACTGGAGAAAACTCAATGTGCAGGTGGGTTGGGGACATCCAAAGTTTTAGGTTTTGACCTACTTCCTCTGGCTTAGCAGCTCTTTGATTTGATTCTATCTAATTCCTTGCTCTTCCCCAATTCCTGGGGCAGCATCTTACCAGTTTCATGCTCTACAAGCCCCTTTGCAGAGATACTGGAGGCCACCGGCCTGTACTTGCTGGATTTGCCTATCCTCACCTCCCATCAATACCTCCCTCCTTGGGAAGGGGATGGGGAGGGGAGATCTAGCTGTCCTTCAGCCTCCAAACCTGCATTCAAATCTTTCTGGCCTTAATAAATACTTTCTCTTCAGCTCCCCCTTCTCTCTCTCATTCCCTTCAAGTTCAAAGATCTTGACACATTTCCTCAGCTGTTCAATATTACTCCTCCATTGATCTTAGTCTCTCTACTCCACCAAAACTGCTCTTGCAGAAGCCCCCAGAGTCCATGTTCTCACTCCCACCCTCATCCTGCTTGACCTCACTGGGGCATCTGGCCAAGTGGTCTCTCCTCCCAGACATGCCCACCCCTAGCTTCCCAGTTCTCCTACCTTTCTGACAACTCAGCAGCCTCCTTCCCAGGACTCCCACAATCACCTACACGCTTATGCCTCCCAATTTAGAAAACTCTGAACCCCACTCCACTCATAAGCTCCAGCCCCAATCTAACCCCCAAATGGATGGCCAGCCTGCATGGGCCAGAGGTACCCAAACTCACTATCTCATCTTTCATCATCTAGTGGTGGCCTCCCACTTTCCACTCTCCTTTCTTCCTAACAGAATGCTGAGGTTTTAGCTGGCCCGTTTCCATCCTTCCTTGCAGGCAGGTGTAGCTGTGTGACTAATACCTGGCCAATGACACATAAATGGAAGTGCCACATGGTAATTTCAAAAGGAATATATACATGACACATCCTTCTCCAGTTCATTCATCCTGCTCCCTGGAAAGCTGATGTGAAAGCTGGACCTCCAGCAGCCATCTAGGAACATAAGGATAAGGAATGGCAGAAGGGTGAGCTGGAAGGTTCCTGAGTTCCTAATGACTTTGTGGACCCACCACACCGACATTGGGTTACCTACATCCAGACTTCTTTTATGTGTGAGAAAAATTAACTTGCTTGAGTTACTGTTATTTGAACTCTATTTTATCTAATATCCCCTCCAAACTGGTCATGTCTTGCAAGACAAGGAACTTGGTCAATAACATCAACATTCACTATCTGGAAGCCTCCAGCTGTTTATTTGCCAACTTTCCCCATTAGACTGCGAGCAACTTGATGGCAGCAACATGTCTCTCATTTTCTAAATAATTCAAACACACAAAAATGGTATCTTTCCTTTTTTTTTTTTTTTAACCTTACAGAAATGGTATCATTACTACAGATATTCTGCAACCTTTCTACCAACGTTTTTCTTAAATGTAGTCGGGCTGATTCATGTAAGTCAGATGGAACTGGTGAAAAGTACTACACTGTGTAAACCGTCATTTATTGATATATTTCCTGGCTAATAGGCTTTTAGTTTCCTTCTAGTTTTTCATCATCACCAAAAATGTTACAATGTACATCTATTTCTCCTTGAGCACTTGCATGCTAGTTTTTCCAGTACAGACAATAGAAGTAAAATTTTTGGCTATAGGGTATGTGTATCCCTAACTTCACCACATCTAGTCAAGTTCTCTTGAGAGTAGTTGTACCAATTTACACTCCCCAGGGCCCTGTGTGAGAGAGGAGGCCCCTCCCCATGCTGTATTTCTAAACTGCCAATTTCTACCTAACATGATGGTAGCAGGATCCTTTTTTTCTTTCTTAGTACCCTGAACTAGCTACAGCAGAAACACAGGAATCCCCTGAGCTACTCTCCCCAAAATGTTGTCTGGCTGCTGCCTGAGGACAGACCACCCTGCAAAAAGCAACCTAGCTGGGCAGCCAGCATTCAGAGTGGTGCACCCATTGCTTTCTATCTATGGTGTCTCCTCTTGCAAGACAGAGACTTTCCCTCATTGCAAACTTGCTGGGGGGTTGGTGGATTAGTCCTTTGCATTCACCACCCCTCAAATTATTTCATATCCAGCCTACTCACTCAAGCCCTCTCCAATACCAACCAGAAAAGGACAATGTGAAGGTGTTTGTCCCACCACAAAGCCCTCCCACTTTTCCCTGGAGCTCTCAGGCAGGCTGCTGAAAAGAACATCTCATCTCTGCTGGAAAGAAACACCTCATCTCTGGTGGTGGCTCATGAGCATCTCCTGATAAAGGAAAATCCCAGGCAGAGAGAGGGGCCAAGTTGTTTATTTCCAAACACAAGCCAGATTCCAGCTGTGACATGTATACTGGATCTGCTCACTGCAAAGGCGAGCTGGGCGGGAGGGCCACGGGGAGCGGGGGCCAAAGCTGTGTGGAGGATTGCGTGGTTGTTTAGTTTCAAGTAAGCCAGTATTCCTAGGATCAAGTTCATAGCCCCTTCTCAGTCCTGTTTTTCCTGACTCTGCCTGTCTATGGATTTTTCATGTCAACTTGCCCCAAGTGCAAAGGGTAGTTGCCTTGACCCACTTAACCCAGGGGCTCAGAGAGACACTCCACCGGGCTCAAGGCTGGGGTCTGGTATCCACCTTTCCACTCCACAACATTTATTGAAAGCTTGCTCTGGCCAGGTACCAGTGTATAAGAATGGCTGTAACAAAAACCCAGCCATTATCCAGAACTTGACCTCTGAGAACTCATGGCCTAGAAAATAAATACTTGTGATGTCATGTGAAAAGATGCAATGGTAAATATGTGCAAGAGAAAGGAAAGAACAGAGAAAGTAAACCTAACTAAGCCTGGTCTCCCTAGCAGCATGGGTGATAAGCAGACATTTTTATCATCAACATCATAATTCCAACTGCCTGCCTTTCCCATAGCCATGAGAGTGTGGATTAACAGGGCAACAGGTGGTGCTTTGGGAGCTCAGACGTCAGGAGACCTGGTTCTAACCCACCTGCCTCCATCAGAGTAGCCTTTGCAGGCCAGGCGTGGTGGCTCACACCTGCAATCCCCACGCTTTGAGAGCCTAAGGCAGGTGGATCACTTGAGCCTAGGGAGTTTGAGACCAGCCTGGGCAACACAGTGAGACCCTATCTCTACAAAAAAATTCAAAAACTAGCCAGGCGTGGTGGCTCATGTCTGTGATCCTAGCTACTCAAGAGGCTGAGGCAAGAGGCTTGCCTGAGCCCGGGAAGTCAGGGCTCCAGTGAGCTACTGCACTCCAACGTGGGCAATGGAGCTAGACCCTGTGATCCTAGCTACTCAAGAGGCTGAGGCAAGAGGCTTGCCTGAGCCCAGGAAGTCGGGGCTCCAGTGAGCTACTGCACTCCAACCTGGGCAATGGAGCTAGACCCTGTTTCAAAAAAAAAAAAAAAAAAAGGAATGGCCTTTGTCAACTCACTGTCCTCATGGGTAAACTGAAGGGTGGAACAAGCAACTCCTGAGCAGTCCTTTCAGCTTGGGTATCCTAACCAGGGGCTTTCCACCCTCCCTGTGTATCAGAATCACTTGGAGCGGGTATACATATAGAGATGCCTGGGCCAGTTCCCACCCCAGAGGTACTAAGTCAGCTGGCCCAGGGCTGTGCTCCTGATATGGATGTGTTTTAAAAGCACCCATGATTCAAACATGAGGACAGGGTTCAGAACCACGGTGCTGAACAAACTTCCTGCTGGTGACAGCCACAAGTGCTTGAGGACCGGGCCCCATTCCACAGACTGCCCAAGGCAGGAAGCGAACCCAAGGCCAAACAGCCCATAGTGCCTGCTGTCTGCTCACAGGGATACAATGATTTCAGGAAGATTCCAGTTAGGCCAACTGGCAAACAGGGAATCACACGTCTCCCGCATCCTCCAGCTACCTGCTTTCAGCCCCTTTTGGCCACTGGGACAAATGGGTAAGGGGGAAGGCAGCACCCCTCCAATCCACTGGCAGGGGGCCGCCCCACCCTCGGGAAAAGGAGGCCAGTGAGAGTTGGAGGCAGCGGGGCCTGGGAAACCTGGGCGGGCACAGCCTGGCCTCCCTGCCTGTGAGCCAGCCCCTGAGAGGCCTCGTCCGGACAAAGGGGCAGAAGAACAAAGCTCCACTGTGCCCGTTCTGCACGGAAAAGCCAGCAGAGACAAGGAGACTTCAGGGCTGGTGGCACGATTAGCATTTTATTTATTTATTTAATTTTCGTTTTATCTAACAAATGCCTTGGGGACACAACACTTATTATGCGCACCAAGCAGAGTTTCTGAGCCCTTTCTAAAGATTAAGCTTTAGAAGATTAAGCTTTCCAGAGTTAAAGTCCAGGGAGGGGAAAAAATTAATTCTCCCCCTCCACAGGCACATAAATTTACCTTTGCATTTGCTACTGTCTGGCCTATAACATACAGAAACCACTTGGATCTAGGAATGTGTCCCAAGGTGTGACTTAAATCCCTTCGGTGCCCTTTATAGAAGGCCATCTTCTGCAGGAATGGAAATTTTCTCATGGCAAGGTGGAAAGAATTTGGAAGTTAAACTCCATTTGCTACATGAACTTGGACAAGTTTCAGAAACTCTCCGAAACTCATTTTGGTGTCTGTCAAATGGGAACAGTGTAGCCTATTTCAGAGGTGTTATGGAGTGAAATGAAATAATTCATTCGGTATAAAGGGTGCAACAAAGGGCCTGACATCAGCTACAGGTTTATTCCCTTCTCCCATCTGCAAAGCACCACCTCTGCCATTTACAGAGACTCTGCTGCACTGAGTACCCATGGTCTAACAGCAGCCCTGCCAGGTTCAGTATTACTATCCCCACTCCCGGCTGGGGAAACAGTTTTACTATCCCCACTCCCAGCTGGGCTGGATGAAGAGCTCCTCCCAAAGCTCACAGCTCTCAGGTGGTGGGGCCCACATTCAAAGCCTGTGCCATGGACCAGGGACTTTCCTTTGGTCTTAGACTCTAGGTCCCTCACCACAACCCGTCCCAATTTAGAGCCTAAATAATCATACAGCTCAGTAGAGCTCCTTGCTTTTTGTTTGGTTTTAACAGTGTCAGAAATCCCCCACAAATCTGGCAGCTCTAAACACTCACATTGCAGGCCCCACAAGCAAGCACCCAAGGCTGGGCTGTGCAGAGAACGGGGACAGCTGGGGTCCCGGGACTGACAGAGTGGCACTGACTGACCATCACCACTCAGGCTGCCCATTCTTGGCATCAAACGCACCATGGCCAGGTCAGAGAAGAAACTATGCCGACATGATAGAATCACTAAATGCCGGGGGTTGAAGGGGACTCCTTTCCTCAGCTGTAACACGGGTGTGGGGAGGAGTATTGCTGAACTAAACAATCCTGGAGGGATTTCCTGTCCTCCCACCCCTGGGAGCCCTAAGGGAGCAGTTGATTCAACCTCCATGTGGCCCCACACTTGAGCCACAGGGCAGGCCCTGACCTGCAACTGGAGAGTGGGTGCCCAAGACAATTTTAACAAAACAAAACCTCATTTCTGAGGCCTCAGAATTCCTTTCTGCAGGGAACCACACCCAGGGCTTCCAGGCGCTGACCACCACAAGCCATTATTTAGGGCAGCCTCTGTTCAGGTATTACTCCTCCCACTGTCACCATTACCCACCAGCGGCCTTACAAGGCCCAGAAGTGAGTTCTGCAGCCCAGGGCATGGTGAGAGGAACCAGGGCTTCAGGATCAAGCAAGCCTGCAGCAAGCGCAGCCCTGCCACTCTTCTAGGCAATGTGACCCTAGACACATCACCCAACACCTGAGCGGTCACTTCCTCACAGCTACTGTGCTATGCAGGGCTAATGATGCACACATCCTACTCCAGGAACCAGCCAGTGCAGGCCACAACAAATGCCAGTTCCCTGGAGGGCTCTTTCCCTGTCTTTTTCCCACCACGGCACAATGGAGGGATATGGAACATTTCCAGCACTATGAAGGCTATGCCTTTGGTGGAGAGGGAGGAGGGTCTAGGGAGTGTCCACCATTTATCCTCTCCTTTGAGCATCGCAGCCTTAAGCTTTCCCGACTCCTGCCAACACAGTGCTTGCTCCTACGTCCACTTTCCCACAGAACTTGTCAGCACAGAACATCAATTATCAACATAGATGTCCACCGACCCAGATTGCAAGAGCCTGGCAAGGTCAGGCTCTGAGCTCCCCGACACAGTGCCTTGTAGAGAGGGGGCACTCAGATGATGAATGGGCACTGGGTGGGCAGGCAGACAGCAAACACCAGAGTTAACAGAAACCAATTCTATGCTTTTCAGGGGGTGAGCTACACTTTCCAAAAGAAAGGACGGAAAGAAAACTATAGGATGCTTTCGAAATACATACCTTCTGCCTTTTTCTTTAAGAATATTAAGGTTCGCCAAATTTCACAAGTGCAGCTACTCCACCCAGTATTAAGTGGATTGAGAAATGAAAAGGTGTAGCTATTGCTTCTTTACTGCTAAGCTAATCCATCCAAGCTGTTTCACACCTCTGGGGCCTTGTTTACAGGCTCTCTCCACCTAGAATGCCCTGCTCCCTACAAAGCCTTTGCCAGCTCCCCCCTTGCCAACTCCCTCCTTCAGACTCCTTTTGGGGACAGGATAGATTTCAATGAGAGCATCTCTAACAGCCTACTGCATGAATTGGTTTTTTAAGTCTTCACTCACTGAGACAGATGCTGTCTGAAACTAGAAGGTCCTCTTATTTATTTCTGTATCAAGAGCATCTGGCCTCATGTGGTGGCATACAGCAGGTCCTCAATAATGACCAAATGAATAAATAGCTTGAATCGTGTTACTGCTTTAGCTTACAATCATTCTTCCTCCATTCTTGCCTATATCTGAAATCATCCCAAGTCCCCAAATCTTCCACTTACAATCCAAGCTTACAACCCCCACAATTACATAACATAGGGACCCAACTGCAATGCACTCCATCCCTCAGTTAGAAAAAAGCAAGTCTTACAATACAGAAGTGGGCCAAGGGTGGATTCTCTGAGCTCACCCAGGAAAACCAATCTACCTTCAATCCTCAGTGGTCTCTTCCAACTCCAGGTTGAAATCCATTTGATGAAATGCTACACAGGAGCGGTACTCAATAACACTCATAGTTTATCGTCCAATGAAAATGAAAGAATTATTATCAGCTAGGTGCAGTGGCCGAAGCCTGTAATCCCATCATTTTGGGAGGCCAAGGTGGGCGGATTGCTTGAGCTCAGAATCAGGAGTTCGAGACCAGCCTGGGCAACATGGCAAAACCCCATCTCTACTAAAAGTATAAAATTAGCCAGGCATGGTGGTGTGCACTTGAGCCCAGGGGGTGGATGTTGCAGTGAGCCGAGATCACGCCACTGCACTCCAGCCTGGGCCATAGAGTGAGTGAGACTCTGGCTCAAAAAAAAATAAAAATAAAATAAAAAGAAAAAGAGTTATTAAAGACCTGGAATCAATAGAAACAAGTGTCTGGGTTAAGATAAGGGGTTGTGGAGCACAAGGTTCTTATTATGTAGATGAAGTCTCATAGGTAGCCACCCTTAAAGGCAATAGACGACAAATGTTTCCCATTCAGACCTTTAAAAGGTGCTAGGATCTCAGTTAATCTTTTCAGGATCAGAAAATTACCTAGAAAGGGAAGGGGATTCTCTACAGAATGTAAATTTCTCCCACAAGAGACAGCTTTGCAGGGCCATTTCAAAATATATCAAAGAAATCTATTTTAGGATAAAATACTTTTGTTTTTGTTTCTTTCTTTCAGGGCCTGCTATCTGTCATGTGATGTTAAGATGTTATACTAGAGTCAGGTTGGAATTTGGTATCTCATTGCCACAAAGGGTCTCTTTTGTATTAAGATCTCTGTTTTAATGTTTAGACTAGTCATTATGTCTCACGAAAATGTATAAAACCAAGCTGTAACCCAACCACCTTGGGCACATGTTCTCAGGACCTCCTGAAGCTGTCATGGGTCATGGTCTTCACATTTGGCTCAGAATGTATCTCTTTAAATATTAAAAAAGAAAGAAAATAAAAAATGAAAGCAGGCTATAGAGCAAAAAGTACAGGATGATCTCAGCTTCGAAAAGTTCTCTCTATATATACATTTTTAAGAGTGTTTCAATTTTCTTTCATGCTTTTCAAAGTTTCTACAAGGAACATATATTACTCTTGTAATCAGATATGAAAATGATGGAAGGAAGAAAGGATGAAAGGGGGAGGAGGAGGAGGGGGAGGGAGACTCTACTCTGCACTATCACAGAAAGGGAGCGAGGACAAAGGCACATGAAGACGTCTGTTCCAACAATGGATTGATCTCTCTCATCAGGTAAATATGGCTCACATTGGCCTCTGTCCAAACACCCTCCCAGGGTGGCCCAATCCCACATCAGTGTTAATCTGTGATTAACACACCCCATCTGTGATAATGATGATAATATTAATGATAATAGCTTTTTTGAGCATTTACTACATGCTAGGCACTATTCCATTTAACTCATCCTCATTTCTTACAATGACCATAAGGCAATCATTACGATTGCTCTTTCACAGATGAGAAAACAGACAGAGATCAGGTAACTAGCCCAACGTCACACAACTACCTTTTCTCGATTTTCTCCTTTGGCAACTTCCTGGATGTGATAGGTCTCTTAGTTAGATAAAACCAGGTTTTCTAGAGGTTGTGCTTATAAAATGGGGGCTGCATTCACAAAGACAGATGAGGTAAGGAGGAAGCTATGTTGAATGGTGATGAGAAAATTAGCATTAAGTCAGCCATGGAGAGCCAATTGTTAAATAGTGCCTTGACTGGAGAAGATTTCAAACTCCTTCCCTTAACAAAAAAAAAGGCAAATTCTTTTATCTGATAGGCCAGAAGAGATCAGAGCTGATAAAACAGACTAAGCCTGCTCATGAAAGCCCTACCTAACCTAGAGGAGAGTCTATGGTTTCCCCCAGAGCCTCCTTCCTCAATCCACATTTCTACCATGTTGGGTTCTCTGGTTTCTCCCATCCATAGATTATAGTAAAGCAGAACATTTTTAAGGTGAAAAGAACCAGGTTTCTAGAGGTAAATGCACAGAGGCCACAAGACCTGGCAGCAATAATGGAATAAATGAAAAAAAAAAAAAAAAAAAAACTACGAAGCAGACCCAAGATTTAAAAAGCATAATTTTCTGGGACCATTATATGAGAGGCAAAGTGGCCGTTCAAACCACACCTCAGTAGAGCCTACTGAGACTCCCAGCCACACCGAAAAAGTCATTAAGTTGTTTAGAAGAAAATGTGTCTTCTCAAACTACAGTCATGCGGCGTGTAACGACAGAAATACGTTCTGAGAAACATGTCCTTAGGTGATTTTGGCTTTGTGTGAACATCAGAGTAATGAGTATGGTAGGCAACTGTAATACATTTGTAAGACAAATCTAAACATATCAGAACACAGAAAAGGTACAGCAAAAATACAGTACTATAATCTTATGGGATTACTGTCATACACGTGGTCTGTTGTTGACAATGCGGCACATGACTGCAATTAAAATGATTAAAATACATTTTAGTGCTTACAAGAATGTTTCAGTTACTGAATATAAATTCGCTTTCTATGAAACAGCTTGTTTCCTATCTATTTTATCCAGTGAATCATGGCACCTGCTGTTAGCTGCCTCCCCATGTCCATCCTCCTTTTCCTTCCTTAACCTCGGGAATCCCTGATTTTGTTCAAATAACAATGTGCTTAGCTCCCAGCCACCCTGACAACCAGTGGTTGCCATGTGATCCAGTTCTAACCAGTGAAATGTAAGGGAAAGCCTATTGCTTGGTACTTCCAGAAAGTTAGTTTTCCTCATTAAAATGGATAAGAGGCAGTTGACAAAAGCCACCTTCCTACCTGAAATGCAAATGTGAAACCTGGAGATATAGCAGCCATCTTGGGAGTATGAGGCTTTGTGCTGAAGATGATAAAGCAAAAAGACAGGAGGCAGCAACGTGGAGCCGTAAGACTGTCAGCCTCTGGGCTTTTTGTTTCATAAGAAAAATAATCCCTTACTTCCAGTGTTACTTTTCTTTTCTTTTCTTTTTTTTTTTTTTTGAGATGGAGTTTTGCTCCTGTCGCCCAGGTTGGAGTGCAATGGCACAATCTCACCTCACTGCAACCTCTGCCTCCTGAGTTCAAGGGATTCTCCTGCCTCAGCTTCCTGAGTAGCTGGGATTACAGGCGTACGCCACCACACCCAGCTAGTTTTTTGTATTTTTAATAGAGACGGGGTTTCACCATGTTGGCCAGGCTGGTCTTGAACTCCTGACTTCAGGTGATCCACCTATCTCAGCCCCTCAAAGTGCTGGGATTACAGGCGTGAGCTACTGTCCCCAGCCTTACTTAATTTTCTGAAATATATAGCCAAGCAAACCCTAACTGGCACCTTAATATCAGGTTATAATTCCCCGGTGATAAATATGACTCCTAATATCTTACTGTTTTCCTCCAAGTAGCCTGCAAAGTATTTTCATGTCTTTGGGGTGCCCCAATAAAACACAGGCTGACCGAGTGTTATTTACTGGGAGCTTGCCTAGCTGTTGCAAGTGGCAAATGGCCATTCATTGGTATTGTGTTTTTGCTAAGCTGACTTGCTTTTGAGACTTGGAATTTTGTTAGGAAACAAAAAGTGCTTTATGGCAAAGGCGTTAGCGCCACAATGGGACCTTTCTGCTTTGATTATGAAAACACATTAAGAGCTTAGCTGCACCGCAAGCAGTGGCCTGGAGACTCGGCTGAAGCCTCAGCCTTTCCGACGATTCTCCACTCAATATGCTGGAAGGGCACCAAACCCACTTGGGAGGAAACACTGCAGGCAGACACCAAAGATTAAAGGGGTTGAGCGTTCAGGTCCACTCTGGAGGACCTGTGTGATGAGCAGGCTGTGCCCCAACACAGCCCTACACCCTTCTTCACCAGCCCCCGACACTGGCTACATGCAACTCCCGTATTCTGCCTTGCAGGGGTTAAACATAAGCATCAAGCAAGCTTTACTGCTGTAATTCCTCACAACACCTGGAAAACGATGCGTCCCCAAGAGAAGCTCAGAGACAACCCAAGGGGTATAGACATAGGACAGTAAGCAAAGCTTCCCTGGGGTCCCAGCAGACACACCCTTGCTAAGGTGAGCCACTCTCCCCATCGGCTTACAAGGTTAATATGAAGATGGGATGAGATGCAGTGATGCTACCTCCAGGTACACCCAACACAAGTGTGTGCATGCACATACACAATACAGGCTAACCAAGAGTCATGTCCAACAATGCTCACAGCAGCATTTTTTTTTTTATAGAGAAGGAGTCTTGCTATGTTGCCCAGGCTGGTCTTGAACTCCTGGGCTCAGGTGATCCTCCTGCCTCAGACTCCCAAAGTGTCAGAATTACAGACATGAGCCACCGCATCTAGCCCGCAGCATTTTTTAGGAATATCCTCAAAATGTAAACAAACAAAATGTTCAACAGGAGAATGGATAGAAAAATTGTGCTAATCAGTCAATCGAATAACACACAGCAATGAAAATGAACAAATGACAGCTACATGCAACGAAAATGCACAGATTTCACAACAATGTTGCATGAAAGAAACCAGACACTAAAGAATATATACAGCATGATTATCCTTGTAGGAAGTTCAAAAAACAGGCACAACTAAATTTACAGTGTTTGGGGATTCATATTTTGGGTAAATAATTATTTTAAGAAGCAGGGAGGCAACTACTACTAAAGTCAAGCTAATGTTGTGCGTGGCAGTAAGAGAAGAGGTCATGATCAGGGAGCCTCCGGGGGCGCTGGCAGGGTTCCTTCTCTTGGACGGTGGTTACAAGGGTACTCACTTTGTGATAATTCACCAAGCTGTACATTTATGTTTTGTGTACTTTTCTGAGTCTGTATAATATTTTACAATATAAACAAAGTAAAAATGAAAAGGAATGATGTCTAGATCCAAACAAACCCAGCCTACCGTAGGTTCTCAATACATCTTTTTGTTTGTTTGGAGACGGAGTCTTGGTCTGTTGCCCAAGCTGGAGTGCAGTGGCGTGATCTCAGCTCACTGCAACCTCCGCCTCCCAGGTTCAAGCAATTCTCTTGCTTCAGCCTCCCGAGTAGCTGGCATTACAAGCATACGCCACCACATCCAGCTAATTTTTGTTTTTAGTAGAGACGGGGTTTCACTATGTTGGCCAGGCTGGTCTCAAACTCCTGTGACCTCAGGTAATCCACCTGCCTCGGCCTCCCAAAGTGCTGGGATTACAGGCGTAAGCCACTGCACCTGGCCATTCTCAATACATCTTGATTGAACCTGAATCCTATGCCACTTTATCACCCCTCCAGGATGCCTGGAATCCTCCTCTTCAGAGAAGAAATGCTCACATTTATGTTCCACTGGAAACTGGCAAGGGTACAGCAATTCATCCTTCCCTGGATGCTTCGAGTATATTCATCTCTATTTTCCAAGCCAAAATCATAAGCTCCTCTGAAGGAGGAAATGGCTTGGGATATACACATTTTCTCCACAGATTAGTGATGGAAACCTAACCTAGCTCAGAAAGCAACAAAGAAGTCACTACAGGGAGAAAGAGCAGGGAATTTTGCTGGGGTCATCAAAACAAAGGCTAGAGACACACCAGGACCTTGATGAGGGGATAAGGGGTTCAGGATCTGGTCTACTCCAGCCCTGAAGAGTCGGCTCAAGCTAACTTAACATACACATGACTACTATCAATTGCACAAAGCCACTTGGGCTCTGCTATCCTAGAAAGTCCACATCAATCAGAGTATTCTCCCTGATGAGCAAGCTTACACTTCAGCAGATGTTTGTCGGGTGTGCTTATCCTAACACCAAAAACTAGTTTTAAGAATTGCCACGTGTGGCAGGAAGCAAACAAACCTGGATGCTTGCAGCTCATCACACCAACGGTCTCGCCGGTGAGACGGGATGCAGAGGAGTCTGACCCTGAGAGCCCCCTCACCTAGGCAACCCTGCTTGGGCACTGAAAAGGTTTGCCTCAGGAACCTCCATTTCCTAAGCTGACCAAGCTGCCTCTAAATCACACATTCTCCCTATGCAGATACCTCAGCCATGGAGCCACAGCCCAGCCCTGCCAGCCCAGAAGCATCCCACTCCCACCTCGCCCCAGGTCCTGCAGGAAACTTGGCCCAACGCTCCACAGGCCCCTCCTGAGTGGGGTCTAACTGCTCCAGAGAGCAGGCTGTTTTCTTGTCTTTCTCAGTTCCAGATTCCAAGTGACCAACAATGCTCCCCCTCCCTACCTTCTGGCACTGTTCAGTTTCTTCCCAGCCAAGTACAGACAGCCCTCAATGCGCAGCAGCACCCACCCTCCACACTCTCCCAGCCTTCTACCTCTCCACACTGGTGAGCAAGTGCACCTCCAGAGCACTCAGACTGGAAGAAAGGTAAGAGGCTTCTGGCTCTGAGATGTCATGACAGTCCAGTCAGCTGCCTGCCAGTGTTCCAGCCCCAGCCAGGCGTCCCCACGTTTCTTGGCCTACCTCTTCACAGCCAAACATTCTGCAGGAGCAAGATGCACTAGAATCTCTAGCCAGGAAACTCCTCACCCTTCTCACTTTTTTCCTAAGAAAGAAGTAAACAGCAGAGGAAGTGGACAGAAAAGGTGTTTTTAGAGCTTCTAGACTGTTTTTCCAAGAGCTGTGTGCAGTGTGCACAGGCAGGCTCATCCCCACCTTCTGAGACTCTGTCTTCTCAGATGGGGATAATAGCTTTCTCCCTGCTCTCAAGACAGTTGTGAGAATCAAGGAATGGGGAACATGCTACATGGCTCCTGGGTGGTACGGCGCTCCATACCAAGATAACTCTGGCTCAGAAGGGTGCCTGGCAGGCAATGCGGGATGCTCAGAGGAGGATCAAAGTGCATTTGCTGCAGAGAATTGAGCCAGGAAATGGTTATCTGTACACTTTTAAAAGACATTAGATAAGCATTCTTGGTAGGCTTCTGCCAAGCACATCATACCCCCAACCCATGCATTTGGAAAAATGAACCAGCAAGAGAGCATCTGCTCTGAACGGACGGCAGTGCAGCCTCACTCAAATCCTCTCAAATGCCCTATTTCACAGACGATGGCACTGAGGCTTGGGGAGGTTAAGTTACCTAAATTACCTTAAGCTAAGGCCACTCAGCTCTTCGGTGTTAGGACTTAGATTTCTCTCTAGCTCCCACACTCTTTCCAATTTCATCGTGTCTAAAAACCATCCATTAAACTACACAAAATGACCACTCATGCTGGTACCTCATGCTTTATTGGCAACCAAGCCTTTTTACGTCTACTCACTCGGTCCTTATAACTCTTCAGTGAATAAGTTTTATCACCACCAACACTCCCTTTTAGAGATGAGGGAAACTGAGGCTCATTGAGGTGAAGTGACGTGCCAGAGGTCACTGGGATAACCACGGTCAGGAAGAGCCCTGGTGGGGCAGCACCGCCACCTTCCCAGTCTAATCAGGGATGGTTTTTCCAGAGTCTTGGTTCTGCCACAACTCACGGCCCTCAGAAGAAAGGATCAGAAGTCCATGGAAAAAGGGAAAACCAGAAAGGTTCTCTCCGGACAAGGTGCAGCAAGCTTTGAGGCAGGGCCCAGGTGAACTTGTGTGAAGAGAGAGATTCCCCAGTTCCCAAGTGCCAAGAGGAGGGACAAGGTGAAGTGCTGGCACTTAGGGTACTACCCTCCTCAGGCCCCCAAAACTAGGATTATATGATGAACTCCACTACCTCTGAGCCAAGTCTGCCCACCTCTAGGTAAGGAGATTAAAGCCAAGGCTGGGTATTGCCCCTGCTCGCCCAACGTGGCCTCTCACACACAATGAAGGGCTCTGGCTTTTATTTTATTTATTTATTTTTTGAGACAGGGTCTTGTTCTGTTGCCCAGGCTGGAGTGCAATGGCACAAACACAACTCACTGCAGCCTCAAGTTCCTGGGCTCAGGCAATCCTCCAACCTCAGCCTCCTAAGTAGCTGGGACTATAAGCATGCACAACCACATCCAGCTATTTTGTTTTTTGTTGTTGTTTGTTTGTTTTAAACTAGAGACAAACTCTCCCTGTGTAGCCCAGGCTGGCCTCAAACTCCTGGGTTCAAAAGATCCTCCTGAGTCGCCAGGCGTGGTGGCTCACGCCTGTAATCCTAGCACTTTGGGAGGCCGAGGTGGGCAGATCACGAGGTCAGGAGATCAAGACCATCCTGACTAACATGGTGAAACCCCGTCTCTCCTAAAAATACAAAAAATAGCCGGGCGTGGTGGCAGGTGCCTGTAGTCCCAGCTACCCGGGAGGCTGAGGCAGGAGAATGGCGTGAACCCGGGAGGCAGAGCTTGCAGTGAGCCAAGATCGCACCACTGCACCCCAGCCTGGGCAACAAAGCGAAACTCTGTCTCAAAAAAACAAAAAAAAAAGATCCTCCTGACTCAGCCTCCCAAAGTGCTAGGATTACAGGCATGAGCCACTGCACCCAGACTGCTCTGGCTTCTTTAATATTTATTTGGTATTTAAAAGCCACTTGGCCTAGGAAGCAGGGTTGCAGAAAAATGCCTGGAATGTAGGAAACTGTTCTTTCCTTGCTCACTCTGCAGAGGATCCACTGGAGCATCAGGCCTGGCTGCCCAAACCCTCTGCACCTGGCTTCTCTGCTGGGTCTGTTCAAACTTCAGGCCCAGGCTGGGAACGGTGGCTCATGCCTGTAATCCCAGCACTTTGGGAGGTCAAGGTGGGTGGATCACCTGAGGTCAAGAGTTTGAAACCAGCCTGGCCAACATGGTGAAACCCTATCTCTACTAAAAATACAAAAAGTTAGCCAGGCATGGTGGCAGGCATCTGTAATCCCAGCTACTTGGGTGGCTGAGGCAGGAGAATCACTTGAACCCGGGAGGTGGAGGTTACAATGAGCCGAGATCACGCCATTGCACTCCAGCCTGGGCAACAGAGCAAGACTCTACCTCAATAAATAAATAAATAAATAAATAAATAAATAAATAAAAAAAATTCAGGCCCAAACCTAGGAAAGAGGGCCCAGTGAAGACAGGCTGAATCTCAAGCCTGTGTTTGTCCCTGCCCTTCCTGCACCTCCTGTGAGCAAGTGTCCAGTCCCCTTTGTTTTCATCAGGAAACTGAGGGTTGGAGAGAAGAGGCAATAAGCCCAGAGAGGAGTGATGTGGGGCAAAGAGCATGATCTTGAGTCAGAGAGGGGCTTCACTACAAGCTCCTGCCACTTACAAATAGCAGGACTCCAGGCTAGTATGTTACAACTTAGGCCCTTGATGATCCTCATCTGCAAAATGGACATCACAGCACCTTCCAGGTCAGTGGGAGGATTCAGAGGGATGATAAAAGTTCCCAGCATAGGGCTTGGCAGGCCATAGGCACCCAGTCAATGATAACCATTATTCTAACTGCTCAGAGCCAGGATTCCACACAGGGCTCATGGCTTCCTCTGTCCAGTTAGACACATTCAAACCCATGTCCACGCCTCCAAAGTCCACCCTAACAAGCCACTCCACCCCAACAGAAGCTCCCTCAGTAACCTAACTTGCTGACCCAAGACCCCAGAGTAATGTATTAGCAGGGTGGCTGCCACAGTGAACACTGCCCAGGGCACTTGCTCCTTTGTAATCAAGGTGGCAGGTTGGGGAGCAGGAGACTGGGGGCACGTGGGAGATTAGGGAGGTACCCAGATGGGTTTCATTTCTCCCCTCTGAAGCCAAGATAGCCCCTTCTAGGGCAGGACAGCAGCTGCCAGGCTACACGCTCTAGAATAAGACTATCCAAGAGATGTACTTGGTATGTTCTAGTAGCCATATTAAAAGCCAAACAAAGGCCAGGCACAGTAGCTCACACCTGTAATCCCAGCACTTTGGGACGCTGACGCAGGTGGATCACCTGAGGTTGGGAGTTCGAGATCAGCCTGACCAACATGGAGAAACCCTTTCTCTACTAAAAATACAAATTAGCCAGGCGTGGTGGCTCATGCCTGTAATCCCAGCTACTGGGGAGGCTAAGGCAGAAGAATCACTTGAACCCGGGAGGTGGAGGTTACGGTGAGCCAAGATCGCACCATTGCACTCTAGCCTGGGCAACAGGAGTGAAATTCTGTCTCAAAAAAAAAAAAAAAAAAAAAAAAAAAAAAGCCAAACAATAAAGATTTTAATGATCTATTTTATTTAATCAAACATACCCAAAATATCACTTCAACACATAATCACACAAAACATACAAAAATAAATATAAAACATTAAAAATATATATATTTTTTCCTTCGAGACAAAGTCTTGCTCTGACACCCAGGCTAGAGTGCAGTGGCATGATCTTGGCTCACTGCAACCTCCACCTCCCGGGTTCAAGCAATTCTTCTGCCTCAGCCTCCCCAGTAGCTGGGATTACAGGCCCCTGCCACCAGGCCTGGCTAATTTTTGTATTTTTAGTAGAGACGGGGTTTCACCATGTTGGCCAGGCTGGTCTTGAATTCCTGACCTCGTAATCTGCCTGCCTCGGCCTCCCAAAGTGCTGGAATTATAGGCATGAGCCACCTTGCCCAGCCTAAAGAGATCTTTTACATTCTTTTGTTCATATTGTCTTCTGAATCCACCAAGCATTTTTACACTGCACACCCCGACTAGGACTAGCCACAGCCTCAGTGCTGAGAAGCCACATGTGGCTGATGGCTACCGCATTGGAAAAAGCAGAATGAACATTTCAATTATTGCAGAAAGTTCTAGACAGTGCAGCTGACCTTTTTCATCAGATCCCGAGATTTGAGGGGTGGGAGGCTGGCATGTGTGCGGCTCTTCTCTCTGAATTACCAGAGGGACCAACTTCTCTGACAGCTGGGGGCTGACAGGAAATACCTGTTTGTCAGGCTATGAAAAAGCTTTCCCCTCGGTCTTCCTCAGGCTTGGGCAGGGCTGGGGGTTTCCATGACTCATGACACCTGCGGAGCCCAAAGCATCCCCTAGGGAGCTGAACCAACACTCGCACCACAGAAAAATGCAGCTTGGGGGTGGGAGGAGGGGGTGGGAGGGGGAGATGGGAGATAAAGGCTGGACAAATCCCCAAGAACACCAAGTTACCAACTGCAAAGGGAAGACTCCAGGGGACTCCCAGCTGCCGGCCCGCAAGTCTGCTCTCTCCAGAGATGACCAAGAAGGGGAGGTGGAAATCACCGAAATGTGCAACCCCAGACACAGGTTGGACAAATCCAACTACATCCACATAATCGAGTATCAGGCAGTGCTTAAAAACTCTACAGTGAACATCTACAACTAATAATAAAAACTACGCTTTGTTAAACAACCACATCGAGCTAGAATGTTTACCTAAACTACCTCTTGTAATTATTGCAGTGGAGTCATGAGTTAGGGTAGTATTATTCCCATGCTACGAGAGAAAGTGAGGGTGAGGTTCCTCAAACTAAAATTCACTTAAGCAAGATGGTCCAGCCAGCAAGGGGCCAAGGCCACACTGAGCCAAAGCCCCTCAGACTCCAAAACCCAAAACCGACCTTATTACTACACTATTGCCTTCCCGTGGTGTTTTTGGGGCAGAGGAGGTGAATCAGATACATATCCACCTGCAGACAAGGACAAAGAGGGAGCATAGAAATATGAAAAGTTTGGTTAGGTGGGGGCCCTGAACCAGTTGTTTTTACATTCTTATGGTGTGTAGGCAATGCATCGTTTTTTAAAGGCTATCTTCTAGGAAAAGAAAAAAATGAGAAAAGTACCAAGAACATCAACTATGCACAAGCCATCCTGGTCACCCCTGAGGTCTGATGCCCCATGCTCCCCCATAGTGGGTGGGCTGAGACTAGAACCACGGTGCTTCAAGTAAGATTGAAAACACATACACTGTTTCTATCAAAGAACCAACTGGAAGCATGGTTGATGGCAACCCCTTGGTGACACCAATACCTGGTACAAAATGGAAGAAACATCAACAAAAAATATTAACAGCAAACATGTGTATGATATGCCAGCACTGGTATAAGCATTCTGCCTATGGTAATTACACTAACTTATTTAAGACGCACAATAACTCTCCTGAGGGAGATACTGCTACCATCCCCATTTTACTGATAAAGCAACTGAATCACAGGGAGATCGCAGCTTGCTCAAGACCACACAGCCAGGGAGTGGCAAAGCTGGGATTCAAACCCAAGCAGTCTGGCTCCAGAGCAGGGCTGTTTGCCGTATTGCCTCTCTTAGAGCACTAATAACAAACCTCTGCTGCCTGCATCCGAGCAAATCACCCAGCTCAGGTGGAGACTGCAGGCAGGCACCTTCTTGGATGAAGAACTAATCCCTCCTGGGTTAATGAGGACAGAGAAGGGGCAGAGTCACAGGAAGCATGCATGCGCAGGCCTGTGGACCCTGGGGGATGGCCATCTCAGGGGCAAACGGGTTGCACTGTAGAGCCCACAACGAGTTCAGGTCAACCCCTCGGTCTGGGAGCACCCAGAACCAGGAGGTGAGAGAACAGCTCCCTCTCACTGGCCAGCTCCCAGAGGATTCAAACGGACTATCCTCCTGAAGTGTCATAGCCCGTGGCCATAGTCAGCAGGTACTGATTCCACAGGTGCTATCAGAGCTGTCCCAGGGCTCCCGTCCCAATCCCTCTCAAGGTAAGAGTTCCCTGAAGATCTGAACCATCCCTTTCTGACCCATAAGGGCATCTTTCCCTGGCTTTATGGGACAGAGCCCTCCCACATGCTTACCTTAGTGGAAGACAGGCAGAGCTTTCCAGATTATGCCCGTTTTATAGACAGGAACACTGAGGCACCTGGGAGTGTAAGTCAAGCTGACTTTGCTCTGTGCTGCTGGGAACAGCTCTGGCTCTGGGCCAGGATAAGCCGGCTCCTGGCACTAAATCATTATTCTCCAAGCCGCTGAAGGAGATGAGCATAATTCATGAGCCTTCAGTGCACTTCCTGCAAAGGAGCAGCCCTCCCAAGGGCACGTGCTACTCAGGTAAGGCAGCATCTGCTCAGGCAGATGGCGGCAGGGATGTCCTCTCAGGGAAGGCATCCCCCCGCCACAGTGCTCCTCCCTCATGGAGTCCCTCAGGACTGCGGTGCTTCCTGCCCATGTGAAACTCAGAGAGAAGTGAGAAATGTCCAGCCCTTCTCCCTGCCCAGGCCCCATCCCCGTCTGTACCCACCCTTCAAGCAGGCTCCAGGGTCTCTGCCGGCCTCCTCAGGTCATCTCTTTCCCCGGAACCCTCAAACCCCACAGCTGCACCCCATCATGGCACTGCTCACTGTCTGCCTTCTCCCCCCCATATCCCAACTCACTCAACAAACGTGACTGTGCCACAGCCTGCGAGAGGCCCTGGGAAGGTAAAGACAGACTTTGCCCTGGAAATATTCACAGACCTGCAACTGAGTTGAAACCACTGACTGAGGTGGGTAAGAATGGCCGGCTGACTGCGGACCAGCCTCACAGAGCCAGGCTGGGCACAGCTGCTGGATCCCGGCAGGTGCCTTCACAGATGTTTGGGTAAGTCATTAAACCTCTCCAGACCTCAGAGACTCATCTTTTAAACTCCCTTCCATTTCTTCTATGAAGCAACCTGCCAGGGTCTCTATACTTCCCACGGGGCCAAGCACAACATCTTCACTATAGGAAACAACCCATAAAATACTGGATGCTTGGGCTTTTATCCACAGTATCCAGATACCCACCTGCCTAATCCAAATGCCAACTTCTTGTTTTGTTCTTCTTAGAGTACATCTGTCAGGATTGCATAGGCTATGCCATGGTAACAAACAACTCCCAAATCCCAGTAGTATAAACAACAGAGGTTACCTCTCATTCATACTACGTGTTCATCGTGAGTTGACTAGGAGCTCCGACCCGCACCTCCTTACACCAGGACTAGGCTGACGGCGCCTCCACCATCTAGGAGCACGAGAGGGTAGGAGGAAGGAATGTGGCAAATCACATGAGCACTAAAAGTTTCCCCACTTTAATGTCATGTTTCTTTCTGCTCATAGTTCACTGGTCAAAACAAGTCACACATCCACACCTAACTGAAGAAGGTAGGAGAGTGCAATGCTTCCACGTGCTCAGTAGAAAGACAACCAGAAATAGATGGGAACTGCACCAACGACCACAAGCAGGATTTGAGCAGGAGTTAACGATACCAAACTGGACAAAAGGCTGAATATGATTTTGTCTTCTCTTTAGATCAGAGAATCTCGAACTTCTGACCTCAAGTGATTTGCCCACCTCGGCCTCCCAAAGTGCTGGGATTAGAGGCAGGAGCCACCCGGCCTAGATCAGAGAATCTCAACCTTGCACTATTAACATTTGGGGACAGATAATTCTTTGTTGCAGGAGGTCCTGTGCATCACAAGGTGTTGAACAGCACAGCATCCCTGGCCTCTACCCACGAGATGCTGGTGGCAAACTCCCTCTCCAAATTGTGACAACCAAAAATGTCTCCAGACATTGCCAAATGTCCCTGGAGGACAAAAATTACCTCTAGTTGAGAACCTCTGCTTTAGACTTACAAGAAGTATACTCTTTATTAAAGAGCAAAGAAAATAATGACATCACCCTCCTCCCTCAAAATATCTTACTCAGAACTCTCTTAAGAGACAGTTTTCTCATCTGCAATATAAGAATGCTGGTACCCACCTCAAAGGGTCGTTGTGAGGATTCAACAGGCAAATGCCTTTAGAGCACTCAGCCCAGGCACATGGTAAATGGTAAGGGTGAGGCAGCAGTGGCATTGCCTGTCAGTAACTGGGGCTCACTGTGTTACTGTTACCATCAGCACAGCTGCTAGCATTACTGTCCGTGAGAAGTGATGGGAACAGCCAGGCAGAGATTTCTTTTTCAGAGAGCCAAGGGAGCCACTCGCTTGGCCCAAGGTCATCCTGGCCCCAGACAGGAATCCAACGCTGGAAGGCTGCTGCAGAATTCTTGCCATTTGCACCCCAGCCCCCAACAACTGAAGTCAAACGACATCTGTGCCGTGATTACGGTTGAGGTAGGTTCTGGAATGTGCTGACGCTCAAGTGTGAGCAAGCACAGAAAGATGAAAAACCAGTGCCTGCCCCCGAGGAGGGCTCCTGACATGGGACTAGGTCACCCACAAGCCTACAATGACCACTTGTGAGGCTGCACGTGGCTTGAGGCCGGCCTCTGCCTTTTCACCAAGGGCTAGAGAATGGAAGGAGAGGATGGAGTCGATTTTAAATTAGCAAAAGGAAAAGATTGTACAGGGAAAATGTCATATTTTAAGACATTAAGTTTTGACAGATGGCCTCACATGTAAGACAGGGTCTCGGAATCAGGGAGGGGATACTTCAGGGTCATCAAGCCCACTCTCCCTCCACCCACTGGGGGATTCCTCTTGCGGTGTTGATGGACAGCCACCTTGTCTTCGCAGGACCACTTCCAAAGACAAGCCTCAGGATGGTCGAGGCTACACCGGATGCTTCTGACAGGCATACAGCTTTCTCCCCTCCACAGTGGTTTATGACAACTGGCTCCAGAATCAGCAGACCTGGCTTGGAATTCCAGCTCTGCCATTTCCTAGCTGAAAGGCTCTGCCAAGTTCTCAGCCCCTTGCTCACTCTTCAGAGCCATCAGCTGTCATGCAGTCTGAGCCCTTGGCTAAGGTACCAATCAAGGAGGCAGGCATGGAGGCACAATCCAGCCTACATAATCTCCACCAAGCCCAGTACCTGGCACAGTCCACCTGAGGGACAACTTTCAGTAATTTGTGCAAAGTCTGCATGCTCTGCTACAGCAGCCCACCTGACCCTCAATTCCTTTACCTCGAAATGTTTCCTAAATCTCCATCAAGTTATTATGAGAACTAACGACAATGTATGGAAAGTATTTAGCAGTGTCTGGAACAGCAATCATTGTGATGAAAATTATAACAAGCTGGGTGCAGCGGCTCACGCCTGTAATCCCAGCACTTTGGGAGGCCGAGGCAGGCGGATCTTTTGAGGTCAGGAGCTCAAGACCAACCTGGCCAACATGGTGAAACCCCATCTCTACTAAAAATGCAAAAATTAGCCAGGCGTGGTGGCGCATGCCTGTAATCCCAGCTACTGTTTAGTCATTGCTGGAGCTGGAGCAGCTGGGATGTAGGGCATCATGCTCTGAGGCTACACACAGCAGCAGGGTCCTGGGCTTGCCCTCCAAAAAGCATTTTTTCCTCCTAGGCCTCCAGGCCTGTGATGGGAGAGGCTGCCACGAAGGTCTCTGCAATGCCCTGGAGACATTTTCTCCATTGTCTCAGCTATTAAAATTCAACTCTTACTTAATTATGCAAATTTCTGCAGCCTGAGGCTGAGGCAGGAGAATCACTTGAACCAGAGATTCAGTGAGCCAAGATCACAGCCACTGCACTTCAGCTCAAAAAAAAAAAAAAAAAAAAAAAAAGAAGAAAAGAAATTAAAAAAAAAAAAAAGAAAAAGAAAATTAGGACAACTCCTGATGACCTAATATATAGCCTTGGTCAAGGTCCTGACTCTAAAGCAACCACAAGCCTAAATACTGCATCACAGGGCTGCAATAAGGATTAAATGAAACAATGTATGAAAGGAGTTTAGCACAAAGTGAAGGGCTCAGGCCTTGACAGACATCAGCAATTACTGTTACAGACTCCCACAGCCTTTGGTCTGAATTCTGTATCCTGGAGCTCATGCAACCTAGCACAATGCCTGGTACATAGGAAGGGCTTGAAAAACATCCGCCATTGTCATTATCACATAACTTGCATACCCTTTGTTATGAATCCTGCATCCTGGAGCTTCACATAAGCTTGATCTCCTGATAAAGCCAAGGATTTGGAGTCAACCCATGTAAAGGGGCTGGTGCAAGGCCTGGCAGAGTCAGGGTCCGGACCCAGCAGCACCCTTTGCCCCCGCTACTCGCAGAGGGCCCCAATCCCTGAAGGTGGTGAGTGCCATCCTTCCTCCACAAACCTCCTATTTCTCATAACTCTGCACCCCAATGACCCACAAGTTTGTCAACATCTCTTCCAATGTGTACTCCTCAATTTCTCCCAAATTTTCAGTTGTCGTAACGCTACTTTTAGAACTTTAAAATATTCTTCCAAAACAACTTTAGTTTCTAATTTAACCAAATAAGCTAAAAATAAAATGTGGTACCCAGAACAGAACATGAACATCTCAATGAGGCCTGGTTGGTCCAGGTGCATGGCTAAGCATCAAACCTGTATTGCTATGGCCCAAGGTGTCCTTGTCCTTGCTGGCTACCACACCTCCATAGAGCCTTCTGGAGCATGACAGCAGCTGAAACCTGTCTTTTCATACCATCAAACCTACACTATCCCGTCAGTACTTGCACAGCTACCCCTTAGCAGCTGGGTGGCCTTGGGAACATCACTTCTAACATCAGCTTTCATCATCTTAAAGATCACTAGGGCCACTCTGGACCCTAATGCTCAAGGGAAGGCTTCAAGGGTTTCATTTCTAGGAGGCTTCTGACCAGGTACAAAGCTTTACACCCACTGCATTGCACGGAACCTCCCTTGTCCCACTGACCCCTGCACTCTTTATAAGCTTGCTGGTCATCCATCCTGGCTCAGCTCCCCCAGACCTGGGTCTCCAGTAATGTGCCTTTATCCAAGGTGATGCCATAACGCAGAACGGCAGACGCCGAAGGTGCCTTCTCCCATCTGACACGAGTCCACTCTCAAGATGACAGCAGCACTGGTGCAGATGTGGCAGGTGACTCCACCCTACAATCGCTGCCAGTCCTCCCAGACCAGCCTCAGATAACAGGCACTCAAATGAACCATGTGCTTGCCACAGTCAGTACTTTGCAACAAACTCCCTTTGACACCCTTCCAAACAGAAGGCCTCGTACACCCCCTCTGCTTTGGTGGTGGCTGATGAATTTTAAACTCTGACACACAATAGTTCATTCAGTCCCCGTCTCTCCACAGGATTTTCACTAACACATTATTGAAGGCTTACCTGAGAGCCAGACCCATCTTCACTGTGGGGAGCACATGAAGATGACATCATGAGTGCCTTGCCAATAGCTCTGCCAAGGGCCGGCTGTCTGCCACCTACCAGAACAGGCCTGGCTAGCCTGGCACACCTTGTTCTGAAAATAGGAAGGGGCCATCACTTTGACCCAGACTGGGCTCAACATGTGCTCACAAAGCAACTGCTTTAATAATGCTTTCTGGAAATTTCTTAGAAATGAAGCCCAGCCTTAGCAGACTATAGTTTCTGGAATTCACGTTTTCCTAATTTCCCAAAAGCTGGGATAATTTTTGCCCCCTCTGGTTGTCCGGTGCCTTGATCTCCCTTCTTAGCTACTTCAATTGACTGATAAAACCACCCTGTGATGGTAATAACCAGGTTCCCAAGTGCCCAGGAAAATAAGTCCTAGGGGTGGACTTCATTTAAAGCAGACTGTGGTTTCTGCCTCAGTTCCCTCTTGCTCCTGGTTGGATTACACTTGCTGCCCAGGGGCCCAACAGAAAACAGAGAGGCGCTGCTTCCCTCCACCTCCCTGAGTTAATGGTGTATTGCTTGGCTTCTGCCTCAGGCTGATCGCACCCTTGTTCCTCTTGCTCTGAACAAATCTTCAAGAACCCTTCTGATGCCCTTGGCATATCCTGAAGCTGTTAACCCTCCTGGCCCTGCTCTAAAACCAACAGGCTGGTGCTGCTCTCCCACTCACCCTGGCTTACTTGACTTCTAATTCCATTTTTTCATAGAAGTCCTCAAAACCTAACTCAGATCTGAGGGTTCCTCTGCAGCTGCACTCATTTCTTTCAGTGCCTCATGCCGCCCTTTGCTTCTTCCTCAAAGCATTCCCACATGTTCGTTAAAGTTTCCCTAAGAGTCTCCATCAAAGCCAGTGAGTCTCCACCTGCCCACACAACCGCATCACCTGAGGCGCATTTTAAAAATTCCAATGCCCAGGCCCCACCCCAAGATTCCAGTGGGGCTTTGCTAGGGTGGGATCCAGGCCTCAATAGCTTTAACAGTCTCCAGGAAATTCTAATGGCAGCCAGGGCTGGGACTCACAACCTGGGCCACGATCTCAAACACTAGTGTTATCGGGATCACCCTGGGAGAAACAGCGCACAGAGGCCTAGCTGGGTGCAGCAGGGTGGGTCCTCCATCTTCTATAAGCTTCCCCAAGCAATGCTGACAATGACAAAAGTTTGAGAACCACTGGACTGTCCGGAAAGTGGGAGAATTTGAAAAGGAGATTTTCCCCATTGGGCTTTTTACTTGGAAACTCCTGAGCTGTTTCCCTGTGGTTGAAATTATCTAAATAGAATTGTCACATCAAGTTGTGTGTAAGTAGAGTTGGTTGGTCAAGAGCCTTTTTTTTTTTTTTTTTTTTGAGACTGAGTCTCACTCTATTGCCCAGGCTGGAGTGCAGTGGTGCAATCTCGGCTCACTGCACCCTCCGCCCCTCTGCCTCCCGAGTTCATGCCATTCTCCTGCCTCAGCCTCCCGAGTAGCTGGGACCACAGGCGCCCGCCACCACACTCGGCTAAATTTTGTATTTTCAGTAGAGACGGGGTTTCACCATGTTGGCCAGGCTGGTCTCGAACTCCTGACCTCAAGTGATCCATCTGCCTCAGCCTCCCAAAGTGCTGGAATTACAGGCATAAGCCACCGCTCCCAGCCTCAAGAGGCATTTTTAAGGGTAAAATATTACTGCTACTGAAGGAAAAAACAGTATGCACATGCACACACACTCCTCATTTTTGCAGCAAAACCTGTACAAACCTGCCTGCCCATCCCGGAAAGAAACTGCCACCGTGACGGTCTTGCTGTGCACGCACTGACTCTGCCAGACTTTCCAGTAAGATCTCTTTCTCAGTCACTCCTGGAGCTTCCTCACCAATACTGCTGGCCCTCCTTGCTGCACATGTGTTGCTGCAGCCAAACAGGGTTTCTCAAACATGGGCTGTTCATCAAGTCTGGCATATGCCACCAGTACTATTATTTAATATTTTCTCTTAAATCTACTCACTTTTTAAAAAAGAAACTATCTCATTGCCATAAAGGAGACACTAGTATCTGTGCCATACAGAAGATTTCCATAAAAACAAGCATAACTGAAACAAAACAACATTATTATATATTTGGGGCCCCACTGCCTGCAGAAGGCCGGGATCCTGCGGCCTGTTTCCTCCTGGTCCCACTCCTTGCTTTTTAGAAAGGGAGGTCACATTCAGACTTTCTCCTAGAGGCCATTCAAGGACTGAAAGGGGGCTGTAAGGAGACATCTTCTTCATTATGGGGTTTACAGTAATTAATGCAGCCACATCTGGGCACCATCCTTGTCCCAGGACATTTTCCAGAAAGGACTGCAGTACCGACAAGTGAAAGTCACTGGGACAGCTGGTCCCACGATAAGAGGATGAAGCCCACCCTGGCACTGGTTATTCAATCTTCCCCAGCTTCAGCCTCTGTTTCTCTGTATGGAGTTTAAGGTCCTTCACTCACCATCTGGAAGAATGAAATGGGTTACCGATAACATAAACCGCAAGCCCTTTTTGGGAACGTCTGCTGTCTCATATCGCAAAGAGGTGGAAATGAAAGAGCTGAAGACCAAATATCTGCTCATCTGCTGACTTTAATGAGCAGCTCCGCATTCTCCTGCCCAACAGGGAAGGAGGAAAAGCCCACTTACTGCTGCCCCTAGAAAACACCAGAGCAGGAAGGGTCGGATGCTTTCTGCTTACGCAAAAAGAAAGACAAATGTGAGCTTTTAAAACTGAGTGCAATTGATGAAAGCTGAACCTCAGAGTTCTAACCTGCTGGCCCACACTCTCATCTCAGAGGAGGACACGGCAGGGCTGTGGCTGCTAGCAAATTCACTAGCACACGGCCAGCCCCTCGGTATCCCTCCAAGACAGTTTCCATCTTCACTCGGCCTGAAAAGCTAACAGAAGTAAGAGGCCCTGCGTTTGGCAGGTGGCTGCAAATCCTGAGGGCCACTGCCACTGCCTGGCTTGAATGAAGGCTCAGGGCTTAATCATTAACCTGAGATCCCCCAGGATCCCCTTGCTGGTTACCATGGCACATGCAAATTTCCCACAGTCCCAACCCAATTCCTGCGTTCTCAGATTCTCGCTCTGGGGCACAGGAGGCCCAGCTAGGCAAGAAGACCACATGGGGGCCTCCCTTCTGTTGGAAGGGAGGGGAGAGGTGAGGAAAGAGGACCAGAAAATCTGGCTGAGACATATTTCAAATACTTAAAATCAGGCAGAATCAGCCAGCAAGGTGAACAAAATAGAGAAAGGGGGCGGCAAATTATCTAGGTTTTTCTATTCAACTCATGAGTTTCAGGGTTTCTAATTTTAGGGGAAATTGGAGTTTCTATGGCACTCTTATGCCTTCCTCCCTTGCCCCCATCTTATTAAGTGTAATTAGAGACAAACAAAAGCAGCATCATGGCTCTCTCCAGTCACATCTGGGTGGCTGGAGATGAGGCATCTCCCTTAGGCAAACACAAAAACGCCACCCGGGGCCTCACTCTCTTACTCAAAATAAGACTTGTTTCACACTGCAGTTATTAAAGAAGAAACAGGCCTATCCCAGGAACTTGGCCAAAAGAGATTCATAATGCTGGGCCTGACCACTGGCCCATGAGGTCCCAACAAGCCAGATCTTGCGGCGGCTCATGGAGTAGGGGGCAGAACTCAAAACGTTCCAGAAGCACTTACTATCTGCCTGCATAAAGACCCAACCCTAAAGGAGGCTTATGCGCAGTACCATCTCGTCTCTTCTTGGAAGGAAGCACTTTCCAAACTGTTCCCTCTGAGAGCCTAGGGGCAACACTCAAATTTTACCAATTATAATAAGCAAATATGATCCAACTTAAAAAAAATGATTCCAGGCTTTGAAAAGCATGTTTGCACCTGATCAATGACAGCTACAAGTAAACTGAACTGACTGTAGACCCGCCATCAACTCAGGTTCCACAGGGACTGCATGATCGATGAAGCAATGAATGCTCTGTGAGAGCTCGCCCTGTTATTCTGAAATCACAGTGATTAAAATACCCACTTGGCAGTCATGTGTTACCTGGTAGAGACAGCCTTACTGGACAACATTGCTCACAGATTTCAGAGCTGGAAGGGACACGAGAAATGATCTCCAAGCCTCCCTCCTGTCGCCCAACTCCACCTTTGGGGCAGATCAGGGGGCTATATCCCAAGGATACTAAGGGACTGGGCCTAAGTCATCATCGGGGCAGACATGTCCTCCAAGTCCTGGCCCAGGTTGTCCAATGCACCTCACCTCCTCTGTGTGAGGGGTCCCTTGGACTTTTCTTGAGTTAAATAAACACCCACAGTCACACTCACACACAGAGCCTTGTATAAAGACAAGCACACATATAAACTATGCTTTTCTGCCTCCCAAGATGTTGGACAAGGCCAGGAAAGTGCGAGATCAGTATTAGAGGGCTCAGGGGAGGAGGAGAGGAGCAGCCGCTGCATATACCCCCAGAACCCTGTACCACTGAGGCGTGCATTCTTTCAGAAGCCCACAAGCTCCTGTCCTGCTAAAATCAAGTCTGATTTCTCAAGCTTCCTTCCCTGCCCAATGGGTAAGGGCAGAAACCACCTCCTGTGCTGTGCAGAACTCACACCCACTCTGCACACCTGAAGCAGAGCCCTGCCCAGCCGCCCGGCTTACCAGCTGTGCCCACCTGGAACCCGCACTGCCCGGGAGCCCCTTCCCTCTGCCTCTCCAGTCACTGAATGGGAGCAGGATCACCTGGGGCACTTGCTTATGGGCTGAGCCCAGGGACACTGACAGGGCCGCCTCCCAGGCACAGGGAGCCACCCAGCAGGCCACACTGAGTCAGCGGCCAGGGTCCAAAATTTGCTTCCTGGAGAACTTGGAAGGGACACCGCCCAATGGCACTCTCAGAGAAGCTTTCATTCTCACGACGTCAATGCTGAGAGGACTGCCAGGCTGATTGGGAAACAGCTCCATCAAGATTTTTTGTCTAGTTGGTTTTTAAACTGCACAAATGCCAGAAATCTCCTTCCTGCTCTCTACTGCTTTTAAATGTAAATCGAAAGACCTGTTCGTACTTGTCCCCGGAATCCCTAATATCGGTCCCTCTATTAGTCTCTGGGGAAACATTAACTCTGTTGAAGTCGAGGCAGAGGGGGCTGACACCCTGGGTCCATTTAAGGCACTGACCAGGCACGTGACCCTGGGTAAATCTGCCCCTTTCACTGGCTCTTTAAATGCAGCGGAAAAATACATTCTAGTTAATCTCACTCAGAGGCAAGCTTCCCAGTTACTGCCACCTGCTGTTCCCTTCCTTCCTTCCCACAGGCCTGAATGCTCACCTGCTTGGACTGCAAGACAAAACTGCACTTTACACATCTCTAATCTGGGTGCTTGCCCGCCTCTCCAGGAATAATTCCAGATACTCCACATATAGAATTACGCAACCACACGGCATTTCTCCTGCAAATTTCAAGTCTTTAAGGGCCATAAAAAAAATCATCTCCACTTTTTGTTCCTGGAAGCTCTTTGTAATTTTTTTTTTTAACCTGCTGTCAGACAGCGGAGTGGGAGAAGGAGACTTCTTCTGAATTCACAGAGACTCCCCAAGCATTTCTGGGCCTCTGCTCCAAACCACTGTGGACATGAAAGGCGGACATTGATGACAGCTGCTACAAACCACCTCAGCGTCCCCAAGTTTCTCTCTGGCCAGAGAGAGGAAGAAGTGGTGGAAAGTCCAGCCAATCACACCACAAAATGGGAGCCTCAGGTGCCTCAAATTAAAGGGAGTAAATTCAACAGCTAAACCTCCAAGGCTGAGGCAGAGGTTGTTTTGCTTTTTAAATTTTTCCCAGCAGCAGGCAAAAATCTCCAGCTCTGCTACTGAATATAACCAGTGCAATTTCCAATGGTCTCACGACCCCATTATTTCCTTTTCAGTGCCCCTCCCTCTCCACCATACCCCATAATTACAGAGAGTTTAGGGCTGGGCTTTTTCATGATGCTGCTTCTTTACACTCACGACAACACAGAAGGAAAGGTTATTTAAATCTGAGTTGGAAGGGTAAAATCAGCATTGTTAAAAGGGCAGATTAAGAACACATTTCCCTGGGTTTTAGGTAATTCAAGGTCACTTGCAATAAGCAAGACAGAAATGGAATCATCAGGCACACATGGGCAGTGGGGTCTACCGAGCACCACGGGGCAGGGTCACACAGGCCATAAACATTATACGGAGCTGATCGTTAATGTCTCTGACTTAAAAAATCTGCCCTGTTAAAGAATTCAAGGGCATGATTTCCTGCCTGACCCCGGTGTTTCACAGCCTTTGCCTCAGAATTGGAGCCCTTCCTGGTCCTCCAAAGCCCTCTCTGTCCTGAAAAGCAAGCTTACATTAATAACTAAGACTGAGGACTCCAGCTTCAGCATTTACTAACTGGGTGACCTTGGGAACATCATTCAACTTCACAAAGCCTCACTTTCTTCATTTATATGTATAAAGTGTGGATAATAATAGTCCCTTATTGCTTCATAGGGTTTCACGAGGATTAAAGGAGACTGGGGTTATCATGTACCTCACATAGTAAATTGCTCCATAAATGATCATCATCAGCAGAATGATGAAGGAACACACACTGCTTTGGGAAAGGCTGGCAATCCCAGTGCCAATGCTTTCTATGAAGTGGCATCTATAAAGTAAGATCATTCCCATTTCCCTCCCCGCATGGAATATATTTCCAGCAAAGACAAAAAGTAAGGCTGGGAATGCCAAGTACTAAGTGTATAACACCATTTAATGAGCACCTACCATGTGCCAGGAATTCAACCATGTTTTCACAAATCCTCATTACCCTGCAAGACAAATCCTGTTAGCCCCATTTTGTACATGGGGAACTCGGGCTCAAAATAAGTCCCACCTCCTCCCTATTCCAAGCCAACATCTATGGGCAGACAAGAGACAAGTCAACATCCACAGGTCTGCTTGGTGGCCAGCATGAAGGGATGGATGCCTCGAATTCCGGGGCTTTATCTAACTCATGGCTGCCTCCCTGCAAACAGCAAGTAGGGGCATATTACTCACAGAACATTCTAGAGCTGTGGAAGTCCACAGGACTCACCTCTTTTGATCCCCTGAGTTGGGAATGTTAGAAACTCAGCCCAAGCAAGGGAAGGGAAGCAGCTTGTCCAAGGTCACATGGCAGCTCAGACACAGAGCTGACATTTGGGCTCAGGTCTATTGACTCTCGAGGAAGATCTTGCCTATGGATGCCTGATCATTCCTAGAAAGGAATTCACGGGCACAAGAAACGAGCAGGTGTAACTTTGAACAGACCCAGTTTCAGAGCTCTGCAAAGGTGAGTTGAGGAGACTCCTGCCTTCCTCCCTCCCAAGTCTGACGGGAAAGCAAGGTCAACATGTGCTGGGTGGGCTGCCTCCAGCTTTGCTCACCCCTGAACCACAGCCTCTAAATGAACAGTGTTTAAAATTACTTTCCTAGAGCCTTCATGAATTTCTATTTTGAAGCCACCCACTCGTATCTGCTACACACACTCTCCTCGTCTCCTCCCTCCTCCCACCTCCCAACGTGCAACTAATCTGCTTGTCAGTACCGTCTGTCTCCAGCAAAGGCGTCCCATCAGGTGACTGACCCCTGTAAGTAATTAAAGAATGATCCCACAGCCTTGGTGGAGGCCGACGGAGAGAAGGGTGACTGGTTAAATTAGACATGGGAGGGAGGCAGGCGCTGCTCACAGCCTACCAACTGCTCCCTTAACAGATGGTGAGCAGAGTATAGCAGGAGTGTAGCCCTGGAGCCAGCCTGTGAGGGCAAAAACAAGGCAGGAGCAAGGGGCCTCCCAGCAGACTAACTTCAGTCGGAGCCCCTGAGCTCTCCTGCTGCACACACTAAACAGCCGGCCACTTCCCCACACAGACCTGGGCGACCCTGGGCAAATCCACCGCCCCCTTGTGAGTCATTTTCTCACCTCTATGATGACCAGCATACTTTTATTTCCCTTCCTTTTTAATTTGAAAGAAAACACCAACTAGGAAATAAATTACACAAAGTACCACCCTTTGTGGACAGGGGAAAACTATAAAGTAAAAAACACCAGTTTCCCCTCTATCCCCCCAAGTAAGTACTATTAGGAGTTTGGTCTGTAGCCTTCCCAGCTGGTTCCTAAAGTAATGAGCATTAGAGTGTTTTGTGGCCAGGCACAGTGGCTCGTGCCTGTAATCCCAGCACTTTGGGAGGCCAAGACACAAGGATCACTTGAGGTCAGGAGTTCAAGACCAGCCTGGGCAAGAAAGCGAGACATTCCACCCCCGCCCCTACCCCACCCCCAACACACACACACACACACACACACACACACACACACACACACACACACCACTAACAAAAAATTAGCCAGGATTGGTGGCATGAGCCTATAGTCCCACCTACTCAGGAGACCAAGGCCAGAGGATCACTTGAGCCCAGGAGTTTGAGGCTACCGTGAGCTAGTATCATGCCACTATACTTGCTCCAGCCTGGGCGACAGAATGAGACTCCACCTCTAAAAAAATAAACATAAAAATTAGAGTGCTTTGTGTATCTGTGTGTATATGTGTGTATGTGTGTGTATAGATACACACACAGTTATAGATACATATACATATGGTTTTTTAAAAGAAGGATCATACTATATATATTGTTCTGCATCTTGAATATATCACGAAAATCTGTCCAAGACAGTCCATAGATCTACTTTGTCCCTTTTATGGTTACCTAAGCAAGTTCAAAATTGACTCAGCCTTTCCCCTGTTACTGGACATTTAGGTGTCTCTAACCCTTTACACAATGAACAACCTTGTACTTATGCTTGTATGTGTACAGCCTATCGTTTCTATAGGTGTCAGAGTCCCACAAGTGAGATTGCTGAATCCTAAGGAACATACATTTTCAATTTCAATAATGATGGTAATTTACAGGGGTCAGCTGCCTAAGGGTAATACTATCAATTACCGTCCAAAAAGGCAGTACCTATTTGTACAACTCAATTATGTATTAGAGTTGCAAACTGCTCCCTGGACCACAAGAATGAGGCTCAGGAAGCCAGCAGGAAGACCCCCCAGGTCTTTGCTGCCTACATTCTGTAACCCCCACCCCTGATCCTCCTACCAGTACAGCTTCCATTTCACCTTATTTATACATTGGCTTTCCATGTAAGATTTCACTCGGGAAAAAAAGGGGGATTGCTCTGGCGAAGGTTTTTGAAAACCACAGGATGAACTCTAAGGTTCCGTTCATCTTCATTCTTTAACAATGGGGAAGATAAAATGGTTTTATGTAAAAATAACTTTCTCATAATTTTACAACAAAACCTTATTTTCCATGATAAATGAGATAGTCTGCTGTGGTCTTTTACAGTAAGTATCAACAAAACCACCTCATATAATAGCTAGCATTTACATAACATTTACTATATGCTTAACTTTTTAAGGATAATCCCATTTGATCCTCTCAACAGCCCCCTTGTACAAATGCAGAAACGGAGACTTAGAAGTTATTTCTGTAAGGTCCCACCAGGATGCTGATAACAGGTAGAGAGGAATGGACCTGGGCAATCCATCCCAGAGTCCACACACTTGCCCGACACCTTACCATCTTCCAGTGAAGGGTCTGAGCACACACACAGGTATACACACATGCACACACACAATGCTTCCAGATCTTGGCCTGTTGGCCTCTTTGAACCAATTGTATGCAACAAGCTTCTGGGTCAGCCCTTTCTGCCCAGATTGGTGAAGCAAGGAAACACTGTCATTTTTGAGAACGCAGCTGCCCCTCCTTTTCTCCCTGCGGACCTCCCAGCCACCTCCCAACCCCTGGGCCCCCATCTTCCCTACTGTGGATTCTTCATGACCTCCTCCTGGGCAGATCTGGTCTCATTTCACAGCCACACACCTGAATGAGGAGGCAGTGAGGATACCAAGAAGAGCAGCCCCACAGGGGAGAGAAGAAGCAAAAGCAGGCTAGGGCCCCAACCTCCAATTCACTGTCTCTGACTTTCACTCTACTGCCCCCAAATCTCATTCAGATGGGGGAGAAAGAGAAGAGCCAGAACTTTTGTACACACGGATGGAAGAATGAGCCAGGGTTACCAGGAATTGTAGTCTAAAGAGGGGATGAAGAAAGAGAAAAGGAGAAAGAACAAAAGAGAAGAGAAAAGGGAAAGTGGCAGATGGAGCAAGCAAAGAAAAACAAGGAGCCTCGTCTCAAAAGCTCAAGTGGCCTGGGCTTGAACCCCCAAACCAGGCCCCCTGCCTCATTCCCCACTGCAGGAAGATGAAGAAAAGCAGAAGGGCAGACCCAGATCCCTCGCAGGGATGTTGCACAATCAAAAGAAAAGGAACTCTGCTTGGAGCCAAGCCTGCAGCTGAGTTCCCATCAGCATACTTCTCCACACCCTGCATGTGGGCACGCCCATGGCAGACACCCAGCTGAGGATCCAATGAGGATCCTACACTCTCCCACGGGCCCGGCCCCCAGGGGCTTCCAGAGAGGCATGGCATCAGACAGGAATGCTGGCACCACCCAGGTACAGGGAGAGTGGCACAGGACATCAACATGTTAGGAGACTAGAGCCATGCAGGGCTTTCGTGCTGCAAATGTTTCTGTATTGCTCTGGAAAGGACTGACAGGTCAGAGATGCTGAGACAACACGACATTTTTTAAAAAAAAATTTTTTTTGAGATGGAGTCTTGCTCTGTCGCCAGGCTGGAGTGCAGTGGCACATTCTCGGCTTACTGCAACCTCCGCCTCCCGGGTTCAAGCAATTCTCTTGCCTCAGCCTCCCGAGTAGCTGGGACTGCAGGCATGCGCCACCACGCCCAGCTAATTTTTATGTTTTTAGTAGAGACAGGGTTTCACCATGTTGGCCAGAATGGTCTCGATCTCTTGACCTCATGATCCACCTGCCTCGGCCTCCCAAAGTGCTGGGATTACAGGCGTGAGCCACTGCGCCTGGCCTAATATTATTTTTTAATAGAGACAGGGACTCACCATGTTGCCCAGGCTGGTCTCTAACTCCTAGACTCAAGCAATCCTCCTGTCTTGGCCTCCCAAAGTGCTCCCAAAGTGAGCCACCATGCTCAGCTAATAGGACTTCTCATAGCACATTCTAATTAATGTCAGTTCTTGGAAGCCAGAAAAATTATTGCAGCATTGTTGGTAACAGCAAAAGATTGGAAACACCCTAAGTAACTATCAAGAGGAAATTGCTTAAAAAAAACTACTACTAATAATGGTACATCCAGATAGAGGAAATGTTATCAGCTATTAAAAAAAAAACAAGACATGTGAGCCAGACAGAAGTAAAAAAAGTAAAAAGAGCATAAATAGCATATTCTCACTTCAGTAAAAGGATTGTGGAACACAGAAGGGGTCTAGAGACTGGGAATATTTCACTTCTTAACCTGAGTTGTGGGTACATGGGTGTTCAGTTTATCATTCTTTAAACTTTATATATGTTTTGAATGTATGATATTTCACAATTCAAAAATTTTAAAGGCTGGAACACATGTGCACATTTATGGGTGCACATGCACAAAAAATCTCTAAAAGCTGTTATGAATGCCTCTGACCAGGGACACTGGGAGGCAGTGGGACTGGGTATGTGATATAGTTTGAATATTTGTCCCCTCCAAGTCTCATGGTGAAATGTGGTCCCCGATGTTGGAGGTGTTGTCTGGTGGAAGGTGGCTGGGTCATGGGGGTGGATCCCTCATGAATGGCTTGGTGCTGTCCCCACCGTCATGGGTGAGTTCTCACACTATTAGTTCAAGCAAGAGGTGAGAGCTGGTTGTTGAAAGGAGCCTGGTACCTCCTCCTCTCTCGGTCTCTGTCTAGACACATGACACACCTGCTCCCCCTTCACCTTCGGCTAGGAGTAAAAGCTTCCTGAGGTCTCACCAGAAGTGAAGCAGATGCTCCACTATACTTGCTCCAGCCTGGGCGACAGGGTGAGACGCCGCCTCTAAAAAAAAACCATAAAATTTATGTTTGTACAGCCATGCTTGTACAGCCTGCAGAACTGTGAGCCAAATAAACCTTTTTTTTTTTTTTTTAAAAGAGATGGGGTTTCACCACGTTGCCCAGGCTGGTCTCGAACTCCTGGCCTCAAGTGATCCACCGACCTCGGCCTCCCAAAGTGCTGGGATTACAGGAGTGAGTCACCACACCCAGCCCAAATAAACCCCTTTTATTCTTATTTTTTTGGAGATGGAGTCTCGCTCCTGTCACGCAGGCTGGTGTGCAGAGGCGCGATCTCGGCTCATGGCAACCTCCACCTCCCAGGTTCGAGCGATTCTCCTTCCTCAGCCTCCCGAGTAGCTGGGATTACAGACGTGCGCTATCACACCTGGCTAATTTTTGTATTTTTAGTAGAGACGGGGTTTCACCATGTTGGCCAGGCGGGTATCCAACTCCTGACCTCAGGTGATCCACCCGCCTAGGCCTCCCAAAGTGCTAAGATTACAGGCGTGAGCCATCGCGCCCGGCCACAAACCTCTTTCTTAAATAAACTACCCAGTCTTAGGTAGTCCTGTATAGCAACATAAAATGGACTAACACAGTATAAGGGAGGTTTACTCTTTCATTCTATATTCTTTTACAGCTTTCTAGTGTCTTTTACCACATTCCTATCTAAAAAAATAAGGTCACTGGCAATTCTCCAGTGTGTTTCAGCATCATAGATCAGGAAAGTACCCAAGGCGACAGTTTCCCCATTTTACAGCTAAAGACACTGCAGCGCAGAGGGTCTGAATGTCCTGTCAAAGGCTGCCCAGCAAGTGAGTGGTAGACTCGGGAAGAGAGGCCAAGTGTCCCACCTGCAGTCCCGTGTTATCTAGCCTGCTCTCTCAACCAGGGATTCCCAGGCCACTCCAACCCCAAACCACCCGCCTTGCTTGTGCCTCCTACAGCTCCCTCCCCCACTGCAGTCTCAGGTGGGCAGGGAGAATTCAGGGAGGGGACCACAAATCCCAAGGTAGGAGTCACAGGGCACAGTCAAGGTTGGCACTCCGAGCTTTGAAGCCTCCCTACCCCATCCCCGGGGCTGCTGCCTCCAGCCTGTGTACACCCAGATGGGTGGACGGGCTCCAGGGCCCCCACTTCCCATCCTTATTCTCCAGGCATTGTCAGCCTGCATGGCCACTCCTGTGTCCTCAGCAGAGATCCTCCCAGCAAACTGATGCCAAGCAAGCCCACTAGGGAGTTCCACATACTGGCCACTTTGCAGTCACAACCACATTTGGCGGGGTGGATGGGGTTGGGGAGCACTTACCCTGATGCCTTCATGCCAACCAGGCACCAGACTCACCAGCTCAGCAGCCTTGGATGCCAGACCCAAGACAACGGTGGGTACCCGGAGCCAAACCAGACTCCAGTTGTTAAATACCACCCTTGTCAGTGTGTTTACATTAAAGAAAATCCTCGAAGGGCTGTGCAGAAGAATCACAAATGCTCAGAGCCAGGGGAAGTTAAGAAAGCAGGATGGTTTTGCTTGCAGCAAAAATCCACCATGCCTGCTTCATGTATTGGAGGCCAGAAACAACTTAATCCAAATTCTAATACTTCCTTATTTAACAAACACTCATAAACCTGAGTTCATACGTTCTTTTCAAATCCTACCCCACTGTGAGCCAGGCACACTAAGAAGCACGAAGACTAATTAGAAGAACTAACGTTTGGAGAACACTCACTATGAATTAAGATATAGCAGCTCTGTAGCTAAGCTCTTTGCACACAGAGCCTCTTTCAATCCTCGGGGGAGCAGCCCTGGGTGGGAGAGATGCATTTTACAAAAAAGGAAATCAAGGTTTTGGGGTTAAGTCACTCATCCAAGGTTACAGAGCCAGCAAATGGCAAAGTGAGGTCTGGCTGGCTCCAAGGCCCATTCCCCACCCACTACACAAGACACAGCCCTGTGCACAAGCCCTATTGATGACACGATTTTGCCCCCAACACGTGAGACAGGTAGGTTCACTGAAACATTGGGAAAGGAAAAAAAAGTACCAAGAGGAAAATAAGTTAACTATTAGGCACTGATGGTGGACAAACCACCCACCTTTAACAACTGTATGCATTTCCTTCACTTTCCCTCCACTTATTTCATTTATAATAAACCCACTGTGAAAGACATAGCCCTGTGTCCCCTCCATGAGGTTCTGGGCTTCCTCTAAATCTACTCTGTCTGCAGAGGGCCAGTCAGGCCTGTTACTTCCTGCTCCCAGACTCCCAACCCCACCCATCTGAACTCCAGGAATGGGAGCGTGCAAGCCAGATTGACAGTGGGGGAGAGGGAGTGTCTCCCCAGCAGTTCCAAACACAGCAAGAGCCTAGCATCCACCCATCACCCTGCCCTCTCTGCCTCAGCTCAGACCAAGGGTCCTGGTGACCCATCAGCCCACATGTGGACACCATGCCAGGCTGACAACCCAGGAGATGACTCATGTGAGAGAAGAGAACAGTCCAGGGTGGGCATACTTGCCCCCATGACAGACAGCCATGGCCCGAGAGCTGGTGGACTCTCTTGTATTAGGCAGGGGCAGTGTTGCCAGGCTGGGGAAGTGGGCCAGGTATAGGAAGCCAGGTTCAATCCAGGCTTGACCAATAACCCTCTTGGGGAAACTGTCTTAACCTCTCTGGGATGTCTCCTCACCTGTAAAAGTGGGGATAATCTTCCATCCCCAACTCCGTGGGGAGGACAGTGTTGGTAAAGGAGCCTATTCACATACACTTCCTAATAAAGCTCTGAGACACATTTTACAGATTTGATGTACCACTCCCTGCACACTGCAGCCACTACGAACACTGCGCAGCTCCCCGGTTAATCCCCTGCCTGGAGCATCCTCCGTGCTCTTCTGATCAAGAAGGTTCAAGCTTCGGCTCCTCTGAGAGGCAGATCCTGACCCCTAGCCCCAAGGCAGGCAGGCTGTTTCCCTCTCTGTGCACCTGCCCGCCCTCCCTCCCTCGCAGGACCTCAAGCTCCCCAGGGACCTCCCCATCACACTGGATAGGAATTGTGTGTATGCTGGGGATCAGGGCTCCTCCTTCTGTACCCATGACATGTGTCAGAATGCCTGGCATACACTAGGTACTCAATAAATGTTCACTAAATAAATAACAACGGGGTCAGGTATGGTGGCTCACGCCTGTAATGCCCAGCACGAGGCAGGCAGATCACTTGAGGCCAGGAGTTCAAGACCAGCTTGGGCAACATGGTGAAACTCCGTCTCTACCAAAAATATAGAAATTAGCCGGGCATGGTGGTGCACACCTGTAATCCCAGCAACTCCAGAGGCTAAGGCAGGAGAATTGCTTGAACCTGGGAGGCAGAGGTTGCAATGAGCCGAAATTGTGCCACTGCACTCCAGCCTGGGCGACAGAGCGAGAACCTGTCTCTAAATAAATAAATAACAAGTATTATTATCACTCTCTGAAATCTGTGAAAAGGACAGAACCCTCCTCGAAGGAAGGGCGGCTCCCCACTGGAGCCTCCAACACTGGGACTGACCAAGGTCACTGGCACCTCACTGCTCTCTGTCTGCTTCCAGCAAATATTTCTCACACCCCAAGTCAGCCTCCTCTAAACCTGGCACTGCAGATACAAGAGAGACACATCCCCAGCTCCCCACCCTCCACCACTGCAACACAGGGAGTTCTCCATCTAGGAATTCCCATCCAGAGGCCCTCAAAGAGAGCTGCAGGAAGAAAATAGAGCTTTCCTTATCTCTTCCTTCAAAAGGTCTATTTTTGTAGACGCATTATTACAATGGACACTAAACGTTGGAGGGGGTCACCTTGGGAGAGGATGTACCCTTCAGCAGAAGGTGACTTCACGGGAGGGACTCAGCTATGAGCTGTCAGCAGCCAAGGCTCACGGCAGCTGGGGGTGGAGAAGTCAGCTCTGAAGGGGGCTTTGGGCAGCACATCAAGCCTTTTCAAATGGTCCCCTCAAGGAGTTTCATCTAGAACAGAACATCAGTCCAGTCACCTAAGAAAGAAATGACACATAAAGTCACAGAGGAAAAGCATGGGTCTGTGATTTCTTTTTTTTTTTTTTTTTTTGAGAATTTCGCTCTTGTTGCCCAGGCTGGAGTGCAATGGCGCAATCTCAGCTCACTGCAACCTCCGCCTCCCACGTTCAAGCGATTCTCCTGCCTCAGCCTCCTGAGTAGCTGGGATTACAGGCATGCGCCACCATGCCCAGCAAATTGTGTATTTTTAATAGAGACAGGGTTTCTCCACGTTGATCAGGCTGGTCTCGAACTCCCGACCTCAGGTGATCCACCCGTCTTGGCCTCCCAAAGTGCTGGGATTACAGGCGTGAGCCACTGTGCCCAGCTGGGTCTGTGATTTCTACCTCACAACTGAGCTGATAGGCTCTAACGTGCTCTTTCCTGGTTTTAGATTATTTTTAAGAGCACATAATTTCACTTCAAAAAACCTGTTGATGAGTTGCTATGTGAATTTTCCATTTTCTCCCTCATCATTCTCAAGTTCCTAGTTCACACACTTGAAAAAAAAAATCTATTTTTTTACCTGTAGACTCAAACCACATCACATGAGCAGATAACCACATTAAGCCAGGGACAAGGCCTGCGCAATGAAATGGTTAAAACTTGGCAGTGGGCACAAAAATAACATGGGAGAAATGTCTGTCACATTTTGAAGTACTGAAAATCCAGCCAAAATATTTTTTTGTGGATGACATGATTTTCCCCCCAACACGAGACATGTAGGTTTATTGAAAAATTGGGAAAGAAAAAAGGAAAATAAGTTAAGTATTAGGCCACTATCCACTGATGGTGGACAAACCACTCACCTTTAACAACTGTATGCATTTCCTTCACTTTCCCTCCACTTATTTCATTTATAATAATTAACTGGGGTCATACTGTTTGGTAACCTGTTTTGTTGCCTGTTAGTGGTTCATCATTAATATCTTCTCAAGTAGTAATTCTTTATAGCAAATGTTTGCTGTTTTTAAGTGCCATAGGTCTAAATGTGCTCCAGTTTTACTTTTACTTACACACTATCCCAAGGTTGTAGGTATAGGATACTGGATATTTAGGTGATTTGTAATTCGTCATCAGTATAAAATAATGCTGCAATTAACATCCTGGGGCCAAATTATTTTTAAATCATAGTTGGTCCTTAACACAAATCTCCAGTGCCGAGACTCATGTAACTTTATTGAGCTAGCATCTTATAAACGTAAACAATGGGTTGTTCCCACCTGCAGCACAGTTACCAGAGGTCGTACACATTCAGGCTCACTATCTGCCTCAGCAACTCCAAAAGATGGGGGCTTCTCCTTGCTGGTGTTCTGCAGACAGTGAATCCCTGCTCCTGCAACCCCAGGGCCATGGATATAATTTTTATATACATATAATTTTTTTTTTTGCTATGTTGTCCAGACTGGTCTTGAACTCCTGGTCTCAAGAGATCCTGCTGCCTTGGCCTCCCAAAGTACTGGGATTATAGGCATGAGCCACCACGCCTGGCCTGGAGATGTTCTTTACCCCCACATCATAATAGTTCTTCTTTCTCAGCACCACCAACAACATTTATGCTTTTTACTAAGCAGCTGGCATGCGCTATAACATTTAACCCTCAAAAACATTCAGAGAGAAGCTGTTGCCCTCATTTGATGGATGACAGAAATTAAGGTTCAACATACAGAGTCCAATCAATGAACACAACTAGCATCATAGCACTCAGGATTTAAACCAAATCGTCTCCAAAGCCCAAGGGCACCAGCTTCAAACTCTGGCAATAAAATCTACAGTTCTGGTATAATGGACAGTGGAGACTCAGGAGAAGGGACAGTGGGAGGGAGGTGAGGAATGAAAAACTACATATTGGAGTACAATGTTCACTACTTGGGAAATGGGTACACTAAAATCCCAGACTTCACCACTCTACAATTCATCCATGTAACCTAAAACCACTGCACCCCCTGAAGCTGAACCCCCAAAAGGATGAGTTTCCATGGCATGGAGATAGCTATATAAGTGCAGGTGGCCCCACTCATCATGCTGGCAGTCACCAGAGAGTCAAGCAGGAAGGCTGGTGGCTCCACAGTCCACAACCACACGACAGGAAGCCATGAGGCTGACTCGTGATTGAAGGGCCACAGTACCTACGTGTATCTTATGTACAAGGTGCAGCATGCCTTATCAGCTAAAATATGGCACGTATGTGCTATGAACTTAAATTACTATCTCTGTGAGTTTGGCCCATGAGAGACAGAATTAAAGAATTGAAAGAGACTTCAGAAGAAATCAGCCAGTCCAATTCCCTCACCTTGTTTCCACAAACAAGAAAACTGGGGCTCAGGACGCTGGGTCACAAAAGCAGTTCACGGCAGACCCAGGTCTACAGCCTCCCAACCTAGCAGTCCAAGCAGTAACTCACAGCAGTATGTGAATCACGAAACTCACAAAAATTCCCAAAAATAAAATTTCTATTTTAAGAAAAAAAAACTACCTGAAGTGTAAACAAAGCTGAGTATCTAACTTACAGGACTTTGTTGAGGTATATGGTTTCATGTCTCTGGCATATTTGACCAAAAAACAAAGTCAAGAGATGTAAATAATAAAAACAACAAAAGCTAAAGACACAATAAGCTGTTTCCATCAAAGGTAGTTTTGTTTTGTAAAATGACATCAGAGTGTTACTGAAACCTTAATCACAGAGGCCTGGAACACACCCTGCATTATCCTGGCTGATACAAAAGAAGAAAACACACACGCATGCGACTAAGGAGGATCGAGCCCAGATCCACTGGTGTTATTTCCAACATCGGAAAACTACTCAATGGGTCCTACTGGGCTCTGAGTGTCAAACTGCACTAGGCCTTGGCAGTTTTCTTAGTAACTTGCTTTGTTCCTTCTTTCATTCATTTGAATATTATTTAAGCATCTACTCTGTTTAGGAGTTGAGGATAAAACATCAGTGAATAGGCCAGGTGCTGTGGCTCACAACTGTGGGAGGCCGAAGCGGGTGGATCGCCTGAGGTCAGGAGTTTGAGAACCAGTCTGGCCAACATGAAGAAACACTGTTTCTACTAAAAATACAAAAATCAGATGGGCATGGTGGAGCATGCCTGTAATCCCAGCTGCTCAGGAGGCTAAGGCAGGAGAATCACTTGAACCTGGGAGGTGGAGGTTGCAGTGAGCCAAGATCGCACCACTGCACTCCAGCCTGGGCAACAGAGCAAGACTCTGTCTTAAAAATTTAAAAAAAGAAAAGAAAAGAAAAGAAAATCAGTGAATGAAAGAGAAAAATCCTTACCCTGTGGAGCTTTCATTCTAGGGAGGTGAGGCACGCAATGAACAAGTCAGTAATACCACAGTATGTGTTAGGTGGGGGAGGCAGGAGGGTTCACAATTACATGGGCTGCTTAGAGAAGACCTCACTCTGGGAGTGGAGGCAAGGGGAGGAGGCCTGGGGGCATCTAGGGGATGTGAGAACAGGAAGGTGGCCCAAGGGGCTGGAGCAGGATGAGCAATGGGGTGAAGGACAGAAGCTAGGGACTTGACTTTGGCTTTTGCCCCAAGTGGAATGAGAGTCAATGGTCTCTGCAGATGATGCAAAAGAGCTGACTTGCATTTTAAAAGACCCCTTTATCATTAAACTTTTCCCTGAATGTCACCAAGAATTCCTATTTACATTCAGACAAACCCACACACAGGCAGACACCTACATACATTCACACACACCCGAGAGAATATGGTCCAACCCAGGTGCCCCCGCAGCACAGGTCACCCTCTAATGTCTGTGTGGTGCCGCCACCCCTCTGTTAGTCAGTCATTCTCATGCCACAGCACCTGTTCTGCAGATGGCTCAGGAATGGCCCCTTTCAACCATCTGGACCCAGGGATGTAATTCTCTCCCGTGCTTGAGGCTCACATCCCATTGAAGCCCTTCCTCCTTCCAACCAGAACCTACCCACTCCCTGGAGGCCGCAACAGAGGTCTGGGATGCCCAGCTCTCAAGGGAAGTCCAAGCGTCTGTCTCATGTCCTGCAGCACTTGAAGGAGATGAAGGGGTCTCAACTGAGCAAAGAAAGCAGGTGGAGGGCCAGTGTGGGTCAGAGCAGCCCATCCCTGTCACCTGCACTAGGAGCGGCACCTTCCTCCCTTCCCTACACCCGCCTCAGAAGGAACAAAAGGAAGAGCAAAGAGAGGTGAGGGGTGCAACCTGGGATGCTGCAGCGAGAACGGGAACCCAGCCACCCATCTGCTCTCGCCTTATTGATGTGGGTTATGTGAACTCACATAAGATTGGCAGTGGGTCTGGCACTCCAGGATGAGGGAGGAGCACGGATGAAGGGAGGAGCATGGATGGGGGAGGAGGGGCAGAGCACAGATGCACAAGCATGGAGGGAGAGAGGAGCACAGACGGAGGGAAGAGCATGGATGCAGGGAGGAGCATGGATGGAGGGAGGAGCATAGAGGGAGGGAAGTGCATGGATGGAGGGAGGAGCATGGATGGAGGGAGGAGCACACAGGGAGACAGGAGCACAGAGGGAGAGAGGAGCATGGATGGAGGGAAGAGCATGGAGGGAGGGAGGAGCATAGATGGAGGGAGGAGCATGGATGGAGGGAGGAGCACGGAGGGAGGGAAGAGCACAGAGGGAGAGAGGAGCATGGACGTAGGGAGGAGCATGGAAGGAGGGAGGAGCATGAATGGAGGGAGGAGCATGGATGAAGGGAGGAGCATGGATGGAAGTCCACCCGCCACATGCTTTATGGCACTGACCATGTTCTCGTGACACCAGCAACAGTCGTGCTTATTTCACAGATTAGGAAATGGATTCCCAGGAGGGGACCTGCCCAGGGTCACAGCATGACAAAGCTGGGACTCAGGGGTCTTGAGTCTGCCCAAGACTTCCCCACTTCCCAATTTATCTAATCTTCCTGGGGTGATAAGCCCCCAACCCCACTCCTCCAATGGTGATCCATGGTAGGGGTGCAGGAAGGGCAAGGAGGTCGGTGGCATTAGGTCTGGACTCTGAAGCCACAGACAGGATGGGAACCCACACCTGGGGGCACAGGATTCTCCCCAGAGAACAATAATGGACAGCTCATGTTTATCAAGCGCTTACTGGGCACAAAGCCCTACTCCACCTACCATATTCATTTAATCCTCACAACATCTCATGACCAATGTGGTGACGTCATGCAAAAAACAATAAATAATCCGCATAACAGCCCCAAACAGTAGGTATGACATTGTCCCCATTCGTATGTCCCCATTCCTCAGATGAGGAAACTGGAACCCAGAAAAGCAAAATAACTTGACCAAGGTAAGAAGGGTCCACAGCACAGGCGCAGTCACACTCAGGCTGTCTGACCCCAGAGGCCACACTCCTAACCCTGACACCATCCCCTTTTATACCGGTTTGTGTTATTTTCCTAGGAATGCTGTGAGGTTAGTTTAGCCCTGATTAAAGCACATACTCCAGAACCCTCGTTCAATTCCTCAGCACTTACTGTGTGCCAAGTACTGGGCTAAGCCCTGGAATTTCTGGGTAAAAAGGTCATGACATAGTCTGTCCTTAAAGAAAGAAGAACTCCTTCCTTTGAAGCTAGAGGGCTTTAGTCTCCCTCAAAGACAACAGGAAGGCCAGGTGTGGTGCCTCACGCCTTGTAATCCCAGCACTTTGGGAGGCCAAGGCCTGCCTTGGCCTCACTTGAGACCAGGAGTTCAAGACCAGCCTGGGCAACATAGTGAGACCTCATCTTTACAAAAAATAAAAGAATTAGCTATGTGTAGTGGCGCATATCTATAGTCCCAGCTACTCAAAAGGCTGAGGCAGGAGGATTGCTTGAGCCTAGGAAATCGAGGCAGCAGTGAGCTGTTATTGCACTACTGCACTCCAGCCTGGGTGACAGAGTGAGACCCTGTCTCAAAAAAAAAAAAAAGAAGAGAACAGGGAACTTCCCCTGAAGCATCTGGCGTAGAAGTGGAGGGGCTATGATGGCATTCTGGGAGGGATGGGCCGGAAGTGGAGCAGGAGGCAGACAGGGGTCTATACATCACCGTTTTCCCTATGTAGACAGATTTTTAACTTGTACCACCCCACAGTCCAGTGAGCTGTGACAAAGAAACTGCAAAGGTATGGGCTTGGTCATCAGCCAGACTACAATTCTAATCTCAGCCTGTCACCACTGGTGTGCCCTCAAGAGTCTAACTCACCTCTCTGGGCTTCAGTTCCCTGTATAATAGGAGGTAAGAACGAAACTCTGGTGTTTCCAGGGCAGCTAGAGGTGTCAGAGGCATGTGAACCAGAGCAACTCCGTCTTAAACAGGAGCTGGGTTAAATAAGGCTGAGAGCTAACAGGCTGCATTCCCAGATGGTTAGGCACTTTAAGTCACAGGATGAGACAGGAGGTCAGCACAAAACACAGGTCATAACGACCTTGCTGATAAAACAGGTTGCAGCAAAGAAGCCAGCTAAAACCCACCAAAACCAAAATGGCCACAAGAGTGACCTCTGGTTGTTCTCACTGCTACACTCCCACCAGCGCCATGACACTTTACATATACCATGGCAATGTCAAGAAGTTACCCTGTATGGTCTGAAAAGGTGAGGCATGAATAATCTACCCTTTATTTAGCATATCACCAAGAAATAACCATAAAAATGGGCAACCAGCAGCCCTCAGGGCTGCTCTGTCTGTGGAGCATCCAGTCTTTTATTCCTTTACATTCCTAATAAACTTGCTTTCACTTTACTCTATGGACTTGCCCTGAATTCTTTCTTGCATGAGATCCAAGAACCCTGTCCTGGGGTCTGGATCGGGACCCCTTTCCTGTCATGGAGGGGACTGGTGGGGTACAGTATTCCCAGTGCTATCTGAGAGCCCAGAACATAGACAGCAGGCCTTACATGTGTGCTGCAGTTACAAATGTCCTCATCGCCACCACCCTCATCCAAACAGCCAGAGGGCTTTTCTCAGAGTGGGGGCAGTGGGACCATCTGTGGCTGTCTAACATTTCAGTCCTTCTGAGTCAACCATGGGCTTCCCAGGGCACATCACGGGCAATGTGGACCCTGTGAGTGTTGGGCACCCAGGAGATGAGCCCACAGCTGCGGTCTCCTTCCTGGGGCAACCTCTCATACCAACGGCACCACAGTCAAACAGGCAGGGGCGCTCCCTGAGAAGATGGGATCACAGCTCACCGGCAGCGCCCCAGCACTGCTCAAGTCCCAGCAGCCAAGACTCAGGGAGCCCTTTTGGTGCCAAGCCAGCTCTACCCCTGAGTTCTCTACCCTCAGGAGGGGGTGGCAACTCTGGAAACTTCCCTGTTTCTCAGCAGAATCTGGGACTGGCTCAACAAGCGCCCTGCAGAGAACCTGGAGGACCAACTCTCCGTTTTATTCCAGAAAGTTTGAATTTTGCACCACTTCATTAGCCTTCAATCCTTGAGCGCTGAGAAGGGGTGGGGGCTCAAGAATCGCTCACTGAGCATGGTCCCCCCGGGGCAGGAGCCGTGCAGTCCAGTCCACTGCTCTACCCAAGCACCTTCTCAGAGCCTGATAGCTAGGAGGTGCTCAAATATTCATTACTTTAATAAATGAAGGAATGCAATTATAGCAATAATAAAGGAATTTTTGCAAAAGAAAAACAGTCCCACCACAAATAACTCATTTCAATTTCACCTCTAGTTTTCCCCATATGCATACATATCATCACATATTTACAGGACTACAAATGCCACATACATGCAATCTTAAATACTGTGTATTTTTCCTCGATGTAACAGTATGAATATGCTCATGTTCTTACCCAGCCTCTGTCACTGACATCTGTGTGTGTGATGACCCACCCATCGCATGCTGTGCCATGGTCTGCCAAACCTCCCCTTACCACTGGACAGCTACCTTATTTTCATTTTTTTCTGTATTATGGATAATGCAAATAGCCTCATACATTCTGTTTTGCTTTTCTATTGCATTCTTGCCTCAGGAGGAACACCCCTGTAAGGATGGGGTGGACGGAAGGGCATCGCTGTCCCCGTGTCATAGATGAAGAGAGTAATACCGGGCAGGTGCCAGCATGATCTCCTGCCGTGGGAGCTCTGTAAAAGCTGCTGGATGAATAAACATGGCTCACCCACCTGACGCCCTCAGTGAGTGGCAGAGCCTCAGCCTGCCCCGGGCCAGCGCTCTGTCACCTGCCCACGCAGTCAGAAAGTGACTTTCTGTAAGTCAGTAGGTTAGTGTGCCAGCCCCAAAACTCCATTTTTTAGTAAGACATAAGTTTCAAAATCACCTGTGGATCCTACAGGATGGAGGCAGAGCCCACATAAACACAGCACCTCTCACCACCTTCTCTTCTCATTACTCTTCCCTCCTTCACACCTGTGCTCAGAGACCCGTGAGTGCAGTGGGTACTGGAAAGCAAGCACCTCCCTAAATGTCATGCCCAGGGCCCCTTGTGGCCTCACCCCTGGCCCCAGGGTTTTCCAACAACCCTGGTTCACTCCCCTTTGGCTTCCACATGAGCTCAGCTTCCAAAGCTCTTTTCCAGCTGTATCCCCATGGAGCCCTTCTCTACCCTTTTGAGGTCTTTACTCAAATATCACCTCCTCTGCAAACCCATCCTGACCCCTCACTTTAAATTATACCACCATCTAGGCACCCCTCCCTGCTTTCATTTTCTCCACAGCACTTTTACCACTTAACAGATAACACATTTTCCTTAGTGTGTGTGTGGTATTTTTAGGGATGGGAATCTTGCTATGTTGCCCAGGCTGGTCTTGAACTCTGGCTCAGGTGATCCTTCTGCCCCAGCCTCCCAAGTAACTGGGATTCCAGGTGATATTTACTTGTCATCTGAATGTCTCCTCCCAACACTGAAGCGTAAGTTCCACAAGGTCTACATTTGTGTCCATTTTGTTCACTGCTATTTTCCCCAGAGCTAAGAATAGTGCCCAGTCCCTAATGGGTGCTAATTAAACACTTGTCGATAAAATAAATAGTAATATTATAATATAAAAATATTCTCATTCTGCACAAGGCATTGTGCTTTTCCATGGCTCATCTTACTTACTATGAAAAACGACCCCATTATAATCCCCATTTCACAGATGAGGAAACTATTGCTCAGAAAGGGTAAGCAACTTGCCCAAAGACACACAGCTAGCCAGAAAGGCAGTGCAGCCTGAATCCAGGCTGTCAACCACCAGAACCTGTGCTCTTACACAGCATGAGGTGCTGCTCATCCTCCCATCCTTACATCCAAAGATAGAAGCCACCCATGGTCCAGCAGAGCTTTATAGTAAGAACAGCAGGTCTGACTTTTGGAACATAAGCATTGCCTGGCTTGCAGCCACAGGGTGACAGGGGCCTGTTTGCTATAACAAGTAGCACTACGGCTTTGACAAGCTGGGTGCTAAGATAACAAATCCTGCCAGACCAGGAAACTGCTTAAACCAAACAGGGCCAGAGAGGAAGTTTGGCCTAAGCTGTTAGATGCTTGAGACAAGGTCTGGTCATTTGAGGCCGCCTAAGTCTTCTTCTAAGAATAGTCAAAAGCCCCCTCTGGTTTAGGGGTCTAGGAGGGAGGGATGCAAGTGAAGGAGTTTCCTCTAGACACATGGCCGATCGCAGCCCACATGGCTGGCTGTACACAGGTATTGTGAGTAAACGAGGTCTTTGGCTTTTGGTTTCTCTTTTTCTTTTTTTAACTACTTCCTAAAACTCTCAAAATTGTCAAAGATGCAGCTGGAAGAGTGGCCTGGGGTTTTGTCTCAAATGTTCACCTCTCCTCATAAGCCACCAGGCCAACCACACAAAAAAAGCTTCCTGTCCCCTAAAAAGACAAGTTTCCATTCGTTGATGGATTCTTCCTTGTTCTGTTCTGTCCCCTGTGCCACGGTGAGTCATGGCCACCACAGGGACTCTCCCCAGGGACTCGTCACCTTCTTTCTCCTAAAATGTACCACCAGTATTTAAAATACCGCTGTGCCTATCACCATCACACCCAAGCACTACCTGCTATGTTGCCTTTGTAGCTAGAACCCTTCCAAGCAGAGGCAAAATTATTTGAGGTGATCAGATAAAGTCCTCTGCCTGCCTGCTGCCCAAACCCCAGCCCTACAGGCTGCTCCTCACAAGGATGCCCCTCTCCCACCTTCCTGCTCAGCCAGAAGCCCCCACCTCTTGCTTTGCAGCCTCCTTTCTGCGAATGGCCACCTGTTAATCCAGATCCCCACGCTCTGTTACTTCATCCTGTCTCCAACTGTGAGGGACTCCCATTCCAATGATGCGAAAAACGAGACTGCCAAATCCATTTCCACCCAGCATTACTTCTTCTAAAATGCTAAGCATCACCAAAGCCTTGTATTATCTCTTTCTGCCCTGAACAAGACCCAAGATCAAGCAAATTTCTAAAGAGGGCAATGAAATGAACACAAATGGAAATTCAGACAATTCAGCTCCACCAGTTACTGTGTGACTTTGGGCCTTATTTCATCACCTACATGGGCTCATAAAGTTATCATTACTGAGAAATTAACTGAGAGAACTGCTGTCAGAATCTTGCTGCCTTAAACCTGGGTACTAGCTGGGCATGGTGGCATACACCTGTGGTCCCAGCTATCTGGGAGGCTGAAGGTGAGCCAGAGAGGTAGACAGAGGCTGCAGTGAGCCATGATGGTGCCATGGAACTCCAGCCTAGGAAACACTGCGAGACCCTGTCTCAAAAAACCTGGGCAGGTCCACTTCACATTAGCCATAACTGTGGGAGGAAGGGATAGGGCCCTGAGTTATTACTGATACATTCCCAGGATTCTGGCCTTCCATTCCATTTTTTTTTTATTTTCATTTTGAGATGGAGTCTCGCTCTGTTGCCTAGGCTAGAGTGCAGTGACATGATCTCAGCTCACTGCAACCTCCGTCTCCCAGGTTCAAGCAATTCTCCTGCCTCAGCCTCCTGAGTAGCTGGGATTACAGGCACCCACCGCCATGCCCGGCTAATTTTTGTACTTTTAGTAGAGACGGGGTTTGACCATGTTGGCCAGGCTGGTCACCTGACCTCAGGTAATCGGCCCACCTCGGCCTCCCAAAGTGCTGGGATTACAGGCATGAGCCACGGGGCCCAGCCCACTTCCCATTTATTTAATAGCAACAAGCTTACATGCAAGGAACCCAAGGTGCTGGTTAACCCTGGTCAAAGGAGGCCCCTAATTCAATGACATCAGAGCCCCCCGGGGCTTATGAGTCATTCAGCCTCCTCCAAACGAAATGGTGCCAACATCTTCCACCAGGCTATTTCCAGGCACTCTCATGAGGTCCACACCTCGCTATGTGAGTACACTCTAGACTCCCAGAAGCATCTGCTCAATCTCATAACCCCTTCTTTGCCCCATCCTACGGGAAGAAACCCATGAGGAGCACAATGTCCCCAAATCTACATTCCCAACCAGAGCCACAAATCAGAGTCCGCAGTCAGGGGAGAAAGGGTCAGGGCAGGCAGCTCAGTAAGAAGGGGGTTTCCCATGGCTGTCTCTTGGTCTTGTTTCCCATAACTGGGAGCCTAGACACTCATACCTAGTATCAGCAGCCCCACATCTGAGCTGGCAACCTCAAGTCTGAGGACCCCTTCCCTGGCAGGGGTCCAGGTGCCCCCAAGCAGGCCGGGACTGCCAGGCTTTACATCAGAGAACTGAGTTTCAGTTACCACGGTGAAGGCTGACAGCACAGAGCACAGTTCCGTGCAAATCAAGACACATTTCCCAAGTCCCTACACACCTCAGTACAGAGATGAGTCAGCTGCGCGGCCTGATGAGCCTTCATTCACACCTCACCAGCACCTTCTATGAGTTTACTCATCCACAAACTCCCCCACTAAGCTGGCTTTCTGGAGCACAATACATCTCTCATTCACTCTTATATTCCAGAACAGTGCCTGGCACGAAACCCGGCCAGGAGGGCGGAGGGGGAAGTAGGAGGACACCTGTTTGCTGAGTTGGTGCATTAATTCTCTCCTGCGGCCCAGCACTGAAAAAACAGCCCCATGCCCCTGCTTACCTCCTTGACCCCAAGGCCAACCATCCTCCCCTGACACTGTGTTCCAGGCACACCAGCCTCCTCCTGGCCCTTGACCACACCAAGCTCGATTCTGCCTCAGGGCTCTTGCACAAGCCAGTCCCTCTGCCGGGAACACTCCTCCAGGCTACAGTGGCCTTCTCATCTTTCAAGACTCAGCTCAAAAGTCACCCTCTCTGGGAAGGCCTTTCCCGATCACCCCATCTAAAGAAGTCACCTCTTCCATACCCCCACCTCTCTCTAACCCACTTCCAGTTTTCTTCTGAGAGCACGTCTGTCTGTTTGGCATGTGTATTATCTTTCTCTTTCCACTGAAGGAAGCCCTCTATTTTCTTCCTTGCTCCTTCCTCAGTGCCTAAAACAGTGCCTAAAACAAACCTGATATTGAGCAGATGCTCAATAAATCGTCACTGGAGTGGGCCCGGCACGGTGGCTCACGCCTTTACAGCACTTTGGGAGGCCAAGGTAGGGAGATCACTTGAGGCCAGGAGTTTGAGACCAGCCTGGCCAACATGGCAAAACCTGTCTTTACTAAAAGTACAATAATTAGCTGGGTGTAGTGTGCGTGCCTGTGCTCCCAGCTACTCAGGAGGCTGAGGCACAAGAATCGCTTGAACCCGGGAGGCAGAGGTTGCAGTGACCCAAGATTGTGCCACTGCACTCCAGCCTGGGGGACAGGGTGAGTCTCTGTCTGAAATTTAAAAAAAAAAAAGTCACTGAATGAATGCACAGAAGAGAGAAATAGCAAATTCAAGATAAGGAATATCTAACAAGGTCAAAAAATGGGGAGAATAAAGGAGAGAAGAAGAAAGGTACAAAGGTCAGAAAGAATTGTAAAAAATATGAGATACTTACCCAGGAGTACAATTTTTAAAACAGCTATCATTCAACAGGAGTTAAATGGAGGGGCTAGGTGTGGTGGCTCACGCCTGTACTCCCAGTACTTTGGGAGGCTGTGGTGGGCAGATCACCTGAGGTCAGGAATTTGAGATCAGCCTGGCCAATATGGTGAAACCCTGTCTCTACTAAAAATACAAAACTTAGGCCTGGCGCAGTGGCTCACACCTGTAATCCCAGCACTTTGGGAGGCCGAGGTGGGTGGATCACGAGGTCAGGGGTTTGAGATCAGCCTGACCAACATGGTGAAACCCTGTCTCTACTAAAAATATAAAAATTAGCTGGGCGTGGTGGCGGGCACGTGTAATCCCAGCTACTCAGGAGGCTGAGGCAGGAGAATTGCTTGAACCCGGGAAGCAGAGGTTGCAGTGAGCCGAGATCGCACCACTGCACTCCAGCCTGGGCCACAGAGCGAGAGTCTGTCTCAAAAAAAAAAAAAAAAAAACACAAACAAAAACAAAACTTAGCTGGGCATGGTGGTGTGCACCTGTAATCCCAGCTACTCAGGAGGGTGAGACAGAAGGATCACTTGAATCTGGAAGGTGCAGGCTGCAGTGAACTGAGATCACACCACTGCACTCTAGTCTGGGCAACAGAGCGATACTCCGCCTCAAAAAAAAAAAAATGGGAGAACAGTTTGGCAAGTCTTAACACACACACACACACACACACACACACACACACACACACACTCCATCTCCATGCTCTTTGATCCAGTAATTCCATTCCTGGGAATTATCCCAAGAAAACAAATTCAGAATAGGAACAAAAATAAAGCGCCTATATAAAGACGATTCCATTCACATTGTTTATAATTGCAGAAATCTAGAAACTACTGAAATGTCCAATAACACGGAAAATGCTTTGCCAAATTACAGCAGATCCACTAGACACACTCTCATGTGGCAACTAAAATGACCAAAAGGAAGATAATAGGGAAACATGGAAAAGTGTTTTGGAGTAATGCTACGTGAAAGGCGGGGGACAGTGGGGGAAACACTGAACTCCTTCTAAGTACCAGGCACTGTCCAGCACTCCTTCTGTATCTTGGTTCTCAAAAGAATCCAAAATTAACCTACTCTTATCCCCTTTTAACTAACAAGAAAACTGAGGTCCAGAGAGCTAAAGAACTTGCCCAAGGTCACAGAGCTGGCAAGGAATGGAGTCAGAATACGAATATGTCATCCTCACCCCAGAGTCCCCGCACATCCTGGCGCCCTCAATGCACGCCTCAATGTCCTACCAAGTGCTTGAGGGGCTCTTTCCCATAGTGACATCACGATTGTGTTGTGGAGGCCAAACTCAGAGACTGAAACAGCCAGCAAAAAGTGACTCGGCACCTGAGAAATGCTTGCAAGAGAATACAGCAAAAGCCAAAATAAAGCACAAACAACCAAAAGAAAACTACCTGTTGGGATCAAAAGACCACGGAGAAAAGAAATGAGAAAGTGGTCAACAAAGCTAGGCTTCAGGAAGGACTGTGCAGAGCCTCGAGAGAAGAGCCGGGAAGGGCAAGGAAGACTTTTACAGGTGCTGGATCCGGGTTCCAGGCTGGAACCGCAGAAATGAGGGTTTGCCCGGGGCTCCCAGAGAATAGCACCTTCCTGTACTCAGCAGCTCTTCTCTCCAGGGCCCACACACAGTGAAGCTTAATCAATGTTAGCTGAAATACACTTATCTCATAATGGGAACAAGCAACAAGGAAAAGGAAGGGAAGAGACACTAGAGGCATGGGCAAGAATGGACTGGAAATCAGGATGTGCACAGTGGGATTCCGCTGGGTCTGGGGGCCCTGCTTCGTTAAAAACTCTCATCTCAGTCTCTGGCAGGACTGCTGTGGGACAGGGAAAGCACCCAGCCGTCTGAGAACAGGTTTCAGGTGCGGCGGGGGACTCAGGTTAGATAGTGAGATGGACACTCTGCAATGTACCTGCTGCCAGAAGCCAGAGCAAGCTTAGGAGAAAATAATCAAAACTGCCTTTTCATAGGAAAACACAGAGATTCCTCCCAGCCTGCTGAGATAGGTACAGCTCAGCCTGGAAGCGGATGGCTGGAGAAGACCGCCCTGGGTCACTCTGCTTCCTAGAGACGAACTGCCCAGGGCCACCATCGCCAAAACAGAGCATAAATACCCTAGATCACTCAAGATTGGCCACAGGCCAGGCACGGTGGCTCACGCCTGTAATCCCAGCACTTTGGGAGGCCAAAGTGGGTAAATTGCTTGAGCTCACAAGCTGGCCTGGCCAACATGGTGAAACCCTGTCTCTACTAAAAATAAGAAAATTAGCCAGGCATGGTGGTGTGTGCCTGTAATCCCAGCTACTTGGGAGGCAGAGGCAGGAGAATTGTTTGAGCCCGGGAGGCAGAGGTTGCAGTGAGCTGAGATCTCATCACTGCACTCCAGCCTGGGCAACACAGCCAGGCTCCATCTCAGAAAAAAAAAAAAATAATTGGCCACAGCTGGTTATTGCTGAAGCTGGGTAATCACTACACAGAGGTGGTCACAACATTCTCTCTACTTTTGTACAAGTTTAAACCTTTCCATGATAAAGTTAAAAAAAAAAAATATGGCCGGGCGCAGTGGCTCACGCCTGTAATCCCAGCACTTTGGGAGGCCGAGGCGGGCGGATCACGAGGTCAGGAGATCGAGACCATCCTGGCTAACACGGTGAAACCCCGTCTCTACTAAAAATACGAAAACGAAAAATTAGCCGGGCATAATGGCAGGCACCTGTAGTCCCAGCTACTCGGGAGGCTGTGGCAGGAGAATGGAATGGAACCCAGGAGGCAGAGCTTGCAGTGAGCCACGATTGCGCCACGGAACTACAGCCTGGGGGACAGAGCGAGACTCCGTCTCAAAAAAAAAAAAAAACAAAACATAAACTCAGACCTAGGCATTTCACCTGATGGAGCACAGGGAACTTGACCTCAAAACATAGCTCTCTGATATAATGAGCATTTTAAACTAAAGGCCCTTAGAGATTAACAGACACTGAAAGAGACATTTCCCCTGTCTATAAAATGACCAGATGGACCCACCACGGACCAAGGATTGTTTTTTCTTCCCCTCACTGTTATCTCATTATCTATTGCAGGAAAAAAGACCAAAAACGCAACCACACCCTAAGAGACCCATTCACAAGATAATGTCTATCTCTTAGGAACATTCAAAGAAATATTTGGGTCCCACTGGGATATTAAGTAATCGCTCTGTGATTCTGTGATACACCAGGGAGAATCAATTTATATGCCATTTCTCTTAGTCATCTATATGTTGTGAGTTAATTTTTCAGTAAACCTTCAGAGGGCAAAAAGTAAGTTTCTCCCTTGCCCGCTACACACCAAGGAATCACTATGGCCTGGCCCAGGGTTTGGGGCTACCCCCCAGAGCCTAGACAAAGGCAACCAGAGTCTTCAAAATTATCCTATGCTAACAGATTTTCCAGCTGGACGGAGAGAGGAGTTTGCAAATCCAAGCTGGGTCATAAAGGCAAGGAATTAAGACTGCCTGGGTTCAAGTCACAGCTCAGTCTCTCCTTAGCTATGTGACTCTGGGAAAGTCACTTAACCCCTCTGTGCCTCAGTTTCTTCATCTGTAAAATGGGGACAGCGAGAAGACCTTCCTCACAAGGGTGTTGTGAAAAGTAAATGCTACATAAAGCTTAACAAGGGGGCCAGGCACAAAGCAAGCTTGCCGTAAAAGTAAATGTCACCCATTATGACACATCCATTTTGTAACAGGTACAGATATTCGTTTTGGAAACCACATGCATCCATTTGACTCAGCGACCGGGGAAAATGAAACGGGGTGGAACCAGCGCTCTTTCTGAAACCTCAGGCAGCAGTGTGGGAGCCTCGACTCCAGCGCACCTAGAGTGGCCCCAGCCGGCCCAGGCCTCCGTTGGCCAAGAGGCCAGAAAGAGCTCCTCCTTTCAAAAAGCCACCACGAGAAACAGGAAGCTGCTTCCTTTCCTTTCCATTCAGAGCCAGCATTTCCTTTTTTATTTTGAAAAGCATTCTTCATCTGTAGCCCAGCCCTCTCCCCCAAACCCCCTGCAGCCCAAGCTCAAATGCACCCACAGCCATCTGCATTTCTCTTGGATTGTTTTCTGCCCATCAGGGGGATCATGAGGTTCCTGGTAGACACTGAGCAGACCATGCCCTTAACACCAACTAAATGCACCCAGGGCCAGGAGGAGGCAGGAAGTGCAAACTCCAGGCAGGCAGGCAGGCAGGCGGGCACACCTCTCTCGGCAAGTTTCCTCTTCTTGTTAGAAGGATTCAGTGATACATGTATTTAAGTGCTAATGTGATGCCCAGGAGACACCCTATTTCCCTTTGTAAAAAAGGCAATTTCTCATGGCTGGATAAGTCTACAGGGATACCAGCCTCTCTTCAACCACCCAATTTTATTTGGAAACTCAAACAGCACCTCAGTTTCATAAAAACCTAAAACTTAAACACAACACTTGGTTGTAAGTGAGCCAACAGTTTCTTGTCTCTTTCTCTGCTCAAGGCTTAAGGCCATGTCTCCCCAACTACGTTCAGTGGAAGAAAAGATCCCCTGGACAAATAAGTTTGAGAACTGTTGTTGCAGTACTTCTCAGAACCTTTAAAACACAAATCCTCATCCGCAGGGATCTTCAGGAGGGAGATGGCTGATGCAGCACAACTTTCTTCACAGGAGCATCTTGCAGAATACAGTGAGATACAGAAAGGCTGCACTGAGCCTTTTTAAGGGCCCAGGCCTTGGTGGGAGTGGGGTAGGAGCTCTCCAGATAGCTCCTAATGAGTAGGAACATTCAGGTGGCTTTTTTTTTTCCTTATTGGCAAAACTGTGTGTGCACCATGAATGAAGCTGGTCTCCCTTATCCATATCAAAACTAAACCCAAATTAATTGGATAAATTGGGACTCAACCCCTCAAGGAGCCATGCGGAAGAAAGCCCCACCACACTTTAAAGTAGCTTACCACATCATATTTGCGGAAAGCAAAACGCTTATGACCAGTATGCTGCTAATACAAATCTATAGATAATGCTGTATGAAAAATTATTTTTCCCAATCATAGCTGGCATAGTCCACATTTTGCATTACACTTTCCCCCCTTTTTTAAAAATTTTAAACACGGGTCTTTATCTCTTCTTTTTTTAAATTTTAATTTAATTATACAAGACAGAGTCTCAGTATGTCGCCCAGGCTGGTCTGGAACTCCTGAGCTCAAGCGATACGTCCGTCTCTGCCTCCCAAAGTGCTGGGATTATAGGCCTAAGACACTGTGCCCGGCCTTAAACACAAATCTTAATTCATTCTTACAATTATCCGGAGATTAGAAAAATGGAAGGGGAAGAAAAATGGCAAGCAGGTAGGCTGACTTCAGCTTCATTATTTGGAAAGACAGTTTGCTCAGTTAAAACACACTACTGCCCACCAAGGCCAAGACAACAGAAAAATACAGACTTACATAAATAGATTTTATATGTGACAGCAGTTTGAATGGAGACTTTTTCAATGCAAATGACAAACAGCTGTGCCTGGGAATAAATGACAACAAATTTTTTTATCTCAACAGCTGTCCTGAGAGCACGTCTCTACATCTCTACCTGCATTCTGGAATCAGGGAGAAAGCCAAAACGGACAAGACACTAGATCAGCCGTGTCCAACCCTTTGACTACAAGGACTTTTCCGCCTATCTGTGGTGGTGGGTATCATGAAAATTATGCACAAACCTTTTTTTTTTTTTTTAAGCTCATCAGCTATTGTTAGCATTAGTGTATTTTATCTGTGGCCCAGGAGCATTCTTCTTCCAATGTGGCCCTGAGAAGCCAAAAGACTGGACACCTGTGCACTAGATTAAAAGGCTACTCCTTCTGGAAGCAATTGTAAAGAATTTTTACATTATCTTGACATGAAAACCAATGGATAGTGGCACAGAATGCAAAATCTGCAAGGATTTTTCTTGCTGGTTTTTTTTTTTTTTGAGTCAAGTTCTTGCTCTGTGGCCCAGGCTGGAGTACACTGGTGAGATCACAGCTCAGTGCAGGCTCAAGTGCTCCTCCAGCCTCAGCCACTGTAGTAGCTGGGACAACAGGTGTGCACAACCACCCCTGGCTAATATTTTATTTTTTGTAGAGACAGGGTCTCACTATGTTGTTCACATTGGTCTCAAACTCCTTGACTCAAGGGATCCAGGATAGGATTACAGGTGTGAGCCACCACACCTGGCCATGCGCATGAACTTTTAAGACAAACACAAGGCCCCATAAAAGTTAAGGATTTCCCACCTAATTTCCAGGGGATCTTTTGGTGCAAGGATGAGAAGCCCTTAAAAGTAAACAGACAACTCCAAAGATTCAAGACAGTTCATTCGGGCTGAGCCAGCCCACTGAGCAGACTGACCTTCAAAAAAGGTCCACCCGTGACATACCCCAGATGGCGCTCCAAGAATCTCTCCAGTCCTCAGGGCCCCTAAGGCACTGGGACAGAGCTAGGAAAGCAAACCCATTTGCTTCTTCCTGCAGGAAACCCCTTGAGGTCAACACCCCACAATCAGAGGAGGATGGAGTGGCTCACCCTCAGTCAACAGGCCAGACTCAAGGTGGTATAATGTCTTAATCAAGGGTGTGGGCCTCCAGGTCTGACTCCCAACTCAGTGCTCCTTTAATAACCACCCTTTGTTAATTCTGCTTAACAGGGGTTCCTGGCAAGTCAGTTCTCCCTCAGGCCTTCAGTTTCCTCACCTGCAAGATGAGAGGGCTGGACCACATGGAAATTCCAAGACCCTTTGTAGCCCTAGGAACCCACAACTCTACTAAATCATCCCCAAAGCCAGGCACCCCAAATAGCACTGTGATCAGTATTTGTAGTTAGGGATGCAACCAAGAATGCAGTTAAAGTGACTTTCATGAGCCTCAAGTGATCAAGACCTCACCATATGATTATGTACTACCAAAGCTGATCAGTCTCTGGACAGGGAGACCTGAAATCCAGCCCCTCCCTCCGCTATCTTGGAGCAAGGAAAAGGCCTTCTTCTAATTGGTCAGCCCAGGGGGCCCCCCTTTGCTGCAGGTAACCACAAAAACTAGAAGCCACAATGCCTGACACATAGCCCAGAACCTCAGACACAAGCAACCACAAAACTAGAAGCCATAGTTCCTGACACTTATCCCAGAATCTCAGCCAGAGGACCATGTCCAGCCTCTTTTTTTTTTTTTTTTTCTCTGTCATCCAGGCTGGAGTGCAATGATGCAATCTCAGGTCACTGCAACCTCCACCTCAGCCTCCTGAGTAGCTAGAACTACAGGAGCGTGCCACCATGCATGGCTAATTTTCTATTTCTTGTAGAGACGGGGTTTACCATGTTGCCCAGGCTGGTTTCGAACTCCTAGACTCAAGCTATCCACCAGCCTCAGCCTCTCAAGGTGCTGGGATTACAGGCATGAGCCACCGCACCCAGGCCCAGCCTCCTTTTAAACTCTTGGCCGTCAGTGTGATTACAGATGCAGTGGCAAATGGATAAATGTATGAAGGCTGCCATTCCTGCTTAGGAGAGGGGGAGTTATGATGCCATAAAGATATTAAAGACGAGGACAGATATTAAATGTATTCATATACTTTGACCCAGCAAATCTCACTTGTAGGAAGATACTCGTTGCAGCACCATTTATAAAAGCAAGACTTGGAAACAGCCTGAATGGCCCACACAGGGAAACCGGTTAGATGAATTTGTGGTATGACCACACAATGCAGCCACTAATAGTGCTGATGCATATGTATATGTGCTGATACAGACAGAAGACATTTACAAGGCAATGCACATGGTATGTGCCACAAATATACACATGTACATTTATATGCAAATGCAGGAAGAATATACAACAAAATGTGCACTGGAATTAACTCTGAGAGGTGGCATTATGGGTGATTTTCACTGTTGTACATCTAGTACTTTCTTTTTTATAGTGAACATATATCATTATGTATTTTGTAAATATTTTAATTAAAAGTAGAAAGTTAAAGAATACACTGTTTATCAGAGGAACTGTTCAGAAAGAATAAGACAGGTAGCCATTTAAAAAATTATGAGTAAACTGATCTCTAGGCAGCTTCTCCTTTCTCAGAATGAGACAAGCGTAGAGCGGGCTGCATCATGGTGCTGAGAGTCCTGTCTTTGAGGATGTGCTAGCCTGGACATTAGGGAAGCAGACCCATGCCCGAACCCTGAGGCTGCACAGCCTGGGTGGCCACCAGGAAGCCCAAACATCTAGAGTTGAGCCACGGAATGCCCTCGGCCCAGCCCTTTTTATTATTGGCCATTTCCTTGGTCTCAGCAACCATGGCCCTGCACAGAATCTCCCCGCCACAGCAACAGCTGTGGAGTTCTGAACATAAGTTCTCAAGACCAGTCAACCTGGGTTCAACCACCTGCTAAGACAGTCTCTCCATCCCTCTGAGCTGCAATTCCCTCATCTGCAACATCAGGATAAGGCCTCATAGCATCATTGTGAATGTTAAGGTGCAACATATGCCGAGAGCCTAGTGGAGTGCTCAACATAGAACAGGTGATCAAGCACGTTCTTCATCTGTGTCTGCCCTCTCTACTCCAAGATCATTCCCCTAACCCCAAAGGCACCTATGCAGCTTTCCCTTTGAATTAAACATAAAAAAGAGATCTCAACCAGCCTCTTCTGAAAGGATGGCCTTTTAAAAAGGCATAGCTTAGAGAGACTTGGCCACAGGCTTTGCTGCTTCTCCCCGGCATTGCAGACACTGCCACCGTGGGCCAGCGTCTCCGCATGGTCCATCTCCAGACACACCCAGCGGGCAGGAGTAGAATACCTGCGGCGCACTTTCCTGGATTTTGAGGCAGCCCAGACCACTCCAAGAAGAGGAAACAACCCTGACGTGGAAGAAGGCATTCCCATAGCTGCAGGCAGCAAACCACACCTCCAGATCTGATAAGACCTCTCTCCAGCACCACCCAGCCCTCCCCAGGCTCACAGCCACTGCGGGTCTCCCTCCAGGCTGCCTCTAAGAAACATTTGGGAGGTAGGTTTCACCAGGGAAAAAGTTACCCGGGTGAAAGTGGACACAAAAAAGGGCCAGAGCCCCAGCTCTGTATCTCTTCAGAGACGGCTGGAGCCACTTGGCCAGAGGGTTACAACTGTGGCCACAGAGCAGAAGCAGAGAAACGCCACACTTTGAGACAGTGGCTGGGTGGGAAAGCAAAACCAGGTTTCAGTCTCAGTTCTGCCAGGGACCTGTGACTTGGGAGAAGTCCCCAAGACTCTGGGAATATTTCCCAGAAAACCAGGAGGTGGCTCACACTTGTAATCCCAGCACTTTGGGAGGCCAAGGTGGGTAGATCACTTGAGGCCAGGAGTTCGAGACCAGCCTGGCCAACACGGCAAAACCCTATCTCTACTAAAAACACGAAAATTAGCTGGACATAGTGGGGCATGCCTGTAATCCCAGCTACTCAGAAGCTAAGGCAGGAGAATTGCTTGAACCTGGGAGGCTGAGATTGCAGTGATCCGAGATCATGCCACTGTACTCCAGCCTGGGCGACAGAGTGGGACTCTGACTAAAAGAAAAACAAAAACAAAAACAAAAAACAAAACAAAACAAAAAAACCAGGAGGTTGGATGGGCCAAGGGTTCAGTGGGGTTCCCAATGCAGGGTCCTGCAAGCTGTGCTACTAAAGTCATTACTGTGCCCTGCCTGGCTCCTTCACTAGACTAGAACTGTCCCTAGACCCCAAAGACTGGGAGAACAGCCCACCTACTTCAGAGCCCTTGCTAGGTGGCTGCCAGCCAGGTAAGCACATCAACAGTAACTAAAGGTCTGTCCAGGGAACGTGCCTCAACACACCCTAAGGACCCAATCTGCAGGAATGCCACCCCTCCCCTCTCCCAGCAGTTCCATCATCAGATGCTCCTGGGAGGCATAGGGAGAGCTCAGGTCCCCCACACGGTGGGACTCTGACCTCTGCCACGGCAGAGCTGTGTGAGGGCCAGGCCTCTCTGACCTTCCAGATGGCAGGAGGGCCTCCCCTCTGACCCCCTGCGGCTCCAGGGCAACTGCTCAGGAAAGCAGCCCAAGGGCAGAGACTGTACCTACCACAGTTCCCAACATCGCCTCCCAGCACAGCCTGACTCTGCACCTACCACAGTTGCCAACATCACCTCCCCCAGCAAAGCCTGATGGTCAAAGTCCTTCAGCCCCTTTCTCCACGCCAGCTTGCTTAGGAGGGATTTTTCTCCACAAGAACACAAGGTGGGGAGACTCAGCATGGCAGAGCCTGTCTCTGGAAAGTACTAGTAGGCTGGCAGGAAAGGGCAAGTCACAATGTCCCTGGAACATAAATCTCCATGAGGCAACATGTGTCTGCTTCTACACACCCTTGTCTCCCCAGCGCTGGGCAGATTCAAAGGAATGAAGGTAATTATTACTGGCATAGGTTGCAGGCCCAGCTATTAGGCAGGCCAAGTGTCCCTCTGTGAGTACACTGGGGCATAAGAACATTCCCGTTTGCCTCGGTGGAGTTTTCAGACCCCTAGGAGGGTCTAGCGGAGACAGAACACCAGCTCCTGCCAGGATGAAGTAGCCTCACAACTTCTGTTTACAGATTAATACCCTGGTTTCAAATTGTGCCTCCCTCCCTTTATATTTAGAGAGGGAAAATGTGTATGATGAAAACTGCTGATCTCCAGGAACGTGTGTGAGTTTGAGAAGAGTCAGGCACGCTGCTAGGCACACAGGCAGCAAACGTTAAGTCTCAGCTCCTTCTACCCTTTTCCATCCAAACTGGACCACCACACAGAGAAAAGCTATCCCCGGACAACCAGACACGCTGACCCACTACACCCCATCACAACCCAATTTCAGGCAGCAGCAGCCCATCCCTGGTCAGGGACCTCCACGGACATTTCACGTGCTGCTTCTCCCACTGAGTGTTTATTTAATGAAGGCCAGAGTGAGCTGGGGCTCCTCAGATTCTAGATAAGTCCGATGCAGTTGCACAGGCCAAGCCCTCCAGGTCAGATCCTTCTTCAAAAGCCAGGAATCCAGTGTTGCAAGCACAGTCTCTGGGGCCACGGCCTGGTGTGTGGGGAGCCCACAGAACAGGAAAGAACGCTGGAGTGGACACTGCCACTTGCCTGCCTGGCCCCAACACATGCTGCTGGCGGTGGACGGTCCCACCCAGCTTGCTGAGATTGTTTCCTGGCTTGTGTCACCCACCTGTATGAAATGAGAGGCAGCTGCAGAAGTACCTTTCCCTAAAATCCAGATTTACTGAACCCATAAAGTAGGGGGTTAAGTTTCCCTAGCAAGGGTCCAGTAGGGGTTAAGTTTCCCTAGTGGTGGCCTGTGCCATAAATGCTACTGGACCCTCACTAGGGGCAGCTGCCAGGCAGACTCTTTTCGTAGTATCAGCACGGACTGACAGACAAAATGCTGCAGGTGTGAGCAGTCTCGTTCCTATTTTACAGACAGGAGAGCTTGAGATTCAGAAGTCATGGGACTTGCCTAAGGTCACACAGACAGAACCCAGGCCCAGTATGAAAGCCATGGGGCTTCCTATTCACCACGCTGCTCCTATGGCAAAGATTCTTCTAATAAACTTAACCCCTATGTTATGGGTTCAGTAAATCTGGATTTTAGAACCATTCTTAAAGAGGGTTATTCTTAAACCAGGGTAGTATAAAAACAATCACAAACATTTGATTTCACCCAACCAAGTCTCCTTCTCTAACCTAGAGAATTTCGAGCTTCCAGAGCCCTCAGAGATCCACTCCAGCCTCCTTGTTTTGCAGGTGAGGAGGCTGAGGCCTCCGGGATGAAGTGACTCATCTAAACTAGCTGGTGGCAGCCCCATGGAACTCACTCCAGGGGTCTAAATTCCCATCCCCCAAAACAACCCAGGCCCTGCCTTTTCAGGAAGTGGAGTGAACCCGAATCCACATCACGGTGGGAAGAACAGGGAGCTGCAGATCCCCTGTGGGCCTTTGGATGGGTTCTCTGCTGCCAGGGATGATCGTCTAAACAAACACTCAGGAGGGAAGCCACTGAATAAACCAGCTCCAACACTTAAATAGCTGGATGCTCTGGGGTGTCATGAACGCCACACTGCCATCAAAATGAGGGACTCCGGAAGTTAGGGTAGGACAAAAGGCCATTCCAGAGAATGCACAGCAAGTGGTTCTCCTATATACACACTCTGGAAGCCAGGAGCACTTCAGAGCAACGTGGGGACAATCCCACAGAGGCCAACACAGAGAGCATTCTCCAAGCCCAGCAACACCGAAGTCCAACCACGCACACTCTGCCAGACAGCGACCCCTCCTCCCGGAACTGAGCCTCACAGGCCCCCTATTGTTGTCAGCTTAAAAACTGAACTTTGCTGAGCAAACACACTCAGCTGTGTTCAAAAAATCAGTTTCTCTCAATACTTGGAAAACTGCAGCATGCATGCAGAAAGGCCAGTTGTAGGGGGTTTTGTTTGTTTTTTAAGCAAAGCCTTGGTCAGTACAGCTTTAGCCAACTGTAATAAAAAATAATAATACCCAGCACTGACTGTATTCTTCCAATGTCCTGTGGTTTTATAGCTTTTAAGAAAATAAAACTGAGGGAGAGTCACCCCCGAGCATTTGGAATCAAACAAGGATTCGGCTTTGTGGCATGCCTGGAGGAAGGATTGGTCTTGTAATAATTACCGCGATCACAGAGGGCCTTATGACAGCTGGCAGAGGCAATTAGCAATAAGGGGCGGGGGGAGGGTTTGGGGGAGGAGAAATTGAGGATCTAATAAAACAAAACATCCCCAGACCTGCAGGAGGCCAGATGTGGCAGGGCAAGATGGTGAGAGGTTCCTTCTTCAAGACGGGGCAGCTATTAACTGGTCTGACGTTTCACCGCCCCGTCCCTGGCCAAAATCACATTCAGAATCCACTAGTTGCCCTCATTTGTGTATGGACAGGGTGCCCCAACAACCCTCGGGCTGGTTTTTCCAAATCCTTCAGATACTTCCCCAGCTATAATTTGAGAGAGGAAGGCCCGCATATCTTATTTCTTCTTTACACTCCAGACTGTCTCCATCAGAACCCTTTAAACAGTTTCATCTTCCCACCAAAGGCTTGCTTCCCAGCATAATCCTTCCTAAGCCTAAATCCAATCTTTGGGGGGAAGCAGGGGGAGTCAGCGGGTAATTATTAATACATTTTAAGCAGCGAGCCTCCGTGGCAACGTGAAAGGAAAGCACCAAACGCCTGAATAACAAAAATGCAGTTTCAGCAACACTTTTTGAAAAGGCGGCAGACAAGACCTGAGAGGAGAGGAAAGGAAGGGACAGGACGGCGTCTGGGGCGTGAGGGGAACAGGGGACGGCAGGCCTGCGATCACGCTTCAGGGGAACCTCCTCCGTCACCCTGGCCCACGGGTGCTCGGCTCAGTCACACGGGGAAAAGTCCAGCTTGTGACTCGGTGGGACAACGAGTCCTGCGGCCCCGCAAACTGGAAATGGGGTGGGGGCGGAGAAGGGGGGAAAGGGGATGTCCGCGCGCAGCCCACCCCGCACGGGCCCCTCGAGCCTCCATCCCAGTTCCCACGACGCACCCGCCCCACAAATCCTGCCCAAGATGAGGGCTGGTCCCGGGTCCTCCGGCTGCCGCATCAGCGAGTGCAGGAGGGAGGGGAAGCCTCCAAGGGGGGCGACGCGGGCTCAAGGATGCAACTCGGCCAGGAGTACTGGGGCCCGGAGGGAGGTGTCCGGGCCCGCTCCTCGAGCCCAGCCTGGTCCCCGACCCACTTACCTCCAGGGTCCGTATCTCCTGCTGGGTGAGGTCGTTGGACACAGCGCACTTGGTGCGCAGCCCGCGCAGGCTGCCGATGGAGATGTCGATGAGCTTCTGGAGCTGCCCGCACTGCTGCAGCGCCCGGCTGGCCGCGGCCCCTGCGCCTCCCTCCGCGGCCGCCGCATCCCCCCCGCCACCGCCCTCCTTCTTCTCTCCCATCGCCGCCGCGCGCAGCGCTGCTCTATCCATGCCTCGGCATCGGGGCCGCGGCGGCCGAGGCTGGGAGCCCGGGGCGCGGGCGCCTCGGCAAGGAACCCCCGAGCCAGGAGAGCTGGACCAGGAGCGCCCCTCGGCGCTGCCCGAGCCGGGACGCCGGTAGAGCCGGCCGCTGAGTCTGCCGCTTCCACCCTCCCAGCCGCGGCAGCAAAGCGAAAGCCGCGGCGACCCGACGGCTGCGGCTCCCGGAGCCTTTAAGCGGCGGCGGGGGCTGGGTCAGGGCGGCCGGGCATGCTGGGACTTGTAGTCCACGCCGCGCACCTGCCGCCGGCCTCCGCCCTCGGGGCCCCGGACCGCGCCCGCGCCGCCCTCCCTGCCCTCCTCTCCCCTCCCCTCCCGGCGGCCGCGGCGAGGCAGGCGGTGAGGGCCGGCCCCAACCGGGAGCCCCGGGTGGAGCTGCTCCGCGCCAGCTCCTCCCCCAGGCGCCGAGAGTCGGGGGAGCAGCGTCTCCCCGTCCGCCTCCGTCCCCCACCCGGCCTAGGAGCTTCCCGCGACCCCCGGATGGGGCGGCGCCCCCTGGACGCCCGGCGGGTGTGCGTCCCGCAGTTCCTCAGCTGCAGCCCAGCCCTGGAAGATGGGGACCAGGGAGGTTCCAGGATTTGTATGTGGGTTTAGGGGCTGCCATCTAGTGGGAAGGGGCTTACAGCACTTCTGTAGCTGGCTCACAAAGCGCTCTACTCTGGACTGCCTGCGCCAAAACGATTGCTCAGGCTTGGAGAAAGACGAAGAGCTTTCTTCTGAACCACATTTACCTGCCAAAATAAGTGTCCCATTCCCCCGCCATTCCCAGCCCACCAAGCCAGCCCAGACACGGGGGACAGCACACTGAATTGTCGGTGGCTTCGGAGCAAGTGGCCAGGATTCAAATTCTGACTCCACCACGGTCTAGGGTGAGACTTTGGGCACGTTCGATTTCCAGTGAATGCCCGACTCTCCTCATCAAATAACTCTTTAATAGGGTTCCTATGAAGAATCAGTTAATACATGTACAGCACCTAGATTGATTACTGGCACATGTGGTCGCTGGATAAATGTTAGCAATTCTTACTATCTAACCTCAGATCTGAATGTGGCCCTGGACCCAGGTAGTGGCCATGGAGCAGTACAGTACTGCCAAGGACTGGTAGTCCTTTGTCCTCTGTGCATTTCTGTGCCTCCTAACCCAGCAATCAAGCCTTGCCCATCTGTTCACCCTCCTCTCCCATTAGTTCACCCCATGCGTTCTATTATCTGGCAAAACTGAAAAACCAAGTCTCTGATCAAAGCTCCCACACCTTCATGCTTTCGACATCTGTCAACCAGAAAAAATGTCTCCCCTCTCAATTTTCTCTTGTAAGCTGCTTGATTGCAGAAGCCACTAGCTATTGTACCCTCTTTATAGTGCCAGATACAGTGCATGGCACACAAGAAAGGCTCCAGCGTGCCTCAGGAGCTCTTTCAGCAGGTCCTATGGGATGTTTCTTTTACCTCTCAGGCCAGCCGAGGGTGTGTGTGTGTGTGTAGATAGACAGTTGTTTTTTTGGTTTTGTTTTTGTGTTTGAGGATGAGAATTGGACAGGAGGTGGGATCCAAACCTTGTAGACACTAAAACAATCAATAATGGATGGCAGTTTGTATTACACCTTCCTTTAATGTTTATATTACACCAGCCTTCGAAATAAATTAAGGGCTGGGCACCGTGGCTCATGCCTGTAATGCCAGCACTTTTGAGAGGCCAAGGGGGAAGGATCACTTAAAGCCAGGAGTTCGAGACCAGCCTGGGCAATGTGACAAGACCCTGTCTCTAAAAAAAATAATAAATTTTTAAAAATCAGGTCTAGGAAGCAAAACTATAACTTTAAAACTTGTTTTTGCAAATTAACCCCTCCTCGAGATTTTCCAAATGCAAGGAGGTTCCTCCCTAACCCCTGGCCTTTCCCATTGAGAGTCATTGATCCAGTCCTCACTCAACTTATAAAAAGACCGCCTGCACGATATTATGAATTTCTCAACCTGTTACCTTAACCCCATCCGACTCCTTGCAAAGTAGTAACTATTATGAAAGGGAAACTAGTTGTGGTTCTCAAACTTGAACATGCATCAGAATCACTTGGAGGGCTTGTTAATTCCCAGAACCATGGAGCTCACCTCTATAGTTTCTAATTTTGTAGATCAGAGGACAGGGCAGGAGAATCTGCATTTCTATCAGGTTCTCAGGTGGTACTGATGTGGTTAGTCTGAGCCCAGTCGCAAGTCTATACTTTGAGAAGCCTAGGCACAGAGGAAGGTCAGTGGGCAGAGAACTATCTCAAGGGACTATCCACAACCCAACCTGGCTGGTTCAGAGCCTCTGTCCAGCAGCCAGAGCTGCCAGGCTTGAACGACTCACTCATTCTAACACAATTCACAAAAGATTTTTTTTTTTTTGAAACAGGGTCTTGCTCTGTCACTCAGGCTGGAGTACAGTAGCATGATCATGGCTCAGTGCAGCCTCGACCTCCCAGACTCAGGCGATCCTCCCACCCCAGCTTCCCAAGTAGCTGGGACTATAGGAGTGTGCCACCATGCCCGGCTAACGTTAACTTTTTTTTTTTTTTCCTTTTTTTTAGAAATGGAGTCTCTCTACGTTGCCCAGGCTGCTGGTCTCAAACTCTCGGGCTCAAGCAATCCTTCCCCTTCAGCCTCCTGAAGTGCTGGGATTATAGGCGTGAACTACCATGCCTGGCTCACAAGAAATGTTCTGGTAAGTGCCTATTTATGCACTTACATCAAACTTGTTATTGCCACAGGGACCTGGTCATCACATTCTCCCTCTAGGGCCACTTTATGTGGGAAGCCACATCCTGAGAAGAGCCACTGCCAGCTTGTGGCATTCATGCCCACCCATGTCACCACAGGGGTGATGTCAGAGCCTGAGACTGGACAAATGCCAGCTCCCTGGTTACTCTCCCGCCAGGTTCCATGCAGCGAGTCTGTCCTCTGTGGATACAGTCTTCCCTCTGATTATCCAGAGCATTCAGCAGGCCACAGTTTTCCTTCCTCACAGATGGCCTCCAGCCTTCTTGCCTGGATTTGAGTCATCTGTCAGCCACAAGTTTACAGAACTGCCCCTCAGAGGTGGAGAAACTTTTTTGTTTTTGTTTTTTGTTTTTAAGAGACAGGGATTTGCTCTGTTGCCCAGGTTGGAGTGCAGTGGTGCGAGAAAGCTCACTGCAGCCTCAAAAGTCCTGGGCTCAAGCCATCCTCCTGCCTCAGCCTCCTGAGTAGCTGGGACTACAGGTGCCTGCCACCGCATCTGACTAATTTTTAAATTTTTTGTAGGGACAGGGTCTTGCTGTGTCATGTAGACTGGTCTCAAACTCCTGTTCTTGGCCTCACTCTCCCAAAAGTGCTAGGATTACAGGCATGAGCCATGGCACCTGGCCGAAATAAGGATTTTTAAATAATCCCTTCATTCATCCTTTTAACATTCAGTAAGCATTCATGAAGTGCCACTTACATGGCAGGCCCTGTTCTGGGCTCTGGAAAAGGGTAGTGAACAAAATGAAGATTCTTACCCTTAGGGAATTTATGCTGTGGTGAGAGGAAACAGACAAGCAGATAAATGCACAGTGTGTCAGTGGTAACAGGTGGTATGGCACTGCAGGGAAGGGGACAGGGAATATGGCCTTTACAACTTCGAATAGAGCTGTTTTAGAGAGTAGGGTAGTCAGCTCTGTCTCTGAATCGCTGTATGACCTTTGACGAGTCTTATATGACCTCGGGCAAATCTCCTAATCTGGTAGCACAGCTTCTTATTTGCAAGATGGTGATAATGTTTTATGAGGATGAACAGATTATATAACACAAAGTAATGGTCATAAAATAAGGGTTCGGCATATTTATTTATTTGATAAATATTTACTGTATGTCTACTGAAACTGTTCCAAATGCTTAACTCATTGAACTATGCATTACTTTCTTCCTCACCTTCCAGAATGAATCTCTTCTAGTTAGATGAATTGATCTATTATGTGTTGATTCAGGGTTTCAGCATCATCTCCAGGTTCTTGAGGCTTTTTCTGAGGCACCTCAGTAGAGAAAGTTTGCTTACTCTCTCCTTCCTCTCCTCTGTCTCGGGTCCCTTCATTGCTTTTCCGAGCTTGTCTGCATCCAAACACCAACAGCAGCGGTGGGAGCATTTTCATGCACAGGCCCAAGAAACATGAAGAGGACACTTAGCATGCGCCAGGCTCTGGGGTAGGCTCAAAGCGAAGGAAGCCGAGTCCTTATCCCTGTGGAACATACATGAAGGGAAGGACAGGAAATGAATGTCAACAAATATATTACCAAAATAAACTGAGAATCATAAGTGCTACGCAGAAGAAGAAGAAAGCAAATAGCCGAGAGTCTCTGGTGGCTAAGGTACTTCACTAGGTGAAGTGGACAGAGAATTATTATCTGACCATTGAACTAAGATGTAAATAAGGAAAAGCAAGCCATGTGGAATGTTCCAGGAAAGGAGCACTCCAGGCAGTGGGAACATCATGTGCAAAGGCCCTGAGGTAGGAGCAGCTTGGCATACTCCAGGAACAAAGTGAAGGCCAGAGAAGCCATAGCAAGATGAGGGAGAGGAGCAAGGGCTGGAGATGATGTGGGAGAGCTATGCAGGGGCCAGATAAAGTGGGACATGGGAAGGAAGTTTGGGTTTTTCTCCAAGCCTTTGTTACTCCTAATGCGGTCCAGGAGCAGCAGCAACTGTATGGCCTGGGAGCTTATTAGAAACGCAGTCTTGAGCCCAACCCCAGATAACTGAATCACAAACTGCATCTTAGCAAAATTCCCACATGACCCAAAAATAGATTAAATTTTTAGAAACACGGTACTCTAAGAAAGTCACGTTCTTTTCAGGTGGAGAGTTTTAAAGATCCCTCAGGCTGCCACATGGAGAGCCAATGGTAGGGAGGCAAGGGCACAGCCATGGCTCTGGTTTTGAGACAGCTGCGGTGGCCCAGGCCAGGTGGGGAGCAGGAACCGGGTGAGAGTGGAGGAGAGGGAGGAAATAGAGGGGATAGAGGACATGTTTTGGAGACAGAGTCAACAGGACAAGCAGATGGATTTAATGTCGAAGGAGGAAAAGAAGAATTCCGGCCATCCTGACCGTGTAGCCTCCACTCCTCCAAAGACGCCAAAGGGCACTTTGGGAAGAGCCCTATCCTGCAGCCAGGTGTAACCACACCCTCAGGTGCCAAACCCACTCTCCCCTACCCACCCCTGCCCCGCCACTCCTAGCATCATCTCAGGACTCAGTAGGTTTCTGTTAGAGCCTGAAGCTCTAGAGTTTATGGTTCGTGGATTTCACCTTCAGTTAAATCAGTCAAGAAATGCACGGAGCCACCCTGGAGATATACATTCTTTTTATTGTTATGATGTACACCTGTGCACATTCATTCATTCATTCAACAAATATCTACTGAACCCCCAATATGTGCTCAGCACTGTGCCCAACTCTAGGGATACGGCAGTAAACAGTAGATTGTGTTCTAGTTTATAGAAGAACTTTCCATCTATTTCAGCTCACAGTAAACTGTGTTGTCTTCCTAAGGCTAGAAAGGGTGCTTAAGGTGGGTGCTTTCTCCCAGCTAGAAAACACCATGGGTTCCTTGTTGGCCTCAGAGTGAAGTATGAATTCTTGAACCAGGGCTACAAGGTCCTGTGTTCCCGGGCCCTGCTGATGTCTCCAAGCTTATCTGCTACCCAAGGCTGTTTTGAGTGAATGTCCCGGTTTGAAGAATCGATGAAAATAAAAAGCCTCTCTCTAGAAAAAAAAAAAAAGACACCCACAACTGAGATCAAATGTCTGGGGGTTTGTGGACCATCTCCTTGAGGCTGTTCATGAACCCCAGGCCTATAGACAATCTTGTCTCTGCCTTTAACTCAACAATCTTGGTCACACCATGGAGTTTCATGTCATGATGTCTTTGCTCAGGCTATCACTTCTGCCTGCAGTCCTTCCTCTCCAGCTCCATATGTAAATTTCTACTAATCCTGGAAGTCTAACTCACATGCACCCCACCTCTTCTCCCATAACAGGAGTAATCTCTCTAACTTCCATGTTCCCTTAAAACTTTGCACAACGACTTATGTTTTATTATTTCCCTACCTGATTCTTTCCCTATCTGGATAGTGAGTCTCCTTGGACTCAGATAGACCCAATATGACCTTGGCAAATTTTTCAGCTCTCTGAGTTTTATTTCCTCATTTGTAAAAATGAGCGTAATAATCCTCCCCCCATTACTTGAGCCCAGGAGTTCGAGACAACGCTGGACAACATGGTGAGACCCTGTCTCTACAAAATAAAAATGAAAATAAATAAAAAATAATCCCTCCCCTCAGGGTGGCTGAGAGAGGTAAAGAAAATAAAGCAAATAGGACTGGCATGCAGTAGTGCTTAACACATGTTTGAATAAACAAATGAGGGAGGGAATGCAGTTTACAGGAGAAGAAACCAGGCCTTCTGTCTAGAGATCTGACTCCCGTGTGCCCGTCCTAGAAGACACATTACTACCACCTGTGCAGTGCAGTCAGAACCAGGCTGTGGATCAGGCTGTAAGGAGAAACAAAGTTGAAAAATGGCCTGATTTGGCCTAAAACTGAAGCCACCCAAGTTGTTGTGGGCTTTTTCAGGCAACCTGGCAAGAGACAGAACTGCTCTGGGAGACGTAGGGAGAAACGTCCTGGGAAGGCCAGGAGGGGATGTGGGTGCCCTCTTTTCATTCAGTTACTTTCTGAGCCATTTCTCCTCCTCTGCTTTCAAAACCCTTGCCCAGCTGATACCATCAGGGTACACCCTGTGCTCCCTCACTTGCTGTTTCTTGCAGTCTTCTCCCAATCACTTCAACTCAGTTATCACAGGCTCTAGCTCCCCCTCCATGCCATGCTTCATCAGAGCCTCCAATCCTCTTTCAGTATCACCTTTTTCACTGTCACCCACTCATGTGCTTGCTTCCCTTCTAACCCCGAGTAGATCCCACGCTCCACCATGACTGTCACTCCCCGGCTGAAACCCTCAATAAACCTGCCCCTCTCTGTCCATCACGTAAACCTGGCTAAGTCCCAACTCTTCCAAAACCTAACCCTCACCTTCTTCAGGCCGGTGCCAGAGCAGCTGCAGGTGCTGGAGAAAAGCGCACAGCACTGTTGACGGGTTGCTCTTTAAATTCATGATCCAGCCAGGTGCACGGCTCACGCCTGTAATTCCAGCACTTTGGGAGGCCAAGGAGGGCGGATCACCTGAGGTCAGGAGTTCAAGACCAGCCTGACCAACATGGAGAAACCCCGTTTCTACTAAAAATACAAAAATTAGCTGGGCATGGTAGCAGACGTCTGTAATCCCAGCTACTGAGGAGGCTGAGACAGGGGAATCTCTTAAACCCGGGAGGCAGAGGCTGCAGTGAGCTGAGATTGTGCCACTGCTCTCCAGCCTGGGCAACAAGAGCGAGACTCTGTCTCAAAAAATAATAATAACAAAATAAAAATAAATAAGTAAATTTGTGACCACAAACCTCAAATTGGCATTCCTCATACCTGGCAATCCCACCAACCTTTCCTAGAAAGTTTTCCAGTTCCCTGAGATGGCTGTTTCATACTGTCTTCTATCTGCACAAACTCCCCTGCACTCCTCAGCTGATGGGCATGGCTCGCCCTCCTTTGAGAAACTCAAAGCCCTCAGGCCAGATCTATCAACCCTCCTGCCCCTGCGCCCAGGCTTCCTGCCTTTCCTCCTGCAACCGCCGAAGAGGCATCCTGCTGGAGTCTAAGGCAATGTCTATCTGCTGGGACTGTGGATCCCAGGCCCTCGAGCAGGCTCAAGGCCTTTGATCCAGTGAGTATCCTGCTTTTCTCTGCATCATCATTTTCTCCCTTTCTGCTCTGTTATTCTTTTTTTTTTTTTTTGAGACAGAGTCTTGCTGTGTCACCCAGGCTGGAGTGCAGTGGTGCTATCTTGGCTCACTGCAACCTCCGCCTCCCAGACTCAAGCAATTCTCCTGCCTCAGCCTCTCGAGTAGCTAGGATTACAAGCATGTTGCCATCATGCCTGGCTAATTGTATTTTTAGTAGAGATGGGGTTTCACCATGTTGGCCAGGCTGGTCTCAAACTTCCGGCCTCAAGCGACCTGCCCACCTCAGCCTCCCAAAATGCTGGGATTACAGGCATAAACCACTGCACCCAGCCATCTGCCCTGTTATTCTGATTTGCACACAAACATATTCTAGTATCTCCCTTAAGGGAGGGAGGGAAGGAAGGAAGGGAGGGAGGGAGGGAGGGACCACTCTATCAGTTAGGGTCCTGGCAGAAATCAGGATTCTCTCAGTTGGTTCAACTGATTCAAAGAGGCTACTAACAAAGTTAAGGGAACAAACAAGGATGTTGCAGCACCCAGAGACAAATGAAGGTTTGTAGGGTGACAACTCCTGGCCCAGAAAGGACCAAGGGAAGAAATAGCATTCCAGGAGCCATTGAGAAAAGGGCAGCCTGGAAGGAACTGCAGGCATGGAGGGGGACACAGCTCCTGCCCGAGACAGGGCACTGAAGCAGAGAGGGATGGGCAGAACACCTGCTCTCTCTTTCCTCCAGCCTTCAGTTCTCCTGCCTTTGCTTCCCCTTGGCTGAACCCATATGGAAGTGTTCTAACCAGAAGAGCCCCAGTAATGCAGTGCAAAAGGGTCTCTCTCCCCCGGGGCCCAGAGTGGGACCCAAATGGACAGTGAATGGACCTTGGATGGGATAATGGCCAGCACACCTTCCCTCATCCCCAAATCCCCTTCCAGCTTCTGCCCTTTCTCTGCTTACGTTTATAGCAAGACGTCTTGGAAGAGTTGTCTGTGCTTGGCCGGGCACAGTGGCTCACATCTGTAATCCCAACACTTTGGGAGACCAAGGCAGGAGGATCTCTTGAGCCCAGGAGTTCAAGATCAGCCTGGGCAACATGGCAAAACCCCATCTCTACAAAAAAATACAAAAATTAGCCAGGCATGGTGGCATGTGCCTGTGGTCCCAGCTACTTGGGAGACTGAGGCAGGAGACCACTTGAGCCTGGTAAGTTGAGGCTGCAATGAGCCACGTTCATGCCACTGCACTCCAGCCCAGGTGACAGAGTGAGACCCTGTCTCAAAACAAACAAAAAAAACCAACACAAAAAAAGAAGTTCCACTGTTTTACTTTTGCAAGACTGAATTTCCTCATAGGCACCTAAATATTCTACTGGGTCTTTTAAAGGAAACTTCCTTTCCTATTAAATTTATAGTCACATATATTACACATATATGTGAAATATGAACAGAGGATCTGGCAACCTGGATTTGGGAGTTGATGAGGTCTCGTATTATTGACATATAATTCCATAAAGTGAAGACTCAGAATGAGGTCATCTCTTTGCCCCCTCTGGTTCCAGCCTCCATGAGGCAGCAGCATGAAGAATGGTTTAAAGGCCAGGGCTGCAGAAGCGGAAATTGTTTAAATTTCATTTCTAACCCTCCTTTGCAATGTGACCTTAACCAAGTCACTTTATCTCTCTGAGCCTCAGGGTTCTTATCTGAAAATTGCCTGAGTAGGGTTGTCACAGAGATTAAGTGAGCAATACACAGAAAGCCCCCAGCCTCTGAGCCCTGCATGAGTAAGCACACTGGAACAGTGCCAATCATTTCCATAGCTAGGATATTATTTTCCAGAAGCTTCCCAATGATCACAGGCTACAGAAAGAGGTGATGCACACAGATTGGGGCAGTGAGTTGAGGGCTGGCAGCTGTTTCTGGCAGGTTGTTTGGAAGGGGATGAGGAGTGACTAGAAATGAAGGATGACGTAATGTCCTTTCCAGGGTCAAAGCATTGAAGGGATTATGGCATCTATTCCCACAAATATGAGTCAAAATAAAAATAACACTAAAAACCACAAAACACGAAATCTAAATGTATGGTGAAATGAAAACAGTCTCTTTCTAGATGTTCCGATTGCACCATTCCAGATAAATTCATTGAAGCCGAATTCATGTTTTCAATGCCCTTGCTCTGTTGCCTGCCTGCAGGAAATGCAGCAAGTGTTTGAGTCCAGGAACAAAAATTCCTGGGATCTGAATGCCATGAGATACTTTCACATCTGTGATATAAGTCATGATGATGATCATTCATTGATTGAGTTGATTTTCTGTTGTACCATTGTTTTTTAAACTCTTTGAAGTCCTTTCACCTATATCAGCTTGCTTGAATGCCACAGTGGTAGTCAAAAGGTAATCAGTATTAGCTCAGTGGGTTTTATTCATAGAATAACCAGAAACATAGCCTAGACCTCTTTGACATCAGTTGAGCCATCTGAGCCGATTATGATTCCTGCCAGGACCCTAACTGATAGAGAGGTCCGCTCCCTCCCTCCTCCCTCCCTCTCTCTCCCCGCCTCTTTCTTTCTTTCCTTCCTTCCTTCCTTCCCTCCTTCCTTCCTTCCTCCCATCCTTCCTCCCTTCCTCTGTCTTGCCTTCCTTCTTTCTTTCTTGAAGGGAGATACTAGAACATGTTTGTGTGCAAATGAGAATAAAAGGGATAAAATGGTAGTGCAGAGAAAAGCAGGATACTCGCTGAAATGGAGGCCTCGAATCTGCTCGAGTCGTGGGATCCAGAGTCCGAGCAGAAGGTGCTCCAATCACAAGCCAATTGACCTTGAAATCGCTCTTTGCCTGGAGACCACCACCACTTTCACTCCTACATAGCGATATACCACTCAGGACTCAGAAGTCACCTCTTCTTGGAAACCCTCCCTCACCTCCAGGCTGGCCCAGCTCATTTCTTCCAAGCCACCAAAGTCTCCCATGCTTGTCCTCAGTGTCAGGGGACACTCCTGCCTCAAAACTCTCTGCTTTCTTACTCTTGCACTGGCCTGTGAGCTCTTTGCAGAAAGGGCCCCACTCACATATCACAGTGCTCCAAAAAGCTTGCGGTTCATCATTGAATTGAGTGGGTCAATTTAACACAGAGATCTTTCACAAGCTGGATTTAATATCCTGGGAGGACCCATTTTATGGTAAGTAGAGGCAACACTAATCTCGTCCCCGGTAGGAGACAAAGATCCCTCTGCCGCCATCACGCACCCATGAACACAACACATATTATGATAACCATGGTGCCTGAAATTCCACCATTCAAGAATCGTTTCTTGTCTTCTGACATTCTTGTTCCCCTGGACAGGTGGGACTGGAGTGATGTGGGTGGGTGGTTAAGTGCCTAGGCGGGGAGGGGTAAACTAAAGACACTAGGGCTTATGATGATTGCCCTTCCTGCAGCTATGCTCCCCATTTCATGGAGATTGAAATGCCTCATCTGTTCCCTGTGCCCTGGGCATCTGAGAGGAATGCTTAGTTGCTCAGTATCTAGGTTCCTTATGCCAAAGTTTTGGTGACACCGTTCTTATTATTTTTTTCTTTAAAATTGTTGCCCAGGCACAGTGGCTCATGCCTGTAATCCCAGCACTTTGGGATGCCTAGGTGGGAGGATCACTTGAGCCCAGGAGTTCGAGACCCTTGGGCAACATGGTGAAACCCCATCTCTACTAAAAATACAAAAAATTAGCCGGGCGTGGTGGTGCATGCTTATGGTCCCCATTACTCAGGAGGCTGAGGTGGCAGGATGCCTTGAGCTGGGAGGTGGAGGTTGCAGTGAGCCAAGATCATGCCACTGCACTCTAGCCTGGGCAACAAGAGTGAAACTCCGTCTCAAAAAAGAAAAAAAAAGTTGTATTGGCCAGCCTCAGTGTTGCAAACCTGTAATGCCAGCACTTTGGGAGGCCAAGGCGGCAAATCACTTGAGCTCGGGAGTTGAAGACCAGCCTGAGTACCATGATGAAACCCCATCTCTACCAAAAATATAAAAAATTAGCCAGGCGTGGTGGTGCCCGCCTGTGGTCCCAGCTACTCAGGAGGCTGAGGCAGGAGGTGGAGGTTGCAGTGAGCAGAGATCGCACCACTGTGCTACAGCCTGAGCAACACAGTGAGACCCAATCTGAAAAATAAAAAATAATTAATAAATAAGACAGAGGTTGTCTAAAACTTTTGTTAAGTTCTATTGTTCAATCCTTGCTTCATGAACATTAAATTAAATTAAGAAATAAAGTCATATTGTACTTTTTCTGCCTTTGAATGTCATAGACAGTCAATGCCAGTGAGAGGCTGGGTGTGATGTGACTCAACAGGACATCCCAAGCCGCAGTTCCTGAAGGGATAGCAATGGTGCCATGAGGGAGGGGTTGTGGTGTCTACGTTTCTGTCAGTGGGGGAAATCTGCTCTCAGCCCCCACACCAGTGGGGAAGCTTCCCTCTCTACCAAAGGGAGTGGAATAAAAGAACATGCTGGGCCTGGTGGCTCATGCCTACACTTTGGAAGGCCGAGGAGGGTGGATCAATTGAGATCAGGAGTTCGAGACCAGCCTGAACAACATGGTGAAACTCCATCTCTACTAAAAATACAAAATTAGCTGAGCGTGGGGGTGCACAACTGTAATCCTAGCTACTCCAGAGGGTGAGGCAGGAGAATCGCCTGAACGCAGGAGGCAGAGGTTGCAGTGAGCCGAGATCATGCCATTGCACTCCACCCTGGGCGACAAGAGTGAAACTGTCTCAAAAAAAACAAAAACAAAAAAACAAAAACAAACAAACAAACAAACAAACAAAAATGCATATCCCAGAATGGCAGTCCCAGGAGAATTCCCAAGGAGAAGGCAAAAAAACTGAGCAGGAAACAGGGAGGGCCAGAAAGCTGCAGGGCAACCTCCCCAGAGAGAGGGTCCCGCTCCTCTCCCATTCCTTCCCCACCCATCTGGGCAGACCTTATCCCATCTCAGCATGGAGCTCCAACAGCCCCGAGCACCCCTGCTCACCGTGACCCACTCTTCACACTGCACCCAGAGCGCTCTCTCTACCCACGAGTGTCTAGTGCCTCCCTCTTCAACCTTCCAGACTCTGTCCTCCCCCATCGTTGTGGATGGAAACAAGACAGGGCCAGACAGGGCCAGCTGCATGGGCCTATGACCTGTGCAGTCACAGAGGGCCCTGGTGCTAAGGGCCCCACACTTGGTTTAATGCTCTGCTATAACTGCCTTTACATTCCTCATGACACATGACCAAGAGATCCACATTTGCTTTTTCAGTGGGGTCTGCAAATTATGTAGCTAGACCTGGTACACAGCCTCACCCACTGGGGATTAATATTTAAGTCCAGGCTTCGAGGCTCAGGAGTATGAAGTCACATTTCTGTTTAATAGAAGAATTACCAGACTCGAAATTCTCACCTCCTTAACCACAGTCTTCAGCCAGGCCCTATCCCTGAGGGTCTCTGGGCCTTCAGGGCCTCCCTTTTGGAAGCCAAGTCTGTTGCACAAACCTGCTGGCTTGGTGATGTGTCTTGGCCAGCCTGATGGTGCCAGGCTGTGGGCAGTAGTCTTCCCCCTGAGCAGCTGGCATCCTACAGTGCCCAGGCCACCTGGCTGAGGTGGGCTCCAAGTTTCTCTGTAGATGCTCTCACCTGATAACTAAGGCCAGCAGGCAAGGTCTGACAATTCTTTAGAAGGTTTAGAGAAGATTCTCATTTTTAGCTAACACGCACTGAGCAGCTCCTACGTGCAAGGCACTGCTCTAAGCACTTTTAGTGCACATTCCAGGAACCTCACCATCATGCTATGAGGGAAGTACTATTAATGACTACTGCCTAGTTATTACAAGGAAACTAACGTTCAGGAAGATTAACTACACCTCACTGGCCACTCCTCGTCTTCCTGCTGGGTTTACCTCATTGTCTAACCTCTAAGTGCAGATGCCCCGGGCAGGCCTCAATTCTCTCCTCCTTTCAGTCCACCCTCTCACCCCTGTTGGCCTTCTGCCACCTCACCCATCCACCTAATCTATCAAATGACTCTGAACTCCAGATTCCACCTGCCTTTCAGCATCTCCACAGGGATTTCTAACAGACAAGCTCAAACTCCGTGCATCCACAACAGAGCTCCTGATCCCCCATCCCCAACTTCCTGGCTTCTGTAGCCTTCCCCCATCTTAGACACTTGCTTGACCAAAACCACTGGAATCATTCTTAATTCTTCACTACCCGAAATCTAATTCATTAGCAAATCCTGTCAGCAAGACTTTAAAAATATGTGCACACACAAAAAAATTATATGCAGATGCTCCTCTACTTATGATGGGGTTACATCCCAACAAACCCATCGTACGCTGAAAATAATCAGGTTAAAAATACATTTAGTGCACAACCTATGAAACATCATAGCTTAGCCTAGCCTACTTTAAATGTGCTCAGAACACATACATTAGCCTACAGTTGGGCCACATCATCTAACACATACTTGTCTTATAATAAAGTGGTGAATATCTCACGTAATTTATAGAATATTGTACTGAAAGTGAAAAACAGAATGTTTTATTCTTTTTTTGTTTTTGTTTTTGTTTTTGTTTTGAGACGAAGTCTCGCTCTGTTGCCCATGCTGGAGTGCAGCGGCATAATCTCAGCTCACAGCAACCTCCCAACCTCTGCCTCCCGGGTTCAAGCGATTCTCCTGCCTCAGCCTCCTGAGTAGCTGGGACTGCAGGTGCCACTATGCCCAGCTAATTTTTTATATTTTTAGTAGAGACAGTGTTTCACTGTGCTAGCCAGGATTTGTTGTTGTTGTTGTTGTTGTTGTTGTTGTTGTGTGTGTGGTGTTTTTTTTTTTTAAGACAGAGTTTCGCTCTTGTTGCCCAGGCTGGAGTGCAATGGCATGATCTCGGCTCACCACAACCTCCGTCTCCCAGGTTCAAGTGATTATCCCGTCTCAGCCTCCTGAGTAGCTAGGATTACAGGAATGCACTACCATGCCCAGCTTATTTTGTATTTTTAGTAGAGATGGGGTTCCTCCATGTTGGTCAGGCTGGTCTTGAACTCCTGACCTCAGGTGATCTGCCTGCTTCCGGCCTCCCAAAGTGCTGGGATTACAGGTTTGAGCCACCTCACCTGGGCAACAGAATGGTTTTATGGTTACTTGGTATGATTTCTACTGCATGTATATGTCTTTCATACCATGGTAAAGTCAAAAAATTGTTAGGCTGAACCACTGCAAATCAGGAAGTGTCTGTATGTATAGATCTATAGATAGATAGAACACAATAAAATTGATAAATTAGACTTCTTCAAAGTTCAAAATGTTTGCACTTCCAAAGACACTATTAAGAAAGTGAAAATAGGCCAACTGTGGTGGCTCACGCCTGTAATCCCAACACTCTGGGAGGCTGAGGCGGTTGGATCACCTGAGGTCAGGAGTTCAGAACTGACATGGCCAACATGGTGAAACCCAGTCTCTACTAAAAATACAAAAATTAGCCGGGCGTGGTGGCAGGTGCCTGTGATCCCAGCTACTTGGGAGGCTGAGGCAGGAGAATTGCTTGAACCCAGGAGGCAGAGGCTGCAGTGAGCTGAGATCATGCCACTGCACCCCACCCTGGGCAACCGAGTGAGACACTGTCTCAAAAAAAAAAAAAAAAGGAAAGAAAAGAAAGAAAGTGAAAATAGGGCTGGGCGTGGTAGCTCACGCCTGTAATCCCAGCACTTTGGGAGGCCAAGGTGGGCAGATCACCTGAGGTTGGGAGTTCAAGACCAGCCTGAACAACATAGAGAAACCCCATCTCTACTAAAAATACAAAATTAGCCAGGAGTGGTGGCGCATGCCCATAATCCCAGCTACTCAGGAGGCTGAGGCTGGAGAATCTCATGAACCCGGGAGGCAGAGGTTGCGTTGAGCCGAGATCGCGCCATTGCACTCCAGCCCGGGTGACAAAAGTGAAACTCCCTAAAGAAGGAAAGAAGGAAAGAAAAAGAAAGAAAGAAAGAGAGAGAAAGAGAGGAGGGAGGGAGGGAAGGAAGGAAGGAAGGAAGGAAGGAAGGAAGGAAGGAAGGGGGGGAGGGAAAGAAAAAAAAATAGGCTGGGCATGGTGGTTCACACCTGTAATCTCAACACTATGGGAGGCCGAAGAGGGTGGATTGCTTGAACCCAGGAGTTCAAGACCAGCCTGAGCAACATGGTGAAACCTCATCTCTACAAAAAAATAAACAAAATTAGCTGAGCATGGTGGTGTATGCCTGTAGTCCTAGCTACTCGGGAGGCTAAGGTGGGAGAATGGCTTGAGCCTGGGAGGCAGGCAGAGGTTGCAGTGAGCTCTGTTTGTGCCACTGCACTCCATCCTGAGCAACAGAGCCAGGCCTTGTCAAAAAAAAAAGAAAAGAAAAGAAAGAAGGAAGAAGGAGAGAGAGAGAGGGAGAGAGAGAGAGACAGAAAGAAAGAGAAAGAGAGAGAAAGAAAGAAAGAGAAAGAAAGAAAAAAAGAAAGAAAGAGCTTTCCCTCACTTTGCCCTACCCTTGAGGCTCTGCCAAATGCAGGTGATGGTTGCTGACCTCCTTCTGTGGCAAACTCTGAGTAAGTAACTTTGCTTGTTCTCATTTGAGTGCTCTTTGTTTATTCCTGCACTTTGGACTAGGAGTAACAAGAGTCATGGGAACAAGGGGACAAGTTGAGGTCTATTTTGGAGATAAAACAGGCAAAACTCGATAATGGATTGTAAGGAGGAGCAGGAGGCAGGGAAGAAAAGAGGGACATCAAGAGGACTCCTAGAGAGGCTGGGCATAGTGGCTCATGCCTGTAATCCCAACACGTTGGTAGGCTGAGGTGGGTGGATCTCTTGAGGCCAGGAATTTGAGACCAGTCACAGCCGACATGGCAAACCTTGTCTCTACTAAAAATTCAAAAATTAGTCAGGCGTGGCAGCACACTCCTGTAATCCCAGCCACTCATGAGGCTGAGGCACGAGAATTGCTTGAACCCAGGAAGTGGAGGTTGCAGTGAGCCAAGATCGTGCCATGGCACTCCAGCCTGGGTAACAGAGTGAGACTTTGTCCCAAAAAAAAAACAAAAATTAAAATCAAATTAAAAAAAGAAGACTCCTAGGTGTCTGGCCTTGGCAAGTGGGTGGACGGTGGCACTGTTTACTGAGACGAAGATTAGAACAAAAGCAGGTTGGCAGGGTGACTAAAAGCCAGAGTTGAGTTTTTGATGTGAGATGTCTATCAGATGAAGGTGCCAAGGAGGCAGTTACATCCCCAAGTCTGTGCTCAGAGGGAGACCAAGCAGGAGAGAGGACATAGGAGGGGCACACAAAGATGCTTTATACAACCAGGAACACGGATGATGTCACAGGAGACAGTGTAGACAGAGAAGGGATGAGGAAGCAGGACTGACCCTCATCAGGACTGAGCCTGTGGGAATCCAGTTTCTCTCTGTAAGTATTTATTTATTTATTTATTTATTTATTTATTTGAGACAAGGTCTTGTTGTGTTGCCCAGGCTGGAGTGCAGTGGCAAGATCTCAGCTCACTGCAGCCTTGACCTTGCAGGCTCAAGTGATCCTCCCACTTCAGCCTCCCAAGTAGCTGGGACCACAGGTGCATGCCACCAGGCCTGACTAATTTTTTATTTTTTGCAGAGATGGGGTCTTGCTATGTTGCCCAGACTACTCTCAACTCCTAGATGAAAGTGATCTGCCTGCCTCGGCCTCCCAAAGTGTTAGGATTACAGGCATGAGCCACCTCACTGGGCTTGTAAATACTTATTGAGTGAATGAGACATTCTTCAGCACTAAGTAAAGTTGACAGCCTCCTAAGGGATTAGATTAGAAACTTCCACAGTCGGATGTGGGCAGAAGATGAGGAGGCAGCCTCAGAGACTGAGAGGAGCTGCCAGCGAGGACAAAGAAAACCTGCTGCACCGGGATGAACCCCACGCTCCTCGGCAGAGCGTGGGCTAACCTGGGCCAACTGCCTGCCGCCTTCCTCTCCAGACTCATCTCTTCCTGCCATCCTTTTGGGGCCAATTTTAGTATTTTCCCAAATGCATCCTATAGCTTCAGACCTTCACACATGCTGTCCCCTCTCTAGGATTACAAAAGTCACATGAGCTCATTATCAGTAAGTTGAACACAATGGAAATACATGACAGAGTAGAAGCTGGCCAGCACCCCTGCTCTCCATTAGTAAGCATTTGTACTATGCGTTCGCAGATGTGTTTTCTGTGCATATTCTAATGCACTTGCTCTCACACACATGCACACACCAGATTTTCCTCCCTGCCTCCAAAATGGGAAATACCTCCTTTAGCGCATGATTTTTCCTCTTAATGTATTATGGACCCTTTCCACATACATAGAGAGTACATACTTGCTTATGCTTATATTTCAATACAAATGTACATGCAGTGAGTGCATTTCGGTACACAGAGAGGTGCCTTGTTCTTTAAGATAGATCTTTAGAGTTTGAGTGTATAGATTAATCACAATGTATTTAAACAATCTGCATTAATAAACCTTCCATCTCTTTTTTATTTCTTTCTTTTCTTCTCTTCTCTTTTCTTTTCTTTTGAGATGGGAGTCTTGCTCTGTTGCCCAGGCTGGAGTGCCATGGCACAATCTCAGCTCACTGTAACCTCCACCTCCCAAGTTCAAGTGACCCTCTCACCTAAGCTTCCCGAGTAGCTGGGATTACAGGTGCCCTCCACCACACCTAGCTATTTTTCTCTGTGTGTATTTTTTTTTTTTTAAATAGAGATGGGTTGCACCATGTTGGTCAGGCTGGTCTCAAACTCTTAACCTCAACTGATCCACCTTGGCTGCCTTGGCCTCCCCAAGTGCTGGGATTATAGGCATGAGCCATTGCACCTGGCCACCCTTTCTTTTTTCTTCTTCTTCTTTCTTTTTTTTTTTTTTTTTTTTTTTTTGAGACAGAATCTCACTCTGTTGCCCAGGCTAGAGTGCAGTGGTATGATGACAGTTCATTGCCGCCTCAACCTCCTGGGCCCAAGTGATCCTTCTTCCTGTCTCCTGAATAGCTGGGATCACAGGTGAGCACCACCATGCCTGGCTATTTTTTTTTTTTTTTTTTTTTTTTTTTGTAGAGACAGAGTCTCACTATGTTGCCCAGGCATCTTTTTTGCAATTATAAAAGTGGCAATGCTCTATGTTGTACAGACTGTACAAAAACATGACCTTAGACAAATAAATTCCTAGAAGTAGGGTTGTGAGGTCAAAAATAGTGAATGCTTTAATAGACATTGCCAAACTGCTCTCCAGAGTTCAGGACAACTTTTGCCAACAAGTGTGAATTAAATTTCTTGTTTATCTACACTCATGCCAAGACTGGGTATTGTTAATCATTCAACTCAGTCAATTTTATAGAAAAAGTGATACTGTATTATTATTTTAATTTGCATTTCATAGAATAGAAATAAGGTTTCCAATAGTTTTTCACATTCTTTGCCCATTTTTCTGTAGGCTTTTTAACCTTTTGATTTGCAAGTGTTCTTGGTATATTAGATGTCATATATAGGCATTGCAAACACTCTTCATTTAAATTTTTTATTTTACTTTCTTTTTCTAGAGACAGGGTCTTGCTCTGTCACCTAGGCTGGAGTTCAGTGGCATGACCACAGCTCACTGCAGCCTGGACCTCCAGGCTGAAGCGATTCTCCCTCCTCTGCCTCCTGAGTAGCTGGGACTACAAGCACACACTGCCACACCTGGCTAATTTTTGCATTTTTTGTAGAGCTGGGGTCTCACTACATTGCCTAAGCTGTTCTCAAACTCCTAGGCTGAAGCTATGCTCTCACCTCGGCCTCCTAACGTGCTGAGATTACAGGCATGAGCTACTGTGCCTAGCTGGAAATATTCCTTATTGGCTGCTTTTTCTTTACTTGTCTTATTTTTTCAAATATAAATATAGACGGGCTCTATGTTGCCCAGGCTGAAGTGCAGTGGTTATTTACAAGTGTAACCATGATTCACTGCAGTCTTGAACTCCTGGCTTCAAGTTATCCCCCTGTCTTAGCCTCCCGAGTAGCTAGGACTACAGGTATGCACCACTATGACCTGCTGATTTTTGTTTGTGTGTGTGTTTTGTAGAGACAGGGTCTCACTTTGTTGCCCTGTCTGGTCCCTCAAGCAATCCTTCTGCCTCAATCTCCCAAAGTTCTAGCATTACAGGCATGAGCCACCATACCTGGCCAGTTTATTAATCTTTTTTGTTTGTTTGTTTTGAGATGGAGTTTCGCTCTTGTTGCTCAGGCTGGAGTACAATGGCATGATCTTGGCTCACCGCAACCTCCGCCTCCCTGATTCAAGCAATTCTCCTGCCTCAGCCTCCCAAGTAGCTGGAATTACAGGCATGTGCCATCATGCCCGGCTAATTTTGTGTTTTTAGTAGAGACAAGGTTTTTCCATGTTGGTCAGGGTGGTCTTGAACTCCCGACCTCCGGTGATCCACCCGCCTCAGCCTCCCAAAGTGCTGGGATTATAAGCATGAGCCACTGGGCCTGGCCCAGCTTATTAATCTTTATTTTCGCTTTATAAAGGTTTAGAATTTTATGTGGTCATGCTTATGAAGGCCCTTAATATTCCAAATTTTTTCTTTTTTTTTCTTTTTCAAGATTAAGTCTTGCTCTGTTGCCCAGGCTGGAGTGCAGTGGCAGAATCTCAGCTCACTGCAACCTCCGCCTCCCAGGTTCAAGAGATTCTCCTGCCTCAGCCTCCTGAGTAGCTGGGATTATAGGCACACACCACCATACTTGGCTAATTTTTGTATTCTTAGTAGAGACTGGGTTTCACCATGTTGGCCAGGCTGGTCTTGGACTCTTGACCTCATGAGCTGTCCGTCTCGGCCTCCCAAAGTGCTGGGACTACAGGCGTGAGCCACCCCACCCGGCCCACCAATTTTTTTTCTAAAACTTACTCATCTTTATTCTAGAAAGTTATTGGTTTCATTTTCTTACATATAACCATCTTTGAACCATCTGGAATTGTTTTGGTGTTGAGAGGTAGGAATCCAGCTTCTCCTTGTAAATATTTATTGAATGAATGAATGAGACATTCTGCAGCCCTAAGTAAAGCTGATGGCCTCCTAAGGGATTAGATTAGATGGGTAATAAAATTGTTTGTTCACTCTACAAATATTTTTAAACTGCATGCCAGCATGGCAGAATGCAATGGTGAATAAAATCAGATAGAGCTCCCACTCTGTGGCTATTACAGTTGATGGGACAGGCAGACATTAGCCAGATACCACAAATGGATGTAAAACTTACAAAGGCGATATGTGCCCTGAAAAAGCATATAGTTAAGGAATCTACCCTAGTTGTCACTGGTTAAGGAAGTTCCTTGGGAAGTACCCTCAGGACCAGCACCTGTGAGAGGGTGAAGCTGGCAGGCCTGGCCAGACAGAGTGACTGCACTCCAGTTGCAACAGAGGTCTCAGCCACTCCCACAGGGAGCTCTAGAGGGCAGATGACCCTTCAAAGTTGCAGTGAATGGAGGCGAGGGGTCTGGGCTTTTATTGCCCACCCCATCTCCCTGCTCCAATGAACTAGGCAATGGATGTAGACTGTCCCCAGGCAGCTCCGTTCAGCCAGGGCATTTCCCAGAGTAAGACTCATCTGCCAGCATCCACCTCCAAGTCTCCTAGCAGCCAGGGAATGAGGGCCCTGATCCTGAAGTGGACGTCTGGGTGGCAGGTCACAGTATCCACTACAGAAGTCTTCCATAAAGTAGTTGGGGAGACCTTGAGTACAGTACTGATGGGTAAGCGGAAGTTAACTAGGCATAGAGAACGGAGACTTTTTCTAGGAGCAACCTGCTTTCTCTAGCACAATGCCAGGGGAGCCTTTGCACGGCAGGCACGGGCAGGAATGGGGGCAGAGAGACTAATGAGGAGGCTGCTAAGGGAATTTAATAGAATACATTCAAATCTGGAGATGAGCATATACAAAATTAGACAGAAAAGCAAAGTTTCCTGATATCCCCAGCCCTCAGAGATGACAATTATTAAGGTTTTTTTTGTTTTTGTCTTTTGAGACGGAGTCTCGCTCTGTTGCCTAGGCTAGAGTTCAGTGGTGCAATCTTGGGTCACTGCAACCTCCACCTCCCAGGTTCAAGCAATTCTCCTGCCTCAGCCTCCCGAGTAGCTGGGATTACAGGTGCCCACCAACATGCCCTGCTAATTTTTTTTTTTCATTAGAGATGGGGTTTCACCACGTTGACCATGTTGGTCTCAAATTCCTGACCCCAAGCGATCCTCCCGCCGTGGCCTCCCAAAGTGCTGGGATCACAGGCGTGAGCCACCATGCCCGGCTCACTGCGTTTCTTTTCCATCTTTCTTCTCTGCACATTTTATTTAAAAGCAAGGATTTTATTATAGATGTGATTTGTTTTTCTGCTTTTTTCTACACATTTTTTTCTATACCTTTACTGTTTCTGATCACAAAGGCAACACCTGCTAATTACATAAACTCAGAAAGTACAAATTTTAATAAAGAAATAAACAATACTTCCGTCCAGGCGCGGCCTGTAACCTGGCACCCCACGGGCTCCAGAGCTCCCGTGTCCATGGTCCAGCCCACCGCCTGGCATGCTGAGAATACCTGGAAAATGCCAGCTACGCACTGTCACCTCGGGAGGGTCTCTTCTTATTTCCAAAGCTGTCTTCTGCTCAATGAAATGCACGCAGACACTGAGCAAGTATGTATTGAGCTTCTCATCTCCCAGACACCAGAGACACATCCATAGACTGACTGAGTTCACTGCCCTTGTGCTGCACTCCGCTTGAGGAGACAGATGATGGTGTCATGTAAGGAGCTAAAATGTAAGGAGCTAAAATGTCCTGAGCTGTGAAAGTGGCAAGCGGGGGCTGAGGGATGGAGGGGGCAGGGTTGGGGCAGGTGGGGGTGACTTGGATGTCTAGAGCCCAGGGCTGGGGCCGGACCCTGCACTGCTCTGCTTGGTGACCTCGCTGTGCTCTGAGTCATGAGGGCAGACAGTGGCCAGGGTGAGGATGGCACAGTGCAGCCCTTTCCCCACTGCTGAAGATGCGCCTTCGTGGGGTGGGAGAACAGGCTGTGGGGACTTGAGAGTCATCCTGACCCCAGGGGTGGTTGTTTCTGGAAACAAAAACCCAGGGCTTATGCTCCTGGGACAGAGGAGCCCTGGGGCCTCGCGTCCTCCCCATGGCCTTCGCATTGGGCAGTGAAGGCATCTTCCTGTTCAGTCTGAGGGAGAGAGAAGTGGTGCCACTCAGGGAGTCAGCTTTCATCTCACTTAGTCCTCACAGTGGCCCTGTGAGGTAAGGACCACCAGCAGCCCAATTTACAGATGAGGACCCTGAGACTCAGAGAAGTTACATGGTTTGCCCAAAGGGACACAGCTACTAAGTGGCTGAATGGGATTGAACCCGGGTCTTTCTGAGACAGCCCAAGCTGTGGATGGAATGCTCCAGCTCACAGATGAACAGGTGAAGTGGAACAGACACTTTAGAATGATTTGGCAATATTCACCAAAGCTAAACATTTGCCTCCCATGAGCTAGCAATTTCCTCCCTTCGTGTGTACCTTACACAGATGTGTCTATATCTTCACTAAAATACAAGTAAAACAACCCACATAGCAGCACAATTTGTAATAGCCTCATAGTAGAAACTTCCAAAATACCCATCACAGAAGAATAAATAAAAAACCATGGGACATTCAAGACTAGAATACTATACAGCAAAGAAAATGAGTAAATTGTGGCTACAACATGAATGAATCTCACACAGCTCATGTGTGAGCGACAGAAGTTAGACCTATAAGAATAGGTCTATAAGAATAATATCTATAAGAATAGATAATGTGTGATTCCATTTATATGAAGTTATCATCAGGCAAACTAATCTCCAGTAAAAGAATTTACCTCGGGGTGGGGGTGCAGGGAATTGAGCCTTCTGTGGGGCCTGAAATGTTTACAGTTGCCCCTCAATGTATGTGGGGAATCAGTTTCCCCATCTCCCACAGATACCAAAGTCCTGATATAAAATGGTGCAGTATTTGTATATAACCTAAGCACATCTTCTTGTATGCTTAAAATTATCTCTAGATTACTTATGTGATCATGTGTCAGATAACGACATTTCAGTCCATGCCAGAATGCATATAGGATGGTGGTTCCCATAAGGCTATAATGGATCCATCCTATACAGGTGTACCATCTCTAAAAATTGATATTTAAGAAGAGATGGGGCCTTGTTATGTTGCCCAGATAGTCTTGAACTCCTGGGCCCAAGTGATCCTCCCATTATGGCTTCCCAGAGTGCTGGAATTATAGGCATGAACCACCACAGCTGGCGAGGTGTACCATTTTGTATTGTTTATACTGTATTTTTATGATCCTTTTCTGTGTTTAGATACACAGATAGCCACCATTATGTTACCATTTCCTACAGTACTCAATATGGTAACATGCTGTAGAGGTTTGGAGCCCAGGAGCAATCAGCTCTACCACTCAGCCCAGGTGTGTGTTTGGCTGGACAACCTGGAGGAAGCTAAGGAGACATGACCTAAAGGCAGAGGGTGAGTCAGAGGTGGGATCCCTGGACAGGTATGAGAAGCTAGGCGAAAACGGGTGAAGTCTGAATAAATTTCACCCTATTCATATAATTACTGCATTAATAACCTTAGATAATAGTTCACATTATCATTTAGTTAATAGGATTGCACCCATGTTAAATTTCTTATTTTGTTTTTTTAAGAGACAAAGTCTCACTCTGTCACTTAGGCTGGAGTGCAGTGCTGTGATCATAGCTCACTGCTTCCTGGAACTCAATTGCTAAAGCAGTCTTCCCACCTCAGCCTCCTGACTAGGTGGGACTACACACACACGCCACCACGCCTGGCAATTTCTTTTACTTTTCTCTAGAGAAAGAGTCTACCTATGTTTCCCAGGCTGGTCTCAAACTCCTGGGCTCAAGTGAACCTGAACCTCCTGCCTCGACCTCTCAAATTGCTGGGATTACAGGCATGAGCCACCACACCTGGCCTAAATTTCTTATGTGCCATGGTACTGCAAAATGTCCTTATTAAGGGCAGCTGGATGGAAGGTGTACGTGTAAAATCATTTCAACAGTAAACATTTATTTTACAACATGAAGATGGTTATCCTTCCATGAGTGTAAAGTATAAAGGCAGGCTCATGGTGTCGTCAGAAGTCAGGTTTCAGGGCTGGGGGTGCTGGGAAGGGCTGGGCATGGTTGGCTTTGTGATCTGGGGGCTGGTGTGTTCCATCTCTGAATGTCTTTTGAGCTGTGCACTTACCAGGGATGTAAGTCATATCTTAATAAATTTTCATAAGTTTAACAAAAAGTAAAACGAGGATGGGAAGCTTGTTTGGGATCTCGGGTGCTTATCTAGCCATGAGCCCTGGCCCAGATGCTTCTAGTAGCCTGGAGGGAACTGAGAACATTCAAAATAGAGGTGGCAGAGCCAAGGCCCCGAGGTGGAAGCGCACTGCTGCTTGTCCCTAGCTGTGAATGGGGTGTCCTGCTCGGAGGCAATGCTGTGTGCACTGCAGGGCCCACAAGTCCATGTCCATATTGTGGCTCAGTGCAGTGAAAGCCAATCTCAGCCCCTTCGCAGTGTGGTCAGCCTGCCAGCAGGTGGCCAGCTGATCCTCCTGGGAAATTGTGCCATCCCAGGGACTGGGTGTGAGTCTCTCATCCACAAATGTGGTGTCAGCCTGGTGAGCCTTGGAAAGGGCATGTGCAGGATGCTGAGCCTCTTCCATCCTCATGCCGGTCTCAAGGCCACTCGCTCCGTGGGCCCATCCAGCAAGTGTGGTGGCTTGGAAAGAAGCCGGCTCCATCCACAGGGCATGCTGTTTTGCTCAACTCAGGACCAACATCATCCTCCATAGTAATTCTCTTTGGTGGGAGTACTGGAAACATGAATAACAGATACCTTCAGAGTCTGAGCTGCTGAGGCCAGGGCTGCAGGGTGCCCTCCTGTCAGGAAAACCTGCACTGGCAGCTGGAAGGCACCTGGTCGTGGTGTCTGCAAGGGCTACAGCAGTGGCTGCAAGGCTTCGGGACTCACCCGGCTTCTGTGAGGTGAATTGTGACAGTGGCAGAGCTCTGCAGCGCCAGGGTCCCCTGCATGGTCATACTGACTGCAACTGGGAGCCCACCACACCCCTGGTGCCCCTCTCTTCCCAGGGCTGGGGTCTAGACCAGGCCCCTCTTGCCTGGGAATTATGCACTGGGAGGGGGACACAGGCCCGCAGATTGGGACAGAGGCCCCAGGGCATGCTGCTGGCTGGCCGGGGCTGCCATGCTCACCTCTCTGTCTCTCGTGGCCTTGGTGGGACCGGCCTCCCCATTGAATGGGATTTTCCAGGTGTCTGGGGCTGCAGGGCAGCTGGCGGGGTGCCACCCTGGCTTCGGTGACCAGATGCAGGTGCCCATGTTGCAGCGGGGTTATCTCCCGACCTCCCTCTTAGTCCTGATGGGCCTGGGCTGGGCCCGGTGTCAGGGTCCCCTTGGGCTCCCTGGGCTAGGCCTGTCCCATGGTCCCGGGGCTGTCCAGGACACATTTAGAAGGGACATGGACCCAGCAGCTCTGTTTGAAATCGTCATGGGGGAACCAAGGGCCCCCCACATCCAGGTCCGTCGGGAGCTGGAGCATAGAGTTCCACTGCAGGAATCTCCAGGAACGCCGAGGTCCTCCCTGAGCCGGGGCCAGGCTGGGCATGCCCTGAGTCCCAGGTGCCCCCAGAGAGTGGTCTGCTGCCCTGGGCTCCCCAGAAGCCCCCACATGTTCCTGGGCCTTGGCCTCATGGACAGCCCCACCAGGACAGGGTGTAGGACGAGGTGGAGAAGCGGACCAAATGGGCCGCTGGAACCGGGCTGGTGGGCCGGGAAGGGCCTTCCTGTCCCCCTTGCAGAGGGTCTTCCCGCCATGTGATGCCAGCACAGACCTGGGTCCTGAGGACCCTTTCTCGGGTTTTGCTGAAAGGAAAACAGACGTGGTCAGTGTCTCCAGTGAGCCCATGCAGGCCTTTCTGGGCTGGGCCCCACCTGCCTGGGTCTCTGGAGTCCTCAGGGTCTCTGTGTGGCCCCTGTGGTCTGACACTGATGACATGCCTATAGTCTGCTGATCCCAGAGGAAGGGTTGTGTGCCGCCTGGTGTGGGGAAGCTGCCTGGGCATGGCAGGTGGCTTCTGGAACTGCCCCCAGGGTTCAGCCTCGCTGGGGGCTTCCTGCCACACACCCTCATCCCAGGGCTATTGGGCCTGGGATATGGCCCCCAGTCAGAACTCAGGTGGGAGGGGCCTTGGATGTCACCAGCCCCTTGCCACTTCACATGGGGACCCGTCTCCACAGTGGGTGACTGGGCCTGGACGTGGGTCACCCTCTGCCCTCCTGGGCTGCCCCGTCCATACCAGGACTGACCGTTCCCACACCTGGCTAAACACTTGGCTCTGGCTCTGGGCCAGGGGTCCCACCTGTGCCCTCTCTCTGAATGCTCTATGGGTAAGAGACACTGATTCCCTTGTCTCCCTGGCTCAAGGCTTGTTGTCCTGGCACCCCTGGAGGAGTCTGCAGGAGTGAAGGGCCTCTGTTGCTCTCTGAGGCTGTCAGCGCTTGCAGGGAGGAGTGGAGGCTCTCACAAATGGGTCTGGCTCCTCCAGTGCCCTTGAGAGCCCTGTGAGGGGGAGAGCAGGCCACCGTGGGAAGTGGGAGGGGGCTTGTTGGAGGGTCTTGCCCACATCCCCCTCCTGCGTGCACAGCACATCCAGTACATATGCACTGAGCGCCTGCCCTGAGGAATGGTGGGCCTCCTGTATTTTCTTAGAGTCCAGGAGGAAGAGGAGGAAGAAAAGGTGAAGAGGAAGACCCAAGTAATAGGGTTAGGGGTCCTGGGTACTCCCCCAGTATTGACTGCCCCAGAGGGTGACTCAGGAGGGGACCTGGTACTGGAGCCCACCTGGGGGTGGCAGGTCCCCATGCTTCCTTGTTAGTTTCTTCATAGAGGCCCAAAGATGATTAAGAACAGCGTCATCCACAAACAAATGGGAGAACATTCCATGCTCATGGATAGGAAGAATCAATATCGTGAAAATGGCCATACTGCCCAAGGTAATTTATAGATTCAATGCCATCCCCATCAAGCTACCAGTGACTTTCTTCACAGAATTGGAAAAAACTACTTTAAAGTTCATATGGAACCAAAAAAGGGCCCGCATTGCCAAGACAATCCTGAGCCAAAAGAACAAAGCTGGAGGCATCAAGCTACCTGACTTCAAACTATACTACAAGGCTATAGTAACCAAAACAGCATGGTACTGGTACCAAAACAGAGATATAGACCAATGGAACAGAACAGAGCCCTCAGAAATAATACCACACATCTACAACCATCTGATCTTTGACAAACCTGACAAAAACAAGAAATGGGGAAAGGATTCCCTATTTAATAAATGGTGCTGGGAAAACTGGCTAGCCACATGCAGAAAGCTGAAACTGGATCCCTTCCTTACACCTTATACAAAAATTAATTCAAGATGGATTGCAGACTTAAATGTTAGACCTAAAACCATAAAAACCCTAGAAGAAAACCTAGGCAATAGCATTCAGGACATAGGCATGGGCAAGGACTTCATGTCTAAACACCAAAAGCAATGGCAACAAAAGCCAAAATTGACAAATGGGATCTAATTAAACTAAAGAGCTTCTGCACAGCAAAAGAAACTACCATCAGAGTGAACAGGCAACCTACAGAATGGGAGAAAAATTTTGCAATCTACTCATCTGACAAAGGGCTAATATCCAGAATCTACAAAGAACTCAAACAAATTTACGAGAAAAAAACAAACAACCCCATCAAAAAGTGGGCGAAGGATATGAACAGACACTTCTCAAAAGAAGACATTTATGCAGCCAAAAGACACATGAAAAATGCTCATCATCACTGGCCATCAGAGAAATGCAAATCAAAACCATAATGAGATACCATCTCACACCAGTTAGAAAGGCGATCATTAAAAAGTCAGGAAACAACAGGTGCTGGAGAGGAGGTGGAGAAATAGGAATACTTTCACACTGTTGGTGGGAGTGTAAACTAGTTCAACCATTGTGGAAGACAGTGTGGTGATTCTTCAAGGATCTAGAACTAGAAATATCATTTGACCCAGCAATCCCATTACTGGGTGTATACCCAAAGGATTATAAATCATGCTGCTATCAAGACACATGCACACGTATGTTAGTTGCAGCACTATTCACAATAGCAAAGACTTGGAACCAACCCAAATGTCCATCAATGATAGACTGGATTAAGAAAATGTGGCACATATACACCATGGAATACTATGCAGCCATAAAAAGGATGAGTTCATGTCCTTTGTAGGGACATGGATGAAGCTGGAAACCATCATTCTCAGCAAACTATCACGAGGACAAAAAACCAAACACCGCATGTTTTCACTCATAGGTTGGGATTGAACAATGAGAACACTTGGACACAGGAAGGGGAACATCACACAGCAGGGCCTGTCATGGGGTTGGGGGAAGGGGGAGGGATAGCATTAGGAGATATACCTAATGTAAATGACGAGTTAATGGGTGCAGCACACCAACATGGCACACGTATACATATGTAACAAACCTGCATGTTGTGCACATGTACCCTAGAACTTAAAGTATAAAAAAAAAAAAAAAAAAGAACAGCGTCATCATCCAGGGCCCAGATATGGAAGAACTGGTCTCGAAAACGTGCCCACAGGCCAGACCTGGACATCTTCATGTGGCGCTCTAGGGACAAGGTGGGTATCAGGCCAGGAGAGTTCCCTGGGAAGGGTCAGAGCCCACACCCCGTGACCACTTCAGTCTCCCACTGGGCAGTGCCAGATCCTTTTGTGGCCACCCCAGGGGTCCAGATGTGCACAGAAGGCTGTGGCTGGGGAGGCAGCCTGGGCAGGGAAGTGCTCATCACACTCCTGACTTTCATCTGGGTCATGTGAGGGATGGGCTTGGTGTCACTGTGCCCTGCCCAGCCCACCTGGCCAGACCTCCCTCTGGGCCAGAACAGAGAATCATGAGAACAGTGTGAGGAAGCTGCCCTTGGGCTAGTTGGGGTCTGACCCCAGTGCTCCCCAGGCCCCACTGGGCACACGTGGACTTGCTCCTCTGAACCTTAAAGGCAGTGCTTGTTATCAGCATCAACATCTGTTCCCCTTCCAGCAAATATATGTCCCACAGGCACGGGGTGAGCCCGAGAGAGATCTGTGGGGAAAGTAGGCATGAGAGGACCTGGCCCTTCCAGGCTGGGGCTGGTGGCTCGAGCTAGCCCATTGGGGCTTCAGTGACCTTCCCCATGAGAGTCACCGGACCCCTCCAGGAGGCTGGGTCAGACAAGGTCTTGCAGCTCCTTATGGGGGGGCACTCATTTCAGTGGAGAGAGGGGCTTCCCCAGGGCTTGAGCCTCCCCTCAGCCCTCCCAAGTCAGGCCCTGGCCCAGTCTGCCCTTAAGGCTGGGCCTGAGCCCCACCCTCTGCCCTGGAATGACACCTCTTCGGCAGAGGGTCTTGCCTGTGTGTCATGTAGGGATCTGCCTGAGCCTCCTGTGGGCTGGGGGTGAGCCGGACCCCTGGGCTGGGGAAGCAGGGCACTGCAGGGCAAGGAGGGTCCCTGAGCCAGGGTCTCCCTGTGCCTCCTTACCCCATCATTCAGCACCCAGAGAAGCCAGCTGAATGAGGAACCCTGTGTGCATTGACCTTCCTTGTCCTGATGGGAGGAACAGAGGTACTCAGGGCCCCATGGGCTGCCCTAAAAACCTCCCTCTTCCAGGGCCCTCTGAAGACCCTTCCCCAAGTGCAGAACACTGGGCAGTGTCCCGGGCTCCCCCCAACATCTTCCCCTTCTGGCACTCCCGGTAGACACACTACCCTTAGCCCTGCTCTGTGGGAGCTGGGCCCCCATCCCTGTGCCTCTGTCGCCTCCAGGGCTGGAAAGGAAACCCAACTCCCAGCCCATGGGGAACCCGACATCCCAGGTCAGGCCCTGGCTGGGACTCAGCCTGTCCCCAGCCCCATGAAGGGCTCCAGCCCCCGCTGCTCCTCCAGCCCCCTAGGATGCAGGGCCTCTGGGGAAGAGCCGAAGGAACCATAAACTCACCAGATGACACATGGTCTTGGGTTGTTACATGGGTACCACATGCTCCTGATGGTCTTGGAGCCCCTGAACTGTCCCGCCATTTGGGCTGTGGAATCCTGAGAAGCCCCCAGCCCATCATGAAATCAGAGCCCTCTCCCAAGATGTGGAGCCATCAGCTGGAAGAGCTGGGCAGCTGCAGAGCCCCCCAGACCCCGAGGCCTCCCACCCTCCCATCTGGTGACCCCACCATGTGGCCTTGGCCCTGGGGAGGGTGATGAGAGCTTCCCCTGGAGCCTGGCTGGAGGTGCCCCTGGAGGCCTCCTGGGCCAGGGTGCCGGGAGGGCAAGCCTGACTTTGAGGCCACGACAGGGGGTGGCCAGAATAGGGTGGGTGCTGGGCTTCGTGGTCGTCTCCTGGAAGTGGGGCCGGGCCAGGGGACACGGGATGGGGAGATGCTGCCATCTGGGCTTGGTTGGCCCATTTGTGGGTACCAAGGGAAGCTGGAGCCTGGGCAGCTGAAGGGCAAGAGGACTCTCAGGGAGGAGAGAGTCAGCTGCACAGAATCAGAGCCAGAGGGCGTGGCTCCATGATACACAGGGCGGCCTTGGGGAAGATGAGATGCCTTCTGCTGATGAAGATGAAAGGTGTCTGACTTGGGCTCTGGGGGTCAGCCCCGGGCTCCTGTGGGACATCCTAAAGGCTCCCAACAAGCTGGCAACACAAGGAAGGTGTCTTCAATAAAAGCCGAGATCACTTGGCCAGGGTGGCTCTCTCTGGGTCTGACCGCGTGAGGCAGAGACATCCTAAAGGCTCCCAACAGTTAGCTGGTGACACAAGGAAGGTGTCTTCACTGAAAGCCGAGATCACCTGGCCAGGGTGGCTCTCCCCGGGTCTGACTGCATGAGGCCCCGGGAGCCGCTGTCCACCTACCCTGCAGGGAGAGCCTCTCACTGGCCAGCAGCTGCGCCAGTGCCTAGAATGCATCCTCCTCAGGCAGATAAAGGAGGAACAAGGCAGTGACATGGCTCAGGTCCCTGCAGTAGCCCACCTCCTGCAAGAGCCAGAGTCACCGTGGAAGGACATCACCTGGGAGGGCTGAGGTCACCTGGGAGGACTCATGTCATCAGAGAGGGCAGAGGTGACTGGGGAGGCTTCCTCTGAAGAAGAGGCTTCCTCAAGATGCAAATTCATTTTATGACGACAGCTATGTCCATTGGGCCTTTTAGCACCTTGTCCAAAATGTCTCCTGTTAGCACCGTCCTGCTTGTGACACTGCCAAGCTCCTGAGCTTTGGGGCAGCCCCAGGAGGAGGGCATCATTTCTTGTTCCAAGAAGGGGTGGTCAGGCCCAGGTGACACCAGGAGTCCAGGCCCGACTCCTTTGTGTCTCAGTGAGACCCCTTGAGACCACCCCCCTTGCTTGGAGGTTTATGCCAGCAGTGGGCTGGAGTCCTACCTCCTATATCCTGGTGGGTCACAAATACTAACTTTAAAAGAAGCAATGACACCCACACCAGACACCCATGCCCGGGAATATGGAAATATGGACCGGGAATATAGCCGTGAACATGGGAATATGGTCACTCCCTGGAAATACTCACTGGGTTATACTCTGAATATGCCAGGAGGATGTAGAATAGTTCCCGCTGCCTAAAAAACAGATACAGGGGGCTTTTGTTTCTTTTGTGCAGATGTTAGTTTCACTTTGTCTACAAACCCTAATAACAAATCCAATTTCAGGTTCAGATGATTCACCAGATAAGCAGTGAGCTCTTCAGGGCCTTTGACTATTTAAGAAATGTTTCAGTAAAATCCACATCTGTGAAATGCTAATAATAGCCCAGTTGTACAGTGAGTTGACTGATCATTTTTGCTCTGATTTTTGTTTTTTGTTTCTTTGTTGTTGTTGTTGTTTGTTTTTTTTTTGTTTTTTGTTTTTTTTTGGTTTGCACGCACGCCAGTTCAGTCTTTGGGTATACAGTTCTTCCATGGTTCTAAACCAATGTGCAGAGCCTTCTGGAGCGACTCCTTCATCCTCCAAGTCTCCAGGGTGGTCTCTATGCAGCCAGCCTCTCCCCGATCCGTCAGTCCCTGGCCACTCAGAATGGTTCTCAGTCCCTATGGTTTGGCCTTGTCCAGAATGGTCTATGATTGGAATCCTACAGCGGTATCTTGTTGACTCTGGCTTCTTTCCGTTAGCAAAATGCATCTAGGATCCACCCACGTTTGTGCGGACATCACTGGCTCGTTCCCTTTTCTCACTGAGTCTTCTACCGTTTTAGGGAGGACCAGCCTTCCTCTCCGCATTCCCGTGTTGAAGGTCGTTCCCGAAGGCTCCATGTATGTGTGATGAGGAATCAAGCAGTGAATGTGGCATGCAGGTTTCATGTGACGTCAGTTTTCAAATCAGTGGGTTCAATATCTGTGACACTTTGGGGACGTGGAGTTCAAGTCCATTGAGCTTTGTGAGCCACTGCCCAACCAGCTGCCAAAGTGGCTGTGCCATGTCACGTTCCCAGCAGACCTGGATGATAATTTCCAGGAAACTGAATCCCCCCAGCATTTGGTGCTGTCAGTATTGCCTGGGGAGGCTCATGGGCCCTCCATCCTGCTGCCCTCCTGTGGGTCCTACCATGGGTCTCCGTGGGTCAGGGAGAGCAACTTTCACCATTGTGCATGATTTTCTTTGCTGCCTTCTGTCTCCGCAGGATCCTCCTGGGTTCTGGCCCCACATGTTCCAGCCTGGCACAGGGCTTAGAACCTGGGAGGTGCTCCGTCCATGGTGCCGGCTGCTCCCTGGGCCAGGGGAGCCCTTGGCAGCTCTGTCGTCCCTCCTGGGTGACCCTGGATTCTGCTCCGGGGAAGTCCCCATCCCTCTGGTTTACCCCATCTCTGCTGGCACCCTGTGGCTCCCATAGGCTTACTTGACTCCATATCGATCCCTGAAGAAGATGTGGTTCCCTAGTGTCCAGCTCATGTCCAGGTAGACCTGGTGGATGTGTTCAGAGGATCTCTTGCCCTTCTCCTTCATGACCTGTAGGACAGGGCCAAGAGGAAGAAACAGCCTCAGAGCAGATGGAAGACTCCCTGCCCCAAATGGTAGTCAGCCCACAGTCAGCACTTCTGGAAGGAAGGAAAGAAAGGCTTCCTTCTGCAGAAAGCTGCTTTTTGGCTTGTTTCTGAAGCTGGGGAGGGTCTGTGGTTCCTATGTCACCTTCTGTGCTTAGGATGTGCATCTGACCATGGTACCCACTCCCCCAGGCTGGGCAAGACATTCCCTCTAGCTGGAGAACTGGGCCCTGACCCAGCCTGGCCTGTTTGTTGTGCTCTGGCTTAGCATACCTGGTATTTTCTGGGATTTTTCATCTTGATTTCCTGAATGTTCAGGAGGACTGACCACACCTGGCCCTGGATGTTCATGGGAATGCCCTTATACACTCAATCAATTAGCTGTGGGCAGAAAACGATCTGGTGTCACAGGCCATGGGATGACCCCAGCCAGGACCAGAGCCCGAGGATCCTGGAAATCTTTGGTTTTGGCCCCATGATTCCTCGGTAAAGGTGAGGTCAAGCTGGGACAGGGTCTCCCTTCGCAGGATTGAAAGAGTGTGTGGGCACTCAGAGTCCTGAACTCTGATCTGGACCTTTTCTTTCCTTCGGGTCAGCAGGAGGCATCCCCAGCCCTAGATTCAGATTCCCTCTCAGCAAGGTGATGCTTGCATGAACGGGCAGTAAAGCTGGCAACCAGGCCTGCGGTCCTCTGGGTGAGCACTGTGTGCCACCTGCCCTCTGAGAGGCTGACGGTGCCAGGCCACAGCCATGGGTGCCTGTCCCCTGTCTCTGCAGAGAGTGGTTCTGGGGGCCTCTCCCTCCACACATTACTTTTTTGCTGTTCTGATATGTCTCCCATTCTCCCAGCATTTCCATCCACTTGCTCTTTCATCTCATCTCCTGCCGCATTTGCTGTCAAATGAGGAATGTTGGAGTTAGCGGAGCTGCCAGGCTTCGCAGAGCCACCCGTGGATGCTGGGTCTTGGGCTCTGGAGCCCTGGTGGGACCCAGCTAGAAGGAGCCAGGGAAGGGCAGACCATAAAGGCTGAGGGCCTTTGAGCAAATGAGTGCCAGTGGGCTGGCCTTGGGACCCTGGGACGTGCCATCCTCAGGCCACAGACACACCAGTCTTAGGTCAGGTCCCAGTCTCTAGGTGGGGTCCTGACACAAGCGGGCAGCCATCCCCAAGCCAGGACTGTGGTTCTCACTTTGGAATTTCATCAAACTGCCAGAGATACAGTAAGCTGGGGTCAGGTCCAGCAGGGACAGCTGCCCCTCCAAGTGACAGCGTGTTGCCCCCACCTGCTACCGCCCAGGCCCGCTGCTTTCTCTGCCTCACTGACCACTCGCCGAGTCCCCCCGTCCCTGGACCAGCCCCCCCATGGATCAGGCTCTTACCTTCACCTCCCGGGCTCTGACCGGGCAGTTCCTTCTCACTGTAATGCAGCCCAGGCAGAGCTGAGGACTTGCACAAGGTTTGGAGCCATCTCGGTCTGGGAGCCGACCCCCAGAAAGGACTGGCTCTGTCCCATCCAGCTCAGGGCTCAGCCTAGGAGAAGGCACAGGGAAGGGAAGACAAGGGCCTTCCTGTGGGGCTGACTCCCAGGAAGGTCCAGGACCTGGGAGAAGAGGGAGTGCAGGGCCAGCCTGGCCGAGGCTAATGGGGCCCCTTGGTGTGGGGGGTGGTCAGGGTGTAAAATGGGGGCTGCCCCCCTGGACTGGAAGTAATGCTTTGTGCTTGAGCTGAGAAAGGTCAGCCCCGAGATGGGATGGGGTGACCGGGCCCTGACAGGAGTCCCTCTGGGAGTGACCACGTGATGTGGACCTGCCAGGGTCTAGGGTACACCGGGGGCCCATCCCACCCGACATTCCCAAGGCCCTTGCAGGGTCTGACCTCCCAGGGTCCACCTGCCTCTCCCTGCACCCAAGCCACACACACTGCATTTCAGAAGTGGCATGGCTCATAAGCTCCCTCCCACCCTACCTCTCTTGGCATCCTCCATCTCTCCATTCTATGATCCCTGAGGGATGGGCTCCAGCCTGGGCTCCTCTTACCTGGCCCCAGATCCCTTCCCAGCACCAGACCCAGGGTCATTAGCTGCAAGCTCTGCTGCCTCCTTGGCCTCACCGTGAGATGCCCAGAACTGGGCCCTGCCCATCTTCTCCCCCATTCCCCTAAGGCCACAGCCCCTACTGTCCCCATGCCTTTCCCCCTTCCCCATGGGGACAGTGAGGGCTGTAGCTCTAGGGAAATGGGGGTGAACAGGGGCAGGTGGGCCCTCAGAGACCTGCTGGACAACAGCCCCGAGGCTGGACCAGGCGTCTCCTCACCCTGTGGCCACAACCCTTGGATCTCACTGGGGTTGTCTCCAAGTGAACAGGGCCAGACCCTCAGGCTGCCCCCCTCCTCTTGTGCTAACTCGGAGACAGAACTGCTGAGAGCCCAGGGGCCTGACCTAGCCCCCTCTCCATTCCCACCCACTCCCTAGATGGGCCCCGCACCACTGGCCTAACAACAACCTCAGGCTGGACCTGCAGGGGAGCCAGGGAGGAGTTCTGATCCTGGAAAGGAGGTTGGCCCGACCTGGGCAGACATGTTCTGCTTCAGAAAGTCCCTTCTAAAAGTAAACCCATCCCTAAGCTGAAATAAGTGCTTTAGGGGCTGAGGGGAGCACAGAGGACTCACTGCAGAATCCCAAAGCGATCAGTGCTGCTGTAGATTCCAACAGGCTTTAGGCCCCGTGTCTGCTGGCAGCCCAGCTCGGTGTCCCTGTAATCCAGAGGGAGCCTTGATGAGGGGTCCAAGGTAACGGGTGCAAGGGTCTGGGGGTAGTGGCCACCCGTCCCTGCCCTGTGCTCCTAGGGAGCCCAGGATCCTTTGAGCAGGGCACACTGGAAGAGGCCTCCCTCCAGGGAGCAGACGGACCTGTACGTTCTCATACTTCATAATGATGTCCTCTCACTCCTGCAAAGTATCCACATCCTCTACCATGTCCATCCTGTGAGACAAAATCATCTAAATGTTACACTGTACCTGAGACCTTCGGAGAATACCTAAACCGCTCCCACCTGGCTCCCAGATTCTGCCTGGCGGTGTAACCCCCCTTCCACCACTGCCCTCAGGTGAAAAGGGGCCAGACCCAGTGGCCCACACCTGCATGGGTCTCTGGAGTCTCAAGCCCCAAGCAGGGGTGGGCATCTTCCCAAGGACTTGAGAATACTGGGACCTGGACAGAGAATCCTGTTGTCCCCAAATGCCATGAAACGGGTACACACCTGCCCCAGCATGTTGAATGGTGTCCACCTGCCAAGGTTGAAGGGCCCATGATGGGCTATTCCAGGGATGTGGAGGCAGACTGGGGTCAGGGACCAGAGGTCTCTGTACAGTCGGCCTCCTGGGATGCTCAGGGACCACAGAGATGCCCAGTTTCCTACGGGAACAAGACCTCTCCTGACTGCTCGGTTCTACTCCACTCATCACTTGGGCTACTGTGGCCCTTCAGTCTCACCAGTGAAGCCACTTTAGGAACAACGCCAGTTAAGCAGGAGGGTGTTTGGTTTGGGGGATGAAAATAATCTACTGTCTCCAAAGCAGCCCCTATGCTCGTGGAAACCACATCTCTCGGGGAGGGACGGTGGACTCCACCATTCTGAGCTATCCATACAGGAGGGGGCTTCATTTTCCTGGGTCACTGAGGAAGAACAGTGGGTCCTTGGTTCTGGAGAACACCTAGATGGACCATCCCTCCTGGGAACACTCAGGGCAAAAGGAGGGTGAGGCCTCGAGAGGATCAGACAGAGAAAGAAATACTTGCGGAGAACCCCAGTACCTGGACCCCTTTTAACAGGAGGGAAGACAGTCTCCCTCCAGCCAGCTCACCAGGGATCCTTCATTTTCCACGACTGCCCAAAGGCAGAAGGCTCCCCATCCCACTCTCGGACAAAGGACCATGTGTGTTCAGTGGGTCCCACAGGGACCATCAAGACCCAGCTTAGGGCACAGATGTGTTCTGAGGACCCTCCCCTCCACCTCACCCACAATGGATCCATCTCAGTGGCTCTGCCATGGCGAGGCTCTGCCCCATCCCAGTGGGGATCAGAAACCCTGGACAGATTTGGGATCTGGGGCAAGGAGGCCGCAGGGTTCAGGCCTGAAGTCCAACATGGCACAGGGCAGGGCCAAGAGCAAAACCCAGGGTCCTGTTGGGATTCCCAGGCCAGTTACCGCCTCTCTGACCCCAGACATCTCACCTGTCAAATGGGTACATGCGGGAGCCACCATGAGGATGAAAGAGACAACTGTCCACACGGGCAGCGTAGAACGGGCACCCGGTGAGTGTTCAGGGATGACCCTCCTCAGCACGTGCCCAGAGGCCAGCACCACCCACACCATTAGCCACTGTCCCCAAGTCAGCATGGAGGGAAGAGAGCAGGTCACACTCACCTGATTCTGATGAATCAGCTGGCCTGGGTTACGCCTCTCAGGGAGAAAACCTTTGAGTCCACAGAGCTGCTCACAGATACCACTGTCTGTGTGTAGCTGCTGTAGAACACAGAGGCAGGGCAGAGAGCGGACGGGTGCTAAGCACCAGTGACATTCTGAGATAAAGGCAAGCATCACAAAGGCGCCTTGCCTGGGTCAGCAGGGCCCAAAGTCAGCATCCTGCATTGCCTAAGGCATCATCATGCTTGCGTGCCATGTGTTTGCACATGTGTGTGCACACATGTATGTAGGTAAACACATCTGTGCACATGTCTGTTGCTTCTCTGGCCAGGCCTGGCTGCCTCACCCATGTGTGCACCCAGTTCCTTGTCACTGTCACCCCCTGGGCTCAGAGCCAGCATCACAGCATCCATGGGTGCTCCCTAACCTCAGCCCTCCCCGCCCAGGGTGGTCCTGGGATACACATAGGGGTGGAGGGAAGTGATTGCTGCTGTTGGATCTCAGAATAAAAATGCGAATACTATTACCTAATGATCTTTTTAGTATCTCTAATGGTATGTCTTTTTTTATTTCTGATATTTTAACTGGGTATTTCTCTCCATGACCCTTGGTTATTCCAGCTAGAGAATCCTGTGGGGAAAGTGCCCGGCACACAGTAGGGGCTCACTCTTCTAGACATGTTATCTAAAATCTGGCTTATTCGTCATTCCACCCAAGGCATCCTAGGGGATGCCAAATTCCAGGGGCCAGAAAGAGCTTGGGATAAAAAGAACATTCAAGGGGAGGGCTTTGACTTTGGCTGAGCCTGCCTGTGCCATCCAAACCTGGAGCCTCAAGTCCTGAGATAGGGCATCCAGATGCCCCAGTGCAGGGCCCTCCTGACTGACACTTACTCCCTTGTACTCATTAGCCACCTCACCATCCTACTCTCAAAGCACACTTGGCCCTCGTATCTGGGAGCTCTGCATCTGTGGATTCAGCCAACAGCGGATGGAAAATATTCGGAAAAGAGATTAGATGACTCTACTGAACATGTGCAGACTTTGTTCTTGTCATCATTCCCTAAATAATACAGTATCACAACCATTTACATAGCATCTGCATTGTATTGTATATCATAAGTAATCTAGAGAAGGTCTAATGTATATGGGAGGATGTGCACAGGTTATATATAAATACTAGGCTGTGTTAGGCCAGGTGCGGTGGCTTACACCTGTAATCCCAGCAATTTGGGAGGTCGAGGCGGGCAGATCACCTGAGGTCAGGAGTTAGAGACCAGCCTGACCAATAGGGAGAAACCCCATCTCTACTAAAAATACAAAATTAGCCAGACATGGTGGCACATACCTGTAATCCCAGCTACTCAGGAAGCTGAGGCAGGAGAATTGCTTGAACCCCGGAGGTGGAGGTCACAGTGAGCCAAGATTGCGCCATCGCACTCCAGCCTGGGCAACAAGAGTGAAACTCCATCTCAAAAAATAAAAAATAAAAAATACTTGGCCATGTTATATCAGAGACTTGAGCATCCATGGATTTTGGCATCCCTGGGGACCCTGGAACTAATCCTCCATGGATACCAAGGGTTGACTGTATAAACTCACTCAGGAAGGCTTCTCATTGGAGGAAGGGCCCAGTTCAGGACAGACAGGGACATCCTCCCTGGACTACTGTCCATTCATCCATCCATTCATCCATTGCCCCTCCACCCCATCCCGCCCCAGGACTGTCCCAGTGACAGCCCTAGCAAGTGGAGACAAGAAAAAAGACTGGCTCACGTTGTCCAACTTTGAGGTCTTGGAAGAAGTTGCACCAGTATAAGGATAGGGGGTAAGTTTCCTCCAGGATCCAGAGAGCATATCAGGCAGCCTCGGGGTGAGGAAAGGAGCCCGGCCTCTCCAGCAGCCACACAGGCCTGCAGTAGGATGGGGCTGGGCCTGGCCATGTGGATCACTTGGGCCTAATTAGGGGGAAGGAAAGACCAGGGGGCAGAGGAGGAGCATCAGGGCAGCTGGTGGCCTAAGGAGAAGGCATTTCAGGGAAGGGGTCTGTATTAATTTGTTTTCACACTGCTATAAAGAAATACCTGAGACTGGGTAATTTATAAAGGAAAGAGGCTTAATTGACTCGCAGTTCAGAAAACTTCCAATGATGGCAGAAGGTGAAAGGGAAGCAGGAGCCTTCTTCACAAGGTGACAGGAGGGAGTGAGTGGAGAACGAGGAAGTGCCACACTTTAAAACCATCAGCTCTCTTGAGAATTCACTCACTATCGGGGAACAGCACAGGGGAAACTGTCCCCAGATCCAATCCCCTCCCACCAGGTTCCTCCCTTGACACAGAAGGATTACAATTCCAGATGAGATTTGAGTGGGGACACAGAGCCAAACCTATCAGGGTCTCCATCTGTCTTGCAGCTCCCTCGGGGCTGAGGTTGAGTGCAGATCTGCTGGCCCTGCTCTACAGCACGCGGGGACTCTGCCTGTGTGCCCCGAATTGCTGCTTCTTGGGGGTGGTGGCTGCTTCCTCAAGAGGAGGGTGGATCTGCTCTCCTGCCAGCACACACCCCCTCCCCCAACTCCAGGGCCTTGTGGAGCCCTGGCCACATCCTCCCAGGCTTGAAGGCATAAAACCAGGCTCCTTGCTCTTCTTGCTGTTTAGGTGACAAGCCCCCAGTCATCCCTAGGTCCTGTCAGTGCCCCTGCTTCTAAATAAAGAGTGTATTGCCAAATCTTCCTGGGAAAAGCCGGGGCCTCATCCCTGTTATCTGTTCTGTCTTCCTAAAGCCAGGTTAAGACATCTGGGCAAGCAGGCGATAGAGTGATTCATTGTGATTTAACAAGTATTTGTGTTCCTCTTGTGTGCCACACAATTTGCCTAGGTACTGTGAGTGCAAAGATGAAACAGATATGATTACTATACTTATGGAGGCTCAGTCTAGTCAGTGTTTTTTTAAACAGAATAGAACATATCAGAGTGGGACATTGTAAGGGTAAGAATGATTTAAGGAAGTTATTTCACATACTGTGTGTGTTTATACATATACAAAATGTTTCTTATTGCAGGTCTCGTTCCAAAAAGTTTGATAGCCTTTACTCTAGTGCAGCGGTTTTCAATTGAGGTGATTTTGTCCTTCAGAGGACATTTGGCAATCTCGGGAGATATTTTTGATTGTCACAGCTTGGAAGGTGCTACTGGCATCTAGTGGGTGGAGACTGAGATGCTGCTAACCTTTCTACCATGCACAGGACAGTTCCCACAGCAAAGAATGATTCTGCCCAAGCTGTCAATAGCGCTGCTGTTGAGAAACCGATTCCAGTGGAAGAGACAGGCACGTAGACACATGAAAGAGAACAGGGAAGGGAATTACAGGGCAGGTGGAAAGTGAGCTTGCTAGGGAGAGGGCAAGGTGGGGGAACCACAGTTACTGACTTGCCAGCTCTACTGGGCACTGTTCTGAGTGGGGAAATAGTTTTATCATAGGTATTTGTGCAAGGTATTATATGAAATCTTTAAAATGGCACTGGAAGGGGTAGGTATTATCCCAACCTATAAATGCACAAGTCGGGGCTTTAAGTGTTTAAGTAACATACGTGAGGTCACATAGAAAGTTGTGAGCTGGAACCTGGCATGGTGACTCATGGCTTGCAATCCCAGCACTTGGGGAGATGGAGACAGCAGGATCGCTTGAGCCCAGTAGTGGGCAAAAAAGTGAGACTCTGTATCTAAAAATAAAGTTGTAAGCTGGGACTGATGCTACCATTACCCTGAAATATGTTTGTTTGTTCAAAGAATTTGGATGATCAATAGACAAGTTTTGTGTCCCAGAGGAATAAGGAAATGAGAAAGTTGAAAGTGCTGAAGAAAAAAGCCCATGCGCTTCACCGTGAGATTTGGGCTAGCTAGGAAAGGGAAGCAGGAAGCAAGAGAGCGGCTGATAAATTGGGAGGAGATGTGAGAAGTTCAAGAGTCTGGACATCTTAAATGAGATACATGCATTAGAAGAAAAAAAGAGAAAACAACAACAACAAAAAAGAGTCTGGATGTCTTGATGAGTTCCTAAGTAGAAATGACAGAGAAGAGGAACTGAAAAAGGAAGTCATGGGCCAAGAGTGGAGTATTACAATTTCAGACTTCTAGTATGGAGCAGCACAGTTACGGGTGTGGACAAGTGAATGTCTTGGAGTAGAAGGCAAAGAACATTTTTGCATGGAACATGGCCACACCATACCTTGGTGTGATCTCAGGTATTGGATAGGTTGGCTGTAGATACTCAGTGAATTTGGAAGAAGGGCCTAGAGATCTATCGATGATAGAAACTGAGAAACAGAATGTAGAATATCAGCTTGTGAAGAGGAAGGGTTTGGAGTGACAGGAGAGCAGTCATTGAGTATGTGAGGAGCTAGGAGAACATGGGAATCTTCATTCTCCTAGAGCAGGCTCTATTTGAAAAGCCATCAGGGAGGTAGTTTATTCAGAAAATAGTTTTGCTTAGCTAAGATAAGGATGTGATTATGGAAGAAATGTGAGAGAATGTTTTATAGTAGAAAGGAGGTTCCAGGGGAATGAGAGGAACCTAGAAAGTTTCAACAGTAGTGTCATGAGTTAATAGAAAACAGGAAGCAAGCTGGGTATGTGCGTTTAGAGGTGGTGTACATTTTCAGCATTATAAATGGATAGAGATGAGTGGCAATAGTTACTTTGGTCCATAGGTTTTTGGTGTCTTAACTAGTTATGGATCTCTACCACTAAAGGAATTGCCTGTTGAACGTTGTTAGGATAAGAGTACTGAAGGCAAACTGCCTGGGTTTGAATTTTATTCTGTTCCTTTCGACCTTTCTGGGTTCAAATCCTAGCTCTGCGTATTAAGTTCTTTTAAGCTGATGATCTTTGAGCAAATGTCTTAGCTTCTGTTTGCCCATGTAAATGGACACAATAGTTGTTACCTTGTAAAAGAAGTTAATTCATATAATTGACCAGCATTAACTAAGAAGCACCAGTGTACAATTTTAGTCAGTGGTAATTGACTAGCTGGACTGTGAGGCTGTGTGTGTGTGTGTGTGTGTGTGTGTGTGTAGCATGTAATAGAATGAAGAAAGGAAAAGATACTTTTTATAACCTACAGGCAGCTTTTCTCGGCTTTTGTGTCAAGAGGGAAGAAGGAAGTTTGGAGGATATGAATTCTGTTTAATACTAAGCTCTCTTATTGAAAACCAGAGGTAGATAGAATGTGTAATAATTTACAGAATTTCTAGACTTGATCCGATTTTTTAAAATTTATTTTCATTTTTTAGGTTGAGGCTGAGCTAAAGTTAATCTGTTGTAACATTCTGGATGTACTGGACAAACACCTCATTCCAGCAGCTAACACTGGCGAGTCCAAGGTTTTCTATTTGTTTGTTTGTTTGTTTGTTTAAGACAGAGTCTTGCTCTTTCGCCCAGGCTGGAGTGTGGTGGCGCAATCTTGTCTCACTGAAACCTCCACCTCCTGGGTTTAAGCGATTCTTCTTCCTTAACCTCCTGAGTAGCTGGGTCTATACACGCCCGGCTAATTTTTGTATTTTTAGTAAAGACAGGATTTCACCATATTGGTGAGGCTGGTCTCGAACTCCTGACCTCGTGATCTGCCCTCCTCAGCCTCCCAAAATGCTGGAATTACAGGCATGAGCCACCACGCTTGGCCTGATTTTGTTTGTTTGTTTGTTTGTTTGTTTTTGGCAGAGTCTTACTCTATTGCCCAGGCTGGAGTGCAGTTGCGCAATGTCAGCTTACTGTGACCTCCGTCTCCCAGGTTCACCAATTCTCATGCCTCAGCCTCTCAAGTAGCTGGGATTACAGTTGTGTGCCACCACGTCAGGCTAATTTTTGTATTTTTAGTAGAGATGGGATTTCACCATGTTGGCTGGGCTGGTCTCGAACTCCTGACCTCAGATAATCCACCCGTTTCAGCCTCCCAAAGCTGGATTACAGGTATGAGCCACTGTGCCCTGCCAGAGTCCAAACTTTTCTATTATAAAATGTAGGTTTTATACTAGAAGGGAAAATGTGAGATTAAATGTTGACCTTTTTAGAATCATGACTTATTTCTGTGTAGGTTTTCAACTTTTATTTAAGAATAATTGTTTAATGTTAGAAGGATAGTTAATGTTGGAATAAAAAGATGGTCAGGCTATTATAAAAATGCATTAGCTTTTGCTTTACTTATTTATATAATTTTGCTTTTGTGGGACCTATCCCCTTTCCCTCCCCGTAGTGGCCATACATTTCACAGTGCTGTCTCAATGTTTTACATAGAAATTTTATTTCGTAATTAATAAACTCTCGTGCCACTCCTTGGAACCACTTGCTTGTTTAATTTTAGTCTGTGATCATTTTCTTGATTTTTAGAGCCTCCCCAGTTAATTTCTGTGGGATTTTTACTTATATTTTGAATATGAAATGTCTAAGGAAAAAAACGAAAGAAAGTCAAACATTCCTGAGAGTGTTTAAAATTATTGAAGTATACCTGCTAATTGTTACATACATTTTGTCACATATTTTAGAAAATATAGAACTCTTTTAGCTTATTTTCCTTTAGAAATCATTGTTCCTAGTTAAAAAAATTTTTTTTAATTTGGTTTTGTTTTAGGAAAGGGGATTACCACAGGTATCTGGCAGAATTTGCCATCACCACTATTTATTTGAAAACTTCTTCTTCACCTCACATGAAACAAACTATAGCCATTAAACAAAAAGTCTTCATTTCCCCTCTCCCCAGCTGCTAGTAACCTCTATTTTACTTTGTCCCTATGAATTTGCCCATTCTAGATACCTCATGTAAGTGGGATCATATGATGTTTGTCCTTTGTGGCTGCCTTTATTTCACGTAGCATGATGTTTTCGTTTCATCCATGTTGAAGCAAGTATCAGCGCTTCAGTCCTTTCTATGACTGAATAATAATTTGTTTTATGTATTTTGCACACATTGTTTAGCCATTGAACTTTTGATGGACAGTGGGTTTCTTTCCCCCTTTTTCTTGTGGTGAGTAATGCTGCTGTGAACATTGGTGTGCTAAGTATTTGCCCAGACTGGAGTGCAGTGGTGCAGTCTCCGCTCACTGCAACCTCTGCCTCCCAGGTTCGAGCAATTCTCCTGCCTCAGTCTCCCGAGTAGCTGGCATGGTGGCATGCAGCTCTATTGCTAGAAACTTGGGAGGCTCAGGCAGGCAGATCGCCTGAGCCCAGGAAGTTGAGGCTGCAGTGAGCTATGATTGCACCACTGCAGAGACAGAACAAGATCCTGTCTGAAAAAGAAAAAAAATTACACACAGAATTACCTGTCCCAATTCCACTCCTAGGTGGAGTTGAAAACAAGGACACAAGGCCAGGCGCAGTGGCTCACGCCTGTAATCCCAGCACTTTAGGAGGCTGAGGAGGGCAGATTGCTTGAGGTCAGGAGTTCGAGACCAGCCTGGCTAACATGGTGAAACCCTGTGTCTACCAAAAAAACAAACAAAAAACACAGGCCAGACACAGTGGCTCATGCTTGTAATCCCAGCACTTCGGAGGCTTAGGCAGGCAGATCACTTGAGGCCAGGAGTTCGAAACCAGCCTGGCCAAAATGGTGAAACCCCGTCACTACTAAAAATACAAAAAAAAAAAAAAAAGCCAGGAGTGGTGTCACTCACCTGTACTCTGGAGGCTGAAGCACGAGAATTGTTTGAACCCAGGAGGTGAAGTTGCAGTGAGCTGAGATTACGCTTCCAAAAACAAAAACAAATTAGCCAGGATTGGTGGTGCATGCTTGTAATCCCAGCTACTTGGGATGCTGAGGCAGGAGAATTGCTTGAGCCCTGGAGACGGAGGTTGCAGTGAGCCAAGATTGCACCACTGCACTCCAGCCTGGGGAACAGAGTGAGACTTCGTCTCAAAAAAAAAAACAATACTTCCATGGCTAAGATCATTGTTGATATCTTCAGGCAACATCAACTCAGATTCTTTGTAATGCATATCTGTCTGTATTTTGCTTTTCAAAGAACGGATCTTTAAACATCACTTATAAGTTTCCTTAGAGATCCATGGGCTAGGAGTCAGTGGTCCCGGACTCCACTGCGAGGTGGCACCTAATAACTCTTCTCTCCTCTCCAGCCTAAGTGCTGAATTGTGGGTAATGGCTGAATCCTCCAGCCTGGACATAGTAACATCAGGAAGCATGGGCAGCCAGCGCAGCCTAGGGCTGCGGAGAAACATCACGGGGGGAAAGGGAAGGCCCAGAAATAAGGTCTGGTGCCTCCATAAGGAAGGCTTTTCTTTCCCCGGCCTGAGCTGCTTTTGTTACCTGGAGTCTCCCACAACTCCTTGCAATTCCCCAAATGCACCAGGTTCTCTCTGGCCCAAGCCAATTTTCCACCATCTCTTCCTTCCTACTGACGCAGTTTGGTTAATTCCTACTGATCTTCTAGAACTCAGCTTAAGGGACACATCTTCCAGGGAGCCTTCCCTGCTTCCCTAGGCTGAGGTAGCCTCCTCCTCTGGCCTCTCAGAAACCTTTCACCCTTGCAGCACTTATCACAGGACACCATGGACATCTGTTTGATCATCTCCCACCTGGATTCCCCCCTAAACTGTGAGCACCTTGAGGGCAGGTGCTCATCTTGTATGCCAAGTGCCTGGAACAGGCCTGGCATGTAATGAGCTCTCTTGGTGAACATGCAATGAAATGGATGGAAGCTTCCATGACAGCTGTTTTCTTCAGGAGCTGCTGCCTGCAAAGAGAACAATTCACTGAGCCTGAGAGAGAGCAAGAGTTCTCTGAGAGTTTCCCAAATTATTTGTCATTGGCAGAGCGCCTCCATGGAAGGTGCAGGGGACCCAGAGGCAAAAATGATGTGGAGCCAAGAGGCTGGCACTTCTGTCACTCCAGGCAAGCAGGCAAGCCTCAAGCCCAGTCCCCAGACCCCCAAGTGCCCTACTGCGGGTCCCAGGAGTAGACTCCCTGCTGTCCTTAGAGAGCTCCTGATGGTCCTCGCAACTTCTGAGTCACTCCTTCTCCCACATCATCTGCCTGTGTTTCCTGTTTCCTGGGTACAGGAGTCCGTGGAGAAAGAGAAGGGACCAGGCTTCTCTGGGAGGAGGAACTGCCCATTTGTGCAGTGAAAGGCAAGGCCTCTTGCAGAGGGTGAAGGAGGTGGCTTTGACTTTGGGAAGCTAAGCAGCTGACCCTGGCCCTGTTGTATCTTGGAAGGACATCAAAAAAATGAGCTTAGATGGCAAAGACAATATTTAGGTGAGCTACCCAAAATAACTTCTAGACAGACACGTGGAGGGGCACTGTCCCCTCTCCTGTTCAAAAGCTTTGGATCCAAGCCCAAGCTACAAGTAGAGCAGGCAGCAAGCTCCCTGGAGTGGAGGCATTCCGAGGCTGGGTGGCCCCTTGGCAGGAATGCCTTTGGAGGATTTCCAGAAACAGCTGGACTAGATAGACTTTGAGAGTCCTCTGACTCACAGATTGATGATTCTCACAGGAGGAGTTTTCTGGAACAAAAGGAGGCTTAAGAACATCAGTTCCTCGAGGTTCTAGGGGGTGAAGGGAGGGGACACAGAGGGCATGTAAGAGGAACTTGACTCCTGCCCCAACAAAGCAGTGCAGAGCTTCTGGGAGAGGAGTCCCATCTCCAAACCTCTTAGTGAGGTCCAAGGATCTGGGGTGGAGGTGGGGGAGACAGACAACAGCAGGCTGGAGCTGGGCAGGTGGGGCACGTCAGGGAATTCAGCTGAGTAGGATGAGGGACCAGCAGGGGCTATAGATCAGCTAGCCAGAGGTGGAGTCCAGGGAAAGTAGACAAAAGCACAGTGCACCCAGCACCCAGTTCATGAGCTTGCCACACTCTCTGCTCTGTGACTGCAAGAAATAGACAGCGCTTTATCCAGTTGGAAATTATAAGCAAAACCTCTAAGTGCCACCTCCTGGTGAGAGCTCCCACTTCCACCACTTCCAGTCGGAGTGCAGCCCTGGAACTGTGTAAGGCCCATTGCTCTGGAATTAAGACCAATAGCCTTAGTGTGGCCTTTAGACCCTACATGATCTGGCCCCTGCCTGCCCCCAAGCCTGGCCTTGAGCAGCTCTCCCAAGTCCTTGTTTACTCCACATATGCTGGCCCTCTGTCTTGTTCTAGAAGGCATGGTGTCCCTTCCCTCTGGCCTCTCCATTACGCTGTTTTTGCTGCAGGAACACCCACCTCATTGAACTCCACAACCAGTGGAGACCTCCACCTATTCCCAAGTTTAGCTCAAAAGCCACTTCCTCCAGGAAGCTCTTCTGGATACCCCAGATCAGGCCAAATTTCTTTCTCCTAGCCCTGTGTGTTTCTCCTTTAGACCATTCACTACAATTGTAGTTAAATGACTGTCATTTAACATCTGAATCCTCTGCTAGACTGTAACCCCTGTGGGGGCAGAGCTGTGTCCATCTTGTTCACCACCAGACCAGCCCAGAGCTTGGCACAGAGTGAGTACTAGGGAATAATTGTAGGGAGAGACAGAGAGAGAGAGAAAGGAAGAAGGAGGGATAGAGGAAAGGAAGGAAGAAGGGAGGGAGGGAGGAAAGAAGGAAGGAAGGAAGGAAGTCCCAGAGAAAAATATCATTCTTCATAATAGAAAGATGATGGAACATGAAACATGATTAATTAAATCATGCACATAAATAGAGGCCCATATGTCAAGGTTCTGTTTGTTCTGTGACAGTGTAAAAACTGCACATTTTTTATCAAGATGGAAAAACAAATAAACAAAACACCATGTGCTCCATCTCCTGGTAAGACCTCCTGCCACTGCGTCAGAGTGAGCTCCACGCAGGTGGGCCTCCAAGTACAGAGAGACCCGGTCCCAGTTTCAGAGCTGGGACCCGGAAGCCAAGCTGGAGGTCAGGGACCAAAGGCAAAGAGATCAGAGGTAGATGAATTCTCTCCTCCTCACTGAGTCCTGGGCTTGGTGGTTGGCTTGTTTCATCTTCACAGTAAGTCTGTGAAGTAGGAATCATTATCCTTATTCCACAGGTGAGGAAATTGGGCTTCAACAGGATAAAGAATTTGGTTAGTGTCATACAGCTTAACAAGTGGCAGAACTACAGCTTGTCATAGCTCCACTTGACCTCAACAATCATGTTCTTTTTCTGTAGCTTCTTTGAACAAGAGGCAGAGGTCTTGCTAACAGCTATTGGTGTAGTATTGAGGCTGTGGAAGTCAGGGCAGTGCTGGGCAACACCTGCTGTTTTTACCTGTGCCACAGCCATCCCCATTTCTGGCAGCACATCCCTCTCTCTGAGGGGTAACTCATTCTATGTGGTTCTGGGGAGCTGACCCTGTCCTTTTTTCTCCTCAGATTCCAAAGGTAGATAGATGCCTCTGTTCTTAATTTTTTTAATTAAAAAAATTTCTTTTTAGACACAGAGTCTTCCTTTGTCACCCAGGCTGAAGGACAGTGGTGCGATCTTGGCTCACTACAGCCTCAAACTCCTGGGCTCAAGCAATCCTCTTGCTTCAGCCTCCTGAGTAGCTAGGACTCCAGGCACGTGCCACCAGGCCTGGCTAATTTTAAAAATTTCTTTGTAGAGATGGGGGTCTTACTATGTTGCCGAGGCTGGTCTTGAACCCCAAGGCCTCAAGTGATCCTCCCAGCTTGGCCTCCCAAAATACTGAGATTACAGGTGTGAGCCGTGGCAACAGGCCTAATCCACCTGTTAGAACACCTATCCCCAGCTAGGTGTGGTGGCTCACGCCTGTAATCCCAGCACTTTGGGAGGCCAAGGCGAGCAGATCACCTGAGGTCAGGAGTTTGAGACCAGCCTGGCCAATATGGTGAAACCCTGTCTCTACTAAAAATACAAAATTAGCTAGGCATGGTGACACATGCCTGTAATCCCAGCAGCTCAGGAGGCTGAGGTAAGAGAATCGTTTGACCCTGGGAGGTGGAGGTTGCAGTGAGCTGAGGTTGCAGTGAGCCGAGGTTGCAGTGAGCCAAGGTTGCACCATTGCATTCCAGCATGGGTGACAGAAAGAGAATCTGTGTCAAAAAAAAAAAAAAAAAAAAAAAAAAGACCAGACAGGGCCAATCAGAGGCCCTCTGGATTTTGGATTTTGTGCTGAATCTATTGGTCTTTTTCTCTGAGGTGCTAAGTAATTTGGAAACAGAATTGGGGCTGCCATGGGACATCCTTCTTGCCATGTGCAGAAGGCCAGTTATGGACTCAAACCATCAGACAGAGGGAAGGAGAAAGGGAGACATAAGATGGAGACCACTCTGAAGACCTTGTTTGAGCTCTGGATCCAATCATGTCTGAATTGCCCTTGCTTGGACTTCCCAGGTCCACGAGTTAATAAGTTCTTTTTTTTTTGAGACAGTCTCATTCTGTTGCCCAGGCTGGAGTGCAGTGGTGTGATCTCGGCTCACTGGAATCTCCACCTCCTGGGTTCAAGTGATTCTCTTGCCTCAGCCTCCCAAATAACTGGGATTACAGGTGCCCACCACCATGCCCAGATAATTTTTGCATTTTTAGTAGAGACAAGGTCTCACAATGTTGGCCAAGCTGGTCTCAAACTCCTGGCCTCACATGATCTGCCTGTCTTGGTCTCTGAAAGTGCTGGGATTACAGGCATGAGCCACTGCGTCTGGCCAATAAGTTATCTTTTTGCCTTGAGCAGATATAAGCTGGAGAAAAGTAAGTTCACCTGGATGGAGGAGATGAGAGGGTAGACTTGGAGCTCAGCAAGACCTAGAACTGCTCAAGTGACACCAAAGGGGACAGGAAGGGGAGGTGATCTCCTTTGGAGGATTTGGAGGTCAGTATGTCTGTGCCCCGACCCAAATCTCAGCTTGAATTGTAGTTCCCATAATCCCCATATGTCATGGAAGGGACCTGGTGGGAGGCAACTGAATCATGGGGGTGCTCGTGATAGTGAGTTCTCGTGATAGTGGGTGAGCTCTCACGAGATCTGACGGTTTTATAAAGGGCTTTTCCCCCTTTTGCTCGGCACTTCTCGCTGCCATCATGTGAAGAAGGATGTGTTTGCTTCCCCTTCTGCCATGATTTTAAGTTTCCTGAGGCTTCCCCCAGCCATCCTGAACTGTGAGTCAATTAAACCTCTTTCCTTTGTAAGTTACACAGTCTTGGGTATTTCTTTATTAGCAGCATAAGAATGGATTAATACAGGAGGGGAAGCAGAGTCTATTGACTTGACAAGGGCCATCTTGTCAACCACCTACCAGCCTGCCATGTGACTTTGTACCCATGGTGTACTTCTCTGATCTCAGGCCTGCCATCTGCAGAGGGATGTACTAATTTGCAAAATACACCAGGGACTGCTTGTTCCTGGGAAACCACAGTGAAATGGGAAAATTTCCAGTGAAATAAATATAAAGAGATCTTTCCTGGTCTGGAGAGGGAGGAGGGGCCACACATTTACTGAGCACCTAATGTGTGTTGGGAACACACACTAGGTGCCTTGCTGCTTCATTATAAGCCACTAAACTGAAAACAGGGTACAATGCTTGACATCCAATGAATCGCTCTCTCCAAAAGGAAATATTTTGGGGCTGAAAGAAACATCCCAAATAATCCTCACAAGAGTCCGATGAGAAGAGAGCCAGAGACAAGGAAACTGATGTTCAGAGAGGACCAGAGACCCCCCACAAAGCCACAGAGTTGGTAAGTGGCTAAGGCAGAATTCAATGCACATCTTTTTTTTTTTAATTTATTATACTTTAAGTTCTGGGATACATGTGCACAACATGTAGGTTTATTACATAGGTAGACATGTGCCATGGTGGTTTGCTGCACCCATCAACCCGTCATCTAGGTTTTAAGCCCCGCATGCATTAGGTATTTGTCCTAATGCTATCCCTTCCCTTGCCCCCCATCCCCCGACAGGCCCCAGTATGTGATGTTCCCCTCCCTGTGTCCATGTGTCAATGCATATCTTTCAGGCCCAAGAACTTACACATTTTGCCCTTGGCCTGGACTGACTGAAGCCAACACCTTAGCAAGAAACACCCATGGTAGGAGCCTCCTCTGGGCATCTGGGGCAGAGGAGATGGAAAAAACAGGTTGAATTATATCACTTACGAAAATAAGACTGAAAGCATTCGATGATGAGGGATGTGTAACTGATGCAACACCAGTGATATCAGGAATGGCTTGGAATGAAGGTCTTATCTAAACCCTTGGCCTTGAGGGTGGGAGATCTTGCTTGTGCGAGGACAGGGAAGCTGAGAGATGGCCATAGTTGTGGTCAGGAGGGCCTGACACTGTCAGAAGAGGGGTTGTTTCTGCACAAGGCAAAGGAAACAAGGCAAGAGGGATAGCAAGAGAGACTTAGGATAGATAAGGGAAACTTCCTTGGAGGCACCAGTAAGGAAGCTGTGGGCTGGTGGACTGGATGACTTTGCAGGATCTGTGGAGACCAATTGATGGGGACCGCTAAGAGCTATCGCTCTGAGGTCAGCCCGGCCTGGGTTGGAATACCAGCTCAGCCTGTCATTGACTGTGTGACCCTGGGTTTCTTTGTTCAGAGCCTCCATTGACATTGGGAAATCAGCATAGTCTTTCATCAGCACCCGGCACAGTCTTCAGTGTGTGGAGCAGGGACAACAATAGAGATGCTCCAACCTTATGCTCTGGGGAGGTGGGAGGCCTCTTCCACTCCCTCACCTTCCCCTCAAGTAAGGCAGGGTGGGGACAACTTTCTACTTGCAGAGGTCCCTAGAGTGGAAAGCGGGGGAAGGGGATGGGGGACCCTGAGCCTGAGCCTTGTGGAAAACATTTATTAGCCAGGCACTGTGTCTCACACCTATAATCCCAACACTGTGAAAAGCCAAGGCAGGCGGTTCGCTGGACTCAGGAGTTTGAGACCAGCCTGGGCAACATGGTAAAATCACGTCTCTACAAAAAGTACAAAAATTAGCTGGGTGTGATGGCACGTGCCTGTGGTTTCAGCTACTCCAGAGGCTGAGGTGGGAGGATTGCTTGAGCCCAGGAGGTCAAAGCTGCAGTGAGCGGTGTGATTGGGCCACTGCACTCCAGCAGCCTGGGTGACAGAGTGAGACCCTGTCTCAAAAAAAGGAAAAAGAGAAAGAAAAAGAGACAAAGAAAACATTTATCTGAGACTTTGGAAACTTTTTTTCTTGGGGGAAAAATATACTCAGTTTATCGTTTCCCTGTTTTCTGTGTGAGGGAGAGGAAAAGTCTTAAATAAACCTCTGGGCACAGGCCCCTCTTGTTTTGGGAGAAACACTTCTGTGGGCTTTGGCTGACTGTGGGTTAGACCAGACCTTATTCCGGAGTGGACCAGGCCCAGCAGGAAAGGCGACCTCGAATGCACGGTGTTCCCAAATCTTTGGGAACAATTTTTTTTATTTTTATTTTCTTTTTCTGATTTTTTTTTTTTGTAATAGGGTGTCCCTCTGTCACCCAGGCTAGAGTGTAGTGGCACAATCAGCTCACAGCAGCCTCAACTTCCTGGACTTCAGCAACTTTTTGTAGAGATGGGGTTTTGCCACGTTGCACAGGCTGGTCTCAAACTTCTGAGCTCAAGCAATCAGGTCACCTTGGCCTCCCAAAGTGCTGGGATTACAAGTATGAGCCACCGCACTAGGCCCAACATTTTTCTTCCCCCGACGGTATAGAGATATGGACTGCACTGCCTTGAAAATTGTCTGGGCCAGGCACGGTGGCTCACGCCTGTAATCCCAGCACATTGGGAGGCTGAGTTGGGAGAATCTCTGGAGCCCAGGAGTTTGAGACCAGCCTGGACAACATAGTGAGACTCGCTCTCTGCAAAAGTGAACAAAATTAGCCAGATGCGATAGCACTCACCTGTGGTCCTAGCTACTCGGGAGGCTGAGGCAGGAGAATTGATTGAAGTCAGGAGGTCAAGGCTGCAGTGAGCCAAGATTATACCACTGCACTCCAGCCTGGGCGACAGAGGGAAGCCCTGCCTCAAAAAAAAATTAAATAAATAAATTAATAATAATAATAATAATAATAATAATAATACTTTTTAAGCTGTCGTGGGAGTTTTTTAAAAAGAAAAAAAGAAAAAGAAAATGGTCTGTCCTTGGGAGAAAAGTGTGTGTGTGTGTGCGCATGTGTGAGTGTGTGGATGTGGTGTGGGGGTGGTACTAGTGACATGTACGTGTGTGTGTGTGCGTGTGTGTGTGTGTTAGGGGGCTGTTTTCTGCCCAGGAGGCCCCCCAGGAGATCAGGCTGGTGTTGCAGGAAGGCTGCTGAGGTTTGTCTTCATTTTCTGTTGTTGATGGGTGCCTTCGGGGCTGGTTGGGGACTGCCGAGTCCCCTGGGGTCACTGCAGAAGGAAACCCATAGGCTTTGGTTCCTGTGTGGTTGTAGACATCTGGATTCTCTTAGATTATCATGGGAGAGGTAGAGCTTTGTTTCTTTGTTTCTTTTTTCAGACAGTGTTGGAGGGTGCAGTGGCATGATCATAGTTCACTGCAGCCTCGAACTTCTGGGCTCAAGTGGTCCACCTGTCTCAGCCTCCCAAGTAGCTAGAACTTCAGGCCAACACACCCAGCAAATTTTTAAAAATTTTTTTTGTAGAGACAGGGTCTTGCTATGTTGCCCAGGCTGGTCTCCAACCCCTGGCCTCAAGTGATTCTCTAGCCTTGACTTCTCAAAGTGCTGGGATTATAGGTAGGAGTTACCGCACCCAACCTGGCTTCCAGTTTTAAGTCTGTTTCTCCAGCCTCTCAGTTCCCTCCTGCTATGGTTGAGCCTTCAGTAATGCTGGGTTGACCACTGCAGCCCTGTCTTTGCTTTGGGGTGTTAAAAGGCAGCCAGCGTCCACACCTAGGGCAGACCCATGGAGGAGCTGATGGTCTTCCCCCACACCTTCTTCTCCAAGGCCTCTAAGGTGGTGCAGCACCATTTCATGAAAGACTAGCAGCAAAGTGGGCGAGGTCCCCGTGGAACCAAGTGACTCTAGGGAGCCCAGTACTCTGGCGTGGTCACAGTCTCAAGCATTGACAGACGGGGAACCAGACAGAGGTAAACTCCCTCTGCCGCCAGTACTGGAAGGGAACAAACCTGAAGGCTAGAGCCAGCATTCCATGGTAGAAAGGCAAACTAGTCACTTGTAAGCTATTTAGTATATTGATCAGGACTCCGTCAATTGTGAAAGACCTAGTTTATATTAGCTTTAAACAAAAAAGAAATGCATTGGCTCATGTAGCCAAGAAATTCAAGGGACTCAGGCATGACTAGATCTAGTAGTATTCTGGGACCCTAGGTTTGTCCACCTCTCAGATCCACTTGCCTCTGCTTGACTTCATTCCCCAACAGGATCTTATTCAGCAGTGCTAAAATGTCTCTCAGTATCTCCAGGTCTATATGATCTTAGAAGTTATAATTCTAGAGAGAAACTCTCTGTTTCAGAGTCCATGATAAAACTTCCAAAAGGATGTAAACTTGTGGTGTTTAATATGGAGACATAGATAGAGTGTGTTCCCCATTCACAATAAGCACACTGGGGGGCTAGATCCTTTTTTATTTTTTTATTTTTATTTTTATTTTTTGCCACCTGGCAGTGAGTTTGCCTAGGGCATGGATCTTGACTTCTAAACACAACTCTATGCTAAAAGGAATTAGAATGCCTTAGAGAAATGTCTAATTCCAAGGCCGAGCCTGGGAAAGTACCATATGAACCCGAGATATCTTATTAAACCAGAAAGCAAGGAAGCACTTAAAGGAGGACACAGAAGCTGGCTTGAAGAAGCTCCCACGAGCCAAATCTGGGACAACTTGAGCATCAAGATAAATAATGAGAGTAATAGATTATAAACCCTTGGATAAAATAGGAAGCAATGAGTTCATACTAATATAAATAAATAAGCAAACAAATAAATGAAATGATTAAGGAGTAATGGGGTCAGGCACAGTGGCTCATGCCTGTAATCCCAGCACTTGGGAGGCTAAGGTGGGTGGATCACTTGAGCCCAGGAATTCAAGACCAGCCCGGGCAACATGGTGAACCCCATCTCCACAAAAATTACAAAAATTAGCCGAGCATAGTGGCAAGTGCCTGTAGTCCCAGATACTTAAGAGGCTGAGGTGGGAGGATCATTTGAGCCCAGGAGGCAGAGGCTGAAATGAGCCGTGATTGTCCCACTGCACTCCAGCCTGAGTGACAGAGCTAGACCCTGTTTCAAAAAAAAAAAGGAAAAGTGGAATATTTACATTGTCTCAAAGTAACTGCCCCCAGATTTTATTAATAACTTCACAGTGGAGGAGGCTGGCCAACATTGCCTTAATCCAGTAACAAAGTGAGCATCACCAGCAATGGGGCAATCCAAAATGGCGCCACCTGATAGGATGCAATGAAAAGAATACAGCTGCACTTCTGTGATGTTCATGCCAAAGATGCCTCATCTAAATCTGATCAAAAGGAAACAACAGACAAACTCAGGCTGAGGTTCATTCTACACAGTAACTGGTTGGTCATCTTTATAGGACCAAGGTCATGATAGTTAAGAAAAGATTAAGGAACTTTTTCAGACTGAAGGAGAGTAAGAGTCTTGCCAAGTAAATGCAGTGTGTGATTCTGAATGGATCCCTTTGCTATAAAAAATGTTCTCGGGCTGGGCGTGGGCTCACACCTGTAATCCCAGCACTTTGTGAGGCCAAGGCAGGAGGATCACTTGAGCCCAGGAGGTCGAGGCTGCAGTAAGCTGTGATGGTGCAACTGAAAAAAAGAAAAAGAAAAAAGAATATTTTGGAACAGTTGGTGAAACCTGAATGAAATCTGAGGATTTAATTATAGTAATGTATCAGCATGAATTTCCTGATTTTAATAGTTGATGTAGTAGAAAGTCCCTGTTTTTAGGAAACACACACTAAAGTATATTTGGAGGCGATGGGCATCATATCAGCAAATGTATTCTCACATAGTTTAGCAAAAAGGTTTTTTGTACTGTACTTGCAATTTTCTACAAACCTAAAGATGTTTTAAAAAATTTTTAAATATAGCCCTTCAAAAATTCTGATTGGCCCTGCTGGGGTCACATATTTACCCTAGGCCAGTTGCTTTGCCCAAGGGTCTGAGGTCTTCTGAATGGCCATTTAGATGTGTGCCCACTCCTGAGACAGGGAACCCAGGTTGAGGGTGGGCAGTGGGAGTGACAGCTTACCAGGATCAGATGGACTGAAAAACAGCCGTTTCCTGACACAGGGAATTCAGGACAGACCAAAAAAGGAACAGCTGTGTACTCCACTTAGATTAGACTATGATTATTAACTTTGGGAAAATGGTCATTTAAAAGCACATAACCTTTGACTGAGTAATTCCACTTCCTGGTAATCTATTTCAAGAAAATAACCCCAATACAGAGGAGGGGAAGCTCTATATTCAAAGACGTTGGTTCCAATGTTATCTATGGTACTAAAAAACTAAAAGGCACTGATGAGTCCCCATATGGAAGAAAGGTTGAGGAACGTGGCTAGAGGGCTGACCATCTCTGAGGACATTCGCACACAGCTGGTGGGCTTCTGGGCTTCCTAACCATAGGCTTCCATTTTCCCCCATTCAAGTGAGACCATCTTGGTCCACCTGACTTGTCTGAGCCACCTCCTGGCATTAGGTTCCTGGTCCTCATGCCACTGTCACCTTTCCCTCATCCAGGGCAGGTGTCTCTCTAGGTTATAAAGAAGGCAAGGAGCCTTGGATGTGTACTCTTCGTGATCAGCCACTTGGGCTGGAGCCTAGCGCCTCTGGTCCCGAAATGAAAGCAAGATACTATCACTATAATCATGATCATGACAATGATTATGATGATTTTAAAATTCACTGAGTGTGAAACATGCCAGGCACAGCTCTAAAGGCTTTTCCTGTGCTAACTCGTTCAATCCTTACACCGTCTCTACAAAGTAGTTGCTAATTTCATCCCCTTTTTTCAGATGAGGAAACTGAGTACCACGCAGCTAGAAAGGAGCACGTATCTAGACTGTTACTTGAGCTCCTGCCTTCAGAAGTTCTCCTGAACTGACTCAGCAATTCTCTTCAATTTCTGGCACCTTCTTTGGCCCATCCTTTCTTTTCTTTTTTTTTTTTTTTTTTTGAGATGGAGTTTTGTTCTCGTTGCTCAGGCTGAAGTGCAATGGTGCGATCTCAGTCTTGGCTCACCACAACTTCCGCTTCCCGGATTCAAGCAATTCTCCTGCCTCAGCCTCCTGGGTAGCATGTGCCACCACACCAAGTTAATTTTGTATTTTTAATAGAAATGGGGTTTCTCCACGTTGGTCAGGCTGGTCTCAAACTCCTGACCTCAGGTATTCCGCCTTGGCCTCCCAAAGTGCTGGGATTACAGGCATGAGCCACCCCGTCCAGCCTCCATCTTTTCAATACTTAACATTTATTGAGGGAAGTTAGAGAGATATTGTGACAGGTACTTGGGATACTGAAGTAAAAGATAACAGGTCCTGGCCTTGAGGTCTCGCAGTCTAACAGGGTATATGGACATGAAGGCAAACAATACAGTCCAGGAGATGTTGGAAATTGAGGTTTGGACAAAAGGCTGTGGAGGGATATACAGGGATGCTCAATCTACCTCAGGAGCCAAAGAGGCATCAAAGAGGAGAAGCTAACTTTGCCAGGCAGTTGAGAATACTTGAGAGTAGCACCTGGCAAAGCCAGCTTTGCAGGAGGAGGTGCCACATAGACAAATGTATGGCACTGTGCAAAAAGCTTGGCTGTTTTTTATACCATTTTGTACCATCCTTTTGTGAGTTGATTGAATCAATAAAGTCCAAAGGAATGTCCAAATGTTTTCACTTTGTTGAAATTCTTTGTACTAGATTGCATGCAATATAAGCAAATCCTTGCCTTGGGCCTGAAATGCTCTCTGTTTCACAGGAATTTTAGGCTATTTTGGGAAAATGTGGAAAAGGAAGTGGCCCACATGCATCTCTTTTTTGCTTGCTTGCAAGTTTCTCAAGAGGGAAAGCCTGTGGTTATACAGTGGTCTGACTGGTTCAGCACCACGTGGTTTGGAAGGGCTGGATCACAGGGGAAATGAGAGGCAGTGGAGAGGAAAGTGGAAAAGAGAATCCTAATTCTCCACATGTAACTTATGGTGCTAGGAAGCATATTCAATCTCTTGGATCTTCAGTTTCCTCATCTATAAAATTGAAGTAATAAGTATCTTTCTTCTAAGATGGTAGGGCAAATTGAATGAATAAGATACCATGAGCAAGCTTCTGGATCACTGGTTGTGTGCTGCAGAGGGCATTCTGGCCTTGTTGGAGGAGAGTTTGGCCCACAGCCCTCTTATCTGACTTGCGCCTCTGAGACTTAATATTCCCAGTCTCCACAAATACCAGGAGAGAGACACAGAGAAGCTGCACAGCTAGATTCCTGCTGAGGACCTGTCTTACTCTGTGCTGCTGTAACAAAATACCTGAGACTGGGTAAGTTATAAATAACAAAATTTATTTTTTCACTGTTTTGGAGGCTGGAAATACCAACATCAAGGCACCAACATTTGGTGTCTGGTGAGGGCCTTCTTGTTGTGCCCACACATGATGGATGCGGAAGGGCAAAAGGATCCCAACTAGTTCCCTCCAGCCCTTTTAAAGGACACTAATCCCATCCATGATGATGGAGCCCTCAATGGCCTAATCACCTCCTAAAGGCCTCACCTCTTATTACTGTTGCATTGGGAATTTAAGTTTTAACATGAATTTTGGAGGGGACACAAGCATTCAAATTATAGTAGGGCCCCAAAGAACCAGCCAGCTTCCAGGCCAGCTTGGCTCAGCCCTGTGGGGACTTTCTCAACACTTGCTTCTATTTTTGCCTCATCCTGCTCCATGTTTTGCTTCCCCTTCCCCTCTGCCCTCCTTGGCTCTGGCCGTGGGAAGCCAAATGCAGCCTAGGCAATGAGGGAGGCTAAAGGCTAGACAATATCACAAATGGGCCATTGCTGTTTCTGCTGTTGTTTCTTTACTCAGTCTAGGTGTTTGTTTTTTCACCATTATTATTTCATCTTCTAAGCCTATTCAGAGGCTACTAGAAGCAGCTGGAAAATCAGTTCTGGGAGACAGACTCTTAAAACAGGCATAATTTACCAGGAGAATTTATGTGTGAGATTCAGCCAAAAAGATTTCCATGTTCTACAAATGGATGTCTGTATGGGGAAAAAAATGAACCTTCACTCCACCTTACATCATACACATTTTTTTAAGAGACTGGGTCTTACTCTGTCCCCCAGCCTATAGTGCAGTGGCACAGTCATAGCTAATTATAGCCTAGAACTCCTGGGCTCAAGCAATCCTCAGTCTCCCAAGTACCTGAGACTACAAGAGTGCACCATGCCCAGCTAGTCTTTTTAAAAACTTTTGTAGAGACAGGGTCTTGCTATGTTGCCCAGGCTGGTCTCAAACTTCTGGCCTCAAGTCATCCTCCTGCCTCGGCCTCCTAAAGTGCTGAGATTACAGACATAAGCCACCATACCTGGCCTATATATAAAAATTAATTCAAGATGAATCACGGATCTACATGTAAAAGTAAAAACATACGGCTTCTAGAAGAAAACAGAGAATAACTTCTTGACTTTGGGGTAACCAATAATTTTCTTAGACAGGACACTAAAGCATTACCCATTAAAAAGAAAGGATAAATTTGTCATCATTGAAAATAAAACCTTCAAAAGACATAATTAGTGAGCAAAAAGACCCATCAATTTTTACTGGGAGATTGAGAGAAAATATTCACAGCGGTATATCTGACAGAGGACTCATATCCAGGACATATAGAGAACTCCCACAAATCCATAACAAGAAGACAGACAATCCACATTCAAAATGGGCAAAGGACTTAACCAGACATTTCTCAAAAGAAGATACATAAATGGCCAATAAACAGATGAAAATGTGCTTGACATCTTTAGTCATCGGGGAAAAGCAGATTAGAACCACAGTGAGTTGCACTTCATATCCTTGCACATGGCTAAAAGGAAGACTGACAATTTCGAGCGTTGGGTAGATGGAATACTGCTCTATGACAAAAGAAAGGAATTACAGCTAAATGTGATGACATGGATGACTCTCCAAAGCATTCCATGCTAAGTGAAAGAAATCTTATGCAAGAGGAGGTGGAGCAAGATGACCAAATAGAGAGTTCCACCAATCATCTTCCCCATAGGAACACCAAATTTGAACAACTATCCACACAAGAAAGCACCTTCATGAGAACCCGAAAAAAACTCTCAAAAAACTTGGTATAGAAGGAACATACCCCAACATAATAAAAGCCATATACGATTAAACTACTGCTGGTATCACACTAAATGGGGAAAATCTGAAAACCTTTCCTGAAAGATCGGGAACACGACAAAGATGCCCAATTTCACCACTATTATTCGATATAGCCAGTCCTAGCTAGAGCAATCAGACAAGAGAAAGAAATAAAGGGCATCCCAATTGGAAAGGAAGATTGACGAATACCCTTGTTTGCAGATGATATTTGGAAAAACCTAAAAGACTCCACAAAAACACGATTAGAACTGAAAAACAAATACAAATTCAGTAAAGTTGCAGGATACAAAAGTCATGTATCATATGCAACATACGAAAGTCAGTAGCATTTCTAGATGCCAACAAAAAACAATCTGAAAAAGAAATCAAGAAAGTGATTCCAATTATAATAGCTACAAATAAAATACCTAGGAATAAACTTAACCAAAGAAGTGAAAGATCGCTACAATGAAAACTTGAAACCGTTGATGCAAGAAATTGAAGAGGCCACAAAAAAATGGAAAGATATTCATGGATTGGAAGAATCAATATCTTTAAACTGTCTATACTGCCCAAAGAAATCTACGGATTGAATGCAATCCCTACCAAAATACCAATGACATTTTTCACAGAAATAGAAAAAACAATCCTAAAATTTATATGGAACTATAAAAGACCCTGAATACCCAAAGCTACCCTGAGCAAAAAGAACAAAACTGGATGAATCATGCTACCTGGCCTCAAATTATATTACAGAGCTATAGTAACCCAAAGAGCATAGTACTGGCATGAAAACAGATACATAGACCAGTGGAACAGAATAGAGAACCTGAAGACAAATCCATACACCTATAGTGAACCCATTTTTGACAAAGTTGCCAAGAACATACATTGGGAAAAGACAGTCTCTTCAATAAATGATTCTGGGAAAAGTGGATATCCATAGGCAGAAGAATGAAACTAGACCCCTATCTCTTGCCATATTAAAAAAATCAAATAAAAATGGATTAAAGACTTAACTCTAACATCTCAGACTATGAAACTACTAAAAGAAAACATTGGGGAAACTTTCCACGACATTGAACTCGGCAAAGATTTCTTGCCCACAAACACAGGTAACCAAAGCTAAAATGGGATCATGTCAAGTTAAAAAGTTTTCTGCAGCAAAGGATAGAATCAACAAAGTTGAGACAACCCACAGAATCAGAGAAAATATCTGCAAATTATCCATTTATCACGGGATTAATAACCAGGATCTCTACAGGAAAAAAAATCCAATAATCTGATTAAAAAATGGGCAAAAGGTCTGAATAGACATTTCTCAAAAAAAGACATACAAATGGCAAACAGATATATGAAAAGGTGCTAAACATCATTAATAATCACTGAAATGCAAATCAAAACCACAATGAGATATTATCTCACCCCAGTTAAAATGGCTTATATCCAAAAATCAAGCAATAACAAATGTTGGTGAGGCTGTGGAGAAAATGGAACCCTCTTACACTGTTGGTGGGAAAGTAAATTAGTACAAACACTATGGAGAATAGTTTGGGGGTCCCTAAAAAACCAAAAATGGAACTACCATATGATCCAGCAATCCCACTGCAAGGCATATATCCAAAAGAAAGGAAATCAGTATATTGAAGACATATCTGCACTCCCATGTTTATTGCAGCACTATTCATAATATCCAAGATTTGGAAGCAACCTAAGTGTCCATCAACAGATGAACAGATAAAGAAAATGTGGAACATATACACAAAAGAGTATTATGCAGTCAGAAAAAAGAATGAGATCCTATCATTTGCAACCATATGAATGGAACTGGAGGTCATTATGTTAAGTTAAATAAGCCAGGCACAGAAAGACAAACTTTGTCTGTTCTTACTCATTTGTGGGAGCTAAAAATTAAAACAATTAAACTCATGGAGCTAGAGATTAGAATGAAGGTTATCAAAGGCTGGAAAGGGTAGTGGGGTGGCGGGGAAGTGAAGATGGTTAATGAGTACAAAAATATAATTTAATAGAATGAATAAGGTCTAGAATTCACTACAATCAACAATAATTTATTATACATTTTAAAATAAAAAAGAATAATTGGATTGTTTCTAATACAAATAAAGGATAAATGCTTGAGGTGATGGATACCACAGTTACCCTGATGTGACTATTTGCATGGTATACCTGTGTCAAAATATCTCATGTACCCCATAAATATATATACCTACTATGTACCCACAAACTTAAAAATTTTAAAAACTGAGGAACAATATATAGTAAACAAATGAAAAAAACCTTATGCAAGAATATATACTGTATGATTCCATTTATACAAAGTTCAAGAACAGGGAAATAAATTAACTCCAGTGACAGAAATCAGAACAATGGTTGCCTCTGGGGAGTGGGATTGGGATAGCCACTGGAAAAGGGCACCAGGGAAATTTCTGGGGCAATGGAAATGTTCTATACTTCAATTTAGCTGGTGGTTATATTGGATGTGTTAAAAATCCATAGCATTTTACTGTATATAATATAAATCTTTATAAAGTATAATAGGCTGGATGTGGTGGCTCATACCTGTAATCCCAGCCCTTTTGGAGGCCAAGGCAGGAGGATCCGTTGAGCCCAGGGGTTTGAGACCAGCCTGGGCAACAAAGCAAGACTCTGTTTCTATTTTTAAAAAATAAAAATTAAAATGTATATGCTTTAAAAAAATTAAGACTCTCAAGTCCTGAAGGACAGATGAATGGAGAGATGCATCTATCATGCATAGTGCTTAATACTTGCAATACATGTTTACATCCGTGGTCCTAGCATCCAAAGCCCTTAATTGGGTCTTATTTTGTCCTGAATTCCTATCATTCTCTCACCTAGGTTCCTCTGCCCCAGCCCCACTGACCACTCATCATAAGCCAGACACATTCCCATCTCAGAACTTGTGCTTGCAGTTTTCTTCCTGGAATTATCTTTTACCAGAGGCTGGCTTGCTCCTTAACATCTTCAGTTTGCTGCTCAAATGTCACTCTGTCACAGAATAGCATACATATCCTGCCTTCTCTCATTCCTCTCCACTTTTCTTCATTCCCCTTATCCCACCCTTTGCCCTGACATTGTACATATTTATTTGCTTATTGTCTGTCTGCCCTGTTAGATTGTCAGCTCCACAAAGACAAGGACTTCATCTGTTTTGCTCACTGCTGTATCCTCGGTACCTAGACAGTTGTTAAATATTTGTTCTCAGTGAGCTCTCATAGCAACTCTTGGAGACTCTTGGGGCATGTAAAGTTTGAAAAGGAAAATGATTACAAACAGAAGGCTTGATATACATTAGATAGTCAATAAGTGTTAGTTCTTTTCTTTCCCAAACTCTTCTTTGGGTGTAGAGGCACAGATTTATTAATCTGGAAATTAAAAAAAATTTAATTGGGAAAATTAAGTTCTGAATGGTTTGATGACCTTCCCAAGGTCACACTACAAATGGTCAATCTCAAATTTGAGTTCTGGGCTTTTTGATCCCAAATGGCCCTTAAGACAGAGCAGCCATCACATTGATGGTCAGACTATGCAATGGAAGGCAGAGGTGTTAGCACAGGGACTAATTTCCTGACCACTGTTGGACACTAGACAGGTAGACTCCCCCTCCCACAATTTCACACCCTATGGACTTATATATATATATATATAAAGTCCCTTTTCCCCAGGGAAATGCACAGTCATACAAGAACTAAGGGGGTTTCTGCACTCCATGAAACCCATCCACAGAAACAGGGTTAAGAACACCTGCATTAAGTCTTTAAATCATCCCATGTTCAGACTCTTCATTATATTCCTTAAAACATTCCCATAACCCAATGCTTTTCAACCTTGGGGGAGTTTCTCCTCTTAATTACAGAGGAGCTTATGTTGGATGTAGGCAGATCTAGCAGTAAGTGAAGCTTAGGGCTTGTCTGGGAGAATGAAGATGAAAAGAATAGCTCGAGTCTCGTGTCTTGCCAGAAGGAAAAGAAACACAGCATCCTCACGCTCAAGGCTTGTTCTAAACTTAGCCGGCTCCCGTGGTTCCAGAGTTGGCAAAATGAGCTCCCGCTGTCCTAATGAACATGTCATTGTGCAGTGACTCACGGAGACAGCAGCCATGTGCGGGATGTGAGTGCTTCTAGCCAGATGGGGACCATGGTGGGCTGAGACCCTTGACATATCAGGAAAGGCCAAGGCAGGATGGGAGTGAGGATGGCCTGGATGCCAGGCTGGAGATCTAAGGAGGCCCAACAGTGGCAGAACCCAACTTCTGGGAAACACAGGAAGGGACCAGATGAAGCCACACAGTGAGGGAGAGATCAGTCTTGGAGATTTTGTCTGATAGGACTTCATACCCATCAGGGCATGGAACAAGAGAGACAATAGTGCCACATGGGTATACCAGGCCACCTAAGAAGAATGGCAGTCCAAGATGACAAGTGATTTCTCTCTCCATGATCTTAGACAGGTGGGCGTTAATAAAAAGGTGGCTCCTAGAAGGAGAGAGAGGCAATGCTCCTCTATCCTGCCTGGCCCTGCTATAGTCAGGCTGCCCTGGTAAGGCTGTGCTTGGGCCTATAAGCAGCTTGAGGTGCTGCACTCATGGAGGATGTGGATGGACTTGGGGTTCACCATTAGATGGGGACACAGAGAGGAATGGGTGCAGTCAGTGTCTCTAAGGAGCTGGTGGGCTGTCCAGGGTGCCACTCTGCAGAGGCTAGGACTACCCCAAAGGAATGTCAGCAAAGTGGGGTGGGAAGGGGCCTCCTGGGGCCTGGTGGAGGCTGAGTTCCTTACGGAAGTCAGGATAAGTGTTCATTTGAGCAGCAAGTGGAAGTCACAACTGGGAAGTGGAGCAGCCTGGGGCATCATAGAGCAGCAGGCCTGAGAGGTGATGGGAGGCCGGGCAGATGTCCCAGGTCAGGGAGATGAGGGACAGGCCAGGAGGCTGGAGGCTGGAATGCCACAGGACATTGACTCTGAACAAGGCAGGAATGTGCAATCTTGCTCTGAGTGCAGTGGCCTCCTGGCATCAGGAGAGTCAGAGGGCTGAGTGAAGTGGGCCCTGTGGGGCATCATGGCGCGGGGGTAGTCCCATTTCATGAGGCCCAAGGGGAGAATCAAGGCTATGGGAAGAGCTCACAGAAATCAGAAATCAGTACAATAGAAGGAAGGGCTTCCTGAGTGCCACATTGTCTAGCAATAAAATGGGAGGTAGTGGCCAGGCATGGTGACTCATACCTGTAATACCAGCACTTTGGGGGGCCGAGGCCAGTGGATCACTTGAGGTCAGGAGTTCGAGACCAACCTGGCCAACATGGTGAAACCCCATCCCTACTAAAAATACAAAAATTAGCCAGGCGTGACAGCACATGCCTGTAGTCCCAGCTACTCGGGAGGCTGAAGAGGGAGAATCGCTTGAACCCAGGAGGTAGAGTTTACAGTGAGCTGAGATTGTGCCACTTTGCTCCCACTTGGGCAGCAGAGTGAGACTCCATCTCAAAAGAAAGAAAGAAAAGAAAGAAAGGAAGAAAGAGAAAGAAAGAAAGGAAGGAAGGAAGGAAAAGAAAAGAAATACTAAGATGACTTTCAAAAAAGAAAGAAAGAAAGAAATGGGAGGTAGTACACTCCCTGGCACTGGACAGCATCCCTCAGATCACCTGAGGAGAGTGAGAACAGATTCAACCATCGGAGTCCCTTCTAACCTTGCCGGTCTTCAGTTTGGATTTCTCCAGCAGCCTTGTTGAGGGAGAAGAGCAGGATTTACTTCTTTTCCACATGGGGAAAGCTAAGGCCCAGAAAAACTGAACACTGCACCCAAGGTCACGCAGAAAAGGAGGAGAATTGGGAACAAAACCCATGTCTGCTCTTCCCCAAGCTCCAGAGTTTCCCATCTGGTTTCCCAACTGGTTTCCCAGCCTGCGCTATTCTTGACTGGCTCCCTTGGCCAGGACAGAGGGTACCTACAGGACGGGCACAGTACTGCCTGCTGGTTCCCAGGTGAGGCTGGTACATGAAAGGCCTGTCCTCGCTGCCCAGGTGCTCAGCACGGCCATCAGGTCGTTGTCGGCCACATGCACAGATAAATGGGGGTGAAGATTTGCTACACACTTACCCAGCCCTGGCTCTGTGCCTGTCAGGAGGGAATGTCATCGTGCAGGACACTTACCCTGACTATGGCACTCTTGACAAAAAAACCCCTTTGGCTTCACTGTTGGTGGGTAGTTCTTCAGGGTCCACTGGAGAACCTTGTCCTCCAGGCCACCAGGGGGACCCAGTTGGCCTGGTTTACATCTTTGTTTTCCAAAGTTTCTTAAAACACCAATCCTTCCAAAAAAACTCCTTGAGGAAAGGCTTTTTTTTTTTTTTTTTTGGTAACAGTTCTATTGAGATAAATTTACATACCATACAATTTACACATTTAAAGTGTGCAATTCAATGGTCTTTAGTATAGTTACAGAGTTACGCAACCATCAGCACAATCAATTTTAGAACATTTTCATTACCCACAAAAGGAGCCCATATCTTATAGCTGTCATCCTCCAAAACCCTCTCATCCCTTCCTCTCAGGCAGCCCCAGGCAACCACAGTTCTACTTTCTGTTTCTACAGATTTTTGTATTCTGTGCATTTCTTTTTTTTTTTTTTTTTTTTTTTGAGACTGAGTCTTGCACTGTCGCCCAGGCTGGAGTGCAGTGGTGCGATCTTGGTTCACTGCAAGCTCTGCCTCAAGGGTTCACGCCATTCTCCTGCCTCAGCCTCCCGAGTAGCTGGGACTATAGGTGTCCACCACCATACCCGGCTAATTTTTTGTATTTTTAGTAGAGACAGGGTTTCACTATGTTAGCCAGGATGGTCTCGATCTCCTGATCTCGTGATCCGCCCGCCTTGGCTTCCCAAAGTGCTGGGATTACAGGCGTGAGCCACCGCGCCCAGCTGTGCATTTCATATCAATAGAATCCTATGTGATATTCTGTGTGTGGCTTCTTCCCCTCCGGGTAGTGTTTGCAGGATTCACTCATATTGTAGCATGTGTCAGTACTTTGTTCTTTTTTATAATCAAAGACTATATCAGGGCTGAGCACAGTGGCTCACGCCTGTAATCTCAGCACATTGGGAGGCCAAAGCAGGGAGATCACTTGAAGCCAGGAGTTCGAGGCCAGCTTGGTCAACATGGTGAAACTCCATCTCTACTAAAAATACACATACAAAAAAAAGTTAGCCTGGCGTGGTGGCATACGCCTGTAATTCCAGCTACTCAGGAGGCTGAGGCATGAGAATCGCTTGAACCTGGGAGGCAGAGGTTGCAGTGAGCTGAGATCAGGCCGCTGCACTCCAGCCTGGGCAACAGAGTGAGACTCTGTCTCAAAAAAGAAAGAAAGAAAAAGAAGCAAGACTGTGACAAAAAAATAAAAATAATAAAAATAAATAAATAAAGTGTCCAGGTTAGGCCAGGTGCAGTGGCTCATGCCTGTAATCCCAAATCTTTGTGAGGCGGAGGCAAGAGGATCACTTGAGTCCAGGAGTTTGAGAGCAGCCTGGGCAACATATTGAGACCTCATCTCTACAAAAAAATAAGAAAATTAGCTAGGCATGGTGGTGCTTGCTTGTAGTCCCAGGTATTTGAGAGGATGAGGCAGGATCGCTTGAGCCCAAGAGTTGGAGGCTGCAGTGAGCCCTGATTGCACTATTGCACCCCAGCCTGGGTAACAGAGAGAAACCCTGTCTCAAAAATAAAATAAAATAAAATAAAAAGTGTGCATGTTACACAACTAATAACAGGTTCAACCCAGGCTGGCTAACTGCAGAGTCGTGCTCTAAACCCTGAGCTGGAGCGCAAGGAACCCTCAGTACAGTGGCCATGCCTCCTTGTTCCTGTTGCCCGGGCTGACTGCCCCAGTTGGCTGTAGTCAGAATCTGCTCCCAATCAGCCAACCTGTGCAAGAGCAGGGCTGGCCTACCTGGAGTGGTGATGTGGCCGACAGAGGATGCCCTCAGTGGGTGAGTGACAGTGGCCCACACCCTGCATCTCTTCTGAGTCTCCTCCCTACAACCCCTCTGCTTTGGCAGCACTAAGAGCTTTCAACCTCTTCTTCATCACTTGCTTCCTGTGGACAGGGACAGGCCAGATCACATGCCATCTGGTATCCAGGCTGCGAGAGCCAGAGAAGGCCTCCTCCATCCTCACCAGGCTGGAGGGTACAAACAAAAACCTCCCTTCCACTCAGGGCCACTCTGGGGCTATGCTTTCTGTGGTGGCCAAGCCTGAGTCTAACTATTACCGAGACCAATTATTAATAGCAAATATTTAGTGGGACTTCCCTGAGTGACAGGCATTGTGCTTAGTGGGCTCCACACAGCATGTCTGTTAGCCCTTACCACGGTGCGCCCACCACAGCACGTCCGCATTTGCAGACAAAACACTGAGACTTGATGCGCTGAGCGAGTCACCCAAGATCACCTGGTTAGCACCCAGCAAGAGCAGGCCCATCTCTTGACTGTTGGGCAGTTCCCTGGACTCCCCCCAAGGGGAGCTTCCTGGCCCTGAATCCCCAGGGGCTTAGGTAAGGATGGGAGGGGCTCTTCCCTCTGATGGGGGCACATCAAGACAGATAGAGCCCAGGAGAGAATCTCAGGGCTCTTCCCACCCACAGGAATGGGAAGGACACTATCTCTGTGCCTGGCAAGATGGTAGGCACTTAATATATCTAACCCCATCATTCAATAGTAGCAATAACCCTGCTGGAAGGAATATAGACTTTGCTCGGGGTCCTGAGCAAATTGACCCAACATCCTCTGGCTGGGTGGTGCTAACATGGCTGAAAGCCAGAGGCACAGCAACCGATGGAGTCAGAGTCAGGTGCAGCTCCAAGCACTGTTCTGTTTACCTATCCAGCATCCCTTTTCCCTTTCTCCTTCAACAGACCCCATCCTCTCAGCCACAGGGAGGTCATGTGACCCAAGTTGAGTCAATCAAAGGGCCTCATTTTCTAGCTTCAGTGTCACCAAGGGAGGGGCACATGACCCAAGCTGGGCCAATCAGAGTTCTTCTCCATGAGTTTTCAAATTGAAGCAGGGGGAGACACTCTTTTTCCTCTTTGGCTATAAAGCTCTGAGGAAGTAAGCCCAGAGCTCCTGGAGACATATTTTCTTCCAGTGAAGAAGCCAGTCCCAAGGAATGAAGGTGTATCACCTGGAAACTGAATTGAGCCATGAGTAACAGAAGCCTGACCACAGTGGCTTTTCGCATGAAGAGAACTTCAGAAACAGGCAGTTGCTCGTGTTGGTTCAGTGTCAGGGCTAAGTTCTTTGGGATTCTCTTAGCCCAAGATGATTATCTTAGCCTCAAAATGGCTGCCCCAGCACCAGTCCTCAAGCCTACCTTCCAGGCAGAAAGATGAGGGAAGAGGCAGGGGTCAGCCCTTTAAAGAGCATCCTAGAAGCCCCACTCAAAGATTTCCATTTCTAGCTCATTGGCCATTCCCATGTGCAGGGAAATCTGTGAAACACACCTCACCATCCCTTAACAATAGAGGGGTTCTGTTGTTAAGGAGGAAGGGGAGAGTGCTTGCTGGGTGGTGTTTAAATCTTGCCTATTCTGCATAGTTCTGTGGGCCAACAAATGCATCTTTTTTCAAGCTGGCTTGAATTGGGTTTCTGTCACCTGCCACCAGGGAACCCCTGATCAGCAGCAGATAACCTATGTCAGAGACCCCCCTGCCTCCTCTGGCTTTCAGCTCAGGATTTCTCTCACAAAACCCCTTGCTGCTTCAAGCAGAAACTTTTGGCATCAATTTCACCCTTACTCATGATTGGATTCACAGCAGTCTCTAATTTCCCAGTCGACTCATTTCCCACCCTGGTAGAAGGTCCAAATTGGGCCTTGTTCCCAGCAAGAGTGAGGCTGGGGGAACTGCACAATGTCACAGGCAGGCTCATTAGAGAAGAGCCCAGGAAACAGAGTGCAGACCTGGAGGGCCAGCTCACCCAATCCCCCATTTGGGAGATACGTAAAAACTGAGACCTGGAGAAGGGACTTCAATTTGCCCAGGGCCACAAAACTGTCTCCACACCCTCATATTGATCCTCGGTGGAAGCCCCAGGAGGCTTGGATAGGGAGGTCCAAGGTGCCTGTCCAGCCTTGCGGCCCCAGGGGATACCTACTCATCCAGCAGGAACTCTGAGAGTCCTCCTGCTGGAAGGACTTAGAGAAAAAGGGAGAGAGAATGAAATGACTCTCCCGTGACTAGCTGGCAGTTGCCATTGATAGCTCGCCTGGGGATTGGCAGGACCCAGTGCTGGGCCTCCTGCCCAGCTCCCTGAAGGGTAGGAAATGAGTTGGCATGCAAATCGGGAGTCCACTGTTATCCCAGGCATGAGTAAGGGCAAAACAGCTGCCAAAACAAGGTTGCTTCTGCTCAAAGTAGCAAGGAGGTTTGTGAGGGAAGCCTGCACTGAGACCAGAGCCGGGACTCCTTACTTACCTCACTGCTGTCTGGCTCTGCGACCTTCAACAACCCGCTTAACCTCCTGGGGCTTGGAAATTCCACACATCACCTCGGACAGCTGCGTTTCTTTGCTTGTTCATTCATTCAGCCAATGAACATTCCTTAGCATCTGCTTCCTTAGGAAGGGACATATGGTGGGAAGAGTTAAGGCTTTGCAGTCATAGACCTGAATTCAAAGTTAAATGATTTTGGGCAAGTCATTTAACCTCTGTGTGCCTCAGTTTCCTCATCTGCAAAATGGGGTAAGAATACTTCCTTCACATGGTGGATTTAAGAATCAAGTTAAACTAGACAACATAAGGGTCTCTAATAAGTGCCAAACACAGCAGTTGTCAGTAGTCTGATGGTGATGATGATGACGGTGATGATGGTAATAATGATCTGTAAAGCCCAAGCCAGTGCCTAAAGCATAAAAGATGTTCAAGAAGTTGTAGTTACTGACTGGGCATGGCAGCTCACACCTGTAATCACAGCACTTTGGGAGGCCAAGGCAGGTGAATCACTTGAGGCCAGGAGTTTGAGACCAGCCTGGCCAAAATGGAGAAACCCCATCTCTACTGAAAATAAAAAAAATTAGCTGGGCGCAGTGGTGCATACCTATAATTTCAGCTGCTCCGGAGTCTGAGGCAGGAGAATCGCTTGAACCCAGAAGGTGGAGGTTGCAGTGAGCCAAGATTGTGGCACTGCATTCCGGTCTGGGCAACAAAGTAAGACCCTGTCTTTATTAAAAAAAAAAAAAAAAAAAAAAGGCCGGGTGCAGTGGCTCACCCCTGTAATCCCAGCACTTTGGGAGGCCAAGGCGGGCCAATCACCTGAGGTTGGGAGTTTGAGACCAGTCTGACCAACATGGAGAAACCCTGTCTCTACTAAAAATACAAAATTAGCTGGGCGTGGTGGTGCACGCCTGCAATCCCAGCTACTAGGGAGGCTGAGGCAGGAGAATTGCTTAGACCTGGGAGGTGGAGGTTGCGGTGAGCCGAGATCGCACCATTGCACTCCAGCCTGGGCAACAAGAGCAAAAGTCCATCTCAAAAAAAAAAAAAAAAAGAAAGAAAAAAAAAAGAAGTTGTAGCTACGGTTACTGTGTTACTGTTGATGTCAGCAATCATAACACAACAAAGTGCTTAACACGCTTCCTGATGTAGCAGATGCTCAAGATGTGGTGGCTATTGATGCCTTTATTTCAGTGATGGCATCATGACCTGCCCAGTGCCCAACACGGAGTTGATGCTCAATGCATGTGAGTTTCCTTCCCTTCAGCAGAGGTCTCAGAGCACCCTAACCTTTGCAAAGGATCCATTGACATCTAGAATGGAGTTAGGTACCCTTGGGTACCCACAGCAGGGTGCGTGTGAATCCCAGGGTCCCATGGAGGCTTCCCCTGCAGGGTAGTTCACAACCCAGCTCTCTCTCACAGCTGTTGCTGGAGGAGACAGATCTTTCCAGCAAACCATAAGCCTGGTACCAGACCAGCCACTATCCCCCCACCCCCAATCCATGTTTCCCAGCCCAGGACCAAGCTGGATTCTGCTCTCCCTGCCCAACTTTTATATTCCCAGCTACTTATAACACTGGCTGAAAGCAGCCTGTGTCTGAGGCTAAATGGGTGGTGAGAAATCTGGCCTCCCAATCACATGCGAAGCCCCTGGCACCCATCAGAGCATCTCATCTTCCAAAGCATCCCTCTAGCTTTTTTTCTCTGTGCCTGGCTCTCTCTCAAGCATCGGTAGCTCATTTCTGGTCTGGAGCTCGGGCCATGTGGTTCAGGGAGAGGTCATTTCATCTATCCAGATAGCTCTGTTTTGCAGTCACCTAGACCATAGAGTCCTAGCCTGTTGGTGGCCCCAATGTGCTGTGCTTCTCTTTCAAACCCTCACTAGTACTAAGGGGCAAGGTGGCCCTGACTGTCTGCAGGGAAGTGGAGGAGAAGATGAGGAGGAATGTCCAATAGCATGGAGACAGGGAGGAGGAGGGCACGGTGCTGTCTGTAGAGTGCAGAGAGTGGGACGGGAGAACCAGAAGCCACTGCAATGTGGTGAGGGGCAGGAGCTGATGCTGGAATCCCACATCTGCCACTTCCTAGCTGTGTGCCCTTGGGCAAGTTACTTAACCTCTCTGAGTTTCCATTTATTCCTCTGTAAAAGACAGAAAATAAGTCCCACTGTAGAGTCATTGTCAGGACTGAGAAACCGTTTGAGGAGCTCCAGCAGCACAGTGCCTGGCATGCAATTGCTGCGTCTGCTGTCTTCCTTTTACCTCCCCTAAACTCGGATCCCTGGACCGCAGAAGGCTAAAAGATCCAAATCCACTGCTCCCTTGCTTTCCCCAGGATTTGCCATTCAGAAAAGAGATCAACTTGAGGAAGACAGCCTTAGCTTCAAGTTCAGCTGACTGGCAGTTGAGTCTCACCTAAACTGCCTGATTTTTAAAATTTGTCTATTTTTTGAGATAGGATCTTGCTTGGTTGCCCAAGCTGGTGTGCAGCGGTGCAATCTCGGCTAACTGCAGCCTCCAACTCCCAGGCTCCAGCAATCCTCCCATCTCAGCTTCCCGAGTAACTGGAACTACAGGTGCTGGCCACCACGCCTGGCTAATATTTTTATTTTCATTTTTGTAGGACAGGTTCTCCCCATGTTGCCCAGGCTGGTTGAACTACTGGGCTCTAGCAATCCTCCTGCCTGGGCCTCCCAAAGTGCTGGGACCATAGGCGCAGGCCACCACGCCTGGCTCTAAATTGCCTGATTTAGAGCTGGTCTCTGTCCAGGACAGCGGCAGTCCCAGCTTGAGCATGCATGGCGCAGAACCTTTGGCTCATCAGAAGGGGGGACGGGGGAGAGGCTGGCTAGAGGATCACAGGAGAGAATGTGTCTGAGGCCCAGGCCTGATGCAGGGACCTCCTGCCGGCTGGTGAGATACGGCCTCCAAGGCGCTTTGTGGCAACACCAGGGCATGGCCTAGGTGAAGGCCAACAGGCCCTCCCCACAGGGCTGGAACAGGAAGGGAGAGAAGTGGTGACCCAAGAGGCCCCCAAGAGGCTCAACCGGGGCGGGGGAGGGCCAGAAATCACCGAGGGGCGTGGTGAGCAGAGCAGGAGCCGCTGCCGCCACCAGGGGGCGAGGGCCTAGGGAATCCTGCTCGCTGCCCTCACAGCGTCCCCTTGCGGCTGGGCGGCTGCCAGTGCTGCTGGCCACCGCCGAGGGCTAGAAGTCCCCGTTCCCATGACACTCAGAAGATGAAGGGACTGTGCGGGTGCGTGTGTGTGCATGTAAATCGGGGAGAGGAACTGGATTTAATATTTACTCCCAATCCGCAGGTTTGATGTTCCCGGCTCTCCTTAGGGACCCCCACTGGCCTCGAGCTCTTCGCAGGAAGGGTGGTATCTAGCTTGTTCACTGTGGTCCCCCAGGGTTCAGCACGCAGCCTCGAATGCTCAGGAATGAATGGATGAATGGCTGAATAAATGATGAAAGAGGACAGCTTTCAGGGACAGCCTGCCAGGTGTGGGCAGAGAAACGAACCTGAGAAGTCCGCCATCCCCCTGGCTCCCCACGTCAGGGCAAGCAACAGCTTATGATGCTACAGGCTGCTCCGTGCAGGGTGAGGAGCATCCCCGCTCTGCTACCTACAAGCTGGGTGACCTCGGGCTCTTCATTTACCCTCTCTGAGCCTTGTGACACCATCTAAAAACAGAGACCATAAGACTGTCTAGAAGGAGGTTGTTTTTCTGTTTTTTTAATTAAACATGTGAGGCGGGTGAAAGGGCATCATGTGGTCACTGCTCACTACACGGACATTTCCTTGGCCAGGCGGGGTTGGGTGGGCAGAGGGTCCCCTCCCCCAGCACCCTGACCGGCGTCCTCTTTCTGTCGCAGCGCCCTGCCAGCTCTCCAAGCCCGTCGTGCTGTGCTGTCCGCTGCCTGCTGGCCCACGGCCAGACCAAAACCAGAGACGCCGGCTCCGGCCAGCAGCAGCCACTCCCCTCTTCCTCCTTTGCATTCCCCACGCCGCCCCCTGCTCCCAGCCTCTACTCCTTTCTTTCTTTCTTCAGTGGCTTCTCCGCCTCTCTTTGTGTTCCTTCTAGAAATCGTTCCAGCCTGCTGGAGAAAAATAAAACAGAAATCTCCTCCTCATCCACCTTCTGTGATGGCAGTACTCACAGCTCCTCCTCTTGGGCCCCCTGGCCTCTGAGAGCCACCCACACCCACCCTGCGCCCAGGCCCTGCACCCGAAGCTCCCCCGGTGAGGAACATGGGCATTCAACAGAAGAAAAATACCATTGATTTTGGAAGCAGAGCTCAGGGGAGCTGGGCTGCACTCCCAGCTCTGCACAGATCTCAGATGGGAGCTGAATCTCTCTGGGCTTGGGTTTCTTTCCCCGAAAAACATGGACCACTCTAGGCTCCTGTGCTACTCCATTTGACATGACAGCAGCCCCAGCTTAATAAGGCTGGCATCCCAAGAGGACCAGCCTCTCAAACAGTGTCCTGGGCTCAGGCCCCTGATGTACCCTCCTCTTGGAAAAATATCTGATGGAGCATCCCACTGTGAGTACTCCCCTACCTCAGAGTAGGAAAAACCCCTGAGGTCTCATTTATTGACTGCTTACTGGAGGTCAGTCACCGTTCTTTGAGCTTCATGTGAAATATCTCATTTAATCTTCACCACCATTTTTTGAGGTCAATACTATTGTTTCCCCCATTTTACAGATAAGGAAACTGGAACGACCTGTCCAAGATCACATATATATCAGAGGCAGGATTTGAACACAGGTATTTTTAACTTCAAAGCCGAGGCACTTTAATCATCATCCTTTCACAGGAGAGACAATGCACAAAAGGCAATAAATAAAACTTCTTCCTAAATCTGGATGGATTTTATGCAAAGAGAAAAGTCAGAGTAAGTAGTTCTGGGACTTTTGACAAATAAGAGATGGAAGACAGATCCACATAATAAAAAGTATGTGGGGTTGGGGGCGGAGGAGACTGGTGTTGCTTAGTCCTGGGTTGGAATACCCGTTCAATTTGCTAGCTGAGTGGCCACAGGTCAGTGACGTTACCTTTCTATGACTTGGGTTGGGGGATTTCTCTTCCACGAGAACTAAGATCCTACTGAATTGACCATCCCACAGATAGAAAGTGTTGACAAAATACAAAAACAAAACAAAACGAAAAAGCAAAACAAACCCAAAACCAACGCGAGGCACTGAAGAGTGAATAAAAGCAAGTAGGCCCTGGCTGGGAGTCAACACTTGGAAGAAGGGCATGACATATGGTGAGTTATCTGTTTTTCTGGCTTTGATCTTGAAGGTGCGCTGCAGTCAGCAGAGCACACTTGGGGAACCTGCGGTCTTTCTGGCCTAAAGAATCAGAGTACAAAGTTTAGAGCAACCACAGCCACTGGAAAGTGAAGTGGGGAGTGCCATAAAGGAAAGGCTCGGAAAGGGGGTGGCTCCAGATCCCATCTGTAAACTCTGCCCAAATCTCTCACTGCTCCCTGAACCACACATGCATGAAAAATACTTTAGCAGAGGAAAATAACTGAACTGAGGTTTGAGCTGCCACCGAAGAGCAGAGTTTGAAGTTAATTGCCTAATAAAAAGAAAGAAATCAACATGTTTCGGAGGACTAACAGAAACCAGAGCCTCTACAGCGTAACATGAACAATGTCCAGGATAGAATCCTGTTCCTGTATAAATATGTTCTCAAAACACAACAGAACTAAACTAGAAATCAGTAACAGCAAGATAGCTGGAAAATCCCAAAATGTTTGGAGATTAAACAACACACTTCTAAGTAACACACAGGTCAAAGAAGAAGTCTCAGGAGAAATTTTTAAATATTTTTAATATATGAAAATGAGGCTGGGCATGGTGCCTCACGCCTATAATCCCAGCAATTTGGGAGGCTGAGGAAGGTGAAGTGCTTGAGCCCAAGAGTTCGAGACCAGCCTGGGCAACAAAGTGAGACCTATCTCTACGAAAAAAATAGAAAAAATTAGCCAAGTATGGTGGTGAAAGCCTATAGTCCCAGCTACTCGGGAGGCTGAGCTGGGAGGATCACTTGAGCCCGGGAGTTTGAGGTTACTACAGTGAGCCATGATCGTGCCGATGTACTCCAGCCTGTGTGACAGAGCATGACACTGTTTCAAAAAAAAAGAAAATGAAAATGAAAATACAAATCTTCAAAATTTGTTGAATGCCGTGAAAGCAATGCTTAGAGGGAAATTTATATCATTAAATGCATATATTTTAAAAAAGAAAGATCTAAAATTAATAACCTAAGTTTTCCCCTTAAAAAACTAGAGAAAAGGGGCAATTTAATCTCAGAGCAAGCAGAGGAAAAGGAATAATAAAAATTAGAGCAGAAACCAACAAAACTGTAAACAGGAAATAAATAGAGAAAATAAAATCTAAATCTTGTTCTTTTAAAAGATCAATAAAAATGATGAACCAACATCCAGGCTAACTAAGAAAGACAGAAGACACAAATTACGAATACAGTAGTCCCCTCTTAATGGCAAGGGATATGTTCCAAAACCCCTGAAGTGTACCTAAAATAGGCGGTAGTATCAAACCCTGCATATACTATGTCTTTCCTGTATGTACCTACTTATGACAAAGTTTCATTTATAAATTAGGCACAGTAAGAATAATATAATAATAATAATAATAAAATAGAACTAATAATAAAATAGGACAATTATAACAATATACTGGAATAAAAAGTATGTGAATATGTTCTCTCTTTCTCTTTTCCTCTCAAAATATCTTATTGTACTGTGCCCATCCTTTTTCTTCTTGTGATGATGTAACATGATAAAATGCTTATACAACAAGATGAAGTGAAGTGAATGATGTAGGCATTGTAACTGCCCAGTGAGCTCACCTTACCTGCTGCCTACAGAGAGCCAATTTATCCAGACAGAGGAATTGCAATAGAGAAAGAGTAATTCACACAGCCGGCTGTGCTGGAAACTGGAGTTTTATTATTACTCTAATCAGTCTTCCTGAGCATTCAGGGATCAGAGTTTTTAAGGATAATTTGGTGGGTGGAGAACCAGTAAGTTGGGAGTGCTGATTGGTTGGGTCAGAGATGAAATCATAGGGCCAGGCAGTGGTGGTTCATGCCTATAGTCCCAGCACTTTGGAAGGCTGAGGCAGACTGATTGATTGAGCTCAGAAGTTTGAGACCAGCTTAGGCAACATGGCAAAACCCCATCTCTACAAAAAATGCAAAAATTAGCTAGGCATGTTGGCTCACACCTGTAGTCCCAGCTACTCCAGAGGCTAAGGCAGGAGGATGCCTTTAGCCTGGGAGGTAGAGGTAGCAGTAAGCCGAGATCGTGTCACTGCACTCCAGCCTGGGTGACAGAGTGAGACCCTGTCTCAAAAAAACAAAAAAACAAACAAAACAGGGCCAAAGCTGTCCTCTTAACGCTGAGTCAGTTCCTGGGTTGGGGCCATAAGATCAGATGACTCAGTTTATGAATCTGGGTGGTGCCAGCTGACCTGCAAAATATCACAAGCACTGATCTCAGGTTTTACAATGGTGATAATTTCCCCAGTAGTTCTTTGGGGATGGTCAGAATCTTGTAGCTTCCAGCTGCATGACTCCTAAACCATAATTTCTAATCTTTCGGCTAATTTATTAGTCCTACAAAGGCAGTCTAGTCCCCAGCCAAGAAGAGGCTTTGTTTTGGGAAAAGGCTGTTATTGTCTTTGTTTTAAACTGTAAACTAAGTTCCTCCCAAAGTTATTAATAAAGTTATTAATAGTTTGTCCTATGGTCAGGAATGAACAAGGATAGCTTGGAGGTTAAAAGTAAGATGGAATTGGTTAGGTCAGATCTCTTTCTTTTTTTTTGAGATGGAGTTTCACTTTGTCGCCCAGGCTGGAGTGCAGTGGCAGGATCTCAGCTCACTGCAACTTCAGCCTTCTTGGTTCAAGCAATTCTCCTGCCTCAGCCTTCTGAGTAGCTGGGACTACTGGCATGCACCACTACGCCTGGCTAGTTTTTGTATTTTTACTAGAGACGGGGTTTCACTATGTTGGCCAGGCTGGTCTTGAACCCCTGACCTCAGGTGATTCCCTCACCTCGGCCTCCCAGAATTCTGGGATTACAGGCATGAGCCACAGCACCCGGCCAGGTCAGATCTCTTTTCACTGCCTCAGTTATAATTTTGCAGTGGCCATTTCAACATTGGCCTATATTGTTAGGCCACAATATATCAGAAGGAGGATCATCTACTTCAGGTGATCCTGGATCATCAAACCATGCTGACATTGATGACAGCATGTCGGGAGCAAATGATGTCAATGACTAACAGGCAGGTGGCATACACAGCATGCATATGTTGGACAAAAGGGATGGAGCTGGGCTGGATGGAGCAGGACAACGCGAAATTTCATTATGATACTAAAAAGGGTGCATAAATTCATAATTTAAAACTTATGAATTGTTTATTTCTGGAATTTTCCATTTAATATTTTTAGGCTCTTGTTGACCACAGATAACTAAAGTTCACAGAAATTGAGCCACTAACAATGGGGGACTACTGTATCAGAAGTTAAAGAGGGGTCATCAATACTGATCCCATGGATATTAAAAGGATGATAAAGGAATATCACGAACAACTGTTGCCATAAATTTGATAACCTAGATGAAATAGGCCAATTCCTTGAAAGATATAAACTACCAAAACTCACACAAGAAACAATAATCTTGATAAGCCTATATCTATTAAAGAAATTGAGTCAATAATTGATAACCTTCCAAAAATGAAAGCACAAAACAACTATAAAGCTGGAGGACTGACACCCCCTGACTCCAAGACTTACTACAAAGCCATAGAAATCAAGACAGCATGGAACTGACAAAACAACAGACCCATGGATCAATGGAACAGAATGAAGAGCCCAGAAATAGACCCACACCAAAGGAACAAAGCAATTCAATGGAGAAGGGAGAGCCTGTTCAACAAATGATGCTGGAACAACTGGATGTGCACATGCAAAAAAAAAAAAAAAAAAAAAAAAGGAATCTACACACAAATCTTGCTCCTACAAATACTAACTGAAAATGGATCATACAGCTAAATGTACAATGCAAAAATTATAAAACCTCTAGAAGCTAACTGTATTTGTATTCATGCTGCTGATAAAGATAAAAACTGGGCAGTTTACAAAAGAAAGAGGTTTAATTGGACTTACAGTTCCACATGGCTGGGAAAGCCTCAGAATCATGGCAGAAGGCGAGGAGGAGCAAGTCACAAGTTACGTGGATGGTGGCAGGCAAAGAGAGGGAGCTCGTGCAGGGGAATTCCTCTTTTTAAAACCATCAGATCTCATGAGACTTATTCACTATCATGAGAACAGCATGGGAAAGGCTTGCCGCCATGATTCAGGTACCTCTGACTGGGTCCCTCCCACAACACACGGGAATTCAATATGAGATTTGGGTGGGGACAGAGCCAAACCATATCATTCTGCCCCAGGCCATTCCCAAATCTTGCATCCTCACATTTCAAAACCAATCATGCCTTCCCAACAGTCCCCCAAAGTCTTAACTCATTTCAGCATTAACTCAGAAGCCCACCATCCAAAGTTCATTGGAGACAAGTCCCTTCCACCTATAAGCCTGTAAAATCAAAAGCAAGTTAGTTACTTCCTAGATACAATGGGGGTACAGGTATTGGGTAAATACAGCCACTCCACATGAAAGAAATTGTCTAAAACAAAGGGGCTACAGGCCCCCATAGAAGTCTGAAATACAACAGGGCAGTCAAATCTCAAAGCTCCAAAATGATCTCCTTTGACTCCATGTCTCACATCTGGGTCACACTGATGCAAGAGGTGGGTTCCTATGGTCTTGGGCAGTTCTGCTCCTGTGGCTTTGCAGGGTATAGCCCCCCTCCTGTCTGCTTTCACGGGCTGGTGTTGAGTGTCTGTGGCTTTTCCAGGTGCACTGTGAAAGCTGTCAGTGGATCTATCATTCTGGGGTCTGGAGGATGGTAACTCTTTTCTCACAGCTCCACTATGCAGTGCCCCAGTAGGGACTCTGTGTGGGGGCTCTGACTCCACATTTCCCTCTGCACTGCCCTAGCAGAGGTTCTCCATGAGGGCCCTGCCCTTACAAATTTTTGCATGGACATCGAGGCATTTCCATACATCCTCTGAAATCTAGGGGGAGGTTTACAAACCTCAATTCTTGACTTTCTGTGTAACCACAGGCTCTACACCATGTGGAAGCTGCCAAGGCTTGGGGCTTCCACCCTCTGAAGCAACAGCCTGAGCTGTACCTTGGCCCTTTTTAGTCACAGCTGGAGCAGCTGGGATGCAGGGCACCAAGTTCCTAGACTGCACACAGCAGAGGGACCCTGGGCCCAGCCCACAAAACCATTTTTTCCTCCTAAACCTTTGGGCCTGTGATGGGAGGGGCTGCCATGAAGGTCTCTGACACCCTGGAGACATTTTCCCCATTGTTTTGGTGGTTAACATTTGGCTCCTTGTTACTTATGCAAATTTCTGCAGCCAGCTTGAAATTCTCCTTAGAACATGGGATTTTCTTTCCTACCACATTTGATCAGGCTGCAAATTTTCTGAACTTTTATTCTCTGCTTCCCTTTTAAAACTGAACACCTTTAACAGCACCCAAGTCACCTCTTGAATGTTTTGCTACTTAGAAATTTCTTCTGCTAGATACCATCATCTCCCTCAAGTTCAAATTTACACAAATCTCTAGGGCAAGGGCAAAATGCCACCAGTCTCTTTGCTAAAACATAACAAGAGTCACCTTTGCTCCAGTTCCCACCAAGTTCCTCATCTCCATCTGAGACCACCTCAGCCTGGATTTCATTGTGCATATCATTATCAGCATTTTGTTGATGCCATTCTACAAGTCCCTAGGGAGTTCCAAACTTTTCCTGTCTTCTTCTGAGCCCTCCAAACTGTTCCAACCTCTGTCTGCTACCAAGTTCCAAAGTAGCTTCCACATTTTCAGGTATCTTTTCAGCAGCACCCCACTCTACTGGTACCAATTTACTGTATTAGTCTGTTTTCATGCTGCTGATAAGGACATACCTGAGACTGAGCAATTTACAAAAGAAAAAGTTTTAATTGGACTTACAGTCCCATGTGGCTGAGGAAGCCTCACAATCACGGTGGAAGGCAAGGAGGAGCAAGTCACATCTTACATGGATATTGGCAAGCAAAGAGGAGAGAGCTTGTGCAGGAGAATTCCTCTTTTAAAAACCATGAGATCTCATGAGACTTATTCACTATCATGAGAATAGCATGGGAAAGACTTGCCCCCATGATTCAATTACCTCCCACTGGATCCCTCCCACAATACATGGGAATTCAAGATGAGATTTGGGTGGGAATACAGCCAAACCATATCAGTAACATAAGAGAAAATCTGATAAATCTTGGTTTTGGTGATGAGTTTTTAAATATAACATCAAAAGTATGATCTATGGAGGCTGGGTGTGGTGGTCATGCCTGTAATTCCAACACTTTGGGAGGCTCTGGTGGGTGGATCATTTGAGGCCAAGAGTTCAAGACTAGCCTTGGCAACACAGTGAAACCCCATCTCTACTAAAAATAGAAAAAATTAGCTGGGCCTGGTGGTGCACACCTGTAATTCCAGCTACTCGGGAGGCTGAGGTATGAGAGTCACTTGAAATGGGGAAGCAGAGGCTGTAGTGAGCCGAGATCACACCACTGCACTCTAGCCTGGGCAACAGAGTGAAACTCTGTCTCAAACAAACAAACAAACAAAGTATGATCTATGAAAAAAAATTCACAAATTGTACTTTATTAAAATTATAGCCTTCTGATGTATGGCTAAATGAAAAGGTAGAAAATCTCAGCAAAGAAATAGAATTTTTTTTTCGAGATGGAGTCTCCCTCTGTTGCCCAGGCTAGAGTGCAGTGGCAGTATCTCGGCTCACTGCAACCTCTGCCCCCCGGGTTCAAGCAATTTTCCCGCCTCAGCCTCCTGAGTAGCTGGGATTACAGGCACCCATCACCATGCCCAGCTAATTTTTATATTTTTAGTAGGGATGGGGTTTCATCATGCTGGCCAGGCTGGAGAAATTTTTTTTTTTAAAGAACCAAATTGTAGTAATGGAGAGGTATAGGGAGGAACAAATAGAAATATGAGAACAGAAATATACAATATCCTTGGTGTCACAGCTCAGGAGGAAAAAATTCACTAGATGGGTTGAACAACAGAATGGAGAGGAATAGAAACTAGTTGGTGAACTCGAAGATAGATGAATAGGAATTACACAATCTGAAGAATACAGAGAAAAAAATGTTAAAAACAATTAAATCAAACAATGTCTCAGGGACCTGTAGGTCCTGACACCAAAAATACAAAAGGATATTATTATATGGTCTGACATACATGTAATTGGAGTCCTAGAAGGAGAGAAATGAGAATGAGGCAGAATAAAATATTTGAAGGAAAAAATGGTCAAATACTTCCTAAATTTGATAAAGATATAAATTTCAAATTTCAAGAAGATAACCAAACCCCAACCAGGATAAAATTTTTTTAAATGACCAGGCACAGTAGCTCACACCTGTGTAACCCCAGCACTTTGGGAGGCTGAGGCAGAAGGATCATTTGAGGCCAGGAGTTCGAGACAAGCCTGGCCAAAAACATACTAAGACCTCTGTCTGTACAAAAAAATTTAAAAAAAGGAAGAAAGAAAAAGAAAACTGTGCCAAGAAATATCAGGTCAAACCAATATCTGAAAACCAAAGATAAAGATAAAATGTTGAGGCTGGCCGTAGTGGCTCATGCCAGTAATCCCAGCTACTTGGGAGGCTGAGGCATGAGAATTGCTTGGACGTGGGAGGCAGAGGTTGCAGTGAGCTGAGATCATGCCACTGCACTGCAGCCTGGGCAACAGAGCAAGATTCTGTCTCAAAAAATAATAATAATAAATAAAAAGAGAAAATGTTGAAAGTAGACAGTGTAGCCAGGCACGATGGCTCATGCCTGTAATCCCAGCACTTTGGAAGGCTGAAGTGGGCGGATCATCTGAGGCCAGGAGTTTGAGACCAGCCTGACCAACATGGTGAAACCCTGTCTCTACTAAAAATACAAAATTAGCCGGGTGTGGTGGTGCATGCCTGTAATCTCAGCTACTCAGGAGGCTGAGGTAGGACAATGGCTTGAACCCTGGAGGTGTCTTGGTGACAGAGCAAAACTCTGTCTCAAAAGAAAGAAAGAAAAAAAGAAAGAAAGAAAGAAAGAAAAGAAGACAGTGTAAAACAACACACTACCTAGGTAGCACTAGTAATTTGCTTGACTGCTGACTTTTCATTCAAAAACTATGGGGTCAGAAGATAGTGGAACAACATTTTAAAATGATGAATGAAATTCAATATTTCCATATAAAATTCTATATCCAGTGAAATAATCATTCCTTCAGGAATGAAAATCAAATAAAGACATTAGAGGGGAAAAAGTGAAGAGAATTTATCATCTGCAGTCCTGCATCATAAGACATGCCAAAGGGAGTTCTTCAGGCAGAAGGGAAATGATACCACGTGAAAATTTTCGGAAAGGAATGAAAAGTATAGAAAATGGTAAATATCCTGGTAACTATATAAGATTATTTTATTTTTAATTTATTTAAAGACATATGACTGTTTTAAAGAAAAAAATAACAAAAAATGCAAAAATTAGCCAGGCATGGTGGCACATACCTGTAGTCCCAGCTACTTAGGAGGCTGAGGTGGGAGGATTGCTTGAGTCTGGGAGGTTGAGTCTGCAGTGAGCTGTGATTGCACCACTGCACTCCAGCCTGCGTGACAGAGTGAGACCTTGTTTCAAAAAAAAAAAGAAAGAGAGAAAAAAGAAAAGAAAAAACTATAATATTGTCTTGGAGAGTTTATAGAGTATATAGAAATAATGCATCTGACAGTTGTAGCATAAAGGACAGACACAGCCAGGTGTGGTGGCTAATGCCTGTTATCCTAGTATTTTGGGAGGCTGAGGCTGGAGGATATCTTGAGATCAGGAGTTCGAGACCAGCCTGAGCAACGTAATGAACACCATCTCTATTTTAAAAAAAGGGCCAGCATGGTAGCTCATGCCTGTAATCCCAGCACTTTGGGAGGCCAAGGTGGGCGGATCACCTGAGGTTGGGAGTTCAAGACCAGCCTGACCAACATGGGGAAACCCTGTCTCTACTAAAAATACAAAATTAGCGGGGTGTGGTGGCACACGCCTGTAATCCCAGCTACTCAGAAGGCTAAGGTAGTAGAATCGCTTGAACCCGGGAGGTGGAGGTTGAGGTGAGCCAAGATCGTGCCATTGCACTCTACTGGGCAACAGGAGCGAAACTCCATCTCAAAAAATAAAAGAAAGAAAAGGAAAGACAGACAGGAGTGTAGCAAATATGGGTAACGGTAAAAGAAAAGACAGACAGGAGGGTAGCAAATATGAGCTGGAAATAGCATGTGAAATCATGCAAGATGAACCCCAAGTTGACTGTGAAAAGTTAAGGATATATACTATATTTGTTGCTGTTTTCGAGACAGGGTCTCACTCTGTCATCCAAACTGGTGTGCAGTGGCACAATCTTAGATCACTGAAACCTCCGCTTCCTGGGCTCAGGTGATTCTCCAGCTGCAGCCTCCCGAGTAGCTGGGACTACAGGCACAAGCCACCATGCCTGGCTAATTTTTGTGTATATAGAATTTTTGTATATGTATATATGTTTTTTTTGGTAGAGATGGGGTTTCACCATGTTTCCCAGGCTGGTCTCATACTCCTGAGCTCAAAGCAATCCCCACCCTGGCCTCCCAAAGAATTACATTGTAATTCTTAGAGAAACCACAAAAGATATGCAGAACCAATAAGTCAATTAAAATGGAATTCTAAAGAATTTTCAAATAAATCAAAAGAAGGTGGGGGAGAAGTCTTCATCATTTGTAAGTGGGAATCACACAGTCACCCTTCACAGAGCTATTGAGAGACTGAGATAGATATGGCAGTGGCTGCAGGGCCTCTGAGCAAGGCTGCTGGAGGAAGGGAGTGGGGAGGAGGCAGGCAGTTTCTCACTCAGCCCAGGAGGAGTGGACTGATATTATCTAGTCACAACGGAGGGACACCTTAGCCATTCAGACGACCGCTAGGACCCTGCCTGGCTCTCACAATGTAGGGGGTCTCCTTCGCACTTCCTGATCCTTCTGTCCTCCCTCTGCTTCAGCCTTTCCCCTCTTCTTAACCTAACCAGGTGCCCAAAAGGGCAAAAAGCCTCAATTCTTTGCATGGGCTTTGTTCTGGCATGCAACACTGTCAGGCCCTCAGTCCCCTTCCACACTACTGGGCTGGCAGATTGTACCAACTTCCCCCAACTCACATTAGTCCTACACGTGACCCCTGTTTGACCTGGCTAGGGCTCAAGGTCATCAGGGACTAGCAAAGCCATGGTAAGGCAGGAGGTAGTAAGCTGGGGAGTCATGGTCCTCCTCTTTCTCTTTGCTTCTGAGGTCCCAAAGCCCCAGAACAGGGATCCCAGAGTCATGAGGACTAAACAGGACAATGTGTTAATTCACTCATTCCTTCATTCATTCTGCATTATGGACCTACTCTTCGCCAGATGCTGGCAATACAGAAGTAAGAAACCTGTTCCCTGCCTTCAGGCAACTCCCAGGCTGGTTAGGAGACAGACGCTGTCTGTGGTTAGTGCATGAATTTATGAGCTGGTGCACAGCAGTAAGCCCAGGATGCTGTGGGGACAGAGATGAAGGACATGAAGGAGGGCCTTCTGGAGGAGGTGGCACCTTGATATGATTTGGCTCTGTGTCCCCACCCAAGTCTCATTTCGAATTGTAATCCCTATGTGTTGAAGGAGGAGCCTATGGGGGAGGTAATTGAATCATGTGGGCAGACTTCCCCCCTGCTGTTCTGGTGGTGGAGTTCTCACAAGATCTGGTTGTTTAAAAGTGTGTAGCACTTCCCCCTTTGCTCTCTCTCTCCTGCCACCATGTGAAGATGTGTTGCTTCCCCTTTGCCTTCTGCCATGATTGTAAGTTTCCTGAGGCCTCCGTAGCCATGCTTTCTGTACAGCCTGTGGAACTGTGAGTCAATTAAACTTCTTTTCTTTATGAATTACCCAGTCTCAGGTAGTTCTTTATAGCAGGGTGAGGACGGACTAATACACACCTGTAATAAATCTTCTAAGTTGAGTAGAAGTTAGCCAAGTCAAGAAGGTGAGCGGGCATTCAGGAAGAGGATCCCACTTATGCAAAGATTCGAAGGCGAGAGGCCTGCAGCCTGCACCTCTGGAAAAAGCAGGGCTGCACAGTGGCTGGGGCTTGGCACATGACGGGAAGAGGGCGGGGGATGAGGCTGGCAGGAAGGGTGTCAGGAGCTCAGCAGTTTAGGATATTGCACAGGGCCTGTGCCGAGCGGGCAGTGGTCAGGGAAAGGACTGGAAGCATTCTGGAGGTGTCCTGACAGGAGACTCCACCGGGCTCTAGACTGCCTGGAAGTGGGGGAGAAAGAGAAGGCAAGGAGGAGGTCCTGTGTCTGCCTTCAGAGGCCTGGCGGAACTGACATTGTAACTGAGACTCCACAGCCTCTGAGACGGTGGCTTCAGCCAGGCTCTGCCAGCAGGTCTCCTCCCCTTTCACCAGCCCAGGCCCCAGCCTGCAGGGTTCTCCCCCTACCTTGTCAGCCAGGCGCTCCTGAATGTATCTCAGGCAAACCTCCCCCACTTCCCCCACAGAACCCCTCACTGACTCAGCTGTTTTAGGAGCTATGTGAGGGCAGTGCCTCCTTCCCGCCAGGCCACTGGTGCCCCAGGAAGGCTGGTACTTGTATAAAGGCCTGCAGTCGTGACGTCCGAAAGCTGCCCCGCCTCATAGTGCTGCTGGCCCTGCAGGCCTTGCTAGTGGCCAAGCCATGTTTAGTATGAAGTTAGAAGTCTCTTCTCTCCAAGTCTGTGCTGCACTTGTCACCAGGCCCCAAAGCAGAGCGATTTGGGTCCTGTGTCTCAGAGCTGGTGGAAAACACACATACACGGCTACTTCGTCTTCTGCCTGCAGATCCACTCCAGGATTTCCACATCTGCCTGCAGCCCAGTCAGGGCCTCTGCTATGGGCTCATCACGAAGTAGGGTGATCAGCCCCTCCCAGCTTGTCCAGGGCTTTCCTGGCTTGGGCACTGAAAGTCCTATGTCCCAGGAAACCCGTCAGTCCTGGGTAAACTGGGGCAGTGGGTCACTGTGACATGGAAGGGGAGAGCGTGGGCGAGATGGTAAGTCAGCCCCAAGATGGAGCCTGGCCTAGGGAGTCCCTAATAAGGGTTCAGAGCTGGGGGAGATGGGGCTTTGGTTCAGGCCCCTGGTGAGTTATGAATCTCCAAGCGAGGTCTGAGAACTGAACATGGACTTGTTTCTTTAGGAAACTGTTCTGGTTTCCAAATAACCAACCTTCCTACAACCTGCAGAAGAAACTAGAGGATGCTAAAACGTGGAGAATTTCATAAGAAAAAGAAAATTTTAGCGCTAGGAAGGACCTCACACATTGAATTTTCACCACGTTCCCACCCATTTAACAGTTCAGAAAGGTGAGGCTAACTGTTAAGAAAATGGTCTTTGAAGTCAGGCAGCTCAGGGTTAAATCCTGGCTCTGTCATATAACAGTCATCCCTGGGTGGTGGGTGACTTTCTCACTGACCCACAATCAGTCCTTTAGCCTCTGTGTCATCTCCTCGAGTCACAGAGAGCTCATGACCTCTCCCGGCCACCACTGGGCAGGTCTCACTAACAGGAAGGTCTTCCCTGATTTAGTCCTATTCTTCCTCAGTTTAATTTCTCCCCAGAGGTGCTTAAAACATAGAAGAATATGTTGAATGCCTTGTCCTCATGACAGCCTTCAAGTGTTTGAGGATGGTGTCCATCTTCCCCCGCATCCAGGCAAGGGCCCTAGCCAGCTCCTAATATTTATGGACAACCACTCTGTAGACCTTCAGGCTATGGAAGGTGAGGTCGCCTTTCCAAGTTCATGCAGCTAAGAAAGGAACAAGGCCGGGCGCAGTGGCTCACATCTGTAATCCCAGCACTTTGGGAGGCTGAGGCGGGCGGATCACTTGAGTTCAGGGGTTTGAGACCAGCCTAGGCAACATGGCAAAACCCCGTCTCTACCAAAGATACAAAAACTAGCCATGCGTGGTGACATGTGCCTGTTGTCCCAGCTCCTTGGAAGGCTAAGGTGGGAGAATTACTGGAGCCTGGGAAGTCGAGGCTGCAGTGAGCTGTGATTATGCCACTATACTTCAACTTGGGTGACAGAGCAAGACCCTGTCTAAAAAAGAATAATAATAGAAGTGGGCCGGGCACGGTAGCTCACGCCTGTAATCCCAGCACTTTGTGAGGTCGAGGCAGGCGGATCACTTGAGGCCAGGAATTTGAGACCAGCCTGGTCAACACAGTGAAACCCCATCTCTACCAAAAATACAAAAGTTATCGAGGAGTGATTGTGCATGCCTGTAATCCCAGCTACTCAGGAGGCTGAAGCACAAGAATCGCTTGAACCTGGGAGGCGGAGATTGCAGTGAGCCAAGATCACACCACTGCACTCCAGCCTGGGTGACAGAGCCAGACCCTGTCTCAAAAATAAATAAATAAAATAATAGAAGTGAACAAGCCATTATCTGAGCCCAGCATTGTCTCGGCCTTTTTATGGTTCCTTGTGACATGCACGATTTTGTTAACCTTCTCTCTACCCTTGTATTCATTTCCTGGGGCTGCGGCAACAAATTACCACAAGCTGAGAAGCTTAAAACAAGAGAAATTTATTATCTTATAGTTCCAGAGGCTGGAAGTTCAAAATCAAGGTGCTGGCAGGGCCATACCTTCTCTGAAGGCTCTGGGAGAGGACCCTTCCTTGCTCCTTCTAGCTCACTGGGGTTGTGGTGATCTTTGGCAGTCCTTAACTCACAGATGCATCACTGCAGTCTCTGCCTCCATCTTCATGCAGCCTTCTCCCTGGGTTGTGGCTTCCCATCATCTTTTCTCTGTGCTGTCTCTCTCTTTTTTTGTTTTTGTTTGTTTGTTTTTTTCTCCTCTTTCTCCAGACTGTGAGTGTCTGTGTCCAAATTTCCCTGTTATAAGGACACTAATCACTGGATTTAGGGTCTAACTAATCCAGTGTAACCTCATTTCAACTTGATCATATCAGCAAAGACCCTATTTACAAAAAAGGCCATAGTCACAGGTTCTGGGTATTAGGACTTGAACATGCCTTTTTGGGGACACAATTCAATCTCATACCAAATGTGACTGAAACTAATTCAGAGGCTGGGCACAGTGGTGGAGGCCAAGGCGAGAGGATCACTTGAGCCCAGGAATTCAAGAACAGCCTGGGCAATACGGCGAAACCCCGTCTCTACAAAAAGTACAAAAATTAGCCAGGCATTGTGGCAAACACCTGTAGTCCCAGCTGCTCTGGAGGCTGAGGTGGGAGGATGGCTTGAGCCCAGGAGGTCAAGGCTGCAATGAGCCATGATTGTGCCACTGCCCTTTAGCCTGGGCAACAGAGTGAGATGCTGCCTCAACAAAAAAAAAAAAAAAGAAAGAAAGAAAGAAAGAAAGAAAGAAAGAAAGAAAGAAAGAAAGAAAGAAAGAAAGAGAAAGAAACGGAAAAGAAACTAATTCATCAAGAGGAAGCTGCTGAACAGACATGGTCATGTATGGGGAATAGACAGTAATGGTCATGTATGGGGAATAGAGAGTTTATGCTTAGGGTGTGATGGAGGGCAGGGCAGAGCCGACACTCAGAGCCCAAGCCCTCCGGGAGAAGGCCTGACTGCCCCAGGCCAGCAACAGAGCCCCAGACGGAAACCTGGTTTTTTCTCGGTCACCAGACTGTCTTGTGCTTTTCCTGGCTGCTGTGTCTGCCTTCCAGCCTGCAGGACGGGAGGCAGAATGGGCAGATGAAGGAGACCAGAATGGGGAGGCCTGCACTAACAATTTGCAATGACCCCTGGGCAGGTCACAGCGTTGCTCTGTAAGACACCGTAGATCTCAGCTGCCACTGAACTGACCTCATCTGTCAAGCAGCAACTCTGTCTGGAGCTCCAAGGATCCTTGGCAAGGGCTGGAATGACTGGGAAGGAGAGGAATTTTTCTTCAAAGAAAAGATAGAAGACTACCAGGGCAAAAAGTATAGTTCTCTCCTTTCTCAGAGCCATTGACTAAAGCCCAGTTTGTGAGAAGGACAGCCTCCACCAACATCTCATTATTTAAAAGAAAGGCCTCTGCCAGGCACGGTGGCTCATGTTGTAACCCCAGCGCTTTAGAAGGCGGAGGCATATGGATTACTTGAGGCCAGGAGTTTGAGACCAGCCTGGCCAACGTGGGGAAACCCTGTCTCTACTAAAGATATAAAAATTAGCCAGGCACAGTGGTGGGCACCTGAAATCTCAGCTACTGGGGAGGCTGAGGCAGGAAAATCGCTTGAACCTGGGAGGTGGAGGTTGCAGTAAGCTGAGATTGCACCACTGCACTCTAGTCTGGGTGACAGAGACTCTGTCTCAGCAGAAAAATAAATAAACAAAATTTAAAAATAACGAATAAAAGGAAGTCCTCTGAGTAGGGACTCCAGGGTCCTTCCTGTGTCTGAGACCTCTCCCTGGGAAGAGCAGCTGTGTGGAAAGTGCTACTTGAAGTCAGCAGAGCAGGGTTCGAGTCTTAGCTCTGCCAGGCACCAGCAGTTTGGCTTGAGGTTGTTACTCTCCCTCTCTCTGTGCCTCATGTCCCTGCCTCTAAAGAAGGGAGAGTTGTGGGGTGGGGCTAGTGGGGAGGGATAGCATTAGGAGATATACCTAATGTTAAATGATGAGTTCATGGGTGCAGCACACCAACATCACACATGTATACATATGTAACAAACCTGCACGTTGTGCACATGTACCCTAAAGTATTTAAAGTACAATAAAAAATAAAATAAAATAAAATAGAAATAAAAATAAAAAATAAAAACATTTGTCCTCTGCCTCCCTGGCCTCCACTCCACCCTCTTACAGCAACGCCCGTAGGTTTTCATTTTGGGCTCCGCCCCTCCCCAGCTCTCAGGCCGGACCCATACCACATTCAGGACATGAAGCTTTTGGTGTGTTCCTCAAACCACTGGGAACATTGCTTTCTTCTGGCTACAGTAATTGCCTCAGGGACAATTACTGAGCTGGTCATCAGGGTGGATGACTGGGATCCTGCAGGAGCTGCTGGAAAAGAGATTTTCACTTTCCCACTGGCCTTGGGGCTCTGGGGATATAAATCTACAGCCACCTGGCCACCATGAGAAGAGAACCCACCGCTGTCGGGGTGACAACACGGTGCCAGCTCAAGGAGGAAAGAACCAAGAGACAGGGTGGCATGGTCCGGGAGACACTATCAAATCCAGAAACCCACCATGCCTGAAGCCAGACCCAGCCCCTCGACATTTCAGTCACATAAACCAATCTGTTCCCTTTTTGGTTAAAGCCTGTTTGAGCAGTCCTGTGTCACTTGGAACAAAAATGTCCTAATCAATACAAATCGATAGTACTCACTTCAGTGGGTCACTGTACGATTCAACAGAATGAGATCATCAGACTATGACCTTTTTGAGGACAGGCACTGTCTTATTCACATGGGTGTTCCTAGTCACTGACCCATAGTAGACGCTCAAATGTTTGTAGAATAAATGAATATCATGTTTAAATGCTCCTGAAGCTTTTAAGTTTCTTAATAAATGTAGTTAATAGTATATTCCAGCAAAATTAATCGTATCATCTGTTCTTGTGGCATATTACCCTTCTCCTAAAATTTGGACAATGAGTCAATAATCCCACTATGGCTTCCCTCATTAATTAAATAATGGAGCCTGGAGTGGTGGCTCACACCTGTAATCCCAACACTTTGGGAGGCTGAGGCAGGCAGATCACTTGAGCTCAGGAGTTCGAGACCAGCCTGGCGACATGGCAAAACTCCGTCTCTACAAAAAATACAAAAATTAGCTGGGCATGGTGGCCCAAGCCTGTGGTCCCAGCTACTTGGTAAGCTAAGGGGGGAGGATCAATTGAGCCAGGGAGATCGAGGAAGCAGTGAGCCATGTTCTTGCCACTGCACTCCAGCCTGGGCAACAAAGTGAGACCCTGTCTAAAAAATAAATAAATAAAAATAAAATTAAATAACAAAGTTCACAGTATCTATGGATTGCCTTGTATGTTCCAAGGTGGGGCAGTCAAGAGTCCAGTAAGTAACAAGAACAACACATGGAAATTGCCCTTGTGAGGTCCCAACAATTGTGAAGTGGTGTGTGATGAAGTTGCCCTAGGGATGATCCCAGCCATGGGGACAGAGCAGGATCAGCTAATCCTGACTTAGAGGTCACACGGGGCTTCCCTGAGGAAGTGTCTGCTGGGGACAAGGAAGGGGCCAAGGAAGAGTTCACTGGGTGATGGGGATGGGTGGGAAAGTGTTGGAGGAAGGGAAAACAGCCTGTGCAAAGGCAAGGAGAAGTTTGAGGAACAGAGGTCAGTGTGGTTTGAGAGGAGAGACCCAGGCGGTGTGCACTGATGAGGCTGGCAGGATTCAGGGGAGACCCCTATTGGGACCTGGGACTTCAGCCTTAGAGTGAAGGGGAGGTGCTGAAGGGGCATGGCAGGAGTACACACTCAGAATGGCACTGCCAGAGAGCTCCTAGGCTGAAGAGTGAAGGAAGGTCGGGCAGCACACCAGGGGTATGGCCAGAACCCAAGGAGAGGCAGCAGGATGGAGGGAAATGGGCTGATTCCAGGGTTGTCTGGAAGGCAGAACAGTGATGGCATGGATGTTGGGAAAGAGGGAGGGGGAAGAGTCAAGGGCAGTTAGGAGGACCGTGCAGCCATGCCCTGAGAAAGATTTCCACAGGGAAGAGTGAGATGGGCATTCCCGTTCTCCTCCTCTTTCTATGACTAAGGAACGTTGCGTTGGCCCACCCAACTGTTGGACTTTATAGTGGGCTGCGGGCGGGAGAACTGCTGGGGCGCTGGCTGGGTTTCTTTTTCTTCTTTTCAGAGATGGGGTCTTGCTCTGTCACCCAGGCTGGAGTGCAGTGGCACAATCACAGCTCACTGCAGCCTCCAACTCCTGGGCCCAAGTGATCCTCCTGCCAAGTAGCTGGGACTACAGGCATGCACCACTAGGCCCAGCTAATTTTTCAAATATTTTGTAGAGACAGCCTCACTGTGTTGCCCAGGCTGGTCTCAAACTCCTGGGCTCAAATGCTCCTCCTGCCTTGGCCAAAGTGCTGGGATTACAGGTGTGAGCCACCAGGCCTGGCAGGCTGGGTTTCTATGGAAAGTGCTGAAAGGTAGATGAGGTTATTTGAATGGTGGAAGTTGGGAGTGAGGGGAAGGCAGCAGCCGCCACACATGCAAGGACAGGGACACACACACACACACACACACCCCCACACCCACACCCACACACACGTACTTAGGGAAACAGGCTTTCAAACGTTTTGCTACATCAGTGTAATTTCCTGCATTCATTTCGTAGGGCTGCCATTGCTACAAACTTCGTGGCTTGAAACAAAAGACATTTATTCTCCCACAGGTCTGGAGGCTACAAGCCTGAAACCCAAGTGTCAGCAGGGCCACAGTCCTCCTCCAGCTTCTGGTGGCTTTGATCAGATCACATTACTAGATTAGTGCAAAAGTAATTGCGGTTTTGCTGTTAAAGGTAATGGCAAACTTTTAATGGCAAAACCGCAGTTACTTTCGCACTAACATATAAGTTCCAAGTGTTCTTTCTCTATTCTAAATACAAGTCCTTTATCAGATTTATGATGTGCAAATATTTTCTCCCATTCTGTGGGTTGTCTTTTCACTCTTTTCACAGTGTCCCTTGAAGCATGAAAGTTTTAAATTTTGATGAAGTCCAATTTATCAAATGTTTCTTGGGTTGCTTATGCTTTGGATGTCATAGCTAAAAAATGACTTCCAAACCTAATCTAGTGAATATTTTCCCCTCTATTTTCTTCTAAGAGTTTAATAGTTTTAGCACGTATATTTAGCTTTATGTCTACCCAACGTTTTGAGTATAATAAGATGGGGGCCCACAAAGTGGCTAAATGAGTAAGATGAGATTGTGGGAAGGGCCTGCGCAGGCTTTGGAGACAGCTCCCGACACCCTCATCCTCTTCCCCATCCTTATCCCCGGGGTCCATATCCTGCAGGAGCTGCCACCTGAGGCTGGAATGCCTCTCATGGAAGGGCGTTCTTGAGAGCAGCTGAGAGGCCTGTCTCAGGTCTGCAGGGTTGAAGACAAACCCTAGAGCAAGACTGCAAGGCACAGGGCATGGTGGTTTATGCCTGTAATCCCAGCTACTCAGGAGGCCAAGGCTAGAGGATCGCTTGAGCCAGGGAGTTTGAGACCAGCCTGGGCAACATAGCAAGACCTCATCTCTAAAAAAATAAAAATAAAAAAAATTTGCCAGAAGTGGTGGTGCCTGCCTGTGGTCCCAGCTACTCAGAAGGCTCAGGCAAGAGGATCACTTGAGCCTAGGAGGTCAGGGCTGAAGTGAGCTATGATCATGCCACTGCACTCCAACCTGGGCAACAGAGTGAGGCCCCACCTCTAAAAACAAAAACAAAAAGAACTATAGGACAAGAGTCAAGAACCAGAGAAGTTGGTTTTGCAGAATGTACCAGAAACAGAGCTGGAGCAGACTGCCAGGGGGAAGGAGCATGTGGTCAAAAATGGAACAATCCGCCCACCAGAATAGCTGGCCAAAAACATACAACACAAAAAATAAAGTGAACAAATGAAAAACAGGTACGGCCAAGTATTGGTGAGCACGACAAGCAACCGGAACTCTCATACATGGCCCGTGGAAGCGAAAATTGTTCCAGTCACTTTGGAAAATGGCAAGTTTCTGCTAAGTTGAGCATATACCTTGCCTCTGACCCAGCAGTCCACATCTAGGTACATACCCAGCATGAATACACACATATGTTTCCCAAGACAGGTACAAGAATGGTCACAGAAGCAATATGCTTAATAGCCAACAAATGGAAATCACTTAAACATCCATCAGCAACAGAATGAATAAAGAAATTGTGGCTTACTTATACCATGGAATATATTATAGAGCAATGAGAATGAATGAACCACAACATGAATAAATCTCACGTACACAGCATTAACCAGAAGAAGTTAGAGCCAAAAGAATATATATTGTAATGTTATATTTATATAAAATACAGCCAGGCACGGTGGCTCACACCTGTAATCCCAGCACTTTGGGAGGCCAAGTCGGGTGGACTGCTTGAGCCCAAGAGTTCAAGATCAGCCTAGGAAACAATTAGACTCCGTCTCTGCAAAAAGACAAAAAAATCAGCCAGGCGTGGTGGCACATGCCTGTAGTCTGAGCTGGGAGGATCACTTGAGCCCAGGAGGTGGAGGCCGCAGTGAGCTGTGATTACATCACTGCACTCCAGCCTGGGTGATAGAGCAAGACCTTATCTCACAAAATAAAATAAAATAAAGTAGGCCGGGCACGGTGGCTCACGCCTGTAATCCCAGCACTTTGGGAGGCCGAGGCAGGTGGATCACTTGAGGCCAGGAGTTCGAGACCAGACTGGCCACCATGGTGAAACCCTGTCTCTACTAAAAATACAAAAATCAGCCAGGCATGATGGCGTGTGCCTGTTAGTCCTAGCCACTCTGGAGGCTGAGGCAGGAGAATCACTTAAACCTGGGAGGCAGAGGTTGAGGCAGAGGTTGCAGTGAGCCAAGATAGCGCCACTACACTCCAGCCTGGGCAATGGAGCAAGACTCTGTCTCAAAATAAAATAAAATAATAAAAAAACATAATATAAAATTAAATTAAATTAATACAATAAAATAAAATACAAAGCAGGAAAATTAATGCTGCTAGGGTTAGAAGAAGGGTCAGCCTTAGGGAGCATAGTGCCTGAAGGCAGCACAGGGCAGGAGCTGTTTGCATTCTCTTTCTTAATTTGGGTGCGCTTACGTGGATCTGCTCACGTTGAAAATTCATCAAACTGTCAACTTCTGATTTTGATTATTTTGGGCATGTATATTGAATCATAAAATTTACAACAACAAAAAACAGAACAAGCAGAAACTGGGTGTGATGCTATGGTCAGAGGTGGAATGGCGATGAGTCTCTGTAGGGCTGGCCCCAGCCCAGCGTTCCTCTTCTGTGGGGGTTGACAAACTCCCAGCCTTGGGGGTGGCATTTAAAGCAACAGGTCTCTTTCAAGCGAATGTGCGGAAGGTGAGGAGCAAATTAATTAATAAGTCCCTTCCTTTTTTCCCTCTGTCCACCGTTCCTCCTTTTATTTATTTATTCTTTGGGTTTTTGTCTTTTTGCTTTTGTTTTTTGAGATTGGGTCTCACTCTGGTGCCCAAGCTGGAGTACAATGGTGTGATGTCTGCTCACTGAAGCCTCAGCCTCCCGGGCTCAAACTGATCCTCTCACCTCAGCCTCCCGAGTAGCTAGGACTACAGGTACACACCACCATGCCCTGCTAATCTATGTATTTTTTGTAGAGTTGGGGTTTCACCACGTCGTCCAGGCTGGTCTTGAACTCTTGGGCTCAAGTGATCCTCCAGCCTCAGCCTCCCTAAGTGCTGGGATTATAGGCGTGAGGCACCATGCCCAGCCAATTCATTCATTCTTTTATTTACACTTTCAGAACTCGTTTATTGAGCACCACATCAGCCAAGCCCTAGGTACTCAAAGAGAAGTAACTCACAGCCTCTGCCCTCACGAAGCCCACGGTCTGGCGGGGGAAGCTGACCCAGAGCAAATCAGTCCAACCTAGAGGGAAGGGGGCCCTGACAGGCATCCATCCTGGGAGTAATGTGGTCAGCTCAGGCTGGCTGGTGGACAGGGCAGGGCAGGGGAGTAGTCAGGGAAGGCTTCTCAGAGAAGGTGATGCAGGATCAGGGGCCTTAAGCAGGTACTGACCAGGCAGTTTAAGGAGGCAGGATGCTCCTGGCAGAGGGAACAGCCAGCTGGCTCCCTCCCCTCATCTTATAACTACGTGGACATTATTCAGGAGGTGAGTATGAAGAATAGGGGGCAAGTCAAGAACCAAAGGGAAGGCACCTGGGTATGACCTCATGATTTTAGACGACACAGGCTACTATGTTCCAACTCCTGGCTGGAGAGGAATCCAAAACCATCCTGGTAGAGGAGGCTAAGGGGATTTCTCCAGGAGTCACCTTCTCTGAGTCTCGCTTATGAAATGCAAAGGCAGGCTGGACATGGTGGCTCACGTCTGTAATCCCAGCACTTTGGGAGGCTGAGGTGGGCAAATCATGAGGTCAGGAGTTCGCGACCAGCCTGACCAACATGGTGAAACCCCATCTCTCCTAAAAATACAAAAATTAGCCAGGGGTGGTGGCAGGTGCCTGTAATCCCAGCTACTCAGGAGGCTGAGGCAGGAGAAATGCTTGAACCCAGGAGGTGGAGGTTGCAGTGAGCCGAGATTACACCACTGCACACTAGCCTGGGTGACAGAGCAAGACGCTGTCTCAAAGAAAAAAAAAAAAAAGGAAAAGAAATGCAAAGGCGGCCTACTCAGGGGTCCAGCAAACAAAGCAAATATATGAATCTGACTGGTTGTGAGGCAGTAGGGAGTGGTGGGGTCTGCAGACCATGTGCTGTGGAAGGAAACAAGTCAAAGAAGGCAGACAGGCTGTCAGGAGGTGTGAGGGTTTCTGAGTTCAATGGGGTGGGGTGGGGAGGGCCCCACTGAGTAGGTGACACTTGAGATAAAATCTGAAAAAGTGAGGAAGTGAGTCTTGGCTGTTTCTGAGAGATTACAGATGGACGGAACAGCAAAGGTGCTAAGGTGGAGTGAGCAGGGCATGGTGAGGAACGACAAGGAGGCCATCCCAGCACTGTGGGAGGCTGAGGCAGGAGGACTGCTTGAGGCCCGAAGTTCAAGACCAGCCTGGGCAACATAGGGAGACCCCCCCTCCACCTCACAGTAACTGGCTTCTCTGGCTCTGTGCCAGCAGTTCCTGCAGACCTTCCTGGGAAGGCCCAGCAGGTGTCTCACGGCCTTCTGAGGGATGCCCCCCAGGACTCAACCACTCACAGCTAATGCTGATTTAAAAACAAAACCAAAATCCAGCTGGGCGTGGTGGCAGGCGCCTGTAATTCTAGTTGCTCGGGAGCCTGAGGCAGGAGAATCACTTGAACCCAGGAGGCGGAGGTTGCAGTGAGCCAAGATCGCACCACTGCACTCCAGCCTGGGCGACAAAGCGAGACTCCATCTCAAATAACTAAATAAGTAAATAAAAATTTAACAAATAAAAGCAAAACCAATAACCAAAGCCACCAAATTATCAGTGTCCAAAGCAGGTGCAAGGCCACCAGATTGTCCTGAAGCTACCACTGATTAACTGTGATGATGCTTGTTCTGGCATCTTCCTGAAATCGTCCACTGCTTTCCACAGTGCTCCTGTGAACACCGAGGAGGCTCTACCCCAAATGCCTCTTTTCTCCTCGCCCTGTCCTTGAAATGCTCTTATGCGCTTCAACTCTCTTTCCTCAGGATGACTGCTTCCCAGGGAGCCCTCTAGCCCTCAAGCAAACAGGCCCTCAGGAATCTTCCTCTACGGTCCACCAGGGCTGCTCTGACAGGCCTAAATCCTGGAGGAAAATCAGCTGAGGCAGTAATAATAGGTTGGTTTCCTTCCTTCCTTCCTTCCTTCCTTCCTTCCTCCCTTCCTTCCTTCCTCCCTCCCTCCCTTCCTTCTTTCCACTTACTGGGTTCTTACTTTGTGCCAGACACTGTTTTAGGTGCTAAAGATACAGTAGTACACAAAGACAACACACATACACGTATGCAGAATAATGCATATATGTTAATTAATTTCACTTTGCCCTTCCAGTGACACACATAGTGTATACATATATAAAAGCATCATGTTGTATATTATAAATATATAAGATTTTATTTGTCAATTAAAGAAGAAAAGACAACAACAGGGGCCGGGTGCGGTGGCTTACTCCTGTAATCCCAACACTTTGGGAAGCTGAGGCGGGTGGATGGCTTGAGACCAGGAGTTTGAGACGAGCCTGACAGTCTGGTCAGGATTCAACACGGTGAAGCCCTGTCTCTACAAAAAATGTAAAAATTAGCCAGACATGGTAGCACTTGCCTGTAGTACCAGCTACTTGGGAGGCTGAGATGGGAGGATCTCTTGAGCCTGGGGAGGTCAAGGCTGCAGTAAGCCATGATCGCACCACTGCACTCCAGCCTGGGCGACAGAGTAAGACCCTGTCTAAACAAAACAAAACAAACAAACAAGAAACAGACAACAGAACCCCCCTTTCATGGAGCCCAAGCGCTGGTGGACTGTTGCATGCTTGCTGGACACCACTGCTGTAAGTACCTTCCATGCATGAGCTCATTTAATCCTCACAATAAGGTATCGTACTACTGCGTCCATTTTACAGATGAAGAAGCCTGAGGCTCTGAGAAGTTAGGCAACTAGCTTCCTAATGACAATGACTACCATTCATTGAGTGCTTACACTACTGTCAGACACTGGGTGGAGCATTTTGCATTCATTATCTGGGCAGCATGAGAGGTGACAGGTCTGAGGCAGGACAGGTATGATTTCAGCTCTAGCTCACCGTGTGGCCTTGCATGACTTCTTCCATGTGTCTTAAAGGGACGCACTCTTACGTGGCTCTAGGTCTTATGAAATATCTGAAATTTTCAGGCTGAGTGAGTTCCTCTGCCTCCCTGAAACCTGACAGGGAAGGCAGAGGGGACAGGGTCGGGTCCTGAGGACCAGCAGTGGGTGCTGGGAAGCCGGGGTGGATGCGAGGGTGAGGGGCATCTCCCGACACAGCCAGGTCAGCCGGGGGCAGCGCCGCCCAATAAATGCAGGCTCCACGTGCTTCCCAGGTGGAGCCCAAGTGGCCCTCGGATCCTGCTGGTTCCAGGGGCGACCACGCTTCAGGGCCCACAAGTGATGGAAATCGGGGGAATATTGTCTGCAGACTTTGTGCTGAAAATACATACCAGGGGGTGCGGGAGGATTAACACCTGCAAGTCTGTGGGAAACCACGGGCCTGGGGCCGAGCGTCCTGAATTCCAGTCCCCCACTTCTCAGGGTGGGCTGTGCTGCCTTGGTCAAGGCTCGGAACTCAGCTTCCCTATCCGTTACCGTGAGAGCTCTGACTCCCAGCCAGGCTCTCCCCGGGAGAGCGGGACCGCGGCGGCTCTCTGCCCCTCCCTCTTCGCCGGCCCGGGCCGTGGCTGGGGAGGCCCTAGAGGCCCCGGCGGGCTCCGGCGCCCCCTGCCGGCCGAGAAGGGCCGCACCGCGCCTGCGCCCGCTCGCCGAGAGGGGCTGGGAGGAGACCTGGGAGGGCGGAGGCCGCCGCCCCGGCCGGGCCACGCTGGGGGCACGATGATGTCAGCGGAGGAAAGGAAATGAGTCATCACTCCCTGGGACCGTGGGGCGGCCGGGAGCGAGTGTGGAGACGCGGCCACAGGAACCCAGGACAATGGCGGGAAGTAAGAGGAATGTGGGCCTGACTGCAGCCGCGCGCCCCTGACCCCGGACCCCACGGCGGGGAGGAGGCTGGGGCGCAGGGCGGGCCCCGAGGGGTCGGAAGGCGGCCAGAACTCAGGCGGGGTCGTGTGGGGACGGGGTGGCTGGAAGAGGATGGGGACGCAGCCAAGCCCAGGGTGCCCGGCCTGAAGAACAACCCGGGCCGTCTTTCTCACCAAGGATGTTTCCAAAACCTTAGCCGACCCCTTGGCGGTTCCTCCACTTCCCTTAAACTCTACTGAACCTCAGAATAATCCCGGGGGCAGGTTAAAACCCGGATCCCCCGGCCCCACCCCGGAGATTCTGATTCAGCAGGACAAAACTGGGCCTCCATGAATTTGCATTTTTTAAATTATCCTTTTTTATTGAGATGGGGTCTCACTGTGTTGCCCAGGCTGGTCTCAAACTCCTAGACTCAAGCAATCCTCCCGCCTCAGCTCGGCAACGTGCTGGGATTACAGGCATCAGCCAGGATCCCAGCCGGAATTTGCATTTTTAACAAACTCCTAGTAGGGGGTGCTGGGCCAGGGTCCTCAGACCACTCTTTTGAGTAGTGCCACCTTAGAACGAAGTCCTGCTACTTGGCGGACCTAGAACCGTCCTCTGTCATGTGGTTCCTCCAGTCTCACCTGTCCCCACCTCCTACCCCTCACCAGTGTACTAGCAAGACCCAACTACCTGCATGTTGCGGTTCTCTCCTCTGTGTGTTTGCACAGACTATTTCCTTCGATTGAAAGGCCTTCTCTTCACTACGCTGCTGCTCAAACTGTCTGACTTCTACCTGCCCTTTAAAATCTTCTCCATGGGTGTGTCAAAGAGTATAATCAACAGAGTGAAAAAAGCAACCTATAGAATGGGAGAAAATATTTTCAAATCATAGCTCTGATAAGGAATCAATATCCACAGTGTATAAAGAACTACAGCTAGACCATAGAAAATCAATCCTGATTCAAAAATGGGCAAAGGACTTGAATAGGCATTTCTCCAAAGAAAATAAACAAGCGGCCAATAAGCACTTGGGAAGATGTTCAACATCACTAATCTTTAGGGAAACGCAAATCAAAACCATAGTGAGGCCCCCACCATCCTGACTCTCCTTCCTTCCAGAGGATGTTGCCTTCTGGATCCACCTCAACCCTACTCAGGGAGCCGCTCAGCTTCCTCAAGGGCCTGGAGTAGATGGCTTCCATCTTCTCTTTTGCCACCTGTGGAGGTTTTTAAGAGCAAACAGAAATTCAAGTGAATTGTCCTCCTACAGTTACTGACGAAACTATTACAGCTACTTCTGATTATCCATTCAGGTTAAATCAGGCATCATTTCAGTCACCTCCAGGTATTAATGTGTATGATATAAATTGGAAAGTCAAGTCCTCCTAGGAGATGACTGTGCTTCTGCACAATTCCATTACATTTGCAGTCTCTGTCTTCCTGTACTGCATTGCTGTCGTGCTTTATGTTGGTTACAGGAACCTATATCAGGGTAGTCATAAACTTCCCATGATTGGCTTTGTCATTACTCTTGTTGCCATCTTTTGCGATTGGTGAGCACTTCAAAAGCTCGCTTGGGCAAAAGCTCTTGCAGATATTAAAATAACTACTGGTCAAAATATTGTTCAGGAACTTCTGCTTGTAAGAAATCATAATAATGTGTTATTTTGGCTCTGTGACCAGCATGGGATTCCTAAATGTATCTGTGATCTTTGTCTTTCTGAATATGATACTTTGGAGGGGAAATGCTTGGCGTGTGTACAAGTATGAGGAGACCAACTTACACAACCCATCAAATACTTATGCTCCTCATAGCCAAGGAGGTATTCCACCTCCTGCTGGAATGTAATTAAAGGGAGAAACACACTGTATGAAATATATGTCTATATCATGACTTGTTGCCAACATCTTGAGGCACATTATTTGTTTCCAATAAAAGTAATGTTTTTTTTTTTAAGCCACACAATGAGATATCACCTCACACCCATCAGAATGGCTACTGTAAAACAAAAACAGAAAATAACAAGTGTGGACAAGAATGTGAAGAAAGTGAAGCCCTTGTGCAGTTGGAGGGAATGTAAAATGTTCCAGCCACTGTGGAAAACAGTGTCTTCATCTGTTTCCTATTGCTATAACTGAACACCAGAGACTGGGTAAATTATAAAGAAAAGAATTTATTTCTTACAATTCTAGAGGCTGGGAAGTCCTAGGTCAAGGGACTGCATCTGCTTGGCCTCTGGGGAGGGCCTCATGTCATAACATGTCAGAAGGCATCACGTGGGAAAGGGGTGCACTGAGAGCCAAACTGCCTTTAATAACAAACCCAGGCTGGGCACAGCGGCTCATGCCTGTAATCCCAGCACTTTGGGGGAGCAGGGGGTCAAGGCTTGCAGATCACTTGAGGCCAGGAGTTCAAGACCAGCCTGGCCAACATGGTGAAACCTTGTCTCTACTAAAAATACAAAAATTAGCCAGGGATGGTGGCAGGTGCCTGTAATCTCAGCTACTTGGGAGGCTGAGGAAGGAGGATGGCTTGAACCCTGGAGGCAGAGACTGCAGTGAGCCGAGATTGTGCCACTGCATTCCAGCCTGGGTGACAGAGTGAGATTCTGTCTCAAAAAATATAATATAATATAATATAATATGGCACAAAGAATACTAAATAGACCTCTGTACTTGCCCACACAGGTTTAACAAATGTCAACATTTTGCCACATTTGCTTTCTATTTCTTTTTTCGAAAAAACAAAACAAAAAAACCCCCAAAACTGATAAATCTAAAGCCCTCCCATTTTCCCTTGTATAGATAACCAGTGTCTCAAGTTAGTGTAGATCCTTCTTGACCATGTATATATACACATACATACATACACATTTACTACAGAGGTATATATCAATGTATACAATACCATATCGATAATATGTATATTTCATACGTATATAAAATATGGGGGCCCAGGAAGCGATCCTCTTGCCTCAGCCTCCAAATTAGCTGAGATTACAGGTCTAAGCCACCACGCCTGGCTAATTTTTATATTTTTAGTAGAGATGGAGTTTCACCATGTTGGCCAGGCTAGTCTCGAATTCCTGGTCTCAAGTGATCCACGCACCTCAGCTTCCTAAAGTGTTGGGATTACATACACAAATATAACACATACATTAACAATATATGTACATATATACTATCATACTGTGTAAATCTCTTTGAAATTTGCTTTTTCACTCATTTTTGAGATTTACCCGTGTTATTACATTGTAGATCTGATTCGTTAATTTTAAATGCTCCATAGTTTCCCATTGTTTGAATAAACCTGTTTATTTATTTGTTCCTTTCCTAATGGACTGTTGGTTGTTCCCATTTTCGTTATTACACACAGCACTGCAGTGAAAATTCTTGTATCGATGTGTGGGTGTTTTTTCCTTTTGAGACAGGGTATTGCTCTGCCACCCAGGCTGGAGTGCATTGGCACAATCACAGCTCACTGAAGCCTCAACTTCCTAGGTTCAAGCAATCCTCCCACCTCAGCCTCCCAAGTAGCTGAGACTACAGGCGCATGCCACCACACCCAGCTAAATTTTAAATTTTTTGTAGACAGGGGTCTTGCCATGTTGACCAGGAGGATGGTTTCAAAACTCCTGGGCTCAAGTGATCCACCCGCCTCAGCCTCCCAAATTGCTGGGATTACAGGCATGAGTCACCGCGCCCGGCCTGTTTTGCGAGGCATATGGTTGCTAGATCACAGTGCATGCACATCTTCGGCTTTAACTAGCTATCGCCAAATTCTCCAAAGTTGATCTGAAACCAGTGGAGCGTGTCAGCACTGCCCCTAGCATGCGCACACCAGGCGGGGGTGTGACAGCCCTCGGGCTAGGCCCCAACCCCACTTCGAGATCCGTGCGGGGGCCGGGAGCTAGCAGAGGCCAAGCAATGGGAACAGGCACCTCCAAGCCTGCAAGGACAAGGCGAGCACCTTCCTGGGCCCCCAAAAGTGCAGAGGGGCCCGAGTCCACAGCCCGGACTTGGGCGGCTGCTGCCGCTCCCGGCTCCCGCCTGCTACGTGAAGCGTGATGCCCGAGCCGCACCCCTCGCGGCCTGGGGCGGGGGCGCCTGGTCCTCGCTGGGCCGGGGCCGGGTCTGGGGCAGGGGCGTCCTCTCCACGAGCCTAGCCCCGTGGCCCCGGCGCTCAGGGGCAGCCTGGAGTTCCCCTCGCCCGGCTCGCCGCACGGCCCGGGGCAGGGCGCCTCCGGGAGCGGATCGTGGGCCAGGGCCCAGCCGTCTGTTGTGTCAGGCCCGCGGTCACCCCGATGAGGGGTGGACCCCAGGGACGCTGCCCCGGGCGGCCCTGCGCAGAGCCTCCTCCGGAGGCGCAGGAACTCCGCACCTTTGGTAGGGCAGGCGCCGCCTCTCCCTTACGGCGCTGGGCTTCCGAATGCGGCCCCAGCTTCGCCTCCTCCCAGCGGCCTCCTGGCGGCAGCAGCGGGCAAGAGCGGCGACGCGGGGCCAGGGTCCGGAGGCCCTGATCTGGAGGCACGTCCCGCCCGGCCGCGCGAGGGTGGGGGCGGCGCAGTCGGTTGCCTCGGGGACGCGGGCACAGGGTACCCGCCGCCACTGCTGCTCCAGCAGCCGCTCCTGCCACCGCCGCCCGCGCCCCAGCGCGGCGGACGGCCCGCCGCTGCCATCAGGTTTTGTCACAAAGTGAGTTTAAACCAGGACGGGCGCTGTGGCTCACGCCTGTCATCCCGGCATTTTGGGAGGCCCAGGCGGGTGGATCGCCTGAGGTCAGGAGTTCGAGACCAGCCTGGCCAACATAGCAAAACCCCTTCTCTACTAAAAATACAAAAATTAGCCAGATGTGGTGGAGGTTGCCAGGAGGCTGAGGCAGGAGAATCTCTTGAACCCGGGAGGTAGAGAATGCAGTGAGCCGAGATCCCGCCACTGCACTCCAGCCTGGGTGACACAGCGAGACTCGTCTCAAAAATACATACATACATACATACATACATACATACATACATACATGCATACATACATAAAGGAGTTTAAACCAAATTTAGGGGAGCAAACTTAGTTTTCAGAGTTTTTCTATTTTGGAATTGCAAATAAAAGATTTTAAGCTTCTACCAATTTGTATTCCCACCAGCCGCTTATGACTTCTCATTTCCCCATATCTTTACCAATATGGTGTTATTAGGCTTTTTAATTTTTGCCAATCTGATAAGTGTGAAATGAAGTCTTTATTTTGATTTGAATTCTCATAATTACTAGGGAAGTTGAGCATTTTTCATTTGTTTATGACAATTCCGGTTTCCTCTTCTGTGAATTTCCTGTTTCTCTTGAATTGTTCTTCTTTTATTGATGTATTCTGGACACAAACAAGTTGTACTGAATTGCCAATATCTTGCCTTTTCATATTTATGGTACCTTTCATCATAAAGAAGTTTAAAATTTCAAGGTAGTCAAATTCATCAACATTTTCCTTTATAAAATATGTCCTTCTCATCTTATTTAAGAAACCCACCCCCTTCAAGTTCATGGTTGTATTTGCTTGCAGATTTTTTTTAAGTTTTAAAGTTTGGCTTTTTATATTTAGTTTTAAAAAATATATCCGGAGTCTATCTTTGGGTACGATGTGAGGAAGGAATCTAGTTTTATATTTTGCATCTGTTAGCCAGTTGTTCTGGTATTATGTACAAATTGGTGTCTTATTTTCCCGCTGATGTGTAGTAAAACCACCTCCATCACAGTCCAAGTTCCCATCAATATGTGGCCCACCTCTGGGTCCTCTGTGCAGCCCCATGGTCTCTTTGTCTGTCTTTGCTAATAATAATTCTTTATTATGGTAGGACAAGCCCCTCCCATCTTATTTCTCACTTTCTTCTTCAATAGTGTCCTAGCTAGTCTTGGCCCTTTATTCCTTTATTATATAAATTTTTTAAAAACTTGTTTATTTCCATAGAAAAACTAGTTGGATTTATTTATTTATTTATTTATTTATTTATTTATTTATCTATTTTTGAGACAGAGTCTCCCTCTGTTGCCCAGGCTGGAGTGCAATGGCGTGATCTCAGCTCACTGCAACCTCCGCCTCCCAGGTTCAAGCGATTCTCCTGCCTCAGCCTCCCAAGTAGCTGGGATTACAGGCATGTACCACCACGCCCAGCTAATTTTTGTATTTTTAGTAGAGATGGGGTTTTGCCATGTTGGCCTGCCCGGCTGGTCTCAAACTCCTGACCTCAGGTAATCCGCCTGCCCCAGCCTCCCAAAGTGCTGGGATTACAGGCATGAGCCACCGTGCCTGGCCAGGATTATTTTTTTAAAACAAACTCTCAGATCACTAAAAACTGGTTGGATTTTGATGAGTATTGTCTTTGGGTCACAATTTCGCTGTTAATAAGGAGGGATGAAAATACTTTTATTTTTTGACTCACAGTCTGGTCCTATCGCCCAGGCTGGAACGCAGTGGTGAAATCATGGATCACTGCAGCCTCAACCTCCTGGGCTCAAGCAATCCTCCCACCTCAGCCTCCTAAGTAGCTGGGACCACAGGCATGCGCCACCATGCCTGGCTAATTTTTGTATTTTTTGTTGTGACAGTGTTTCACCTAGGCTGGCCTCAAACTCTTGAGCCCAAGTGATCCACCTACCTCAGCCTCCCAAAGTGCTGGGATTATAAGCATGAGCCACCGTGCCTGGCCTGAAAATACTTTTTCTTTTCCCTCAAAGGAGAGGGCAGTCATACCCCACTTATTCTGAGGTTACATTTCAGCAAACTCCAAAGTCTGGAAAACAAGAGGAAATAAGAATAAGGTCAAAACAGCCTCTGAGAAGCTCTGGACACCTCAGAACCTATGTGCTAAATCACACCCACTTTTGTCACAAGTGGTCTTCTCAGGCCTCCCTCAGAACCTGTTTACTTTAGTCACTGTTCCAGGAAACTTGATGGTCTGATTTCCTAGCCTACAGCAGATTTAAAGCAGCTGCAACTTAGAAGAAACATGGAGGAAAACATGCTGATAACTAACATCTGATAGAGATAGAAAAGTCCAAATACTTATGAAAACCAGCTGCAGGAAAATGAGAGGGCAGCAGAGCGGGGCCGCTCACTTCTGAAACCTTTGGAGGCCCCACTGCACATATGATGGACAGAAGGCAGCTCTGTTCCACACGGTCATTCAGGAGCCAGGAGTTAACCCCTCCTTGTGTGTTCTGGGGCTGCTCCGGCTGTGGACATTCTAGGCGGAGTGGGAAGGTACAGTGAACAAGTTCAAGTCCAGCATTTCCTCTTAGGCAAGTGATGGGCAAGATGCACCCACCTACTGCAGTTTCATCCCATTGCTGAGAGGTTGGCACTAGGCCCTACCCAGCTGCACAGGGACCAGGAGATGTAGTCTTTGCTGGTCATATAAGGCCTTCTAGAGCATCGTAGTGATATAGGAGTTAAAAAGAAATTTCTGGCCGGGCATGGTGGCTCACGCCTGTAATCCCAACACTTTGGGAGGCCGAGGAGGGTGGATCTCAAGGTCAAGAGATCAAGACCATCCTGGCCAACATGGTGAAACCCTGTCTCTACTAAAACTACAAAAATAGCTGGGCATGGTGGCACGTGCCTGAGGCTGAGGCAAGAGAATCGCTTGAACCCGGGAGGCAGAGGTTGCAGTGAGCCAAGATCGCATCACTGCACTCCAGCCTGGCAACAGAGAGAGACTCTGTCTCAAAATAAAATAAAATAAAAATAAAAGAAATTTCTCAGGCAGATAATGAGGGTAAGGAAGTCCTCAGTAAGGTTTTCCTTTTAATCAAAAGCAGCCCCCAAATCATTTCTTTTTCTAAGAAAGAGCCTGTAAAATCGAGCTGCAGACATAGATAAGCAAGCTGGAAACTTGCACGGGTGAATGCTGGCAGCTGTGCCAATAGGAAAATGCTACCTGGGGGCCAAAATGTCATGTTCAATATGGAGGCTCCATCTTCCCTTTTCTTTGCCAACCACATGTACAGTAAGGAACAGACAACATGGCGCTGGCCAGATAGAGACGCCATCTACATAATAAAAGATCAGGGTGGGATGGCCAGCTTTTTCACGCACTATGCAAACGTCACACCTGGCTTAACCAATCGCTCAGGCCCTATGTAAATCAGACACCACCTTCTCAAGTTCGTCTGTAAAACCCCGTGCTTTTAACTACAAAACCAGAAGATCCGCTCGGGAGCCTCTCTCTCTCTCTGCAGGAAAGAAACCTATTCTCTTTTCTCTTTCTTTCGCCTGTTAAACCTCCACTCTTAAACTCACTTCTTGTGTGTCTGTGTCTTCAATTTCCCTGGCGTGAGTCAAGGAACCTCGGGTATTTACCCCAGATAATGACACCGCTTCAGCAGGACCCCAGCTCTGACTCTGAGTGAGATGAGAGCCATTGGAGAGCTCTGAGCCCAGCCGTGACCTGATCTGATTTGTAAATGATCCCTCAGGTTGCTGTGTTGAGAAGGCTGAGGGGGTGCAGGTGGGGGCAGGGGCAAAAACAGGGACCCCCGTTGGGATGACCTGCTCTCTGAAGCTTTCCTGACCCCTCCTCCCTTCAGGTGGAGCCGACCTCTTCCTCTGTTGTTCTCTAGGCTTCCACAACATTTCCCCTAATTTAAACACTGACTGTTTACTTGTCTGTCTTCCTCCAGGTCAATATATCCACAGCACCTGGCCCAGAACAGGTGCTTGGCAAAGTATGTTTCCAGCATGTTAGATACAATTGAAATAACAGCTAGAACCCAGTATGTTGGTCAAGGATCTTTTTTAAAAATGTATTTATTTTTCACAGACAGGGTCTTGTTTTGTTACCAGGCTGGAGTACAGTGGTTCCATCATAGCTCATTGTAACCTTGAACCCTCTTGAGGCTCAAGAGATCCTCCTGCCTCAGCCTCCCGAGTAGCTAGGACTACAGGCCATGCCACTAAGCTTTTTAAAATTAAAAAGATTTAATTTTAAAATATTTTGTAGAGACAGGGTTTCGCTGTTTCCCAAGCTGGTCTAGACCCCCTGGCATCAAGCAATCCTCCCGCCTTGGCTTCCCAAAGTGCTGGGATTATAGGCATGTGCCACCGTGCCTGGCCAGGGATCCTTAACTGCAGGAAACAGAAACCAACTCTGGTTGTCTTTAAATTAAAAAGAAAATTTTGGAGATGCCCAGAACCCACAGGAAGGCTGGAGAACTAGGTCTGGACAAAGAACAGGAAGCAGCAGAGAGGTTCTTGGCAGTCAGGCTGTGTGGCTGTGGTGAAGAAGTCAACTGCCTCTCCCACCTTGTTTCAAAGTCCTGGGAAGGGCTCTGACTGGAAGGATTGAGGTCAGGTGTCAATGCTTTGGTCTCACTGGGGCAGGGAGAGGAAGAACTGGGGCAGGGAAAACCTTCAGAGACCCCTTTGGCTTCCAGGATGGGAGGGCAAGGCTCCCCGATTTAGTGTCTCACCAAGACTGTGCTGGCAGGAGGCAGGCAATGGGAAGGGAGAGCAGAGAGCTGTGAGGGGAAACCAATGCTGAGTGGCCCAGTGCCAGCAAATGTCCACAACAATTTCCCAGGGCTGGAAAAGCACAGAGGCACGAGCTGGGAACTGGGAATTGGGCACTGTACAAGAGATGAGTCTTCCTTGTCTGTGGAAGACAAGGGCTCAGCACAGCACCTAGTACTCAGATGTTCATCTGATGTTTATCCCATGAGTGGATGGATGGAGGGATGAGCTACGAAAACCCAAGGGCTGTGAGCATTACTCCTTCCTTCCTTCCTTCCGAGCCAGAGTCTTTCTATGTCACCCAGGCTGGAGTGCAGTAGCATGATCCTGGCTTACTGCAATCTCTGCCTCCTGGGCTCAAACAATCCTCCCACTTCAGCCTCCTGAGTAGCTGGGACTACAGGCACATACCACCATGCTCAGCTAATTTTTTTTTTTAATTTTTTGTACAGACAGGGTCTCACTGTATTGTCCAGGCTGAACATTTCTAGGCATATTGATTTTATGAATCAGAAGGGGATGAGATGGCAGCAGCCTCAATGAAGAGATGAATGCAAAAAAGAAAAAAAGACTTACCTCAGGGAACAAATTGTAGCACTGTTTCCAAAGGCCCCATTCATCTAGCTCTGAGCAGGATTAACATTTATTTAAATAAATTGGCCCCATGCAGTTTGGGCTGATTATGTTGGACACACTGGAGGGATTGGGCAGCAGGAGGTGGGCTAGCCTCCAGATTCTCTCAGGAAGCCATGGATCTGGCCCTGACATCCCATCCAGGAGTGGGGCCCAGCAGTCTGGGGAAGAACCAAGTGGGACGTTTTGACTACACGTGCCAAGAAGCCAGCATCTTTCAAGGAAATCTGCTGGGCTGGGCACCAAGGAGTATCACAATCCATGCATAGCGAGTTGAGGGGTTGGCCTCAGAACCTGCCTGGAGGTCATACAGCCCAGAGGTTTCCAAATGTGCTCTTGGGGCCTGTGAAGTCACAGAAGTGTCACAGGTGCATCCAGAGGTGAAGATAAGGAGGCAAACCCTGAGCTCCTCGTCCCAGTTGCCTTTGACCAGAGCAGCAACACACACTTTCAGGTTTTTCAAGGGAGATTCATTTGAATAAAGAGTTCTGTGGGCCGGGTGCACCTGTAATCCCAGTACGCTGGGGAGGCCAAGGTGGGAGGATCACTTGAGACCAGCCTGGGCAACACAGCAAGACCTCCTCTCGAAAGAAAGAGAGAGAGAGAGAGGGAGGGAGGGAGGAAGGGAGGAAGGAAGGAAAAAAAGAAAAGAGTTCTGTGTACAAAAAAAAAAGTTTGGGATCTACTTCAGTGTTTTCAGGAGTATAGATGGGAAGGACACAGAATTGCTAGTTACGTGACCTTATTAAGCCTTGGTTTCCCCATCTATAAAATGTGGATAACATCAGAGGATTGTAGGCTGGTGCGGTGGCTCATGCCTGTAATCCCAGCACTTTGGAAGGCTGAGGCAGGCGGATCACCTGAGGTCAGGAGTTCGAGACCAGCCTGACCAACATGGAGAAACCCCATCTCTACTAAAAATACAAAATTAGCCGGGTGTGGTGGCATGTGCCTGTAATCCCAGCTACTTGGGAGGCTGAGGCAGGAGAATCGCTTGAACCCAGGAGGCAGAGGTTGCGGTGAGCCAAGATCGCCCCACTGCACTCCAGCCTGGGCAACAAGAGCGAAACTCCATCTCAAAAAAAATAAAATTAAATTAAAATAAAACAACCCAGAGGATTGTGGTGAGATTAAATGGGATAATGTATGTGGCAGGATATTATTTTGAGACACTCATTGATGTTCATTTTTCTCCCTGTATTTTCCCATTTGCTTTTCCACATTCAAGTAGCTTTGAGGGCGGGGGCAGATTGAGGAGTACCCTAAAACTCTTTCTTAAAGGCCTGAACCCTTAGGGAACTAAGCTGGTGTCTAGAAGCGAGAAAAGGGGAAGAGAAGATTCATGCAAATGCTCAAGGCACCTTGGCCAGAAGCAGAGGGGAGACCAGACCCCACACTCCTCCAGAACCAGCAGGGTCTCCTGTCCCAGAAAGGAATGACAGAGAGCAAGAGATCTGTGGCCCCGGAGCAGTTCTCAGGGAGGCAGTGAGATCCTTTAGGCTGACCACGTTGAAGTAACAAGAAAACATTGGCCCTGAAGGGGCCCTGGGGGTGGGGCAAGGACAGCATCAGAAGCCATGGATGGTGTTCTGAAGACCAAAATCCCATCCTCCTACCACGTGATGTTGCACAAAGACCTCAGAACTAGGACATAAATCCTGGAAGAAGTTACATATTTAGGCCGGGTGGGGTGGTAATCCCAGCGGAGTCTGAGGCGGGTGGATTGCTTGGGCCCAGGAGTTTGAGACCAGCCTGGGCAAGATGGTGAAACCCCATCTCTACTAAAAATACAACAATTAGCTGGGTACAGGGGCATGAACCTGTCATCCCAGCTACTCGAGAGGCTGAGGCTGGAGAATTGCTTGAACCCTTGAGGTGGAGGTTGCAGTGAGCCGAGATGGAACCACTGCACTCCAGCCTGGGCGACGGAGTGAGACCCTGTCTCCAAAAAATAAAGAAAGAAATTACATATTTTTCCCCACCAGCCTGATGGCAAAGGAACTCCGAATCAGAAATGGGGCACAGGTACAGAAAAACAAGAAAGTTTTCTGCCTGCCCACTGGAGCTGTCCGGGCACTGAGCAAAGGCCTGCCATGTGTGTGTCTAAGGCCTAGAGCCAGCCCAGGGGCTGCATCTGCATCACTCAGCCCTCTCCTGGCTCGTCTCTGTGCCTCTTCAGTCCAATGCTTCCTCCTTCCCGGGCCCCATCTGTTCTGCAGTTTTCTCTCAACCTAGCTTCCTGGGAAGGGCTGCAGACATGTTTGAGGAGCCCAGTAAAACACCCTCAAGGGCTGTTGCCTTCTTCCTCCGGGCTAATGAATTCTTGCAGGGGCTGGGAAGAGGTGGGTGGGAGGACAGGGCAGGTAGATCTGGAGAGTCTGGCTTCCTGGGCCCCAGCCCAGCCCTCGGCAGAGCAATGTGACCTGATCCCATACTTGGCAAGGCAGCTGCAGACATTTGCAAAGTGACAAAAGGAGAGGAGGGACCTAAGAAGAAAACAGCATTTGCACAGCACATGGAAGTGCCTGGAAATGTTTTCTAGACACGTTATTCTTCTCTAGGGTGATTTTCAAGGCCAACTGAGCCTGGAGACTAAGGCTTCCAGAGGTGACTGACTGGCCCAGTGTGGCCACAGAGGCTTCCTCTCTGCAGTGTGTGTGTGAGTGAAACTGCCTTTGCAAAGATTGTAACATTGAGAAAATTACGGCAGTGAAAGAGATCTAATCTAACCCACCCCCATCTCGCATTTGCCTTAATCATTCCTGGGCTTAAGCTAAGCTAACTTTGGGAGACATTTAGGTTATCGTTTATTTATTTATTTATTTATTTATTTATTTATTTAGAGGCAGGGTCTCTCTCTGTTGCCCAGGCTGGGGTCCAGTCGTGCGATCTCAGCTCACTGCAACCTCCGCCTCCCAAGTTCAAGTGATTCTCATGCCTCAGCCTCCTGAGTAGCTGAGACAGGTCCGTGCCACTACACTCAGCTACTTTTATTGTATTTTTACTAGAGATGGGGTTTGCCATGTTGCCCAGGCTGGTCTCGAATTCCTGGTCTCAAGTGATCCACCCACCTTGGCCTCCGAGTGTGCTGGGATTACAGGCATGAACTACAGCACCCTGCCAAAGTTACAGTTTAAATTATACTAGGCCTTCCCCAAAAGTCAACTGCCTTTTAAAGCTGATGAAAGGCCATTAGACTAGGGAGAGAAGAGGAATCTGATTTCTGATAAGGTGTAGCCATTATTCCAGGGGGATCCTGCAGATAACATCACTATTGTAGACTGACCTTTTGAGATATCTTTTCAGATATTTTTTGCATGTCTGACACCCATGACTCCACCTGGACCTGATGACTCCTGTGGCCCCACCCAGGAGTGACTCAGCTCAACACAACAGCTTTGACCCCCTCTGAGTTCATCTCCACTCCAACCAATCAGCAGCAAGCACCCATTGGCTGGCCACCCCCACCCCTTACCCAAACTGCCTTTGAGCCTTGGAGATTGATATGAGTGATAACTCCATCTCCTGTGTGGTGTGGCTGGCTACAAGTCAATTAAATTCTTTCCCTACTGCTATGGTGTGTTCTTTATTTGTGCAGCAGGAAGGAAAAACCCATCAGTTACATGAGCATGTGTGTATATGTGTGAGTATATGTATGTATTGTGTATGTGTGAATGTATGTGTGTATATAGTGTGTATGTGTGTGTCTATGTGTGTATAGGAATGTGTGTGTGTGTGTGTGTGTGTGTGTCCATTTCAGGACAGGGGCTCTCCCTAGATCTTTAGAGCCGGTAGGACGTCATTTAGCAATCCCCCAAATCCAATCACTCCTTTTTAGGGATGTTAAAACCAAGGCCCAAGGGACATGACCTGCCTGAAATCGCACCTTTCTCCAGTGACAAAGGAGGAAGTGGCCTGGGAGTCAGAAGTGGTCTCATCTGCACCCCAACTCTTGGCCCTTCTTGCTTGGTAGAGGTCATTCTCTCTTGATAGCACAGCCGCTTGATGAAAATAGAGCAGTTAGCTTGTCCAGCAGTGGCCCCATCTGGGCCAAGCCCTGTGCTTTGTACCTGACATAGGTTATGTCATTCAACGTACCCCTCACAGTGATCTCTCAAAATAGGCATTTTGATGTACATTTCATAGAGGTGGAAACCGAAGCTGGCTGGGTGAGTTTTATTTCCTGTGGCCTGCGTACTTGTTCTATTTATGTAGTCATGATTGACATTTTTGAGGACATACTATATGCCGGGTACTGTTCTAAACACTTTGTGCATGTTACCTTCTTTTTTCCTCATCATAGCAGGTACCTATGTTACCACTATGTAACCACCCTATGTTACAAACGAGGTCCCTAAGCACAGAGTTGAAGTAATTGCTCAAGGTAAATCAGCAAGTAGAGGTCAGAAATCTAAAGGCAGTGAGGAAGGGGAGCAGTGAGGCCGGAAGAGAGGAAAGCCCTACAAGTCTGAGTTAACCGCAGTGGGCAACTGGGGCTCAACCCCACCAGGGACGGCTGTGAGCCTGGGTCAAACACACTCCGGGGGTATTTAGCTGAGGGATTGTAACTGAGTAGCCCCGTTTTTCTAAGAGATGGTTTAATTATTTTTTTCTCTCTTCTTTTCTCACTCCCCGGTTCCCCAGTTTCCCACTTCCTACTCATTCCTTTAGACATGCAAATATAACCTTTTACCTCGCAGTTCAGCAGATGCCTACAAGGCAAGTTCATCTAATTATATGTTCTCCTAGACGGATCTCTTCTTGAGGGTTACCAGTTGATTTGCAAACCAAAGCCTGCCCATCGGGGAACTCTAACCCTCCACCGGGTTGCCTCAGAACTTTCGCTCACCAAGAGGCTGCCTTGAGAGATATTTTTAGTAGAGATGGGTTTCCCCATGTTAACCAGGCTGGTCTTGAACTCCTGGCCTCAAATGATCCACCCACCTCAGTCTCCCAAAGTGTTCCCCGACTAACGCAGTTCATCGTCTTATCAGCATTTAGAGAGGCTCCCTGCTTCCTTAGTACTTTGTGTTTTTTCCTTGCTCTCTGCCTAAATGTCAAATAGATAATCTCTAGACTCCAGCATCTAGTAATACTTTGCAACGTCTCATGTCTTTCCATTAATACTTGTTACGTGATAAAAGGGTTGGTTTCATGCTCCTTGAAAGATGTTTCCAATGGGTTCAAGGACTTTCTTTGCTTTTTATTTTATTTTATTTTGAGACAGTCTTGCTCTGTTGCCTAGGCTGAAGTGCAGTGGTGCGATCTCAAGTCACTGCAACCTCTGGGTCCCCAGTTCAAGTGATTCTCCCATCTCAGCCTCCCAAGTAGCTGGGACCACATGGACAGGCCACCATGCCCAGCCAATTTTTAGTAGAGACGGGGTTTCGCCATGTTGGTCAAGCTGGTCTCAAACTCCTGGCTTTAAGCAGTCTGCCTGCCTTGGCTTCCAATGTGGTGGGATTACAGGCATGAGCCACTGAGCCCGGCCCTTTCTTTGCTTTTTAAATTAAAATCTTTTCTTTTAACACTTCCAAGCCCAGATTAGTCTTGCAAGCCTCAGCATCTGCTAGGAAGTTGCTTGTTCTCTTGGAGGTGGACTCTTGGGGACATTGTTTTTCTTCTAAAAGATTAACACAGCATTAGCGATATATTTGATGAAGTTTACATAAGCAGATGAAATCAGCTTTTGCCTTATGAAGAAATGTGGTGGACTGCTAACCAGTGCCCCACCCAACTCCACCTCCTACTACTTGCACCCTGGTGTAGCCCCTTCTCATGCAGACTCTGGACTTGGCCGGGTGATTTGCTTTGCCAACTGGATATTAGCAAGAGCTATGTAAGCAGGGGCTTGATAGACATTTGCACAGGGGGGCTCCTGCTCTTGTAAGCAGGCCACCATGCTCTCAAGAAGTCCAGGCCATCCCCCTGTGAGAGGAACCAGGAGATTCCTGGAGGAGAACAGAGGTGCCTGGCCCCAAGGCCCCAGGCAAATACAAGAGGCCTTCTTGGACATTCCCACCAGCCTGTTGCCAGTGAACACAGCCACATGAGCCACCCCTAGGCAAAGACCGCCCAATCAACCAGACACTGCCAAAAAAAAAAAAAAAAAAAATCATTGTCTGTTTAAAGCCCCTAAATTATGGGACTATCTGCTGCACAGCCACAGAGAACTGACACATGAAGTTCACGTTCAACAGTAAAGTGGAACATGGACAATCCTGAAGGTGAGCTGTGGAAACATTCTCAGCATCCTGAGTCCTGTTTATCTCGAGGTTGCACCTATTTCTTGGATTTATTTCTGACTATAAAAGGAAAATTGAAAAATACCCAAAAAAAGTTTAAAGAAGAAATTGATATTGCTCACAGTCCCACACTCCAAAATAAGTATATTTTACCTTTTGGTGACTCTCCTTTCAGGTCTTCTTTCTTTCTTTCTTTCTTTTTTTTAGGCAGGGTCTCGTTCTGTCACCCAGTCTAGAGCACAGTGGCATAATCATAGTTCACTGAGCGTCAACCTCCTGGGCTCAAGTGATCCTCCTGCCTCAGCGTCCCCAGTAGCTGGTACTACAGGCATGCACCACTATGCCCAGCTATTTTTTGTATTTTTAGTAGAGACGGGGTTTTGCGATGTTGGACTGGCTGGTCTTGAACTCCTGACCTCAAGTGATCCTCCTGCCTCAGCCTCCCAAAGTGCTGGGATGACTCGTGAGCCACCGTGCCCAGCCGACATAACATTTTTTATTTAATGAATCTTCTGCTGTTGAACATTTAAGTTGGCTTGTTTGAAACAGAACGTAATATTGCAGTCCATATACTTGTAAAAAGTATTTCAGCATATGGCAGATGATTTTCTTAGAAAAGTGTCCCAAGGTGGACTTACCGCATGTCCTGATTAATCTCTGTGTCCCCAGATACTCTTTGCAGCCTCCCCTACCTTTCTCTGTGCCCCCGGAGACTGAGCCAGCCCTAAGCATTGAATCACTTAACTTCCCCTGGTACTTTGAATAAGGTTCAGCCATCAGGAGGCAACAGCAAGGGGGACAGGTGACAGGAGGGGAGGGGGTATGTATTTGTCCTGCTCCCTCCCTGCTTTGCTGTGGTTCTGGCAGTGACTGCAGCCCTAGGGCTGTAACTTGGGTGTGGCCGACCCTCCGAACTGTCTGGGGTGCTAATGGAGTCCTGCTGTTGCACAAGCTTCAACTTCCCCTCTTGGTTCCCTTAACCTGGCCCATGTCTCTGAAAATAATAACTTCACTACAACATCTCTTCAAAATCCCAGCTGGGTAGGGAGATTAGAGGGTCTTTCTAGAACACCTGCTAATATGAACAAGTTCTCCTTCGCTGGCCATTTTTTTCAAAGTGTTCTTGGTTGTCCCCACTTGTCTATGACCTTTAGATTCACTATGCAAAATTCCCCAAAAATATATTGGAATTTTTATTATTAATACAATTGCACAAAACTGGCCATGGGCAGTTGCTCACACCTATAATCCCAGCATTTTGGGAGACTGAGGTGGGAGGATCGCTTGAGCACAAGAGTTTGAGACCAGGCCGGGCACAATAGCTCATGCCTGTAATCCTAGCACTTTGGGAGGCTGAGGTGGGCAGATTGCCTGAGCTCAGGAGTTTGAGACCAGCCTGGACAACATGGGAAAATCCCGTCTCTACTAAAAAACAAAAAATTTGTTGGGCATGGTGGTGCACATCTGTAATCCCAGCTACTCAGGAGGCTGAGGCGTGAGAATTGCTTGAACTAGGGATGTGGAGGTTGCAATGAGCCAAGATCGCACCACTGCACTCCAGCCTGGGGGACAGAGTGAGACTCTTTCCAAAAAAAAAAAAAAAAAAGAATTTGAGACTAACCTGGGCAACACAGCAAGACACCATCTCTACAAAAAAAATTAAAAATACAAAAATTAGCTGGGCGTGGTGGCATGCACCTGTAGTCCTAGCTACTTGGGAGGCTGAGGTGGGAGGATCACAGGAGCTCAGGAGTTTGAGGTTACAGTGAGCCATGAGCACACCACTGCACTTCAGCCTGGGCAACACAGCAAGAGGCTGTCTCTAATTTTTTTAAAAATAAGAAAAAATGTGTTAAAAAAAAGAATCACACAAAACTTATATATTAATTTGGCCAGAACTGGCATCTTTCCATTCACGAGTATCACATGCCTTTCCATGTATGTAAACTTTATTTAAAACCTCTTAGTTAAGTTTTTGTTGTTTATAGGACATGCACATTTTGTGTCAAGCTTATATCTAGGTATTTTATAAATGACCATGAAAAAATTCACTCTCAAGCATTAAAGAAATGCAAATTATGAGAGAACAATGAGATCCTATTTTTCCTTTCAAACTAGGACATAGTTTTACAAATAATACTCAACCTCAGAACGGTGTAGTGAAAAGGGCATTCTCATATGCTTCTGGGAGGATATGCATTAGTCTATTTATGTCCATTCTGGAGGAAGGTTTGACATTTTGTATAATAAGAATTGAAAATGTTGGCCAGACATGTATACATATGTAACTAACCTGCACATTGTGCACATGTACCCTAAAACTTAAAGTATAATAATAATAAAATAAAAAAAAGAAAATTAAAAAAAAGAAAAGAAAAGAAAATGTTGGCCAGGTGTGGTGGCTCATGCCTGTAATCCCAGCACTTTAGGAAGCTGAGGCAAGACGACTGCTTGAGCCCAGGAGTTCAAAGCCAGCCTGGGCAACAAAGCCAGACCCTGTCTCTATTAAAAATAAATAATAATAAATTTTTAAAAAGAATTTAAAATGTTTATGTCCTTTTAAATGAAATCTTTCCTATCCAGTTTTCCTGTGCAGCTGCTTCATTCAAGCCTGCTTTTAGTTGGAGCCTAAAACAATGTGAATAAATGTCCTAAATCCATAATTAGCGGCCTAATATGATTTTTTTAAGAAGTCCATATCCTTTGGCTTAATGTATAAGGTCAGGGTCCTGGCCAGAAATAGGCCCGAGCATTTAGTTTATAATCAAAGTGATATTTCAAACCAGTGAGGAAATATTCTACTAAAAGAGAAAGGCTGGGCTGGGCATGGTGACCCACGTCTGTAATCCCAGCACTTTGGGAGGGCGAGGCGGGTGGATCATTTGATGTCAGGAATTCAAGACCAACCTGGTCAACATGGCGAAAACCCATCTCTACTAAAAATGCAAAACTTACCCGGGCATGGTGGCACGCGCCTGTAATCCCAGCTACTGGGAAGGCTGAGCCAGGAGACTCGCTTGAACCTGAGAAGCCGAGGTTGCAGTGAGCAGAGATTGTGCCACTGCACTCCAGCCTGGGAGACAAAAGCAAGACTGTCTCAAAACAAACAAACAAACAAACAAGAGAGAAAGCCTGAATAATGACATATGAAAAGTTGACTATTCAGAAAAAAATAAGTTTAGATCTTTATCTTCCAGTTTATATCAAAATTAGTCCCAGGTGGGTTTAAAAGCCAAATGAAGGAGTAAGAGGAAATGGAGGAAGGGAAGGGGGGAAGAGGAGCAGAAAAGAAAAAATATAGATCTGAAATGTCTGTGTGATACTCAGATGGGAGCAGTTTTACAATTAAAAAAAAACAAAAGGGAGAAAGAATAAAGGAAAACATCAAGGCCGGGAGTAGTGGCTCAAGCCTGTAATCCCAGCACTTTGGGAGGCCCAAGGCAGGCAGGTTGCTTGAGCCCAGGAGTTCAAGACCAGCCTGGGCAACATAGCGAGACCTCCTCTCTACAAAAGATACAAAAATTAGCCGGGCGTAGTGGTGTGCACCTGTGGTTCCAGCTACTAGGGAGGCTAAGGTGGGAGGATGGCTTGAGCCGGGAGGCGGAGACTGCAGGGAGCCAAGATCACGCCACTGTACTCCAGCCTGGGTGACAGAGTGAGGCGCTGACTCAAAAATAAAAAACTAAAGAAAGAAAAAGAAAAACATCAAAAGGTCATCCCACATCAAAATGTCGTGTGGTGTATCAAATATCACCAAAAACAAAATCAGAAGGTAAAATTCTAAGCTTAGAAAAATATTTGCAACACATTCGACAGAACTGACATTTTTAAAGTGCTTCTGTACGTCAACAAGAGAAAAAATAGAAAATAGAAAAGCAGACCAAGGATATGAATAGGCAACTCACAAAAGGAGAAAGTCAGATGTTCACAACTATTTTTAAAATGCAGCAGACACGTGGTCTTGGAGACGCAACAAGCAGGGCCGCGGACCAGGCGTTAGGTAGGAAAGGCATTCACCCCTTCTCCAGCTGCGGGGCGGGGCCCCGGGTCCCTCTCTGGAGGGGCCTCCAGGGAGCGGAGCTCTGGGATGCCGTTTCCCCGGGGCGTCTGGGAGGGGCTGGAGAAACAAGCATTTCCTAGGGCTGAGCCCACTTGCCCTCTAGGGGGTGACGATTTCTCTCCCAGTCTTCCCCCCGACTTGGCTGGACTCCGAGGGGAGGGCGCTGGCGCTTCCAATGGCACAGCAGCTCGTGGGGAGCTCGGGCGCTGCCTCTCGGGCGGCTTCCCCAGCCCTCCTGACTCGCGGCCACCGGAGGGCGGTGCTGTCCAGGAGACGCCGGAGCTGGGCGCTCACAAAGGCCCCTTTCTCCTCCACCGAAGATGAGTCATAGCCCAGGCGGGGTCGGAAGGGCAGCCGCTCCAAGGCGACTGCAGAGCCGCGACTGCAGAGCCACGCCTCCGAGTCACCCTGGACGCCTGCGCCGGCCGCGTCTGCTTCTCCTTGGCTTGGCAGGCCACAGGGAAAACTGGGTCAGGCCGGTGGCCTAGTTCGCTGGTTCACAGCGTGAACGCCGGCAGTAGGTGACTAGGAAGGGCATCTCCACTTACTGTCTGGCTCATTCACGTGACAAATATCTGAAGAGCCCCGTGACTGACAGCCAGTTGCTAGTGCACTCCCAAGGCCCGGGTCACCTGAGTTTAGAATGTGTCATCTCAATACCCTGGGGGCTGGGCCTGCCTGGGCAGGTCGCCAAATCACTGGTCTTGTCACATCTCAGGTTCAGTTGCCCACATTGCAAAACATCCCCTGGCCCCCTGGCATTGGATTCCCTTGTGATCTAACCCTGCCCCACCCCTCTGACTGGCTCCCACCAGGTGGCCTTCACTTTGGTCCCCACCCCTGCCTGGCAATCCCCCTCCCCACATCCTGCTCCTGTGAGCCCAGGCCTGTCCTATGGCGGCCTGCAGTGACCTTCCACACCCACCCGAGCCCATTCAGTCTCCTCTCTGCTTCTGACTCTGCCCTAGGATGTCTGAGGATGTCATTTGTTTTTCCCTCCAAAATTCTTTTTGCTAATAAGAAGGACACTTTTGACACCCGGTCCAAAGGTGTAAGCTCCTGGGCCTCAGTGGAGCCAGAAGCAGCCTGTATAGGCCTGGTCTGCTCAGCTGGACAGGAGGAGATCTGGTAGGGATGGACCACTCCAGAGGAGAGGAGGTCAGCCATGGGCCTGAGCAGCATGAAGACCTCATGTGCCAGGAGGGAGGTCAGCAAGGGTGTGAGACCAAGGAGGGCACTGAGTCCAGAGTGCAGTAGCCCTTCCTCTTCTTTCTTTTCTTTTCTCTCTTTTTTTTTTTTCAGATGGAGTCTCACTCTGTAGCTTAGGCTGGAGTGCAGTGGCACAATCTTGGCTCACTGCAGCCTCCACCTCCCAGGTTCAAGCGATCCTCCTGCCTCAGCCTCCTAAGTAGGTGGAACTACAGATGCACACCACCAAGCCTTGCTAATTTTTGTATTTTTAGTAGAGATGGGGTTTCACCATGTTGACCAGGCTGGTCTCGAACTCCCAGCCTCAAGTGATCTGCCCTCTTTAGCCTCCCAAAGTGAACCACCAGGCCTGGCTCCTCTCCTTTTTTCTTTCCTTCCTCTTCTTTCCCTGCCCTCCCTTGTGGTTGCAGCCAAGGAGCTGGGCTGCAGCTGGCCCTCCCTCATGCTGAGTTTTGCTAACATAGTGCCTTCTTGTTCTCTCCCCCTCCCACCTTCCTGCCACCCCATGTGCCATTTCCCAGTGACTCTGGAGCTTCTGAGATGCCTCTGCCTGCATTATGGGTGGGCACACTGAGGCTCAGAAGAGCCAATGACTTGCCAGGAAGCACAGCCATTGGCAGGAGTGGGCAGAGTGGCAGAGGGATCAACTCTGTCTCACCCCAACTTGTGAGGACATGCCCAGAACACATGGGAAAGCAGGTGCACTGTGCTTTGCTGGGATGACAGCGTTCATAGACTTGAAGGCATCAATTTGACTTCAGCATTTAAAAAAATTTGTAATGTTTGCTGCAGAATATCCAAACAATAGAGATGTGTATAAAATAGAACCCAAACAAAAGTCCAATTCTCCCCCAACTCACTTCTCACTGTTGTAAACCAAAAATAATGGACCCCTCCTCTTGGCCAAAGGCATTCCAGGGTTACCTGAAAATCTAGTCAGGCCACGATGGAAGAGGGGGTGGGAGATGCCTCATTATACCCTCCAGCATTCACACCAACGGGGACCTTAGGTCTGATAAGAAACAATACAGTCTATTCTCCCTAAATCCTGCTACTTGGAGGCTTCGTCTGTGTGACAAAACCTAGGTCTTCACAACCTCTTATCATAACCCAGACATTCCTTTCTACCGATAATAACTCTTTCAATCAATTGCCAATCAGAAAGTTTTAAAATCTGACCTCTGGAAGCTGCACCCTACTTTGAATTGTCCTGCCCTTCCAGATCAAACCAATGTAAACCTTGCCTGTATTGATTGATGTATTGTCTTCCTAAAATGTATGAAAGCGGCCAAGTGCAGTGGCTCACGCCTGTAATCCCAACACTTTGGGAGGCCGAGGCAGGTGGATCACCTGAGGTCAGAAGTTTGAGAACAGCCTGACCAACATGGAGAAGCCTCGTCTCTACTAAAAATACAAAATTAACCCGGGCGTGGTGGCGCATGCCTGTAGTCCCAGCTACTTGGGAGGCTGAGGCAGGAGAATAGCTTGAACCCAGGAGGCGGAGGTTTTGGTGAGCTGAGATCACATCATTGCACTCCAGCCTGGATGACAAGAGCGAAACTCTGTCTCAAAAAAAAAAAAAAAAAAGGAAAGAAAAGAAAAAAAATAAAAAGGAAAGCAAGCTGTACCCCGACCACATTGGGCACATGTCATCAGGACCTCCTGAGGCTGTGTTATGGGCATGTCCTTAACCTTGGCAAAATAAGCTTTCTAAACTAACTGAGACCTGTTTCATATATTTTGGGTTCACACTATTAAGAGTTTGGTATACGGCTGGGCTCAGTTGCTCACACCTGTAATCCCAGCACTTTGAGAGGCTGAGGCGGGCCGATCACCTGAGGTCGGGAGTTCGAGACCAGTCTGACCAACATAGAGAAACCCTGTCTCTACTAAAAATACAAAATTAGTGGGGCGTGGTGGTGCATGCCTGTAATCCCAGGTACTTGGGAGGCAGAGACAGCAGAATTGCTTGAACCCGGGAGGCAGAGGTTGCAGTGAGCCAAGATCACGCCATTGCACTCCAGCCTGGGCAACAAGAGCAAAACTCTGCCTCAAAAAAAAAAAAAAAAGAGTTTGGTATAAATCCATCCTTCTAAGCTTTGCAACACATTTTATATATATGTAAATATAGATATATGTGTATATAGATACACATTTGTATATATGTATATATACATATATACAATTATAATCACTGAACTACCATTCTGGAACTTCTGTGTTCTCTTCCTACAGCTTCGTGTCTTTCTTTGTAAAGGCTCCTAACATCCTGCCACATGGTGAACCTGTCCCTCCCTACGGCTGGACAGTTAGGGAGATTTGCTTTATGGTACATGTCTGGGTGCGTGCTGTGGGAACCTCCATGGAGAATAACTTTACATGTGGATCTGTGAGCGCAGAGACATGCATGCATCTTCTGGGCTTTTTAAAAGTTTGTGATGACAAGAGGCTGACAGGTGCACAGCAGGCTGCATGGAATTGCCACTCTGAGGAGTGCACTGTCAGCCTCAAGTCACCCCTCCCTCGACACCTGCTCACCCGCCCCCTCACCTGTTCCTCATCCCCAGGGCAGGAAGCAGCCCCATCCAAAGCTTCTGTCTTCCCGTGTGGCCTCTGTGGTCCTTCTGGCACCCCTGACCCCCTCAACCACCTTATTTGTCATCAAACATCTCCACCACCCTCAGGCTCTTAGGACAGATGAACAAATGTCTGATGCGGCGCACAACCCAGTTAGCCACAGACTCAGCCTCCTTTTGCAACCCTGCCCACCAGCTTTGCTAACAACCCCTTTTTTCTCTCCTTTTGAAGCAGTGGCAGATACAGATGCAGCTTATTTTCAGATGCAAATCAATGCATCTCCACTGCTGCAGGCTGGGTTGCTGGGCCTAGCTTTGCAGGACTGTGTCTGCTTATTGTCTCAATACAGGCTGGGGCCTACCCTGGTCTGGGGGTCCACCCTGGTGGTGCCAGGTGACTGGTGTGGTTTTGTGGAGCCCCTCTGTGCACTGGGCTTTGATCCAGGCCCTGGGGGGTGAGATAAGAGAAATAAAGAACAGAAACTCTGTTCCATGTTCTCCCTAGTACTGAGGGCTTCTGAATATCTCTTACAGTGGACTTCTGCCATAACCCGCACAGTTTTTTGTTTTGTTTTGTTTGTTTTTTGGGACGGAGTCTTGCTCTATCGCCAGGCTGGAGTGCAGTGGTGCAATCTCAGCTCACTGCAACTTCCGCCTCCCGGATTCAAGCGATTCTACTGCCTCAGCCTCCCAAGTAGCTGGAATTACAGGCACCCGCCACCGCGCCTGGCTAACTTTTGTATTTTTAGTAGAAATGGGGCTTCACCATCTTGGCCAGGCTAGTCTCACACTCCTGACCTCATGATCCACCCGCCTCAGCCTCCCAAAGTGCTGGGATTACAGGCATGAGCCATCGTGCCCATAACTTGTTTTGTTTTGTTTTTTTGAGACTCGGTCTCCCTCTGTCACCCAGCCTGGAGTGCAGTGGTGCAATCTCAGCTCACTTCAGCCTCCACCTCCTGGGCTCAAGTGATCCTCCCAGCTGAGCCTCCCAAGTATCTGAGACTGCAGGGGTGCACCACCACCCCAGCTGATTGCTTTATTTTTTTGGTAGAGACGGGTTTTCACCATGTTGCTCAGGCTGGTCTCAAACTTCTGAGCTCAAGGGATCCACCTGCCTCAATCTTCAAAAGTGCTGGGTTTACAGGCGTAAGGCATAAGCCACCGCACCTGGCCCCTGCACAGCTTTCAAGATTTGCCTCCCTCTTGCTCACCTTTTCCCACCTGCCCCCTGCCCTGCTGCCCCGCTAAGAAAAGAGTGCATGTGATTCTTCTTCACAGAATTATATTGCAGTATGAGTGTTAGGAACCAGCATAATACAATAGTGTGGGATGTTCAGACCAGTTCAACGAGTGTTCTCAGAGAATCTTCCATGTGTCTGGCACATCATGCCACACAAAGTACGTCACTATCTACGTCAGGAAACTAGATGGAAAAATGTCTAGACTCCTGGTCTGCTCACAAGACAGATGTATACACAATTATAATACAATGTGATGGGAACAAGAGAGGTTGGTGACATTAAATGATAATGTGGAATATTTATTATCTGTGGAATGTTTGGGGAGAAATGTTCCCAATCTGTCTTCTTTCCTTGTTTACTTACACATCTCACCTCAAAGTTACATGTTCTCTGTCTGAGCCTCTTGCTCTTGAAATCTAGCTGCCTCAAGGGAACATTTTCAGATTAGACCCAAGAAAGACAGTACTTTTCCCAGTCTAAGTGCAAAAGCCCCGTGAATCTGGCCCACTTCACAGTTGTACGTGTATCCTCCATCCTCTCTGTAACTTAATATTCCATCCACCTTTAACAAGCTTTTCCCTTCATTTGTGACTAGACTGGGGATGTGAACACTACAGAGGAAGAAGCTGCCTGTGGAACTCACGGGGTACCAAAACTTTTTTGGCAAGATAATGCCCAGTGCTGGTGAGGTTCTGGCGAGATTGCCACTCGCAGATACACACGGGTGCTTGTGGTTTAAATGGACTCTGCACTGTTGGAAAGCAATCTGAAAGCATGAACAAGAGCTATGAAGCATAACTCCTTTTTTTTTTTTTTTTTTTTTTTTTTAGACAGAGTCTCACTCGTCACCCAGGCTGGGGTACAATGGTGTGATCACGGCTCACCTGCAACCTTCATCTCCCAGGCTCAAGTGATCCTCCCACGTCAGCTTCCTGGGTAGCTGGGATTACAGGCGTGCGCCACCACGCCCAGCTAATTTTTATATTTTTAGTAGACGCAGGGTTTCTCCATGTTGGCCAGCCTGATCTCGAACTCCTGACCTCAAGTGATCTGCCCACCTTGGCCTCCCAAAGTGCTGGGATTACAGGCATGAGCCACCACGCCCAGCCTATGAAGCAGAACTTCTGACCCACTAGATGCACAGTTTTTGTCCAGCTTTGAGATTACAAAAGCTTCATTCCTCGAGGAGCTATCTTTAAAAGGAGAAAAGACTTTAAGTGTCCACCCACAGGGAAATAGTTAATTAGACTGAAAGCTCCTTCAATACACAGACTTATCCCTATGCATAAAGCATAGGACAGGCAGTGGGCCATAGTAGGTCCTCAGTAGATGTTTGAGAACCTGTGAGGCGAGGGAAAAGGCAGTGCAGTGGTTAGAAACACAGTTCCTAGAGCCAGCCTGCTGGGTTCAAATCCCAGCTCTGCACTAACTTGCTGTGCAACCTAGGGAAAGTTATATACCTCTCTGTGCCTCAGTTTCCTCTTCTGTAAAATAAGGATGATGATTAGAGTAGAACCAAACTTACAGGATTATAAGAATTAAAGAAGGTAGAATAGGTGAGGTATACATGACTGTGAATATTAACTATGATTATTTTCATTGAATAAAATGTTCTGAGACATGATGTGGCAATTATAAATGATAATAATTAATACCATGGGCAAAGTAGAATGAATATTAATAATGTCATAGCCTCCACCCTGCTCCTCCTGCCTCTTGCCTTGCACTCTCTGGTACATTATTTCCCAGCTGTCCTATAGCTGACAAGCAAAACTAACCTTGTCCCTGCACTGCTATGCTTTGATTGTGTCAGTTTCCCTAAAATACTGGAAACTGCTTCATACTCTGATACCCTTACTGCCCCCCTCACCCAACTTGGCAAACTCATAGTCATCTGTCCAGACTTACATCACACCTAGAGCCTTTCTTCCTTGACACACCTGAGCATTGCCACTCATTGTTTCTGAATCATAACAATTGATTAAGAGACAAACATGTGACTGGCCCCGCCTGCCCTCCAGGTCTGGAGCTAGAGAGTCATGCACACGAACACTGTCAATGCCAAAGAGCTGATCAAGACCCCTTTCTGGCCCCTTGATCTCTTCCCTCTGTCCCTTCCATCTTTCTGCATTGCTTTTCCAACTTAGTCTTTGCAAACCACTCTCACAATTTGTGCCACAACTGCCAATCATCTGTGCTATTCACTACTTAATATTTTCAAAAATCGAGTCTCTCTCTCTTTGTATTTTTTTGATTTTTTTTAGATGGAGTCTTGCTCTGCCCAGGCTGGAGTCCAGTGGCACGATCTTGGCTCACTGCAACCTCCACCTCCCAGGTTCAAGCGATTCTCCTGCCTCAGCCTCCCAAGTACATAGGACTACAGGCATGTGCCACCATGCCCAGCTAATTTTTGTATTTTTAGTAGAGATGGGATTTCACCATGTTGGTCAGGCTGATTTCGAACTCCTGACCTCAGGTGATCTACCCACCTCAGTCTCCCAAAGTGCTGGGATTACAGGTGTGAGCCACCGCACCTGGCCCCGACTCTCTCTTTAAAAACATAAATATATTTCTTTTAGCAGGCCTAGGAGGAGGCTGGAGGGCCAGCTGGATCATGGAAGAGTGGGGAGAAGAACCAGAGCAGGAGGTCTGGGCTTGGGAAAGCCTGGAGGGATTGGACAGGGTCCAGACAGGGGAGGGCCCAGGGCAGTCAAGAGTTTAAAGGCCCAGCCTGGGTCAGATCTGCATTTTAGGAAGATCCCCTGTGGCTACCAGGGGCAGGCTGGACAAAGGTCTGTGAAGACAACCTCAGCAAGAGTGGATGCCAGGAGTTTATATCCAACACTAGGAAAATAAATTCCAAATGTGGAGTGCATACATTGTTCTCTGGGAGTGAGGGTATCCATGGGCTCTTAACTCTGAGAGTTAAGAATAAGGTTTCTCCCAACCAGGAGCTGATGTTCAAGCTGCCTGGAGGCAGACAGGGCCAACTCTCTGGCAGCCAGTTCCCCAGTGTAGGGTGTGGGCTCCCGCCATGACCTTCCCCACCTGGCTGGCCCTGTGTGCTCAGATGCAGTCCTGATGGCCGAGCCCCTGAGAGACTGCCAGGCTCTGCAGCTGCCTCTTCTCTTCAGGCCTTGTTCTGCCCAAGAGCAGGTCCACAACTATCTACGGAATTAGCCTTCAGTGGCAGGAATTGAAGAAGTGGGCCCTAAAGTATGCCTTGAACTGGGAAGGGGCAATCAAGTAGGGAGGCAGATGGGCAGGGCAGCAGGCACTGCCCCACGTGGAGTTTCCCAGCTTCCTCCTTGGTTTCTGGTGCTTTCTGCCATTGTCTCGTTGGCTATAGGGGCTGCTGGGGCATTGGTTCCAGTAATAGGATTGAAAGAAAGCAGCACCTTAGTTTATCAGTCTGGGCTCTGCTACTAATGCTCACCTTGTCTTGGTCAAGTTGATTGACTTTAGGAACATGAAGGGGTTTGAATCACATTGGTGGTTTTCAGCAGGGGATATACCTCTGTGTGGCCTGGGTTGTGGTTTGGACTTAGAATATCCAGGCAATGGGCCTGGTAGAAATGTTTTCAGAAATTCCACCAGTAACTGTGAAGGTCAACACCAGCCTTAGTTCATCTCTGAGGTCCTTGTCACCCCTCATTTTCTGGTGAGGTCCATTGGGCACATTCTCCCACTTGGGGGGTGGTGTGGGTATAGAACCCCAGCATTGTACCAAGAACTTGCAGCATACTAAAGAAAGATACCACTTACATTGTCCAGGCCAGCCCTATTCCAGATTCAGAACTATTAAGTCTCTAATCCTCATAACAACCCCACGAGGATGTAACTTCTATTATCCCCATTTTACAGTGAAGGAAGGAGACGCAGAGAGGTTCAGCTACTTGCTAGTGAGTAGAGAGCTGGGATGCCTACCCTAGTAGTGTATTGTCAATCATCTCTCTCTGTTGCCTCCTGTGCAAGCAAGGAAGGCTGATTAGTGATCCTGCATGTGGCCCATTATGGCAATTATGAGGTTGTCTTTTCCTCAGCTGTTTAGGGGTTTGCAGGTCTGTTATCATCTGTGCCCTAGACTGGAGTTCCTAGAAGGCAGAAACTGTCTTGATAGCTCCAGCGTCCAGTAGTCTGGCATATGGCAAGTGTTCAATTGCTGCTGAGTGAATACATAAATGCATGCATGAATTAATGAATGAATAAGTGAGTGCATGGATGACCAGTGCTGGGACAGAGAGAGGCACGGGATGCTGAGGAATCCAGGGCAGCCTCTGTCAGGGCAGAGGCTCAGAATCAGGCCCCAGAGGGTGGTTTGTGCCATGATCTGTCCATACCCAAGGGGCCCCTAAACAATATCGTCTGTCTCTTTGTACACAGTCCACCTTGTGGAGTTGGCCCAACTACTGGTTGTAGCAAAACCTCCGCCCAGCCCGGGCTGCAGCCTTCCCCGCCCAGGCAGACTCTCCAGTGGAAGGAGGCTCCTCCCCTGGGCTCCAGGGCTTGTATCTTGGGGAAAGGAAGTCAAGCTGGATTTTCACCCACTTCTCTGCCTCCCTCCCATCGCTCCCAGATCATCTGACCATTCACAGGAAGTCCATGGTGGGGTGTGGCTGTTTTTAAGGACTTTGGCATTGTTTCAGGAAAGGAAAAAAAAAAAAAAGCTAAACAAACAACTGCTCAAAACACTAAAACAATTCTCTGATTTGTTTCAAATTTGTATAGGGGATGGGGTTTTCATAAATAGCCAGGCTGGTGGTGGTGTGGAGATGTGATCTTTTGGGCATATTAATAACAACTGCCTCCCTCACCAAGACTAGGCCCTATGTTAAGTGCTTCTGGGGCTTGATCTTATTTAATCCATACATCCCTGGGCCATACTGTGATTATGAGGAGGAGTTTCAGAGAGGTTAAGGGGCTTACCCAAGGGCACACAGCTGCAAAGTGGTTAGAGCAAAGATCTTAAGCCATGTATTTTTTTTCTTTTTTTTTCTTCTTTTGTGACAGGGTCTTACTCTGTTGCCCAGGCTTGAGTGCAGTGATGCAAACATGGCTCACTGCAACCTGGACCTCCCGGGCTCAAGTGATCTTCCCACCTTACCTTCCCATGTAGCTGGGACCACAGGCACAGGCCACCATGCCCAGCTAATTTTTTGATTTTTTTGTAGGAATGGGGTCTCACTTTGTTGCCCAGGCTGGCCTGTAACTCCTGGACTCAAGCAATCCTCCCCACTCTGCCTCCCAAAGTGCTGAAATTACAGACGTAAGCCACTGCACCCAGCCCCAAGTATTTCTTGACTCTGGAGTCAGATAGCCTGGGCTTGAATCCTGACTCTGCTATTTACTATCACGTGACTTCTGGCGAGTTAGTTAACCCCTCTGTGCCTCAGTTTCCTCATTTATAAAATGAAGATAACTGTCTGTTTCATAGGGTTGTTGTGAGCATTCAATTATACACATTAAGCACTTAGAACAGTGCCTGAATCATGGTGAAAGTTCATAAATGTTAGCTATATTTCAATACAAATGGAAATTAACACTTTATTTAATACAAATAGAAATTAACACTTCACTTACTACCTGTTTCTGGTGTCTTTTACTGCTGACATTATATATAGCATTCCACTGACCTTTGACTTTTATATGTACATTCTCCTGACTTTGTGTTTTATCAAATCCTCAATGACACTTATAATCTGTACCATTATCTATAATATACCATTACAGTGTGTACCACTTAAAACAATTTTTAAGACATCTTTGATTATAAAATATGTCCTAATTTCAGAGTGCAGAGATAAAAGTATAACTTTCTTATCAGTGAAATATGGTAAGAATGGTCTGACCCTTTATTACTGAGTTGGGTCCTTCCTGGGTATGAATTCTCCCTGCTCCCTAGATGGCATCTGTATTAGTTGATCTAGATAACAGTTCCACCCAATGCAGTCTGGCCCCTGGACTCTTAACCCAGGGCCAGCCCCAATGGCTGGTATTACTGGCAGGTCAGCTCCAGGCAAGTGGGACTACCCTTGTCTGATACAGCTGGTAGAAGGGGCTCATGTCAGGCCAGGTGTGCTGGCTCATGCCTGTAATCCCAGCACTTTGGAAGGCCGATGGGGGCAGATTGCTTGAGTCCAGGAGTTTGAGACCAGTCTGGGCAACATGGTGAAAACCCAACTCTACAAAAAATACAAAAACTAGTCAGGTGTGATGCCGCGCACCTGAAGTCTCAGCTACTCAGGAGGCTGAGGTGGGAGGATTGCTCAAACCCAGAAGGTTGAGGCTGCAATGAACCATGATTGTGTCACTGCTCTCCAGCCTAGGAGACAGAGCAAGTCTCTGTCTCAAAACACAAAAATAAAATTAAAAAAAAAAAAGGGGCTCACGTCAGCTTGTAACCTGACCTCTTGTTGATCATTAAAGCTAGAGGCTCAACCTGTGACCATGACCAGACAAATAAATAAAGCCAGGGGTGCAGGGTCAGGTGACTTCCTCACCTGCAGTGATTGCTTTGGAGCATCCTGCTCCAGCCTGTTTGAGTTGGATTTGTTCACATTGCAATGAAAATGTGAGATCAGTTCCCAAGGAGAGTGGTGTGTAGGAAAAAACTAACCATCCTTTGGTATCATTTGCCCAGGTGGTGGGCGAAGGACACCTTGTGTGGGTTTCAATGGCCTAATTATATTTGGAGTCATTCCTTCTGCGTTTGTTTTCCCTGTGATTCAATGAAAGGTAGGGAGTGTTGGGAAAGGTTTAGCCTGACATCATGGCTGGCTCTAGGGAGTTGGCAGAGGCACAGGCAAGAACCAATTTAGTCCCATGTACCCCATAAACATATACACCTACTATATACCCACAAAAATAAAATATTGAAATAAAAAATTCATAGAAAAAAAGAGAGCTAATTTTGGTATTTGATGTTGACTGAATGCCCTTCCTAAATGACAGTGCCCGTCTATGGCCATCATGAAAAGAAACAGGGCTCCTGAGACAGATTTATTTTGTGTTTGAGACAGAGTCTCTCTTAGTTGCCAGGCTGGAGTGCAGTGGTGCAATCACAGCTCACTGCAGCCTCTACCTCCCAGGCTTGAGTGATCCTCCCACCTCAGCCTCCAGAGTAACGGAGGAGACCACCCCTCATATTGTCTTATGCCCAATTTCTGCCTCCAAAGAAAGAAGAAGTAAAAACTAAAAGACAGAAATGAAATCCACCAGCAGACAGCCCAGCGCCACACCCTGGGCCTGGTAGTTAAAGATCGACCCCTGACCTAATAGGTTATGTTATCTATAGATTACAGACATTGTATAGAAAAGCACTGTGAAAATCCCCATCCTGTTCTGTTCCGTTCCAATTACTGGTGCATGCAGCCCCCAGTCACGTACCCCTTGCTTGCTCAATCGATCACGACCCTCTCACGCAGACCCCCTTAGAGTTGTGAGCCCTTAAAAGGGACAGGAATTGCTCACTCAGGGAGCTCGGCTCTTGAGACAGGAGTCTTACTGATGCTCCCGGCTGAATAAACTGCTTCCTTCTTTAACTCGATGTCTGAGGGGTTTTGTCTGCAGCTTTTCCTGCTACAAGAGTATCTGGGACCACAGGCACACCACCATGTGCAGCGAATTTTTTAAAAATTATTATTTGTAGAGACGAGCTCTCACTATGTTGCCCAGGCTGGTCTTGAACTCCTGGGTGCAAGTGACTCTCACGCCTTGGCCTCCAAAAGTGCTGGGATTAAAGGTGTGAGCCACTGGGCCCAGCCTGGAGACAGATTAATCTGAATTTACATGCTCGATGGTCTTCTCTTAGCTGTGTGACCTGAGGAGCTGGCCTCTCTGAACCTCCACAGCTATAATACAGGATAATTCTACAGGGTTGTTAAGAAGTACCAGGGATAGTGACGAGCACGTGGTCAGTGCTCAACAGATGGTAGTAGCAGCTGTCAAGTGCCTGCCATGTACCTGACACTGTTGCAGATACAAAATAGAAGCTAAACACTATTCATGGAGGAGAGGTATTATTACAGTATTCTTAGATCAAAGCTCTGAAAGTTACAAGCTGTTAAGCAGCCAAGCCAGCAATCACCTGTCTTTCTTGGGACTGCAGCCTCAGCCAACACTTCTGCAAAGTCCTCTGGGCAGCAGGCCCTGTGGCGAGAAAGTGGGCCAAGCTGCTATATGAACAGCCTCCTGATCTGAGGCCAGATGGGGCCAAGCCTAGAAAGCTGGGTCTTTGCCAGGTGTTGAGCAGCGTGACCCAGACACAGTCTGAGGGAGCTGCTTTCTCCACCCAGCACAAGCTGGATGAGCGTGCACCAGGATGCCCATCCCAGCTCCCCAGGCCAGAGCTACTGCCATGACTGCTGACCGGGGGCTGGTCTCTCACTTGCCAAGGCATCAACAACCACTGTGACCCAAATATCAGCCAGGGGTAGAGTCCAGTGGGAAAAGTTTGAAGGATTTCCTCAGGTGTAAGGAATTTGCATTCTAAATGAGTAACCAACACCCAAGAATGAGTACCTAGCAACAGGCTGTATTTGAAGGAAGTGATGTGGAAATTAGGACTCTGATGGAACTTGAGAAATGGGCAAGATGACTTCTGGCTGGGCCAGCTTATCTGACCACCAAAAACAGGCCATTTAGGTAATGCATCATAAACTCAAATATACAAGAATTGGGTTTGTTATGAAATTGGGTAAAACAAGTGAGACAGGCTCATGTCACCCAGGGGGATGGCAGGGACAACCTTTGACTTGGGGGCTTCCCGGTCCTATTTCCCAGAAGCTGCCTGCAGACCCTTGCAACACAGCAAGGCCACAGTAATGTTTACTGTTTCTCTTCTGAGCTCAACTGTTATCATCCAAGGGAGAACTTGAAGCCTGTGTAATTTCTGCCAAATCATGTTAGGGGTCTTAGAGGTGGCAAGATGGTTGGGGAGTACACAGAAATCACTGTCTGTGCTCTAGCACAGTTTATATCTAATTAAGAAGTTTTGGCCAGGTGTGGGGGGCTAACACCTGTAATCCCAGCACTTTGGGAGGCCAAGGCGGGAGGACTGCTACAGTCTGGGAGATGGAGACCAGCCTAGGCAGCAAGACCTTGTCTCTATAAAAAATACAAAAATTAGCTGGGTGTGATGGTGCATAACTATAGTCCCAGCTACTCAGGAGGCTGAGACAGGAGAATCGATTGAGCTCAGGAGATGGAGGCTGCAGTGAGCCGTGATCATGCCACTGCACCCCAACCTGGGTCACAGGGCGAGACCATCTTGAAAAAATAAAGAAGTTTCAAGGAGGCATTCCTGCTGTTCCTATGCCTTAGTCCATTTGGGCTGCTAGAAGAAAGTACCATAGACTAGATGGGTTATAAACAACAGAAGTTAACTTCTCACAGTTCTGGATGTTGGAAGTTTGAGATCAGGGTGCAGGTCCTCTTCTCGGTTAGACTGTTGTCTTCTCATTGTATCTTCACATGGTGGAGAGGGAATGAGAGCTTTCTAGGGTTCCTTTCACACGGGCACGAATCCCATTATGAGGACTCCGCCCTCATGACCTAATCACCTCCCAAAGGCCCCACTCCCTAATATCATTACATTGAGGATTAGGATTTCAACGTATTACTGGTGGTGGTGGTGGTGGTCGTGGGGTGTGCATACAACATTCGGTCCATAATATTAACTGTGCTTTTCCTCAGCCATTACTGTGAGATTAATATTGTGAATCATACAACTTACTGGGTTTCCCATTTTGTGTGAGTTTGTTTTTGACACAGAGTCTGGTTCTGTCATGCAGGCTGGAGTGCAGTGGCGCCATCTTGGATCAATGCCAACTTTGCCTCCCAGGTTCAAGCTATTCTCCTGCCTCAGCCTCCTGAGTAGCTGGGACTTACAGGCATGAGCCACCACGCCCAGGTAATTTTTGGGGAGTATTTTTAGTAGAGATGGGGTTTCACCATGTTGGCCAGGCTGGTCTCCAGCTCCTGACCTCAAGTGATCTGCCCACCAGAGTCTCCCAAAGTGCTGGGATTACAGGTGTGAGCCCCTGTGCCCGGCCATTTTGTGTGAGTTTGGTGCCAAAATATTTAGCTCACTTGGTGCAAATGTATGTCTTTTAAGATTTCCATTTAAGGCAGGGCGTGATGGCTCATGCCTGTAATCCCAGCACTTTGGGAGGCTGAGGTGGGTGGATCACCTGAGGTCAGGAATTCCAGACCAGCCTGGCCAACATGGCAGAACCCTGTCTCTACTAAAAAAAAAAAAAATACAGCCGGGCGTGGTGGCTCACGCCTGTAATCCCAGCACTTTGGGAGGCCGACGCAGGCAGATCACGAGGTCAAGAGATCGAGACCATCCTGGCCACCATGGTGAAACCCCACCTCTGCTAAAAATACAAAAATTAGCTGGGCATGGTGGCAGGCACCTGTAGTCCCAGCTACTTGGGAGGCTGAGGCAGGAGAATCGCTTGAACCCAGGAGGCAGAGGTTGCAGTGAGCCGAGAATGTGCCACTGCACTCCAGCCTGGTGACAGGGAGAGACTCCGTCTCAAAATAAATAAATAAATAACCCAGGTGTGGTGGCACGGCCTGTAATCCCTGCTACTCAGGAGGCTGAGACAGGAGAATCTCTTGAACCCGGGAGGCGGAGGTTGTGGTGCGCTGAGCCTGCACCACTGCATTCCAGTCTGGGCAACAGAGCGAGTCTCCGTGTCAAAAAATATATATATATACATATATATATATATTTCTGTTTAATATCAGCCTCATTCTTGGCTTTTTTTTTTTGAGATGGAGTTTCACTCTTGTTGCCCAGGCTGGAGTACAATGGTGCAATCTTGGCTCACCGCAACCTCCGCCTCCCGGGTTCAGGCGATTGTCCTGCCTCAGCCTCCTGAGTAGCTGGGATTACAGACGCATGCCACCATGCTGGGTTAATTTTTTGTATTTTTAGTAGAAACGGGGTTTCACCATGTTAGCCGGCTGGTCTCGAACTCCTGACCTCAGGTGATCTGCCTGCCTTGGCCTCCCAAAGTGCTGGGATTACAGGCGAGGGCCACTGCACCTGGCCTCTTGGATCTATTTTAATCATTATCTTTCTCAGGTATCTCTCTAATGCCCATCATCCTTAATCTATTTTTTATAAGAACATTTCATTATTATTCAACAATTCGGAAGCATAAAACGACCCAGTGGAGTAGCCATTTCATTTCTCTTACTTACTGATCTATACTCGAGCAAGTTTGTCCAACGTGTAGCCCACGGGCCACATGTGGCCCAGGATGGCTTTGAACGTGGCCCAACACAAATTCGTAAACCTTCTTAATAACATTATGAGATTGTTTTTGTAATTCTTTTTTAAGCTCATCAGTTAGTGTATTTTATGTGTGGCCCAAGACAATTCTTCCAATGTAGCCCAAGGAAGCCAAAAGATTGGACACCCCTGTTCTAGATGATTTCTATAGCTCACACTTTACTTTTGGAGAACAATTTTTTCAGAAAGAGCCATTGATGCTTCAGCCTTATTTAAAACCAAACAAACACAAACTCACTATAATGACGGTGACAGGCAACACTGTATTATAGGTTTTCCTAACAAAACCTGTAATACTACTTTCAGACCAGAAGACCAACTGTTATGTGGAACTATAAAGAAAATTCCTTAATCAGTATCTTTAAAACAGAAACCAGAAGGATAATGACAGTAGTCTCTAATAGAGAAAATAGTGCTGGAGTTGATAAAAATTGAATTAAATCATTTTTTCCTTCTCCAATTCCAGCCCTATTCAATCATTTTCTGATTCCTCAACTGTTAAGATAAGCCTAGACTGGTCAGGCACTGTGGCTCATGCCCGTAATCCCAGCACTTTGGGAGGCCAAGATGGGCAGATCACTTGAGGCCAGGAGTTCAAGACGAGCCTGGCCAACATGATGAAACCCTATCTCTACTAAAAATACAAAAATTGGCCCAGCTCACGCCTGTAATCCCAGCTACTCAGGTGGCTTATGCACGAGAACCACTTGAACCAGGGGAGGCAGAGTATGCAGTGAGCTGAGATTGCACCACTGCACTCCAGCTTGGGTGACAGAGCGAGATCCTACCTCAAAGTAAAAAATAAAAGCATACATAATGTCAAAAAACAACCACACAAAGCTACCCCACCCACCTGTAATAAAACAGGTCACTTTATACCTGGCTCAGACCAGATTTTTGCTGGTGGCTAAAGAATGCTTTATGGATCAAAGGGCAGGTTGAGATTGCCTACTTACGTTCATTCCTTCCAAGCATCTTACCATAAACATCTGCCAAGGTTATGACGAGCATGTCACTAGGTTGCATTTTATTAGTTGCTGCCAACAGCTCTTACTTCTGATGGAAAAGAATTTAACAACAACAAAAAAACCCAGTATACTCCAACTTATGCTTTTTCTATGCTTTTATCACCAAATGATAGTACATCCATATATAACTCTAGATATTTGTTTTATAGTCCACACACTTGCTAGTTAAAATGTATTATCATAAGCCACAGTCTGTTCAGAATTACTTGGGTAAAATGCTATGTCACCTACAAACCCTCATCTGATTAATATGGAGGTTGTAATCACTGTCTCAATGGTTTCAGGCTCGTGAAACTTCTCATGCTATTTTCTTACGCCTGTGCTGGCTGGCTGACGGCCAAGTCCTCTGCCTCTGCCACTGCCTCAACCCATAAGCATGCTACAGTGCAGTCCAACCTTTTTTGGTCTTGCCGACCCAAGAGCAGTGTAAACCAGTTGAATCCAACTGCATCACAGTCACAGCAGGCAGGAAATTTCAAGGATCGTTAAGTTTAAGATTTGCCAACCTAAGATCAAGTTATAGGTTTTAAAGTGATTTCATTATCGCAAAAGGATAGCTTGGCTGCTGAGTGTGATTTTCCTATGTTCACATGTACTCCATGGGATTCTAAAACAGAAAATTAAATCTGAACATAAATGATCTGCCAGTTCTCCAAATGACAGGCTTGTGGCAAAATAGGAGAGGCAGTGTCATTTTCAAATCATGTAGCTAGAATCTGATCCAAGTCCATAATCAACGTCTTCCCTATTTTCCTTTGGTCCTTCAGTCTGTTATTACTGTTATTACCTTCTTCCCCACAGACAAATGGAAAATTCAAACATGTTTCTACTTGACATATACGCTGCAATCTTCCTTTCACACTGGCACTCACTATGGTTTTCACGAGAAGAGGTGGCAAACAGGTGAACATCTCACAGAATGTAGCTTCCAAAAATGCTGTTTTGGGCCAGGTTCGGTGGCTCACACCTATAATCCCAGCACTCTGGGAGGCCGAGGCGGGCGGATCACGAGGTCAGGAGTTTGAGACCAGTCTGGCCAACAGTGAAACGCCGTCTGTCCTAAAAATACAACAAAAATTAGCTGGGCGTGGTGGGGGAGCGCCTGTAATCCCAGCTGCTTGGGAGGCTGAGGCAGGAGAATTGCTTGAACCCAGGAGGTGGAGGCTGCAGTGAGCCAAGATCGCACCACTGCACTCCAGCCCAGGTGACAGTGTGAGACTCCGTCTCAAAAAAAATAAAAAATAAAAAATAAAAAAAGCTGTTTTTACTTGACTGGATATGTTGGTGTGGAAAGCAAAAATAATGCAATGATATGAAAAGTAATGGTATCTTATTTATTTAGAGTCTTACTCTGTCACCCAGGCTGGAGTGCAGTTGCGTGATCTCAGCTCACTGCAACCTCCATTTCTCCAGTTCAAGCAATTCTCTTGCCTCAGCCTCCTAAGTAGCTAGGAGTACAGGAACCCACCACCATGCCCAGCTAATTTTTGTAATTTTAGTAGAGACAGGGGTTTCACTATGTTGGTCAGGCTTGTCATGAACTCCCGGCCTTAAGTGACCCACCTGCCTTGGCCTCCCAAAGTGCTGGGATTATAGGTGTGGGCCACTGCGCCCGGCCAGTGTATTTTAAAATTATAAAGCCGATATATTACAAAGTAAAATGCAGGGGAAAAAAAGTCACAAGAAGTATAAAGATTAGATGCTTCTTGTGCTTCTTTTTGTAAAATACAGATGATCCTCAAGAAGTAACTTGAGCAGATTTTCTACTGGCTTTCAAATTGATAACCCTACACCCCCTATAAATTTTTACATTCCTTAACAGAGCTAACCATAGGAACTTCCAAATAATTTCTCAGTGGAAATGAGTCTTCAAAATCACACATGGCTCATAAGAGTTTTGCTTTTTTAATGCCTTCTCAAAGGACCCAGACTGCTAGATTTTCATAATAACTACTTTAACCAGATAGACTTACTATAGGCTGGTAGTTCCCCACTAAAAGATACTTTTCTCTTGCTTAGTAGTCACCTTCCTGTGTTCTAGAGCTTCCCTATGCTTTTAAAATATGCATTATTACAACAGTTCTCCTAAAAACAAAACCACCATAAGAGCTGCTGCACTCGGGGAGCCCTGAATGAATTCTAGAGCAGCGCCTGAGTCCTGCATTCTTTCTTCATTGTCCTTTTTGCTTAATTTGCCTGTGGTGTACCATCAACCTTACAATGGAGACAGAGAGAAAGTACTCCACCTAACCTATTTAAGAAACATTTGCAATATACTGTTTTTTTTTTTTACAAGTCTTTAATTAAAAAACTCAACAAAAATATATAATTGAGCATTTTACATAATGCATACATTCTTAATATCTGCAGGTAAGATAAACAACAGAAGGCAAAAGCAGATATGCTGTATTGCTTCTTTGGCAACTCACCAATATCATCCCCTGCAGAAACAGAGTTTTTTTTTTTTTTTTTAAATCCATGGTCTTAAAATAATTGTCCCTTAGTATAAACAAAATATTTAGCAATAATACAGTAGACGGATTCTTCAAATTCACAACAATTTATAATACTTTATACCACAAGGGTAAACTAGTAAGCTGCTTTCTAAAATTAAGGCAGCAGCAGTGTTTAGAGGGGGAGTAAAAAAAAAAAAAAAGACATCCTTTTTCTAGTTATATCCTGGCTCTGCCTTCTTTGTTGTTGTTTTTAAATAACGTCACATTCAAGCTCTACGTCTTGGATGACATTCCTAAGGATAATAAAATCCTTTTCCCTGTACATAAACTGTGTTTCACTTCCAGATCAGTCTGACACTCTCCAACAAAACCAAATACATTTCGTATGAGGCAACACAATTTTTTTTTTTTTTTGAGATGGAGTCTCGCTCTGTTGTCCAGGTTGGAGTGCAGTGGTGTGATCTTGGCTTACTGCAACCTCCACCTCCTGGGTTCAAGCAATTCTCCTGCCTCAGCCTCCCAAGTAGCTAGGACTACAGGTGTGCACCACCACGCCTGGCTAATTTTTTTTTTTTTTGTATTTTTAGTAGAGACAGGGTTTCATCATGTTTGCCAGGCTAGTCTCAAACTGCTGACCTCAGGTGATTTGCCCGCCTCACCCAATTCAACTTTCGTAAGTCAGTATTTACCATCTAACTCAGTGTCCCAGAATTTAAAATTTCCTTGCACTTTACAGCAAAGATACATATTGTGGCTCTACTGAAGCAATATATACATGTCAGAACTAAAAATCAGAAAAGCAAAAGGGTCCATTCAACATATAGCAGCTTATATCTAAATATGTACAGGTATGTATGTTTTCACAGTTAGATCTTTAAAAAAATTTATATTTGATATGTTCAGAAATACTTCTATTGTCTATAAATAATATTTTAAAAGCTCAACTGATCAAAATGCAGTACAAGAACATATCAAATTAAATAAATCTTCTACGTCTTTAAAAACAGATAATTGAAGTCAGTAAAGCTTGAGGTTTGTGTTAAGTGTATTCTGTCAGTCCCTACTACTAGGGAAGGCAGAATCTTCTAAATACGATACGAGAGAAACTCCAAAAGCTTGGAAGGAATCGGCAGCTCCTGAACTTCTTGGGTGGGCATCACTCTTCGGATTGACATGCGACATAAATGTTGCAGGCTAGGGACCTGCCGTGGAGTGGCCCAAAAATACACACTTCCGTCATGTGTCCTAAACAGAAACAAAGCACATGCTTAGTCACCCAAGTATATGTATTTCAGTGTTGCTACAGCTCAAACAACTATCACCCAATACATGTGAGTAGTGGAGTCACAAACTTCACATTAAAACCCAACCAGGAAGAACTAACCAATGATGTATTCCATGACAAGGTAACACTACTATGAAGAACACTTATTAGAGTTTTACTGACAATAAATTACTAGCTGCTAAAAGCCCCCTTAAATTGGCCCTTAAAGAAAAGAGAAAAATGGGCCAGGTGTGGTGGCTCACGCCTGTAATCCCAGCACTTTGGGAAGTTGAGGCGGGAAGATCACTTGAGGTCAGGGTCAGGAGTTTGAGACCAGCCAGGCGAACATGGTGAAATCCCGACCCTACTGGAAAAACGAACAAACAAATAAATTAGCCAGGACTGGTGGTGTGCACCTGTAGTCCCAGCTACTCGGGAGGCTGAGGCAGGAGAATCTCCTTGAACTGGAAGACGGAGGCTACAGTGAGCAGAGATTGCACCACTGTACTCCAGCCTGGGAGACTACATCTCAAAAAAAAAAAAAAAAAAAAAAAAAAGAGAAAAATATATTTACCCAGCAGCTAAAACACTGCCATCAGTAGAGAAGGCACAGCAAAGACCATTGCTCAAAGGTGCAACTTGCACTGGATAATCCTCATCAATTCTCCAGAACCTCACCATTCTGAAAATGAAATAAATTATTTAGTATCTTGTAGAAAATGTAAGGTAAAAGCAACTTTTTTAAAATTTAGAAAGAAATGCCATTGAGTTATGAGTCACAAAATACACACATCACACCAACAGGCAATTATAATAACTTGCTTTATACAATTACAAAATATTTTAAGGTCTATAATATCAGTTGGTAAATTGGATAAACTTTCACTTAAGAGACTACAATGCATGGCTGCCTTCCCTCCTTCCCAGTGTTCAAACCTAGAATGTTCACACCCGGAAACTTTCTCCTTACTTTCCTACACTTACAATACAATCAACTTCTAGTCTGTTTCACCCTTTTCCCAAGACATTTTTAAAAGCTAGGTGGGCCTGGTAGCTCACAACCATAATCCCACCACTTTGGGAGGCCGAGGTGGGTGGACTGCTTGAGCCCAGGACTTTTAAGACCAGCCTGGGCAACATAGGGAGACCCTGTCTCTACAAAAAATTTTTTAAAAAAACTAGCCAGGTGTGGTGGTATACCCCTGTGGTGTGAGATACTCGGAAGGCTGAGGTGGGAGGATCACCTGAGCCCAGAAAATCAAGGCTGTGGTGAGATGTGATTGCACCACTGCACTATAGCCTGGGCAACAAAGCAAGACCCTGTCTCCAATAAACAAACAAAAAAAACCAGGAAAGGAAAAAAAGCTTTTCACCCAGGCTGAGTGTGTCTACAAATACAGCAGAGAACTAACATGCAGAATCTATCTGAGCAAACAGGAAACAATGGTTGCAGACAAACAAACAAAAAAAACCTCTCTCCATATGTTTGCTAACATTCTGGGAAGAGAAGAGCTGCCTTATGAATTGACGTCACCGAACTACTCAATGCTATATGCATGAACACAGATGGTTGCAACTAGTTTCTGCTTCTTACCAACAAGCAGCACATATCATTCATGTGACATTTCATATTCTAATCTCAATCATGGTGGATACAAATTACTATTTATTTGTAATTCTTTTGGTTTTACTATTTGTTTCACTTTAGAAATTTCCTTCTGCTTCAACCTTTGTTAAGACATTACTTTAAAAAATCTCTGTAAGCTGGGCTAAAAGCTGACTAAAAATCAACCCACTATGCCTAAACAAGTTAAACAAGGAACACAGGGAGAGGCATGCATTATCTTTAGTTTACACAGATAATTGTTCAGGCCGATATTCTTTAAGACACAACAAAATCTCCCAGGGGCTTGTGTTGAGGAAGAGACATTAAAACTCTTAACTGCAGAAAGGCTTTAAGGCTTAAGAATGTAAAAGGTAATAGTAAGTCAGTCAAGCTATAATGCACATACTTACTTATCATCAGCAAGGCTTGCAACATGCAGTCCATCATGGCTAAAAGATACAGATCGTACCCACCGGTCATTTGCTCCTCCAGCAAATATTGGAGTAGGTGGGGGAAACAGGTGCCTGAGGTCAAATATATGTTTTCAGTGGATATCAGTCACTTCAAGAAAACAAAATTACCCAGGTACAAAGTACATCTGTCTTTGAATAGTGTTTAAAGTAGCCTTAATTAATATAACTGAGAAGACTCAGTAGAGATGATACATCCAAATTAAAGTCACCTGAAAAGAACTAATCTTTTATGGTCGGGCGCAGTGGCTCATGCCTGTAATCCCAGCACTTTGGGAGGTTAAGGCAGGTGGATCACGAGATCAAGAGATTGAGACCAGCCTGACCAACATGGTGAAACCCCATCTCTACTAAAAATACAAAAATTAGCCAGGGGTGGTTGCAGGTGCCTGTAAGCCCAGCTACTCAGGAGGCTGAGGCAGGAGAACTGCTTGAACCCAGGAGGTGGAGGTTGCAGTGAGCTGAGATTGCGCCACTGCACTCCAGCCTGGCGACAGAGCAAGACTCTGTCAAAAAAAAAAAAAATCTTTTATGATTTAAGACAGTAAGATTAAGTCCAACTTTGGTTTTAACTGTTTTTCTCCAACAAAAACTCTAAACATAATTAGTACTTCTATAGAGAGCTGGGTACTGTTAAGTAGCAAGACTTGTATCAAGAGAGCCAAATTTACTTTTAGAATTTATATCGAAGGCTTTCCATTAGTCAAGGGCTTAAATAATACCAACATTTTAAATTAGAATAGACTGTAATTTTAGGTTGCATATATTGGTGATTGTAATTATTCACATAACTTGATAGGTGGAGATGAATTATAGACTAAAATAATTCATGCTGTACCCACCCAAATTCCATCAGAATGTCTCCATTATGTGGATCCCAGATATATACTCGAGTATCATAAGATGCAGTAGCCAGTAATGCTCCATCAGGAGAAAAGTCACAAGCTACCACATCATGGTGATGTCCTTCTAGTTTCCGTATCATGGTGTATTTATCCATATTCCAAAGGAAAACCTGCAATAAAAAGGCAAATGTTATAGCTTCATTCAGACATACAGAGGACAAAATGGCACATCTTATACTAAAACTGCTAAATTTAATTAAGATTATATTAAGCATTATAAATTATGAGTAATTTAAAGAATATGCTCAGTGTCATAGTCAGATTAAAATCAGTCTTTAAGTTAATTAAGGCAGACATGCAAATTCTATTTCAAATGTTTCTGTTAAATGTTAATTTAAAAATAAGCCTAAACATAAAATAAAGGCAATGCAATTTAACCACAAAGCTATACTGAAATCCATTTATTCCAAAAACTAATTAACTAAAATATACGGAAATAAATAGGGTTAAGTACTACAAACCCCCTTCTCTTTTTTTTCCAGAAACTACCAGATTTTTAAAAAAATATACAGACAGAAAACGTAAGGTTAACAAATTGTTACTCCATTGGCATCTCCCTTTGAGATAATCACTTGTTTACAATAGGCTTGGGTCACCAACTTGAGCCTAGGAAGAGAAACAGATACTGCAAGCAAATAGAATATTCACAGCCAAATGAAATTTCTTTGGCAAACAACAAGGATGTTAAACCACATTACAAAATGAAAATGCTATTTTATGAAAATAATACAATTACATTTCAATAAATCAAAATTTAACCATCTTATTTTTCCCAAACTAACCACGATCATAAGTCATTTGAATATAAAACGGTTCAATTATTTAAGAATAAGTTCATATACAATTTTAGATTCTAAAGATCAGTAGTTAACTGTGCAGAATAGCTCTAAACAGGATTCTAATGTTTACTTCAGTCTGTTATATTAAATGTGAGCTTGGAGGTTTATCCTAAGACAATCTCTCCTCTTGGAGTAAAGCAATCCTTTTTGGTTTTTTTTTTTTCTGCACAGACACAATACATTATTTCTAAAAGAAAATAAGTACAAATTTTAAATTGAATCAAAGACGTAAGATATCTCTGGAATCTGAAAGAATTCCAAAAAATAGCACAGAGAAACCATTTGAAAGCCAAATACTTTACATTAAATTGGTTTCACTTGTCAGACTCCCAATTCCATAAAACTGGAAAATCAATTTACTCAGGAGTCAGTGTATTTTACTGTGGGGGAAATTACTTTAAAAAAGAAAAAAAGAAAGAAAGAAAAGCAGAAAGTGGACATCGACCAGCACCTGTGTACGTACAGTACACCTTGCAGCCGAATGCAAGGTTACTTCATCCTATGGTAAAGGTCGCCCCCAGCCCGGTAGCCAGAGATGCCACTCTTTCTGCCCAGCTAACACCATTGTGCGCCTGTGTGCGAGTGGTGCCAGCATAACCTCAATCACACCAATATTGCTGCCACCACCTGTGACAGGGAAAGCAAGAAGCATATGGAAAACACACAGCCTAAAATAGCAATGTCAACATCTAATTTTGTTCTTCTTATGATTTGTAAAGAACTAAACTGAGTATCTTGCTTTAAACTTCCAACATTTATAACTATCATTTTAACATACTCCTTGGGTAAATAAAATGCATTTCAACTAGCCTCCCACCCTCCATTAATTCAAAGTGTATTGTAATTATCACATGTATTTGGACTTCAACCATTTTATAAATACTTGAAGCTACTGAGATCAATTTAACTATACTAACAGAGCTGGTAAACAACTACAAGAGTTCATCAATAAGCATAACCCTCTTAACAGTCACTTTACTTAAGCTGTCTATAGGTATGCTATGTAAGACAAACAATATCAAATTTCACCTATAACTGTAGGACATACATGAGTGCTATTTTTATATTATTTTAAGTTACTTTTTTTTCAGTTAAATGTACAGGACCAGCTGGGACTCAAAACTTTAAAAACAGCAAACTGGACCAAAAAAATAGAACAACAGAGAAGAAAATAATTAGCAAGGGAATGTCTTAACATATAGACTAGATCTCTTCTACAGCACATAAACTTTTCTAGACTTACAAAAAAAAAAAACCCTGATATGCCCATTATTATCTATTATCTCTAAAAACAATCCAACTTCTCACTTGGCAATCAATAACTATATTTAATTTCCTTCATGCAAATTCTCCCCCATCATGAAATAAAACATTTAAAATATTCATGACACCGAGCACAGACTTCATAGGTTACTTAGATTTAAAATGATTATGCACACATTATCATAATCCAATTCATAATGAATGTACAAGAACTTTGACACGTACTGCTTTACTGGCTCCGACTGAACACAGCATAGAAGAGTCAGGAGAGAATGCACAGCTGTACACCCAATTCTGATGCCCCCTCAATACTTTCATCATGTTTCCTGAACAAAAAGAAATAATCTGTATTAACCCTAGAATCCACTTCAAATGAGCAGTATTTCAAAACAGCAGTAAAGCAAAGGATCACAAACATTTATAGCTGAAAGCAATTTATCTATAACAAGGGTTACCGATATACACCAGCTGCTTAGGTTTTAAATTTTACTGGAACACAATCCTGTCCATGTGTTTATGTTGTGCTCTACAGCAGACAGCATGGTTCACAAGCCTCAAATATTCAACATCTAGCCCTTCAAGAAAAAGTCTGGGGCCTGGCGCGGTGGCTCTTGTCTGTAATTCCAGCACTTTGAGAGGCTGAGGCAGGTGGACTGCTTGAGGCCAGGAATTTGAGACAATCCTGGCCAACAGGGTGAAACCCATCTCTACTAAAAAACATTAAAAAATCAGCCGGGCATGGTGGCGCATGCCGGTAATCCTAGCTACTTGGGAGGCTGAGGCACAAGAATTACTTGAACCTGGGAGGCAGAGGCTGCAGTGAGCGGAGATCACGCCGCTGCACTCCAGCCTGGGCGAAAGAGCGAGACTCCATCTCAAAAAAAAAAAAAAAAAAAAAAAAAAAAGACAGAATTCTTTTAGTCCAATCCCCTTATTTTAAAAGTTAAGCAACTGGAACACAACAGCAAGGTTAAGAAACTTGACCATCTTCAAAATGCCTTTTCATTCTTCATTTTTGAGAACCTACAACTCACTCCAAAGTCCTTGTGTATTATACCCACAGCACACAACTATGCTTAAGTATACTGAACTCTTAGTTTTACAAATACTTACTGAGTGCCTACGCATGCCAGGCCCTATGCCGGCACTGAGGATATAACTGGAAATAAGGCAAGGACCCCACTATCTTGGAGCTTATATTTTACTAAGACTATGTTCTTAAAACATGTACATTGCTGAAATTAGTTTGAGATAAGCAAGCATCATTCGATATGCAAAATAAAAAAATTATTAAAATATTTCAACTGTTGGCATCCCTTTGCACCTCAACAGCTGAGCAGATAAAACACAGAGAAGGTCCTTCATGATTTGTTAATGTTAGCATAGAACTTTATTAAGGAATGGTTACTATCTATCAGCTGGAACATCTCCAGATCTGAGGGTTTTGTTTCCTACTAATTCAATTTAAGCTTTATTACCCCTAGGCAAGCCTGTTAACCTCCAGCTTGAGGCTGTTAGAGCACCAACAGACCTTACATTTAAGGTTTTAGTTAAACATATAAACTCTTTCATTAGGGACTGAGAAAGGGAAGAGATGCTCATCTCAAATGAGGTAGCATCTCCAAAACTTTGTAAGGCTTTAGAGAAAGGTGAGTACTTGACACCAACGTATCTTTCTATTGTATTGGACAGTAAATCTTTCACTTTTTATAAAAGCACTTCTTAACCTAGCCAATTTAACGTTTACTAATATTCACATGTTATAAGTTCTGGTATGTAGGTCATGTTTCAATTTAAATTTTATTAGATACTAAGTTACTTCAAGACCTACCTAAATTTTCACTCAGCCAATACAGTAAGTTAATAACCCTCCCTAAGAGGACATAAACACAGACTGGTTCCTGTAAAATCCCAAACCTGATCCATATTTGGTCCTCAGATAGTTGATACAGATTTATGTGGTTAGTTTCTGAATAATATCAGATCATTTACTTCGAATAACTGTTGGCTCCTATTCTGGGTCACATTTATGTTTTTCTTTGATCTATTCAGGAAAGGAACCTAAGTGTTAAGGCAGAGAAAAGGAACTTTGATCACATGTCATTTTTAAAGTCAAATGCCCCACATGTTCCCAATACCTCTCCATAGTAGTATCAAGAAACAAATCCTAGTTCATAGCTTGGAAAAAAGACATACCATCATCTTTCAGGTCCCATACTCTGAGAGTTTTGTCTCTTGAAGCTGACACCAGGATCAAGCTTCCATCTGGAGCAAAAGTTAAATCTCTGACCACTTCAGTATGATCTACCAAGTTAAGGAGGAGTTTTCCTAAATATGATAGAAAAGGGAAAAAAAAGACAGTATTAATATATTTTTGTTTTGTTCTTATTTTTCTTGAGACAGGGTCTCACTCTGTCACTCAGGCTGGAGTGCAATGGCGTAATCTTGGCTCACTACAGCCTCGACCTCCTGGGTTCAAGCAATCCCCCTACCTCAGCCTCCGAAATAGTTGGAACTACAGTTACAAGTCACCACGGCTGGCCTTTTTTTTTTTTTTTTTTTTTTTTTTTTTGGAGAGATGGAGTCTCACTATGTTGCCCAGGCTGGTCTAAAACTCCTGGGCTCAAGTGATCCCCCAGCTTTGGCCTCCCAAAGTGCTGGAATTACAGGCATGAACTTTAAAATATAAAATCAAATTATTTCTTTGCTTGTTATTTCCCTGGCCTAGGAATGTTAAGCTCCTCAAAAGATACAAGTTATCCCACAACTTTAGTTTTCAAACATGATCCCAGTGAAAAAAAATGTATTTAACTAATAATGTAAGAGCTTTGTTTTCTAAGACAATCTATGTGTTCATCTTGTTTTTTTCAAGAACCCAAATTTTGACTCATTATCACCTATGTTAGTATCACTTGTTATGTTCTAATGTACATGTTCTTTTAATGCTTCTTTAAAAATCCTTTATGTTTTTGAGTACATATTATATGCCAGAAAGTGTTTTAGGCAATAAGCAACACATTTATTTCTAGTTGCCCAAAGAATTTAACTTCTCAATCTATCTAAACTTTCACTAAACCTTTCCAAGGTGAGATGATTACTGAAATCTGATTTACCTCGAAAACCTCTAAGCTATCAATCATTGAAAAAGCATAAACAAAGAAAACACCTTGACATGTGAGTCATTAACTAAATAACTAGTTTATAAAGGACAACTAACTAAACATTCCCTGGAAAACCCTTTCCTACTGTAATACTCTCTAAAGAGTGATGAAGCAATATGAACTCCATAGTTTTCCTAAATTAAAATCATGAGCTGAAGAAGGTGACATTCAGGTCTATTATAAAGACGCACCTATGCCATCAATTCTTGCTTTTCAGTAAGCTGAAATCCTCAAATCCCAATTCCAGTGCCTATAAGCAGTGCCCTGCATCATAAAATAATACATTTGCTTTAAAAACTATGAATCCATACCTGTATATACATCCCATATTTTGATACGCCCATTGTTCAACCCTGTAGCAAGAAGTAGCTGATCTTGTCCAAATCTGAAGCGATGCCATTCTATATTTACACAGCGACTCTGTTTTTCTGGAACTGATGACCCAAAAGCAAGACTCCAGACTATATCTCCACAGTCTATAATATGTTCACGAGGCTTATTTTTCTGACCACCATCACTATTTTGTCTTGGCAATCTTAAACTGCTTGAATTGGTAACATTCTTGGTGCCATGCAAGAGACTGGAGTGGGGGAAGTCAGATGGAAATTGTATTATTATTCACTCTGGACTCCTCTGGACATTGAATAATTACAAGTGTTTGTTAAAATAACCTCAATATTATTATAATGACACCAAATAACAATAGAATCCTATAGATAGGAAGGGAAAGGTTGATATTTGAACTACGAGAGAAGGACATTAATAGAAATTCTCAGTGACTGAGTAGTAAGTTCAACAATAAAGCAATTTATATTATAACTTATTTGCCTCCCAAATTTTCCTCAAAACCACCGAATCAACTGGTGCTCCTTCAACCTAAAAACACAAGTATAAATAAGCAAAAAACAAACAAACAAACAAAAAAACCCAGTAACTTAAGATATGGTCAAGCTGATATCAGAAAATTGCCTTAAAGGGGGAAAAAAATCCTCAAACCATAATGATCAGTTTCCCATAGGTTCCAGACCTCAAGTTATATGTAATGAGAACATTAGTGACTATAACCATGAAGGTCTGCTAGACACAAAAAAAACAGGGAAAGATCCAATATAGCACATGATACATTTTAGAAAAACTTTCAACAAACATCCAAACTCAATTTACCCCAAACAGAGGGACTATAAGTCCATTAAAAACAAAAACAACAACAACAACAACAAAGGGCCAGGCTCGGTGGCTCACGCCTGTAATCCCAGCACTTAGGGAGGCTGAGGAGGGTGGATCACCTAAAGTCAGGAGTTCGAGACCAGCCTGGCCAACACGGTGAAACCCCTGTCTCTACTACTATGCACCAGGGTTATCCAACAAAATGTAAAATCCAAAGTGAATCCAAAAAGCTTCACATCACAGAAGTCACCTACTCTGGCACAACACTATATATATATATACACTTGTTAGACACAATCTGACTTTTAACATACAGAAAAACTTAATGTATAAATAACACCAGACAATTCTTTTTTTTTTTTTTTTTTTGAGACATTATTTGGCTCTGTCACCCAGGCTGGAGTGCAGTGGTGCTATCTCGACTCACTACAACCTCCGGCTCCTGGGTTCAAGCAATTCTTCTGCCTCAGCCTCCCGAGTAGCTGGGACTACAGGTGTGCCACACCACGCCCAGCTAGTTCTTGTATTTTCAGTAGAGATGGGGTTTCACCATGTTGGCCAGGCGGGTATCAAACTCCTGACCTCAAGTGATCTGCCTGCCTTGGCCTCCCAAAGTGCTGGGATTATAGGCCTGAGCCGCCGCGCCCGGCCCAAAGAATTCTTTACACAAAATTTCCAATAAATATATTCAGCCCATGATTAAAACTCACGACATCATCTATAAAGTAAAACTTAAATATCAAAATGTTTTTATTACCCTACACTGAGAGAAAATGGTAAATTCCACAAACAGATACAAAATACAGAAAAGTAACAGTCTTACAAGTTCTGAAGGCACTGGGACCACGGAACAAGCTTTACTGTGCGATGTCCTTGTGACCAAGCAAAGTATGAACCATCTGGAGCAAAAGCAACAGTCCAATTTTCACGACCACATTTCTTGTCAAAAGGAGCTGCAGGAGCTAAAAGTTCACCTATAGTACGTAATCTCACTAAAAGGAAAAATAAAAATACTGGATATCATATATAACCAACAATACATGTGAGACTGCTTCCATATTACTTTGGGATTGAGTTTCTTCCCTCTTCTATGCAGACAGGGTATAGTGAGTTCTGCATTCCATCCTCTAACGGGGGGTATGCAGTATATGAAGACCCCTTAACGATAATGACTATCTCCAAGTTTTGATAAAGTGATTTCCCTAAAATTTCCCAATGCAAGAGTTTTTAAGAAAGTTTCCGTAAAAAAAACTGGTCAATAATAATGTAATGACCAATTAGACCTAACAATTACAAAAGTCCTAACTTTTGCATTGTATTACGTTCTCATCAAATTATTAACATTTAAAATGCAAGAAATTAAACTTAGTTGGCAGGAAAAGTATCTTCCAAATTAAGTTTCTTAGCTTTCAAAAACCATACCTCACCATAAAATACAATATTACACCATTACTCAAAGGAAAGCACTACAAAATACACTATCCAAACAAGTATTTTTACCCTTTTCAGGCCCAGGTCACAAAAATCACAAAACCCTCAGAACTAGAAGAGACTTACAGGTTGTCTAGTCCAACCCTCCAAACCAGTGCTTTAAAAAGGCATTATAGGCCGCGTGTGGTTGCTCACACCTGTAATCCCAACATTCTGGGAGGCCAAGACAAGCGGATCACTTGAGGTCTGGAGTTTGAGACCAGCCTGGCCAACATGGTTTGAAACCCTGTCTCTACTAAAAATACAAAAATTAGCTGGGCGTGGTGGTGGGCGCCTGTAATCCCAGGATGAAGCAGGAGAATTGCCTGAACCCAGGAGGCGGAAGTTGCAGTAAGCCAAGAAAGTGCCACTGCACCCCAGCCTGGGCGACAGAGTGAGACTCCATCTCAAAAAAAAAATAAGCTAAAATAAAAGAAAATGCATTATAGCCGGGCATGGTGGTATGCTGGAGTGTGTCTGTAATCCCAGCTTCTTGGAAGGCTGAAGCATAAGAACTGTTTGAATCTTGGAGGTGGAGACTGCAGTGAGCCAAGACTGCATCACTGCACTCCAGCCTGGGTGACAGAGCAAGACTGTCATAAAAAAAAAAAAACAAAAAAAACCAAAATGCATTATATTTGTGATTCTCAAATACTGGTCCTTAAGAGTCTTCCTAATAGGCCTCAAACTGACTCAAAAATGGAATTATTTTGGTTTTTAAGGACAAAAAATGGACAATGTCATATATTTTAAATTCAGATTACTCAAATTTTGTATTCCTAACAAAAATTGGCATATTACCAGAGTATATGGAGAATATTACTTCCATATTTAACAAAAAGCATGATCAACAAGCTCATACTGCAATGCATGCATGCAAACTCAGCTACAATTTCCTCAATTTGGGGAAAGGAGCCTCTTTATCAGTGTATCACCTATTTTGGGTTGGTCTTAATTTTCCCTATTACCTATTTTGTGGTCAGTTGTCTGGTCAATTGTACACTGTATAATAATATATTTTTATGTATTTCTGGTTTAAACTTTCCAACACCTAAGCTTTAATATATTCTATGTTATTGCTGTTCACATAAGAACCCCTTACACTGATATAGCTAGAGAACCTGGACATGGACACACCCACCCCCAAAATGTACTTCTTCAGCCTGAATGTATGCTCCATCAACAGCTAGTATAGCACCTGGCATATGACAGGTGCTCAGTAAATATTTACGGAATGAATATGAAAGCACACATTTATGCTCCCATTCTAAAGTGATTTAAATATGTTATCTGCCCAATTCTTGACACCTTAACAAATAGGTGTGGTTTAGAAAGCAAAAACAAAAAGCCTGAGACCTACTTTTCTATGATATTCATAATAAGGCTTACACTATTTTGGTGCAACTGAGACCGTTTTTAATGACTCAAAATCTTCCTCCTACCACTCTACCCACTCAGTACTGATTCTGACCTAAGAGAATAAGCCTGCTGCTATCCTCATATGGCATTTATATATTGAAGATAGCCATCAATGAATCTTTTTTACCAGGCTAAGAGATCTCTATCCTTTCAATCATACCTTAGATCACATGGTTTCAAGTCCATTTCCCATCCTAACTTCATCATACTTTTCTGGATAAATTCTAGTTAGTACTGGCCCTCATAAAAGTGGCACCCAGAACTAACCACAATACTTCAGGTGTGGTTTAATCAAAGCAGCAGAGTCCCCCACCCACCCCATATTAGCACAGCATAAGATGACATTAACTTTACTAGCCGTCACATAACTTTGTTTTTTTGAGTCAAGGTCTTGCTCTGTCATGCAGGCTGGAGCGCAGTAGCACAATAACTGCGCACTGTAGCCTTGAACTCCCAGGCTCAGGCGATCCTCCTGCCTCAGCCTCCCAAGTAGCTGGGACCACAGACATGCACCACTACACCCGGTTAATGTTTTTATTTTTGTAAAGGTAGGTGTTCCTTTTGTTGCCCAGGCTGGTCTCAAACTCCTGGGCTCAAGTGATCCTCCCACCTTCAGCCTCCCAAAGTACTGGGATTACAGATGTGAGCCACATAACTTTCTTAATACAAAATTCACAAACTTGGTGACCCTCAAATGCCTGCAGATACCTTTAACATACAAATGATTTCAGAAAGAGCATGCTGCTCCAGGTTTCCTTACAATTTTCCCAAACCTACAGCCTTATTTGTTCCTTTTACCAGGGTTCTTTATATGCCTGGCCTCTGAATTTGCAACCCCTGCCTGCTTAATTTTTTAGACAGGGTCTTGCTCTGTTGCCAAGGCTGGAGTGCAGAGGCAAACTCGTAGGCTTAAATGATCCTCCTGCCTCAACCTCCTGAGTAGCTGTAGCAGGGACTACGGGCACATGCCCCCACACTTGGCTAACTGAAAAAAACAAAAACAAAAAACAAACTTTTTTTTTTCCTTTTAAGACAGTCTTGCTCTGTCGCCCAGGCTGGAGTGCAGTGGCTTGATCTTGGCTCACTGTAACCTCCGCCTCCTGGGTTCAAGCAATTCTCCTGCCTCAGCCTCCCGAGTAGCTGGGATTACAGGCGTGCACCACCATGCCTGGCTAATTATTATTATTATTTTTTGTATTTTTAGTAGAGACGGGGTTTCACCATGTTGGCCAGGCTGGTCTCGAACTACTGACCTTGTGACCCGCCCGCCTCGGCCTCCCAAAGTGCTCAGATTAGAGGTGTGAGCCACCGCACCCGGCAAAAAAACAATTTTTTATAGACAGGGTCTTGCTATGTTACCCAGGCTGGTCTCCAGCTCCTGGCCTCAAACGATCCTCCCACCTTGGTTTCCCAAAGCGGTGAGATTAAGGCATGACCCACTGCATCAGGCACACTTTTTTTTTAACTTGGATTCCTGTTTAACCACATCTATCTTTGAAAACATTTTTAAAGCATTTTAAAAACATTTTACAAGCATTTTTAGGAGGAAAAAAATGCTAAGTTCACAAATAAGGGAAGCAAGTTTTAAAATTCAACTTAAAAGTCTCTATGGAGAATATTTATGTAACTTGTATACGAGGAACAGCCCTTGCATTCAATTTCAAGAACATCTAGTAAATGAGACTAAAATTAAGCTCTCCCTTAGCAAGCATAAGCAAGACTTAAATTTTTCATACGTGACTTTTTTTTTTTTTTTTTTTTTTTCTGAGACGGAGGCTTGCTCTGTTGCCCAGGCTGGAGTGCAGTGGCATGATCTCCGCTCACTACAACCTCTGCCTCCCGGGTTCAAGCAATTCTCCCTGCCTCAGCCTCCCGAGTAGCTTAGATTACAGGTATGCACCATCATGATGCCCACCACCACGCCCAGCTAACTTTTGTATATTTTAGCAGAGACGGAGTTTCACCATGTTGGCCAGGCTGGTCTTGAACTCCTGACCTCAGGTGATCTGCCCACCTCGGCCTCCCAAAGTGCTGGGATTACACGCATGAGCCACCGTGCCCAGCCTAGACTGTATTTTAAGGTTACTCTATATTTTTCTTCTACCTTGACCACAATCATGGAACTCCTTGTGTATAGTGGTAATAGGACAGGCACACTGGTAATCCCAACACTTTGGTAGGCCAAGGTGGATGGATCACTTGAGCCCATGAGTTTGAGACCAGCCTGGGATAGATAGGGGACCTCATCTCTACAAAAAATTTAAAAAATTAGCGAGTGTGGTGGCATGCACCTGTAGTACCAGGCTGAGGTGGGAGAATTGCTTGAGCCCAGGAGGCAGAGGTTGCAGAAAGCCAAGATTTCACAACCGCACTCCAGCTTGGGTGATAGAGCAAGACTCTGTCTAAAAAAAAAAAAAGAGTAGGCCGGGGGCAGTGGCTCACGCCTGTAATCCCAGCACTTTGGGAGGCCGAGGAGGGTGAATCACCTGAGGTCAGGAGTTCCAGACCAGCTTGGCTAACATGGTGAAACCCCCCATCTGTACTAAAAATACAAAAAATCAGCCAGGTGTGGTGGCACGAACCTGTAATCCCAGCTACTCGGGAGGGTGAGGCAGGAGAACTGCTTGATCCCGAGAGGTGGAGGTTGCAGTAAGCTGAGACTGCGCTACTGCACTCCAGCCTGGACGACGGAGCGAGACTCAGTCTCAAAGGAACAAAAAAAAAAGTAAAAGAGCGGTAACAATTACTAAAAAATTGGTTCAAATAGATAGCAAAGACAATGAAATAATAACATATTTATAACATAATTCTCAAATATATACAAACTCAAGAAATAGAGCCATTATAAAACCTACCAAATAAATGCATTAATCTGTTAAAATTTACTAATAATTGCCTTGTGTTTCTTTGCTGGATAACAGGTATATCAAATTGCCTTTGGCACTTTAATAAAATGATTTAAGTGCTCAGATTAAATACTGGTACAATTTTATAAACCTAGCACAAAGTTTGTAATAAAGTGCTTTGAAAAAAAATTTTTAAGTTAAACCTTTATTACATTATCTGTAACTGTTTAATGTTAGCAACAGAAATGTATGATTTAATGACCTTATTAAGGGAAAGGCTGCCATGGGAAATCAGCCGTAAGATACAACACTACATTATTAATATCTGTAAAACAGTAACATACCATCTGAGTCACTGCTGAACCAAGCAAACCAGATTTAGCTCCTTCTTTACATTCCTCCCCAAAATTTCATAACCAGAAAGGGATGATCTGTGGCAGTGCCTTGTGAAAAAGGGCAGTAGCTCAAGGCAGTAGTATCACAGAATTATTTAATCATTCATGGAAATCTTGCCTCTACTCTCCGTATGTCCTTGAGAAACTAAACTTGGCTTGGCTTTTAATTAACACCCAAGAAAAGAAAAAAAGTAAATCCTTATTCATAGATTTAAAAAGCTACGCAGAGAAATGTTCAACCTTGTATCCAAATGATAATTCAAAAAAAGAAACAAAGAAAAAAACTGGGGTTAAAAAAAGCTCAGAAAAAGCAAAAGTTCTTCTAGATATCTGGCACTTAGCTAGTAAGTTTTTATAACGTATCCAGGAAATAACACTGAGACCTAAATATGAAAAAAAAAAAGAAAGAAAAGAAAAGAGAAATCAGGGGGCTAGTGGGGGAACACTTAGTGGATGGTTCTACTTTATGTAGGTATGCTATCCATCTCTATCCATCTCTTAGAAAACAAAACCGGAAATCTGGGCGGGGTGGCTCACGCCCGTAATCCTAGCACTTTGGGAGGCAGAGGTGGGCGATCACCTGAGGTCGGGAGTTCGAGACCAGCCTGACCAACATGGAGAAACCCCATCTCTACTAAAAACACAAAAATTAGCCGGGCGTGTGCATGCCTGTAATCCCACCTACTCAGGAGGCTGAGGGAGGAGAATCGCTTGAAACCGGGAGCCGGAGGTTGCAGTGAGCCGAGATCGTGCCATTGCACTCCAGCCTGGGCAACAAGAGCAAAAACTCCATCTCAAAAAAAAAAAAGAGAGAGAGAAAACAGGACCGCAAAGTTTTCAAAATGGTTTATCAGGATGAAGTAAAATACAGATTTAAAAAAAAGGCAGATCACTCGTCTATAACATTATGGTGTACTAAAGTAAAAGAAAAACCCACTGGACTGATAAGAACTTTTGAGTTCTTTGTCCCACTTCGCGACATACTTTCTAGTCTTAAAATACAGTTAAAATAATAACTGGACACAAATTCTGTGTTCTTTGCATCTTTTTTTTTCTTTTTTCTGTGTGAACTCTGCTACAATTTTTTCCCTTTTTTTTCTGTGTTTGTATCTTTAAAAATGGTTATTAAAACCAGGGTTAAAGTCCCTTCCTAATCAATCATCCCTAAGACAACAAAAGTCCAGAATTCTAAAACAGCTGTTTCTAGATATAAAAATTCACCCACATACAAAATAGTGCGCGTTTTGGCTACTTCAGCCTCTTCCCTTCTCTAGAAATAACTCCTCCTTGTACTTAGTAAAGGCACACATTCACTTCAAGAGTAGGAAAATGTAAATGCTCTCTGCTCAGCGGCCGCAGCTAATTATTACTTCACACAGTAAGATCAGTGTTTGCTAAGTGTTATCAGCCAATGTACAGCACCCCCCAACACCGTCAAACGTTGTTCCAGTTATTTTACTTTAAAAGAGGATTTAAATAATGCGACGTGCTTTCCACTGAGCCACTAAGTAGGTGTGGACGCACAACCTTCAACACTAATTGCCCTTTACTAAGCCGACCAGGGCTAGACACTAAGCCAGAAAAGCCTTTTCCAGAGTTTCCTCTTCCGCACAAAAGCTTTCCTTCTGTCACTCCACCCAACCACCCAGCTCCTCCCTTAAGTGTTTGAAAGATAATTCTAAAAGTCTCCTCCCCCGAACCGCTGCGTTTCTTAAGGCCACACCATTTTAAAAATACTGTATTGCTTTTGCCAGGCTGTTGGGACCTCTTCCATCTCATTTCTATCTAAGAGTGGTTGGTACACACGAGGACCCCCTCCTTTCATTACCGCTTACAACCCACAAGTTTACTTTTCCCCATTGTAAACCTAAAGTCCCTGAGTGGCCCTTCCCTGTCCACTCGACAGTCATGCCCTGAGCCAAGAACTCCCAGGACAAGAGCCCTGCGCGGACCTCCGACGAAGAAACCGGGGTCCTTGCCCGCCCCAGCCACACAGCAACCGCGAGGGAGCACAGTAGGTGCTGCATCCACGTCGGTGCCGTTTACCCCTCAGCCAACTCCCACCGAGGCGGCTTCCTCCTCCTCGCTAGTGGGCTGGCCCTGGCGCACTGGAGCTCTTCCCTCAGACTTGGAGTCGCTTCCTCCCAAACCTCCTCCGGGGAGTCCCTGCCTCTCCTCGGCCCTCATGCGCCCACCCACGGTCCCAATCCTCACCGATCTCTTTCTCGTTGACCCTCGGGGGAAAGCTGGCCATCTATGGGGCACCGTCTGATTCCGGGAATACGATGCGGACCCAACAACAGAGAAGAGAGTGGCGACCGCTGAGGGGCGTGACGCCAAGTTGGTCCCTCCCGGGCCCAGGGACAGAGGAGACGGGCGGGGGCGGCCGCTGCGGCTTCTGCTAACTGCCTCGGGAAAGCTCCCGAAGGCCTCAGACCAAAGTACGGAGTCAACCACAGACAATAGACCCTGTACCCAGCCTCGCGCCTGCGGAGGAAGACAGTTCCCCTAAAGCGCCGACTGCAAACGAGACACTGGAGTCAAAATGGCGGGCGGCGCCGGAGATATCTGGGCGGCAGGGGCGCGGCCACGTGACGTCACAGCCCGAGGCCCCCGCCTCCCGACGCACGGGACGTGATCTCCCCGGCCCGGCGCGGGCGTTGCCTGGGGGCCTCGCAGGGGGAGATCCAGCCCAGGCTGGTTCCGCTGACTCTGCCTGTAGGCCGGTGGCGTCTTCTGGGCCTGGATGGTCTAATATGGAGTTTATAAGCTGAAGTGGCTTTGAAAAGGGCAAGCAGAGAATTGTATTATTATTAGCCTCCTAGCTTAAAGATTGCATGGAACTTAAACTGGCTGAACCAAAAGAACAAAAAGACATTTCAGGTTTTCACTCAATTTGGCCAACTCCCCAGCCCACAAGTAATAGGGAACTGAAGGATGCACTGATGAAAAAGACAGGATGAAAATTAACATCGTTGTGCACCACCTGTCCAGCTGCGATTGTTCAGACCTGAGCCAGCAGGTTTTAGGAAGGGCCGAGGGGAACGAGAAGGAGACTCGGGCGTGATCGCGCCGCACCGCGCCGCGGGGCCTCTCTGGACTGCCTTTGTCCTGGCCAAGATGGATCCCACTGTCCTGGCCAAGATGGATCCCACTGTGTCAGCTCAGAATTGGCCCTTCCTCCACCTTACCTGAAGGCCTCTGGGAGGCACCTAGTTGTCCACACATCAGACTGATAAATGTGTCAGTATCTGCTAGATGCCAGCTTGGTTCCCGGTCACAGATGACGTATTTGCATTTTAATGGCTTCTCGTGTGGACCCTAAACATTGCAAAGGCCTGGGGCGTATAAGACTGGGAATTCAAATATGTGGCAGATATTCATGGGACAGAGTAGAGTGTTGCATAGCCGCTTTTTTTTTTTTTTTTTTTTTTTTTTTTGAGACGGAGTCTCGCTTCTCCCAGGCTGGGGTGCAATGGCGTGATCTTGGCTCACTGCAACCTCCGTTTCCCGGGTTCAGGCAATTCTCCTGCCTCAGCCTCCCCAGTAGCTGGGATTTGTACAGGCATGTGACACCAAGCCCGGGTAATTTTTGTATTTTTAGTACAGAGGGCGTTTCACCCTGTTGGCCAGGCTAGTCTCGAACTCCTGGCCTCGAGTGATCCGCCCGCCTCAGCCTCCCAAAGTGCTGGGATTACAACGTGAGCCACCACGCCCGGCTGCATAGCCGCTTTTAAGAGATCTCAAATGATAACACTGTAGGGCATGTTTACTTCATCTTTTCTTTGCATGAGTGTATTAATTCTTCAAATAGCGAAATGTTTAATAAAACATCGCCCCTCCTTTTTTTTTTTTTTGGTTATTTATTTATTTTTTTTTTTGAGACGGAGTCTTGCTCTGTCTCCCAGAGCAGAGTGCAGTGGCGCCAACTCGGCTCACTGCAACCTCTGCCTCCCGGGTTCAGGCGATTCTCCTGCCTCAGCCTCCCGAGTAGCTGGGACTACAGGTGGCTGCCACCACGCCCAGCTAATTTTTTTCATCCTTTTAGTAGGGAGGGGGTTTCACGATATTGGCCAGGCTGGTCTTGAACTCCTGACCTTGTGATCTGCCCACCTCGGCCTCTCAAAGTGCTAGGATTAGAGGCGTTAAGCTACTGCGCCCTGCCTGCCCCTCGTCTTTAAAAAAAAATCACTTTGTTAGGCTGGGGGCGGTGGCTCACGCCTGTAATCTCAGCGCTTTGGGAGGCTGAGGCGGGTGTCAGGAGTTCGAGACCAGCCTGGCCAACATGGTGAAACCCCCATCTCTACTAAAAATACAAAAAATTAGCCAGGCGTAGTGGCGAAGTCCCAGCTACTCTGGAGGCTAAGGCAGGAGAATTGCTTGAAACCGGGAGGCAGAGGTTGCAGTGAGCTGAGGTTGCACCACTGCACTCTAGCCTGGGTGACAAGAGTGAAACTCTGTCTCAATAAATAAATAAATCAATAAATCACTTTGTTAGCTTCAGTCAACGATATCTTGAGGACTCACTCTGTATCAGGCACTGGGCCTAGTTGCTGAATTTTTAGAGTAGAACAAAAGAAAAACTTTAATGCAGTCTTGTAGCTCATGTACCAACATTCATATCAGTCTGAGTTAATTCTTTTAACCAACTGCTATTATCCCTGTTACTTGTACTATACCATACAAATTCATGGGAAATACCAGTTTTTGAGTGTCCAACAGTGAATTATTGTGATGACTTTTTCTTTTTTTTTTTCTCCCTGAGATGGAGTCTCACTCTGTCGCCCAGGCTGGAGTGCAGTGGCACGATCTCGGCTCACTGCAACCTTTGCCTCCTGGGTTCAGGTGATTCTCCTACCTCAGCCTTCCGAGTAGCTGGGATTACAGGCACACGCCACCATGGCTGGCTGATTTTTGTATTTTTAGTAGAGACGGGATTTCACCATGTTGGCCAGGCTGGTCTCAAACTCCTGACCTCAAGTGATCTGCCCGCCTTGGCCTCCCAAAGTGCTGGAATTACAGGCGTGAGCCACCCCGGCCAGACTTTTTAATACAATTGTTTAATTTCTATTTTAGTTTATTCCTGCAAGCCAACAGACTTCCTGGCCATTTTCTCAACTGGCAAAGCATGACAATGGAATGAAAAATAATTTTATGATTTGTGTACTCATTAGTAATAGATACTTCTAAGCACTGAGCCATATAAGTGCTTCTGTGGATTAACCGATTTCATGCTCACAACATATGAGCAGTGTATTGACATACATTACAGAAAAACTTTAATGCAGTCTTGTAGCTCATATACCAACATTTATATCCATCTCAGTTAATTCTTTTAACCAACTGCTATTATCCCTGTTACTTGTACTATACCATACAAATTCATGGGAAATACCAGTTCTTGAGTGTCCATCAGTGAATTATTGTGATGACTTTTTCTTTTTTTTTTTTCTCCCTGAGATGGAGTCTCATTCTGTCGCCCTGGCTGGAGTGCACATACAGTGTATTGACATACATTTCATAGACACTTAGTAACCTGAGAAGCCACAGGACAGAGTAAGCTGCAGGGGCTAGATCTGAACTCAGACTTGTTTGACTGCCCTGCTTCCATGCTACCTTGCCTCTCATAAATGAAACCTAGCTTGAAAAGCAAATATATACCTGGCATTTCATATCTGTGTTTGCTACTTTAATGTCAAATCTGAAGGGGCTTCTTATTCCCTACATGTCGCATAGATGTTGGGGTTCTCTAGAGTTCTGTCCTTGGCCCACAGCTTTTTTTTTTTCCTTCTTTCGCAGTCTCCCTGGGTGATGGCAACCTCTTTCTTGGGTTTAAATACCAGCTCTGTGTGAAGACCCTCAAGTTGAGAGCTAACTTCCGTCTTTTTTTTTTTTTTTTGAGACGGAGTCTTGCTTTGTCACCCAGGCTGGAGTGCAACAGCGCGATCTCAGCTCACTGCAACCTTCGCCTCCTGGACTCAAGCAGTTCTCCTGTGTCAGCCTTCCCAGTAGGTGGGATTACAGGTGCACACCACCATACCCAGCTAATTTTTGTATTTTTAGTAAAGACAGTGTTTCACCATGTTGACCAGGCTGGTCTCGAACTCCTGACCTCAGGTGATCCACCTGTGTCGGCTTCCCAAAGTGCCGGGATTACAGGCATGAGCCACTGAGCCCGGCCTGTCTTAAGTTTAAAATTTACATGTTCAAATGCTTACAATAAAACTCAAAATGTCAAAACTGAACACATCATTTCTCCTCAGTCTGCTCCATCTTTTGTATTTCCTACTCTAGTGAAATGTCCACCCAGTCACAGGTGCCAGAGGTGAGTCTTCCTAGCTTCCCTGCTATGCCTCATCCCAACATGAAATCAACCAATCCACAAGGCTTGCCAATATTTTATCTTAAACTGTTCTAGAGTCTGTCCTGTCTGTCCCAGCTCAGCTGCCATGGGCTTAGTTCAAGATCTTGTCATTTCAATCCTCTTAACAATCCTTTATAACCCCACACCCTGAAAAACCACCATTGACACCTTGGTGTTATTTCCTTCCCCTTAAAAAGTTGTATTAGTAATGTCATGTCTTTAGACAAATAATTTAGCCTCCCTGTGCCTCAGTCTTCTCATCCAGAAAATGGGGATAGTAATAATACCTACTTCACAGTTTTGAGGATTAGTATTTACAACAGGGCCTGACACAGAGTACTATATATGTGTTAAATACTATTTTTATATATAGTAATCCTAGCTAACTGCAAAACTGAAAGATCAAAATCTCATAGAAAATAGAGGGTTGGCAAAAAGCTGTGAAATAACATTAAGTATATGTACAATTGAAACAATAAATAAAAGGCCAGGCATGATGGCTCATGCCTATAAGCCCAGCACTTTGGTAGGTTGAGGCAGGCAGATTGCTTGAGCCCAGGAGTTCTAGATTAGCCTTAGCAACATGGTGAAACCTTGCTTCTACAAAAAAAATACAAAAAATTTAGCTGGGCATGGTGGCACGCACTTGTAGTACCAGCTACTCAGGAGGCTGAGGTGGGAGGATCACCTGAGCCTGGTAAAGTCAAGACTGTAGTGAGCTGTGATTGAGCTACTGCACCCCAGTTTAGGAGACAAAGTGAGACCCCATCTCAAAAATAAATAAATAAAAATAAATAATAATAAACAAAAGTTCTAGAAAGCATTCATTTCAAAAACAAAGCTGACCCAACCACTAAAATCCCATTCTCTTGAATCTCATTCTTGAATTATTCAAAAAACATCACTGTTATATAGTTATTTGTTAAGGCCAATTTACCCATAATTTTTACCAACATTTATTATCCTGAGATATATACACACACACACATATACATATACAGGCTGAGCATCCCTAATCTGAGAATCTGAAATGCTACAAAATCCAAAGCTTTTTGAATTCCAACATGATGCTGCAAGTGGAAAATTCCACACCTGACCTCATGTGACAGGTCACAGTCAAAAGTTTGTACAGGCTGGGCAAAGTGGTTCACAGCCATAATCTCAGCACTTTGGGAGGCTGAGGTGGGTAGATCGCCTGAGCTCAGGAGTTCAAGACTAGCCTGTGCAACATGGTGAAACCCCGTCTCTACCAAAAATACAAAAAATTAGCTGGGGTCGATCGCTGAGGTGCTAGGATCTCTTGAGCCTGGGAGGCAGAGATTGCAGTAAGCAGAGATTGCAGTGAGCAGAGATTGCAGCACTGCACTCCAACCTCGTGTGACAGAGTGAGATGCTGCCTCAAAAAGAGAAAAAAAAGTTTGCGCAGTCAAATCTCTGTTTTGTGCACAAAATTACTAAAAATATTATATAAGGCCAGGCGCGGTGGCTCACGCCTGTAATCCCAGCACTTTGGGAGGCCAAGGTGGGCAGATCACAAGGTCGGGAGTTCAAGACCAACATGGTGAAACTCCGTCTCTATTAAAACTACAAAAATTAGCCGGGTGTGGGGGCGCATGCCTGTAGTCCCAGGTACTCAGGAGGCTGAGGCAGGAGAATCGCTTGAACCTGGGAGGCGGCGGTTGCAGTGAGCCAAGATCGTGCCACGGCACTCCAGCCTGGGTGAGAGAGTGAGACTTCATCTCAAAAAAAAAAAAATTGTATAAAATCGCCTTCAGTCTATGTGTAAGATGTATATGAAACATAAATAAATGTCATGTTTAGACTCATGTTAGACTTAGTGCCATCCTCAAGATAGCTCATTATGTGTATGCAAATATTCTGATATCTGAAACACTTCTGGTCCCAAGCATTTCCAATGAGAGATATTCAACCTGTATATGTAACTGTATATGCATCCTCCATCATGCTATTATCTCACATCTCAGCAAAATGTTGTATAAACAGGCAGGCTTTTCATGTAGTTATACCTTTGCTTTTTCTACACCATTTTCTTATATGAACAGGGAGGTGCAGAAGCATTAAAGAGGTGGAACAATAGTCACATTCGTTTGTTCAGGGGGAGTGAATATAACTATGCATATGGAAATAATTAGCATTTGGAGTAGATTACAATTTAAAAGTTTGTGTCTTGCCTTTTCTTTCCTATCATAAAATAATGTTTTCCTGTATTAAAAAACCTTTTCAGCCAAGTGGTGGCTCATGCCTGTAATCCCAACACTTTGCCTGAGGCAGGCAGATCACTTGAGGTTAGGAGTTCAAGACCAGCCTGACCAACATGGTGAAACTCTGTCTCCATTAAAAATACAAAAATTAGCTGGGAGTGGTGGCTCATGCCTCTAATCCCAGCACTTTGGGAGGCTGAGGCGGGCAGATTATGTGAGCTCAGTAGTTCAAGAACAGCCTGGCCAACATGGTGAAACCCTGTCTCTACTAAAAATACAAAAATATTGGCCAGGTGTGATGGTGTATGCCTGTAGTCCCAGCTACTCGGGAGGCTCAGGCAGGAGAATTGCTTGAACCCAGGAGATGGAGGTTGCAGTGAGCCGAGATCTTGCCACTGCACTCAACCCTAGGCAACAGAGCAAGACTTTGCCTCAAAAAACAAACAAACACTTTTTACTACATCACTGTAGGTAACTTTGACTTCATTTGGCATTGAACATTTTTCTTTTCTTCACAATACTTACTATCGCGGAGGACTGGGCTTCTCCTATAATTAACTTTTCATTATTCCTATAGACATTACAGGTATATTTCCCTTGATACCATGAATGTATCCAGTTCACAACTGTGGTCTTTTTGTTGAGCAATTCAAGTGGGTTGCTATCAGGATATGCATCCATATAGAGCTCTGAAGTTGCAGACAAACCTCTAAATAAATTTAAAATTCGTAAGGATTCCTGCAGGTTCTTATTTTTGAACCTATATTTTGGTGACAGAAGAAAGGAAATATCCCCTTCCTATAACTAAAAGAAAGCAACATTTACTTAAAACAAAAGCCACATGCCAGGTGCGGTGGCTCGCACCTGTAATCCCAGCACTTTGGGAGGCTGAGGTGGGAGTTTGAGACCAGCCTGGATAACGTAATGAAACCCTGTGTCTACTAAAAATACAAAAAATTAGCTGGGCGTGGTGTCGGGCGCCTGTAGTCCCAGCTACTTGGGAGGCTGAGGCAGGAGAATCACTTGAACCTGGGAGGCGGAGGTTGCAGTGAGCTGAGATCACACCATTGCACTGCAGCCTGGGCAACACAGTGAGACTTCGTCTTTAAAAAAAATAAAGAAAATAAAGAAAAAACCACACATGAATAAAATAGAAAAGCTAATAAATTCTGTAACAGAGAATTGAATGAAGCCCACTACCACCAAAAAAAAAAATTTTTTAAGCCCAAAAACCAAAAAACCAAACTCAACAAACACAATGCCAATATTTTATTGTTTCCTAGTGTGGTCAAATCTCAAAGATAAAAATGATTATCATATGGCCAGGCACAGTGACTCACGTCTATAATCCCACCACTCTGGGAGGCTGAGGTGGGCGGGTCACTTGAGGTCCGGAGTTCAAGACGAGCCTGGCCAACATGATGAAACCCCATCTCTACTAGAAATATAAAAAGTTTGCCGGGCATGGTAGTGGGTGCCTGTAATCCCAGCTACTTGGGAAGCTGAGGCAGGAGAATCACTTGAACCCGGGAGGTGGAGTTTGCAGTGAGCCAAGATGGCACTACTGCACTCCAGCCTGGATAACAGAATGAGACTCTGTCTCCCAAAAAAAAAAAAAAAAAAAAAAAAGCCTATCATACTGTTTTGACTCTGTCCTGACCAAGTCCAAACAAAAAACAATTAAAAATGCCTTGCACAGCATGCATTGCTTAAGCAATAGGAGAGTTGCTTATTTTTGCTTTTTGGACCTCTCTGCTATTGCATTGTTTTTACAACTTCTCCATGCTAAGTCTAAGGATGCATACAAAATTATGCAGGGTTTGGATTCTAGGCCAGGAGTTTCAAATCATGGGATTTGTGGCACTAAGTCTGGGATTCTAGAATGAAAGGATATGGAATTTGCCCAGGATTCAGCTGGGCAAGTACAATTTATACACATAAGCATGTACATTAATAAATAGTAATAGATATCTTTGTAATTGTGGAAATGCTGGAAAAATAAGAGGACCCAGAGGAAAATTCTGAAGGCAACCACTTTTGGCGGTGGTAGTCTTGCTGGGGATGAAATATCTAATAGTGCCCCCATTTTTACCCTGCTGTCTTATTTTTCACTTTTTCCCTGATTTCACATTTTTTGTGTGGGGTGTTTTGACAATGTGGTTTGAGCAGAATATTAGTATTGGGTTTTCAAAGATGTATACTTTGATCTTAGTTTAAAACTGTACCCAAAAAGGCTCAAAGTGTGGAAAATGGTGCAGCCAGTCTAGATGTTTCTGCATCTGTGTCTGGGCCAGAATGCTGGAGGCTTACAGGAAATTATATCTGAAAGAGTAAGCAGTGGGGCTGGGTGTGGTGGCTCAGGCCTGTAATCCTGACACTCTGGGAGGCTAAGGCGGGAGGATCACTTGAGTCCAGGAGTTTGAGACCAGCCTGGGCAACATGACACCTCATCTCTACAAAATTTTTAAAAAATTAGTCTGGTATGGTAGTATGCCTGTAGTCCCAGCTACTACTTGGGTGGCTGAGGTGAGAGGATCGCTTAAGCTCAGGAGGACAAGGCTGCAGTGAGCCATGATTGTGCCATTGCACTCCAGCCTGGGAGACAGAGTGAGACCCTATCTCAAAAAAAAAAAAAAAAAAAAAAAGAGTAAGCAGAGGCCCCCCATCTCTATTGCTCTGTTGGATTTCCTATACACACTGATGAGATAACCCAGCTCCCTCTCCTCTCCTTACCCCCAAACTCAGGGCAGTTACATGCAGGCTGTGTCCTTTAGTTCAGTCCTTGACCTTCAGAAGAAATCTGTGTAAAATGGAATATTCCATGCGATGATGGAGATTTTCCTCCTATCAATAATTTTCCTCTTCCTCTAATAGAGCTCTGCACTTTCATTTTCTGATGTTTTTGCCTGTGACCATTCCACAGAGATTGCGAGGAAGAAAACAATGATCCTTCACCAACTGCATACAACTCCAGGATTTCTCTTTCGTGGCCTCCTCCTTCACTCTTTTGTTTCTTGTTTGGAAAACGCTTCCTGAGTCTTATCTCCAGGTGCCCGGCTTTTTTGGCAAGCTTTTTAGTCAGCTGTTTCCCACTTCTGGTGCAATGACATGGGCTGGAATTTGAATCCTCTTCAAGGGTCTCAGAGAGTCCTAGTGACAGGTCACAGGCTATCTCTCCTCAAGATTTCACCCCTGCCAGCCAGTCTTGTCCTGGTACAATGGATTTGAATCCAAGATCTGCTATTGCTATCTTTACTTGCTAGAATATAGGTCATAGTATTTTTTTTAGGCTAAGGAACTTCTGACTGACTCCTCCACATTATTTCAGTTCTTTTTAATCTTCCATATTGTTTTAGTTACTGAATTTGGTTTTTTCTTTTTTTTTTTCAGATTCCTTTTTTTTTTTTTCAAAGTCTCACTCTGTTGCCCAAGCTGGGTGATCTTGGCTCACTGCAACCTCCGCCTCTGGGGTTCAAGCGATTCTCCCGCCTCAGCTTCCCAAGTAGCTGGGATTACAGGCGTGCACCACCATGCTCAGCTAATTTTTGTATTCTTAGTAGAGTCGGGGTTTCACCATGTTGGCCAGGCTGGTCTTAAACTCCTGATCTCAGGTGACCTGCCTGCCTCAGCCTCCCAAAGTGCTGGGATTACAGGCACGAGCCACCACGCCCAGCCCTGTGCCTAATTTATAAATTATACTTTATCATAGGTATCTATAAGAAAAAACATAGTATACATAAGGTTCAGTACTATCTGCAGGTTTAGGCATCTACTAGGGTCTTGGAAGTATCCTCCAAGAGAAGTAAGCACTACTGTTTTGTGTGACTTTGCTTATTAGTTGCAGATGGAAAAATAAGTGTATTGAAGAGGTTATCTTCAATAAATATTTAGGAGTTTTTAAGAACAGGCATTTAAACTAATGTTTCAGAGGCATAGAATCATTTTCAGACTCATAGCTAGAAATGACCTTAGAGGCCAGATCATGTAGTATTACCTTTTACAGATGATGAAGCTATTGTCTTAGTGTATAAATAACTTTCTCACATTCATACAACTGGTTAGTGATAAAATGAGGATGAGGCATGGTTTTCCTTGCAAGACTCCCAGCACTTTTCCTATTACACTGAACTTTGTATACATGTTATCTCTCCCCAAAGTCATAAGTTAATGGAAGACAGAGGTCATATCCATTCATCTCAATTTTTTTAAACTTTTTTTTTTTTGAGACAGAATCTTGCTCTGTCACCCAGGCTGGCATGCAATGTCATGATCTTGGCTCACTGCAACCTCTGCCTCCTGGGTTCAAGCAATTCTCCTGCCTCAGCCTCCCAAGTAGCTGGGATTACAGGCACACGCCACCACGCCCAGCTAATTTTTTGTATTTTTAGTAGAGACGGGGTTTCACCATATTGGCCAGGCTGGTCTCAAACTCCTGACCTCATGATCTGCCCACCTCAGCCTCCCAAAGTGCTGGGATTACAGGTGTGAGACACTGCGCCCAGCCTCATCTCAATTTTTATGAAAGATAAAAAATTAGAATGCCTGGCAAATACAGCTGCCAAATAGCAGATGCTTAGTTAATTCTCTTTGAATTGAGTTCTTACATGATGAAACATTCTTCTTCTTGGTCTCATGTTCATGAGAAGCCACTCTATTCACTGAATATTTACTGATGTCTTACTATGTGCCAAGTACCAGACTAAGATAAAAAATGAGAATTAAAATGAAGATCTCCTTTCAGTTTTGGGTCTATATTAAAATGTTACTGTAAGGGTGTTCAATTTCTCAATTAGAAAAGGGAAGGAAGTGAACTTTCAGCTAAGCTATTTCCCTTTCATAGACTCATTTGCATTTCCTAAAATTTTAGTGCTAACAAGAACTTAGGTTACCTAAGATCACATTGTCAGTAAATGGCAAATCAAGGGTGAGAATGAACATCAGCTCCCTCAAAATCCAATATTCCTTCCATTACAAATAATCTCTTTCTTGTGCATTTTTGGAATAACATATACAATAGTTAAATTTATGAGTGTTAATAAAATGGAAATCCATGTTTCTTCTGGATTAGATATTAAAACACCTGAAAAAGGATATGGAAAGAAAGTGGGATGGGAGAACAGAGCCATTGACTCTTAGTCAAAAGAGCAGAAGATGCCCTAATCATCTGTGTCGAATTATGGAATATTACGGCACACACCACCATGTCTGGCTAATTTTTGTATTTTAGTAGAGGTGAGGTTTTGCCATGTTGGCCAGACTGGTCTCAAACTCCTGGCCTCAAGTGATCCGTCTGCCTCGGCCTCTCAAAGTGCTGGGATTACAGGTGTGAGCCACCTTGCCGGGCCTAAATTAAAACAAAAAATTTTTTTAAGTTTAAAATATAACAGAGACAAGGTCTCACTATGCTGCCCAGGCTGGTCTCAAACTCCTGGGCTCAAGCCATCTGCCTGCCTTGGCCTCCCAATATGTGGAGATTACAGGTGTGAGCCACCAAGCCCAGCCGAAAATATGTTTTGACTTTGCACTTTCATCCTTGGATACCAATGTACTTTGTAAGCATTAATTGGCTGTTATCTAACCTTGTGTCTCAAGGGTATAGACTGTTATTTCTTCATCCCACAGAGGAATGAACTCAGTTCCAGAGAGGTTTGGAGAATTATCCCAGCATAGCGAATAGTATGATTAAGCCAAGCAAAATTTAAGCCTAGGAGCTTAAATTCCTCTTAAGATTTGGCCACCTTGATGTGATCTGGGAATTTGGGAGTTGTGCAATCCTTATGGTTTGTTCCAGCTCTCAAGCAAGCACTAAGGAGCTAGGGAGAAGGCTACCCTTCATTAAACTCTGTCTGGCCCTTTGCTGGGTTAGCTCATTTAATCCTCCCAGCAAGTATTTCCCCATTTCACAGATAAGGAAAGTTTCAGAGGTTAAGTAACTTCTGCAAATTCACATACTTATGTAAGAGGCAGAGTCAGAATTGAAACCTTTCTTTCTCACTTGAGTTCATGTGCTTCGTGGAAACCATGAAATTATAAATTTGGAGACCTGGGCTCTAGGCTGATTTTGCCACCAAACTGAAACAACACTGATCAAAAGAGCCAACAATCCTGACCCATAATCATCTCCAGCTCCTTTGCTCAGTCATGGGCTTCCTTAGTTTATTCATCACCTCACACGGGGACACAAGTGGATCCACGTAGTGGGCCTCCTGACTTCATCTTTCTTCCCTGCATAAATATCATTCGACCATTTTATATTGCACCATATGCTAGAACAATGGCAAAATTTGATACGTTATTTTGAAAAATTGAAACTCCAAGATTAATGCTGTTAAGAATCAATCCAAACTGGATGTTTTTCTTATGTAGAAATAATCCACATAGAGATAGTCATGTGACCTGTCTATCTCCTAAATCTCATCGGGAGGGCTTCCCTAAGCTGGTGAGAGGATGTTGAGAGGGAATTGCCTGGAGGGAGATGATTTAAAAGGAGACTTAAAAGCCTTAAACATGGGGGTAGGAAAAGGTCTTAATAACCAGGAATTCACAAGGACCTGAGGATGAGGAGCTAAATTTGGGAGGGGGGAGCAGAGATGGGGATGGTTGAGAGTTACAACAGGGGAGGGAAAGGAGGAAGGACAGAGGCTTTCTCTTTTCTGCAGCTCCTTGGCCTGGCTTCTCTGCCCACGGCAGCTCTTGCACGTATCTTAGGGCCTTTTCACAGTCCAGAAGCTGGCAGTGCCCTCAGCCAGGTATAGAGCCCTGTTGGGTTGGTTGGTTTGTCTTTTACCCCCTTTTGAATAGCAGCCCCTTTTGGCAGGCTGATGCCTTGGAGAACATCATTGTACTTGCTCCACACCAGGCATGATGTGTTTTCAAACTGCAGACTCTTGGACACTAAGCCTGCTGCCTTCTCAGATGGAAACTTCTTTTCATATTTCAGCAGGTCATTCACAGTCCCCACCTCATTCAGCCTCCATGGATGCTGCTGCCCCCACAGTTCTCCTAATGCCAAATCCCCAGCACTCTGTCTCCCTGGCCCATTGAGTCATATATTTTATTTTAGTTTTAGTTTTTTAAACTCAAACGTTATTTATTACGTAGGTATTTATTACACAATGATGGACTTTTACTGATAACTCGTGATGGGCTTTAGGGTAGGATTCCTAGTAACAAGCACGGTCACCAGGGCCTCCAAACTTTCTGGATTTGCAGCGATGAGGGTCAGCCACCAGCAGGGTCCAGCCACATTGGATGAGGACGTCTTTGACCTTCTTGGAAGCCACACGTATTTCTGGTAACAGGCCACCAGGGCTTTGGAGATGGACTGACAGATAGCATGAATCTGGGCCACCTGACCATCACCCTTCAGTAGGACATGGATGTCCACGTCAGCAAATCGCTCCTTGCCCAGAAGCAGAACTGGTTCCAGCAGCTTGTAATGCAGTGTGCATGACTCCATCATCTCCAGGGGCCGCCTGTTCACTTCCATGAGGCCACTGCCATGTTTGCGGCCCGCCATGGCTGTGGTCATCTTCCTCTGTCCAGAGACCTGCATGGACTGCAGCAGGCTCTTGGACCACATGGCTATGGGCGTAGATGAGAGATCCTCACCATGCAGCATTGCTCCTGGAAAAGCTGGTGTCATATATTTCAATGCACCCATTTTATAGAACATATGGTGAATATCTTAGAGTTCTTTCTGTTTTCTTTATTGAAATATAGCCAAAAAGTTAGTGGACCCATAACACACAAGGAACTAGCAAGTGATAGATTCCTCTTATTTCTCAGTGGCTTGTCTGATGCAATCTGATTTTGGATAACTCATCTACCATTCATCCGTTCATTTCACCCTCAACATAACACACCAAAAAAAAAAAAATCCTAATAATTTTCTTTGTCAAGAAACTTAGGCTGGGCATGGTGGCTCATGCCTGTAATCCCAGCACTTTGGGAGGCCAAGGTGGGAGGATCACCTGAGGTCAGGAGTTTGAGACTAACCTGGCCAACATGGTGAAACCCCATCTCTACTAAAAATACAAAAATTAGCCAGGCATGGTGTTACACACCTGTAGTCCCAGCTACTCGGGAGCCTGAGGCAGGAGGATGGCTTGAATCCAGGATGTGGAGGTTGCAGTGAGCTGAGATTGCACCACTGCACTCCAGCCTGGGCGACAGGGCGAGACTCTAAATTTCTCAGCTTGTTATCTGGGAAGAAGAAAAGCAGAAAGGAAGGAAGGAAGGATGGAAAGGAACCTAAAGACTATGGGTAGTAAATGGCATTTAAGCTGGGACCCTCTCTCACATCACGTAATTTTATAACTAGTAATTATTCTGCCATTGAAGATTTTTATTTTATTTATTTTATTTTATTTTATTTTACATTTTTTTGATACAGAGTCTCACTCTTTTCCCCATGCTGGAGTGCAGTGGCACAATCTCGGCTCACAGCAAACTCTCCCTCCGGGGTTCAAGCAATTCTCCTGCCTCAACCTCCCCCTGCCTCAGCCTTCCGAGTAGCTGGGACTACAGGTACAGTGCCACCACACCTGGCTAATTTTTGTATTTTTAGCAGAGATGGGGTTTCACCATGCTGGCCAGGCTGGTCTCAAGCTCCTAACCTCAAGTGATCCACCTACCTTGCCCTCCCAAAGCGCTGGGATTACAGGCATGAGTCACGCCCAGCCTGGTTTGTTTTTTTGAGACAGGGTCTCACTGTGTCACCCAGGCTGGAGTGCAGTGGCGCAATCACAGCACACTGCAGCCTTGACCTCCTAGCCTCAGGTGATCCTCCCACCTCAGCCTCCAAGTGGCTAGCCAAATTTTTTTTTAAGTGAAAATTATTTTTTATGGCCATTACTATACCAATCCCAGAACTCAAGACTCCTCAAGTCTATGAAACACAACTCTGAGAGGAGCTGCTTCAAAGTATTGTTTCAATTATTTCTGAGATTTAGATTCAGTTAGCACAATAAATACAGTATAAAAAGAGAAGGCAGAGAGGTGGAGAGGAGGGGGGGAGCCTGAGACTATGTTGCCAAGATGTTCTTTTTGTAGAAAATGACTGTGAAAGAAGGAAGAGCTCATTCTCTTATCCTTTTAAATCTCACAGCTTCATAATCCTCCCTAAACCTGACCTTCCTTTCTTTTTTTTATTTTTTTATTTTTATTTTTATTTATTTTATTTTATTTATTTTTTTTATTGATCATTCTTGGGTGTTTCTCGCAGAGGGGGATTTGGCAGGGTTATAGGACAATAGTGGAGGGAACCTGACCTTCCTTTCAACTTCTATTGGAAACTCTCCAGTACTGAAGTCTATTGTCCAACTCAAATGATAACCTTTCCTATCTTCTTTCTTCTTGCCCACCCTATACAAATAGGTGGTATGGTTTTTGCTTTTATTAAAACTGTTTTTGTAACCAATGTTTATTTTTTATCAAAATATTCCATGCAACTAGTCTAGGGGTCAAATAATGCTAAAAAGGCTTAGAGCAAAAGCAGCAGTTTCACTCCTACCCCTTCATCACTTCCTACCACTCAGAGGCAACTACTCAACTTGTTCAATTTATTGCTTTGTGGGTACATAATAAGAGTGGGAAAACAGGCCGGGCACAGTGGATCATGCCTGTAATCCCAGCACTTTGGGAGGCCGAGGCGGGTGGATTACCTGAGGTTGGGAGTTCGAGACCAGCCTGACCAACATGGAGAAACTCCATCTCTACTAAAAATACAAAATTAGCCAGGTGTGGTGGCACATGCCTGTAATCCCAGCTACTAGAGAGGCTGAGGCAGGAGAATCCCTTGAACCTGGAAGGTGGAGTTTGCGGTAAGCCGAGATCGCACCATTGCACTCCAGCCTGGGTGACAGAGCAAAACTCTGTCTCAAAAAAAAAAAAAAAAAAAAAAAAAAAAAAAAGAGTTGGAAAACAAAATTTATCTCTTTGGACATTTATCTCTGTTATATCTAAGAAATACGTACATGTTATCTCTAGTTTGTCACATAGCATTTTTTTTTTTTTGAGACAGGATCTTGTTCTGTCACCCAGGCTGGAGTGCAGTGATTCACTGCAACCTGTACCTCCCTGGTACCAGGGATTCTCATGCCTCAGCCTCCTGAGTAGCTGGGATTACAGGTGTGCACCACCACACTCAGGTAATTTTTGTAATTTTAGTAGACACAGGTTTTCACCATGTTGGACAGGCTGGTCTCGAACTCCTGGCCTCAAGTGATCCACCAGCCTCGGCCTTCCAGAGTGCTGGGATTAAAGGCGTGAGCCACAGCACCTGGTCCACATAGCAATTTTTATGTTAAGCAACTGTGAAAAGCTTACACACGTGAACTGTTTATCTGATCAAGTTTATTGTTCTTCAAAATTCATGTAGGCCCAGCTACTATGGAGGCTGAGGCAGGACTGCTCGAGCCCAGGAGGTTAAGGTTGTAGCTTGCAATAATTGTGCTCGTGAATGGCCACTGCACTCCAGCCCAGGCAACACAGCAATAATGACTTCAATGTAGTTCAAGCTTGTCCAAACCACGGCCCACTAGCTGCATGTGGCCCAGGCTTTGATTGTGGCCCAACACGAATTTGTAAACTTTCTTAAAACATTATCAGATTTTTTTGTGATTTTTTTTTTCTTTAGCTCATCAGCTATCGTAAATGTTAGCCTATCTTAACCGTGGCCCAAGACCATTCTTCTTCCAACGTGGCCTGGGGAAGCCAAAAGATTGGACACCCCTGATTTAATCCACCACAAACCATTCTGAATGAAAAGTTTTCGGAAGTGCAAATCCGAAGAAGATAATGCATTTACCGGATTACAAAATCATTATAATACAATCAGTCAGGATTCTAGCACAGAAGAGATTGAAGCAGAGCAGAACCCACTAGGGTATGTATATTATATATCATATATACCGCATATAATCTTACACAATTGTGGGAACTGCTTAAGCAATCCCTGTAAAGCTGTTATCGTCACAGCTGATCCTGGAGCTTGAAGACGTCAGGAAAGGCAGTCAGGAAGGCGTAGAGAAAAGCAAATACCAGCTGGAACCCACAAAGGCAAACTAAAACCGTGTCAATTCTCTTTGCCTTTGACCTTGATAGTATGGCCATCCTGCAGAAGCAGCTGCGTTCCTTCAGTACACACCTAGCCTAGGAGTAGGAAACGCTGGAGAAGGACTTGGGGGAAGGCGGAGCAGTTTTAGGCCCAGCTGCTGGCCCAAGCCAAGGAGGTAAACCAGCAGATAAACAATAACACGAGCCACAAAATGTCTGCTGCTTCGCTCCCGCCCTCAAATCTGCATGAGAATGTCTCCTGTGGCCCACCCTAACCAGAAACATATCCACAGGGGATGCTGGGAAACGTAGTTCCACCTCGCCAAGGGGACACAATACGTTTCAAAGCCACCATGGTCTACCGCTTCTCAATTTGGCACCTGAGTTTATTTATTTATATATTTATTATTTATTTAGCTGGGGGATGTCAGGAAGTCACTTTATTTGTAAAATGATGGATTAGACCTGACTATATTCTCTGATAATTAGAAGTTTGCAAAGATGAATAAAGATTTATAAGGCCAGGCGTGATAGTTCATGCCTACAATCTCAACTTTGGGAAGCCGAGGAGGGAGGATCACTTGAGCCCAGGAGTTCGAGATTAGCCTGGGCAACCAAGCAAGACCCACTTCTCTACAAAAAAATAAAAATAAAAAATAAAAAAATAAAGAAAGAATTAGCCAGGCTTGGTGACTTACTGAGGCAGGAGGATTTCTTGAGCTCAGGAGTTCAAGGCTGCAGGGAGCCATGATCACTGCACGGCACTTCAGCCTGGGCAACAGAGCGAGACCTTGGCTCTAACAAAAAAAAAAAAAAAAAAAAAAAAAAAAGGAAAGAAAAGAAAAAGATTTATAAAGTCAATTTTATGGAGGAAGGTCTCTCATTCGGTTCTGAAGTGTTGCGAATCTAAAGTTAGGAAGACAAATTCCCTTTAATTCAGCAAACACTAAGCCCCTACCATAGGCGTCCTCTGCGAAGGAGACACTCCGAATCTCAGGCGCTCACTCGCCATGTGTAAGAGGAAGCGCAAATAAAAGTCCTGGCCAGGCGCGGTGGCTCACGTCTGTAATCCCAGCACTTTGGGAGGCAGAGGCGGGAGGATCACTAGAGGTCTGGAGTTCGAGACCAGCCTGCCCAACATGGTAACCCCCTCCACTCCCCCCACCACACTTCTACAAAAAATAAATAAATAATAAATAAAAATAATAAAAAGCCCTTTCACTCGAGAAGCATTTCGCTTCTCTTAGCCGGAGCCATCCTCCAAAGTGCGAAAGCCTAATTACTGTCCACTCTCACCAAGCCATTAGCAAAATGACCACCTACCTGCTGTGAACACCGAGGTGAGGCTACTACAGTTCCCAGCCGGCCTCTCTCCCACTTCCGCTCCTGGACTCCACAGGCCAGGATTAAGGCACCCATGTTTTAAACCACACTTAACCTCTAAATAAAGATAACAACTAAGGCATCTTTCTGTCTAATATGACACAACTGTACCATGTACAACACAAAACACGTTAACCCTTTCCCCAGAAAGATGAGGCAAAATTCCTTTTCAGTTTTTGAAGGGTATTCATTTTCCTACCTAATTCACACTTTTCCTTTGGTATTCCACAATTTAAAAACTGATATAAATCTAATCTGCTATTAAGTATGGGTATGGGAGAGGGAAAGAAAATCAAACTACTTTATTCATATAGACACAAACATATTCATGTAAAAAAAGGAAGAAATATTCATTACAGTCCTTATTTCTGCAGCTAGCTACATGGCTGTAAACTATTTTATCAAGCCAGCTGCTTCGGAATGATGGGAACATGATAAGAATATGAATTCCCGCCGGACGTAGTGGCTCATATTACCGCCTGTAATGCCAGCACTTTGGGAGGCCAAGGTGGGCAGACCACTTGAGGTCAGGAGTTCAAGACCAGCCTGGCGAACGTGGCGAAACCCCATCTCTACCAAAAATACGGAAAAAAAAAAATTAGCTGGGCATGGCGGTGGGTGCCTCTAATCCCAGCTACTTGGGAGGCTGAGGCAGGAGAATCGCTTGAACCCAGGAAGTGGAGATGGTGGTGAGTCGAGATTGCACCACTGCACTCCAGCCTGGGCAACAGAGTGAGACTTGTCTAAAAAAAAAAAACAAAAAAACACAAACAAACAAAAAAATGAATTCCATGAGCATGAGCCCCTTGCCATACTTCATTTATAACTACTTTCTTCCACTTCCCATTCCTATTATTTGTGTCCTCAGCAGGCACCTCAGCTGATTTTAGTTCCCTGCCTGCTAAAATAACCCAGACCTTCATTCCTGAACCGTCTGGACCATCAACAGCCCTGCCTTAACTGGGTTGTTATAGTTTTCAATTGACTTTAATCCCTGGGCTTGGGAGGACAAAGGGGAACCCTGGAGAATCTCTTGCATTCCAGGCATATGCCCCCTTACCCTCATTTCATAACAGCATCCTCATTTTCTCTTTCTTTTTTTAAGTCTTTTCATTTTTATTACTCAAAAAAGTTTCATTTTTTAATTTCGTTTTCTGACTTTGTGCTTGTGCCTTCAACACTTTCACAACGATTTTCTGCTCCTCAGTAAGGAAAGCATGCTTGATCCTGTCACGAACACATTTAGCACACATGGAACCACCACAGGCCCTGCTGACATGTTCCTTTGTTTTGGACAATCTCATAAGAACTTTAGGTCTTACAGCAGGAACCACTTGAAGTCTGCCTGGGCACATGCCACATGCAGATTTTGGTGCTTTCCCAAACTTCTTGGTATAAAGATAAACAATTCTATTACCAGGGGTTCGGGACAGCCTAGTTTTGGTTCGGGACAGCCTAGTTTTGTTAGAGGCTGTATTGTAGGAAAGCCTACAATGTATGTCAAACGCTGGACCATTCTGAGTGCCTGTAGACAGCATCCCTGGAAGAGCCCCATTTTCTCTTGATGGTCAGGATCAATCACCACAGACAGTACTCCTTCTTTGCCTGTTGATTCAGAGGCATGAGCCCAAAGTGGCTGGGTAGCATTCTTGATTTCCAGTTCATTGGAATCATTGTTGTGCCCCTGATGGAAGCATTTATCCCTTTGGAGCCAAAATCTCTGGACCATTCATGGGGCTGGAAAGCAGAAGTGTCGCTAATGGATTGCTAGGAGTAATAGTGAGAAGAAACTATTCCCATTCCCATCCTTTGACTTCCAGACCTGGGAATCCTGGCTATGACAGAAATATTACCATATGTTGGATGCTGATTGAGAACACACACTGCCTTCTGAAGAACACTGCCTCAGCCCCACAGGTGTTACCATCTAGCTAGAACTATAATTGAGTCTTCCAAAGGCCATTCTACTGTTCCATCGAGGCAGCTGCTTCAGGACAATGAGGAACATGGTAAGAACAGTGAGTTCCATGAACATGGGCCTTTGGTCACACTTTATTTGCTGTGAAATGAACTCTTTGGTTAGAAATAGTGCGTGTGGAATACTATGATGATGGATAAAGCATTCTATAAGCCCACAGATAGAGTGAATTTCATCTTTTTTTTTTTTTGCCCATGGTTTTATGCTTTTGGAGTCTTATTTAAGAAACTCTTTCTCAATCCAAGGTCACGAATATATTCTTCTACATGTTCTTCTATTACTTTTATGGTTTTACCTTTCACATTTAAGTGTTTTGTACACTTGGAGTTTATTTATGGTGTGAAATAGAGAGACCTTTTTTTTTTTTTTGAGCAGGATTTCTCTCTGTCACCCATGCTGGAGTATAGAGGTGCCATCACGGCTCACTGCAGCCTCAGCCTCCTGGGGTCAAGCAATCCTCCTACCTCAGCCTCCTGAGTAGCTGGGACTACAAGCACATGCCACCATGCCTGGAGAGCCATTTTAAAAAATCCATTTAGTGAATCAGGTTTCCCAACTCTACATCCTTCCCTCACACATAACTGTGTCTCTTTCTGGACTCTATTCTATTCTGTCTCTCTATTTTGCCTGTTTGTATGACAGTGTCACGCTTTTTCTTGCTGTGGCATTGTAATGTCTGGTAGAGACAGTCTATTCCTTTGCTCCTCTTTTCTCAAAATCATGTTAATTGTTTATGAATCTTTAAATATTAAAAAGTATTTTTAGGCCAGGCGCAGTGGCTCACGCCTATAATCCCAGCACTTTGGAAGGCCGAGGCAGGCAGATCACTTGAACCCAGGAGTTCAAGACCAGCCTGAACAATAGGGAAAGACCCCGTCTCCCGTCTCTACCAAAAATACAAAAAAAAAATTAGCCAATCGTGGTGGTGCATGCCTGTAATCCCAGCTACTTGGGAGGCTGAGGCAGGAGGATTGCTTGAACTAGGGAGGTGGAAGTTGCAGTGAGCCAAGATTGCGCCATTGGACTCCAGCCTGTGTGACAGAGTGAGACCCTGTCTCAAAAAAAAAAAAAAAAAGTTTTTAAAAATTATTTTCAGGATTCAAGTCCGCATCCTCTTGCCTTTGGCAAGAGGGCAATGGAAGAGTCATCTAACATTCCTGGGACCCCATGTGCACCTTTTGGGAAAAATTATTTGTATGAGAAAAAAAGAATAATAGTGGTATTTAATCTCCGGAAACTACATAGAAATCCATCATCAGGGACATTTGCCCAAATTAAGAAAACTGCTGGATGAATCAAGGTTTCTGAAATTGTATTCCTCGTACCATAAAGTAATAAAATAGGCCGGGTGTGGGGGCTCAACCCTGTAATCCCAGCACTTTGGGAGGCCCATGCCTGTAATCCCAGCTCTTTGGGAGGCCAAGGCTGGTGGATCACCTGAGGTCAGGAGTTCAAGACCAGCCTGGCTAACATGGCGAAACTCCATCTTTACTAAAAATACAAAAATTAGCCAGGCATGGTGGCACTTGCCTGTAATCCCAGCTACTTGGGAGGCTGAGGTAAAAGAATCACTTGTACCTGGGAGGTGGCAATTGTAATGAACCAAGATTGCACCACTACACTCCAGCCTGGGTGACAGAGTAAGACTCTGTCTCAAAATAAAATAAAATATAGCAGAGCAAGACTTTTAATGCACAACCCCTTCATTTTAAATGAACATCTTATTTAAAATAAAACAAACACAAACCAAAGACCTTCAAATGAATGATCTCTCTAGTAGTTTGCGTGTATTTTCTTACTTTTTGGCATTTAAATAAATTTCTTTTGCTTTATTTTTAAGTACGTAGGCTTAAGTTTGTCTCTCATCACCACAGTGGAATCTGAGAATTGCTATTTGTAATGTTTAACAAGTAAGAACAATGCATGCTGTTCTGTAGAGGGTAGGGTAGGTGAAGCTGGATACCTATAAAATTTTGAGTATTAAGAAAAGTGCTCTGGGCCAGATGCAGTGGCTTACCCCTGTAATCCCAGCATTTGGGAGACCAAGGTGGGTGGATCACCTGAGGTCAGGAGTTCGAGACCAGCCTGGCCAACATGACAAAACCCCATCTCTACTAAAAATACAAAAATTAGCTGGGCGTGGTGGCACATGCCTGTAATTCCAGCTATTCGGGAGGCTGAGGTAGGAGAATCGCTTGAACCTGGGAGGCGGAGGTTGCAATGAGCTGAGATCTTGCCACTGCACTCCAGACTGAGCAACACAGTGAGATTCTGCCTCAAAAAAAAAAAAAATGTTCTGGACTCACCCCCAGAGACCCTCCAGTTACTATGCCTAGGGTGCAGCTCAGCAATCTGTGTTTTTACAACCACGTCAAGTGATTCTGCTATCCCACGTTTTGAGAAGTACAATAAACACAGTCCTTTCTACTTGGTTGCTGGCTTAAAGATGATGTGGACAACTGGGATAAGGTTTCAGGCCACAAATAGAATGGTTAGAATTTGAGAGGACTCAAGAGAGCCTTAACCATAACTGAGGAAAGTGAAGAATTTGTCAGAAGTGATACGTTTCACAAGCTTTGCTCTTAAATAACTGCGTTAGAACTGTAACTGCCACATCGTAGCTTTGAAATGTAATTGGGAACATTTCTCATCATTTAAAAAAAACTTCTTGAATCTTAAAAATTAAAGAAGTTTTCCCAACCTGGTTTTAAAAGCTGCATATTTGAAATTAAAAATATTTATTTATTTATTGTGTTAGTCCATTTTCACGCTGCTGATAAACATATACCCAAGACTGGGAAGAAAAAGAGGTTTAATTGGACTTACAGTTCCATATGGCTGGGGAGGGCTCAGAATTATGGTGGGAGGTGAAAGGCACTTCTTACAGGGTGGCAGCAAGAGAAAATAAGGAAGAAGCAAAAGTGGAAGCCCCTGATAAACCCATCAGATCTCACGAGACTTAATCACTATTACGAGAATAGCTTGGGAAAGACCGCCCCCATGATTTAATTACCTCCCCCTGGGTCCCTCCCACAACATGTGAGAATTCTGGGAGATACAATTCAAGTTGAGATTTGGGTGGGGACACAGCCAAACCATATTATTTATTTATTTATTTACTGGAGATGGAGTCTCACTCTGTCACCCAGGCTGGAGTCCAGTGGTATGATTGCAGCTCACTGCAACCTCTGCCTCCCGGGTTCAGGTGATTCTCCTCCCTCAGCCTCCTGAGTAGCTGAGATTACAGGCTCATGCCACCAAGCCTGGCTAATTTTCGTATTTTTAGTAGAGACAGTTTCACCATGTTGGTCAGGCTGGTTTTGAACTCCTGGCCTCAGGTGATGTGCCCACCTCGGCCTTCCAAAGTGCTGGGATTACAGTCGTGAGCCACCACACCCGGCGTCCTCCAGGAGTTTTCAAACAGAAACTTAGGAGGGAGAATCAGCACGTCACTGTTGGTGGCCTCCTTGGATGTGAGGCTCAGGTGCTGCCAGGAAGCAGGGCTGTTGTCTCAGAGCACAAAGTCAACATGCAGAAGGAGCAAGACTGAGGGCAAAATGCTTATAGAAATATTTCTCTACAGAGTCGAGTGGCTGTGAAATAGGAAGCAGTTACTCCAATCACCAAAAGTTTAAACACACAAAGTCAAACTGTGCATGAGCTTTCCTTTCCCAGTGCTAGAGAAAATTCCAGGGACAGGGCTTGATCTGAGAGGTTTATCAGGATTTCCAGAAAGAGGTGTAAATGGAGGGTGGAGTCTCCATAACAGAGGAGCAAATTCAAGCATGCATGCAATCAATCCAAGTGGCAAGTGGGAGATCAGCGATGCTGGGAAGTTTGCTTGTTTGTGTTTTCAATGAATGTTTATTGAGCACCTATTATGTCCCTGAAACTGTTCTAGGTGTTGGCAATGCAGCAGCTATGGAGGCAGATGAGGTCTCTGCAGTCATGAAGCTTTCATTGTACTGGAGGGAGACAGGGAATGAACAAACAAACAAGAAACAGACTCATGGGAATTCTAGATGGAGATGTATTCTGTGAAAAAAAATAAAACACAATGATATGCTAGAAAGTGGCTTCAGCAGAGAGCATGCCCTCTAGACTGATAGATCAGGAAAGGCTTAGCAATAGAAGGTAGCATTTCAGGTGAGACAAGGTGGAGCCCAGGCAGCCAGCCCAGCTTCTCCAAAGTCTCTGAGGCAGAAGGAGCTCAGGGTGTTTGAGAAAGAGGAAGTCATATGGATGGAGCGAAAAAAGCAAGGAGAGCAGTAGCAGGTAGCAGGTAATGTCAGAGAGGAAGGCAGGGGCTAGATCACACAAGGCAGTACAGACTAGGATAAGAGATTTGACTTGTGCTAAGGATGGCAGGAAGACATTGGGAGATATCTCTATCTCTATCTCTATATAGTGAAAGCAAGTTTATTAAGAAAGTAAAGGAATAAAGAATGACTATCCATAGGCAGAGCAGCCAACAATGGGATATTAAGAGGAGGTTTCCATTGTTCAAAGTTCCTTCCAGCTACCAAGCTGAGAATGGAGAGGATGACAAGAATGGCAGCAGGGAGACCAGGTTGTTAAGAGACTGTCATTGTAAATCCTGTTGGAGACTAGCAGACAAGTAAAGATTGGGATATGCATGATGTCAGGAGTGAAAAAAAAAACAAAAACAGATTTTGGACAAGAATTTAAACGTGTAGACTAAGAACAAAGCAAGATCACATGACACAGAGGACAGTAAGCCAGCTTAAAACAAAACCTGGACAGCCCAGGAAGCTCGAGGTGCTTGAGCAACACTGCTGCCCTCAATGCCCTGAGGTCCACTTGAGGACCTGCTGCTGGCGTGGGGAACCGCACCTCCATTTTTTGTCGTGTGTTGATCCACCTGGGCATGAAAACAATGAGGCTTGCGCCTGATATTTCAGACTTTTTACAGGCAACAGCTCCTTCAGCATATTTTAGAACCACCTCTCCCCTAGCACTCAGATCAGCACTGCCCTCCAAAGACACCTGTTCTCTGGTGTAGGCAGATGTTCCTGTTCCCTTGGCAACAACTCTTATGTAAATGGATTGTCCAGAACTGACTCTTCCAGAGCCCCTCTTGCACCACCCCCCAACTGTCCCTCACTCCCCCATACATATCATGAACAATCCAGACCCAGGTTAAAGCCAAGATGGCTAGAGCAGTATTATTTTAAATCTCCCTAATTAATCTTCTCTAGCATGTTAAAATATTAAGAGCCTATTAGCAAAATTGACTTGGATAATCTAAGCTCTAAATAAGTACTTAACCAACAATACCCCTAATCTGGGCTTTCTATTGAATTTCTTAGTGTTTTCTCCAATTTTAAAAAACACAGAGATAAACCAAGTAATGAGAAATAAAATGTGCTGTGATAACCTCTAGGCTAGATGTGAGTACTAAAACTGAGTGCTCACTCACCTAGGTGTCAATCCTCAGAGACACATTCTCTCTTCCCACCCATATTCACTCTTCCCATTCTCCCCAGTTTCTGGGCCAACACTAATAGAAGGATAATAAATGGATAGTTTTAGAGTATTTGGAATTAGGTTACTAGCATTAGTTTACCTGCTCTTCTAGTCAAGAGTCCATTGGTTGCTAGAAGCAAAGGCTTATAGCCCCTAAAATTAACCATAGGTTTGAGGAAGAGCAGAAACTGAGACTGTTTGGGAGTCTAGCTGCTTCTCACTAAAGTGTGAGAAGTACTTCTATGGTTGCCCCCGACCCAGACATCTATCTGATCCACAGCCATCATTCTCCACTCTTTCTCAACTTTATTCCTTTAATTGCCTCAGTCCAGAGGTTACGGAAGTGCTTCTCACACTTTAGTGGGTATAGGGGTATATAGGGTAATGTGGATATTGTGAAAATGTATATTCTTTGTTTTGAGACAGAGTTTTGCTCTTGCCGTCCAGGCTGAAGTGCAGTGGTACGGTCTCAGCTCGCTGCAACCTCCGCTTCCCAGGTTCAAGCAATTCTCCTGCCTCAGCCTCCTGAGTAGCTGGGACTACAGGCATGTGTCACCATGCCTGGCTAGTTTTTGTATTTGTAGTAGAGATGGGGTTTCACCATGTTGGTCAGGCTGGTCTCGAACTCCTGACCTCAGGTGATCTGCCCGCCTTGGCCTCCCAAAGTGCTAGGATTACAGGCGTGAGCCACAGTATCTGGTCATTAGAATGTATATTCCTATTCAGTGGGCTTGAATTGGGACCTGAGATTTTACATTTCTGACAAGCACCGGCGCTTCTGCTCTGAGTACCTGGTTTTGATTAGGGGTTGTAGGATTCTGTTTTTTTCTACTCTTTAGGTTTTTGTTTGTTTGTTTTTTGAGACAGAGTTTTGCTCTTTAGCCCAGGCTGGAGCGCAATGACATGATCTCAGCTCACTGCAACCTCCGCCTTCCGGTTTCAAGCAATTCTCCTGCCTCAGCCTCCTGAGTAGCTGGGATTACAGGCACCTGCCACCACGCGTGGCTAATTTTTGTATTTTTAGTAGAGACGGGGTTTCACCATGTTTGCCAGGCTAGTCTTGAACTCCTGACCTTGTGATCTGCCCACCTCGGCCTCCCAAAGTGCTGTGAATACAGCCGTGACCCACAGAGCACCCGACCTCTACTCTTTAGTTCTAACAGGCTTTTGTTCTTTTTTTTATTTTTATTTTTTGAGACTGAATCTTGCTCTGTCACCCCAGGTTGGAGTGCAGTGGCACCATCTCGGATCATTGCAACCTCCACCTCCTGAGTTCAAGTGATTCTCATGCCCCAGCCTCCGAAGTGACTGGGATTACAAGTGCCTGCCACCATGTCTGGCTAATTGTTATATTTTTAGTAGACACAGGGTTTCACCATTTTGGCTAGGCTGGTCTCGAACTCCTGACCTCAAGTAATCTGCCCACCTTGGCCTCCCAAAGTGCTGGGATTACAGGCATGAACCACTGCGTCCAGCCCAGGCTTTTGACCTTAAGCAGTTTGTTGTTTAAAGTCCTAGTCCTGGTACAATAGGAGAACATCAAGGTGTACATACAAATTATGTGAAAGCTTGAAACCGATGTCCAGGAGATTTAAAATTAACTGTCCTTTACATGTAAGGTGGAGGAGGAAATTATATTTCTTAGAACTTCAGAAAAGCTCATTCCCAAGAGAAAGGCTACAAGTGCAAAAGAATGGACAACCCTCCCCAGGAAGTTGCTGTTAGGGCCAGCCCTAACATTTCCAGTCCCTGGGACTAAGGCCCACAGGCCATATGGCTAAATATTTAAAAATCATAAGTCAGATAAACAAATTATTAAGTGAATTGTGTTCCACTCTCCTTCCTTGATGAATATATCTTCAAAATGGCAACATTTTAAAAAATACATGTAAAGTGATGGTTAGTATCCAAATTAGTAAATATATTATTGTTTATATCTTGATATATCTTGATGTTCAGTTGATAGATCAGGAATGTTTGGAAGATAAAACAAAATAAAACAAGCATAATTTATAACTTTTATATATTTATTTCATAAAATGTATTTGTCTTAACTTCGTTTTAGCAAAATTACTAAAAAGTCAGGATAGGCTGGGCGCTATGTCTCATTCCTGTAATCCCAGCACTTTGGGAGGTTGAGGCGGGCGGATCACTTGGGGGCAAGAGTTCAAGACCAGCCTGGCCAACATGGTGAAACACCATCTTTACTACAAATACAAAAATTAGACATGGCGGCTGGTGCCTGTAATCCCAGCTACTCAGGAGGCTGAGTCAGGAGAATCACTTGAACCCCACAGGGGGAGATTGCAGTGAGCTAAGATCGCACCACTGCACTCCAGCCTGGGCCACAGAGCGAGACTGTCTCAAAAAAAAAAAAAGTACAATTATAATGTGTCAATTTAAAAATTCAAAAGCAATTCAATAAATACCTATAGTAAAGGTATTTATTGCAGCTGATAAAAAATAAACTGACTAACTAAATAAAGCCTGCTATTGCCCAATTTTGAGGCATTGTTCTGTCACCTTTCATGTTGCAAACGAAGAGCAAAAGCTGAGAGCACTGGGGCTTGAACATGTTGGTGGATGTTGAGAATTGCAGATTGTTCTTCCACTATGGGCACCAAATCCTGAGTGACAGAGGCACCTCATGTTTTTCAGGTGATTCATATCATCAGGGAAGTTTGGGAAATACTGATAAGGAAGGCAAACAATATGGAACAATATTTAACAGAGTGCTCTGAATAGTAGAGTAGCTCAAGCAACTGGAAATTGCAAAACTTATTTGGTGACTTTGCCAAATAAATCATGATGATGATTATAAGATCACATACAATATTTTGTATGGACAGAATTTATTTAAGTTATTGTGTTTCTGATTTTAGTGTTAGATTTAAAATTATTATTTATTTATTTGAGACAGTCTCCCTCTGTCATCCAGGCTGGAGTGCAGTGGCACTATCTCAGCTCACTGCAACCTCTGCCTCCTGGGTTCAAGCGATTCTCATGCCTCAGCCTCCGGAGTAGCTGGGATTACTAGTGTGCGCCACCACGCCTGGCTAATTTTTTTTTTATTTAGTAGAGATGGTGTTTTGCCATGGTGGCCAGGCTGGTCTCAAACTCCTGACCTCAAGTGATCCACCTGCCTCGGTCTCCCAAAGTGCTGGGATTGCAGGCATGAGTCACCACTCTCGGCCTAGATTTAAAATTTTTATATACAGTTATTTTATAATATGTTGGTATTATTAAAAACAATGGTGTTTAATTATTAATAAGGTAATGTCCTGAAGTATGGCAAAACAAAGTATGCTTGTGTATGCAAGAGGTTGCAGAAAGCATAAAGACCTCACAGAGATTTTATACTGGGTCTATTTAGACCAGTTGTGCCACTAATCTAAGGGCAACCCACTTCTCTTTTGATGGCCTTTTTGCTAGAGGTATCTTAGATCTTTTGTTATCTGATACACACACACACACACACACACACACACACATGCACACGCAAACCCATATCCTATACCCTCACTTCTCCAAACTGAGCAATAACAAGAGAAATGGAGAAGAAATGTCCAAAGTTCACAAATTCCAACTTCAGCTTAGCAAACTCACATAAGGAAGTAAGAAAATGCATGCTATAGATAACAATGTCAGAACAGGGAAGGACCAGTCAAAGAACTGAGGCACACAAAGGTTAAGCAAGAGTGTTCAAGAGGACCGTAAAGGGAAATATTCAGAGAGCTTCTTTATTATTTTATTTGTTTTGAGGCAGGGTCTCGCTCCATTGTCCAGGCTGAAGTGCAGTGTGCGATCTCCGCTCACTGCAACTTCCGTCTCCCAGGTTCAAGTGATTCTCTTGCCTCAGCCTCCTGAGCAGCTGGGATTACAGGCACGTGCCACCACACCCAGATAATTTTTATTTTGTTTTGTTTTGAGATGGAGTTTCACTCTTGTCGCCCAGGCTGGAGTGCAGTGGCATGATCTCAGCTCACCGCAACCTCCGCCTCCAAGGTTCAAGCGATTCTTCTCCCTCAGCCTCCCAGGTAGCTGGGATTACAGGTACCCACCACCACACCCAGATAATTGTTGTATTTTTAGTAGAGATGAGGTTTTACCATGTTGGCCAGGCTGGTCTTGAACTCCTGACTGTCTGTCTGTGGCAGTGCAGAGTTTCTGGAACCCCTCTGTGACTTAACCCAAAGCCACATGTGCCACTCCCCCATGGGCCTGTCTGATAGAAGGATGTTGCTTACCAAATGGAAGCTCATCTTATTCACATCTTTCTACCAATGCCACTAAATTTGAGTTTACTTGGAGCAGAATTTTTTCCTTCCCTGGATTTTGGTTACCAAACAGATGGAACTTTCACAAATTCAAAACAGCAACTTGGTGCCCAGCTGACCGCACGTCAATGTTCTGGCTGCAGCGCATCCTATCTAAAAGGTGCCTGCTATTTCTTTACTCCTTAGATTATTTTGCTTATTAGAGTCTGGTGTTTCCAGGGGACCTGAGGGCTGGTGAGAACAGAAGCACACAAGATACCCTTACAAACATTCCCTGTCCTTTTGACTGTTGAGGGATCTGCTAGGAAATGGAAAGGCTTGATCTGCTTCCTGAGAAAACTATAGCCAAAGGAATTTTCAGCCGTGTATTATTTTTGGGAATTGTTCAGATATTTCTAAGCTGTTTTTCTCCCTAACAGAACAGGAGTAAGGAAATCCAAAGATCATTCTAACAAAAATAGAGGCAGTGCTACCCAGCTCCGTGCCTGCACAAACAGGTTGTGATGGTGTATTTGAGTAGACCCTTTCTCTAGACATGTTTCAGACTTGAAATATTATGAATGCCTGATTTAAACTGAAAGAACTTTTCCATAAACTAAACACAAAAGGAAGAAACTATTGGTACTTTTGAATAGGATAGGTGACTTTGTTTTTGTTTTGAGACAGGGTCTCACTCTATTGCCCAGGCTGGAGTGCAATGGCTCACTGCAGCCTTGACCTCTTGGCTCAAGTAATTCTCCCAGCTCAACCTCCCAAGTAGCTGGGACTTACAGGTGCATGATACTATGCCCGACTAATATTTTGTACTTTTCGTAGAGATGGGATTTTGCCATATTGGCCATGCTGGTCTCAAACTCCTGACATCAAGTGATCCACCTGCCTCAGCCTCCCAAAGCTCTGGGATTACAGGTGTGAGCCACTGCGTCCAGCCTGACTTTGAATGTCAACATCTAATCCTGTCCCACCCCACACCCCCAGCTCCTGATTGAAAGGAATACAATATAAGTAAAATAAATATCAGTGCTACAACTAGAAAAGGTTATCATCTACATTTCAAAAATATTGAGGACTTTCTACTGGACTACAGCAAGAAATCTGCATGGAAGAAAAAGCTCCAGGTATACCCTGACCTCCCTTCTCCCCAAGAAACAGCATCCTGGAATAATTGAGATCTCAGATCTTAGTAACATCCCCTAATTAGAAAGAGCAAGAGTTAACAGTAAAATAGACCTTGGGTCAATCGCACTACTTGCAATCCTTTTTACCTTTAAAAACAGTTGTGCACGTGGTCCAAGGTTAAACTGGCCACCCCATGGAGAATATCACGGTGTGGGAGTAGGGATAGGACTCCTTCTAGAGACAGTGGACACTACAATAGGCTGGGATACACCTGGATGCTGAGGCCCCCAGGCCAGTCATCGCAGGGCCAGTCAGAAAGCTGAGCCTGGTGCATCCCCGAACACCTAGAATCACAGAATCTGCCCTTCAGCTCATAGCTCTGGATCCCTTCTTCCCTTATTCTAAGCATCAAAGAGGCCTTCAAACTAAGAACAGAGAAGAGCATTGTAACAGCGACTGGTGATGGAATCCCAAGAAAATCATTTTACCCTGTTTCAGGGTCACCTAGAAAGTTTAGATAAATCTCTCCATTTTCAAAGGTGAAATGGTGGTAAAACCAACATGGAACTATGAAAGTATTCTGTATCATGAAGAGAAGAGAACGTAACACTCAAGAGGAAAACCAAGCTATTGAATAAGGTGAATGGTAGTATACTGAGGAGGAAAAAAATGTTACTTTATGAGCAGAATACTTCATTTCTCATGGTGGGGGGAAATGTGTTTAAGAACATATCTTGCAGAGCATGACTAGCTTTGAAGATGAAGCCTTCTAGGCATGGCTAAGATGGTTTGGTGAGCAAAAAGATCCAGAGATATGAAAGGAACCAGAATTGGGAGGAGCTGGCGCAGACCAGAGAGGATGTGATCTGGGAGAGTCTGGGGAGAGAAAGGGATGGAAGTTCAAGAACCTTGGGAAGAAAGTAGGCCCTGAGCAGAGAGGAAAGCAAGCATGAAATGAAAGAAACAAATGAGCTCTAGTGAGCAGGAACAGGAAAATGGAGCAAGCAGTGAGCACAAGGAACCCTAGAAATCTTGGGTGTGGCATTGGACTTCCCATGGGATGGAAGGTTGACCCAGGGTTGTCTGAATCCAACTGACATCAGAATTACGGTAGAAGACTGAAGTGTTACTTTAATACCCTGCCATTACTTTTAATGGCAAAAACTGCAATTGCTTTTGCACCAACCTATAAATTTTAGATGATAAACTTTATTGTGATCCTAACAAAATGAAAACATGGACTCTGTGAAACAATAGCTCAAAATTGATGTTCTCAAATAGTAGACTGAGATGAAAAGCAGAGGCCACTAAAATTTTTTCAAAAGGGGAATTGGATAAGAAAGTAATATAAATGGACTAAAACAATATAATGGAATTTGAAAATACATGAGCGGCAGTAAAGCCTCTAGATTCAAGAAGATGGAAAACTGAATCCACAATATGGAGGCCCAAAAGTCCTCCTAAAATGCAGAAGAAAAGAATAAATTTCAAAATAACATGAGAAAAGGCAATAAATATAGAAGACAGAGAAGGAAGATAAAAATTAAGAACTTAAGATGTTGCTGAGGCTAAAACAGGAACATTGAAACAGACCTAATAATGGAGGATGTAATCAAAGAAACTTCCGAATTGAAAAACAAAGCCTATATATGTAGACTTAAAGGGATTCCAGGCAAAAGCAATAGAAAGATGCCAATATTTAAATTTACCCTGACAACATTGCTGGTTTTTTTTTTTTTTTTTAAGACAGAGTCTTGCTCTGTCACCCAAGTTGGACTGGAGTGGCATGATCTTGGCTCACTGGAACCTTCGCCTCCTGGGCTCAAGCGATTCTCATGCTTCAGCCTCCCGAATGGCTAAGATCACAGGTGTGTGCCACCAGGCCCAGCTAATTTTTATATTTTTAGTAGAGATGGGGTTTCACCATGTTGGCCAGGCTGATCTCGAACTCCTGACCTCAAATGATCTGCCCACCTGCCTTGGTCTCCCAAAGTGCTGGGATTGCAGGCGTAAGCCACTGCGCCCGGCCCATCGCTGATTTTTAAAACAAACAAAAACTCTTATGTTAAGAATTAGAAGGCTGCTTTTTTGATATGATTAATGTCCCAAACTAATACCTTCCTTAACGGTTAATACTTGGGACATTCCCACTAGTAATCTGAAACTATCCCCACTGCTGCTTAAGCTTGGTCTCAAAATTCCAGTCATTGAATAACAACAAGAAAAACAAGTAAAATAAAACTTTTGGAAAGGTGTCAAATTTATTGCCATTTGCACAATCCCATGAACATTTACCTAAAAACCCAAGAGACCAGTTATAAAAGAAGTATATAAAATAAGTATTTTTATAAAAATCAATAGCTTTTACATGTTAGTTAAAAAAATAGATTATATAAAAGCCAGTATATATCTCATATATACTATAATAATATGTATTATTTTATAATAACAATGCAAATAGAAATAGAAAACCAGGCTGGGTGTGGTGGCTCACACCTGTAATCCCAACACTTTGAGAGGCTGAGGGAGGAGGATGGCTTGAGTCCAGAAGTTCGAAGCCACAGTGAGCTACGATCACACCGCTGCACTCCAGCCTGAGTGATAGAGCGAGACACTGTGTCAAAGAAAAAAAGAAATAGAAAACCACAAACCTTTAATGAAGGACATTAAAGAAAGAGTGTATGCCAAGGTAAAGCATGTTCCCTGAGGGGATGACTGGATATTATCAAGATGATGTTGTCCTTAAATAAATTTATAAATTTAATGTAATTCCAATCAAAGTGACAAGGAAATTTTTTTTTGGCGCTTAATGAAACATCTGGAAAAGTAACCAAATTAAACAAGCTCAGTCCTGGCATCATCAAGCGCAGGACTTGCACTGTAGACCTTAAGCTTGCTAAAAGGAAGCTGACTTCACAGTGCACTGCGGAAAGGACAGGCCACTGCGTGGCACAGAATGCAAAGTCAAGTGTCACAGTCTCTGAGACGAGGGTTAGCATGCAGGGTGTTCACATGTAGGAGCACCCTTGGGATCACCACCAGTGGATGGGAGGGGAAGGAGGAAGGACAAGCAGACAGGGGGAGAAGTCAAACCATGATTCAGTAGACCCAAGAGCCCTGGCCAAACCCACAGGAGCCGGGTGCTCAATGGCCTTCGGAGTTGTCTCAAGTGGGACCTGTGGCCAGGCATTTATACCCACAGGAATGAGTCACTGGATGTAGGCCACTGGGAAGGGGTAACTCCTCAGATGTGGTGGCTCTCTACAGCTGAGAAAATCCCTGCAGGAGATGACCCCTGAATACTCCGCTGACAACACTACCAGCGGTGGGACAAGTCTTTCATTGAAGCAGGAGCTAGAGTCCACCATCCAAGGACAAACCCAAATACATATAAATCATGAGTACTAGACAGAGTTGGCATCACAATTCGGTAATGGGAGAATACAAATACAAATTTCTCAACAAATAATGAAGGAGAAATTGGCTTACAATTTGGGGGAGAAATTAAAGTTCTACCTTATCTGATACTCTGTTATTTTTTCAAATAGAGACAGAGCCTTGCTATGTTGCCCAGAGATGGTCTCCAACTCCTGAGCTCAAAAGATCCTCCCAGTTTGGCCTCCCAAAGTGTTGGGATTATAGGCATGAGCCATCGTGGCCAGCCTATTTTTAAAATCCAATTTGGTAATTTTTTTATTGGTGAATTTAACCTATTTACATAAATTCTAATCACCAGTCTACTAGAACTATTTCTATAATTTTAATTTCATATTTTCTATTTCATACTTTTATTTCTTTTTTATTCCTTTTTTCCTTTCATTGGATAGAACAAATTTTCTTCTACTGTTGGCTTAAGATATACATTCTATTTTTATTCTTCTGGGGTATATCCCTTACATTAATACCTATATTTCCCTGTAGTCAGCTTCTTAACCTTGTCAATATCTATGTGTTCTCTACCAAACATGTGTGTACCTAGGTATATTTTACTAGCTCTGGTTTTTTATGTTTGCTGTTTGTATTATCTAGAGTTTGGGTTATGGTTTATTCTACTTTCCCGTTTTTGTCATCATGTATTTAGATAGCAATGAACGTGAGTAATTTATTTCAATTCCTTTACCTTAAAACATTCTCTAGCTTGATTTTTCTCTTTGTTAGAGAACTTCCTCCACCGTGCCCAACCTAAAAATATATTTTTTTAAAAAAGAAAATTGGTTAAGGAAATATTTTCATGCTATTATAGCTGATATTTATTTTCTTTGTGCTTATATGTTTATTTCAGTTTTTCCATAATGGGCAAATATCATTTCAATAATTATAGGGGAAAAAGTATGTATTTTTAAAATCCATAATAGAAGAAAATCACACATCATTGGTTTATCCATCCTTTTTTTCATCATGATATCTTTTACCTGCACTCAATCTCCTTTATTATTGTTATTATTATTAATTATTATTATTTTTTGAGACAGAGTCCCACTCTGTTGCCCAGGCTGGAGTGCAGTGGTATGACCTTGGCTCACTGCAACCTCTGTCTCCCAGGTTCAAGTGATTCTTGTGCCTCAGCCACCCGAGTAGCTGGGATTACAGGGGCCTGCCACCATGCCCAGCTAATTTTTGTATTTCTAGTAGAGATGGGGTTTTACCATGTTGGCCAGGCTGGTCTCGAACTCCTGACCTCAGGTGATCCACCCGCCTCAGCCTCCCAAAGTACTGGGATTACAGGCATAAGCCACTGAGCCTGGCCTTCTTTATTATTTTTTTTACGCATCTCACCAGGGTATATAGTCCTGGAGGATGAGGACAATTGTTTCTATGTTCTGTACAGTTGCTTACACATTGTGAACATTTAATAAAGTAAAATTGCAATTGTGCCTGGCATGTACTCCCTTCAATAATTGTGTTGTGATATTAGGGACAAAGTGGTGAAGTAAAACACTTACATCCAGGTAATTCAACAATGCTCAGACCTTCTGTCTTCCTCACCTCTCCTACCAAACTTCCCTTTCTCAGCAAGGTATTTAGCTCAGCTCAACACTTGATTTCATTTGTGCAGACTCAGCCTGTGGCTGGAGTGGAGATGGGGTGGTGCCTGTGATTTTGAGTATAAACATCCTCTACTCTTTTCACTTTATTTATTTTTATTATTATAAAAACCTGAAGCTATACTATCCTGTGGTTTATCAGCAACAACCCTAGTTGTGTCCAGAGGTTGCAGTTACAGGCATCCTGGACCAGTAAGACCTGGGGCATCGCTCTTAGCAAAAGAAAACCCCAAACAAGTCTACCTAGAACTGCTCTGTTCAATATGGTAGCCATTAGTCACATGTGGCTATTTAAATTTAAATTAAGTAAACTTTCTTAAAATTAAAAATTCAGTTCCTTATTCACACTTGCCACATTTCAAGTGCTACATACTCACACATGCATGACAGTGGCTACTCTACTGGACAGCTCAGATATAAAACATATTCAGCATTACAGAAAATTCTACTGGGGCAGCACTGGTTTAGAAAAGCCTTTATGCGGGCCGGGCATGGTGACTCATTTAAGGTTGGGAGATCCAGACCAGTCTGGGCAACATGGTGAAACCTTGTCTCTACAAAAAATACAAAAACTAGCCAGGTGTGGTGGTGCATGCCTGTGATCTCAGCTACTTAGGAGGCTGAGGCACGAGAATTGCTTCAACCCGGGAAGCAGAGCTTGCAGTGAGCTGGGTTCATGCCACTGCACTCCAGCCTGGGCAACAGAGCGAGGCTCTGTCTCAAAAAAAAAAAAAAAAAAAAAAAAAGCCCTTATGCTCCTCTTTTAATGGAAATTGAAACAAGGGAAGTCTGTTTTTAGGGGAGCCATGTTAGGCCATGTGCAGAGATTGTAAACATTCCTCTTCCTGGCAGGACGTAGGGAAATTCCTTTGCTTTAAACTTTCTGTGTTCAATTGACTTTAGATTCTTAGGGGTCTTTATCAGAATTTGTTTTAGGAAGCAAGACAATAACTTTTTTTTTTTTTTTTTAGTCTTGTATCTGACAAAGTCAGAGAGGATTCTCTGCCAAGATCCTTTGCTATTTTCCATTTTTAATCCAGTCTGTTTGGAGATCCCAGGAGTTGATTTGCTGGATACACCTTCTGGGGCAGGAAGAGTCTGAGTATTTTCTCAAAACCCTTCCTGCTAGTGACTACTCCAGAATGTCAATAAACTTGTGTCTTGTTTATTACATACCATTTTTTATGTGTCAGATTGGCAAATATGAAAAAGCTGAATAGCCAATCCACTGAAGATGAAGTGGAAAGAATTTGAGTACTTCATGACCAAATTGTTCTGGGAAATGAACCAATAATGGAACTCCTTGACCTCCAGAATTCTTCTTATGTGAAAGGATACTTTTCATTATTGCTTAAGCCCTTTTGAGTTGAGCGTTCAGTGGCTTGCATCAGGAAGCTTCAGGGTTGACATACTACGCTCCTGCACTGTAACACGTACCTGGGGCAGCAGGTCCAGCCCAGTCAAGGGCTGCAGGAATGAAATATCCAAACCACTGGTAGCTTGCCTGGAGCTTCTAGGAAAAGCATGATTATCCTCCTTCCAGCTTCCAGAGGACCGGGGTCCAGAGGCAATGGGATGGGTTTTGGCACTGAGGAACTGAGGAAGAGTGCCTGTTTTACACCAAGGGCTCAGCTTTTGACATCATTCATTTAGTTACTCATTATAAGTCTGTAGACAGTGGGCAAGATATGGCGACAAACAAAGGTGTAGAATAAACAGAGCGCACCTTCTGGGTCCCCTCCCTCCTACTCTCACCAATCCCCTTTTCAGGGCCAAGCCCACTCTTCTTCCCAGGGCCTGGTCCCTCTTTCTGTCTCTTTCACAGGAAGTAGAATTATACACCATCTGAGAGCCTGTATAGGGGCTGGATCAGGCCCAATGTGGATCTTGAGAACTGAATATCTTCACCCAGTTTCCCCCAGTAGTCACATCTCACATTATCAGAGTATCATGTCAAAATCAGCATTTTGTATGTGTATCACATATATAGATGTTTGTAACCACCACTATAATAAAGATTCAGAACTAATGAAAAATACAAAATGTGAATAAAAGAAATTAAAGAGGACACAAAAAATGGAAAGATACCCCATGCTCGTGGATTTGAAAAATTACTATTATTAAAATGTCTTTATTACCAAAAGCAATCTACAGATTCAATGTAATAATGTTGTATCATTTTGCACCTTTTTTTTTTTCTTGAGACGAAGTCTTGCTGTGTCACCCAGGCTGGAGTGCAGTGGCTCGATCTCGACTCACTGCATGCTCCGCTTCCTGGGTTCAAGCAATTCTCCTGCCTCAGCCTGCTGAGTAGCTGGGATTACAGGTGCGCACCACCACGCCTGGCTAATTTTTGTATTATTATTATTTTTTAATTATACTTTAAATTCTAGGGTACATGTGTACAATGTGCAGATTTGTTACAAAGGTATACATGTGCCATGTTGGTTTGCTGCACCCATTAACTTGTCATTTACATTAGATATCTCTCCTAACGCTATCCCTCCCCCATCCCCCCACTCCACGACAAGCCCCAATGTGTGATGTTCCTCACCCAGTGTCCAAGTGTTCTCATTGTTCAATTCCCACCTATGAATGAGAACATGCGGTGTTTAGTTTTCTGTCCTTGCGATAGTTTGCTCAGAATGATGGTTTCCAGCTTCATCCATGTCCCTACAAAGGACATGAATGCATCCTTCTTTATGGCTGCATAGTATTCCATGGTGCATGTGTGCCACATTTTCTTAATCCACTCTATCAATGATGGACATTTGGATTGGTTCCAAGTCTTTGCTATTGTGAATAGTGTGGCAATAAACATACGTGTGCATGTGTCTTTATAGCAGCATGATTTATAATCCTTAGGGTATATACCTAGTAATGGGATTGCTAGGTCAAATGGTATTTCTAGTTCTAGATCCTTGAGGAATCGCCAGGCTGTCTTCCACAACAGTTGAACTAGTTTACAGTCCCACCAACAGTGTAAAAGTGTTCCTATTTCTACACATCCTCTCCAGCACCTGTTGTTTCCTGATTTTTTAATGATCACCATTCTAACTGGTGTGAGATGGTATCTCATTGTGGTTTTGATTTGCATTTCTCTGATGACCAGCGATGATGAGCATTTTTGCATGTGTTGGCTGCATAAATGTCTTCTTTTGAGAAGCATCTGTTCATATCCTTTGCCCACTTTTTGATGGGGCTGTTTGATTTTTTCTTGTAAATTTGTTTAAGTTCTTTTTAGATTCTGGATATTAGTTCTTTGTCAGATGGGTAGATTGCAAAAATTTTCTCCCATTCTGTAGGTTGCCTATTCACTCTGATGGTAGTTTCTTTTGCCATGCAGAAGCTCCTTAGTTTAATTAGATCCCATTTGTCAATTTTGGATTTTGTTGCCATTGCTTTTGGTGTTTTAGGCATGAAGTCCTTGCCCATGCCTATGTCCTGAATGGTATTGCCTAGGTTTTCTTCTAGGGTTTTTATGGTTTTAGGTCTAACATTTAAGTCTTTAATCCATCTTGAATTAATTTTTGTATAAGGTGTAAGGAAGGGATCCAGTTTCAGCTTTCTACATATGGCTAGCCAGTTTTCCCAGCACCATTTATTAAATAGGGAATCCTTTCCCCACTTCCTGTTTTTGTCAGGCTTGTCAAAGATCAGATGGTTGTAGATGTGTGATGTTATTTCTGAGGGCTCTGTTCTGTTCCATTGATCTACATCTCTGTCTTGGTACCAGTACCATGCTGTTTTGATTACTGTAGCCTTGTAGTATAGTTTGAAGTCAGGTAGTATGATGCCTCCAGCTTTGTTCTTTTGGCTTAGGGTTGTCTTGGCAATGCAGGCTCTTTTTTTGGTTCCATATGAACTTTAAAGTAGTTTTTTCCAATTCTGTGAAGAAAGTCATTGGTACCTTGATGGGGATGGCATTGAATCTATAAATGAACTTGGGCAGTATCGCCATTTTCATGATATTGATTCTTCCTATCCATGAGCATGGAATGTTCTTCCATTTGTTTGTGTCCTCTTTTATTTCATTGAGCAGTGGTTTGTAGTTCTCCTTGAAGAGGTCCTTCACATCCCTTGTAAGTTGGATTCCTAGGTATTTTATTCTCTTCGTAGCAATTGTGAATGGGAGTTCACTCATGATTTGGCTCTCTGTTTGTCTATTATTGATGTATAGGAATGCTTGTGATTTTTGCACATTGATTTTGTATCCTGAGACTTTGCTGAAGTTGCTTATCAGCTTAAGGGGATTTTGGACAGAGATGATGAGGTTTTCTAAATATACAATCATGTCATCTGCAAACATGGACAATTTGACTTCCTCTTTTCCTAATTGAATACCCTTTATTTCTTTTTCTTGCCTGATTGCCCTGGCCAGAAATTCCAACACTACGTTGAATAGGAGTGGTGAGAGAGGGCATCCCTATCTTGTGCCAGTTTTCAAAGGGAATGCTTCCAGTTTTTGCCCATTCAGTATGATATTCCTTGTGGGTTTGTCATAAATAGCTCTGATTATTTTGAGATATGTTCCATCAGTACCTAATTTAGTGAGAGTTTTTAGCATGAAGTGCTGTTGAATTTTGTCAAAGGCCTTTTCTGCATCTATTGAGATAATCATGTGGTCTTTGTCTTTGGTTCTGTTTATGTGATGGATTACGTTTATTGATTTGCATATATTGAACCAGCTTTGCATCTCAGGGATGAAGCCAACTTGATCTTGGTAGATAAGCTTTTTGATGTGCTGCTGGATTTGGTTTGCCAGTATTTTGAGGATTTTTGCATTGATGTTCATCAGGGATATTGGTCTAAAATTCTTTTTTTGTTGTGTCTCTGCCCGGCTTTGGTATCAGGATGATGCTGGCCTCATAAAACGAGTTAGGGAGGATTCCCTCTTTTTCTATTGATTGGAATAGTTTCAGAAGGAATGGTTCCAGCTCCTCTTTGTACCTCTGGTAGAATTTGGCTGTGAATCCATCTGGTCCTGGACTTTTTTTCATTGGTAGGCTATTAATTATTGCCTCAATTTCAGAGCCTGTTACTGGTCCATTCAGGGATTCAACTTCTTCGTGGTTTAGTCTTGGGAGGGTGTATGTGTCCAGGAATTTATCCATTTCTTCTAGATTTTCTAGTTTATTTGTGTAGAGGTGTTTATAGTATTCTCTGATGGTAGTTTGTATTTCTGTGGGATCTGTGGTGATATCCCCTTTATCATTTTTTACTGCGTCTATTTCATTCTTCTCTCTTTTCTTCTTTATTTGGCTTGTTAGCGGTATATCAATTTTGTTGATCTTTTCAAAAAACCAGCTCCTGGATTCATTGATTTTTTAAAGGGTTTTTTGTGTCTCTAGCTCCTTCAGTTCTGCTCCGATCTGTTATTTCTTGCCTTCTGCTAGCTTTTGAATTTGTTTGCTCTTGTTTCTCTAGTTCTTTTAATTGTGATGTTAGGGTGTCAGTTTTAGATCTTTTCTGCTTTCTCTTGTGGGCATTTAGTGGTATAAATTTCCCTCTACACGCTGCTTTAAATGTGTCCCAGAGACTCTAGTATGTTATGTCTTTGTTCTCATTGGTTTAAAAAAACATCTTTATTTCTGCCTTCATTTCATTATGTACCCAGTAGTCATTCAGGAGCAGGTTGTTCAGTTTCCATGTAGTTGTGCAGTTTTGAGTGGGTTTCTTATTCCTGAGTTCTAATTTGATTGCACTGTGGTCTGAGAGACAGTTTGCTGTGATTTCTGTTATTTTACATTTGCTGAGGAGTGCTTTTCTTCCAACTATGTGGTCAATTTTGGAATAAGTGCGATGTGGTGCTGAGAAGAATGTATATTCTGTTGATTTGTGGTGGAGAGTTCTGTAGATGTCTATTAGGTCAGCTTGGTGCACAGCTGAGTTCAAGTCCTGGATATCCTTGTTAACCTTCTGTCTTGTTGGTCTGTCTAATATTGAGAGTGGGGTGTTAAACTCTCCCATTATTATTGTGTGGGAGTCTAAGTCTCTTTGTAGGTCTCTAAGGACTTGCTTTATGAAACTGGGTGCTCCTGTATTGGGTGCACATATATTTAGAATAGTTAGCTCTTCTTGTTGAATTGATCCCTTTACCATTATGTAATGGCCTTCTTTATCTTTTTTGATCTTTGTTGGTTTAAAGTCTGTTTTATCAGAGACTAGGATTGCAATCCCTGCTTTTTTTTGCTTTCCATTTGCTTGGTAGATCTTCCTCCATCCCTTTATTTTGAGCCTATGTGTGTCTCTGCATGTGAGATAGGTTTGCTGAATACAGCACACTGATGGGTCTTGACTCTTTATCTAATTTGCCAGTCTGTGTCTTTTAATTGGGGCATTTAGCCCATTTACATTTAAGGTTAATATTGTTATGTGTGAATTTGATCCTTTCATTATGATGTTAGCTGGTTATTTTGCCCATTAGTTGATGCTGTTTCTTCATAGTGTCGATGGTCTTTAGAATTTGGCATGGTTTTGCAGTGGCTGGTACCGGTTGTTCCTTTCCATGTTTAGAGCTTCCTTCAGGAGCTCTTGTAAGGCAGGCTTGGTGGTAACAAAATCTCTCAGCATTTGCTTGTCTGTAAAGTATTTTATTTCTCCTTCACTTATGAAGCTTAGTTTGGCTGGATATCAAATTCTGGGTTGAAAATTCCTTTCTTTAAGAATGTTGAATGTTGGCCCCCACTCTCTTCTGGCTTATAGAGTTTCTGACGAAGAGATCAGCTGTTAGTCTGATGGGCTTCCCTTTCTGGATAACCTGACCTTTCTCTGTGGCTGCCCTTAACATTTTTTCCTTCATTTCAACCTTGGTGAATCTGACAATTATGTGTCTTGGGGTTGCTCTTCTTGAGGAGTATCTTTGTGGTGTTGTCTGTATTTCCTAAATTTGAATGTTGGCCTGCCTTGCTAGGTTGGGGAAGTTCTCCTGGATAATACCCTGAAGAGTGTTTTCCAGCTTGGTTCCATTCTCCCTGTCACTTTCAGGTACAGCAGCCAAATGTAGATTTGGTCTTTCCTGTAGTCCCATATTTCTCGGAGGCTTTGTTCGTTTCTTTTTACTCTTTTTTCTCTAAACTTCTCTTCTTGCTTCATTTCATTAATTTGATCTTCAATCACTGATACACTTTCTTCCACTTGATCGAATCGGCTACTGAATCTTGTGCATGTGTCACGTAGTTCTCCTGCCATGGTTTTCAGCTCCATCAGGTCATTTAAGGTCTTCTTTACTCTGTTTATTCTAGTTAGCCACTCATCTAATCTTTTTTCAAGGTTTTTAGCTTCCTTGCGATGGGTTCAAACATCCTCCTTTAGCTCGGAGAAGTTTGTTATTATTGACCTTCTGAAGCCTACTTCTGTCAACTCGTCAAAGTCATTCTCCATCCAGCTTTGTTCCATTGCTGGTGAGGAGCTGCCATCCTTTGGAGGAGAAGAGGCACTCTGGTTTTTAGAATTTTCAGCTCTGATTTCTCCCCATTTGTGGTTTTATCTACCTTTGGTCTTTGATAATGGTGACCTACAGATGGGGTTTTGGTGTGGATGTCCTTTTTGTTGATGTTGATGCCATTCCTTTCTGTTTGTTAGTTTTGCTTCTAACAGTCAGGTACAGCTGCTGGTCTGTTGGAGTTTGCTGGAGGTCCACTCCAGACCCTGTTTTCCTGGGTATCACCAGTGGAGGCTGCAGAGCAGCAAATATTGCAGAACAGCACATATTGCTGCCTGATCCTTCCTCTGGAAGCTTCATCCCAGAGGGGCACCCACCTATTTGAGATGTCAGTCAGCCCCTACTGGGAGGTATCTCCCAGTTAGGCTACATAGGGGTTCGGGATCCACTTGAGGAGGCAGTCTTTCTGTTCTCAGAGGTCAAACACTGTGCTGGGAGAACCACTGTTCTCTTCAGTGCTGTGAGACAGGGATGTTCAAGTCTGCAGAAGTTTCTGCTGCCTTTTGTTCAGCTATCCCCTGCCCCAGAGGTGAAGTCTACAGAGGCAGGCAGGCCTCATTGAGCTGTGGTGGGCTGCACCCAGTTCGAGCTTACCAGCTGCTTTTTTTTACCTACTCAAGCCTCAGCAATGGCAGACGCCCTTCCCCTAGCCAGGCTGCCGCCTGTAGCTCAATCTCGGACTGCTGTGCTAGCAGTGAGCAAGTCTCCATGGGCGTGGGACCTGCTGAGCCAGGTGTGAGATATAATCTCCTGGTGTGCCATTTGCTAAGACCATTGGAAAAGTGCAGTATTTGGGTGGCAGTATCCCGATTTTCCAGCTGCAATCTGTCACGGCTTCCCTTGGCTAGGAAAGGGAATCCCCCCAACCCCTTGCACTTCCCTGTTGAGCTGATGTCCTGCCCTGCTTCGGCTGGCCCTCCATGGGCTGCACCCACTGTCCAACCAGTCCCAATGAGATGAACCAGGTACCTCAGTTGGAAATGCAAAAATCACCCGTCTTCTGTGTCGATTGTGCTGGGAGCTGCAGACCAGAGCTGTTCCTATTCGGCCATCTTGGAACCGTGAGATTCTCTAAAGTGCTAATTTTTGCATTTTTAATAGAGACGGGGTTTCACCATGTTGGTCAGGCTGGTCTCAAACTCCTGACCTCGTGATCCGCCTGCCTTGGCCTCCCAAAGTGTTGGAATTACAGCAGTGAGCCACTGTGCCCAGCCATAATTTTTGTACTTTTAGTACAGACAGGGTTTCACCATGTTGGCCAGGCTGGTCTCAAACTCGTGACCTCAAGTAGTCTGCCTACCTTGGCCTCCCATAGTGCTGGGTTTACAGGCGTGAGCCACCCTGCCTTGCCTGTGTGTGTTCTTTGGATTCAAACACACTGCTGCTCTAGAGTATATGAGTATGACTGAGAAAACATTTATTTCAAAAAGATTAAAATAAGACACCACACTAGAATATAAAAAGAACTGTTACAATCAATAATAAAAAAGACAAATATCCAATTATAAATGGGCAAAGGACCAAAGGACCAAAATAGACATTTCTCCAAAGAAGATATACAAATTTCCAATAATCACATGAGAAGATGCTAAATATCATTAGTCTTCAGGGAAATGCGAATCAAAACCACAATGAGATACCATTTTGCACCTGCTAGGATGGCTACATCAAATTGACATATAACAAACGTTGATCAGACATAAAGATAGGAGCAATAGACACTGGGGACTCCAAAAAGAGGGAGGTGGGGCAAGGGCTGAGAAACTTCCTATTGGGTACTATGTTCACTACCTGGGTGATGGGATCAATAGAAATCCTAACCCCAGCATCACACAATATACCCTTGTAACAAACCTACATGTGTACCCTCAATCTAAAATAAAAAAATTTAAAAATGAAATAAAAGGATTAGCTGCGGGGGGGTGGGGGGGAACAACAAGTGTTGGTGAGGATGAGAGAAATTGGGACCTTCCTGCCTTGCTGGTGGGAATATAAAATGGTGCAGCCACTTTGGAAAATAGTCTGGCAGTTCCTCCAAAGGTTAAACACAGAGTTACGATATGACCAGCAATTCCACTCCTAGGTATATACCCAAGAGAAATGGAACACATGTCCACAGAAATGTTCATAGCAGCATTATTCGAAATGGCCAAAAATGTGGTATATCCATACAATGGAATATTCTTTGGTGATGAAAAGAAGTGAGTACTGGTGTTACGACATGGATAAGCCTTGGAAACATTATGCTTAAGTTAAAAAAGCCAGTCAAAAAAACCCATGTATTATATGATTCAATTTGTATGAAATGTCCAGAACAGGCAAATCTATAGAGTCATAAAGTAGATTAGTGGCTGCCTAGGACTGAAAAGAGGGCGGGCATGGGAGAGTGATTGCCTAAGGGGCATGGCATTTCTTTTCTGGGTGATGAAAATGTTCTAAAATTCCTTGTGACGATGGTTGCACAGCTCTGTGAATACACAAAAACCACTAGATTGTCCACTTTAAATGGTTGAATTGTATGGTATGAGAATTACATATCAATAAAGCTGTTTTATAGAATAAATAAACAAACTCCCACACAGAGCCAGCAGCCAGCCTTCTTCTTGTTTCCATGCCAGGGATCTCGCTCCTATTTGCCCTTAATGTATCTTCCTGTTGACACCCAGCCAGCAAACTCATGTTTGCTCTGCGGTGACATCCCCAGGATGCACCAGGCCCTGGGCCTGACATTGTTCTGCAGTCCTTGCCAACTAGGTCAGCGTCAGGGAAGGCAAACAGCATATTTCAGAGGGTGACAACATAAGGGCGTGAGAAGCAGCCAGAGAGAGCCCCCCACCAGGCTCCCTTGGCCAAGACACTGGGGACCTGTCCTCTGGTTGAAACCTCCTATTCCTGCCTCCTCGACCCCCACTCCCCAGATGAAGGTGGATGCTACTGTGTGGGGCTGGAAATATAAAAGCACTTCCCCAGGGCAGTGATGGGCTCTGGGGAGCCATTGTGGTGGGAAGGAAGATAAGAAACACTTAACCTCAGAGAGGTTAAGCAACTTGCCTAAAGTTACTCTGCATTAAAGCTTTGAGTCACTTGCATGGCTAGAAGTTCTTGAGCTGGATTCTATCCTTTAAAAAAGATTCCAAATAACATATACATCCCATGGTAGGGAATTGGTTAAATTAATTATGCTCCAGTCACACAGTGGAATAGTATGCTGATGCTAAAAAGAGTTTGGCATGCTTTAAGTACTGATATGGAATTGTCACCAAGATGTGTTTTTAAGTGAAAAAAAGCAAGATGCAGAACAGTGTGTATAGTATTCTACTATTTGTCTAAAAGGAGGCAAAAGATACATATACAGTCATCATCCCTCCATATTCACAGGGCATTAGTTCCAGGACCCCTGCAGATACCAGTATCTAAAGATGCTCAAGTCCCTTATATAAAATGGCATAGTATTTGCACATCCTACTGTATACTTTAAATCATTTCTAGATTACTTATGATATTTTTATTTGTATTATTTTTTACTATTTTTATTTTTATTTGTATTATTTATTTGTATTTGTATTTTTTACTATTGTACTACTATTTTTATTGTTTTTTTCAATATGTTTTGATCTGCAATTGAGTGAATCCATGAACACAGAACTTGCAGATACAGAGGCTGTGGATACAGAGGGTCAACTGTATTTGTAATTGCTTGTGTCCAAATAAAGTATCTCTGAAAGGACACATAAGAAATTAATGACATTGGCCAGGCACAGTGGCTGGTCCCAGCACTTTGGGAGGCTGAGGTGGGTGGATCACCTGAGGTCAGCAGTTTGAGACCAGCCTGGCCAACATGGTGAAAGATTGTCTCTACTAAAAATACAAAAAATTAGCTGGGTATGGTGGTGGGCACCTGTAATCCCAGCTACTCAGGAGGCTGAGGTGGGAGAATACCTTGAACCTGGGAGGCAGAGGTTGCAGTGAGCTGACGCTGCAGCCTGGGCAATAGAGCAAAACTCTGTCTCAAAAAAAAAAAAAAAAAAAAAAAAAAAAGAATCACAGCTCCAATCAAGGAAGCAAAATTTTTCCAGAAGCTCCCAGAATTCTTTGGCTTATACTTCATTGGCCAACTATGTTATGTAACATTTTCAGCTGCAAGAATGTCTTGGAGAGAAAGTAATTTTCCCTCAGACTTTATGGTAGAGGGGGTGAGTATGGTGGCATGTCTGTGGTCCCAGCTACTCAGGAGGCTGAGGTGGGAGGATCAATTTAGCCCAAGAGGTCAACACTGCAGTGAGCTGTCATTGCATTGCTGCACTCCAGACTGGGCAACAGAGCAAGACCCTGTCTCAAAAAAGAAAAGAAAAGAAAAGAAAAATAATGAATAAATGAATGTCCCATGCTCTGAAGTCCATCCCCAAATCTCAAGTTAAGAGCCCTGCTTCCTAGGATGATTAAAAATTGAATCCTTTAATATTTGTCAAATGCTGTGCTAATCCTATCAGAAATTACTGGTGAGATTTGAGAAGGGGGATTGGTAAGGAGCATCCCTTTTCCTCAGTGTGAGTTCTAAACTATTGAGACATAAAGGAGTAAGATAGGTATGGATTGCAGTATCACCCTCATTGCTGATAAAGGCCCGGATTGAGGGTGTGGCTTAGATGAACCAGGCAACAACCAACATCCTAATGTCATACCCAGAATTAGACCCACCTGCCTGGTCATAGGCAGGACTCAGACATGCGGGCCTCACTGCAGGGCTGGCTGCATGACAGCTGTGCTCGCCAGCTGCCGATGGGAGGCCCCACCCAAGGGAAAGCAGGAGGCAGGCAGAGCCAGGCTTACACTGCCCTCTGCAGCTCACAATCACCTCCTCTTTCCAGGAGGGGCTTGCAGGAAGGGGAGAGGCCAGGAGGCTGTAACACTAACGGAAGAAACATACGGGAAAGGAGTCTTTTCCCAAATCCCCAAATTATCAAGATTGTACTGTTTCTGTTTCTCCACATTAAAGGAGATCACGCCAGCCACATTTCAGGGCCTGGTGCTCAAAAATAGTAGGTGCTTAATGCAAATCAGCCTCCTTTCCTCCTCTTCTCCATTCAAATTCTTTCTTAACCAGGGTAGGAAGAGATTAGCCTTCCCTTCCTCTTTAATGTACGGAGACTTCATTTCTCAATTTCTCTTCATTGCTCAATTTCTCTTCCTGTGTTGCAATTCCCCAAGCATGTGACTTTCATCTGGCAACCCTAGCCCTGTGCTATTGGGATAGTGGAGTTATGCCTCATGCGTCATGTTCCTGCACCACTAAGTCAAATTTCACTTAACAGACTCAGCTGCCCCTGCTCTGTGGAGGGTCTCCTCTCCCTTCCTCCTCTAGGACTCATCCATCTTCTTTATGCCCCACTTCCAACAGGTGGAGGACATTTATCTTCTTTTTGGAGCCACTGGGCATTTGAACTCCTTTCTCATGTTTGGGGGACTCCTACTTTATGATTGGATCGGGAGGAGGTCCTCACCTTCTACTAGAGAAACGGAAATGTTCCGTTTCCCCTTTCTCAGCCTCCCTTTTGCAACTACAGCCAGCGCATGTGACGAGGGCTGGCCAACCAGAGGGGCCTGTGCCAGACCTTAGGGGAGCGTGGGGGTTCTGAGGGAGGCCAGGACTCCCGAGAATGTCCACTGTGGATGGTCGGCAGTGCAGCACATCTGAATTCCTGGCACAGCAGGGGCCGCTGAGCCGGCTGGGGACACATCGAGGTTTCTCGGCACATAGGGTTTGGGTTCCGTCGGGGGGTGTTGTCCCTGACTGTGCAGCTTTAAACCTAGTTTTAGGGTCTTGTGGTGGTTCTGTGAGCTGCCTGTTTACCTTCTGATACATTTTCTTCTCCATTCAGGCAGTCGGTGTTTATAGTTTGTAGCTAGAAACAATGACAGTGAGGCCGTAATTGAGTCCCTGACTTGGTCTTCCAAGCCTGACGTTCCCACTGGTTCTCCCTTGAAGTCAGAGAATACTTCAAGAGTGCACAGGCCTCATCTCAGGAAGGACATGGGTGCGCTCACCTTGTCCTGCAGCCTCTCTTCCCCTTGGTGGTGGGGAAGGCGGTGCTGTGGACAGTGACTAACTCAGAATAGGAAACAGGCATATTGATCTTCATTTTGTCAAAATCAACCCAGTGACCTCAGGCAAGTCACTTCACCTCTCGAGATTTTCTCACATGTCAAATGGCCTGGGTGGAGATGCCAGACCCAAAGATGCCCCAATTTTAATACCGTGTCTGTTCTCGAAGCTGGAGTCTCATTTTACTACTTCAGCTTCATGGAGTGTTTTTGTTTATTTTTCCTGTAATTACTTATGGTAACCATAGTTCAAGCAACAAAGCTTGATGGACTATTACTTTTATTGCACCTGCCAGTCCTGGTTTCCAGCCCCAGACTCAGCTATGTCCCAGCTTTAAAAGTCCAAGAACCAGGACTTTGCAATAGAGGGATTACAATAATGTGCATTCGAACTATACCTGGGGACTGGGGGTTAGGAATTCTGTCTTGATACCACTTATGAAAGGTGTCCCTTTTACTTATGGCAGGTGGGTGGTTTATAGAACAAGCCCATTCAATCTCTTTGGGGCTTGAATCCTGGCTCTGAGTGGCTGTGAGTGGCCTTGAGTGAGTGACCTCATTCAGGTTCCCACATGCCATTTAATACTCTAACTCATGGAGTAGGGCTGACTTAACCTTCCCAAGAAGTTGTGAGTTTCTCAGGTGCAGGGTCCATGACTTAAATACATTTTGTATCCCCCATCTTTACCCCTCTCTCACCTTGACATACGTGTATACCCGTTTAGGGGTAGAACATGTCTGTAAGACCCACCCAAGAAACTGACAACAGTGAGTGCCTCAGGGAAGACTGAAACCAGGAGGAGGGACTTACTCTTCACTTTACATTCTTGAATATATTGCCATGAACACAACAGTATTTTAAAAACTGCCTAATACAGAAATAAGAAAATTCACATCTCTATTTTTATTTCATTTTGTGGAGGTAGAATCCTGGATTTATCCAACCCCCTATTTAGGGGCATCCTGATTTCTCCATCTTGCTGGGGGAAGTTGACTCACCTCTCATTAACCTGGGAAGGCTTCCCAGAGCAGGTGACTTCTGACAGATGAGTAGGAGTCAGATGAAGCAGGGTAGGACATGAGAAGAAAGTATTCCAAGCAGGGGGAACATCATGAATGAAGGTGGGAGGTGCGAGAGTGTGGCCCTTGTGAGGAAATGCAAGGTGGGTAGGGGTGGGATGGGTGGAGATGAGGCTGGAGGAACCCATAGGTCATTTAGGGCTCTTGCAGCATGCTAGGCACTTGAATCTTGGACTCAATCCCAGGCACAATGTGGAGCCATTGAAATAATCTGGGGCTGGTGAGAGTGATCAACTGTACAAATCAGCAGCATTGTTCCGAGGAAAGCAAGACTTGACCAGCTCTTCAGCTGTATCAGTTACCAAATACACGTTTACTCATAAAGAGGGCTGGTTTCTTACTACTACCTCTCATTCCAGCTTGCTGCAGGCTCCAGATGGGAAATACCCACAGAGCTATGGGAGCAGAGGACTCTCCTAACTCTGTGAGAGGCCTCAAGAATGTAATGGAGAAAGCCTTCCCAGGCTAAAAACTCAGACTCAGAGCTCCCCAGACAGGCAAAGGAGAGAAAGGACCTTCCAGGCAGAGCGAACTGCAGGAGGAAGCTCAGGGCGCATGTGCAGGGAATTAGGCTTGACAGGTGGGAAGGGGCCAGGCGCTAATGAGGTTTGTTTGTTTTTTTCACATTTTCTATCACTTTCTATGAGGTTGGTATATTTATTTATTTATTTATTTATTTATTTATTTATTTATTTATTGAGATAGAATTTTGCTCTTGTTGCCCAGGCTGGAGTGCAATGGCACGGTCTCAGTTCACTGCAACCTCTGCCTCACAGGTTCAACTGATTCTCCTGCCTCAGCCTCCTGAGTAGCTGGGATTACAGGCATGTGCCACCATGTCTGGCTAATTTTTGTATTTTTAGTAGAGACGGGGTTTCACCATGTTGGTCAGGCTGGTCTTGAACTCCTGGGCCTAAGTGACCCAGCCACCTTGGCCCCTGAAAGTGCTGGGATTACAGGCGTGAGCCACTGTGCCCGGCTGAGCTTGGTTTTTACTGAGCTATTTTATAAATCATCTGGCGCGCTTCAGAAGTCGATTTCAGGGCATCCCCAGACCGACCCAATCAGAACTTCCAGGTGATGTCTTTAATCTGACGACTTTGGGAAATGTGGCTTTAGTCTAGACAAAGAGTTCTCTAATGTAGTTGTTGGCTAAAGTGTTATGCAGGGGCCCCAACCACACTGCAGAACCACGGTCAGTCCAGCAAGTGAGGGAACTGCCTGACAAAGGGGATGGTCCCTGAGTCAGTCTAACCTGTCAGTTTGGTGGGGCTAGGAATGAAGGCGGACCAGTTCTTCCTGTGAGGTGCAAACAAAAACTGGAAAAACAGCAAGACAGACTTATCCAAGTTCTTTCTGGGCGTGGCTGAGGCTGCACCGTCTCAGTCTTTGGCCATTCCTGAAGCCCTCTCAGCAGGGTCCTCTGTCCTTGCCAAGAAGCTAGAAAGAATTAGAAGACAGATGAGTCAGAATGGAAGGTAATGAGGTTTCTGGGCTTCCAGGGGTGCTCACCCAACCCTCAGGGCTTCCCCTACTGCTCTTCCCCTTTCTCACCCCCACCCAGGATTTCTTTCCCCCTGTAAATGAGAACTGCCCCCACTCCCCACCCTCCACTCTGCAGTCAGTGGGAGGATGCATGCAAGAAGCTGTTGGAGCTTGAGGGAAGGGAGGAGTGAGGGAGATGCCCCTGATGCTGGTGTCTTCATTCTCTGAGCTGGATAGGGACTAACCGTGGGGCAGCCTGCTACCAGCAACACTGGTTTTTCTTTTCTTTTTTTTCCTTTTTTTCTGAGACGGGGTCTCGTTGCCCAGGCTGGAGTGCAGTGGTGCGATCTTGGCTCACTGCAACCTCTGCCTCCCAGGTTCAAGCAATTCTCCTGCCTCAGCCCCCCTTAGTAGCTGGGATTACAGGCACACACCACCACGCCCAGCTAATTTTTTTTTGTATTTATAGTTAGAGATGGAGCTTCACCATGTTGGCCAGGCTGGTCTCTGACTCCTGACCTCAGGTGTTCCACCCATCTCGTCCTCCAAAAGTGTTGGGATTACAGGTGTGAGCCACCACTCCTGGCCCAACAGCACTGATTTTGCAGGGCAAAGCATTATTTGTCTTGAGTCAGTCCTATGGCCTACATAAAATGTGGTCCCCTCTGGATTCGCGGCTGACCCTGGCACTTGTAGCTGGAGAAGGCATGCAAACATTGATGATGCACAGTGCTGGCTCTCAGATGGTAACATCGGTCGCCTCCCCATCCCACTTCATTTACTCAACAAACATTGATTTGAGCCCCTGCCATTCTGGGCCTGGGGCCCAGAGGAAGAAAGGCACGACCCCAGACCGTGAGTGTTCTCTGAGAAGCAGACAGAGGCAACGCTGCTGTGAGAAGCAGAGAGAGGGCTGAGACCATCCTGAGGACAGCAAAGAGGGCACTAACCTGGAAGACGGGCGGCAAAGATGTCTGAACTGAGTCTTGAAAAGCCAGCCAAGCTGCTCACCCCAAAAGAAAGTTTATTCTGGCTGAACCAACCAGCCAGAGGGAAGAGACTTCAGGGATTTCAGTGCTAAAATGGAAGTGTTTACAGTCTCCCTTCCCCAGAGACCCTCACGCTTGCACCCCACCCCAATCCCTGGACTCCCACAGTACCTCCCAAGGGAGAATAAGCAGAAAAGACCCCAAGGGGAGGTATTGCTGGAAGCCTGGCAGAGGGAAAAAGCTGCTCAGTCTTCTGATGAAGGGGGGAGTGGGGACGGGAGCTGAGCTCATTCCTGGCTGTTGAACTGTGCTCTGCCAGAGCTGGGCCCTGTTAACCCTACAGTGAGTTAACCCTACAGTGAGTCCTGAGGGCTTGGAGGGAGCTTTCCCTCAAATCTCGGCATCCAGACTGCTTCTGCTCTGCCCACCAGCCCCGCTAATCCTGGCGGCCACTCATTCATTCACTGGTTTGTTGAATTAATAGTGAGGGAGCACCTTCTCCTAGATCCTAAAGATACAGCCATGCACAAAACAAAGACCCCACAGGTCTTTATTCTAGTGGGGGAAGCAGACAGAGAATGATCAAACGAGGAAGGGAGGAAGACAAACAAGAAAGGGAAAGGGCGAAGAGGTGGACCCGTTCATATGGGAGGGAGAGGCTCAGTAATAGCGGGCATGGGGCAGAAGTCTGAAGGAAGGGCAGGGGGCGGGAGGGAGGGGAGAGGAATCCCAGAGGGAGAAAGCAGCACCTGCAAAGGTCCTGAGGCAGGCCTGTCCGCAGAGCCCTGAGGGTGGGCCGAGCAGGAACTCACTGTGCATGGAGACACGCAGAAGGGTTTAAGAGTGCCAGCTCTGAGCTCATGCATGCCTAGCGGCCTGCATTTAGGCAGAATTGCTTCATCTCCCTAAGGCTCAGTGTCCCTGTCTGTAAAATGGGAAGAATGGTGTTACTGCACCATGGCTTTCTATATACTTTTTCTAAATAAATGGCAGTTATTATCAGGATAATTATAAATGCAATGGATACATGTTCAATAGTTAGTATTAGCACTTTCCCAAAGGGGATTTCCAACAAGGTAAGACACTAGATTTTTTTTTTTGGTTTTATAAAAATATCTTAAATTACACTGATAGTAACACATGTTGAGAGTGAGGTATGTGGGCATCAAGTATCAGCAATCACAAATCACACTCACGCCTTCCCCCACTCCTCACAGGTGGGGCTTGCCCCCATTACTCCAGAGCTGCCTTACAGGCACCAAAAGCAAGGCCTGGAGGAGCCAGGAGCTTGGCTGGATCTGAGCAAGACAGTGTCAGAGCCAGAATTAGGCTGCAGTCATCTTTAGAAGGAAGCAGAAAGTTTCTCTTTGAATTGACACTTCCTCCCATTTTCTTTCCATTTGAGTAAGCACAAACCTTAAGAGTTTAAGCCTTTTTCAGAAAGTTTGGAGCTATGGTCGGTGTAAGGAGACAGCCATCTCCCTTTTAATCTTTGGTTTTGAACGTGAGTGATTGGGAGGTCCCTCGACGACTGGCCTGGGTCTTCAGAAAGGTCTCAAGGATGTGAGCAGGCTGTAGCAATCCTGCTCTGGCCCCCACCCTGCTGGACAGCCCATGGTGGGTGATGGGTGCCACAGCTGATCTGGAATGTTCTGTTCATTTGCCCCCCTGCCAACCCTTCTCCAACCTTCGAGGGAGCCATCCCACCTGGCCCATGCCTCCTGCCACCCAGCTCACACCCCTCATCATCAGAGCGCAGCACGACCCAGCTCTCTCTCCTGCAGGAAGCACATAGCCCTCCCTGCCCTGCTTGGCCCACTGTTCCCAGCTTTCTCAGAGCCCAGTCCATCCTACCGTGGGTTAGCGATGGTGGGAGAGATCAGTGCAGACCTGTCCTAGAGGCGCCTGCCAGAGCAGGGGAAGAAGTAATGACAATGAGTAAACCACGTGCTAATTTTCTTTTTTTCTTTTCTTTTCTTTCTTTCTTTCTTTCTTTCTTTCTTTCTTTCTTTCTTTCTTTCTTTTTTAAGGCAGTTTCACTCTATTGCTCAGGCTGGAGTGCAGTGGTGCGATCTCAGCTCACTGCAACCTCGACCTCCCTGGGCTCCCAAAATCCTCCCATCTCAGCCTCCCAAGTAGCTGGGACTACAGGTGTGTGCCACCACACTGAGCTAATTTTTTTATTGTTTGTAGAGACGGGGTTTTGCCATGTTTCCCAGGCTGGTCTTGAACTCCTGGGCTCAAGTGATCCACCAGCCTCAGCCTCCCAAAGTGCTGAAATTACAGGCATGAGCCACCCTCACCTGGCCTGAGTGCTGAAAAACAGAAAAGCCTCAGAGGCCAAAGATGAAGCACTGGATGGAAGTTGACCTCCAAGCAGGGAGCAGGCAACTCAGCACCAGCCTAGGCTCCACGTGGGGCTGAGAGAGGGGGAAGGCCACCGACAGTCCCTGCTCCATGGGGAAGGCAGCCTCTGACTCTGGCTGACGGGCCGGCAGTCGGATAAGGATTGGCTGGCAGGAATGGGCATCCAGCTGCCTCTGCTGCTGCTGTGAGCTGGGAATGATGGTGCCAGTCAAGTCTGCATGGCCAGGTGGCCGGGCCGGGGTCTCTCAGCTCCAGTGGCTGAAACACACTACAGAATCATCAAACCTAGTCTGAGATAGTCATGAAAGAGATTTAGAAAAAGACATAGTGATTTTGTTCCCCATTTGCTTTTTCTAAAAACACTCCTCTCTAATAAAATGTATGACAGCAATAGCTCTCACTTATTGCTCATTTAATGTGTGGCGAGTGTTTTCCTAAACTCTTTATATATGTGTATTAGCTCATTTAATCCCCACACAAATCTTATGAGGTTTTACCACTGTCTTCACTATATAGATAAGGAAATGGGGGAGTTTATCTCCAGGAAAGTTAAGAAACTTTACCAAATAACTTGACCAAGGTTTAAATGGGGGTCTTACCCAGAGTCAACTTTAACTTCCAGACTGTCTCTACTACATTTTCTTTAAACAGCTCTTTGTGACGGGCTTGACCTTGCTGCAGGGTCTTCCTGTGATTCCCAATTCTTTGGATTCAACCCACATTTAAATCAGTCCTCCTGTTTCTGCCTAAATAAACCAATGCTTATAATATTTAAATATTTATTAAGAGTCTCTATCTCTGCAATGGTATATTTCCAAGATAATTTTTCTGATGAAACCCAGAAGAGAGAGAAAAAGAGAAATATTGATTGAAACCCATATTATGACGATAATTTTGCTGGATAAATATGTTTCTTTTCTTTTTTTTGAGACAGAGTCTCACTCTGTCACGCAGGCTGGTGCAGTGGTGTGATCATGAATTTTTTCAAAATATTAGATCACTAGCTAGAGCTTAGAAATCCTTTGTCATAAAGAGAAAGTTTTGACGAAATGGAATTTGCCATAGCATCCATACTTGCTTACATTTACCAAAGGTTAAACTGTTCCCACGTATCACCTTCTGTTGGGCAATTTACCTTTGCTCACTAGGCATTGGCCAGGGGAGAAATGGTTTACATTTGAGAAAGAGGCCTAAAGCACACAATGCATCCCTACTTTAATTTTTCAAGAAAAATGCCTGCCCAACCTTAAAAAAATCAGGTAAGTAACACAGAGAGTAGGGACTATCATAAAACTATTTACAAAGCTAACTGGGATTAAAGTAGCCCTCAGAGCTTTTAGTGACATCTCCTGACCTCTGCTGGACACATTTGGGATTGCATAGCTCCCAGGTCCTTGAAAGTAACCAGCAAAATAAGAATCTTAAAGTTTACAGAATGCCTCATCTAAATCTCTCATTTCAGAGATGAAGAAAATAAGATTCAATGGGCTTATGTGACCTACCCAAGAGTACACAGTTACTTATGAAGTGGCATATTCAGGACCAGTACCTAGAAATGATTTATTGCCCAGTAAACCACATATGCAAATGTTGATTAACTTCATTGGAATGAATAAATACTCTTTGGATTATCTTTAGAGTACCATCATTTTTAGAAATAAGAACAGCTGACAAGGACAAAGTGGTAACCAAGAGTCAAAATTAGAATTATTTGAGCAAGGTCATAGTTACCTTTATATCCCGTATCCCATATCCCCTAATCCCATAACTCCGTCATTATCTTCAGTGACTGATGATGTCTGTAGAGTAACAAAGAAGAGAGTCGGAGAATTCATTTTCACAAAACCCTTTTTTTTAGTTGTAAATATTTATTCCTGATTGTAGTTTGTTAAAATGAGCTTGCCTTCCTAGAGGAAACTTCAACTGGCCATAGGAAATAAGACTCCCCAGGGTTAAGAGGACTGTTCCTTTCAAGAACTAACTCTACCAGTGTTCCTGCAGAGACACATGGAACCCAAGGGAGGCACCCAGAGGTCTCTGATGCTTCTTCAGCTGGGAGTTTTGGGTCTCCCTATTGAGGCTGTATCTAGAAGAGAAAGCTGAAAGACCACTGAACTATGTAGTCAAATTATTCTACACTTTAATATCTCCAAATGCATAGTGTTAACGAAAGGAGTAGAGTATTATATTTGAAAGAACATAAGCTTTGCAGCCATGCAGTTAGTGGCTGCTTACTATCTATGTGAGCTTAGGTAAATGACTTAATCTCTCTGAGCTTCAGTGTCCTCACCAATAAAACAGGAATCATAAATGATACTTTTCCAGAAAGTTGTTTGAGAATACATGAGATTGTGTGTGTGAAAATCCTAAGCAAAGTACCTGGTGCTACAGGCCAAAGGGAGGGATAATGTTTGATTTCTTCATGGAATTAAATATACACCAGATTTTTTTTCTTTTTTTGGATACTGGGTCTCATTCTATTGCCCAAGCTGGAGTGCAGTGGTGCAATAACAGCTTACTCCAGCCTCGAAGTGATCCTCCCACCTCAGCCTCCTGGGTAGCTGGAACTATATATAGGCACATGCCACCATGTCTAGCTAATTTTTTTCTTTTAATTTCTTGTAGAGACAGAATATTGCTATGTTGCTCAAGCTGATCTTGAACTCCTGATCTCAAGTGATCCTCCTGCTGCCTCCTGCCTCAGCCTCCCAAAGCACTGGGATTATAAGTGTGTGAGCCACCGCACCAGGCCTATGGCAGATTTTTTTTTTTTTAATTTCAGACAGGGTTTTACTCTGTTGCCCAGGCTGGAGTGCAGTGGAGTGATCTTGGCTCACTGTGGCCTCAACCTCCCAGACTCAAGCAGTCCTCCCACCTCAGCCTCCCAAGTAGCTGGGACCACAGGCACCGCCACACCTGGCTATTTTTTTGTATTTTTTGTAGAGATGGGTTTCACCATGTTGCCCAGGTTGGTCTCAAACTCCTGGGCTCAAGCGATCCACCCACCTCAGCTTTCCAAAGTGCTGGGATTACAGATGTGAGCCATTGTGCCTAGTCTAAAGTGTCTCTTTAAGGCACTTGTGAATAGAGTCTTGTCCATTTTAGATTATTTTATTGGGTCTTTGAGATATAGAATTGAGTATTTCTCCATGATAAATGCATAAGTCAGCACTTTTTTTGTGAGAAAAAGTGTGTCTGGGCCAGGCACAGTGGCTCATGCCTGTAATCCCAGCACTTTGGGAGGCTGAGGCGGGTGGATCCCTTGAGCCCAGGAGTTTGAGACCAGCCTGGGCAACATGGCAAAACCCCACCTCTACTAAAAATACAAAAATTAGCCAGTCTCATACACAGCCTCAAAATTAATTAATTAATTAAAAAATAAAAAATTTTAAAAAGAGACACTTTAAATGGTTTAAAACATCCCCACTCAAGATTTTGTTGTTGTTGTTTGCTTTTTGTAGTTTTGCTGTGCCTTCCCCATGATAAAAAGTGCTCTTAAAACTTGGCAGCTGTCTGGGTGCAGTGGCTCATGCCTGTAATCCCAGCATTTTGGTAAGCTGGGGTGGGCAGATCACCTGAGGTCAGGACTTTGAGACCAGCCTGGCCAACATGGTGAAACTCTGTCTCTACTAAAAATACAAAAATTAGCCGGGCGTGGTGGTGAGTGCCTGTAATCCCAGCTACTCGGGAGGCTGAGGCAGAAGAGTCACTTGAACCTCGGAGGTGGAGATTGCAGTGAGCCGAGATCGCACCACTGCACTCCAGCCTAGGCAACAGAGCGAGACTCTGTCTCAAAGAAAAGAAAAGAAAAGAAAAAAAAACTTGGCAGCTAAATTGGTTGTGTGTGTGTGTGTGTTTAAACATATCACAGACATTTGCTAAGCACATTTCCTTCAAGAAGAGAAGAAACAAGTTTTTGTCAATAAGAAACTGTGGATATGACGCCTCCCTGAGTTAATTAAATCAACCCAGACTATTTTTCATTGCCATGAGGGAGAGAGAGTACACCCCTGTCCCTTTATGGTATTAGAGATTGTCTAGTCCAGCGTGCTCTATGGAACCCTGCAGGAGTCACAGCAGGGCACTACTGAGAAAGTGCCAAGAGGACAGGACTCTCTTTAACCAGAGCAGCACTGCGTCGACCAGTTTTATGATTTATCTGCTCCTATAAGGAAAATTTGTTTGCATGAAATTTCCTGTGGCTGAAACATATTTGCAGAACACAGATCTAGGCTCATTCCCTAATTTTACATATGAGGAAGCTGAGGCTTGGGGAAGTGAAATGACATCACTAAGTTAAAGCAGAGCTGGAGACAGTACTCAACGGTCTGTATCAGTCGGGGGACTTGGTTGCTGGTTAGATGCCAATTCTGGATAATCAAAGCAAAGACTCACAGGGGCTTGCAAAATTGACAGGAGCCTGATAGGCTTGGAAATGGCCAGAACCACGAGCACACTGGAAGGCCAAGAAGCTGGACAGAGTTCACAGAAAGTCCATAAATAGTCTCATAACCAGAGGAGCCTGTAGAAATGTTGATGCCTCTCCTGCCTCTTCTGCAATGCATGGCACCAACCTTCTCCTCTGATATGGTTCGACTGTGTCCCCACCCAAATTTCATCTAGAATCTCCACAGGGACCCCGTGGGAGGTACTTGAATCATGGGGGTGGTTACCTCCATGTTGTTCTTGTGATAGTGAGTGAGTTCTCACGGGATTTGATGGTTTTATAAGGGGCTTCCCCCGTCTTTGCTCTGAGCTTCTTGCTGCCGCCATGTGAAGAACGACATGTTTGCTTCCCCTTCTGCCATGATTGTAAATTTCCTGAGGCCCCCCAGCCCTGCAGAACTGAGTCAATTAAACCTGTTTCCCTTACAAATTGCTCAGTCTCAGGTATTTCCTCATAGCAGCATGAGAACGGAGTAATACACCCTCTTATTCTCATGTCACTTGATTTAAAGTCCCAGGAGAGAGTCCATGATTGGCTGGGTTGAAGTCACATGCTCACACTCGGGCTGGATGGGAGCCAGGAGAAACAGGTCTGGCCCCTTGAGCATCCCTAGTGGGAGCACTGCCCACAATTAGCCATCCACATTGGGGAAGGGTAATGCCCCAAAGGGAATTTTGGCTATTGAGAAGGGGAAATGGATGTGGGCAGCCCAAAGGGCAACTAAAGGGAGCCTGATGGCGCATAGCAGATCCCGATAACATGGACACTTTGTCTCAAGCAGAAAGAGCTACAGCAGGGAGAAAAGGATCTTTGCTGATGTTGAACATCAACAGGGTAAGCCTCTTTTCTTCAGTTACATTATTGCTACAGTTGTGAGAACCCTGGCATTAGTCTCTATACACTCCACCAGCTCATCACTAACTGAAAACTAGTTATTCAATAATCCTATACCCATTGCTGAGCAGCCACTCTTTTAGAATATTACTTTTTTAAACATAGGTGTAGGCCCAAAGTCAGGATAAATAATAGGTTGAGCCTTTAGGGATGTCAGAGTTCTCTGGAGAAACAGAACCAATGGGATGTATATGCACAGGGAGAGGGATTTACTTTTTAAAATTGGCTCATGCCATTGTGAAGGCTGGCAAAGTCCAAAATCTGCAGGGTCAGCAGGCAGGCTGGAGACCCACGGAAGAGGTGCAGCTGAGCCCAAAGGCAGTCCACTCACAGGATTCCCTCTTCTTCTGGGCAGGTAATCATTTTCCTATTAAGGCCTTCAACTGGTTGGTTGAGGCCCACCTACGTTGTGGAAGGTCATCTGCTTTACTCAAAGTCTATTGATTTAAATGCTAATCTCATCGAAAAAATACCTTCACAGAAACATCTAAAATAATGTTTGATCAAATATCTGGGTATCGTGGCCTAGCCAAATTAACACATAAAATTACCCATCACAGACGGGTCTCAGAAAAGGAACTGGGAAGGTTTGAATGACTTTACAGCCAACTGTAGCCACAGCGTGACCTTGGGCAGTCATTTTCCTCTCTGAGCCTCATTATCTGTAAGATGAGGGGCCTGAATTGGGTGATCTGTAAGGGTTTGGGCATAAAATGGCAAGGTGAGCGTGAACATCTAGTTTATCTCCCCTCCCGGATTCTCATGGGGGAATTTCCAACGGAGTTTGGGATGGCAGGGACTTGGATCAGACACGGAAAGGAGGCAGAGGATGCTCGTTAAGGTGTTTCCTACCCAGCACCCATTTCCTTCTGCCCTACAGTATCCCAGCTTTCATTCAGATTCCTGCCTTCCCTCACGTAACCCATGTGCTTCAAGACTGACCTCATTGCCAGCACCAGGGATTGGTCCAATTGGCCTAAGCGGATTTCTATCCCTAACCATTGATTGTTTCAGGAATCCAGGCCTGAGCGGATTCACGCATGACGTCTCCCTGGACACAGGGATGGGTTCACAAAGGGGTTGGAGTCACTGAGATGTGAGGAGAAGTCTGCTGGCAGCTTCTGGGACATTACACCCTGGTGCTGAAGAGATCGCTGCCGGAAGAGGCTGTCTTCCTGGGCATGTTGTCAGGTGAGGCCTAGAATTGTGGCAGCCACCTTGCTGCCAGCACAGGGGAAAGATGAGCCTGGGGAGTCCCAAGAACCAGAGCGGGAGCCCTGATTGCCCCACATCCCATCCCCCACCCCCACCAGCGACCCACATTTTAAGCAATGGGAGCCAATAAATCCTCTATATTTCTGTTACCGTAGCAAACGGAAACCTAACAGAGACACTGTAAAGGCTACTATTCCAATTTTTCTGGAATTAGTGCTGGGAGAACCCTGACAGAGCCCTTCTCCTCTTCTGTCTTCGATAGCCGGGGGCGGGCCGACCCAGCACGCAGGAGGCTTGCACCGCAAAGCCTTCTCGCTGAACCAGGCAGCAGATCCATCCCACGGGGCTTCCTCCCACGTGAGAAACGTAGGAAAAGACGCTGCAAATCAAAGACGACCACCCTGGAGAAGCAGGAGAAACTCCCCAACTTGAGTGAATGTATCAACATTTCAGAAAATGTAGGAGGTGGATGTTACTGTTTAATCTGCTCAGCATCCTTCCCCCACCCCTTTTGATAACTGGCCTCATCCACTGGACACACTTCTTGGAATGAGACCCGGGCTAGGCCAATCAGCCTCTCCCTGAAGTGTTTCCCTGAAGCTGGAAGAGAGGAACTCTGTTCCCTCTTGGATTACAGAGCTGAAAGGAGATGAATTTGATGCTACTAGTGTTCATGTTTCTAACCAAGGGAGATGGGGCCTAGCAAGCCTTAATGGTCTTCATATATTTTCCATCAGACCTTTTAAGCTTCCCCCATGGTGACCAGCCCCAGAGTAATGCACATTTAATTCAACTTTCAATGCAGGAAAATCAATTGCATTGCACCACAGACTGTTTATTACACGTAATCTGAAGTTCAACACATAAAGAAATAAGCAATATACACAAACCATGGCACTTAAGAGTTCAATTTGGGGACCTATTTCCCCCCAGAAATCAAAATACTTATATTGTCCTAAAATATTTCACATTATAAAATAAAGTTTTTCTGTTTTTTTTTGTTTTTTAATCCAGGCTGGAATTGCTTGAAACTTTTTTTTTCCTTTGACTTTTATTTTAAGTTCAGGGGTACATGTGCAGGATGTGCAAGTTTGTTACATAGGTAAATGTGTGCCATGGGAAACTTTTAAAATAATAATTATGATGGCTTTTATTTTAACAATGCTTTATAGTTCACAAATTGTTTTCAGATATCTTACCCTATTTTGATCTTCCTCCTCAAATGCTTGTGAATTAGATAGGACAAGTAAACCCATTTAGCAGATGAAGAAACTGAGCGATGAGAAGAGCCCAACTACAAGAATGAGGAGCGCCTAACACCCACCCAGTCTAGGATGTTATTAATCCCAAAAGAACTTCATTCTATTTGGAGCTCGTGGGGGTGGAGAGATGGAAGCAGGAAGAACCTAAATTGTGTCTACCACTGGAATTCAGATTTGTCTTGACTTGATAAGGTAGGCTCACCAGAAGGCTTTATGTTTTCTGCTAGTTTGTTTTGTAGGTTTTTAGAGATCTCTCAGGTGGAGAGGGTTGAATTCATCATACCCCTCAATTCATGGTACGTTATCATCACCAAGGAACTGCTCTTGTTTTATTCAATTACGTACTTTCCTTTTATACACCATCCATATTCCTTTTTTTTTTTTTTTTTTGACAAGGTTTCACTCTGTTGCCCAGACTGGAGTGCAGTGGCACAATCATAGCTCATTATAGCCTTGACTTCCTGGGCTCGATAGATCTGCCTGCCTCAGCCTCCTGAGTAGCTGGGACTACAGGTATGTGCCACCACACCCAGCTAATTTTTTTGTATTTTTTGTAGAGATGGGCTTTCACCATGTTGCCCAGGCTAGTCTTGAATTCCTGGGCTCAAACGATCTGCCCATCTAGGCTTCCTAAAGTGTTGGGATTACAGGTGTGAGCCACGGAACCCAGCCCATGCTCCGTTTATATAGAGTTCAAAATAGGCAAGGCTATTCTCTAGTTTCCAGGGTGGGGGTGCAGATAATACTTTAGTTTTTTTTTTTTAATCTGGATCATGTTTATATAGAGTTATTCATTTTGCAAAAATCTATTGTGCTGTGTACTTAATAATTGGTGTAGCTTTCTGTATGTATATACTTCATTAAAATTTTTACTTGAAAAAGTCCTGTTGGAATTTTGAATCATCTTGCATAAATTTATAGATGAATTTGGGAGCGAATTAATATCTTAGAATTGTTAAGGTCATCTTATCCATGAACATGTTGCTAACATTTTAAGAGAGATATTTGTCATGAGGGGTATTGGTCTGTAACTTTTTGGTTTGGGATTGTTTCTTTCTTTTCTTTTTCCTTGCAAAGTCTTTGTCTGAATTTAATAACAGTATAATGTTGGCCTCATAGAATGAGTTGGGGAGTGTTAACTCCTCTTCAATTTTCTGAAAGAGTTTGTGCAGAATTGGTATTAGTTATTCCTTAAATGTGATGGAATTCACCAGAGAAGCTACCTGGGCCTGAAGTTTTCTCTGTGGGAAGGATTTTGAACTTCAGATTCTATTTCTTTTTTCTTTTTTTTTTTTTTTGAGACGGAGTCTTGCTGTCGCCCAGGCTGGAGTGCAGTGGCACAATCTCGGCTCACTGCAGGCTCCGCCCCCCGGGGTTCACACCATTCTCCTGCCTCAGCCTCCTGAGTAGCTGGGACTACAGGCGCCCGCTACCTCGCCTGGCTAATTTTTTGTATTTTTAGTAGAGACGGGGTTTCACTGTGTTAGCCAGGATGGTCTCGATCTCCTGACCTCGTGATCCGCCCGCCTCGGCCTCCCAAAGTGCTGGGATTACAGGCGTGAGCCACCGCGCCTGGCCAATTGTCTATTTCTTTAATAGATACAAGACTACTCAGATTATCTATTTTTTTCTTTTCCTTTTTTTTTTTTTTTTTTTTTTTTTTTGAGACAGAGTTTTGCTCTGTCTCCTAGGCTGGACTGCAGTGGCACGATCTCTGCTCACCACAACCTCCACCTCCCAGGTTCAAGCAATTCTCCTGCCTCAGCCGTTCAAGTATCTGGGATTACGGGCACCCGCCACCATGCCCAACTAATTTTTTTTTTTATTTTTAGTAGAGACAGGGTTTCACCATGTTGGTCAGGCTGGTCTCGAATTCCTGACCTCAGGTGATCCACTTGCCTTGGCCTCCCAGAGTACTGGGATTACTTCCAGTCCTGCAAGCTCCATTAAGGGTAAATGCCGTATACAGGTGTACCATTTTACAGGCATAAGCCACCATGCCTGGCCATCTATTTCTTGTTGAATGAGTTTTGGTAGTTTGTCTTTCAAAAAATTTGTCCTTTTCATCTAAGTTGTCATATAAGTTTCCCTAAGGCCAGGGGTGGTGGCTCACATCTGTAATCCCAGCCCACTGAGGGGCTGATGGGAGATTGCCTGAGGTTTGGAGTTTGAGACCAGCCTGAGCAACATTGCAAGACCCTGTCTCTACAAAAACAATTTTTTAAATTAGCTGGTTGTTGTCGTACATGCCTGTAGTCCCAGCTACTCAGGGGTCTGGGGTAGGAGGATCGCTTGAGTCTAGGAGTTTGAGGCTGCAGTGAGCTCTGATCATGCCACTGCATTATATGCTTGGGTGACAGAGTGAGATCCTATCTCAAAAAAAATTGTCATAAAATTGTTCATAAAATTCCCTTATCATCCTCTAATATCTGAGAGCCCGTGGGGATGTTGGCTGTCTCATTCCTGATATTGCTAATTTTTATCCTCCCTTTCTTTCCTGATTAGTGTGGCTAGAAGTTTTCAATCTTATTGATCTTCTCAAAGAAAGAGCTTTTTGTTCCACTGAATTTTTTTCTATTATTTTTCTGTTTTCTAGTGTGTTGATTTCCACTCTAATCTTTGCTATTTCCTTTCTTCTGATTACTTTAGATTTAATTTACTCTTCTTTTTTGTTTAAGAATCTTAAGGTGGAAGCTGAGAACATTGACATGAAAAAAATAGATCAATGGACTCAAACAGAGTCCAGAAATAGACCTGCACTTACATGGACAACTGGTTTTTATTAAAAGTGCAAAGACAACTCAGTGGAGAAAGGACAGTCTTTTAAATAAACGGTACTAGAATAACTGGATATCCATAGGCAAAACAATAGATTTTGATTCTTATCTCATAAAATATTCAAAAATTAATTCAGATGTATCACAGACCTAAAGGTAAAACCTAAAACATGAACATTTCTAGAAGAAAATCTTTGTGACCTTGTATTAGGCAATGATTTCTTAGCTACACCAAAAGCATAATCCATAAAAGGAGAAATTGATAAACTGGACTTTAGCAAAATTAAGAATCTCTGCTCTTTGAAACATCTTGGTAAGACAATAAAAAGACAGCCCAGAGACTGAAGTAAATATTTGCAAATCATATACTTAATAAAGGACTTGTATCCAGAATATACTCAGCACTCTCAAAACTCAATAATAAGAAGCAACTCAACTTTTTTAGATGGGCAAAATATTTGAATAGATATTTCACCAAAGAAGGCATGTAGATGGCAAATAAGTGCAGTCATGTGCCACTTAGCAACAGAGATATGTTCTGAGAAATGTATTGTCAGATGATTCTATCATTGTGCAGACATCGTAGAGTGTACTATACAAATCTAGACGGTATAACCTACTATACACCTAGGATATGTGGGATAGCCTATTGGATAGGCTACAAACTTGTACAGCATGTTACTGTCCTGAATATTTTAGGCAATTGTAACACAACGGGAAGTATTTGTGCATCTAAACATAGAGGTGGCATAGTAAAAATATGTATAAAACAGAAAATGGTACACCTGGATAGGGCATTTACCGTTAATGGAGCTTGCAGGACTGGAAGTTGCTCTGAGTGAGTCAGTGAGTGAGGGTGAGTCACTGTGAAGGCCTAGGACATTACTGTAACTACTGTTTACTTTGTAAACACTGTACACTTAGGCTACACTAAATTTATTTTTAAAATATTTTTCTTTCTTCAATAATAAATTAACCTTAGCTTATTGTAACTTTTTAATTTCATAAACTTTTTGATATTTTAAAACTTCTGACTCTTTAATAACACTTAATGTATAACACACATTGTATAGCTGCACAGAACAATTTTTTCTTCATATCCTTATTCTATAAGCATTTTTCTATTAAAAAGTTTTTGTTTTTTTTTTACTTTTTAAACTTTTTTGTCCCAAACTAAGACACAAACACACACATTAGCCTGGGCCTACAAATCATCAGGATCATCAATATCACTAATATCACTGTCTTCCACCTCCACGTCTTGTCCCACTGGGAGATCTTCGGGGGAAATAACATGCATGGAGCTGTCTTCTCCTGTGTTAACAATCCCTTCTTCTGGAATACCTCCTGAAAGACCCAGCCATTCCACTCCTGAGTATTTATCCAAGAGATATGAAAGTATAAGTCAATATAAAGACTTGGATATGAATATTCATGTCAGCTTTATTTGTATTAGTTCAAAACTGGAGACAACCTAAATGTGCATCAATGGGTGAATGAGTAAACAAATTATGGTACATACAAACCATGGAATAACACTACTTGGCAATAAAGAGGAATACATTACTGATACACACAACCCCAGGGATGAACCTCAAAATAATTATGCTGAGTTAAAGAAGCCAGACAATAAAATTGCTGGATAATTCTATTTATATAAAATTCTAGTAATGAAAATTAATCTATAGTGACAAAAAATGGTTAATGGCTGCTTGGGAATGGGAAAGGGTTCAGGGAGAGGTGAGAGGAAAGGGTTGCAAAAAGACATGAGAAAAGTTTTGGGAATGATGGATATATGTTCACCATGGATATATGTTCACCATTTTTAGGGGTGGTGATTGCACAGGTGTATACATATGTCAAAACCTAAATTGTTCACTTTAAAATGTACTATCAATTGTAGGTCAGGTACACTTCAATAAAGCCAGGCACAGTGGCTCATGCCTGTAAGCCCGGCACTTTGGGAGGCTGAGGTGGGCAGATTGCTGGAGCTCAGAAGCTCAAGGCAGCCTGGGCCACATGGTAAAACCCCATCTCTACCAAAAATACAAAAATTAGCCAAGTGTGGTGGTGTGAACCTGTAGTCCTGGCTACTTGGAAGGCTGAGGTGGGAGGATTGCTTGACCCTGAGAGGCGGAGGTTGCAGTAAGCTAAGATTACGCCACTGCACCCCAGCTTGGGTGACAGAGTGAGACCCTGTCACAGAAAAAAAAGAAAAAGAAAAAGAAAAAAGGCATGTCTTTCATTATCTGAGTCTTTTAAAACATCCTTTAAAGGAGTTTTATATTTTTCCTCATAAAGATTTTGTGCAGTTGTGTTAGGTTAATTCCAGGATACACAATAATTTCTGGTGCTACTGTGATGTATCTTAATTCATATTTTCTCACTACTTATTGTATTAGTAGTATCAGTTATGTCACTTATGTATGGCTGCATAATAAACCACTCCCTAAACTCAGCGAATAAATACAACCATGTTGTTACTTACGAACCCAGGGGTCAGAGTTTCAGGCAGCGCTCCACAGGAAGTGCTCCACATGACATCAGTGGGGTGACTGGACTGTCTTAGAGGCTTCCAGATGGCTTCATTCACATGTCTGAGGGCCTGATGGTGGGCAGGAGAGCAAAGGCACATTGCAAAGGGATGGATCCAGAGAGGCATGATTCACTGGAGACAGTTTTTAATATTTTACCTTAATGAGGAGGAACACTGTATTGGTTAGATTTATGTGTCAGCTTGACTGGGCCATGGGGTGCCTAGGTATTTGGTCACACATTATTCTAGGTGTTTCTGTGAGGCTGTTTTTTGGATGAGCTTAACATTTAAATTGTAGACTGATGCAAGCAGATTGCCCTCTATAATGTGGATGGGCCTCATCCAATCAGTTGAAGGCCTGACCAGAAGAAAAGGCTGACCATCCGCCGAGTAGAATTCTCCTGCCTGATGGCTTTTGAAATGAGTCATTGGCTCTTCCTGGTTCTACAGGAGCTTTCTGACTTCACACTTAAACTGGGATATTGACTCAGACTTGGACAGATTTGGATTTGCCAGCCTCCATAATCACATAAGACAATTCCTTCTAATAAATCCTTTATTATTTCTTATAATAAATGAATGAATGAATGTATCCTACTAATTCTGTTTCTTGAGAGACCCCTGACTAATACAGCATTATTAATTTTGTAAGTGATTATTTGCATGACAACCTTGGGGAACTTTCTTATTCGTACATTTTTGCTTCTCTATATAATCCTTCCACCTCTAATTTATTTTTCTTGCCTTATAATGATGGCAAATACCTCCAATACTACAATTAAAAGTAACTTTGACAATGGGTATCCTTATCTTTTCTCCCCATTTTAAAGCAAAATGAATCTGAAATTTTTCAGCTAACCATAATGTCTTTCTGCAGTTTTTTTTTTTTTTTTAAAGTGCATTTTATGGAGGTAGAGAGTAGAATGGTGGTTACCAGAGTCTGGAAGGGGAATGAGGGTGAAAGAACTAACTTGGTGAAGCGGTACAAAAACGCCGTTCTGTAGAGGAACTAAGTTCTAGTATTCAATAGTAAAGTATATTTATAATATAAATATTACAGTTACAAATAATTTATTTTATTCTTCACAATAGCTGGAAGAGAAGATGTGTAATATTCCCAGCACAAAGAAAAGACAAATGTTTGAAGAGATGGATATCCCAATTACTCTAATTCTGATTATTATTATTATTTTATTATTATTATTATACTTTAAGTTTTAGGGTACATGTGCACAATGTGCAGGTTAGTTACATATGTATACATGTGCCATGCTGGTGTGCTGCACCCATTAACTCGTCATTTAGCATTAGGTATATCTCCTAATGCTATCCCTCCCCCCTCCCCCCACCCCACAACAGTTCCCAGAGTGTGATGTTCCCCTTCCTGCGTCCATGTGTTCTCATTGTTCAATTCCCATCTATGAGTGAGAACATGCGGTGTTTGGTTTTTTGTCCTTGAGATAGTTTACTGAGAATGATAATTTCCAATTTCATCCATGTCCCTACAGAGGACATGAACTCATCATTTTTTATGGCTCTGCAGGTTTTTAGTAGATGTCAAGTTAAGGAGGATATTCTATTCCTAACTTTTCTTTTTTTTTTTGAGGTGGAGTCTCACTCTATCACCCAGGCTGGAGTGCAGTGGCACAATCTCAGCTAACTGCAGCCTCCTCCACCTCTGGGTTCAAGTGATCCTCCCACCTCAGCCTCCAAGTAGCTGGGATTACCTGTGCCCACCAGCATACCCAGCTAATTTTTGTATTTTTGGTAGAGATGGGGTTTCACTATGTTGGCCAGGCTGGTCTTGAACTCCTGGCCTCAAGTGATCCACCCACCTCGGCCTCCCAGAGTGCTGGAATTACAGGCGTGAGCCACCACACATGGACCTATTCCTAACTTCCTGATAGTTTTTTAAAAAAACCATAAAGAGCTGTTTACCTTTGCCAAATGCTTTTTTTGCATTTACTGAGATAACTATGTTTTTCTTTTATATTGATTAATATTCTAATGTCAAATTACTTTGATAAGCCCTACTTTTTGTCCTCTTTTGTATTTGCTTTACTAATATTTTATTTTGAATTTTCCTATCTTTGCTGATAAGTAAAATGAGCCTATAATTTTATTTTCTTTTGCTGTTTTATATGACTTTGGAATCAAGTTTATACCAGTTCCACAGAATGATTTGGGTAACTTTCTATTTTTATTTTCTGGAAAAACATGCACAAGATATGGGGTTTTATTCCTCACAAGTGTGGTGAAACTTACCTATGGAATTATCAAGTCCAGAGAATTTGAGGGATGGTGGAGGATATCTTGACTGCCAATTTCCCTTTCCTTCCTTCCTTCCTTCTCTTTCTTTTTCTTTCTCTTTCTTTCTTCCCTCTCTTTCTTTTCTTTTCCTTCCTTTTTTCTTTTTCTTTCTTTTCTTTCTTTCTCTCTCTCTCCCTCCCTCCTTTCCTTTTTCTTTTCTCTTTCCTTTTCTTTTTTTTCTTCTTTCTTTCTGTTTTTTTCTTTTTGAGACAGCGTCTTGCTCTGTTGCCCAGGCTGGCATGCAGCAGTGTGATCTCAGCTCAAAGCAATCTCTGTCTTCTGGGCTCAAGTGATCCTCCCGCCTCAGCCTCCCAAATAGCTGGGACCACAGGTGCATGCCATGACATCCAGCTAATTTTTGTATTTTTTGTAGAGATGGGGATCTTACTATGTTGCCCAGGTTGGTCTCGAACTCCTGAGCTCAAGTGGTTTACCTGCCTTGGCCTCCCAAAATGCCGGGATCACAGGCATGAGCCACCACACCTGGTCTTTTGTTTTGTTTTTGTTTGTTTGTTTTTGAGGCAGGGTCATCTCACTCTGTCGTCGCCCAGGCTGGAGTGCAGTGACCCAATCTTGGCTCACCGCAATCTCTGCCTCTCAGGTTCAAGGGATCCTCCCGCCTCAGCCTCCCTAGTAGCTGGAACTACAGGTGTGCACCACTGCACCCAGCTAATTTTTGTATTTTTTGATAGAGATGGGGTTTCACTATATTGTCCAGGCTGGTCTTGAACTGCTAGGCTCAAGCAATCTGCCCACCTTGGCCTCCCCAAGTTCTGGGATTACAAGTGTGAACCACTGCACCCAGCCTACCTATTTATTTTCTTTCATTTTATTTCAATATTCAAATTTTATGTTTCTTCTTATGCAAATTTTGGCATTTTATACCCTTCTAGCAATTTATCGTCATCTAGATTTTAAATTTTACTGGCATATAGTTTATAGTATATTTTTCTTAAATTTTAAATCCCCTTTTTGACTGTATACTATCTCCTTTTCATTCTGTGTCATAGTACTTTGAATTTCCTTAGTCTCTCTCACTCTCCTCCCCATGATCAGTCTTTTGGAGAATTATTTTTTGTTTTATCAATCTTCTTTATAATATTTTGTTCTCTATTTTATTGATTATCATTCCCTTCCATCTTGTTTCTTTAGGCTAACTCTATTGTTTTGTTTCTAAATTTTCAGTTAAACACTTATCTCATTAAAGAAAAGGAAAAGCTTTCTAGTTTTTAAATTAATGTATCTATACCTACAAATTCCCTTCTAATTACAGCATTAGAAAGACACAAAGTGCTTTCATTTTTGTTTAGTTCTAAATATTTAATAATTTTCCTTATGATTTCTTCTTTATGTAAACTTTTTTTAGACACACGTTTTAGTTTACAATTACATGGAACTTTTAAAGGGAATTTTCAAAATTCATTTTTAATTTTATTACATTATAGTTAGAGAAAGTCTACATGATATGAACTTTTTGGATCTCCTTGAGGTTTTCTCTGTTGTCTAGTTCAGGTCAATTTTATTATTATTAATTTTTGAGACAGAGTTTTGCTTGTTGCCCAAGTGGGACTGCAATGGCACCATCTCAGCTCACTACAACCTCCGCCTCCCAGGTTCAAGCGATTCTTCTGCCTCAACCTCCCAAGTAGCTGGGATTACAGGCATGCACCACCATGCCCAACTAATTTTGTATTTTTAGTAGAGGCGGCATTTCACCATGTTGGTCAGGCTGGTCTCGAACTCCTGACCTCAGTTGATCCACCCACCTCAGCCTCCCAAAGTGCTGGGATTACAGGCGTGAGCAACTGCACCCAGGTCAATTTTTGTGAATGTTTCACATGTACTTAAAAAAATGTAGTTCTTATGAGTGATCAATTCTATTTATGCTTATTAGATCAGGCTTATTCAAATGTTCTTCATCTTTGCTTAACTTTTTGCCTATGTGAAATATAGTTTTTGAAAGAGGTGTTTCAATATCTAGAAATATTAATTTATTTTTTCACCCCATACTTCTGCCAGTTATTAGTTTTTCTTGTCTGGACCTATGTTGTGTAGTGCATGTACACTCCTGAGGTCAGGAGTTCGAGACCAGCCTGGCCAACATAGTGAAACTCCATCTCTACTAAAACTACAAAAATTAGCCGGACATGGTGACACATGCCTTATATTCCCTGCTACTCGGGAGGCTGAGGCAGGAGAATCGCTTGAACTCAGGAGGTGGAGATTGCAGTGAGCTGAGATCATGCCACTGCACTTCAGCCTGGGCAATAAAGTGACACTCTGTTTCCAAAAAAAAAAAAAAAAAAAAGAGAGCCTACATTTGTACAACCCTGCCTCACTTATCTCATGCTAATCCCAGCCCCATAAAACTTTTCCTGCAAAAACACGCAGCTGGCCTATGGGCTGTAGTTAGCCAATTGGACTTTTTGAAATATTGCATTACAATATTATTACTCTTGATTACTGAGTTTTCTGGAGTCCTTTTAACCCATATCACCCTGGCCCTGACCTTGCCTAGGTTCTGTGTGTGACTCAAAGAAACAATATCCATAAAACATTTTGGGGATAAAAGGAAGAGATGATATAAGGCAATATTGGGGAATACTGTTAATGTTTAGGTGATAATGACATTGTGACTGTGCAGATGTCCTTACTTTTTTGGAGATGATGTCAGCAAAAAATATAGATCATATATATAAATGAAACAAATGGGCCAGGCGCAGTGGCTCACGCCTGTAACCCCAGCACTTTGGGAGGCTGAGGTGGGTGGATCATTTGAGGCCAGGGGTTTGAGACCAGCTTAGCCAACATGGAGAAACCCTGTCTCTATTAAAAAATTACAAAAATTAGCAGGGTTGTGGTGGTGCATGCCCATGATCTCAGCTATTCGGGAGGCTCGAGGCACAAGAATCACTTGAACCTGGGATGCAGAGGTTGTAGTGAGCCAAGAAACAAGAAGCAAAATTTTAATAATAATTGAATTTTGTTCCTGGGTATATATAGGTGTTCATTGTACTATTCTTCGTAAGTTTCCATGTGTTTAAAATTTTTCATGTTAAAACACTTTTAGAAACACTTATACAAGCCAAACTTTATATAATAGACTTCAGACCATCTAGAAGAGGCTAATTTGTTACTACATAGCTGGACGGTAAGGATGGAGGTACCTCATTTGCCCTAAAACTAGCCCTAACCCGATCCTACTCCTTCCAATGCCTGCTGCCTCAGACGTAGCCTGTCCTTGCTCCAGGCCCAGGAGGAGCTAGGGGTAAGGGCACAATCAAGTTTCAATTTAGCTACTCAGAATCCAAATTAATAAATATCATTTCAGGCACTTCTGCTTTGTCTGCCTTTTTCCTGATACTTTCTCAGAGATGCCCAATGTAAAACAAGCCAGCCTCACATCAGACCTAGAGGAAAGGAAAATGTGATCTTTTTTATCACACAGAGCAGAGACTGTCGCAAATGGGCCTCAGGTGACGCAGTAGCTGTTGCTGCCCGTTTTACTTGCTGCAGCTCCTGGGGCCTCATCTCAGACCTACTGAATCTGAAACTCTGGGGTGCGGCCTAGCAATCTGTGTTTTAACAAGTCCTCTGGGCGATTCTGATGCACACTAAAGTCTGAAAACCACAGATGCAAAGAGACACAGAAATGTGTATGAATAGGCTTGTTTCATTTGGTCCTTCCATTTTATCAGTATGTAGCCTGTGTTTCATTATACCTGTGGTGGATATGCTAAAAAGCATTCTACAATGACACTCTCATGTGCATAATTCTGAGAGAGAGCTTCCATTAGAGTGTGCTCAAGAACCTGCAGGAAAGCGTTTCAGAAAAGTGCCAGTGTCACTTTAAGGAGCCACTCTGAGGGGAGATAAACCCAAGGATCATGGGCTGTTGCCAAATCTGTGGTGTCTTCTAACCTTGTGTGTCTTTTTGAGCTTGGTCATGTTTTGCAGAGAGCCATGGAGACCTGTAGTGTAGGTGTCTTATAGACATTTTCAAGTTTTTATGAGGCTTAATAAAAACTTGAAAATGCCTGCAACTATTTTATAGTTGTTTTAATTTATAAAAGCTTCCCAGCTGATGTTACATGCAGCCTGGACACTGCTCTAGTGTCCCTGACAAGTGAATATCTTTGATAAAAGTGTAAAGGAATTAGTAGAGTACCTTTGATAAAGTGCAAAGGACTCTTTGCTTCTTTCTGTTTCACACACATACATAGACACACACACACACACATATTTGATATGTATACATATAGAAGAAACAGAAAGAAACAAAGAGAGCTCAGTGAGGACATTGGGAGCAGGCTTTTGGATGGGATGGTGTGCTTCATCCAATGGAGCCCCCAGTTGGGCCCTGCTTCTACTTCCAGCTCCAAGCACTCCACACAGGGAGGCCTGAAGCAGCCACTGGCTCCCCTCCACCTCCTAGACCAAAGCAGCCTCCATCTGGCCTCAAAACATGGAGCTGTTGCTGCCCCCAGCCACAGCTGGCCCAGTTGCACTCATGCCACCCATTTGGCCTTCACATGATTGAGGCAGAAGATAAACACAGATGGGGCAGGTGAGCAGCAGGAAGTGTGCTGAATTTCCATCGAGGCAGGAAGTGCCCGTGCTGCACTATTTGAAGACAGTTTATCTAAAAACAATAAAAAAAATTCTTCTCCACTGGATCTGGATCCCCCTCTGGTGGAGATGGTTCTCCCCAACTGGGAGCCTGGGCGTTTTCATGAGTGGGCCACTTTCTTCAGGTGCAGGAGGCTGCAGGCTCCTCAAAGGGCGCATCTCCAAGGTGGGTCAGAAAATGCCACCTTCTAAAATAAAAATGAAAATGAATCACGTGCTTAAACTATGCTAAATGATGACTTGTAATCATGCTTCTGGGGTTTCTCTAGTATCAGCAAGGGGACTAAAATGTGACATAAATTGCAATTCAGGGATTGTGGTAGGCCTGAGTTAATGCACACCTGTTGTGGTGGACATTTGTCAATGTTTGTGGCAGCCTAGCATCTATGCCTTCCCTCTATCTGGGGGAAATTCCCACTGCGTCAGTCACAGCAAGCTACGCCTCCCTCTAGGGAAGTAGGAAGGTCTAGAGACTAACCTCTTCCCCAACACGCTTTTAGTTAGCACAAAGGCAAATGAAGGGCTGGCCAATCAGATGCTGTCACCCTAGACTTTATATTTGGAATAAATGTGTGGTGTGAGGCAAAGATGAATGGAAAGTTAGAATCCATGTGCACTGGAAGGATTTGGCCAAGGCATCCTGGTAGGATTGTTCCTGCTCAAAGATGATTATCTTGTATTCTGCTTCTTGGGCCTCTGTATCTTTTTTTTTTTTTTTTTTTTTTGCCCATATAGTTACCTTTCTGTGTGTACATGTGTGCATGTGCGTGAAGGCAAATTTAAAATATACAGTACATTTTTATTAGTCATAGTCACTATACTGTACACCCTGTCCCTATCTTCATTTTTATAATCTGTTTGTTGCTTCTTATAAATTCAAAGTGGCCTTGTAATCTCTTTTCTGTTTACAATAATCAGAGTTGTTTTCTGCTGCTTGCAACCAATAATTGACTATATACACATGTTTGGAAGGCATAGTATAATGCTGATTTTCAGGTGCTATAGGGATACCAAGATGAATACAGTCTGGAATGCACTATACACAGTGCATGAGAATACAGGCTCCATAGTGAGACAGGCTTGAGTTCAAGTCTTGTCTCTGCCACTCACTAGCTGGGTGACCTTTCACCTGTTCCTTTATCATGACTGAGTTTCATTTCCTCATCTGTAAAAGAGAACTACTAAATTTAAAAATTAACTGTGAGGGGCTGGGTGCGGTGACTCATGCCTGTAATCCCAGCACTTTGGGAAGCTGAGGTGGGCAGATTGCTGGAGTCCAGGAATTTGAGACCAGCCAGGGCAACATGGCAAAACCCCATCTCTACAAAAAATTAGCCAGATGTGGTGGTGTGCACCTGTAGTCCTAGCTACCTGGAAGTCCGAGGTGGGAGGATCACCTGAGCCTGGGAGTTCCAGGAGGCAGTGAGCTGAGATCACACCACTGCACTCCAGCCTGGGTGACAGAGTGAGACCCTGTCTCAAAAAACAAAAAAAATTAGCTGGGTATGATGGCTCAGGCCTACAGTCCTGCTTGGGTGGGGTGTGGGTTGAGGCCGGATGATCACTTGAGCCCAGGAGTTTGAGGCTGCAATGTGCTGTGATTGTGGCAATGCCCTCCAGCCTAGGTGACAGAATGAGACTGTCTCTAAAAACAAACCAAAAAGCAAAAATAAATTAAAAATAAACAGGGACACTACTCACATGATTGTTATAAGGATTAATGAGATGACAGTTGTAAAGGGCTCAGCACAGTGCCTGGTTTGGATAAGTACATGAAAAGTGTTGGCTCTGATGATGATGATAATGATTTTCTTTTTCTCTTTGATGATGATTCTTAACTGCAAGGAATTTATGATCTTGTAGGTCTGGCTCACATTCACTAGTTCTTCTCAAACTTCTATGGTAGAAATCCAGGGACAAGTGATGCTGTAACAAAAGGCAATCACTACATGGGGTCTAGAAATGGAGAGCCAAAGCATAAGACCATTTGTCAGTCATTCAACCAGTGAGACCCACAGATATGTATTCAGATATTTACTGAGCTCTTATTATATGCCACGGCCTTACTAAGCATGATTTTAATGGATCTAATGGTGGGAGAAAAAAGCTATGTCTAGAAGAAACATGCACTCTTTAAGAAAGCAAGGTTAATTTTCCAGCCTAAGAGAAGTGAATTCCTCTCAAAACCATCCTCTTTCTTTAGTCATCAAATGTGCTCTGAATGCTCACTAACTTACTTTCCCAGGGACCTCACAGTCAGGAAGTAGATATCCCCTAAGTGTAGTTATCAGGAATCATGTTCCAGGTGCTGGGCTTCCATGAAAAATTAAGTTTCTAAACTTGTGAAGATAAAGACCAGATTTAACACTGACAGTTGACCTCACTAAGAGGCAGAAAGCCTGTGAGGCCCATCCTGTGCAGATACACCCGTACAGTCAAATACGTTTTGAGCACATCTTGTAGCCAGGCATCGGGCTAGGCCCAGGGAATATCACAGCGAATCGGATAAGATGGCCCCTGCAGTCTTGGTGCTTATTCTATGTTGAGGAAGAGAGATGCTCACCAAAGAATTACATAGTCATGCAATGACAAACTGTCATAAGTACCCCATAGGAGATGTTTAGGGATTTATGAGATCATGTAATAGGGAACACTGATCTAGTCTAGGGAGCTAGGGAGGGTTTTGATGAGTAGGAGCACGCCTGAGCTTTGACCTTAATGATAAGTAGTGTTGACTATGTGGAGAGGGGAAGAAGGAACAGGTAAGCCAGAGAAAACAACATCGATAAAGGCCTTCTGGTGAGAGAGAGCAAGGCCTGGGCACCCACCTAAGGTGTTGTGGGAAACATACAATATTACCTGTAAGACACAATAAATATTAGTGGATAGAACAATAAGCTATAAAAATCAACATTTATGTAGCCATTATTATATTCTAAGAAATTTAAAAATGTATTAGGTTAATTAACACTAGCTACTATAGCAAAGAACCCCCCAAATCTCTGTGGCTTAATGCAACAAGGATTCATTTCTCCCTCACCTCACAGTGAATATGAGTTGGGCAGCTCTCTTGGGCAATCTCCTCCTAGCTGTGACTCAGGGATCCAGGCTCTTTCTATCTTGTAGCTCCATAACTCCCCAGAGCCTTCTTGAAGTTCTCTCCTAGATCTTTTCTATCTGATTGCCCAACTAGTAAAGAAAGAGTGTGGAACATAGTGTGGGACATTTTGGGAACAGGTTTGTAAGTGGCGTATATCACATCCACCTCTGTCAAATGGCCAGAACCTTGTCAACCTGGTCCCAACCTGATTGCCATAGAGGCCAGGAAATGTAGCTGTCTTGTGCATGGCATGACACCGAATGTATTCTCTTAACCATACCCAATATTTGCCAAGAAATCTGTTTCAAAAATCGGATGTAAGTGCTTATGTAAGGTACTATTCTGGATGAAACACAAACCAAACAGAATCAGATAGAAATGGTCACCAGATTTAGGAGCTTACCCCGACAGGGCCAACTCTGGCCAGGAAACTCACAAATTTAGAGCACATTCTGTTGAAGAAGACCATTAAACCCAGGCAGTGATTGCCAACTCCCTGGGACTGGAGAGGGGGCCAAGGGAGAGGTTTCACATTTCTCAGGGTGCTTGTGTAGTCTGGATAGGCATAGTCTAAGGTGACTGTAGGAGATCGGTCAGGGTGGTGGGAAAAATTGTAGAAAGATGCAAACCTTCTTGGAAGGCCAGGGGTTTGCATGGTTTCAGAAGGGGGTTTAGCTGAAGGCACCTGAATTCTCTTAAGAGCGTGGGTTAGATAACAAGGGGATGTAAAGAAACTGATCTGGATAAGTTAGTTTACTTATCCCTCAGAAACTGGCCTTTAATCATCCGCACACAGGACTGCTCTCTCTGGGGAAGGCGACCATGTTTATTATCCCCAAGTGTGTTGACTCAAAGCCTCTGTCATTAAATCTGTTCTAAATAAAGGCCTGCAGTGCCAGCTGGTCAGGGCTGTGGCTTCTGACTCTTTACAGCACCCTCCTCGGGGTCTGTGCATGGCCTGGTCCACTAGCCCACTCTTTCACTGGATAACTGTGTTTGAGTGTGTTCTTTCATCCATCGTTTGGCCAGAATCTGTGGGTTGGGTCCAGCAGGTGACCATAGTTTTAATATGTTTTTAGTCATGATGTCCCATTTATTTTGAAGTTTTGAATAAAATTGGGGTGGGTCATGGAAGGAAATACTTATATTGTTCAAAGGGGATTCAAAGAAGGTTGAGAAATTACAGACCAGGACAGGGTAGGGAATTACTTACCAAGTGCTGAATTTATGTGTGTGGAGATAAAATAAAGGAATCATAAAGATGTGATTTCTTCCCTTTCTCCTTCCCCCAGCCTGACCACATTTCACATTTTCTAAACTTGATGGGAATTTCCTCTTCAATCTCTGGCCTTGGAGAGAGAAAATTAGGGAAAGAGAGGACCAGGAATGAAAAGTTGGAGGGAAATAGAGGAGACTCTTAAATAAAAGAAAGTTGCTTAGAACATAGGGGAAGAGAAGATGTCATCAAAAGCCAAACTCCAGAGTTATGTTTAGGTGTTAGAAAGTGTTACTGGAAGGTTGGAAACCCAAATAAATACCAAAAAGATTCCAAAACTGAGTTTCAAAGAAGGGAGAGGTAGCCTGGTTTTTTGAGGTGTCTTCTGAGTGTGACCTGACTCTGGATAGGGCTTGAAGATTTGGAGTGGTGAGAGTAAATAGTAAATAACAAAAAGTAGGTAAGGCTTAGTGAGGTGTCCCACTCATGCAATTTGCCATGTGAATTTTTTTTTTTTTTTTTTTTTTTTTTTTCAATTCTTTTTTTTTTTTTTTTTATTGATCATTCTTGGGTGTTTCTCGCAGAGGGGGATTTGGCAGGGTCATAGGACAATAGTGGAGGGAAGGTCAGCAGATAAACAAGTGAACAAAGGTCTCTGGTTTTCCTAGGCAGAGGACCCTGCGGCCTTCCGCAGCGTTTGTGTCCCTGGGTACTTAAGATTAGGGAGTGGTGATGACTCTCAACGAGCATGCTGCCCTCAAGCATCTGTTCAACAAAGCACATCTTGCACCGCCCTTAATCCATCTAACCCTGAGTGGACACAGCACATGTCTCAGAGAGCACAGGGTTGGGGATAAGGTCACAGATCAACAGGATCCCAAGGCAGAAGAATTTTTCTTAGTACAGAACAAAATGAAAAGTCTCCCATGTCTACTTCTATCCACACAGACCCAGCAACCATCCGATTTCTCAATTTTTTCCCCACCCTTCCCGCCTTTCTATTCCACAAAACCGCCATTGTCATCATGGCCCATCCCCAATGAGCCGCTGGGCACACCTCCCAGACGGGGTCGTGGCCGGGCAGAGGGGCTCCTCACTTCCCAGTAGGGGCGGCCCGGCAGAAGTGCCCCTCACCTCCCAGATGGGGCGGCTGGCCGGGCGGGGGGCTGACCCCCCCTCCGCCCTCCCGGACGGGGCGGCTGGCCAGGCAGAGGGGCTCCTCACTTCCCAGTAGGGGCGGCCGGGCAGAGGCGCCCCTCACCTCCTGGATAGGGCGGCTGGCCGGGCGGGGGGCTGTTCCCCCCACCTCCCTCCCGGACGGGGCGGCTGGCCGGGCAGAGGGGTCCTCACTTCCCAGTAGGGGCAGCCGGGCAGAGGCGCCCCTCACCTCCCGGACGGGGCGGCTGGCCAGGCAGGGGGCTGATCCCCCCACCTCCCTCCCGGACGGGGCGGCTGGCCGGGCGGGGGGCTGACCCCCCCCACCTCCCTCCCGGACGGGGCGGCTGGCCGGGCAGAGGGGTCCTCACTTCCCAGTAGGGGCGGCCGGGCAGAGGAGCCCCTCACCTCCCGGACGGGGCGGCTGGCCGGGCGGGGGGCTGACCCCCCCCACCTCCCTCCCGGACGGGGTGGCTGCCGGGCGGAGACGCTCCTCACTTCCCAGACGGGGTGGTTGCCAGACGGAGGGGCTCCTCACTTCTCAGACGGGGCGGTTGCCAGGCAGAGGGTTTCCTCACTTCTCAGACGGAGCGGCCGGGCAGAGACACTCCTCACCTCCGAGACAGGGTTGCGGCCCAGCAGAGGCGCTCCTCACATCCCAGACAGGGCGGCGGGGCAGAGGTGCTCCCCACATCTCAGACGATGGGCGGCCGGGCAGAGACGCTCCTCACTTCCTAGATGGGATGGCGGCGGGGAAGAGGCGCTTCTCGCCTCCTAGATGGGATGGCGGCCGGGCAGAGACGCTCCTCACTTTCCACACTGGGCAGCCAGGCAGAGGGGCTCCTCATATCCCAGACGATGGGTGGCCAAGCAGAGACGCTCCTCACTTCCCAGACGGGGTGGCGGCCGGGCAGAGGCTGCAATCTCGGCTCTCCGGGAGGCCAAGGCAGGCGGCTGGGAGGTGGCTGCAGCGAGCCGAGATCACGCCACTGCACTCCAGCCTGGGCACCATTGAGCACTGAGTGAACGAGACTCCATCTGCAATCCCGGCACCTCGGGAGGCCGAGGCTGGCGGATCACTCGCGGCCAGGAGCTGGAGACCAGCCCGGCCAACACAGCGAAACCCCATCTCCACCAAAAAAAAACGAAAACCAGTCAGGCGTGGCGGCGCGCGCCTGCAATCGCAGGCACTCGGCAGGCTGAGGCAGGAGAATCAGGCAGGGAGGTCGCAGTGAGCCGAGATGGCAGCAGTACCGTCCAGCTTTGGCTCGGCATGAGAGGGAGAGGGAGACGGGAGAGGGAGAGGGAGACGGGAGAGGGAGAGGGAGACGGGAGAGGGAGAGGGAGACGGGAGAGGGAGAGGGAGAGGGAGACGGGAGAGGGAGAGGGAGACGGGAGAGGCAGAGGGAGACGGGAGAGGGTGAGGGAGACGGGAGAGGGAGAGGGAGACGGGAGAGGGAGACGGGCAGAGTTTCCCATATCTTTTACTTTTTAACTAATTCCAGACTGATTTGCATGTTTTCACCCTGCCAGGAAGAAGGAAATTAAGATTGGGTGTGGTGGCTCCACCCGTAGTCCCGGCACTTTGGGAGGCCAAGGTGGGAGGATCACTTGAGCTGAGGAGTTTGAGGCTGAGCACCACTACACTCCAGCCTGGGCGACACAGCGAGAGGCTGTCTCTTCAAAAAAGGGAAATTAAAACGCAACTTGACAAAGTTGCAAATCTACTTCTGCATTAGTTTCTCACAATATAATGGGTGATTTTTCCCCTAACTGATTGGCATGTGTATGTTCAGCAGTAGCCAGAAATTCTATGCAGTGGAAACAGACAAAACCAAGATGGGACTATGCAGAAGAAATCTCTAGTTACCAAGGCACTGCAAAATAAAGTCTACAATTGCACATCACAATCATCACCAAAACAGAGATTTCTAGAGTCCTTCTGTAACTCTCAGGAAGACTCCTTCCCTAAGCCAATTTGGCCTGGATTCTTGAAAGTCTCTGGGAAACACAGCAAATTTTATAAACAGGGTTTTTCTGGACTTATATTCTCATATTCACTACATCTAAGAAAAATTTATAAAATATATATTATATATAAAGATATATTAAAATACACACACACACACATTCTGTAGGACTTGATTCTTTGAACACAGACCTTAGAGCTCTGTGCTCTGCACTAGACAGGAGTAAATGCTATACCTCTGCAGAACTAAAACAAGTAAACTTGCCCTTGTCATTGGTTCCTTTTGCAGTGAGGAGGGGAAGTCTTTCTAGTCCTACCTTCCTCCACTGCTCAGACATGTTGCTATTAAAGATAAAAGCAGTAGGCTAGGCATAGTGGCTCACGCCTGTAATCCCAGAATTTTGGGAGGCCGAGGCAGGAGGATCAGCTAAAGCCAGGAGTTTCAGACCAGCCTGGGCAACAAAGCAAGAGCCTGTTTCTATAAAAAACACAAAACTTAGCTGGGCCTGGTGGTGCATGCCTGTAGTCCCAGATACTCAGGAGGCTGAGGCAGGAGGATTGCCTGAGCCCAGGAGGTGGAGGCTGCTGCGAGCTATGATGAGGCCAACTGCACTCTTGTCTGGGTAACAGAGTGGGACCCTGTCTTTAAAAAAAGTAATAATAAAAAAAAAAAACACTGGCTTCAAAATTACATGTGGTCAAATTCAGCCCAATTGGGTTCTATCTGAATATGACTTATTTTACACAGCTCTGTTTTCAATTGTGAAACAGAAAATGACAGAGGGAAAGGACTGAGGGAAGGGAAGGGAGGGGAGGGAGGGAAGCAGGGAGAAAGCATATGATACTTCCCATTTAGGAAGTGGAATAGCGGTAGAAGAGGCCCTGATAAAGCCTCAGAATGGAACTAATGAACTTGAAACCGCCAGCATGCACATCGGCATTTTCAGATTTCAGAGAAGATGCACCTGAGGGGAGGAGCCTCTTGTAGGGAAGGGAAAGATGTCAAGCCTTCCTTTGTCCTGTGCACAGGACAGACTCCAAATCCTTCTCTTCGCTCCCATTTGAGATCATGTGAACTTCTGTTTGATTTAAGCGTCTGAGTCTTTTTCTTTCATTCATCCCTTGGTGTCTGTGATGGGCAAGGCACTTGTCTGGTTGCTGAGAGCGACTAGGGCTTCACAGCCGCATCACCGCCGGCGGTGGGCGCCTGCCTGCCATGTGAATTTCATCTGCTTTTAATCATCACAACATTCCTATGGAACATGCACCCCTGTTAGGCCCATCTGCCAAAGATCACACTGTCAGTAAGTGGCCAAGCTGGGATTTGAACAGTCCTTCTGGCCCCAGAGTCCAAGCTAGAGTTAGATGTGCCTGAGCTGTGTAATGGGTTAATTAAATGTTGGTGTTTATGCAGTGGAAATACATACAGTAAAATCATTTAGTTACTTAACAGCCTGGACATTAAATACTTTCTCCTTTACCTTTGCTCTGGGCTCCAACTTGGAGAGATAACCTTTGCATTTTTTTAATACTTTAAGTTTGAAGGTACATGTGCAGAACTTACAGGTTTATTACATAGGTATACACAAGCCATGGTTGTTTGCTGCACCTATCAACCCGTCATCTACATTAGGCATTTGTCTTAATGCTATCCCTACCCCAGCCCCCGACCCCATGACAGGCCACAGTGTGTGATGTTCCTCTCCCTGTGTCCGTGTGTTCTCATTGTTCAACTCCCACTTATGAGTGAGAACATGGAGCATTTGGTTTTCTGTTCTTGTGTTAGTTTGCTGAGAATGATGGTTTCCAGCTTCATCCATGTCCCTGCAAAGGACATGAACTCATCCTTTTTATGGCTGCATAGAATTCCATGGTGCATATGTGCCACATTTTCTTTATCCAGTCTATCATTGACAGGCATTTGGGTTGGTTCCAAGTCTTTGCTATTATGAGTAGTGCCAAAAATAAACATACATGTTCATGTGTCTTTATAGCAGAATGATTTATAATCCTTTGAGTATATACCCAGTAATGGGATTGCTGCATCAAATGGTATTTCTGGATCTAGATTCTTGAGGAATTGCCACACTGTCTTCCACAATGGTTGAACTAATTTACACTCCCACCAACAGTGCAAATGTGTTCCTATTTCCCCACATCCTCTCCAGCACCTGTTGTTTCCTGACTTTTTAATGATCACCATTCTAACTGGTGTGAGATGGTATCTCATTGCAGTTTTGATTTGCATTTCTCTAATGACCAGTGATGATGAGCTTTTTTTCATGTTTGTTGGCTGCATAAATGTCTTCTTTTGAGAAGTGTCTGTTCATATCCTTTGCCCACTTTTTGATGGGGTTGTTTGTTTTTTTCTTGTAAGTTTGTTTAAGTCCTTTGTAGATTCTGGATATTAGCTCTTTGTCAGATGGAGAGATTGCAAAAATTTTCTCCCATTCTGTAGGTTGCCTGTTCACTCTGATGATAGTTTCTTTTGCTGTGCAGAAGCTCTTTAGTTTAATTAAATCCCATTTGTCAGTTTTGGCTTGCATTGGCATTGCTTTTGGTGTTTTAGTTGTGAAGTCTTTGCCCTTGCCTATGTCCTGAATGGTATTGCCTAAGTTTTCTTCTAGGGTTTTTATGGTTTTAGGTCTAACATTTAAGTCTTTAATCCATCTTGAGTTAATTTTTGTATAAGGTGTAAGGCTAGCCAGTTTTCCCAACACCATGTATTAAATAGGGAATCCTTTCCCCATTGCTTGTTTTTGTCAGGTTTGTCAAAGATCAGATGGTTGTACATGTGTGGTGTTATTTCTGAGGCCTCTGTTTTGTCCCATTCGTCTATATATCTGTTTTGGTACCAGAACCATGCTGTTTTGGTTACTGTAGCCTTGTAGTATAGTTTGAATTCAGGTAGCATGATGCCTCCAGCTTTTTTCTTTTTGCTTAGGATTGTCTTGGCTATGTGGGCTCTTTTTTGGTTCCATATGAAGTTTAAAGTAGTTTTTTCTAATTATGTGAAGAAAGTCAGTGGTAGCTTGATGGGGATAGCATTGAATCTATAAATTACTTTGGGCAGTATGAACCTTTGCATTCTTAAGGGCAATCTGCTTGTTACCACTTGGACAGCTTGGCGAGGATTGTTGCTAATTCCTAGAAATCTCCTGATTACTGCCAAGGTGAGCCAAGTGAAAAGTTTGTTCCATTTTCTGCAGAGAGTGACAGTTCATTTAATTCCAGCAATAAACTGGCTTCCAGGAGAAATGACTGTTTAAAGGCCTGTGTCAATTATATGGTGATTATGAAATTCATGATATGACTAATCCAGTGGCTGAAGCTATGATTATCTGACATGATCCAAGAATCTGCAGTGTAACAGGCTCTACGTCTCCATTAAAGAGAAGTCAGTTTAATTCTGTGCTACACTCCAGATTACTTCTCTCTTTTCCTAGATCTCCTCTGTCAAAGAGAGTAGACATTTATAAAATGGTTTCTGAATTAAATTCAGTGTCCTGAAAGTCATATGAGCTGTTTTTTTCATGGATGACTCAGAGCTTGGGAATTCCAGTGTGTTGCTTTATATAATTTGAAGAGCTATAAAGACCAGGATGATCTTGAAGACTTCGTTTGGTGATATGTATGTCTTTTCCCGTAATTAGAGTCTCTGATTAGACTACAGGATATCATGACAAGCCTTTAGCTTTCCAAAGCACTCTTTATTTTTGGACCATTCTTATTTGTTTTCTTAGGAATACTATATTTTGTAAACATTAACAAAAATCTGTTTGTAACAAGCACCTATAAACATTCCAGTTTCAAAAATTGGGAAGCAAAATATTTTGCTCAAACTCTGCCATCACTGACAGTGTTTTGGAGAAGAGTCTAACGATCTCCAAATGCTTGGAACTTCCCAGCGCCTTTCAGAGACAAAGGCCCGTGGTTCCTGTACACATTTTGTGTCTTGTGGCCCAGCTTTTCTGGCCAAAGCTGAGTGGACCAAGGATTAATGACTGATTCAAAAGCTGCTATCTGTAGGTTAGATAGCAGTCAATGAGATTTCCTCATAAAAGAGCCTGGCAGAAAAGGGGCGCCCTCTATAGGATGGGCCTCTGGCTAACTCAGTTTGACTGCTAGAGCTACTAGAATCATCAGTTAGACAGAAAAGGAAGTAAAGACAGTCACAATAAAGGTAGAAGTCTAGAGTCTGCAGCAAAAGGCACCGGCTGCTGAAAGGACAGCAAGATAACCAGGTATGTATTTGCCTTGTATCTCAAATGCCTGTTGGTTTTCTTGATTTCCTACTATTTTCTCGATGTAACCTTCTAGTAAGTCCTCACTGATTGAGGAAGCTAGAACTTGCTTTCCTGACACCTGTAGTAGGTGGAGTAATCCCTAATTCCCAGAACCTGTGAATATCACCTTATATGACAAAGGGACTTTGAAGATTTGACTTGAATTAAGGATCTTGAGATGGGGAGACAACCGTGGATTATCTGCGTGGGCCCAATGTAATCACAAGGGTCCTTATAAGAGGGGACAGGGAGGGTCAGAGTGATTAGTAGGAGATGTGACCACGGAAACAGGAGGTTGGAGTGATGTGAGGCAGGGGCTGTGAGGCAAGGACTACAGGCACCCTGCAAAGCTGAAAAAGGCAAGAAAATGTATTATTTTCTGAAGCCTCCAGAATGAGCCATTTCTGCAAACCCTTAGCTAAATCTCAGTGAAAATGATTTTGGACTTCTGACCTCTGGAACTATAAGAGAATACATTTGTGTTGTTTTAAGCCACTAAATTTGTGGCATTTTGTTACAGCAGCCACAGGAAACTAATATGCCAACTGATAGACTAAGCCAGAGGTCCAGCATTTTTTGTGTTCTTTTATTGAAGAAGACAGACAATACCTTAAGCACTTGACCATTCTGCCTATCAGCATTGTGAGAAGTTCTCTGATCTGCTTTGAACAGGTCATTATATTTTGCCAGAAGTATATAAGGGAGAAAATGGGAAACTAGGCATTGAATAAAAATGACGAGAGTTGCCAGTGGGGCCACGGTTACTCAAAAACACACCATAAGAGCGGTCTTTGTGACTGACTGTGATGGCTGACACCTGCAATCCCAGCACTTTGGGAGGCCAAGGCAGGCAGATTGCTTGAGGCCAGGAGGAGTTCAAGACCAGCTTGGGCAGCATGGTAAAACCCTGTCTCTACTAAAAATACAAAAAAATTAGTCCAGTGTGGTTGTGCATGCCTGTGGTCCCAGCAACTCAGGAGGCTGAGGTGGGAGAATTACTTGAACCTGGTAGGTGGAGGTTGCAGTGAGCCAAGATTGCAACACTGCACTCCAACCTGGGAGACAGAGTGAGAGCCCATCTCAAAAAAAAGAGCAGTCTTTGTAAAGAGAAAGAATTTGATGTTATATTTTTAAAACTATTAATGATAATGAAAGCAGATAAGAAACTGGCAAAACTGAAACCACGCTTCACTGAGGGCTGTACTCATCACACAGTAATTTTTCATTAAGTCAAAATCTGGAGAGATATTTCAATGCTCTTGTTAATTACTTCTTTCAAGGCATTCTTCTCATTGTAATTGAGCACATCCCTGGATACCATCCTAGAAGTAAGTACATTAATGACTATATACAACATACCTAGCCAAATACTTATACACGTAAACTGGCTTTCTGGTGCACCTTTTAACTCTCCCATTATAATTTCTAGAGAACACTATGCCAGGTAGGCTCATCTGTCATCCTCAATAAGGACCCAAGTGAGGATTCTTTCCTGTAAGACTTCAATTTTAATCAGTTTATTCTGCTAGTTCCTCAGAAAAGGCTTTCTGCTGCCAAAGAAAATAAAACTTTTTTTTTAAAAAAAACACAACAGGTCTCCACTCACGTAGTATATTTTAGGATAAATGCATTTTGAAGGCAAGAGCAAGGTTTTTTATACGTACTTTTATTTATCCCTTAGTAACCTGAATATGACTAGTAAAAAAACCCTTATAGTAACAAGAATTATTTTGATAATTACTGTATTGATTGTTTTGATAGTTACTGTGTTCTTAGTTGCAGACAACATAATTCACACTAGCTAGTTTCAATAGAAAGGGGTTACAGCAGGGTATTAGGTAGCTTACAGGATTTCCAGCAGTGCCAGAGAAGCAGGCTAGGATACCACACAGCCAGAAACAACCCCAGCAGAAATGCCCAACCATAAACAGGACTGTTCTCATAGAAGCCCCACTACTGCTGCTCAGCAGTCAATACCTGTGATGCTAGGAGCTGGACAGTGAGACTTCTCTCAAAGCTCTTTCAGTCATGTCTGCAAAAATATGGACCCACCTATATGTGCTGCCACTTCACTTATATGACCTTCATCTCCCTGGAGCACATAGGCATCTGCTGGGCAGAACCTGGGTCACAGTCAGAACCCTAGCTACAAAAGAGTCCAGACACTGTAGGTTTTAGAAATGGTCAAAGCAGATGTTGTGTGGACCCATTCGTGGAATCTGCCACAGTGACCATATGGATTTCAGGCAATTTGTAAGTAATGGTAATCATGAGAGTTATATGAGAATAATGGCTAGCAATTTCCAGTGCTTTCTAGCACTTAATATCTTATAAGCATGATCTCATTTAATCCTCAAAGCAGCCCTATGAGGTAGGTACTATTCGTATGCTTGGATTGTAAGTCAAGACACTGAAGGACAAGAGAGGTTAATTCACTCGCCCCACATCTCATGGTGGTAAAGCCAGGATTCAAACTCAGCTCTGTCTGAATGAAAGTCTGTGCTTTCAGCTAGTATACTGTTAATGCTTTACAAATTATTATTTTTAGTTCATCTGCAAGGAGCAACTTGACTAGCTAATCTGGGTTTCTCATTTCTGGAAGACTTTTTACCCACATTGGGACTCATACTTGTGTAACTGGAAATGGAAATGAGATCTTCTGAATGTGGACTGCAAAGGAGAGGGTATGTCTCACCAGTCATGGGTTATATTACCTTTGTGTCAGAGCTAAGGTGACAAGCCAAGCACAGGAGATGCACCAAATGGAAAAGTCCACCGAAAATTTTTGTCTTTGAAGAGAACAGAAAAAGCATTAAATCTCTGTATCTGGTACAGTCTATATGGGTTGTTTTATCTGAAAGGTGAAGGAGGAATGCTTTAAAAAAAAGGTAACTTAACTCTAGGCAAAACTTAAATGATTTTACTCTCTTTCTTCATTTCTAAAGTGGGAGGCAGTCAGATGAGACAGGGCGTGTAGTGTTCCACAATGATTCTGCTGCGTTTTCAGCCTCCAGGCTGAGAAGCAAGTGCAACTAATATTCCAAGGCACGAGTCATTTCCCCACCATTTTACAAAGGCTGGACTAACTCTGGCTTTCTCAATGTAAGGTGTACACATTAAAGATATAGAGATAGTTCTTAAAAAGTTATAAGTTCAAACATTCCATAGTATGTGCAACCTAATGAATTACAGAATGGGAGACACTTTCATAGGAGCACCTGATTCAGTGTCCGCCCACCTCTTGTTTCTAATTAAAAAAACCCAAAGAAATAAAAACCAATGGCATTGCAGTCATGCTTTAATTTTATTCTAAGCTTGTGTCATCCTCTTGAATTGAGACTCACAGGGAACAGGGCCCAGCAAATCCCTGGACCTCCTGGTATTTCGTGTAAACACAGCACCTAACCTGGACTGGCTTCCATAGAGCTAAGACATTTTCTGTTTCGCACACAGAGCAATATGTTTCAAAATGTAGTGTGGAAATTGCTGGGGTGTATAAATAAGCTTTAAAATGTATTTTAACAAATATATAAAAAATATATATACACACATATATACATACACACATATATAGTTGTTAAATACCTTGTTTAAACAAATATATATTTAATAAAAATCATATATAAATAATAAAATAATTACATATATATATATTTGTTTGAGATGGAGTCTTGCCCTGTTGTCCAAGCTGGAGTGCAATGGCACAATCTTGGCTCACTGCAACCTCTGCCTCCCGGGTTCAAGCAATTCTCTGCCTCAGCCTCCCAAGGGGCTGGGATTACAGGCACCCACCACCACACCCAGCTAATTTTTGTATTTTTGGTAGAGACAGGGTTTCACCATGTTGGCCAGGCTGGTCTCGAACTCCTGACCTCGTGATCTGCCCACCTTGGCCTCCCAAAGTGCTGGGATTACAGGTGTGAGCCACCGCACCCGGTCACATATATATATTTTTTGAGTCAGGGTCTAGCTTTGTTGCCCAGGCTGGAGTTCAGTGGTGTGTAACTTACTTCAGCTTTGAATTCCTGGGCTCAAGCAACTCTCCTGCCTCAGCATCCTGAGTAGCTTGGATTACAGGTGAGTACCACCATGTTCAACTAATTTTTAAAAGACTTCATAGAGATGAGGTCTTGCTTTGTTGCAAGCTGTTGAACTCCTGGGCTCAAGTGGTACTCCAGCTTCAGCTTCGCAAAGTGCTGGGATTACAGGTTTGAGCCAACACACCCAGCCATGAACACATCTTCTAAAAACATTTACTTGTATAAATGTGTATTAAGAAAGACATATAGACAAAGAGAAGCCTATCAGACTAACAGCTGATCTCTCGGCAGAAACTCTACAAGCCAGAAGAGAGTGGGGACCAATATTCAACATTCTTAAAGAAAAGAATTTTCAACCCAGAATCTCATATCCAGCCAAACTAAGCTTCATAAGTAAAGGAGAAATAAAATACTTTACAGACAAGCAAATGCTGAGAGATTTTGTCAGGCCTGCCCTAAAAGAGCTCCTGAAGGAAGCACTAAACATGGAAAAGAACAACCGGTACCAGCCACTGCAAAATCATGCCAAATTGTAAAGACCATCAAGGCTAGGAAGAAACTGCATCAACTAATGAGCAAAATAACCAGCTAACATCTTAATGACAGGATCAAATTCACACATAACAATATTAACTTTAAATGTAAATGGGCTAAATGCTCCAATTAAAAGACACAGACTGGCAAACTGGATAAAGAGTAAAGACCCATCAGTGTGCTGTATTCAGGAAACCCATCTCACGAGCAGAGACACACATAGGCTCAAAATAAAAGGATGGAGGAAGATCTACCAAGCAAATGGAAAGCAAAAAAAGGCAGAGGTTGCAATCCTAGTCTCTGATAAAACAGACTTTAATCCAACAAAGATCAAAAGAGACAAAGAAGGCCATTACATAATGGTAAAGGGATCAATTCAACAAGAAGTGCTAACTATCCTAAATATATATGCACCCAATACAGGAGCACCCAGATTCATAAAGCAAGACATGCTTGCAGTGATCTGGTCTAGGTTTTTGCTACATGAACACTAGCATTTTCCACAGATGTCACCTCCAACTGTCAAGATGATTTTACCTTTTTTTTTTGTAGAAGCCAGAACAATCCTTGCCAGATGACTTAAGCATCAAAGAGATAAATTTACATGTGGTATTATAGAAGGAAAATAACCTTCTTGGGAAGTGCTACTTCTCCCCTAACCCACGAGGATGAATATATACTAATGAGGACCCTTCTCACCTATGAGGCACAGTGCTAAGCACCCTGCACAAACTATCTGATTTCTTACAGCACTGCCACATGGTAGATAGCATTATTCTCATTTTGCAGTGAAAAAAGCCTGAAGGTTAGAGAAGTTAAATAACTCACGTGAGGTGCCCAACATCATCTGGCAGGTCTGGATTCAAATCCAAACCTGTAACATCAAAACCCATGGCCTTAAACAATAAAAGGGGAAAAAGCAAGGAATGAGGGGGAAATGTGTCCAAGTGGACATCTGGACATCCTCCTTCCCTTGTGTGGCTCTAGCTGCCTGGACTTAAGTCAGGCCAAGCCCACATACCCCAAGGTATGGGGCCCAATGTGACCATGTTGATTTTTCAGGCCTTAGGACAGGTAACTCAATGACAATAGTTGATATTTATGGAGTGTTTCCCTGGTGCCAAGCACTGGTAGGATCTTCACATGCATTATCTCACTTAAACCTCAAAGTTCAAAGGTGTGAGGTAAGTACTATAATGACCCCATTTTAGAAGAGCACAGGCTCAGAGAGGTTAATTTTCTTGCCCAGGGCCACACTGCTAGGAAATGGTAGAGCTGGGCTTCAAACCCAGGTCTGATCTGAGTCCAGGCCATATATTTAACCCATTCTCCTATACTGCCAATTCCAAAATACTGTATTTAAAAAATAGAATAATCTGGTTCTTAAATACATCCTTTAAAAACCTACCATGTCTTTGAGCTAAAACTAAAAAAAAAATAGAAAAATTAGTCTTTTAAAAAATATTTCCGAATTATGAACATTTGCTGTTTGGGGGGCTATGTAACACCTAGATCTCCTTCCTATTTCATGGGAATTCCACTTTTGGAAGGTCTTAATGGGAGGTCCTCTGCCTGTGGGAGCTGGAAAAGGCCAGATGTTTCCTGTCCCTATCTCCTGGCTTACCAGTGGGCCCCTCCAGCTGGGAATAATGGTTATGGGGAGCGTGATGATGCCAAGACACAGGAGCCGTTAGAGAGCATCCACAGCAGCGTCTGTGGCTGTGGGTGATGTTCCTGTGTCACATCTTTGACTGGGCTTCCTGCTGACTCACCTCCATGGGTTCCTGCCTGTTTCTTGGGGCTGGTGGCCAAGCCTCCCCACCCATTCTGTGACCCACCAACATTCTTCCAATATACTCACTCTTTTTCTGTTCAGGTAAACTGCAGGTGGCTTCTGATGTGCGCAACCAAGAAACAGACATGTACAAAAATATTCATGCTTTTGAAATTATATAATTGGGGCCAAAGATAAACATATGTGTTAGACTCTTGCAGATGATTTAAAAATGTATTATTTTCTGAAATCCAAGCTAAGGACATAGCTGTAGCTTTGTACTTGGGTAACAACCACCTAGTACATTGGGGCTATAGGCAGAGAATTCCAGTTTCTCAGCCAGACCTCCAGGGCTTTGCCCAGAATAGCCCCATCCATGACTGTCTCTTCTAATAAACCTGTACTCCAGCCAACCTGGCCTCCTGGCTGCTCCTTAGCCATATTTTGCCTTTTCTCACCCAAATATTCACCTGCCCTTCTGAGGTCAGCTTCTTCTAACACAAGTATAAACAGAAAGCTTGGTTTTATGTATACCTTGAGTCGTCCACTTAGAACACATCCTGTATGTAATCCCAGCACTTTGGGAGGCTGAGGCAGTGGATCACTTGAGGCTAGGAGTTTGAGACCAGCCTGGCCAACATGGTGAAACCCCATCTCTACTAAAAATACAAAAATTAGCCAGGCATGGTGGCACGTGCATGTGATCCCAGATACTTGGGAGGCTGAGGCATGAGAATTGCTTGATCACAGGTGGTGGAGATTGCAGTGAGCCAAGATCATGCCACTGCACTGCAGCCTGGGCAAAAGAGCAAGACTCCATCTCAAAAAAAAAAAAAAAGAAGCAGTTCCTATAGTCACACATTTGTTTCTCATTGTTCCTATCTCTGCTGAGGGCCATGGCTTCTGCACAGTGGTCTGCTAACTCCAACTCTAGGCCTGAGTTCATCCACTTGGTAGAAAGAGTCTAGTTGCCTCTTCATAGGCCTCACTGGGAAGTGGGAGAAGGAGCTGGTCTCTTTCCCCTTCACCACACCACCCCAGGTTGTACAGATGGAACAACTCACTTTACTGGGCATGTTGGAACCATTGGAAAGGGAACCGAAATTCAGTAGAGGAAAGGTGAAAGTTCTTGATGAATCTGATTCTCCCAGTGTTACAAGGGAAAGTAGCACAAGATTAGGCCTTCACTGGGTTGGGGTAGAGGATTCTCCTAAGGTCTGGCCCTGAACGCCCCGCTTTCTCTGTAATGCCCCACTTTCTCTATCTTCTACTATAAGACTTTTGGGAAAACCTCTTTGAGTCACTGGAAATCACTGGGAAGACTCTGTTCCAGCTCTCTCCTCTCTCCAGACATGTCCTCACTCAAATGGGGGAACTCAGCAGGAGTATCAGCCCTGCTATGACAAGCAAGTCCTGAAGACCCATCAGAGGTAGCAGGAGCTGGGGAGAGGCTCAGACTCACCAGGATCTGAGGCTGAGGATGGATATGGGCCATCTGGGTCAGATTATCTTTGTGCTATTCCCTTTAGCAAACATGGCTGTGTTTGCACACACATCCTAAGGCATTTTCACAAATATCTAGTTTCTAGATTTTATTGCGGGATATTTGGTTTTTCACTATAGGCATCAATGGGCTATGAAACGTCCCATTGTAGATTCTATAAAAAAGTCTTACTGTGGGGACCAGCCCCACAGGGTCGGTAGGTCTCTCCCTGTGTGCAGCGATGAGAGAGTGTAGAAATAAAGACACAAGACAAAGAGACAAGAGAAAAGGCAGCTGGGCCCGGGGGACCACTACCACCAATGTGCGGAGACCAGTAGTGGCCCCGAATGTCTGGCTGCACTGTTATTTATTGGATACAAGGCAGAAGGGGCAGGGTAAAGAATGTGAGTCACCTCCAATGATAGGTAAGGTCACGTGGGTCACGTGTCCACTGGACAGGGGGCCCTTCCCTGCCTGGCAGCTGAGGCAGAGAGGGAGAGGAGACAAAAGGAAAGACAGCTTACGCCATTATTTTGCATATCAGGGACTATTAGTATTTTCACTAATTTACTACTGCTATCTGGAAGGCAGAGCCAGGTGTACAGGATGGAACATGAAGGCAGACTAGGAGTGTGACCACTGAAGCACAGCATCACAGGGAGATGGTTAGGCCTCCGGATAACTGCGGGCGAGCCTGACTGATGTCAGGCCCTCCACAAGAGGTGGAGGAGCAGAGTCTTCTCTAAACTCCCCTGGGGAAAGGGAGACCCCCCCCCCCCCACCCTTTCCCGGTCTGCTAAGTAGCGGGTGTTGTTCCTTGATGCCTTTTGCTACCGCTGGACCATGATCCGCCTGGTAATGGGCGTCTTCCCAGATGCTGGTGTCACCGCTAGACCAAGGAGCCCTCTGGTGGCCTTGTCCGGGCATAACAGAAGGCTCGCACTCTTGTCTTCTGGTCACACCTCACTATGTCCCCTCAGCTCCTATCTCTGTATGGCCTGGTTTTTCCTAGGCTATGTTATAGAGTGAGGATTATCATAATATTGGAATAAAAAGTAATTACTACAAACCAATGATTAATGATATTCATATATAATCATATCTAAGATCTATATCTGGTATAACTATTCTTGTTTTATATTTTATTATGCTGGAACAGCTTGTGTCCTCTGTCTCTTGCCTCGGTGCCTGGGTGGCTTGCTGCCCACATTACCAACCTGCTGAATCAAAACAACGGTTTGACTCTGTGAAATGAATGAACACATGGCAAAGCATTTTCACTGATAGCTTGTTTCTAGTTTTTATCTTGGGATATAGGTTTTTTCACTATAGGCCTCAATGGGCTCCAAAAAGTCCCTTTGTAGATTCTAAAAATAGAGTGCTTCCAACCTGCCTTTCGTAGATTTTACTAAAAGAGTGTTTTCAACCTTCTTAATTAAAATAAAGGTTTAAATCTGTGAGATGAATCCACACTTAGCAAAGCATTTTCACAGATAGATTGTTTCTAGTTTTTATCACGGGATATGTGGTTATTCACTATAGGCCTAAATAGGCTCTGAAGTGTCCCTTCTTAGATTCTACAAGAAGAGCGTTTCCTATCTGCTGAATCAAAACAAAGGTTTAACTCTGTGAGATGAATCCACACATCACAAAGTATGTGCACAGATAGTTGTTTCTAGTTTTTATAGTGGGATGTTGGGTTTTTTACTGTAGGCCTCAATGGGCTCTAAAATGTCCCCTCATAGATTCTACAAAAAGAGTGTTTCCAACCTACTGAACCAAATAAAGGTTTAACCCTGTAAAATAAATCCAAACATTGCAAAGCATTTTCATGGATAGCTTGTTTCTAGTTTTAATCACAGGATATTTGGTCTTTCACTATAGGCCTCAATGGTCTCCAAAATATCCCTTTGTAGATTTTACAAAAAGGATGTTTCCAGCCTGCTGAATCAATACCAAGGTTTAACTCTGTGAGATGAATCCTCACATCAGAAAGCATTTTCACCAATAGCTAGTTTCTACTTTTTATCGTGAGATATTCAGTTTTTCAGTATAGACCTCAATGGCTTAGAAATATTGCTTCATAGATTCTATGAAAGAGTGTTTTTTAACCTGCTGAATCAAAACAAAGGTTTAACTCTGTAAAATGAATAAACACATCACAAAGCATTTTCACTGATAGCTTGTTTCTAGTTTTTATTGTGGGATATTCGGTTTTCCACTGTAGGCCTCAATGGGCTCTAAAATGTCTCTTTGAAGATTCTACCAAAAGAGTATTTCCAACAAGCTGAAACCAAACAAAGGTTTAATTCTGAGATGAATCCAAACATCACAAAACATTTTCACATATAACTTGTTTCTAGTTTTTATCATGGGATATTTGGTTTTCCACCATAGGCCTCAATGGGCTCCGAAATGTCCCTTCGCAGATTCTACAAAAGAGTGTTTCCAATCTGCTGAATTAAAACAAAGATTTAACTCTGTCAAATGAATCCTCACATCACCAGGCAGTTCACGGATAGCTTCTTTCTAGTTTTAATTGTGGGATACTCAGTTTTTCACTATAGGCCTCAATGGGCTCCAAAATGTATCTTCGTAGATTTCATAAAAAGAGTGTTTCCAACCTCCCCTTTGTAGATTTTACAAAAAAAGTGTTTCCATCCTGCTGAATCAAAACCAAGGTTTAACTCTGTGAGTTGAATCCACACATCACCAAGCATTTTCACAGATAGCTTGTTTCCAGTTTTTATAGCAGGATATTTTGTTTTACAAATATAGGCCTCAATGAGCTCTGAAATGTCCCTCCATAGATTGTGCCACAAGAATGTTTCCAACCTGCTCGATCAAAACAGAGGTTTAAGTCTGTGAGATTCATCCATTGCAAAGCATTTTCCCAGATAGCTTGTTTCTAGTTTTTATCGTGGGATATTTCATTATTCACTATAGACTTCAATATGCTCTGAAATATCCCCTCATAGTTTCTACAAAAGTGTGTTTTCAACCTGCTGAATCAAAACAAAGATTTAACTCTGTGACTCGAAATGACCCATCCTAAAGCATTTTCACAGATAGCTTGTTTCTAGTTTTTATCGCAAGATAATCAGTTTTTTTTTTTTACTACAGGCCTTAATGGGCTCTGAAATGTCCCTTCGTAGATTCTACAAAAAAAGTGATTTTGGCCTGCTGAATCAAAACAAAGGTTTAACTCTGTGAGATGAATTCACACATCACCAAGCATTTTCACAGATAGATTTTTCTAGTTTTTATTGCGGAATATTCTTCTTTTACTATAGTTCTCAATGGGCTTTGAAATTTCCCTTAATGGGCTCCTTAACGTCCCTTAGAATAAGACTGTCTCCAACTTGCTGAATCAAAACAAAGGTTTAACTCTGGGAGATGAATCCACACATTGCAAAGCATTTTCACAGATAGCTTGTTTATAGTTTTTATTGCAGGATATTCAGTGTTTCACTATACTTGTCTATGGCATTTGAAATGTCCCTTTGTATATCCTACAAAAAAAGTGTTTCTAGCCTTCTGAAACAAAACAAAGGTTTAAGTCTGTGAGATCAATACACACATCACAAAGCACTTTCACATATAGATTGTTTTTTGTTTTCATTACAAAGTATTCATTTTTTCACTATAGTCCTCAATAAGCTCCAAAATGTCCCTCCATAGCTTCTACGAAAAAAGTGTTTCCAACCTGTTGAATCAAAACAAAGGTTTAATTCTGTGAGGTGAATCCACACATTGCAAATTATGTTCACAGATAGATTGTTTTTAGTTTTTATTGTGAAATGCTTGGTTTTTCACTGTAAGCCACAATGGGCTTTGAAATGTCTTTTTTGTAGATTCTACAAAACGAGTGTTCCCAACCTTCTGAATGAAAATAAATATTTAAATCTGTGAGATGAATTCACATATTGCAAAGCATTTTCACTAATAGTTGCTAGTTTCTGTTGTGGGATATTTGGTTTATCAATATACCTGCACATGGGCTGAAAATGTCCCTTTGTTGATTCTTCAAAAAGAGTGTTTCCAATCTGCTGAATCAAAACAAAGGTTTAACTCTGAGAGGTGATCCACACATTGCAAAGCATTTTCACAGATAGCTTAATTCTAGTTTTTATCAGGGAATATTCAGCTATTCACCATAGGTCTCGATGGGCTCTGAAATGTCTCTTTGTAGATTCTACAAAGAAAGTGCTTCTGGCTTGTTGAGTCAAAACAAAGGTTTGACTCTGTGGGATGAATCCACATATCACAGAGCATTTTCACAAATACCTTGCTTCTAGTTTTTATCAGGGGATATTCGGTTTTCACTATAGGTGTCAAATGGCTCCAAAATATCCCTTCCTAGATTCTACAAAAAAGGTGTTTCCAACCTGCTGAATTAAAATGAAGGTTTAACTCTATGAGATGAATTCACACATTGCAAAGCATTTTCACTGATAGCTTGTTTCTAGTTTTTATCATGAGGTATCTCTTTTCACTATAGGCCTCAATGGGCTTTGAAATGACCCTTCATAGATTCTACAAAAGATAGTTTCCAACCTGCTGAATGGGAACAAAGGTTTAACTCTGTGAGATGAATCCACACATCACAGAGCATTTTAACAGATAGTTTGTTTCTAGTTTTCATTGCGAGATATTCGGTTTTGCACTGTTGGCCTCAATAAGCTCCGAAATATCCCTTTGTAGATTCTACAAAGAGAGTGTTTCTAACCTGCTGAATCAAAGCAATGGTTTAACTCTTTGAGATGAATCCACACATTGCAAAGCATTTTCAGAGATAAATTTTTATTGTTTTTATCATGAAATATTTGCTTTTTTACTATAGGATTCCATAAGTGTGAAATGTCCCTTCGTATAGTCTACAAAAAAGTGTTCCAAACCTGCTGAATAAATACAAAGATTTAAATTTATGAGATAAATCCACACATCACAAAGCATTTTCACCGATAGCTTTTGCCTAGTTTTTGTCATGGGATAATTGGTTTTTCAGTATAGGCCACAGTTTGCTCTGAAATGTATCCCAATAGATTGTAGAAAGAGAGCGTTTCCAACCCACTGAATCACAAGAAAGGTTAAACTCTGTGAGACAAAATCACACATCACAAAGCATTTTTAGACATAGCTTCTTTGTAGTTTTTATCGTGTGACATTTGGTTTTTCACTATAGGCCTCATTAGGCTCCAAAATGTCCCCTTGTAGATTGCACAAAAAGAGTGTATCCAACCTGCTGAATCAAAACTAAGGTTTAACTCTGTGAGATAAATCCACGCACTGCAACGCATTTTCACAGATAGCTTGCTTCTAGTTTTTATCGTGGGATATTCGGTTTTTCACTATAGGCTTCAATGGGCTCCAAAATGTTGCTTCGTAGATTCTACAAAAAGAGTGTTTCCAACCTGCTGAATCAAAATAAAAGTTTAACACTTTGAGATGAATCCGCACATTGCAAAACATTTTTACAGATGGTTGTTTTTAGTTTTAATTGTAGGATATTCACTTTTTCACTATAGGACCGAATGGGCTCAAAAATGTCCCCTCTTAGATTCTACTAAAAAATTGTTTCCAACCTGCTGTATGAAAACAAAGGTTTAACTCTGTGAGATGAATCCAACATTGCAAAGCATTTTCACAGATAGTTTGTTTCTAGTTTTTATCACAGGATATTCAGCTTTTCCCTATAAGCCCCAATGGGTTCCAAAATGTCCCTTTGCAGATTCTACAAAGAGAGTCTTTCCAACCTGTTGAATCAAAGCAAACATTTAACTCTTTGAGATGAATCCACGTGTCACAAATCATTTTTAGAGATAGATTGTTTGTAGTTTTATCCCAGGATATACAATTTTTCACTATAGGCCTCAAAAGGCTCAGAAATTGTCTTCTTTTAGATTCTACTAAAAGAAGGTTTCCAATCTGCTGTATATAAACATAGGTTTAACTCTGTGAGAAAAATCCACAAATCACAAAGGTTTTCAGAGATAGCTTGTTTCTAGTTTTTATTGCAAGATATTCAGTTTTTCACTATAGGCCTCAATGGGCTCTGAAATGTCCCCTTGTAGATTATACAAATAGTGTGTCTCCAACCTGCTGAATCAAAAAAAAAATGTTTTAACTCTGTGAGATAAACTCACACATTGCAAAGCTAGTTCACAGATAGCTTGTTTCTAGTTTTTATCAAGTGATATTTGTTCCTCACTGTAGACCTCAATGGGCTCTGAATTGTTCCTTTGTTGATTCTACAAAAAGTGTTTCCAACCTGCTGAATCAAAACAAAGGTTTAACTCTGTCAGATCAATTCAAACATCGCAAAGTATTTTCACAGTTAGGTTGTTTCTAGTTTTTATCATGGGATATTCTGTTTTTCACTATAAGCCTCAATGGGCTCTGAAATGCTGCTTCGTAGATTTTACAAAAGAAGTATTTACAACCTGCTGAATCAGAAGAAAGTTTTAACTATGTAAGAGGAATCCATACATTGTAAAGCATTTTCACAGAGAACTTGCTTCTATTTTTTTTATCAGGGGATATTTGGTTTCTCACTATAGGCCTCAAAGGGATCCAACACATTATTTTGTAGATTGTACAAAAAGACTGTTTCCAAACTGCTGAATTAAAACAAAGTTTTAAATCTGTGAGATGAATCCACACAACACAAAGCATTTTCACAAATAGCTGTTTGTAGTTTTTATCACGGGATATTTGATTTTTCACTATAGGCTTCAATGGGCTTCAAAATGTCTTTTCTTAGATTGTACAAAAACGTCTTTCCAACCTGCTGAATCAAAACAAAGGTTTATCTCTGTGAGGTGAATCCACACAACTCAAAGCATTTGCACAAAAAGCTGTTCGTAGTTTTTATCACGGGGTATTTGGGTTTTCACTATAGGCTTCAATGGGCTTCAAAATGTCTTTTCTTAGATTGTATAAAAACATCTTTTCAACCTGCTGAATCAAAACAAAGGTTTATCTCTGTGAGGTGAATCCACACATCGCAAAGCATTTTCACAGAATAGTTATTTTTAGTTTTTATTGCAAAATATTCGGTTTTTCACTATTGGCTTCAATGGGCTCTGAAATGTCACTTCATAGATTCTACAAAGACAGTGTTTCCAACCTGCTGAATCAAAACAAAAGTTTAAATATGTGAGATGAATCCACACATTGCAAAGCATTTTCAGAAGTTGGTTTTTCATTGTTTTTATCACAAAACATTGATTTTTTACTATAGGTGTCAATGGGTGTGAAATGTCCCTTTGTATATTCTACAAAAAAACTGTACCCAACCTGCTGAATAAATGCAAAGGTTTAAGTTTTTGAGATGAAACCACACATCACAAAGCATTTTCACAGATAGCTCGTTTCTAGTTTTTATCATGTGATATTCAGTTTTTTACTGTAGGCCTCCATGGGCTCCGAAATGTCCCTTCATAAATTCTACAAAAAGATTGTTTACAACCTGCTGAATCAAAGCAAGGGTTCTGTGAGATTAATCCACACATTGTGAAGCGTTTTTACAGATAGTTTGTTTTCAGTTTTTATTGGGGGATATTATGTTTTTCACTATAGGCCTCAAAGGGCTCAGAAATATCTTCTTTTAGATACTTCCAACCTGCTGCATATAAACATAGGTTTAACTCTGTGATATAAATCCACACATTGCAAAGATTTTCAGAGATAGCTTGAAAATCTATCTCTGAAAATCTGTGTCTTGAAAATCAGAGATATTGGTTTTTCCCTAAAGGCCTCAATGGGCTTAGAAATGTTCCTTTATTGATTCTACAAAAGAAGTGTTTCCAACCTGCTGAATCAAAACAAAGGTTTAACTCTGTGAGATCAATTCACACATCACAAAGCATTTTCACAGATAGGTTGCTTCTAGTTTTTATCTTGGGCTATTCTGTTTTTCACTATAAGCCTCAATGGGCTCTGAAATGTCCCTTCATAGATTCTATAAAAGAAGTGTTTCCAACCTGCTGAATTGAAAGAAAGGTTTAACTCTGTGAGATGAAATCACGCATTGCAAAGCATTTTCAGAGATAGCTTCATATAATTTTTGTCATGGGATATTCGGTTTTTACTATAAGCCTCAATGGGCTTTAAAATGTCTCCTCAAAGATTGCACAAAAACAGATTTTTCAACCTGCTGAATCAAAACAAAGGTTTAACATTGTGAGATGAATCCACATATCACAGAGAATTTTCACAAAAATTTTTTTCTAATTTTTATATTGGCATATTCGGTTTTTCACTATAGGCCTCACTGGGCTCAGAAATGCCCTACATAGATTCTACAAAAAGAATGTTTCTAATTTGTGGAACCAAAGCAAAAGTTTAACTCTTTAAGCTGAATCCACACATCACAAAGCATTTTCACAGATAGCTTGTTTCAAGTTTTTATTGGGGGATATTCTGTTTTTCACTATAGGCCTCAGTGGGCACAGAATTGTCCCCTCTCAGATTCTACTAAAGGAGTGTTCACAATATGCTGTATAAAAATAAAGGTTTAACTCTGTGAGATGAATCTACATACTGCAAAGCATTTTTAGATATAGCTGGCTTCTAGTTTTTATTGTGGGATGTTTGGTTTTTCACTATAGGCCTCAAAAGGCTCTGAAATGTCCCTCCTTAGGTTCTATAAAATGAGAGTTTTCAACCTGCTGAATATAAACAGAGGTTTACCTCTGTGAGATGAATTCACACATCTCAAAACATTTTCACAGATAGTTTTTTCTAGTTTTTATTATGTGATACTCAGTTTTTCACTATAAGCCTGAATGGGCTCCAAAATTTCCCTTTGTAGATTCTACAAAAAGAGTGTTGCCAACCTGCTATATTAAGACAAGGTTCTACTCTGTGAGATGAATCCACACATTGCAAAGCATTTTCACAGATTGTTTGCTCCTAGTTTTTATAGGGGAATATTCGTTTTTTTACTATAGGCCACAAAGATCTCAGAAATGTCTATGAGATTCTACTAAAAGAGCATTTCCAACCTGCTGTATATAAATATAGGTTTAACTCTGTGAGAGAAATCCACATATCACAAACATTTTAACAGATAGCTTGTTTCTAGTTTTTATTGTGGGATATTTGGTTATTCACTAGAGGGCTCAATGGGCTCCTAAATGTCCTATTGTAGATTTCTCAAAAAAAAGTTTCCAATTTGCTCTATAAAATCAGAGGTTTAACTCTGAGATGAATCCATACATTGTAAAGCATTTTCATAGATAGATTATTTCTAGTTGTTATTGCAGGATACTCTGTTTTTCATTAGAGGCCTCTTTAGGCTTCAAAAGATCACTACATAGATTCTACAAAAAGTGTTTCCAGCCTGCCGAATCACAAGGAAGTTTTAATTGTGAGAGATCATCCCACTCACTGCAAAACACTTTTACAGATAGGTTGTTTCTGGTTTTCATTGTGGGATATTCAGTTTTTAAATATAGGCCTCAATGGGCTCTGAAATGTTCCTTCAAAGGTTCTACAAAAAGAGTTTTTCCAACCTACTGAATCAAAATAAAGGTTCAGGTAGGCAGCCAAGATGGCTGAATAGGAACGGCTCCAGTCTACAGCTCCCAGCGTGAGCGATGCAGAAGACGGTGATTTCTCCATTTCCATCTGAGGTACCAGGTTCATATCACTAGGGAGTGCCAGACAGTGGGTGCACGACAGTGGGTGCAGTGCACCGTGCATGACCCGAGGCAGAGCGAGGCATTGCCTCACTCAGGAAGCACAAGGGATCAGAGAGTTCCCTTTCCTAGTCAAAGAAAGGGGTGACAGACGGCACCTGGAAAATCGGGTCACTCCCACCCGAATACTGCGCTTTTCTGACGGGCTTAAAAAACGATGCACCAGGAGATTATATCCCACACATGGCTCGGAGGGTCCTACGCCCACGGAGTCTTGCTGATTGCTAGCACAGCAGTCTGAGGTCAAACTGCAAGGTGGCAGCGAGGCTCGGGGAGGGGCATCCGCCATTGCCCAGGCTTGCTTAGGTAAACAAAGCAGCTGGGAAGCTTGAACTGGGTGGAGCCCACCACAGCTCAAGGAGGCCTGCCTGCCTCTGTAGGCTCCACCTCTGGGGGCAGGGCACAGACAAACAAAAAGACAGCAGTAACCTCTGCAGACTTAAATGTCCCTGTCTGACAGCTTTGAAGAGAGCAGTGGTTCTCCCAGCACGCAGTTGGAGATCTGAGAATGGGCAGACTGCCTCCTCAAGTGGGTCCCTGACCCCTGACCCCTGAGCAGCCTAACTGGGAGGCACCCCCCAGTAGGGGCAGACTGACACCTCACACAGCCAGGTACTCCTCTGAGACAAAACTTGCAGAGGAACGATCAGACAGCAGCATTCGCGGTTCACGAAAATCCGCTGTTCTGCAGCCACCGCTGTGGATACCCAGGCAAACAGGGTCTGGAGTGGACCTCTAGCAAACTCCAACAGACCTGCAGCTGAGGGTCCTGTCTGTTAGAAGGAAAACTAACAAACAGAAGGGACATCCACACCAAAAACCCATCTGTACATCACCATCATCAAAGACCAAAAGTAGATAAAACCACAAAGATGGGGAAAAAACAGAGCAGAAAAACTGGAAACTCTAAAAAGCAGAGCGCCTCTCCTCCTCCAAAGGAACGCAGTTCCTCACCTGCAATGGAACAAAGCTGGATGGAGAATGACTTTGACGAGTTGAGAGAAGAAGGCTTCAGATGATCAAACTACTCCGAGCTACAGGAGGAAATTCAAACCAAAGGCAAAGAAGTTAAAAACTTTGAAAAAAATTTAGATGAATGTATAACGAGAATAACCAATACAGAGAAGTGCTTAAAGGAGCTGATGGAGCTGAAAGCCAAGTTTCAAGAACTACGTGAAGAATGCAGAAGCCTCAGGAGCCGATGCGATCAACTGGAAGAAAGGGTATCAGTGATGGAAGATGAAATGAATGAAATGAAGTGAGAAGGGAAGTTTAGAGAAAAAAGAATAAAAAGAAATGAACAAAGCCTCCAAGAAATATGGGACTATGTGAAAAGACCAAATGTACGTCTGATTGGTGTACTGAAAGTGACAGGGAGAATGGAACCAAGTTGGAAAACACTCTGCAAGATATTATCCAGGAGAACTTCCCCAGTCTAGCAAGGCAGGCCAACATTCAGATTCAGGAAATACAGAGAACGCCACAAAGATACTCCTCAAGAAGAGCAACTCCAAGACACATAATTGTCAGATTCACCAAGGTTGAAATGAAAGAAAAAATGTTAAGGGAAGCCAGAGAGAAAGGTCGGGTTACCCACAAAGGGAAGCCCATCAGACTAACAGCAGATCTCTCGGCAGAAACTCTACAAGCCAGAAGAGAGTGGGGGCCAATATTCAACATTCTTAAAGAAAAGAATTTTCAACCCAGAATTTCATATCCAGCCAAACTAAGCTTCATAAGTAAAGGAGAAATAAAATACTTTACAGACAAGCAAATGCTGAGAGACTTTGTCACCACCAGGCCTGCCCTAAAAGAGCTCCTGAAGGAAGCACTAAACATGGAAAGGAACAACCAGTACCAGCCACTGCAAAATCATGCCAAAATGTAAAGACCATCAAGGCTAGGAAGAAACTGCATCAACTAACGAGCAAAATAACCAGCTAACATCTTAATGACAGGATCAAATTCACACATAACAATATTAACTTTAAATGTAAATGGGCTAAATGCTCCAATTAAAAGACACAGACTGGCAAATTGGATAAAGAGTCAAGACCCATCAGTGTGCTGTATTCAGGAAACCCATCTCACGTGCAGAGACACACATAGGCTCAAAATAAAAGGATGGAGGAAGATCTACCAAGCAAATGGAAAGCAAAAAAAGGCAGGGGTTGCAATCCTAGTCTCTGATAAAACAGACTTTAATCCAACAAAGATCAAAAGAGACAAAGAAGGCCATTACATAATGGTAAAGGGATCAATTCAACAAGAAGAGCTAACTATCCTAGATATACATGAACCCAATACAGGAGCACCCAGATTCATAAAGCAAGTCCTGAGTGACCTACAAAGAGACTTAAGACTCCCACATAATAATAATGGGAGAATTTAACACCCCACTGTCAACATTAGACAGATCAATGACACAGAAAGTTAACAAGGATACCCAGGAATTGAACTCAGCTCTGCACCAAGCAGACCTAATAGACATCTACAGAGCTCTCCACCCCAAATCAACAGAATATACATTTTTTTCAGCACCACACCACACCTATTCCAAAATTGACCACATACTTGGAAGTAAAGCTCTCCTCAGCAAATGTAAAGAACAGAAATTCTAACAAACTGTCTCTCAGACCACAGTGCAATCAAACTAGAATTCAGGATTAAGAAACTGACTCAAAACCGCTCAACTACATTGAAACTGAACAACCTGCTCCTGAATGACTACTGGGTACATAACGAAATGAAGGCAGAAATAAAGATGTTCTTTGAAACCAACGAGAACAAAGACACAAGCCTAACATCACAATTAAAGGAACTAGAAAAGCAAGAACAAACACATTCAAAAGCTAGCAGAAGGCAAGAAATAACTAAAATCAGAGCATAACTGAAGGAAATACAGACACAAAAAACCCTTCAAAAAATTAATGAATCCAGGAACTGGTTTTTTGAAAAGATCAACAAAATTGATAGACCACTAGCAAGACTAATGACAAAAAGAGAGCAGAATCAAATAGACACAAAAAAATGATAAAGGGGATATCACTACCGATCCCACAGAAATACAAACTACCATCAGAGAATACTACAAACATCTCTGTGCAAATAAACTAGAAAATCTAGAAGAAATGGATAAATTCCTCGACACATACACTCTCCCAAGACTAAACCAGGAAGAAGTTGAATCTCTGAATAGACCAATAACAGGATCTGAAATTGTGGCAATAATCAATAGCTTACCAACCAAAAGAGTCCAGGACCAGATGGTTTCACAGCCGAATTCTACCAGAGGTACAAGGAGGAACTGGTACCATTCCTTCTGAAACTATTCCAATCAATAGAAAAAGAGGGAATCCTCCCTAACTCATTTTATGAGGCCAGCATCATCCTGATGCCAAAGCCAGGCAGAGACACAACCAAAAAAGAGAATTTAGACCAATATCCTTGATGAACATTGATGAAAAAATCCTCAATAAAATACTGGCAAACCGAATCCAGCAGCACATCAAAAAGCTTATCCACCATGATCGAGTGGGCTTCATCCCTGGGATGTAAGGCTGGTTCAATATATGCAAATCAATAAATGTAATCCAGCATATAAACAGAACCAAAGACAAAAACCACATGATTATCTCAATAGATGCAGAAAAGGCCTTTGACAAAATTCAACAACCCTTCATGCTAAAAACTCTCAATAAATTAGGTATTGATGGAACGTGTCTCAAAACAATAAGAGCTATCTATGACAAACCCACGGCCAATATCATACTGAATGGGCAAAAACTGGAAGCATTCCCTTTGAAAACTGGCACAAGACAGGGATGCCCTCTCTCACCACTCCTATTCAACATAGTGTTGGAAATTCTGGCCAGGGCAATCAGGCAGGGGAAGGAAATAAAGGGTATTCAATTAGGAAAAGAGGAAGTCAAATTGTCCCCTTGTGCAGACGACATGATTGTATATCTAGAAAACCCCATTGTCTCAGCCCAAAATCTCCTTAAGCTGATAAGCAACTTCAGCAAAGTCTGAGGATACAAAATCAATGTACAAAAATCACAAGCATTCTTATACACCAATAACAGACAAACAGAGAGCCAAATCATGAGTGAACTCCCATTCACAATTGCTTCAAAGAGAATGAAATACCTAGGAATCCAAATTACAAGGGACGTGAAGGACCTCTTCAAGGAGAACTACAAACCACTCCTCAAGGAAATAAAAGAGGATACAAAGAAATGGAAGAACATTCCATGCTCATGGGTAGGAAGAATCAATATCGTGAAAATGGCCATACTGCCCAAAGTAATTTACAGATTCAATGCCATCCCCATCAAGCTACCAATGACTTTCTTCACATAATTGGAAAAAACTACTTTAAAGTTCATATGGAGCCAAAAAAGAGCCCACATTGCCATGTCAATCCTAAGCCAAAAGAACAAAGCTGGAGGCATCATGCTACCTGACTTCAAACTATACTACAAGGCTACAGTAACCAAAAACAGCATGGTACTGGTACCAAAACGGAGATATAGATCAGTGGAACAGAACAGAGCCCTCAGAAATTATGCCGCATATCTACAACTATCTGATCTTTGACAAACCTGAGAAAAACAAGCAATGGGGAAAGGATTCCATATTTAATGAATGGTGCTGGGAAAACTGCCTAGCCATATGTAGAAAGCTGAAACTGGATCCATTCTTTACACCTTATTTAAAAATTAATTCAAGATGGATTAAAGACTTAAATGTTAGATGTAAAACTATAAAAACCCTAGAAGAAAACCTAGGCATCACCATTCAGGACATAGGCATGGGCAAGGACTTCATGTCTAAAACACCAAAAGCAATGGCAACAAAAGCCAAAATTGACAAATGGGATCTAATTAAACTAAAGAGCTTCTGCACAGCAAAAGAAACCACCATCAGAGTGAACAGGCAACCTACAGAAGGGAAGAAAATTTTTGCAACCTACTCATCTGACAAAGGGCTGATATCCAGAATCTACAAAGAACTCAAACAAATTTACAAGAAAAAAACAAACAACCCCATCAAAAAGTGGGTGAAGGACATGAACAGACACTTCTCAAAAGAAGACATTTATGCAGCCAAAAAACACATGAAAAAATGCTCACCATCACTGGCCATCAGAGAAATGCAAATCAAAACCACAATGAGATACCATCTCACACCAGTTAGAATGGCCATCATTAAAAAGTCAGGAAACAACAGGTGCTGGAGAGGATGTGGAGAAATAGGAACACTTTTACACTGTTGGTGGGACTGTAAACTAGTTCAACCATTGTGGAAGTCAGTGTGGCGATTCTTCAGGGATCTAGAACTACAAATGCCATTTGACCCAGCCATCCCATTACTGGGTATATACCCGAAGGACTATAAATCATGCTGCTACAAAGTCACACACACACATATGTTTATTGTGGCTCTATTCACAATAGCAAAGACTCGGAACCAACCCAAATATCCAACAATGATAGACTGGATTAAGAAAATGTAGCACATATACATCATGGAATACTATGTAGCCATAAAAAATGATGAGTTCATGTCCTTTGTAGGGACATGGCTGAAATTGGAAATCATCATTCTCAGTAAACTGTCACAAGAACAAAAAACCAAACACCGCATATTCTCACTCATATGTGGGTACTGAACAATGAGAACACATGGACACAGGAAGGGGAATATCACACTCTGGGGACTGTTGTGGGGTGGGGGGAGGGGGGAGGGGGTAGCATTAGGAGATATACCTAATGCTAAATGACGAGTTAATGGGTGCAGCATACCAGCATGGCACATGTATACATATGTAACTAACCTGAACATTGTGTACATGTACCCTAAAACTTAAAATATAATAATAATAAAATAAAATAAAAAATAAAGGTTCAACTCTGTGAGATGAATCCACACATTGCAAAGCATTTTTACAGATAGCTTGTTTCTAGTTTTTCTCACAGAATAATCAGTTTTTGACTATAGGCTACAATGGGCTTCAAAATATGGCTTTGTAGATTCCACAATAACAGTGCTTCAAATCTGCTTAATCAAAGCAAAGGGTTGATTCTGTGAGATGAATCCACACATTATAAAGCATTTTCACATGTATCTTGTTTCTACTTTTTATCATGGGATATGTGTTCATTTACTATAGGCCTCACTTGGCTCTCAAATGTGACTTCTTAGATTCTACAAAAAGAGTATTTTCAACCTGCTGATTGAAAACAAAGGTTTAACTCTGTGAGATGAATCTGCACATTGCAAAGCATTTTCACAGATAATTTGTGTCTCCTTTTTGTCTCTGGACTTTTGGTTTTTCACTACAGGCCTCAGTTGGCTCCAAAATGTCCCTTTGTAGATTCTAGAAAAAGAGTGTTTCCAAATTGCTGAATCAAAACAAAGTTTAACTCTGTGAGATGAATGCAAAAATCAAAAAACATTGTCACAGATAGCTTGTTTCTAGTTTTTATCATAGGATATTTTGTTTTCCACTGTAGGCCTCAGTGGGCTCTGAAATGTCCCTTTGCAGTTTCTACAAAAAGAGTGTTTCCAAACTGCAGAATCAAAACAAAGTTTTAACTCTGTGAGATGAATCCATACATCGCAAAGCAGTTTCACAGATAGCTTGTTTCTAGTTTTTATCATGGGATATTCAATTTTTCTCCATAGGAATAAATGGGATTTGACATATCCCTTTGTAGATTCTACAGTAAGAGTGATTCCAAAGGTTAAATTAAAACTAAGGTTTAAATATGTGAGATGACTGTACACATCACGAAGCATTTTCACAGATACTTGCTTGTAGGGAGACCCCCTGAAACTATTGCTATGGAATAAAAGATGAAATGCTCCTGATTATTGTAAATGCAAAATTGCATGCAGGATTGTAGAAAGACAATGCCAGGTTGGACTGCCAGAATGAGCCAACAACGCATGATGTGCTTCCTCCTGCAGAGAGCCTATGAATGGATGTGCAGTCAGGGAGGTTTCACATCACCAAGATTCCTATCCCAGAAAAGCAGATGTTCATAGCTCTGGGAATGGAATGTGACCCTTGTGGAGAGCCTATAAACAGACGCTTGGGGGGCACCTGTCCATATGGATAAGATAGAGCTATAAACGCCCTTTTCTTGCCATGGCTTTTCTAGGCCTCTTTAAGGTTAAGGCATACTTCCTTCTGAGAATTTCTGGTCTAACAGGTTGTCTAGCTTCACTTCCTGTTTCTACAGATTATTTGTAACCAGCTTTTGCTGCAACTGTTACTGCTGATTAATATCTTGCTAATCATAGGTTATGGAAAGACTGTGTTTCTGTTTTAAGGCTCTGTTAGAAATTACTGATGCACACACTATATTATAAATTCTTATCTCTGTATACTGTATTTCTGCACACAGATGTTATGTTAAAGAATTACTTCATCCCCATGTGACCATCTCACCTCATAATCAAATGACCCTAAATCCCTCACTAACCTATCACCACCCTCACTAAACTTAATAATAAGTGCTGGTATATCCAGTGCATTGTTGGCATCATGGGACCAGAAGGCAGTGACCCCCCTGGATCCAGCTTTCTCTATCTTTTGTGTGTCTATTATTTCTCCACCTGCCAATCCACCTGGGAACAAAGAGAGAGCCCTGTTGCATTGCAGGCTGCTGGCCACATCCCGCAATACTTGCTTCTAGTCTTTACCACAGAAAGTTCATTTTTTCACTACAGGCCTCAATGGGTTCCAAAATGTCCCTTTGTAGATTCTTCAAAAAGAGTGTTTTCAACCTGCCCTTCATAGATTTTACTGATAGAACATTTTCAACCTGATCAATCAAAACAAAAGTTTAACTCTGTGGGATGAATCCCCGCATCGCAAAGGATTTTCTCAAAGAGTTTTTTCTAGTTTTTATTGTGGGATATTTGGTTTTTCACTGTAGGCCTCAGTGGGCTTTGAAATGTCCCTTCATAGATTCTAGAAAACGAGGGTTTCCAACTTGCTGAATCAAAATAAAGGTTTAACTCTGTGAGATGAATTCACACATTGCAAAGGATTTTCTCAATTAGCTGTTTTCTAGTTTTTATGGTGGGATATTAGATTTTTCACTATAGGCCTCAATGGGCTCTGAAATGTCACTTCATAGGATCTAGAAAAGAGTATTTTCAATGTGTCGAATCAAAATGGAGGTTTAACCCTTTGAGACGAATTCATATATTGCAACAAATTTTTGCAGATAGGTAGTTTCTAGTTTTTATCACAGTATATTTGGTTTTTCAGAATAGGCCTATATGGGCTATGAAATGTTTCTTCGTAGATTCTACAAAAGAGTGTTTCCAACCTGCTGAATCAAAGCAAATGTTAAACTCTGTGAAATGAGTGAACACATCACAAAGCATTTTCACAGATAGCTTTTTTCTAGTTTTTATCGCTGGGTATTAGGTTTTTCACTGTAGGCCCCAATGGACTTTGAAACGTCCCTTTTTTTTTTGCTTCTGCAAAAAGAATGTTTTCAACCTACTGAATAAAACTAAAGATTTAACTTTGTGAAATGAATCCACACATCGCAAAGCATTTTCACAGATATTTTGTTTCTAGTTTTTATCATGAGATATTAGGTTTTTCTCTATAGGCCCCAATGGGCTCTGAAATGTTCCTTTGTACATTCTACAAAAAGAGTTTCCAATCTGATGACTCAAAAGAAATGTTTATCTCTGTGAGATGAATGCACACATCGAAGAGCATTTTCACAGATACCTCGTTCCTAGTTTTTATTGCAGAATATTCAGTTTTTCTCTATAGGCTTTAATGCGATTCCAAATGTTCCTTCATAGATTCTACAAAAGAGCATTTCCAACCTGCTAAATCAAAATGATGATGTAACAGTGAGATGAACCCACACATCACAAAGCAATTTCAAATATAGCTTGTTACTAGTTTTTATTGTTGAATGTTCAATTTTTCACTATAGGCCTCAATGGGCTTCGAAATGCCCCTTTGTAGATTCTATAAAAAGAGGGTTTCCAACCTGCTGAATCAAAAAAAAAGTTTACCTATATTTGGTGAATGCACACATCAAGAAGCATTTTCACAGATAGCTTGTTTTTAGTTTTTATCCTGGAATATTTGGTTTTCTACTGTAGACCTGAATGGGCTCCAAAATGTCCCTTTGTAGATTCATAAAAAGAGTTTTTCCAAAGTCCTCTTTGTAGATTTACAAAAAGTGTGTTTTCATCCTGCTGAATCCAAACAAAGGTTTGACTCTGTGAGATGAATCCCCACATTGCAAAGCATTTTCACAGATAGCTTGTTACTAGTTTTTATTGTGGGATATTTGCTTTTTTGACTATGGGTCTAAATAGGTTCCAAACTGTCCCTCTGTAGATTCTACTAAAAGAGTGTTTCCAACCTGCTGAATCAAAAGAAAGGTTTAACTCTTTGAGATGAATGCCCACATCAGAAAAGATTTTCACAGATAGCTTGTTTCTAGTTTTTATCGCAGGATAAGTGGGTTTTCACTCTAGGCCTAAATGGGCTCTGAAGTGTCCCTTCTTAGATTCTACAAGAACAGTGTTTCCTACTTGCTGAATCAAATTAAAGGTTTAACTTTTTTGGGCTAATCCAGACATTGCATAGCATGTTTACAGATAGCTTGAATCTAGTTTTTATCATGGGATGTTGGGTTTTTCACCGTAGGCCTCAATGTGCTCTGAAATGTCCCTATGTTGATTCTACAAAAAGAGTGTTTTCAACCTGCTGAATCCAAACAAAGGCTTAACTCTGTAAAATGAATCCAAACATTGCAAAGCATTTTAACAGATAGCTTTTTTCTAGTTTTAATCACAAAATATTTGATCTTTCACTGTAGGCCTCAATGGTCTATGAAATGTCCCTTTGTAGATTTTACAAAAAGAGTGTTTCCAGCCTGCTGTATTAATACAAAGGCTTACCTCTGTGAGATAAATCCTCACATTGCAAAGTATTTTCACAGATAGATTTTTTTCTAGTTTTTGTTGTGAGATATTCAGTTTTTCAGTATAGGCCTCAATGGGCTTAGAAATGTCACTTCCTATATTCTACAAGAGTGTTTTTAACCTGTTGAATCAAAATGAAGTTTTAACTCTGCAAAATAAATGAACACATCACAAAGCATTTTTGCAGATTGCTTGTTTCTAGTTTTTATTGCTGGATATTTGGTTTTTCACTCCAAGCCTCAATGGGCTCTCAAATGTCTCTTTGAAGATTCTACCAAAAGAGAGTTTCCAACCTGCTGAAACAAAACAACAGTTTAACTCTGTGAGATAAAATCATACATTACAGAACATTTTCAGACATAGATTCTTTGTAGTTTTTATTACGGGACACTTGATTTTTTACTATAGGCCTCAATGGGCTCCAAAATGTCCCCTCGTAGATTGTACAAGAGAGCATTTCCAACTTGCTGAATAAAAACAAAGATTTAACTCTGTAAAATTATTCCACATATGGCCAAGCATTTTCATGGGTAGTTTGTTTAGCTAGTTTTAATGGTGAGATATTTGGTTTTTCACATAGGCTTCAGTGGGCTCCAAAATGTCCCTTCGTAAATTTCACAATAAGAGTGTTTCCAACCTCCCTTTTGTAGGTTTTACACAAAGAGTGTTTTCATCCTGCTGAATCAAAATAAAGGGTTAACTATATGAGATGAATCCACACATCACAAAACATTTTCACAGATAGCTCGTTTCCAGTTTTATAGCAGGATATTTGGTTTTATGACTATGGGGCTCAGTGGGCTCTGAAACGTCCGTTTGTACATTGCATCAAAAGGGTGTTTCTCACCTGATGAATCAAAACAATGTTTAGATCTGCAAGATAAATGCACACATCACAAAGCATTTTCATAGATAGCTTGCTTCTAGTTTTTATTGCGGGATATTTTGTTATTCACTATAGACTTCAACATGTTCTGAAATGTCCTCTCATAGTTTCTACAAGAGTGTTTTTAACCAGCTGAATCAAAACAAAGATTTAACTCTGTGACATAAAATGATGCATTGTAAAGCATTTTCACAGAAAGCTTGTTTCTAGTTTTTATCACAAGATATTCAGTTTTCAGTTTTTTACCTCAGGCATCAATGGGCTCCAAAATGTTCCTTCGTAGATTTTACCAAAAGAGTAATTTTGGCCTGCTGAATCAAAACAAAGGTTTAACTCTGTGAGATGTGTGAGATGAATCCACACATTGCCAAGCATTTTCACAGACAGCTTGTTTCTAATTTTTATTGTGGGATATTCAATTTTTCATTATAGTCCTCATTTTGCTCCAAAATGTCTTTTCATAGATTCTAAGAAAAATAGTGATTCCAACCTACAGAATCAAAAGAAAGGTTTAAAGCTGTGAGATGAAATCACACATTACAGAGCATCTTCAGACATAAATTCTTCCTAGTTTTTCTTATGGGACACTCAAATTTTTACTATAGGCCTCAACGGGCTCCCAAATATCCCCTCATAGATTGTACAAGAGAGTGTTTCCAACTTGCTGAATCAATGCAAAGGTTTAACTCTGTGAGATGAATTTACACATTGCAAAGAATTTTCACAGAGAACTTGCTTCTAGTTTTTATCATGGAATATTCCGTTTTTCTCTATAACCCTCTATAACCCTTTCTGTCAAAGGACTCTGAAGTGTTCCTTCGTAGATGCTACAAAAAAAGTGGTTCAAAAGTGCTGAATCAAAACAAAGTTTTAATTTTGTGAAATTAATCCACACATCGCCAATCATTTTCACAGATAGCTAGTTTCTAGTGTTTATTGCAGGATATTTGAGCCTCAATGGGCTCCAAAATATTTCTTTGTAGATTCTACAAAAGGAGAATTTCCAACCTGCAGAATCAGGAGAAAGGTTTAATTCTGTAAGATGAATCCACATGTCACAAAGCATTTTCACAGATACCTTGCTTCTAATATTTATTGTGGGATATTCTGGTTTCACCATAGGCTTCAAAAGGCTCCAAAATGTCCTTTCTACAAAAAAAGTGTTTCCAACCTTCTGAATTAAAATGAAGGTTTAACTCTATGAGGTGAATTTACACATTGCAAAGCATTTTCACACATAGCTTCTTTCTAGTTTTTATCTCAGGATATCCAGGTTTTCACTATAAGCCTTAACGGGTGTCAAAATGACCCTTGTAGATTCTACAAAAAGATTGTTTCCATCCTGCTGAATGGCAACAAATGTTTAACTGTGTGAGATGAATCCACACATCGCACAGAGTGTTTCCAAACTGCTGAATCAAAACAAACATTTAACTCATTGAGATAAATCCACACATTGCAAAACATTTTCACAGATTGTTTGTAATTTTATCACAGGATATTTGAATTTTCACTATTGGCATTAATGAGAACTGTATTGTCACCAAGTAGATTGAAAAAAATAAGTGTCTCCAACCTTCTGAATAAAAACCAAAATTTAACTATGTGAGATGCATCCATATATCACAAACATATTTACAGAGAGCCTGTTTCTAGTTTTAATCATGGGATATTTGGTTTTTCACTACAGATTTTAATAGGCTCAAAAAGACTCCTCTTAGATTCTATTAAATATGTGTTTCCAACTTGATGTATAATAACAAATATTTAACCCTGTGAAAGAAATCCACACATCACAAAGCTTTTTCACAAATAGCTTGTTTCTAGTTTGTATCACCGGATATTCAGTTTTTCATTATAGGCCTCAATGGGCTGTGAAATGTTTCTTCATATATTCTACAAAAAGAGTCTTTCCAACCTGGTGAATCAAAACAAGGTTTAACTCTGTGAGATGAACCCACATATCACAAAGCATTTTCACAGATAGCTTGTTTCTAGTTTTATCATGGGATATTTGGATTTTCACCACAGGCCTCAGTGGGCTACAAAATGTCCTCTAGTAGTACCAGTTAAGTGTCTTCTACCAGCTGAATCAAAACAATGGTTTAACTCTGTGAGATGAACTCACACATCACAAAGCATTTTCACAAATAGCTTGTTTCTATTTTTTATCATGGGATATTCAGTTTTTTGCTATAGGCTTCAATGGGCTTCAAGAGGTTGTTTCTAGTTTTCATTGCAGGATATTCATTTTTTCAATATTGGTCTCAAAGGTCTCTGAAATATCCCCACATTGGAAAGCTATTTCACAGATAGCTTGCTTCTTGTTTTTGTCACAGGATATATGGTTTTTTGAAATGGGCCTCAATCGGCTCTGAAATGTCCCTTTGTACATTCTACATAAAGAGTGTTTCTAACCTAGCTGAATCAAAAGAAAGTTAAACTCTGTGAGATACAACCACACATTGCAAAGCATTTTCACATATAACTTCCTTAGTTTCCATCACGGGATATTCAGTTTTTCACTATATGCTTCCATGAGCTATGAAATATCCCCTCGTAGGTCTACAGAAAAGGTGTTTCCAACTTGTTGAATCAAAAAAAAAAATATTTAACTTTGTGAGGTAAAACCACACATCACAAGGCATTTTTACAGCTAGATTTTTTTTTTCGTTTTTATCACAGAATATTCGATTGTATAATGTAGGCCTCAATTTGCTCCAAAACTTCCCCTTGTAGATTCTACAAAAAGAGTACTTCCAACCTGCTGAATCACAAGAAAGCTTTAACTCTGTGAGATGAATCCACACATCACAAAGCATTTTCAAAGATAGCCTGTTTCTAGTTTTTATCGTGGAGTATTCGGTTGTTCAGTATAGCCATCTAGCGGCTTTGAAATATTCTTTTTTAGATTCTATAAAAAGAGTGTTTCCAACAGGCTGAATCAAAATAAAGGTTTAAATATGAGAGATAAATTCACACATGGCAAAGCATTTTCACAAATATCTTGTTTCTAGTTTTTATTGTGAGATATTTGGTTTTTCACTACAGGCCTCATTGCACTCTGAAATGTCCCTTCGAAAATTCTATAACAAGAGTGTTTTCAAACTTCTGAATCAAAACAAAGGTATAACTATGTGAAAGGAATGCACACATCACAAAGCATATTTTCAGATAGCTTGTTTCTAGTTTTTAAAGTGGGATATTCAGTTTTTCACCATAGGCATCAGTGGACCTCTTGTAAATATGTCCTCTTATAGATTCTACAAAAACAGTGTTGCCAACCTGCTGAATCAAAACAAACTTTTATCTTTGTGAGATGAATCCACATATTGCAAAGCATTTTCACAGATAGTTTGGAATTTTTTGTTTTTCACTATACGCCTCAATGGGCTCTGAAATCCTTGTCAGATAGCTTGTCCCTTCATAGATTACACACAAAAAAAGTGTTTTCAACCTGCTGATTCAAAACAAAGGTATAACTTTTTGAGAGGAATCTACACATCAAAAATTATTTTCACAGATTGCTTGTTTCAGGTTTATATCGAGGGATATTTGGACTTTTACTATCAGCCTCAATTTGCTCTGAAATGTCTCATAGTAGATTTTACAAAATTGTTTCCCTCCTGCTGAATCAAAACAAAGGTTTAACTCTGTGAGTTGAATCTAAACCTTGCAAAGCATTTTCACAGACAGCTTGTTTCTAGTTTTTATCACAGGATATTCAGTTTTTCAGTATGGGCCTCAATGGGCTCTTTAATGTCAATCTGTAGATTCAAAAAAAGAGTTGCTTCCAACCTACTGAATCAAAACAAAGGTTTAACTCTGTGAGATGAATCCACATGTTGCAAAGAATTTTCACAGCTTGTTTCTAGTTTTTATCACTGGATATTGGGTTTTTCACTGTAGGCTTCAATGGACTCTTAATTGTACCTTCTTAAATGCTACAAAATAAATGTTTCCAACCTGCTGTATATAATCAAAGTTTAACTCTGTGAGACGAATCTACACATCACAAAGCATTTTCACAGTGTCAGATGAATCTACACATCCCAAAGCGTTTTCACAGCTTGTTTCTAGTTTTTATTGTGGGATATTCGGTTTTTCACTATAGGCCTCAAAGGGATCAGAAATGTCTTCCTTTACGTTCTACTAAAATAACGTTTCAAAACTGCAGTATAAAAACAAAGGTTTGACTATTAGAGATAAATCTATACAATGCAAAGCATTTTCACAAATAGCTTGTTTCTAGTTTTTATCACCGGATATTCGGTTTTTCACTATAGGCCTCAATGGGCTACAAAATGTTCCTTTGTAGTTTCTAAAAAAAGTCTTTCCAACCCTACTGAATCAACACAAAGGTTTAACTCTGTGAGATGAATCCACACATCACAAAGCATTTTCACAGGTCGCTTGTTTCAGGTTTTTATTGCGGGATATTCAGTTTTTCACCACATGCCTCAATGGGCTATGAAATGTCCCCTAATAGATTCTACCAATTAAGTGTCTCCAACTGGGTGAATCAAAATAAAAGTTTAACTCTGAGAGATGAATCCACACATTGCAAAGCATTTTCACCGAGAGCTTGTTTCTAGTTTTTATAGCTGGATATTCATTTTTTCAATATTGGTCTCAATGGGCTCCGAAAAGTCCCTTTGTAGATTCTACAAAAAATTTTTTCCAACATGCTGAATCAAAACAAATGTTTAACACTGTGAGATGAATCTTCGCATCACAAAGCATTTTTACAGATAGTTTGTATGTAAATTTTGCCACATTTTGAATTTTTTACTATAAGCTTCAAAAGGCTCTGAATTGTCCCATCTTAGATTCTACTAATAGTGTGTTTCCAATATGCTGTATAGAAACAAAAGTTTAGCTCTGTGACATGAATCCACACATTGCAAAGCTATTTCACAGATAGCTTAGTTCTAGTTTTTAATGATGGGATATTTGGTTTTTCACTATAGGCCTCAATGGACTCCAAAATGTCCCTTCATATATTCTACAAAAAGAATGCTTCCAACCTAGCTGAATCAAAATAAAGTTTAAACTATGTGAGATGAAACCACACATTGCAAAGTATTTTCACATATAGCTTCTTTAGTTTCTATCATGGAATATTCAGTTTTTCACTATAGGCCTCCATGGACTCCAAAATGTCCCTTCATATATTCTACAAAAAGAATGCTTCCAACCTAGCTGAATCAAAATAAAGTTTAAACTATGTGAGATGAAACCACACATTGCAAAGTATTTTCACATATAGCTTCTTTAGTTTCTATCATGGAATATTCAGTTTTTCACTATAGGCCTCCATGGGCTATGAAATGTCCCCTTGTAGATTCTACAAAGAAAAGTGTTTCCAACTTGCTGAATCAAAATAAAGATTTACCTTTGTGAGATGAACCCACATATCACAAAGCATTTTTACAGATAGATTTTTTCTAGTTTTTATTGCAGGATATTAGATTTTATACTATAGGCCTCAATTTGCTCTGAAATTATCCCTTGTAGATTCTACAAAAACAGTATTTCAAACATGCTGAATCAAGACAAAGGTTCAACTCTGTGAGATGAATCCACATATTGCAAAGCATTTTCACAGATAGGTTGTTTATAGTTTTTATTGTGGGGTATTCAGTTTTTCACCATAGGCATCAATAGGCTCCAAAATGTCCCTTCATAGATTCTACGAAAACAGTGTTTTCAACCTGCTGAATCAAAACAAAGGTTTAATATTGTGAGATAAACCCATACATCGCAAAGCATTTTCACTCATAGCTTTTTTCTAGTTTTTACCGTGAGATATGTTATTTTCACTATAGGCCTCAATGAGTCCCAAAATATTCCCTTGTAGATTCTACAAACAAAGAGGTTCCAACCGGCTAAGCAAAACAAAGGTTTAAATTTGTAAGATGAATATACACATTGCAAAGCATTTTCACAGATAAGTTGTTTCTAGTTTTTATCAAGGCATATTTGTTTGTTCACTGTAGGCCTCAATGGGCTATGAAATGTCCCGTCGTAGATTCTACAAAAGGAGTTTCTAACCTGCTGAATAAAAACAAAAGTTCAACTTGTGAGATGAAAATCACACATCACAAAATATTTTCAGAGATAGCTTCTTTATAGTTTTTATCATGGGATATTCGGTTTTTCACTATAGGCCTCAATTAGCTCTGAAATGTCCCTTCGCATATTCAACAACAACAGTGTTTCCAACCTGTGGGATAAAAACATACGTTTTACTCTGTGAAAAGAATCCACATATCACAAAGCATTTTCAGAGACAAATTTTTTATTGAGAAATAATTGCTTTTTTACTATAGGCTTCCAAAGGTGTCAAATGTCCCTTTGTATATTCTACAAAAAAAGTATTCCTAACCTGCTGAATGAACACAAAGGTTTAAATTTGTGAGATGGATTCACACATTGCGAAGCATTTTCACGGATAACTTTTTCCTAGTTTGTATTGTGAGATAATCGATTTTTCAGTATAACCCTCAATTTGCTCCAAAATGTACCTTTGTAGATTGTAGAAAAAGAGTGTTTCCAACCTGCTGAATGACAAGAAAGGTTAAACTCTGTGAGATAAAGTCACACATCACAAAGCATTTTTAGTCATAGCTTCTTTGTAGTTTTTATTGCAGGACATTTGCTGCTGAATCAAAACAAACGTTTAACTCAGTGAGATAAATCCACACATCACAAAGCATTTTCATGGATAGCTTGCTTCTAGTTTTTATTGCGGGATATTTGATTTTTCACTATAGGCCTGAATGGGGTCTGAAATGTTGCTTTGCAGATTCTACAAAAAGAGTGTTTCCAACCTGCTGAATCAAAACAGAGGTTTAACTCTTTGAGATGAATCCACACATTGCAAAACATTTTTACAGATAGTTTGTTTTAGTTTTTATGACAGGATATTTTGTTTTTCACTATAGGAATGAATGGGCTCAATAATGTCCCCTTAGATTGTACTAAAAAATTGTTTCCAAACTGCTCTATAAAAGCAAAGGTTTAACTCTGTGAGATGAATCCACACATCACAAAGCATTTTCACAGACAGTTTGTTTCTAGTTTTTATCACAGGATATTCAGCTTTTCACTATAAGCCTCAAAGGGCTCCGAAATGTTCCTTCATAGATTCTACGAAGAGAGTATTTCTAACCTGCTGAATCAAAACAAACATTTAACTCATTGAGATGAATCCACACATTGCAAAGCATTTTCACAGATTGATTGTAGTTTTATCACAAGATACTCGGTTTTTCACTTTAGGCCTCACGAAGTAGACTGTCACGAAGTAGACTGTAAAAAATAAGTGTCTCCAGCCTGCTGAATAAAACCCAAAATTTAACTCTGTGAGATGCAAACATATATTGCAAAGCATATTTACAGATAGCCTGTTTCTAGTTTTAATTGTGGGATATTGAGTTTTTCACCACAGGCCTTAATGGACTCAAAAAAGACTCCTCTTAGATTCTACTAAATATGTGTTTCCAACCTGTGTATAATAACAAATATTTAACTCTGTGAAAAAGATCCATTTATAGCAAAGCTTTTTCACAAATAGCTTGTTTCTAGTTTTTATTGCAGAATATTCGATGTTTCTCTGTAGGCCTTCAGTGTTCCTTCATAGATTTTACAAAAAGAATCTTTACAACCTGCTGAATCAAAACAAAGGTTTAACTCTGTGAGATGAACCCACACATCACAAAGCATTTTCACAGATAGCTTGTTTCTATTTCTTATCAGTTTTTATTAAGAGGCTTCAATGGGCTCTGAAATTTTCCCTCATAAACTCTATTAAAAGAGTGTTTCCAACCTGCTGAATCAAAACAAAGGTTTAACTTGTGAGATGAATCCACACATCACAAAGCATTTTCACCCATAGCTTATATCTAGTTTTTACTGAGGGTAATTGGTTTTTCACTAAAGGCCTCAATGGGCCCTGAATTGTCCCTTTGTAGATTCAAAGAGTTTCCAACCTGATGAAGCAAAACAAAGGTTTAAATTTGTAAAATGAATCTACACATCACAAAGCATTTTTACAGATAGGTTGTTTCTAGTCTTTATCAAGGGATATTCGATTTTTCACTATAGGCCTCAATGGGCTATGAAATGTCTCCTTGTAGATTCTACAAAAAAAGAGTTTCCAACCTGCAGAATCAAATGAAAAGTTCAACTTCTGAGATAAAATCACACATCACAAAGTATTTTCAGAGGTAGCTTCTTTACAGTTTTTATCGCAGGATATTTGATTTTTCTCTATAGGCCTCAATGAGCTCTGAAATGTCCCTTCATAGATTCTACAACAAGAGTATTTCCAACCTGCAAAATAAAAACAAAGGCTTAACTCTGTGAGATAAATCCACACATCACAAAGCATTTTCACAAATAGCTTCTTTCTAGTTTTCATCATGGCATATTCTGTTTTTCACTATAGGCCTCAGTGCACTTTGAAATATCCCCTCATAGATTCTATAACAAGAATTTTTTCAACCTACAGAATCAAAACACAGGTATAACTCTGTGAGAGAAATCCACATATTGCAAAGCATATTTTCAAATAGCTTGTTTCTGGTTTTTAAAGTGGGATATTCAGTTTTTCACTATAGGCCTCATTGGGCTCAGAAATGTCTCAGAGTAGATCTTAGAAAAAGAGTTTCCTACCTGCTGAATCAAAACAAAGGGTTAAATCTGTGAGATGAATCCAAACCTCACAAAACATTTTCACAGGTAGCTTATTTGTAGTTTTTATTGCAGGATATTTGGTTTTTCAGTGTAGGCCTCAATAGGCTCTGAAATGTCCATTTGCAGATTCCGTAAAGAGAGTGTTTCCAACCTGCTCAATAAAAACAAAGGTTTAACTCTGTGAGACGAATCCACATGTTGCAAGGCATTTTCACAGATAGTTTGTTTCTGGCTTTTATCATGAGACATTCAATTTTTCACTATTGGCCTCAATGGGCTCCAAAATGTCTCTTCGTAGATTCCAGAAAAAAAAGTTTATTTTTTTCTGAATCAAAATAAAGGTTTAACTCTGTGATATCAAATCACACATTGCAAAGCATTTTTCAGATAGCTTGTTTCTAGTTTTTATTGCTGAATATTTGGTTTTTAACTATAAGCTTCAATGGAATCTTAATTGTACCTTCTTAAATTCTACAAAAAGAGTGTTTCTAAACTGCTGTATGTAAATATGGTTTAACTCTGTGAGATGATTGTACACATCACAAAGCATTTTCAAAGAATAGCTTATTTTTAGTTTTTATCGCAAAATATTTGGATTCACACTGTAGGCGTCAATGTGCTCCAAAATGTCCCTTTGTAGATTGTACAAAAACTGTTTCTAACCTGTTGAATCAAAACAAAGATTTAACCCTGTCAGATGAATCTGCACATTGCAAAGCATTTTCACAGATAGCTTGTTTCTAGTTTTTATCGCTGGATATTCGGTTTTTCACTATAGGCCTTGATGGGATCAGAAATGTCTTCCTTTACTTTCTACTAAAAGAGTGTTTGAAAACTGTGGTATAAAAAACAAAGGTTTAACTCTGTGAGCTAAATCCACACATCACAAAGCATTTTCACAGATAGCTTGTTTCTAGTTTTTATCATGGGATATTTAGTTTTTCACTACATGCCTCAATGGTCTTCGAAATGTCTCCTCACAAATTGTACAAAAAGAGAGTTTCCAACTTGCTAAATCAAAACAAAGGTTTTACATTGTGAGAAGAAGCCACATATTGCAAAGCATTTTCACAGATATGTTTTTTCTAGATTTTATCCTGTAATATTCTGTTTTTCACTATAGGCCTCAGTGGGTTCAGAAATGCCCCTTGTAGATTCTACAAAAGAATGTTTCTAACCTGCTTAATCAAAAGAAAAGTTTAACTCTTTGAGGTGAGTCCACATATCACAAAGTATTTTTATAGACAGCTTGTTTCAAGTTTTTATCGCAAGATATTCGGTTTTTCGCTATAGGCCTCAATGGGCTCAGAATTATTTCCTTTTAGATTCTATTAATAGAGTGTTTCCAAAATTCTGTGTAAACACAAAGGTTTAATTCTGTGAGATAAATCTACACATTACAAAGCATTTTCATATATAGCTTGCATCTAATTTTTATCACAGGGTGTTTGGTTTTTCACTATAGGCCTCAAAGGGCTTCAAAATGTCCCTTCATAGATTCCACAAAGAGAGTGTTTCCAACCTCCTGAATCAAAACAAGGTTTTTAACTCTGTGAGATGAATCCACACATTGCAAGGCATTTTCACCGATTATTTCTTTCTAGTTTTTATAGGGGATGTTTGGATTTTACTATAGTCTACAAAGAGCTCAGAAATGTCTTTTTAAAATATTCTCCTTAAAGAGTGTTTCCAACCTGTTGTATAAAACTGTAGGTTTAACTCTGTGAGATAAATCCATACATTGCAAACATTTTCACAGATAGCTTGTTTCTAGTTTTTATCACATGATATTTGGTTTTTCATGAGAGGCCTCAATGGGCTCCTAAATGTCCCTTTGTAGATTCCACAAGAAAAAGCTTTTAATTTGCTGTGTAAAAACAAAGGTTTTACTCTGTGAGATGAATCCACACATTGCAAAGCATTTTCACAGATAGATTATTTCTAGTTTTATTGCTGGATACTCTTTTTTGTTATTGTTGTTGTTGTTCTTGTTTTTATTTTGAGTCAGAGTCTTGCTCTGTCCCCCAAGGCTGAAGTGCAGTCGTGCAATCTTGGCTCACTGCAAGCTCCACCTCCCAGGTTCATGCCATTCTCCTGTCTCAGCCTCCCGAGTAGCTGGGACTACAGGTGCCCACCACCACACCCAGTAAATTTTTTGTATTTTTAGTAGAGACGGGTTTTCACCATGTTAGCCAGGATGGTCTCGATCTCCCGACCTCATGATCCACCTGCCTCAGCCTCCCAAAGTACTGGGATTGCAGGCATGAGCCACCGTGCCTGGCCTGAATACTCTGCTTTTCATTAGAGGCCTCATTAGGCTCTGAAAGATCCCTACATAGAGTCTACAAAATGAATGTTTCCAGCCTGCTGAATCAAAGCAAAAGTTTAATTCTGAGAGATCATTTCACACATTGCAAGACACTTTTAAAGATAAGTTTTTTCTAGTTTTTATTGTGGAATACTCAGGTTTTTTAAATATAGGCCTCAGTGGGCTCTGAAATGTTTCTTTGTAGATTTTACAAAGAGAGTTTTTCCAACCTACTGAATCAAAACAAAGGTTTAACTCTGTGTGAAGAATCTACACATTGCAAAGCATTTTCACAGGTTTCCAATGTGCTTAATCAAAACAAATGTTTAACTCTGTGATACTTTCACTGATAGCTTGTTTCTAGTTTCTGTCATGGGATAATTGGTTTTTGACTATAGGCCTCAATGGGCTTTAAAATGTCTCTTCATAGATTCTACAAAAAGGTGCTTCAAATCTGCTTAACCAAAGCAGAGGGTTAATTCTGTGAGATGAATCCACACATCACAAAGCATTCTCTCATATAGCTTATTTCTATTTTTTATCCCAGGATATTTGGTTTTTTATTATAGGCCTCAGTTGGCTCTGAAATGTGCCTTCTTAGATTCTACAAAAAGAGTGTTTCCAACCTGCTGAATAAAAACAAATGTTTAACTCTGTAAGAAGAGTCCACATATTGCAAAGCTTTTTAACAGATAGCTTGTTTCTAGTTTTTATTATGGAATATTCAGTTTTTCACTAGAGGCCTCAATGGGCTATGAATTGTTTCTTAGTAGATTCTACAAAAAGAGTGTTTTTAACCTGCTTAATCAAAACAAAGGTTTAATTCTGTGAGATTAATCCACACATTTCAAAACATTTTCACAAATAGCTTGTTTTTAATTTTCATAGCGAGATATTCAGTTTTTCAATATACTTCTTTATGAGCTCTGAAATGTCCCTTCGTAGGTTCTACGAAAATAGTGCTTCCAGCTGGCTGAATTAAAAAAAGGTATAACTCTGTGAGAGAAATCTACACATCACAATGCATTTTGACTGACAGCTTGTTTCTAGTTTTAATCATGGTATAATCGGTTTTTGACTATAGGCTTCAAGCTGTTTCAGAATGTCCCTTCGTAGAATCTACAAAAAGAGTGCTTAATTAAAGCAAAGGTTTAACTCTGTGAGATAAATTGACACATCACAAAGAATTTTCAGAGATTGTTTGTTTCTAGTTTTTATAGGGGATATTCTATCCCCTATATTTATATATATATATATATATATATATTTATATATTACAGTAAAAAAAAAGAATTTTTACTGTAATCCACAAAGAGCTTAGAAAGGCCTTCTTTTAGATCCCACTAAAAGAGTGTTTCCAACCTACTGTATATAAATATAGGTTTTACTCTGTGAGACAAATCCACACATCACAAACATTTTCACAGATAACTTGTTTCTAGTTTTTATAGTGGGATATTCTCTTTTTTAGTAGAGGTCTAAATGGGCTCCTAAATGTCCCTCCATAGTTTCTACAAAAAAAGTTTCTAATTTATTGCATAAAAACAAAGGTTTAACTCTGTGAGATGACTCCACACATCACAAAGTATTTTCACAGATAAATCATTCCTAGGTTTTATCGCGGAATACTCTGTTTTTCATTAGAGGCCTCATTGGGCTTTTACATGTCTCATCGTAGATTCTACAAATAGAGTTGTTCAGACCTGCTAAATCAAAACAAATGTTTAACTCTGTGAGATGAATCCACACATTGCAAAGCATTTTCACTGATAGCATGTTTCTAGTTTTTATCGTGGGATATTTAGTTTTTCATTGTAGACCTCAATAGGCTCTGAAATGTGCTTTGGTAAATTCTACAAAAAAAGTACTTTTAAGTTGCTGAATAAAAACAAAGTTTTAACTCTGTGACATGAAATGACACACCATAAAGCATTTTCACAGATAGCTTGGTTCTAGTTTTTATCGTGGGATATTCAGTTTTTTAGTACAGGCCACAGTGGGCTCCAAAATATCCCTTCTTAGGTTCTACAAAACAGTGATTTAAACCTGCTGAATAAAAACACAGGTTTAACTCTGTGAGATGAATCCACACATCACAGGGAATTTTCACAAATAGATTGTTTCTAGTATTCATCACAGGATATTTGTTTTTTTCATATACTTCTTCATGGGCTTCAAAATGTTTCTTTATAGATTCTACAAACAGAGTGTTTTCAACCTGCTGAATCAAAACAAGGTTTAACTCTGTGAGTTGAATCCACACATCATAAAGCATTCTCATATATAGCTTGTTTCTAGTTTTTATCTTGAGATATAAGGTTTTTAACTGTAGGTTTGAATGTTCTCTGAAATGTGCCTTCTTAGATTCTACAAAAAGAGTGTTTTCAACTGGCTGAATCAAAACAAAGGTTTAACTCTGTGAGATGAATCGACACATTGCAAAGCATTTTCACAGATAGCTTTATTCTAATTTTTGTCATGGGATATTGTTTTTACTAATGGCTTTCATGGACTCTGAAATGTGCCTTAATAGATTCTACAAAAAAAGTGTTTCCAACCTGCTGAATCTAAATAAAGGTTTAAATCTGTGAGATGTATCCACACGTTGTGAAGTATTTTCACAGATAGCTTGTTTGTAGTTTTTATCACAGGATATTTGGTTTTTCACTATAGGCCTCAATAGGCTCCCATATGCCCCCTCATAGATTGTAAAAAAAAGATGGTTTTTAATGTGCTGAATCAAAACAAAGGTTTAACTCAGTGAGATGAATCCACACATCACGAAACATTTTCACAGATAGCTTATTTCTCATTTTTATCACAGGATATTCAGTTTTTCACTATAGGCCTCAATGGGCACCAAAATGTCTTCTCATAGATTCTATAAACTGACTGTTTCCAACCTGCTTAATCAAAACGAAGGTTTAACTCTGTTATATGAATCCAGACGTCCCAAAGCATTTTCACAGATAGTTTGTTTCTAGTTTCTATCTCTACATATTTTGGTTTTCACTATAGACTTCAATGAGCTTTGAAATGTTTCTTCGTAGATTCTACAAAGAGTTTTTCCAACCTGCTGAATTAAAGCAAAGGTTTAACTCTATGAAATGAATGCACATATCCCAACGCATTTTCACAGATAGCTTGTTTCTTGTTTTCATCATGGGATATTCGGCCTTTCATTGTAGTCTTCAATGGGGTTTAAATGGCTCTTAGTAGATTCTACAAAACAAGTGTTTCCAACCTGCTGAATGGAAACAAATGTTTAACTCTGTGAGATCAATCCACAGAATGCAAAGCATTTTCACAGATAGCTTGTTTGTACTTTTTATGGCAGGATATTTTGTGTTTCAATATACTCATCCATGGGCTTCTAAACGTCTCTTCGTATGTTCTACAAAAAGAATGTTTCCAACCTGCTGAATACAAACAAAGCTTTAAATCTGTGAGACAATTCTACACATCACAAGACCTTTTCACAAATAGCTTGTTTCTAGTTTTCATCACATGATATTCAACTTTTCACTGTAGGCCTCAATGAGATCCGTAACGTCCTTTTGTAGAATCTATAAAAAGAGTGTTTTCAGCCTGCTGAATTAAAACAAGGTTTCACTTTGTGAGATGATCCACCCAACCCAAAGCATTTTCACAGATAGCTTATTTCTGCTTTTCATAAAAGTAGATTCGCTTTTTCCGTACCTTTCTCCATTGGCCCTGAAATGTCCCTTCACAGATTCTACAAAAAGAGTGTTTTCAACTGCTGAATTAAAAAAAAGGTTTAAATCTGTGAGATGAATCCACACATCACAAAGCATTTTCACAGAAAGCTTGTTTGTAGTTTTTATTGTGGGATATTTGAGTTTTCACTATAGGCCTCAGTGGGCTTCAGAATATCTTTTCTTAGATTCTACAAAAAAACATGTTTCCAACCTGCTGAATCAAAATAAAGGTTTCACTCTGTGAGACGAATCCACACATCACAAAGCATTTCCACAAATAGTTTTTTTCTAGTTTTTATCACAGGATAATTGATTTTTCACTATTGTCCTAAATGGCCTTCGAAATGTCCCTACTTAGAATCTACAATATAAGTGTTTTCAACCTGTTTAATCAAAACATAGGTTTAACTCTATGATGTGAATCCACACATCACAAAGCATTTTCACTGTTAGCTTGTTTCTAGTTTCTATTGAAGGATATTCAGTTTTTCACTATACAACTCAATGGGCTCCGAAATGTCCCTTTGTAGATTCTACAAAAAGAGGGTTTCCAACCTGCTAAAAAAAAAAAAAAAAGTTTAACCTGTGAGATGAACCCACACATTGCAAAGTATTTTCACTGATAGCTTGTTTCTAGTTTATATCTCGGAATATTTATTTTTTTTTACTAAGAAATTAGGTATTGATGGGACGTATTTCAAAATAATAAGAGCTATCTATGACAAACCCACAGCCAATATCATACTGAATGGGCAAAAACTGGAAGCATTCCCTTTGAAAACGGGCACAAGACAGGGATGCCCTCTCTCACCACTCCTATTCAACATAGTGTTGGAAGTTCTGGCCAGGGCAATTAGGCAAGAGAAGGAAATAAAGGGTATCCAATTAGGAAAAGAGGAAGTCAAATTGTCCCTGTTTGCAGATGACATGATTCTATATCTAGAAAACCCCATTGTCTCAGCCCAAAATCTCCTTAAGCTGATAAGCAACTTCAGCAAAGTCTCAGGATACAAAATCAATGTACAAAAATCACAAGCATTCTTATACACCAACAACAGACAAACAGAGAGCCAAATCATGAGTGAACTCCCATTCACAATTGCTTCAAAGAGAATAAAATACCTAGGAATCCAACTTACAAGGGATGTGAAGGACCTCTTCAAGGAGAACTACAAACCACTGCTCAAGGAAATAAAAGAGGATACAAACAAATGGAAGAACATTCCATGCTCATGGGTAGGAAGAATCAATATCATGAAAATGGCCATACTGCCCAAGGTAATTTACAGATTCAATGCCATCCCCATCAAGCTACCAATGACTTTCTTCACAGAATTGGAAAAAACTACTTTCAAGTTCATATGGAACCAAAAAAGAGCCCGCATCACCAAGTCAATCCTAAGCCAAAAGAACAAAGCTGGAGGCATCACACTACCTGACTTCAAACTATACTACAAGGCTACAGTAACCAAAACAGCATGGTACTGGTACCAAAACAGAGATATAGATCAATGGAACAGAACAGAGCCCTCAGAAATAATGCTGCATACCTACAACTATCTGATCTTTGACAAACCTGAGAAAAACAAGCAATGGGGAAAGGATTCCCTATTTAATAAATGGTGCTGGGAAAACTGGCTAGCCATATGTAGGAAGCTGAAACTGGATCCCTTCCTTACACCTTATACAAAAATCAATTCAAGATGGATTAAAGATTTAAACGTTAGACCTAAAACCATAAAAACCCTAGAAGAAAACCTAGGCATGACCATTCAGGACATAGGCATGGGCAAGGACTTCATGTCCAAAACACCAAAAGCAATGGCAACAAAAGACAAAATTGACAAATGGGATCTAATTAAACTAAAGAGCTTCTGCACAGCAAAAGAAACTACCATCAGAGTGAACAGGCAACCTACAAAATGGGAGAAAATTTTCGCAACCTACTCATCTGACAAAGGGCTAATATCCAGAATCTACAATGAACTCAAACAAATTTACAAGAAAAAAACAAACAACCCCATCAAAAAGTGGGCGAAGGACATGAACAGACACTTCTCAAAAGAAGACATTTATGCAGCCAAAAAACACATGAAAAAATGCTCATCATCACTGGCCATCAGAGAAATGCAAATCAAAACCACAATGAGATACCATCTCACACCAGTTAGAATGGCCATCATTAAAAAGTCGGGAAACAACAGGTGCTGGAGAGGATGTGGAGAAATAGGAACACTTTTACACTGTTGGTGGGACTGTAAACTAGTTCATCCATTGTGGAAGTCAGTGTGGCGATTCCTCAGGGATCTAGAACTAGAAATACCATTTGACCCAGCCATCCCATTACTGGGTATATACCCAAATGACTATAAATCATGCTGCTATAAAGACACATGCACACGTATGTTTATTGTGGCATTATTCACAATAGCAAAGACTTGGAACCAACCCAAATGTCCAACAATGATAGACTGGATTAAGAAAATGTGGCACATATACACCATGGAATACTATGCAGCCATAAAAAATGATGAGTTCATGTCCTTTGTAGGGACATGGATGAAATTGGAAATCATCATTCTCAGTAAACTATCGCAAGAATATTTTTTTTTACTATAAGCCTTAATGGGCTCTAAAATTTTTCTTTGTAGATTCTATGAAAAGAGTGTTTCCAGTCTGTTAAATCAAATGAAAGGTTTAACTTTGTAAGATGAATCTACACATCACAAAGCATACTCACAGATAGCAAGTTTCTAGTTTTTCCACAGGATATTTGTTTTTTCACTATAGGCCTCAATGGGCTCTGAAATGTTTATTCGTAGATTCTACAAAATAAATGTTTCTAATCTGCTGAATCAAAAGAAAGGTTTAAATCTGTGAGATGAGTCCACACATCACAAAGCATTTTCACAGATAGCTAGATAGCTTGCTTCTAGTTTTTACTGCAACATATTCGGTTTTTTAATACAGGCCTCCATGGGCTTCAATATGTCCCTTTGTAGATTCTACAAAAGAGTGTTTCCAAACTGCTAATTTAAAACAAAAGTGTAACAGTATGACATTATTTCACATATCACAAAGCAGTTACACAAATAGGTTGTTTGTAGCTTTTATCGCGAGATATTCCTTTTTTTTACTACAGGCTTCAATGTGCTTTGAAATATCCCTACTTAGATTCTACAAAAAATGTGTTTCCAACCTGATGAATCACAACAAAGGTTTAACTCTGTGAGATAAATCCACACATTGCAAAGCCTTTTGACAGATAGCTTGCATCAAGTTTTTACTGTGGGATATTGTTTTTCTCTATAGGCATCAACGGGCTCCAAAATGTTCCTTCATAGAGTCTACAAAAAAACGTTCCCTAACTGCTGAGTCAAAATAAAGATTTAATTTCATGAGATAAAGCCAGACTAATAGTGTTTCTAGTTTCTATCACAGGATAATCTGTTTTTCACGTTAGGCCTCAATTTTCTCTGAAATGTCCCCTCATAGATTCTAGAAAAAGAGTGTTTCCAACCTGATGAATCACAAAAAAGCTTTAACTCTGTGAGATGAAATCACACATTGAAAAACATTTTCAGACATAGCTTCTTTTTAGTTTTTATCGCAGGATATTTGGTTTTTCACTCTAGGCCTCAATGGATTTTGAAATGTCTCCTTATAGATTGTACAAAAAGAGTGTATCCAACCTTCTAAATCAAAATTAAGGCTTAACTCTGTGAAATAAATCCACATATCACAAAACATTTTCACCATATCCACTATTAAGAAAACTCTTGCTCCCCACTTCTATTGGAGGGCTGCATGATTTTTATAAAATGAGAAGCAGGCAGCCTTATCTGGGTTTTGCCTGGTAATCTAGGCTCTGTTTCATTTAATCTGCACGTCCTTTCCTTTCGTGCAGTGAGCCTTTCATTGGGCTGTTAATGAATGGGACTGCCTCTTGCCACAGATCCTTTCGCTGCCAGAGATTTCTGGTAGCAAATGGAATTTCGGATAGGCTGGCTACACTCCATGTTGTGGGTAGTGGTCTTGTTTTGGGGGGCTGGGATTGTTTACACTTTGCAAGAATCTCTTGGGTTCTCTGGCAGGAATCCTTGAACATGGCTTGGACTCCAACACAGGCACTCCCATTCTCCCAGGCGAGCCTTGAGTTTTCTTTGCATTCATGGGGGGTCCACAGTGCCTTTCAACAGTACTCCTGGACACCCTTTTCAGGCTTGCAATCACCCCAGATGGCCTCTGAGACACTCTGTCAACCTCATCTGCCCTCGTGGGATGCCAGTTTGAGGTGTGAGACCTCTGCTCCACCTTGGACTTGCCTTTTTGGTGGTTCCTGCCTTTCCCAGAGAGCCGTGCTGAGAAGCAGGAGCCCCTGCAAGGCCCAGGACAAAGTTAGACAGTGAGCTCAAGGGCATGGACATCTTTTGCTGACAACCGACTCTGGGGTTTCAGATATGACTCCAGCACCTGGAGACTGCTCAACAGTCTACAATACAGTATTCCCCTTCCCATGGGACCCGATTGCTGCACAGAGCTTCTTTCGGGGATGGAGTCAGAAGAGCAGTTTTCAGCACCCATCTCACAGTCTCCGAATGCCTTCTGCTCCAGTAGGACCTGACCATGGAGACGGCGGAGGAGGCCCTATAGTTGAGACTTTTAGGGTCCCGCAGTGATTGTCGCAGGCAGCCTTTTCCCGAGACAGGCCTGCTCTCCCTGTATCATTTTCCTCTGCTTAGGCAGGCTGACAGCCCTGACAGCCCGGTGCCCAGGCATGCCTCACAAATGCACATGCGTCAGGCTCAGGGCACCAGGCGCGAGCCGTGAGCCATGGCTCTCCTCACAGTGAAAGTCACCGTTGCCTGGCGACAAGTCCATGAGGCATGGAGGGGAAGGAGGACTCTGTGGACGTCGTCAGCGATGTACTCTCGCCTGTCTTCTCTGGGGATCCATGAAATAGCGCCAGGATCCTAGGAGATGGTACCGGCGAGCCAGCCTGAAGAAACGTCAAGCAGAGCCCAGGAATAAACCATGAAATTCCTAAGGATACAAAAAGATCTGCAGGATGTTTCAGGCATGTCTAGAGAGGGTGGGGGTGAATCTTTTTGAAACTTGCCCCTCAGTGATTTCTAGGTAAAGCCCGCCTGTGTTCCTTGGGGCTGCTCTCTCCCAGGAGGGGCTTCCTGCAGAACTGCGCAGCCTCGGAATTTTCCGGGCTGTGTGTTTCTGTGGGAGTGTTGTGTTGGATGTCTGCGTGTGTCTGTTGCTGTGCGTGTGTGTGTGTCTGTGTGTGCCTGTAAGTGGCGTCTACTGAAAGGAAAGGGGCTCACGCACTGGAACACCTTTTTTTTTTTCCGAGTCACCCTGCCTTCTAGTGCACCTGTCCATGTAGCTCTGCTGTGGCAGCGGGGCTCCATGTATTTGTTTTACCGTGGTTCCTGAATCCGCGGTGAATTTGGGGGCTTGCTGAGACCCGACAGGGTCCAAATCACCTCCCCCTGCAAAGAAGCCACTTTTCTAGAAAGAAGAGGAGCACACCACACCCAACAACAGACACCTCCCAGAGCCTCATTTTCCTGTGGCCAACACAGGGCCAGACTCTAGCAGTCCTGTCCGCTGGGCCCCTTGAATCTACCTCAAATTTGGTTCCCAGTGGAGAAGGTGATTCACGTCGTGAGGTACACAATTCTCCATCGTCTTGGGATTTCATTCTGGGATGAAGAATGTGAGCAGCAATCAGGTAGATAGGGGTGAGGATACAATCTGGTTAGGTGTGGATGGGGTCCCGCACCTTCACCTGCAAAAAACGTGCCGACAGATGACATGGAAGGTGCTTCCAACTCCATCCTTGCATTGCCTCTTTTGCACAAGCAGTTCACACCATGGCCTGGTGCTCAGGAGGGAGTACTCCAAGGTGTAGGGAAGAGTTGGAGCGCAAACTGGGGCCATTCTGGCCAGCTCCCAATTTCAGCTTTCATTTCCAGAGCCACATGAATGTGGGACGGATTGATGCTGGGTGGGTTGTGGCCTCCGCAGTGGCCTACTGTTTTCCTGACTTCCAACTTCCTCATGGGCCTGGGGTTTCCTCAGTTAGGCTCAAAGTCTTCCACAGTAAATGTTTCCCAGTTCGTGGAGGATGACCCTCATGGGAATCCATTGCAAGAGTGCTTCCTTCTAAACACTGTCACGTTTTAATGACTGGGCAGCTGTGATATTTTTGGAAGCGTAGATTTCCATTATATTCGCCAAAAAGAAAACTCCTGTTCTCCTTCTATTGGAGGGCTGCATGATTCCTGTAGGATGACAAGCAGGCAGCCGTGTCTGGCTTTTGCCTGGTAATCTAGGCTCTGTTTCATTTCATCTGCACGTCCTTTCTTATTGTGGAAAGGGTCTTTCATTGGGCTGTTGCTGGGTGGGACTGCCTCTCGCCACAGATCTTTTGGCTGCCAGGTATTTCAGGGAGCAAAAGAAAGTTTGTGTAAGCTGGCTGCACTCCAGGTTGTGGGTAGTGGTCTCGTTGTGGGGACTGGGGTTGTTTGAACTTTGTAGGAGGCTGTTTGGACCTCCAGCAGGAATACTTGAACATGGTGAACTCAGCACAACTCCGCTTGTTCTCCCAGGCGAGACTTGATTTTTCTTTGCTTTCAAGGGGTTCCACAGAGCCCCTCAACAGCACTCCTGGACACCCTTTTCAGGCTTGCAATGGCCCCAGATGGCTTCTGAGACACTCTCTCAGCCTCATTTGCACCCGTGAGAGGCCAGTTCTAGGTGTGAGACCTCTGCTCCACCTTGGACTTGCCTTTATCTTGGTTCCTGCCTTTCCCAGAGAGTCATGCTGAGAAGCAGGAGCCCCTGCGAGGCCCAGTGTGAAGGGAGTCAGTAAGCTCAAGGGCCTGGCAATCTTCTGCTGACACCAGCCTCTGGGATTGCAGGTATCTTTCCATCACCCAGAGACCCTTCAGCAACTCACCAGACTGTATACCCATTCCCATGGGACCCGATTCTTGATTCTTGCACAGCCTCTTTCAGGAATGGAGTCAGAAGAGCAGTTTCCAGTGCCCACCTGACAGTCTCAAAATGCCTCCTTCTCCAGCAGGACCTGACCATGGAGACGGCCCAAGGAGGCACTATGGTTGAGACTTATAGGGTCCCGCAATGAATCGTTTCTGGCAGCCTTTTTCCTGAGACCAGGCCTGCTCTGCCTGTACCATTTTCCTCTGCTTAGGCAGGCTGACTGTCCTGACAGCCAGGTGTGTGTCGCGAATGCGCATGCGCCAGTCTCAGAACACTAGGTGCCAGCGGTGACCAGCGGCTGACGGCACAGTGAATGCCACCGCTGCCTGGTGACAAGTCCCTGTGGCTTGAAGTAGAAGGAGACCTCTATGGACCTGCGTCAGCGTTGGACTGTAGCTTGCCTTCTCTGGGGGATCCACGGGATAGTCCCACAATCCTACGAGAGGGCAGGGGTCAGCCAGCCTGAAGAAACATCAAGGGGAGCCCCAGGAATAAACTGTGAAATTCCTAAAGATCCAAAGGGCTCTGCAGGAGGGTCAGGCCTACCTTACGGTGTAGGGGTGAGTCTTTTTGAAACTTGCCTCCCCACTGTGATTTCTAGGTACAGCCCGCCTGTCTTCCCCAGGCCTTCTCTGTCCCAGAAGGGGCTTCGGGCAGAACCGTGCAGCCTCAGAAGCTGCCAGACTGTGTTTCCATGAGCGTTGGGAGTGTTGGATGTCTGTGTGTGTGTGTGGCTGTGTGTGTGTGCATGTAAGTGGACTGTCCTGAAAGGCCTGTGGCTAACGCACTGCAGCACTTTTTTTTTCCAGTCGCCCCAACTTCTGGTGTGCCTTTCTGTGTGGCTCTGCTTGAGCTGTGGGGCTCCCTGTCATTGGTGTTTCCATGGTTCCTGAATCCGTAGTGAATTGGGGGGCTGGCTGAGACCTGTCGGGGTCCAAATCACCTCCACCTGCAAAGGTTCCACTCTTCTAGAAAGAAGAGGAGCACATCACACCGAAGAACAAACAAATCCCAGCGCCTCATTTTCCTGCAGCCAACCAAGGGCAAGACCCAAGCAGTCCTGTCAGCAGGGCCCCTTAAATCCACCTCAAATTCGGTTCCTAGTGGAGCAGGTGCTCCACTTCGTAAGGTGGGCACCCTTCCATTGTCTTGATATTTCATTCTGGGATGGAGAGTGTGAGCAGCAATAAGGTCAGACAGGGGTGAGGATAAAATCTGGCAACTTGTGGTTTTGGTCCCGCACCTTCACCTGCAAAAAAGGTGCAGACCCGATGACACAATAGGTGCTTCCAACTCCATCCACACATTCCCTTCATTGCACAAGCAGTCCACACCATGGCCCAATGCCCAGGTTGGAGGACTACAACATGTAGGGAACAGTTGGAGTGCAAAGTGGGGCCACTCTAGCCAGCTCCTGATTTGGGCTTTTATTCCTGGAGCCACATGGGAGTGGGATGGATTGATGCTGGGTAGGAGGTGGCCTCCGCACTGGCCTACTGTTTTTCTGACTTACAAGTTTCTCGTGGGCCAAAGGTTTCCTGGGTTAGGCTCTAAGTCTTCCACAGTAAACATTTCCCAGTTCAGGGATGACGACTCTCATGGGGATCAATTGCATGAGTGTTTCCTTCTAAATACTGTCAAGTTTTAATGACTGGGCAGCTGTGATACTTTTGGAAGCATAAATTCCTGCAATATTCACAAACAAGAAAACTCTTGTTCTTCCAGTTTTATCAGAGGGCTGCATGTTTTATGTAGCTTGAGAAGCTTGCAGCCTTGTCTGGCTTTTGCCTGGTAATCTAGGCTCTGTTTCATTTCATCTGCATGTCCTTTCTCATTGTGAAAAGGGTCTTTTATTGGGCTGTTGTTGGGTGGGACTGCCTCTTGCCATGGATCTTTTGGCTGCCAGGTGTTCCAAGGAGCAAAAGAAACTTCGGGTAGGCTGGCTGCACTCCAGGTTGTAGGTAGTGGTCTTGTTGTGGGGGCTGGGGTTGTCTGCACTTTGCAGGAGGCTGTTGGGTCTTCTGGCAGGAATTCTTCAAAGCAGCTTGGACTCCAGCACAGACCCTCTTGTTCTCCCAATCGAGCCTTGATTTTCCTCTGCTTTCATGGAGGAGTCCACAGTGCCCCTCGACAGCACTTCTGGACACAATTTTCAGGCTTGCAATCACCTCAGATGGCCTCTGAGACACTCAACGTCATCTGCACCCATGAGAGGCCAGTTCCTAGTCTGAGACCTCTGCTCCACCTTGGACTTGCCTTTGTCATGGATCCTCCCTTTCCCAGAGAGCCGTGCTGAGAAGCAGGAAACCCTGAGAGGCCCAGGATGAAGGAAGGCAGGGAGCTCAGTGGCCCAGCCATCTTCCACTGACACCCGCCTCTGGACTCTCAGGTATGATTCCATCACCCGGACACCCCTCAACAACTCACCAGGTTGTATTCCCACCCCCATGTGACCCAATTCCTGCATACAGCCTCTTTCGGGAATGGAGTCAGAAGAGCAGTTTCCTGCGCCCAGCTGACATTATTGAAACTCCTCCCCCTCCAGCGCAACGCAACCACTGAGATGATCCTAGGAGGCCATATTATTGAGAGTTTTAGGATCCCGGCAGTGGTTGTCCCAGCAGACTTTTTCCCAAGACCAGGCTGGCTCTGCCTGTACCATTTTTCTCTGCTTAGGTAGACTGACTGCCTTGACATACCAGCTTCCGAGGCTGCCTCAAAAATGCACACGCACCAGTCTCAGGGCACCCGGTGTGAGCGGTGAGACAAGGCTCAGGTCACAGTGAACGCCACCATTGCCTGGTAACAAGTCCCTGTGGCTTAGTGGAAAAGACCTCTATGAACGTGCGTCGGCACTGGACTCTGCCATCTTCTCTGGGGGATCCATGGGATAATCCCACAATCCTAGCAGTTGGCAGCGGTGAGTCAGCCTGAGGAAATCTCAAGTGGAGCCCCAGAAATACACCGCAAAATCCCTAAGGGTCCAAAAAGATCTGCAGGATGCGTCAGGCTTGCCTTGGTGGTGTGCAGTGAGTCTTCTTGAAAGTTCTCCCACTATGATTTCTAGGTACAGCTTGGCTGTGTTCCCTGGGAATGCTCTCTTGCTGGATGGACTTCCTGGTGAAGCAGAACTGCTCAGCCTCAGAAGCTGCCAGGCTGTGAGTTTCTGTGGGAGTGTTGCAAGTGATGGATGTCTGCCTGTGTGTGGCTGTGTGTGTGTGTGTGTGTCTGTGGGTGTGTAAGTGGCGCCTGCTGTAAGAAATGTGGCTCATGCACTGGAACTCTTTTTATTTTGAGTAACCCCACCTTCTGGTGTGCCTGTGTGGCTCTGCTTGGGTTACTGGGCTGCGTGTCCTTTTTTTTTTTTTTTCCGTGGTTCCTCAATCCCTGGTGATTTGAGGGCTGGCTGAGGTCCGCAGTGGTCTAAATCACCTCCCCCGGCAAAAGAACCACTCTTCTAGAAAGAACAGAAGCACACCACATCCAAGAACAGACACCTCCCAGGGCCTCATTGTTCTGTGGCCAACCCACTTCCAGTCCCTAGCAGTCCTGTCCGCTGGGCCCCTTCAATCCACCTCAAATTCGGTTTTCAGCTGAACTGTGCTTGAAGTCATGAGCCAGGCACTCCTCCATCATCCTGAAGTTTCATTGTAGGATGAAGAGTGTGAGCAGCAATAAGGTTAGATAGGGGTGAGGATACAATCTGGTGGGGTGTGGATAGGGTCCCACAACTTAACCTGCAAAAAAGGTGCAGAGAGATGACACAGAAAGTGCTACCAACTCCATCCCCCCATTCCCTTCCTTGCACAAGCTGTCCACAACATGGCGTGGTGCCCAGGTGGGAGGACTCCAACTTGTGGGGAACAAAAAAAAAGTTTAACTGAATAAAAAAAAAAAGGTTTAACACAGTAAGATGAATCCACAAATCACAAATCATTTACACAGATAGCTTGTTTTTGGTTTTTATCCCAGGATATTAGGTTTTTCAGTATATACCTTAATAGGCTCTGAAATGTACCTTCGTAGATTCTACAAAAAAGTGTTTTCAACCTGTTATATCAAAACAGTGGTTTAACTCTGTGAGATGAATACACACATCGCAAAGCATTTTTACAGATAGATAGTTTTTAGCTGTTATCACGAAATATTCGGTTTTTTACTTTAGGCCTCAATGTTCACCAAAATGTCTTTTTTGTATATTCTACAAAAGAGTATTCCCAACCTACTTAATGAAAATAAAGGTTTAACACTGTGAGATGAATCCACACAAGCAACGCATTTTCACTAATAAATTTTTGCTGGTTTGTATTGTGGGATAGTCAGTTTTTCAATATACTCATCCATGGGCTCCGAAATGCCTTTTAGTAAATTCTTTAAAAAGAGTGTTTCCATCATGCTGAATCAAGGTAGTTGTTTCTCGTTTCCATTGTTGGATATTCTAGTTTAAACAGTAGGCCACAATGCACTCTGAAACATCTCTTCAAAGATTCTACAAAAAGACTGTTTCCAACCTGATTTTTTTTTTTGAAATGTTTAACTCTGTGGGATGAATTAACACATTGAAAAGCATTTTCATAGATAGCTTGTTTCTAGTTTTTGTCTCTGGATATGAGGTTTTACACTGTAGGCCTCAATTGGCTTTGAAATGTGCCCTCGTAGATTCTACAAAAAGAGTCCACATATCCCAAAGCATTTTCACAGATAGTTTGTTTATAGTTTTTATCACAGGATATTTGGTTTTTCTCTGTAGGCCTGAATGGGCTTTGAAATGTCCTTTCCTAGATTCTACAATAAGAGTGTTTCCAACTAGTTGATTAAAAAGTAAGGTTTAATTATGTGAAATGAATGCACATATCACAAAGCATTTTCACAGATAGCTTGTTTCTAGTTTTTACCGTGGGATATACTTTTTTTCACTATAGGGCTCAATGGGCTTCAAAATGTCCCTTCGTAGATTCTACAAAAAGAGTCTTGCCAATCTGCTGAATCAAAACAAAGGTTTATCTCTGTGAGCTGAATCCACACATCATAAAGCATCTTCACAGATACCTTGTTTTTAGTTTTTAACATGAAATATTATGTTTTTCAATGTAGGCCTCTATGGGCTCTGAAATGTCCCTTTGTAAATTCTACCAAAAAAGTGTTTACAACCTGCTGAATCAAAACAAAGGTTTAACTATGCTAGATGAATCCATACATCACAAAGTATTTTCACAGACAGTTTCTTGTTTTGTTCACAGGATATTAGGTTTTTCACTGTAGGCCTCAACTGACATCAAAACGTCCCTATGTAGAATTCACAAAAAGAGTGTTTCCAACTTGCTGAATGAACACAAAAGTTTAACTCTGTGATATAAATCCACACATCACCAAGCATTTTGAAATATAGCTTGTTTCTAGTTTTTATTTTGAATTATTTGTTTTTTTGCTATAGGTCTTAGTGAACTCTGAAATGTCACTTTATGAATTGTACAAAAAGAGTGTGGCCAACCTGCTGATACAAAACAAAGATTTAACTCTATGAGATTAATCCACACATTGCAAAGCACTTTTGCAGATATCTTGCTACTAGTTTTAATCACTGGATATTTGGTTTGTCACTATAGGCTTCAATGGGCTCCAAAATGTTCCTTCTTAGGTGCTATAAATAGAGCTTTTGCAACCTGCTGATTCAAAACAAAGGTTTAACTCTGTGAGAAGAATCCACACATTGCAAAGCATTTTCAAAGATAGCTTTTGTCTAGTTTTTATTGCAGGACATTTGGTTTTTCATTACAGGCCTCAATTGGTTCCAAAATATCCCTTTGTAGATTCTATAAAAAAAGTGCTACCAACCTGCTGAATCAAAACAAAGTTTAATGCTGTGAGATAAATCTACAGATCAAAAAACCTTGTCACAGATAGCTTGTTTCTAGTTTTTATTGTGGGATATTCAGTTTTCCACTGTAGGCCTCAATGGGCTCCAAAATGTCCCTTCACTGCCTGTACAGAAAGAGTGTTTCCAATCTGCTGAATCAAAGCAAAGGTTTAACTTTGTGAAATGAATGAAAACATTGCAAAGCATTTTCACAGATAGCTTGTTTCTAGTTTTTATCATGGGATATTCAGTTTTCCCTATAAGCTTCAATGGGCTTTGAAATGTCTCTTCGTAGATTCTACAAAAAGAGCATTTTCAAACTGCTGAAGTAAAACAAAGGTTTAATTCTGTGAAACGAATCCACACACCACAAAGCATTTTCACAGGTAGCCTGTTTCTAGTTTTTATCACAGGATATTTGGTTTTTCTCTATAAAAATAAATGGGCTTCAAAATGTCCCTTCGTTGATTCTACAATACGAGTGATTCCAACCTGTTAAATCAAAACTAAGGTTTAACTATATGAGATGACTGCACACATCACAAATCATTTTCACAGATACTTGTTTCTCATCTTTATCACGGAATATTCATTTTTTCACCACAGGCCACAATAAGCTGTTTTCAACCTGTTGAATCAAAACAAATGTTTATCTCTGTGAGATGAATCCACACATCACAAATCATCTTTACAGATAGCTGATTTCTAGTTTTTATCGTTGGAGATTCGGTTTTTCATTGTAGGCCTCAATGGGCTTTGAAATGTCTCTTCGTAGATTTTAGAAAAGGAATGTGTCCAAACTGTTTAATCAAAACAAAAGTTTAACTCTGTGACATGAATGAACACATCACAAAGCATTTTCACAGATGTGTTGCTTCTAGTTTTTATCACAGGATATTCAGTTTTTCAGCACAGGCCTCAATTGCATTTAAATGTCCCTTCCTATATTCTACAATAAAAGTATTTCCAAACTACTGAATCAAAATGAAGGCTTATCTCTGAGAGATGAATCCACACATCAGAAGGCATTTTCACAGATAGCTTGCTTCTCGTTTTTATCACAGGATATTCAAGTTTTCACTATAGGCCTCAATGGGATTCAGAATGTTTCTTTGTAGATTCTCCAAAAAGAGTGTTTCCAACCTTCTGAATAAAAACAAAGGTTTAACTATGTGAGATGACTACACACATCATCAAGCATCCTCACAGATACTTGTTTCTACTTTTTATAGCAGGATATTTGTTTTTTCATATAGGCCTCAATTGGCTTTGAAATGTCCCTTCGTATATACTAGAAAAGATGTGTTTCCAACCTGTTGAATCAAAACAAAGGTTTAACTCTGTGAGATGAATCCACACATCATATAGGGTTTTCCCAAATAGCTTGTTTGTAGTTTTTATCTGGGATATTAGGTTTTTCACTTTAGATCTCAATGGGCTATGAAATGTCACTTTGTAGATTCTAGAAAAGAGTATTTCCAAAATGCTAAATCAAAACAGAGGTTTAACTCTGTGAGATGAATTCACACATTGCAAAGAATTTTCACAGAGAGCTAGTTTCCAGTTTTTATCGCAGGGTATTTAGTTTTTCAGTATAGGCTTAAATGGGCTTTGAAATGTTTCTTCATAGACTTTTACAAAAGAGTGTTTCCAACCTAGAATGAACACATGGCAAAGCATTTTCACAAATAGCTTGTTTCTAGTTTTTATTGCCGTGTTATAGGGTTTTTTTATAGGTGTCAATGAACATTGAAATGTTGCTTTGTAGTTTCTACAAAAAGTGTTTTCAACCTGTTTTTTTTTCTTTTTTTATTATTATACTTTAAGTTATAGGGTACATGTGCGCAATGTTCAAGTTAGTTACATATGTATACATGTGCCATGCTGGTGTGCTGCATCCATTAACTCGTCATTTAGCATTAGCTATACCTCCTAATGCTGTCCCTCCCCCCTCCCTCCACCCCACAACAGTCCCCAGAGTTTGATGTTCCCCTTCCTGTGTCCATGTGTTCTCATTGTTCAATTCCCACCTATGAGTGAGAATATGCGGTGTTTGGTTTTTTGTTCTTGCGATAGTTTACTGAGAATGATGATTTCCAATTTCAGCCATGTCCCTACAAAGGACATGAACTCATCATTTTTTATGGCTGCATAGTATTCCATGGTGTATATTTGCCACATTTTCTTAATCCAGTCTATCATTGTTGGCCATTTGGGTTGGTTCCAAGTCTTTGCTATTGTGAATAGTGCTGCTATAAACATACGTGTGCATGTGTCTTTATAGCAGCATGATCTATAGTCCTTTGGGTATATACCCAGTAATGGGATGGCTGGGTCAAATGGTATTTCCAGTTCTAGATCTCTGAGGAATTGCCACACTGACTTCCACAATGGTTGAACTAGTTTACTGTCCCAACAACAGTGTAAAAGTGTTCCTATTTCTCCACATCCTCTCCAGCACGTGTTGTTTCCTGACTTTTTAATGATTGCCATTCTAACTGGTGTGAGATGGTATCTCATTGTGGTTTTGATTTGCATTTCTCTGATGGCCAGTGATGATGAGCATTTTTCCACGTGTTTTTTGGCTATAAATGTCTTCTTTTGAGAAGTGTCTGTTCATGTCCTTCACCCACTTTTTGATGGGGTTGTTTTTTTCTTGTAAATTTGAGTTCATTGTAGATTCTGGATATTAGCCCTTTGCCAGATGCGTAGGTTGCAAAAATTTTCTCCCATTTTGTAGGTTGCCTGTTCACTCTGATGGTAGTTTCTTTTGCTGTGCAGAAGCTCTTTAGTTTAATGAGATCCCATTTGTCAATTTTGGCTTTTGTTGCCATTGCTTTTGGTGTTTTACATGTGAAGTCCTTGCCCATGCCTATGTCCTGAATGGTAATGCCTAGGTTTTCTTCTAGGGTTTTTATGGTTTTAGATCTAACGTTTAAGTCTTTAATCCATCTTGAATTAATTTTTCTATAAGGTGTAAGGAAGGGATCCAGTTTCAGCTTTCTTCATATGGCTAGCCAGTTTTCCCAGCACCATTTATTAAATAGGGAATCTTTTCCCCACTGCTTGTTTTTCTCAGGTTTGTCAAAGATCAGATAGTTGTAGATATGCGGCGTTATTTCTGAGGGCTCTGTTCTGTTTCATTGATCTATATCTCTGTTTTGGTACCAGTACCATGCTATTTTGGTTACTGTAGCCTTGTAGTATAGTTTGAAGTCAAGTAGCATGATGCCTCCAACTTTGTTCTTTTGGCTTAGGATTGACTTGGCAATGCAGGCTCTTTTTTGGTTCCATATCAACTTTAAAGTCGTTTTTTCCAATTCTGTGAAGAAAGTCATTGGTAGCTTGATGGGGATGGCATTGAATCTATGAATTACCTTGGGCAGTATGGCCATTTTCACGATATTGATTCTTCCTACCCATGAGCATGGAATGTTCTTCCATTTCTTTGTATCCTCTTTTATTTCCTTGAGGAGTGGTTTGTAGTTCTCCTTGAAGAGGTCCTTCACGTCCCTTGTAATTTGGATTCCTAGGTATTTCATTCTCTTTGAAGCAGTTGTGAATGGGAGTTCACTCATGATTTGGCTCTCTGTTTGTCTGTTATTGGTGTATAAGAATGCTTGTGATTTTTGTACATTGATTTTGTATCCTGAGACTTTGCTGAAGTTGCTTATCAGCTTAAGGAGATTTTTGGCTGAGACAATGGGGTTTTCTAGATATACAATCATGTCATCTGCAAACAGGGACAATTTGACTTCCTCTTTTCCTAATTGAATACCCTTTTTTCCTTCTCCTGCCTAATTGCCCTGGCCAGAACTTCCAACACTGTGTTGAATAGGAGTGGTGAGAGAGGGCATCCCTGTCTTGTGCCCGTTTTCAAAGGGAATGCTTCCAGTTTTTGCCCATTCAGTATGATATTGGCTGTGGGTTTGTCATAGATAGCTCTTATTAGTTTGAGGTACGTCCCATCAATACCTAATTTATTGAGAGTTTTTAGCACGAAGGAGTTGTTGAATTTTGTCAAAGTCCTTTTCTGCATCTATTGAGATAATCATGTGATTTTTGTCTTTGGTTCTGTTTATATGCTGGATTACATTTATTGATTTGTGTATATTGAACCAGCCTTGCATCCCAGGGATGAAGCCCACTTGATCATGGTGGATAAGCTTTTTGATGTGCTGCTGGATTCGGTTTGCCAGTATTTTATTGAGGATTTTTGCATCAATGTTCATCAAGGATATTGGTCTAAAATTCTTTTTTTTGGTTGTGTCTCTGCCCAGCTTTGGTATCAGCATGATGCTGGCCTCATAAAATGAGTTAGGGAGGATTCCTTCTTTTTCTATTGATTGGAATAGTTTCAGAAGGAATGGTACCAGTTCCTCCTTGTACCTCTGGTAGAATTCAGCTGTGAATCCATCTGGTCCTGGACTCTTTTTGGTTGGTAAGCTATTGATTATTGTCACAATTTCAGATCCTGTTATTGGTCTATTCAGAGATTCAACTTCTTCCTGGTTTAGCCTTGGGAGAGTGTATGTGTCGAGGAATTTATCCCTTTCTTCTAGATTTTCTAGTTTATTTGCGTAGAGGTGTTTGTAGTATTCTCTGATGGTAGTTTGTATTTCTGTGGGATCGGTGGTGATATCCCCTTTATCATTTTTTATTTTTCTGAACTAGGGCTTACAGTTATACTGGTCTTTTAATTTTATTTAAAAAAATCAGTGAGACTACAGTTGTCATTTTTAAAATTCTTTCAATTTTTAATTATGTAACTACAAAGAATCTACACAAATTTTGGGAACTGGCCTTTAAATCCAGCCAAAATAAAGACTCTAGTGCAACAATTTAGAGGTGTACTGGGCCCTCTACATAACTGGAATATAAGCATGCCTGTAGTTAAATGTTCTATTATGAATGTCCCACCACCCACCCAAGCATCGTGGGTCGGCCTAGATCATACCTGTTATGGTAATGGCAGGTGCTTTTTACTTGAGTAACTCCCTCTTCATAATGCATGTCTGTGTGCTGCACATGCACACCCACAAACACACACACACAGACACACACTTAAACTCTATCAATTCTTTGCAAATTCTGCCAGTAATATTGTAGAGCAGTATATTCCAGCTATTCCTATAATTGAAACCTGCAGAGTCAACTGTTGAGCAGCAAATCGGGGCCCTTATTCAACAATGCCAGCTCGGTCAGAGTCATTATCTTCTCTCTTTTGCTCACAGTGGGTCTATCATTTTTGAAAGTGACTGTTGCCTTGGAACTTCTAATAGAATCCTCACTAAAATTTACATCTTAGCCTAACTTGCAGGAGCTTTCCTTAAAGGTTTGAAAATAAATATAACCATCTTATTGTATCTTCAGGAGGCCTCCTGTTTCCATTTTACTCAGAAAACCTGTACATTGTGAGTTTCATCAAAACGTGAATGAGATTATTTGCAAATAGATAACAACAGGACCCTATGTAATTTATTCCAAAAGAAGAGTGTTTCTTTGTGATTATTTACCTAAATGCTAGCTATTCAAAAGTTTATATAGTATCTACGAGAATTATTAAACCCATCAGTTGCTCTTAGAATATTCCCAACTAAGTATTTTCTTTAAACATGATTGCCTTTGAACCCCAGCTTCCAGAGCTTTATAATCTAGCAAAGCCTAAAATAAATAAATTAAAAGCCATGGCTGAATTCAAAACTATGATCATTCTGCAGCCTGAGCTGTTTTGTTAAGAAAGGTAAGTTGGAGAGCTGCTACATGCTTCTAAGCAATTGAAAGGATGATGAGCCTGAATTTTTCCCCTTAGGCTTGTGTGCATATGAATAAGAACTAGATATGCAAGCAGAAAGCTTCTTCTTCAAATTCATTCCTTTCCAAATTCTCAGAGGCAGCAAATATTGTGGCCTTATTATCAACCCGGCCCTGTTTTCCTGATTTCTTTAATACTGACATTTTGTCTAGACTCTATTTTAATTGATGTGTTATACAGAAGAATTACAGTTGTGAGGTTCTCACAAGGTATAGACAAAACCAGGTTTGAGACGGTATCTTAATTGCTTTTCTGTTGCTGTAACAGAATACTATGGACTGGGTAATTTACAAAGAAAAAAATTATTTCTTATGGTTCTGGAGGCTAGGAAGTCCAAGAGTATGGCATTGGCATCTGGTGAGGCTTTATTACTGTATCATACATGGTGAGAGGGCATTGCATGGTGAGAGGGCATCGCATAGTGAGAGGGCAAGAGTATGCAAGTCAGCTCACATCTCTCTTTCTTTTCTTCTAAAGCTGCCAGTCTCAACATGGGAGAACAACTTTAATGACCTTATCTAATCTTGATTACTTCCTCCAAAGGCCCCACCTCCAAATATCTTCAACATATGAATTTGGGAATTTAGTTTCCAACACATGAAATTTGGGGGGGCACATGCAAGTCACAACAGAGGAGAAGATGGTTTTGCTAAGACCGTAAGAAAACAGCTGTATATACTGTAAATAGTTATAGCAGTGAATACCACTATAGTATTTTGGGTAAGAGATTGATAATGTACACAGTAAAGACCAGCTACCTGTAGCTTTTTTTAAATATCATATGTCCCTGGGGAAAAAGAATCTTCTACTTCTAGTTCTTCATCTTCAACAGGATGTTTTTATGTGAAGTTTGCAATATCAGTTAGGGATACTAGTTACAAAAAGCAATATACTCTAGCTTCCTCAAGCTGAAGGGAATTATTAAGTGGCATAAATAGCTCACATATTATTGAAAGGATGGAAGAGATAGATTCTGTTTTGACCTGCCAGGAATGAGGTGCAAAACCACAACATAACTGATCTGCTATAGTATAATTGGCCACTTCCGCACTGCTGACAAAGACATACCTGAGACTGGACGATTTGCAAAAGAAAGAGGTTTAATGGACTCACAGGTCCATGTGGCTGGAGAGGCCTCACAATCATGGTGAAAGGTGAAAGACATGTCTCCCATGGTGGCAGACAAGAGAGTGAGAGCCACGTGAAAGGGTTTTCCCTTTATAAAACCATCAGAGCTCATGAGACTTATTCACTGCCATGAGAACACCATAGGAGAAACCGCCCCTGTGATTCAATTATCTCCCACTGGGTCCCTCTCACAACATGAAGGAATTATCGGAGCTACAATTCGAGATGAGATTTGGGTGGGGACATAGCCAAACAATACCACCTAGAAAAAGCTGCCTTTTCCATGATCCAGATGCCTGGTTCCAGAAAGCTGATGCTGGCATTGCCAACTACAGAACCACAGCTAACACTAGAACCACAGCACTTCTGCCATGATTTGTACCTGCCAAAAGTGTAACACCTGTCTCCTTCATAGTACATTCTGAACAATGTCTTATATAAAAATAATCTTGTCAGAGTAACCCCATACATAGAATCATAGCTGCAATTGAATCTTTTAAGTATAGTTTTAGCTTCTCAGTTCTGCAGTTCAGAAACATGTGCAAAGGAGGTAGTTGGAATAAGTTTTGTGTAAGTTGATCCACGGCATCTGCTACACCTGTCAAATGCTGATGTGTCATGATTTGTCTCATATATAATGACAGAAGTAATGTAAGAATATTGTAAAACTCATAATAAAGAGATTTCCTTTTCAAATCACTTTGGACTGATAAATATTATAGGCAAATTATTAAAATTAAATTTACAACCTTGGTTTTACACCTAATTATAGTAGTTCATATTTTACATGTACGGAATAATTCTTATAGTTTGTAATGAGACTATAAATTTATCACCATATATTTACATATTATGTGAGCCCATTTCAATGATAGTACTTTTAAGAGAGGAAATTATATGTTGTGAGATAACACTGTCACCTTGAAAACATCATTAACACTTCTGCGTAATGTAGTTCTACACAGAGAGAAAGCAAGCATGCATCAATATTTCTTTTTAAAAAAGCTAATTATGTTCCTAAATACACTGAAGAAAACTCCTAGGGTTACCTTCGAGGAAGTAACTTTTCTATTTTCTTTGCTTCCTTTCCCTTTTTTTCTTTTTTTTTTTAACAGAGTCTCACTCTGTCACTCAGGCTGGAGTGCAGGGACATGATCTCCACTCACTGCAACCTCCACTTCCCAGGTTCAAGTGATTCTCATGCTTCAGCCACCCTAGTAGCTGAGATTATGAGATTGAGCCACCACCCCAACTAATTTGTATATTTTTAGTAGAGACGAGGTATTGCCATATTGGCCAGGCTGGTCTGGAACTCCTGCCCTCAAGTGATCCAACTGCCTTATCCTCCCAAAGTGCTGGGATTATAGGTGGGAGCCACCAGACCCAGCTATCCCTTTTCCTTTTTTAGCAAGAGGAATTAGAAGCTAGTTTAAGGGTCAGGAAAAGCAAAAAATAGTGAAGCACATTCTCCTGGATCACTTGATTCCCTAGTGGACACAAATGAATCCTTGTACTCTTAGTTTTCTGGGTGGGAAATAAATCACCTTTAGATGTCTGCTTTAATTAAGTGAGAAGTTACAAGGAACCAATATTTCAGCAAAAGCATGTGACAAATGCTTTTTAGCTTAAGAGTTTTAAAATTTCAGCCATATACAGAATAAATTGAATGCCATAACAAACTATCATGGAGCCATTATCCAGATTAAAAAATAATAGTATTAGACTATTTTTTCAACTATTCCTCCACTAATTTGGAAGTGACCTTCCATATGATTATTATTTTTATGGATATTTGAGGTTAGATTTACCTACATTGAAATCAATGAAATATACCAACATTAACTATACAGTTTTGGAAAGTATATACACACATGTAACTACCACTCTGAACAAGGTATAGAAAAATTAAATTACTCTAAAGAGTTCCCAGGTACTTTTTTCCAATCAGTTTTCTCCATCCTTTTCCCCAAGCAACTCAATTTGTTTTCTATCACTGTAGATTCATTTTGCCTATTTAAGAATTTTTTATCAATGGATATTGAGCACTTCATATAACTATTATTTATTCATGCACGTTCCTTCAGGAAGTTTCTTTCAAGTAGTTTGTCCATTTTAAAATTTGTCCTTATATTATTGAGTTGTCATAGAGTTTTGTGTATTTGGCGTACAAGTGTTTGTTAGACACATGTTCCGCAAATATTTTTCTTCCAGTTTATAATTTATGTAGCGGTATCTTTTGAAGAACAAAAGTTTCAAATTCTTAAGAAACTCTAATATATTAAAGTTGTCTTTTATGGTTGTTGCTTTCTGTGTTGTTTCACAGCAGGCTATGAAGATAATCCCCTGTTTTCTTCTAAATACTTTGTAGTTTGGCCTTTTACTCTTACCTTTGCTCCTTATTTAATTTTGTGTTTGTTATGAGGTAGGGGTTAAGGTTAACTTTTGTTTTTCATATGGATACCCAGTTGTCCTAGCATCATGTGCTACAGAGATTTTTCCTGATCCATCAAATTCCTGTGAAGTGTTAGTGGAAAGGCTACTGTGGGTCTGTTTTTTGCCTTTGTTCCAAAAATTGCCAAATAATGACTCCTGGCCTGTTTTTATGTGGCTCACAATCTAATAACAATTTTGGCATCTTTAAAATATTGTCAAAATAAGAGGTAGAAAAAGAGGCAGAAGAGGAGAAAGGAGGAGGAAGGGGGCAAAAAGTGACAGACACCTCATATGTGGCCCACAAGGCCTGAAATATTTAGTATCTGGCCCTTTAATGATAAAGTTGACTAATTCCTACCTATTCTAGTCCATTTATTTATTTATTTATTTATTTCTGTGGCTTTTTAGTACATCTTAAAATCAGATAGATAAGGCCTTCCAATTTTGATCTTCCTTTTTCTGTAACTAATTCATTTATTTAACTGTGGTATACATTAATGCATAGCTCACGAATACTGAAATTCACAGGTACACAAACAATACACATAAAGAACAAAAAGACAAAATGCATATTGTTAATACTATAAGCCCCCACACAATACACACGTTCATATTTAGTACACAGATCTTTTCCATACAATAACTGCTTGGGTGACTACCTTTAATTAAATGTTCTATAAGGCTCCATCTCTAACCAATGTAGATAAACTTTGAAAAGACTGATTCGGGTTGGGCCAGAAAAAATACAAAGAAGCAGACCAATATAGTAGAAATAAGAACTTTCTTGTACATTTTAAAAAAATTGTAAAACAATATACTAATACATTTTCTTTTTTAAAAGAAAACCTTACAGATTAAAAAAAAACTCAACTTCTAAACTTCATATATTGTTTGGAAGTAACCATTATTACATTTTGTATATATTCTTATACATCTCTCTTTTTTACAGTTACATAAATATATTTGTACCACTAAAAATATTGCATGTTAAGTTTTAGTTTTTTTTAAATTTAACTTTTATTTTATGTTCAGGAGTATATGTCCATGTTTGTTATGTAGGTAAACTTGTGTCATGGGGGTTGGTTGTACAGACTATTTCATCACTCAGACATTAAGCCTAGTACCCACTAGTTATTTTTCCTGATCCTCTCCCTCCTCCCAACCTTCAATAGGCCTCACTGTGTTGTTCCCCTGTATGTGTCCACATGTTATCAACATTTATATCCCACTTATAAGTAAGAACATACAGTATTTGGTTTTCTGTTCCTGCATTCGTTTGCCAAGGATAATTGCCTCCAGCTCCATCCATGTTCCTGCAAAAGACATTATCTCATCCTTTATATGGCTGCATAGTATTCCATGTGGTACACATGGAATGTACCACATTCCAAGTGTGGTTTATGTACCACATTTTCTTTATCCATTCAAACATTGATGGGCATTTAAGTTGATTCCATGTCTTTGCTATTGTGAATAGTGACCCAATTAACATATACATGCATGTATCTTTATGACAGAACAATTTTTATTCCTTTGGGTATAAACTCAGTAATGGGATTGCAGGGTCAAATGGTATTTCTGTTCTTAGGTCCATGAGGAATCACCACACTCTCTTCCACAATGGTTGGACTAATTTCCACTCCCACCAGTAGTGTATAAGCATTGCTTTTTTTCTGCAACCTCACTGGCATCTGCTATTTTTTGACTTTTTAAATTGTAATAATTGCCATTTTGACTGGTGCGAGATGGTATATTATTGCGGTTTTGACTTGGATTTCTCTAATGATTAGGGATGTTGAGATTTTTTTCATACGCTTGTTGCCCATATGTATGTTTTGTTTTTAAAAGTGTCTGTTCATGTCCTTTGCCCACTTTTTAATGGGGTTGCTTTTTTCCTTAAAAATTTGTTTAAATTCCTTTTAGATGCTGGATATTAGACCTTTGTCAGATGCATAGTTTGTAAAAAATTTCTCCCATTCTGTAGGTTTGTCTGTTCACTCTGTTGATGGTTTCTTTTGTTGTACAGAACCTCTTTAGCTTAATTAGATCCCATTTGTCAAATTTTACTTTTGTTGCAATTGCTTTTGGCATCTTGGTCATGCAATCTTTGCCTGTTCCTACATCCAGGGAAATGGGTTTTTATAGTTTTTGGTTTTACATTTAAGTCTTTAATTCATCTTGAGTTCATTTTTGTATATGGTATAAGGAAGGGGTCTAGTTTTAATCTTCTGCATATGGCTCATCAGTTCTCCCAACACATTTACTAAATAGGGAGTCCTTTCCCCATTGATTATTTTTGTCAGCTTTGTCAAAGATCAGATAGTTGTAGGCAGGCAACCTTAATTCTGGGTTCTCTGTTCTATTTCATTGGTCTATGTGGATGTATTTATACCAGTACCATGCTGTTTTGGTTACTGTAGCCCCTGTAGTATAGTTTGAAGTTGGGTAGCCAGATGCTTCCAGCTCTGTATTTTTTGCTTAGGAATGCCTTGGCTATTCAGGCCCTGTTTGGGGTTCCATATGAATATTAAAATAGCCTTTTCTAGTTCTGTGAAGAATGTCATTGGTAGTTTAATAGGAATAACATTGAATCTATAAATTACTTTGGATATTACAGGCATTTTAACAAAAATAATACTTTCTATTCACTAGCATGGACTGTTTTCCATTTGTTTGTGTCATCTCTGATTTCTTTTAGCAGTGTTTTGTAGTTCTTTGGTAGAGATCTTTCACCTTCCTGTTTAATTATATTTCTAGGTTTTGTGTGTTTGTGTGTGTATGTGGCAATTATGAATGGGATTGCATTCCTGATTTGGATCCTTGACTGTTATTGGTGTCCAGGAGTGCTAGTTATTTTTGTACATTGATTTTGTATCCTGAGACTTGCTGAAGTTGTTTATCAATTTAAGGATCTTTTGGGCCTAGATTTTGAGGGTTTCTGAATATAGGTACGTGTCTTGCGCTGGCAGGGATAGTTTGACTTCCTCTCTTCCTATTTGGATGCCCCTTTTTCTTTCTCTTGCCTGAGTGCTCTGGCCAGAACTTCCAATACTATGTTGAATAGGAGTGGTGACAGGGTATCTTTGTCCTGTGCCGGTTTTCAAGGGAAATACTCCAGCTTTTGCCAATTCAGTATAATGTTGGCTGTGAGTTTTTCACATATGGCTCTTATTAGTTCAAGGTCTGTTCCTTCAATACCTAATTTTTTGAGAGTTTTTGACATGAAGGGGTGTTGAATTTTATTGAAAGCCTTTCCTGCATCTATTGACATAATCATGTGGTTGCTGCTTCACCTTGTACTTTTGTGTTATGGAGATGGCTTATTTCCTTAAGCCTTATGAACCATCATCTGCTAGATTCCAATTTTTCTTCTGTGGCTTCCTCACCTCTCTCAGCCTTCATAGCTTTGAAGAGAGCTAGGTCCTTGCTCTGGATTTTGTTTTGGCTTAAGAAAATGTTGTGTCTTGTTTGATCTTCTATTCAGATCACTCAAACTTTCTACTTATCACCAATAAGGTTTTTTGGCTTTCTTATCATTTGTGTATTCACTAGAATAACACTTTTAGTTTCCCTTAAGTTTTTCTTTGAATTCACAGCTTGGCTAACTGTTGGGTGCAAGATGGCTAGCGTTCAGCCTATCTTGGTTACAACATACCTTCCTCATTAAGCTCAATCATTTCTAGCTTTTGATTTAAGGTCAGAGATGTGCAACTCTTTCTTTCACTTGAACCTTTAGAAGTCATTGTAGGGTTACTAATTGATCTAATTTTAATATTGTTGTGTCTCAAGGAATAGAGAGGTCTGAAGAGATGGAGAAAGATGGGATATTTGCCAGTAGGTGGAACAATCAGAACACACAAAACATTTCATGAATTAAGTTCAATGTGATGTGGGAATGGTTTGTGGCACCCCAAAATAATTATAATAGTAATAATAGTAAAAACCACTGATTACAGATAATCATAAAAGATATAATAATGAAAAAGTTTGAAATATTGCATGAATTACCAAACTGTGACACACAGACATTATGTGAGCACATGGAAAAAACAGCTAATAAATTTGCTGAACACAGGGTTGCCACAAACCTTCAATTTTTTTTAAAATGCCATCTCTGTGGAGTTCAATAAAGTAATAAAGAAAGCAATAAAAGGAGTATATGTATTTAATATTTTATACATAAAGGATCATGCTGTTTCTAAATAGGAGCATATTTCTTCTTTGTTGTTAACATATATCTTTCATCCTTGCTTTATTTCAGTGGCTAGGAATTCCAACTACCATGAGGAATAGAAATTAAAAGATTGTATGATCTTGCCTTCTTCTTTCTGTCAGCTTTAGTTTAGTTTAGTTCTGTTTTCTTTGATATAAAAATTTTGCTTATCAGATTGAGGAAGTTACTTTCTATTCCTAATTGCTTAACTTTTTTTTATCTTGAATACATGTTTACTTTTGATACATGAATTTTCTATGTTGTTTGAGTTATGTTTTTTTCCCTCATTCTGTTAATAAGATTTTATTTATTTTATACATTAAATCAAACATGCGTTCTTGGTAAAACCAACTTGATCATAATGCATTATTCATTTTATAGACTGCTGGATTTATTTTTTAAATAAATTCATTAAGTATTTTTGTATCTGTGTGAATGAGGATATTCATGTGTACTTTTTTATTCTTTGATGTATTTTTGTCAGGTTTGTTATCAGGGTTATGCTAGCATCAAAAAACAAAATACTATGTGTTTCCTACTATTTTTTGTAATAGCTTGTTTAAGATGTTTTCTTCTTTATATACTGATAGAATTAACCAGTAAAGTCATAAATTACTTGCATACACTTTGTAATTTGAATTGTATATATTTTAGAATTAATTCTTCAATTTCTTCAAAATTGCTAAAATTTTTATTGACATTACATGAGGAGATTTTAGCATCCTTAAGCTACTGAGTTTTACAATCCATTGATATTGTGTATTATACCTTTGTTTAGATTTCTGTAATTTCTTTCATTCATGTTTCACTTAATTTTTTGCTTGTTTCCTTGTTCAGAGTCATTGAACATAATCTTTGGATATTTGCTGGGTATTTGGTGTTTCTTGATGCTATTAAGAATGAGTATCCATTTTAGCATTTCAGTTTTTCTCTTTGCTCTTAGAATAAGGAGTTATTTCTAATGAGGTTACCTCTACCTGCATTTATAGTTTTACAATTATAATTGGAACATTGAAAACATACTTAACCTAAAATGTCATTTTCTTTTGAATCTACAACACCACCCTAACTTTGCTTGCCCTAAATCTCTCATTTTTTTCCAAAAGTCATATACAGTTTTTCTGTGTAGGTGATATGGAAGTCATCAATATTCTATAATGCTATGACAATAACAAAGAAAAGCCTTTATAGGAAGTGACCATCTATATAGCTAAAGTTTTTTTAGACAAAGCCAGGTTTTAGCATAGTGTAGAGGTGAAAGGAATCTACAAAAGCCAGGCACTATCTCCAAAGGGCAAAGGCTTTTAAATATTTTCTTTCTGTTTTTCACAAATGTTACTAAAATCTTTTTAATTTCTTAATTATGAATGGTTTCAAAAATACATGTCCTGCATTTAAAATTACCAAATACTTTTAAGCTCCAAATTTTCAACAATGACAGTTTCCTGTCTACAGCCATGTTCCCTTTACTACAAACTGGATGAACAATACCTATAAAAATCAAGTAAGGAATTCAATTTACTGTTTTTTTAAGTAAAACATAATCATTCTCTTTCTGTCTCTCTCCTCTCCCTCTGACCTTTTTCTCCTTTCCTCTATCTTTCATTGTTTAATTTTGGTGATATTTTGCTGGTAGATATCTGGAAGAAATCTGGACACAGTCTGCCTGTTTTCCTCTAGTCTTTGTCATGGAAACGATACTTTGATAATGAATTAATAATTTTTGATTAACTGTCACTGTGCAATAATAACAAATTGTAGCAGGCTCCTATTGTCTTTTCTAGGGCACTGAAAGAGTACATATTATTCAGAGTATTAATTTCTTATGCATATTCATGGCCCAATACAAATATATATTGACTCAAAATTTAATTTAATAATGATAGATGACTTTTATAACCATCTTTTAAAATATATATGACACAGTATCATGATGGAAACATGCATTTTATAACTTTCAATTGATGGTAAAGTTAGTAATGAAATAATTAGGGCTAGTATAGTGAAAAATAACAAAGATAGTAGAAGTGTCTTTATCCATTTATTTTTTTTGAGGTAAAGAAATATTTCATCCACCTTCATGATTTTTATTTTAAACTACTTGTTGAAAAAGCCCCACATTGCTTATCAACTTAGTCCATTTTATGTTCAATTGGAGAATCACTGGCCTTTATTGGACATTACACACGTATTCCTTTCTCTAGATAATTTTGCTAATGCGCTAATCCAACAAATACTTTATCTCCTACTCTGAAATACATTAGACACAGAGGACTTGTAAGTTTGGCTAGAAATCTACTCCAATTTTTTTTCTGCACAGATATCCTTTTGTAGGCATCATTTTTCCTGGCTGCCTTAGAATCTGGGTGTCAACAACCTTGTTCTCTCTCTGCCTTATTCATCTCTCTTTCTTCAACTTACTAAATGCTGATTTTCATCTCCTCCAGTTTTGACCCTGGAAAAAGCATTAGAGGTAAAGAGAAAAGAAAGGGTGCATTGCTGTACTCTCTACGTCTGATTTTGGCAACTCCTGAGATTGAACCACGTAGGCAGATACTTTGGAGACCTCCAAATTTGGATAGCTGTTTCTGGCAATTCCTGGGATGGCTGGAGAATTTGTCATGTGGTTACTTACTCTTGCTGTTCCCGCGGATGTGGCTGCACAGCCCAGCATCTTACTGCTGAGGTCTCCTCATTCCTCATGGTGATTCTCTTGGGCTGGGCTTGAGATCGTCTCCTTCTTGTCTACTCTCTTGCATGGCCCACATTTGCTGGTGGGAAACACTCACTTGAGACTCATCTCTAGTTGGAATACAGTTACTTCCTAACTGCAGGCCTTTAATCTCCTGCAAAAGTTCTTCATTTAGACTTTCACCCTTTAAAGTTGTCAAGTGAAAGTCAGATACTCATCAACTAATTTCTCTAAATTCTCTAACTTCTGTAAATTTAGTTCTTTTCAGAGAGACCCTCCTGATGTTCTTGTCATGAAGCTTATGGAGAAATGCAAGAAGTCCGATGACTTTTTGTTGACAACTTACAATCAACACTCTGTAATATTGCTTTCCTCCCAAATCCTCAGTCTCCAAGCTACCTGAGCCTCCCATCTTTAATCATTATATTATTTATATTTATATGATATTTAATCATGTGAATGTTACACACTGAACTTCAGTCACTTCTCTTCCATGTTCTACAAAAGTTGTCTGCAACTCTCTTCACTGAGAGTAGGTAGCATAGTTTTGGATGAAACAGTTTCTTTTTAAATGTTCTGTTACATATATGTGATGATGTATTCAAAATGGTTTCTAAAAAGAAAATGCTTTCCGTCTAAGAGAGAGTTGTTGAGAAAATCGGAAGGGAACACACATATATGCAAAATAGACATGACAAAATAATTTGCAGTATAAAATAAATCACTTTTAAGAAAGCCAGAGACAGTTTACTGTGGCAGAATATACTGTTTGGTGTAAAATTCTACAGTTTAGAAAATATATTTGAAGTAGGCCATTTACGTTACTTGAACTTTAAGCGTTGTATACACACCACTAAAAATTGTCCATTCATTTTAGCAGTATCTAGTTTAATTCTATCCTATGCTTAGTTCATAATGCAACCCAGATACATGGTTGTCTACAAGGCTATTGATTATTTCTAGGCTACCAGAAGATTTGGATTTTTTTTCTAATATCAGTTTTTTTTTGTTTTTTCAGGTTACACAAGAATAAGATACTATGTTGGGGGGCATTTTTGAAGGGTTAAATTTCACTTATAAACTTTCATTGGTCTAAAATTGAAGGTAAGATCATCTAAGAGGTCTTGACCTTTTCTAAAATTTTCCTGCCTGTGATAGATTTTATCACTGTTCATTTTGTAACTAAACTCTAATTTATTAGCTAGCATTGTTGAGACAATTTTTTTGTATATAAAATTGCTAGAGATGGAAATTTTAGTCATTGTTTCTGAGCACCTTTGGTGGTAATTTTTGATCTATAAAATTTATTTGAGATTCAGAAGTGTGAACCTATTTTTTTCACAAATTTTGATTTATATAACATAATTAGGATAATATAGATCACTTAACGACTTATTTTCTTTCATTGTGCTTTTTAAATTAAGACTAATTTTTTTAAAAAGCAAGATTTTGAAATTTTAGAAATGCATTAAAATTAATTTTTCTTACTTTTTATGTAATAAATCTTCTTAAAGACATGCCAAAATAAAGCAAGTTACCTGGAAATAAGTCTAATAGTCATATAGTTACTTTAAAAACCTTACCATCTATTTTTTGTATGGGATAAAACTTAAAAATTATTTTGAGTAAGTAATGAATAAGATAATTGAAGTAATAACAAAAACTCCTATTTGTGACCAACTAGGATAGTGAACCAAATTGATTTACTAAAATCTATCTCAGCAATAGATCTTTGAACAGGTCACCATGAAACTGGCCCCTATTTTTTAAGAACTTAGGGGAATTTGTACATTGACTTTCAAACAGAATATCTGAATTTTAAAAGGTCTAGAATCCTTGTAATAATGAGTAAAACTTTTGTCTGGCAGAAGTATCTTTTGGTTAATCTGTAAGAAACTTTATTTTAAGAATATCTGCATATCTAGTGCATCTAGAAAAAACTCTATCACCACAAAAGTTGTTATTATGATTATGTATACCTTTGCCATTTAGTGCCTGGTTTGATGCACACAATGTTGTTGGAAACATATACTCATATTTTATGTTTGTGATGATCTATTTTATAATATAAAATTAAGTTCCAATATGAATCCCATTGCCAAAATAGAACGTGACTAAGTTCTTTTGAAGAAAAATTATACCAGATAGAGTTAAACAGGCAAGACTTTATTCAAGGCTATTGCAATAGTGGATAGAAATTGAACTCAGTTCTTTTGAAATGAAATGCAAGAAAATTTTAGTGGAAAAGCACTGGAGGAAGTGAAGGGGAGGTTTTTCCCTGAGTTTGGACCACCTGTGTTTAATTGTTGCCTATGGAATTTCAGCTCCTATTATCTATACAAACTGGGAGACTGGGAAAATATCTTTCTGGATAACAATATTTCAAAGGGATGTCTCCAAGGTTTCTGAGACATCCCTGGGTTATAAAACTAATGAGTGGCTGGGAGAAAATTATAACTCAAAGAGTCATAGGAAGAATTTACAATGGAAAATTTTCTAAAGTAAATGCTCTAAGAAAACAAAAGTCAGAGATTCATCTTCTTCCTGGTTTAGTCTTGGGAGGGTGTATGTGTCGAGGAATTTATCCATTTCTTCTAGATTTTCTAGTTTATTTGCATAGAGGTGGTTATAGTATTCTCTGATGGTAGTTTGTATTTCTGTGGGATCGGTGGTGATATCCCCTTTTTCATTTTTTATTGCATCTATTTGATTCTTCTCTCTTTTCTTCTTTATTAGTCTTGCTAGTGGTCTATCAATTTTGTTGATCTTCTCAAAAAACTAGCTCCTGGATTCATTGATTTTTTGAAGGGTTTCTGTGTCTCTATCTCCTTCAGTTCTGCTCTGATCTTAGTTATTTCTTGCCTTCTGCTAGCTTTTGAATGTGTTTGCTCTTGCTTCTGTAGTTCTTTTAATTGTGATGTTAGGCTGTTAATTTTAGATCTTTCCTGCTTCTCTTGTGGGCATTTAGTGCTACAAATTTCCAAGTTGAATCTCTGAATAGACCAGTAACAGGCTCTGAAATTGTGGCAATAATCAATAGCTTACCAACCAAAAAGAGTCCAGGACAAGATGGATTCACAGCCAAATTCTACCAGAGGTACAAGGAGGAACTGGTACCATTGCTTCTGAAATGATTCCAATCAATAGAAAAAGAGGGAATCCTCCCTAACTCATTTTGTGAGGCCAGCATCATCCTGATACCAAAGCCTGGCAGAGACACAACCAAAAAAGAGAATTTTAGACCAATATACTTGATGAGCATCGGTGCAAAAATCCCCAATAAAATACGGGCAAACCGAGTCCAGCAGCACATCAAAAAGCTTATCCACCATGATTAAGTGGGCTTCATCCCTGGCATGCAAGGCTGGTTCAATATACACAAATCAATAAATGTAATCCAGCATAAAAACAGAACCAAAGACAAAAACCACATGATTATCTCAATAGATGCAGAAAAGGCCTTTGACAAAATTCAACAACCCTTCATGCTAAAAACTCTCAATGAATTAGGCATTGATGGGACGTATCTCAAAATCATAAGAGCTATCTATGACAACCCCACAGCCAGTATCATACTGAATGGGCAAAAACTGGAAGCATTCCCTTTGAAAACGGGCACAAAACAGGGATGCCCTCTCTCACCACTCCTATTCAACACAGTGTTGGAAGTTCTGGCCAGGGCAATCAGGCAGGAGAAGGAAATAAGGGGTATTCAATTAGGAAAAGAGGAAGTCAAATTGTCCCTGTTTGCAGATGACACGATTGTATATCTAGAAAACCCCGTTGTCTCAGCCCAAAATCTCCTCAAGCTGATAAGCAACTTCAGCAAAGTCTGAGGATACAAAATCAATGTACAAAAATCACAAGCATTCTTATATACCAATAACAGACAAACAGAGAGCCAAATCATGAGTGAACTCCCATTCACAACTGCTTCAAAGAGAATAAAATACCTAGGAATCCAACTTACAAGGGACGTGAAGGACCTCTTCAAGGAGAACTACAAACCACTCCTCAAGGAAATAAAAGAGGATACAAAGAAATGGAAGAACATTCCATGCTCATGGGTAGGAAGAATCAATATCGTGAAAATGGCCATACTGCCCAAGTTCATTTATGGATTCAATGCCATCCCCGTCAAGCTACCAATGCCTTTCTTCACAGAGTTGGGAAAAACTAAAGTTCATATGGAACCAAAAAAGAGCCCGCATCACCAAGTCAATCCTAAGGCAAAAGAACAAAGCTGGAGGCATCGTGCTACCTGACTTCAAATGATACTACAAGGCTGCAGTAACCAAAACAGCATGGTACTGGTACCAACACAGAGATATAGACCAATGGAACAGAACAGAGTCCTCAGAAATAATGCTGCTTATCTACAACTATCTGGTCTTCGACAACCCTGAGAAAAACAAGCAATGGGGAGAGGATTCCCTATTTAATAAATGGTGCTGGGAAAACTGGCTAGCCACATGTAGAAAGCTGAAACTGGATCCCTTCCTTACACCTTACAGAAAAATTAATTCAAGATGGACTGAAGACTTACATGTTAGACCTAAAACCATAAAAACCCTAGAAGAAAACCTAGGCAATAGCATTCAGGACATAGGCATGGGCAAGGACTTCATGTCTCAAACACCAAAAGCAATGGCAACAAAAGCCAAAATTGACAAATGGGATCTAATTAAACTAAAGAGCTTCTGCACAGCAAAAGAAACCACCATCAGAGTGAACAGGCAACCTACAGAATGGGAGAAAATTTTTGCAACCTACTCATCTGACAAAGGGCTAATATCCAGAATCTACAATGAACTCAAACAAATTTACAAGAAAAAAACAAACAACCCCATCAAAAAGTGGGCAAAGGATATGAACAGACACTTCTCAAAAGAAGACATTTATGCAGCCAAAAAACACATGGAAAAATGCTCATCATCACTGGCCATCAGAGAAATGCAAATCAAAACCACAATGAGATACCATCTCACACCAGTTAGAATGGCCATCATTAAAAAGTCAGGAAACAACAGGTGCTGGAGAGGATGTGGAGAAATAGTAGCACTTTTACACTGTTGGTGGGACTGTAAACTAGTTCAACCATTGTGGAAGTCAGTGTGGTGATTCCTCAGGGATCTAGAACTAGAAATACCATTTGACCCAGCCATCCCATTACTGGGTATATACCCAAAGGACTATAAATCATGCTGCTAAAAAGACACATGCACATGTATGTTTATAGCAGCACTATTCACAATAGCAAAGGCTTGGAACTAACCTAAATATCCAACAACGATAGACTGGATTAGGAAACGTGGCACATATACACCATGGAATACTATGCAGCCATAAGAAATGATGAGTTCATGTCCTTTGTAGGGACCTGGATGAAACCGGAAACCATCATTCTCAGCAAACTATCGCAAGGACAAAATACCAAACACTGCATGTTTTCACTCATAGGTGGGAATTGAACAATGAGAACACATGGACACAGGAAGGGGAACATCACACACCGGGGACTGTTGTGGGGTGCAGGGAGGGGGGACTGATAGCATTAGGAGATATACCTAATGTAAATGATGAGTTAATGGGTGCAGCACACCAGCATGGCACACGTATACATACGTAACAAACCTGCACGTTGTGCACATGTACCCTAGAACTTAAAGTATAACAAAAATATATATATATATATAAAAGTCAGGACATGTGGTCAGGAAGAAAACTGTTTAAAGTTTCGTCAAGATGAGGGAAATATTAAGGCCATCTTGCTTGGTTTGATTTTATTGCAATTCAGAAACAGTGGTTGAGAAATTCATAGATCGACACAATATTGCAGAATAAAATTACTTTAAAGTATATAAGAAAAATAATGAGGGAAAATAAGATAGTACACAGTCCTCCTCCTTCAAATTTTCTTTGAACATTTTCCACTATCAGACTATTTGGAAAAAAAATCAGAATAAAGGCTTATTATATCCATATACTTGAGTTGTCAAATTATCTGTTTCGAAATCATAGTTTGAACTCTGTTATTATGCTTATTTCCTGATGCTGCATTTTAGAAGGATATGTCTGTGTTTGACATGAAATATGTTTCAAGATATGCTATTTTTCTACTTTATATTATTGCATTAACTTCCAGAATTAAAAAGTGGCCCTTTTCCTCCATATATCATGTCAACTTCTAACACAGAGACTGATTTTTAAGGATTATAATTAAAGTGTATCCAAAGAAGAGTGTTGGAAAGAGAATGAAATGTGAGTACTCTGTCAATACACTTGCTCTGACAGCCAGAAAATACTAAATAGCTATTTGGAAGAGGAAAAATATTTTTTTCCTCAATTCTTGTAAAGTATTAGTTGGAATGGACCCATGGACCAAAAGAGAGATTAACAAGAGAAACGCCAGAGAAGTTTATTGACATGTGTATTTCATATATACATGGAAGACAGCAAGGGAATGAGTAGCTGTCAAGGAGGTGAGTTTGAATTTCAGCTGTATAACGCGTTGTTCAACAAAGAACAGTAAATTTTAGGGAAGTGACATGACAAAGGAAAAGGATTTTGAATTTCTAAAGACAGCAACTTGAGGCAAGGCAAAGAAAAGGCAGATAAAGTCTAAGTAAAGCTTGTTAACGTACATTCCTCTGGTGCCATCTCCAGGCCCATAACAGTCTAATGTTCTCTTCAGTAGATAACATTTGTTCTCCCTGGTTTAGAGGGGAGGTGGGATATTTTTTATCTTTGTAAATGTATATCTTCCTTTTAGGTAAATAGAGGCAGAGAGCTTTTCTTCATCTGCTTCTTAATTGCCTTCAGCTCAATAATCCTTATGCCAAACCATCCTATTTTGGGGTGCCATATTCTGATCTCCCATAGATGAACTGGTTCAGGAAGAGCCTTTTCTTAAATTATTACTCACTCCACTCCCACACACAGTTTCATATTATCTATCTACAATAATACATTGAACATTTATACTCTATTATGGGACTTAAGTCACATTCTCAGATACAGCATGATTAAATGCATTGAAAAATGTGGTACTCATGTATTATTACAAGATAGAAAAAAAATTCTTATAAGGCAGTCAGTATATTGTGTATAACTACATTTGTGTGTGTGTGTGTTGTATGTGTGTGCATGTTTGTGTATGTTTGTGTGTGTATAAACTCCTCAATGTCATCAATAGGTTCTTGGAAACTGTGACTTTAATCAAAACGATGCATAACAAAATCCATTTTTTCCATATTATAATTATATCTAAATGACTATGTTATTCAAGGACCTATTGTACGTCATTTCACTTAAGGTCATATTTTCCCAGAACTTAACAATATTTAGTGGGTTCTTACTGTGGGGATGTGTGTGTGTGTGTAATACATGCACACAGAGATGGACATGAATGATAGTAAGTTGAAAGCAGCTTTTAATTTTTTTCTTTTATTTATGTGTATCTTCTAAGGAGTCTACGTATAACACAACATATTCTAATGCTGTATTATAAGAATGTAAAAATGAATATAATTCATGTAATTTATGGCAAAAATAGCTATCTCATCATCAGCCTTAAGAGTTTCTACACCTGCTAAAATTAAGAAAAAATAATTACATATTTTCAGTTTTCTTCATAACATGCTCATATTTTCATTTTCTTTCTTCCTCTCTCTTTCCTTCACCTTCTTTTTTCTTTTTTTCTTCCTTTCTTCATCTTTTCTTTTTCCCTTCTCTCCTTCCTTCACCCATCCTAAAACATGCATTAAGCCATGTTTCAACAATGGATTACTGTGATATGAGGTTTATAAAAGCATACTTTAGAACACTTCTGCCCATCAAAATTATTCAACCTAGAAATGGAAATGAAATGTGCATTATTAGCTATAGGGTTGTATATAATAAGAACCTTAGGAATTGTGCCATTGTGTTGTGTCTTTTTCCCTAAAAATTGAATGGGCTTTTTATACTGAAAATATGAGGCAAGATAGATGAAGATTGGGCACTTGTTTGGATCAGGAATTGTGGATAGACTATTGTTCCAAGTTCTTGTGAAGATAAAATACAGAGTATATTTTTAAAATATCATGGAAACCTTTCAGTTTTATTTGAAAAATTTGTGAATGGAAACTTTTTGTGATGTAAATAAAGCTTGAATAATGAGTTGATATATTTTCCTATATCTCTTCCTCTTAACATTTGCCTCGCATTCCAATACTTCTGTTCTATATTCCATTTAGTTCGGTTTTTATGGTTCACTATTTTTCATGGAAACTATCATATTCTGAGTGTATCCCTCTGCAAATGATTTGGTAAATGCAAAAAATGTAATGGTATCTCCTGTTGATAGATCTGTATTTTACCAAAAACCTTCTTGAGAAAGAAAACTTTGCTACCAAGTGCAGTAGTTCAGATGATAATCATTTCAATCTCTGTAACAATTGGAGATATGATTGTGTTGCCCCATTGAACAACTGTATAGGCTGACTACATTAGCTAGAAAGGTACTTGACTTCATACCTCCACTGTGTTTAGAACAGTTTGTTGACAGCTTGTATGTAGTAAGGCTGATTTTATTAATATGTAGGTTTTTAAGCATAGAGATTAAAACAGGCTTGCAAAGTGCTTGAATCTAAATTGAGATGAAAATTAGCCAAACATCTTAAATCATTAATTAAAATGTTATCAAAGCTTTAAAATTTTAATCACACATCAATGATTAAAAGTTATGATGTACTTCCCTTAGCCATACTCTGGCTAGAGGAGCAGCTTTCTCATTTTGCAGCAATGCAATTTTTTTTTTTTTTTGATACTGAGTCTCACTCTGTCACCCAGACCAGAGTTCAGTGGCATAATCTCAGCTCACTACAACCTCCACCTCCAGGGTTCAAGCGATTCTTCTGCCTCAGCCTCTTATCTGGGACTACAGGAAAGCACCACCATACCCAGCTAATTTTTGTATTTTCAGTAGACAGGGTTTCACTATGTTGGCCAGGCTGGTCTCAAACTCCTGACCTTAAGTGATCCCCCCACCTTGGCCTCCCAAAGTGTTGGGATTACAGGCATGAGCCAGCATGCCTGGCCACAAATTTTTTTGGGAGCAAAATATAGAATTATGTAATGTTACAAATACTATCAATATGATCTAAACACAGAAGTATAATCTTTCGTTACTCACAATAGAAGCTAGTAAATTAATACATTTCTTTTTTTTTTTTTTTTGAAACAGCCTCACTCTGTCACCCAGGCCAGGCTGGAGTGCAGTGGCACAATCTCGCCTGACTGCAACAGAGTCCTCCCGGGTTCAAGTGATTTTCCTGCCTCAGCCTCCCGAGTAGCTGGGATAAGAGGTGCCCACCACCACGTCCACCAAATTTTTTTGTATTTTAAGTACAGATGGGGTGGGTTTCACCATGGTGACCAGGCTGACATTGAACTCTTGGCCTCAAGAGATCCACCTGCCTCAGCCTCCCAAAGTGTTGTGATTACAGGTGTAAGCCACCACGCCTGGCCAAATTAATAATTTTTTTAAAATTAAACTAGCTTTAAAATGTGTATGCAATTCTTATAGTGGAAAGAGAGAGATTGAAACAAAGTACCTATACTATAGAGCAAATTATATAACTAAAAGTTGATTTTATACAAACACATAAAGGAAACCACAACTAAATAATGTCCAATACCACAGTGTTATTATGCCTCACCCTATATGGCACTTGTTTTCCTAAGCCAATCACTTAAGCTTTAACTCATAAATTTCCTCTCAATTTCTCCTGAATCTATATCCCATTGTTGATTGAGATTCTCTTGACAAGACCAATTCAGAAGATACTGCCTTGAGGAGGTAAGCTGCAGATATGTCTGTTTGCCCTTTACATCCACTCTTCACTTGCTCAGAGATGCATGGATTACATCAGAAGGCTCCTGAGCCATCTGACATTCAGTTGGCTTCCACAAATGGGCAAAGAAAGGAGAAGATGAAGGGGAAGAGGCAAATAATAGCCAGGTATGTGTTGCATAGGTTCTCTCCAAGCTGGCTGCCTTCTTTTCTAAATACGGCTCATGTTATATGACATTTTCCCATTAGATTATGTTTTTTTCTGGCGAAATTTTTCTTCTGTATTCCTTGTTTTGTCAGTGTATGACATTACCTCTTATAGTTACCCTATACTCTACTCACACCTCTCTTAAGCTTTCCTTTACTAAAAACACATTGGTTTATCCAAATTTGAGGGTGACATTTTCTTGCTGATACACCAAGTATTATAGTAATTGGTGCTTGAGTTGTCTCTGAGAAAAAAAAAAACCTCAAAATGAGATTCTTGGATTGGACTGTGCATATTAAGGATCCATGCATAAACTCCTTTTGTGGAGGTGGGGATTCACATAGCTTGTGGCTAATTTTTGCCAGATGTGGCATCACAATTACTCAAATGACACCTGTGGTGGCATAGGATGAGTGCAAGTATAAAGTATTGGATGATCAAGTGGCTGAAGCAATTAATCACTGTAGCAATAGTAGTAATTATTACATTTGGTTTCTCATGACAACCAAGTATATATTCTCTATATACTTGAGAATGTATACAGGGAAAATGTAAAACTAACAGGTATAAAATGCAGTAAGAACACATGGAGAAACAGAATGTCATCAGGGCAGCTTTGAAGGAGCCCATCTTTTTATAATTATAAGTGTTGCAGAGATGCAACATACTTGGAACTCTCAACCCTTTTGGTCCTCTTAAGCTAAAGAAAAGGCACTGAAAATCGGCACTGGGGGGAAAAAAGACATTGAGACATGAGATGGGAAAAATGATAAGGGTAAAAACATTTAATCTCTCAATTCCATGAACTTTCTGGCTAGTGAACATAGACCCTCTCACTTTCTCTAGTCCTCTTCTGCCTAATAGCCTTACACTAACTATATTTGGACAGTTTCCTCCAGAGCTAATATCAATTCTTTTCATGACCCACTTCTACCATCTCTCATTGATTCTAGGGCCATAAGAAATGTTAGCTTTTAGCCAAGACAGGAATATAAGATCTTTTTCAAAGGAAGATTGTTAAAATTATTTATTATGGGCCGGGCGTGGTGGCTCATGCCTGTAATCCCGGCGCTTTCTGGCTAACACGGTGAAACCCTGTCTCTCCTAAAAATACAAAAAATTAGCTGGTCGTGGTAGCAGGTGCCTGTAGTTCCAGCTACTCGGGAGGCTGAGGCAGGAGAATGGCGTGAACCCAGGAGGCAGAGCTTGCAGTGAGCCGAGATTGTGCCACTGCACTCCAGCCTGGGGGACAGAGCGAGACTCTATCTAAAAAAAAAAGAAAAATCGTTCAGAATTGGAGTTTTGTTCTTCTATCTTTAGCTTTTTCTTTAGAAACTGAAAGAAATACCTTAATATTTAGGTACTTACTAAATATTTATTATTCTATTATGTTGTGAATAAAGTACTAAGTAAATGCACGTACATTGTACATTTTGGTGTAGAATTTATGCTTATTTTGTTCAAAAGTCACATACAAGTAAAAATTGAATCACAAAATTTTAGAACTAGGAGGAAACTTAGCATCCCTTTTTATGTATGTATAGGTGGAACATAAAGTCAATCTAAGACTGTTATCTCCACATTTTCCAATCCCAAGAGTTAAAATCACCTAACCAAGACAACCTAGATAATAAAAGCAGATTCAAAACAAAAGCCTGATTCTACTAATTGACAGTTTGGTTCTCCTTTCCCTAGTTCCCTATATTTTGCTTTTCTCTTGGATATACACATTTTTAAAATATAAAAACATAAACATCTTTTTAGTTTTGTTTTCAGTTCTTGGGAAAGTTACTCAAAAATCCTGAATACGTATAAATTCACTATTTTGAATTTCATGCCCTATAACATTTTTCGCAAAAGTTCAAAAGATTACAATGGAAATGACTCTAAAATATGGGAGAAGAGTATAATATAATTACCGACATGACCCTAGAATCAATTTCCCTAGGTCATAGATACAGAGATAGATATAGATGTCATCTGTGACATTAGAGCTTGCCACCCATGAAAGAGGATAGGGGGCATTAAGGATGGTCCAAAAAATCTGTGACTTGCTTCTACCCCAAAGAAAAGTCTATGTTTCTATTTCCCATGTATGTGATTATGTGGTTACATAACATGAGATTCTATGTTGTATACATTTGTCTATGTGTCTGTATAACATGAGAACACAAACTGTGTTGTGTTCTGAGTCCATAAGGAATACATAACAATCTGATTGAGCTTGGAAGCAAATGCTTCCCTAATCATGTTTCAGATCAAATGGTAGCCCTGACAATTCCTTGATTATACTCTTGTGAAACCTTAAGCAGAGTACCTGGCTATGCTGTGTCTGGCCTCCTGACTCAAAGAAACTATCAAATAATAAATGTGTGTTTTTTTAATTATCTAATTTTAATGATACTGTTATACAATAACAGGTAATTGATACAGGGTTTAATGTCAAAAGATCTATGTTCAGAATCTTGGCCGCACACTACTTACTAACTGTGAGCTTAAGCAAGTTCCCAAGATTTTTACAATTGGCAATATAGAGTTCTATGAGAAAAAAAAAATGAATGTAAGTGGAGGCATGCAATTAACCAAAGAATAACATTTTTCATCCTACAGCTACTAGGAATTTATATAGATTTAAGCATATAAAGGAGTTATATATTATTTTTCATTAAATTGGGAACATTAACAAAATTTTTTGAAATGTAAAATGTACTTTCTTTACAACTGAAATAAAAGAAGCACAGAATATACATAAAAACCAGCAAGAAAATAAAAGACTATGTATATATGTGTAAAACATAAAACAAAAAGACGGCAACAGTTTATTCACAGTTACCATTGATAATTTTTCATGAAATAAAAGGCCATTTCTTGCTGCCAAAAGCAAAAATGAACAAGATAATAAGCAATAAAAATCATATTACTAAGGTCAAAAATGCTTATTAGTACTTATTAGCATTTGCTGACGGTATTAACTGGACTAAGAGATAAAATATAAAGACTTTCAGGGAATTGCCATATTTAATTCTCAGACTGGTGTAAATGGGAAAGGTTCATACCTTCAGAATACTGCAAGATTTTATTATTTTCAGACCATCAAATTGCTGCAGTTAAAATTAAAAGTACAAGCAGACCACGCTGTGTTTGTGTGTGTGTGTGTGTGTGTGTGTGTGTGTTTCAACATAATGATTAAAGTGGGTAAAAAACAATCTTCATACCCCACTCTCCTCCACCAAAAAACAAAAGAGTATAGAATCTAATCAGGCAGTTCTGTTCATTAGAAAAATATATCTCAGGGGTTCAAATCAAAGAAAGAAATATTGTTGATTTTTTTTTTTGACAGAGTCTTGCTCTGTTGCCCAGGCTGGAGTGCAGTGGCGCAATCTCGGCTCACTGCAACCTCTGTTTCCTGGGTTCAAGCAATTCTTGTGACTCAGCTTCACTAGTAGCTGGGATTACAGGTGCCTGCCACCACAACCAGTTAATTTTTTTTTTCTTTTTTTTTAGTGGAGACGGGGTTTCACCACATTGGCCAGGCTGGTCTTGAACCCCTGACCTCAAGTGATCCATCCACCATGGCCTCCCAAAGTGCTGGGATTACAGGTGTGAGCTACTGAGCCCAGCCAAAAATATAGTTTTAAAATGTATATGAAAGATTGATTTGAAAAGATAAAAGCCAAAAAAGCCCTACTTGATGAAAAAGCTCAACCTCTTAACCTGTGTCTCCATTAGAATCAATTATAAACCTCAAATTTTGGGTTTTTCTTCAATTCCCTAACCAAGAAATTAAATCTCTACCAAGCTGAAGATCCCCCCCTTTTTTTTAACTAAAACTTCATTTCAACTTGTGAAATTCCTTTTTTTAGTGAAAATGCAACTGTAGAAAGTAGTTGTTGTTAGATATGTGATTTAAAATATAAAAATTTTGACTAAGCTTTTAAACACCATTTCAGTTTTAAATAATTCGATTCAGTAAATTTGTAAGTGTGATTGATTAGATTGAAAGAATTGATTAAGTGCCTTGAGAAAAAAAATCCTCTTGGGTATGCTTGCCTACCTTTTTACATGTTTGAAGAGTTTGTATTAAATTTATCAACATCACAGTAGTTTAATTATTAAAGATTGCATATATAGTACTTTGGATAAGGGAAGTAAGTTTGTTAAGCTTATGAGTTAAATAGAACTTTAATCACAGAACAAACTAAAGTGTTTTGCCTTAGTTTTTCAGTCTTCCTATGTTCATAACAGGAATGAAAATGTTTACATTTTATGGTCAAATATGATTTTGATTTTATCTATGTCATTTATACATATTTAATATTAGTTAAAACCCAAGCAATATTCCATGCAAAGACAACCCACATATTCAAAAAATAAACAAAAGCACCTAATTGACTGTAGGACAACAAACAGAATTACATAAGGTAAAGAATAAGTTTAAGAAATGGATGTGGAATTAACTAGTAGTAGTGAATCAACAAACATATTTCAACAACTCCATTTATTTTATTTTTTGAGTTTCTGGTTGATCTGCCTATATTCTAGGCAGAGAGAAAGCTCACATCATAATCCTCCCCCATTTCTCCTCTGATTTCAGATTTAATTTTTAATATAAGATATTTAAAACTTTTTATTCCGTAGATAAATTTGTACAATAGAAAATGTGGTTTTTCAGTACCTCTAGGAGAATTCTAAGTTGCCGTAACCCTACGGTTAAATCTGTTTTCTCACCTATAAAATCATTCAGATTAACAATTCTGTAAACAATAAGGGAAAATTCTTTAAGAAGTTATTGAAAATAATAAAACAGAAGGATGTTATGACTATACTACATGTGAATTAGAACTGTTACAGAAAAATGTTTTGTTTCTATAGGCAATTTGCTTCTGGAAACAATTAATTGGAGGACATATTTAATAACCATACGTGCTCAAGCACACTTTGCTTTTTTCATGTAAAAGTGGGCAAGTATTAAGACTAAATTCTGTCATTTTTTTCTATGGCAGTGCCTATTGTAGAAAAATAAATAAGCTTAAGTTTGATAATTAAAGCACCACAAATGTAATTAACTAAAGAGTACTCAAATGTTCAAAGTTTTCTGATAGGCTTATCATTTGAGAGGGTAATCCAGCCAAACAAATTTAATTTAATGTACTCTAACTGCAAATGAAGTAAACTTTCTAAGTCGTATTCCTTTTCAATAGCACAGGTACTTGCCCTTTTTAAAAAATCAAATAAATAAACTAAACTAAATTAAGATTCTTTCAGATATTTTCTAAAGGTCATTTTATTCATTTGGTCTGTAAGATGATGAAAATCATTTTACACATTGAAGAAGCTATTTTAAAGCCTGACAAAGTACTTTACTTTCAAAAATATTTTCTAATAATCATTGCATAAATGTTTCACCTCCTTGGTTAAATTAATTCCTATGTGTTTTATTCTTTTTGATGCTATTGTAAACTGAACTATTCTCTTAATGTCTTTCTTAGCTTATTAATTGTTAGGTATACAAGTACAACTGATTTTTGTGCATTGGTTTTGTAATTACTACTTTGCTGAATTTAGTTATTAGTTGTGTGTGTGCGCGTGTGTGTGTGTGTGTGTGTGTGTAGAATCTTTAGGGCAGGGATGCCCAATATTTTGGCTTCCCTAGGCCACAGTGAAAGAAGAAGAATTGTTTTGGGCCACACAGATAATACACTAACACTAGCGATAGCTGATGAGCTACAAAAAAAATCCCAAAAAATAATCTCATAATGTTTTAAGAAAGTTTATAAATTTGTGTTGGGCCACATTCAAAGTTGTCCTAGGCTGCATGTGGCCTGCTGGTCGTAGGTTGGACAAGTTTGCTTTAGGGTTTTCTACACACAGTGTATTTAAGAAAGAGGAAGATTGTTTAACTTCATATAATAATAAGCAGATATTTTAATATGTTTTATTTTTACATAATATTATTCAAATATTAATCAGAGAGCCACCTGAAAGTGATTATCTACTTTCTCAACATAACTTTTTCCCACTATAAACAGGCATTGTTATGCAGAATATATAAAGACCTTCTGAAATCCTACAAGAAAACAAATGATCTGATTGAAAAGTGTGTAAAGAACTTGAATCGATATGTTTTCAAAGAAAATATACAAATAATAAACACACAAAAAGATGGTGAACATCACTAATCATTGGGGAAATGAAAATGAAAACTAAAATAATAAACCACCTCACGTTCATTAGGATGGCTACTAGACAAAAAACCTAAAAAATAGCAAGTGTTGGTGAGCATGTGGAGAAATTGAAACACTAGTGCGCTGTTGGTTGGAAGGCAAAGTGGTGCAGCCCAAAATTTCAGTTACACAAAAGAAGCAAGTTCAAGAGATTAATTTTGCATCCTAGTAACTATAGTTAATAACAATGTATTGTACACTTGAAAATTGTTAAGAGAGTAGATTTTAAGTGCTGTCTGTACAATAAAATAAGTGAGGTAATACATTTGTTAGTTGGCTTGATTTAACCATTCTACAATACATACGCATATCAAAACATCATGTTTTACAAAAGAAATATATACAATTTTTATTAAAAAATTGAAAGTTTAAAATAAAATCACATGGAAACTGTGGAAAACGTTATGTTTCCTCAAAAATTAAAAACAGTATTACCATGTGATTCAGCCATTTTACTTCTGAGTATGTACTCAAAAGACTTGAAAGCAGTCTCTGGAAGAGGTACTTATATACCCGTGTTCCTGGCAGCATCATTCACAATAGCTAAAACTTGGAAGCAAATTAAGCATCCATCCATGGATAAATCAATAAACAAAATGTGGTATATACACAAAAGGAATATCGTTCAGCCTTGAAAAAGAAGGAAATTCTGACACATGCTACAACATGGATCAAGAGTGAGGCTGGTATGCTAAGTTAAATAAGCCACTCATGAAAAGACAAATATGGCATGATTATACTTGAAAATGACCCAATACTTCCATATATTTTTAAATAAACATAGGTGTTTACTTTTCTGATCTGCAAGTTTGAAATTTACAAAATGATCTTCAGGCCTCTCAAAGTATCAAAGAACTGAAACTCACCATATAACCACATCCAGACAATGAGATGCAGGATCCCTCATTCATTATTCTTGCTTCCTTGTCCCTCTGTAATTCCTGTTTCTTGCACATTATTGCATTTCTTCCCTACTATATAAACCCCTAGTTTTCATCAGTCAGGGAGATGAATTTGAGACAGCTCCCATCTCCTTGGCTGTATCACCTGATTAAAACCTTCTTCATTGGCAATATTCATCGTCTCAGTGATTGAGTTCGTGTGTCAAACAGCAGGACCTAGACCAAATCCCTGGTGTTTTGGTAACACACTTTTATGGGGTACTTAAAGTAGTCAAAATCATTGATAAAGTAGAATGGTGGTTACCAACGACTTGGGGAGGGTGTAATGAGGAGTTATTGATGAATGGTATAGAGTTTTAGTTTTGCAAGATAAATAGAGTTCTAGAAATAGGTGGTGGTAAAGGTTGCACAACCATATGAATATACTTAATATCACTGAACTGTACACTCAGATATGTTTACATCTGTTCCTCTTCCTTCAGTTGTCCTTATTGTATTTGCTAGAAGGCATTAGGGCCAATTATCCCCCATAAGTATGGAAAGCCTTTTCTCTGTTCAAACGTTCATCAGCATGAAGGGTCCAAAAATGGCCAGAGGACAATCTGAGCTTCCAATTAGTCAGAACAATGGCTGAGTTTCATCATCAAAGCTTTCAACTTCTGGTCCTAGAACTCAAATGTCACCCAACTGAAGGTCACAGACAAGAAAGCCAAAATTATTCACAGATTATTAAGTAAGATAGCAAGAGAGATCACTTTCATCTTCACTTCAAGTTGTCCAGGCTCTGTTATGTCATGCCATCTCCTGCATAGCTATTCAGGAGAGGGCATGCCTTTGTGACCTCTAATTTAAAGCATATGCCACATACTGTAAGAGAATGACCAAACCTCATTGAAGTTCATCTTCTACTAGCAGTTATCTAAGAATTAAGAATTCTATCCTACCATCTTCTTGTGCTAGCTGCTTCTGAATGGTAGGCATTTTAGAAACATTATTGGATTTGTCTGTGGTGTGAGCTCTTTGCTATGATTCTTCACGTTAAAATAAATCACCTTGTTGGAAATGAGGTGGTATGTCCACCAGATAATGATCAAAAGCATTGGAAAGATGTTCTCTGAACATATGAATGTTGTTTCAGGTAGAAGATCTACAGACAAGTAACACAAATCCATACTGAATAATATTTATCCATATAAGGACCCTCCTCCGTGGTAAAAGTGGGTTTAATGCCACTGGTCAGTGAGCTGGTTCCCTGAGGAATGATACCATATTAGGGATTCAGATTTGGGTTCTATTACTGGCACATTGAGTAACAGCAACAGAGGTAATCAGATTAGCCTTAGTAATGCTATCTTGTTGAGCCCACATATTAATCCCATCTAGGTCACTATGAGCACTTTACACACAGGATCATTTATTTATTCCTATTGAGAACAGGAAGCCCATTCTGTTACAGCATCCCCCACTGACATCCCTAATCTACAGAGAAAAAAAATGAAAACAGACTGTAGGGCTCTTCAAGGAAGAGCAGGATGCCCCTTTACCAATATACTTGTTAAATCTTGCTGAAGTGCGTGTCCTCTGGTTATCTTAGAAGTGTATAGATAAAAAACTGGTTTCTCAGATTACACATGAAGATAAATTCATTGCACATTTCCATCACTCTGAAATTTTAAACTCCTCTAAAGTAGGGCTTCTCAACTTTAATGTGCACATGAATCACCTAGAGATCTTGTTAGAATTATAACTTCTGATTTAGTAGATATAGGGTAGGAGGGTAGAGCCTTCTAGTTGATGCTGCTTGTCTATGTGTCTCACTTTATGAAAGTAGGCTTTATCACAGTGTTTCTAAAGTGTGGTCCCCTGACATAAGCATCATCTTTGCATGAGAGCTTGTTCAAAATCCATATTTGCGGCTCCATCCCAAACTATTGCATTAGAAACTCAGAGATCCCAATTCAGCAATCTGTGTTTAAATAGCCATCCATGAAGCTGGGCATGGTGGCTCATGCCTGTAATCCCAGCACTTTGGGAGGCAGAGGCGGGTGGATCACTTGAAGTCAGGAGTTCGAAACCAGCCTGGCAAACATGGTGAAACCCCGCCTCCACTAAAAATAAAAATAAAAAAATATTACCCAGGCATGGTGGTGGGCACCTGTAATCCCAGCTACTTAGGAGGCTAAGGGAAGAAAATCTCTGGAGCCTGGGAGGCAGAGGTTGCAGATTGCACCATTGCACTCCAGCCTGGGCGACAGAGTGAGACTCTGTCTTAAAATAAAATAGCCATGCATATCACCCTGATGCTTGCTGAAATTTGAGAACCTTGTTTTATAATGTGCTGTAAAAGTTCAGACATTTTGACTTCATTAACTATAAGCTATTACTGAGACTTGGTTTCAGTTAGCTAATCTAGCTGACTATTAATGCCACTTTTCATTGTGGTAGCCAAAACATCACACCCTGAATTCAGGGTGAATGCATTTGTGCAAAAGAATTCAGCTTCAGCAAGTTTTGTATTTTGTTGCCCATTGTCTAACATCTTTAGAATTCACTCCCATGCATGATTTCTAGCTCCCTGCCAATAGTGACAATGACCTATACCTTTTTTTGTTTTGTTTTGAGACGGGGTCTCGCTCTGTCGCCCAGGCTGGAGTGCAGTGGTGTGATCTCGGCTCCCTGCAAGCTCTGCCTCCCAGGTTCACGCCATTCCTCTGCCTCAGCATCCTGGGGAGCTGGGACTACAGGCACCCACCAGCACGCCCGGCTAATTTTTTTGAATTTTTTTAGTAGAGACGGGGTTTCACTGTGTTAGCCAGGATGATCTCGGATCTCCTGACCTCGTGATCTGCCCGCCTCGGCCATCCAAAGTGCTGGGATTAAAGGCATGAGCCACCACGCCCAGCCAACCTATACCTATTTTGTAGTATAGGCTATCTTGTTTTCCTTTGATAGAAACAGAAACATAATTATTGGGGCTTTTCCCTTAAAGGGTTTGTCTACATGAAACTATCCCAAAGATGCCAGAAGTACTCATCAAGTCCCTGATGAGTGAGCTGACAATTCAGTGCACATAGTATGTCTATACAAAATAAAGAAGCAATCATCCTTACATAATGTTTTGTAAAACCAGCTTTTGGTATGTATTTTGCTGTAAAGATCAGCTATTATTGATTTCTGACAAGGCATTTCAATAGAGATATTTTTCACTAAGGCTCCATTTACATGATTCAGCAGTCAACAAAACCAGAGCTGGGGCCGAATCATCCTACAGGAGTTCAGAGAAGACCTACACGTGGATAGCAACAACACGTGATCACAGGAAACCCACGAAGAGAACAATGTTTTCCCAGAAATAAAGGGGTCTATTTCATACATACAAAGGACCTACACTCCAATCCACTGCACAGACAAATAATTTACATCTGCAAAATATATGTATGGATAATGATCCTTCATGTGAAGCTTGAGGCTAAAATATACCAATGACGCATTCAAGGGATATTCAGCTTTAGGAGGTTTCTATCTTGCTATAGCAACTTTTGAAAAAATTAAACATATAATTTTAGGAAAACGAATGAGATCATTGCCACACAGATATATTAAATAAGCTAGGGAAACAATGGAGGATATTACATGTACTGATGGTCGTGGTCTTTAGTATAGGTAAAGCAACTGTGGCCAGTTTTCCCTACGGCGGCCTTCTTTTAGGTTGAACAGTATGAAGTTGCTGCGTTTTGACCAATTGGCACCTCCATGTGGCAGTTTTATGTGTCTTAACCTAATAGTTCATGAAAAAAAATTTATTTTATTCACTCATGGGAGAATCTGTCTTTATTCTTTGCATCAGGAATTAGAATCCAGACAATAAATATACCTATGTGCACATGTAAAATTTACTCTTTTATTATTAGAATAGGTTTTACTTATTCCCACTCTGCATCTTTCTGATTTCAGTAGTTGCAATCTCTAGAGATCACTGTGATTATGGGTAAGATGATAATGACCTTATTCCAGAGGGGGAGTTTGTAACCTAAGCTAAGTCAATAAGCAATACACACAATCATCTATTTGTTCAGAAATGGGTATGTTACAATGGTGGGCTAAACAGAGAGGGGTTGGTGACTGTTGAAAGTGTTATGCATATAAATTTGAAAGTGGAATAGGATAGACTGAGATTATGAGGGAAGACTGTCTTAAAATGAAGTCATGATCAATGAAGTAAAAGCTGGCAGATAGTAATACCGCTAAACTCTTGGGTCAGTCCTTGCCTGAAGCCTGAGAGGAATTCTAGACCTTCAGATTCATAAGCCAATGAATATGCTATATTCTGTGTGGCAATTTTAGTTATGTTTTTATTACTTTTACAATAAAGTATCTTAACACATATGTGAAGGCAGTCATTCTATCTATATATATAAAATCATTAAAAATATATTAACATAAATACATAAATATTATGCAAACTATTGGTAAATTTATTACGCTCTATAGCTCCAAAACAATTTACATTCAAAATCATACAAATATGTGTGTACGTATATATATATATATATACATATATCTTTTATAAGTATTAAGTTGCCACTCTAGAAGTGAAGAAATGCATGTCTTATACACACACACACACATTTGTATGTATACAAATTACATTTCTTCTCTTCTAGAGTGGCAACTTAATAATTATAAAAATGTTATATGCAGCTAGTGGTAATGAGTGCTGGGTTTGGATTTCTGATCTGGTATGTGGATACTAATGCTTTGGGATTCCACTAATGTGTTAGGTGTAAACAGATGTGAGACAGAAGTAAAGTGGTAGGTAGGAGTGATGGGGAATAATATTATTGAAATTCCACATTTTAAAGATTTCCAAATCCTCTGTTACCTTGTGAGGGGAAATCTTCATTCTTAATGACAAAGTTATTTCAGCCATTGATTATATTCCAAGACAGAAGTGCCTCCACTACCAGTTTCTCTAGTTGTGGTATGAACCTCAATATTCAGACAAATTGAATAACAGCTGATTATATCTGACAGGCTTTCAGAGGGCCTGGGGTCAAAAATAAAACCTTTTGAAGTGACAAATAGATGAAATCATTAAAGAAGTGGTACCTAATAGCATGATTCAATTTGTTCTAAGTAAAAAAAGAAAAAAAAAGAAAGAAAAAAACAAAGTGAGCAACAGAAGCCAGAAGCTGTCAGAGGCACTTGATATATTTCTGTGATGGCATTTATAATCTCAAGGGATTGAGCGGGGAGCTTTATGTGGAAATGTGTGTGGGATATGTGTGTCAGAAAGAGAGGGAGAGAGGGAGGGAGAAGAGAGAGAGAAAGAGAGATCAAGACAGAGAGAGAAGTGCGAGAGTGTTTTGTTGTTGATGAAGCAATTTTAAAAATATCACCTCATTTGGGCCTTGCAACAAACCTACACAGTGTGAAGGGCAGTTATTATTATCCTCATTTTAAAAATGATGAAAGGGAGGCTGATGTCCTTAGTGGCTAAATGACTTTAGTACAGACAAATAGCTAGTGAATGGTGGACTTGGGATTATATTTCATATCTTCGGACTGCAAAATCCTTAAAAGTTTTACAACTCCTTCATATTATAATGCACCACTCATAAATGAAATCTAAAAAGCTGCTAATACAGTTTCAAATTGAATATTTTGTCACATCCTAGACTAATAAATCCAGTTGTATCTATATATAGTTATACATATCTCTTCAAATTTCCTTTAGGAGGTAAGATTATCATATATATGTATGTGTGTGTATATATATATACACACACATATATATGCATACAAACAAATTATATATATTATAAAGATATATATCTAGATCTACCTATATATACACTATATAAAGATCTATGATACACACACACACACACACACACACACACACACACACAAAACAAGATTTGTTAGGCTAGGATGTGACAAAATAAATATAACCTGGTAAATTTATTGAGAGAGAAAAGAAAAACTGTGTTTTGTAAATGTGTAAATATATATATACGTCTTAAAGAGATATATAAAGATATATAATTACATATCTTTATAAAGATATATTTAAGATATATCTATATTATATATAGACATTATATATTATGTGTATGTATATATAAAGAAATATATATAAAGATATTATATATAAAACATATATATTACATCTTTGTTTATCCTTTTGCAAAAGACAGTTTTTTTCCTCTCTCAATAAAATTATCAGGTTATATTTATTAAGGTGAAAAATAAATATATGATGTAGTTTGCCTAAAACTCTTAGGTGCTTCTGAACTTTCTCATAAAATACTTAAACATTTATTTGGACACCTTTAGGCATCTTTAAAGCTACTCTAAATCTTCTTCTACCCTTTCAATTCCCACATGAAAGAGAAAGCCAAATAATTTTTTCTCTGTTTCACTAGCAGTGAGAAGTGGCCCTGTCATCCAGTTCTGGGTCATAAAATATCAATGTAAAAATTTGTGCTTCTGAGAAAGTTTGGCTTTCTCACAGTAAAGAAGCAAGCTTTCGTGCAGATTTTACTTTTTTCTTGCTTTAAATCTGAGCACAATGACTAGAGAGCCAGCAGTAATCTGTCCACCTAAAGGAAAGTTGAAAGCAATCCGGGAGGCAGCCCTGACATGTTTGCACTACTGAAAACACACTAGCAACTGCCATCCTCTGGATTTGTCTTGGTGGGAGGTGGAGGCAGAGGGAAGGGAGGTGTTGTAGGTTTTACTGTTGTTTATATTCATTCACATCTGAAATATCCAAATAATGCTTTTTTGGTCCCCAAAACTCTTGAAACTACTTAACACATGTGCTATGTCACTACTTAGGACAGACAATATTAACAGCATCATCAGGCATTTTAAATATGCACCATTCTTACCTAAGTGCAAATGGGCACCCCTCAATCAAAGAATAAAAGGGGTCCCTATCATGCTAACGTTCTTCAGCACCTTTGCATTTCTGTTGGATCAAGTATATGGTACCTTATAAGTATCTTGTTGATGCAGACTGACTTTTCAGACTAACACTATATGCTCCTGCTAAGTGACTATTTGCTACCATTGCCACCTCCTTTTCCTTATTTATGCTTTTCCATCTAGCAGCAATACTTTCTCACAATTTTCTCCTCTGCAGTGCTGCCTGTTGATGACTAGGAATACTCTTTACAAGCTTATCTACAGCAATATCTCTTATTTAAAGCCTTGCCTGCATTATCTCTCATTTAAAGCCTTGCCTGGTACTTGTAACCAAAATTATGTTCTTCCTTTTAATCCCCTTGGGGAAATTGTTACTGCTCATGTGGCATTAATATCACACATTTTATTGTACTATTATGTGGAGTAGACACATTCCTTGTCATTTGCAAAATTATCACCCTCACTCCCAGTAGACCATACAGCTAGCTCCTTGAGGGCAGGAAGAGTATGTGACTCATTTTCCTTAGTCATACAGTATATAGCACAAAGGTGATAGTGGTGGGATAGCTATGGGTACCAAGGCTGAAAGAGTTTATTCTCTGCAAAAAGTGATTCCCTTCTTCATGCCCTCCTCTACTGCTACAAATTTCTCAAGAATGAGAGTAAGCAAAGAGGAAGGGCTATCTTGTAGATACAATTTTAGAGAGTTTGATATTTATGTATAAAATCTAAAACAGAGATTTCCAAATCAGACATTTTTAAAAACTACCTCTGCATAATATTGTCGGGGGTTGGAAAATTCCAGCACACAGGCCAAATCCAGCCCAGTGGGCTGATTTGATAAAGTTGTATTGGAACCCAGCCACGTATTTGTTTCTGTTATATCTAAGTCTGCTTTTGCACTATAAAGGAAGAGTTGAGTAGATGCCAGAGAGACCCATACAGCCTACAAAGCCCAAACTATTTACCCTCTTGCCCTTTATAGAAAAACTCTGCAAACTGTTATTAGGAAGGTTATAAAACAATATTAGAAAAACAAGTTTTTAGCATTTTTCTTGATGGCAGAACTTCTCTAACCCTTTGATTACTATTACAAATTTTCATATCATTTTCCTGAGCTGTCAAAATTATTTTCACCATAGAAAAATTTTTAACAGACGTTATCTTCTCAGGCTAAGTGATCTGAGGATCGCATTTGGCAAATGCTGCTTTAAAAAAGTGCAAGAAAAGAATTGTTAAAATGATTTGCAGTTTTCCCTTAAAGTAATTGCCTCATCTGTTAATATTTAACCCTGTGAATGTGCTTATTATTCTAGTAATTTTCTAGGACACAATTAAGTGACATTGAAAACTGCTCTGGCCCATGATAAAAGAAATACTTAAGCTTCCTTGAGATAAAAAGTTACAGCATACCTTGTGCTATAAACAAGTTAGGTGGTAATTATCTGAGTGATGTGGATAATTAACATCAAAACAGCAGCAAATGTACTTGAGGGGAATCTACGATGTTGGACTTAAATTATTTAATCTAATTTAAATGGAGTCAGGAATACCAGACTTTAGATATATTAATGTGGATAGATCACACAATTATAAATTCCATTAGATGTAGAACTTTCTGTATTTTCTTATAGTTCTTAAATTACTGCTTTCCTTAACCTCAATGTTTTCCCTTAGAAACTATGGTTGGTCTCATTTATATCCCTTCTAAAATAACTATGTTTCTTTAACTTGAATAAACATAGTGTTGATGTAAAAAGGTACTAAATCAAAATGTATTTTTTTCCAGTTTTAGAAGATTGCACAAATTATTTAGTGATCAAATTCATTTAACCGAACAGTAGTGAAACTGCCTTTGCAAAAATGGTAACAGGGAGAAAATTATGACAGTGAAAGAGATCTGACCTAACCTACTCCATCTTGCCTTTAACCTCTAAATTGCTCTTAGTCATTCCTGGGCATGGGCCAAGCTAACTTTGGGAGAAATTTAGTTTATAGTTTACATGATAATAGCCCTTCCCAGAAACTAAACTGCCTTTGTAAAACTAATGAAAGTCCACCAGGTTAGGAGGCTGAGAGGGGCCTGAATATTGCTAAGACCCCTGTCTTGGGGTCTGGATTGCGACCTCTCTCTGGTTATATAACCTCAGACCATATGTCTTCCTACTGTCAATGGAGAGGCAGCATGATGCAGTAGAACCTACTATGGCTGTGAAGTCAGACCCAGGTTTGAGTCTCAGTCCCTCTGCTTAGTATTACACAACTTAGGCTTAAACAATTACCAGTCATTGTTCTAGAGGTTACAAGATCTGCAACTTCTCTAATTATTTCTGTAATTAACATCACTATTTTAGAACCTAAGATTGGCTTTTTAAGGTGTTTTTACAGACTTTTGCATTTCTGAAAACCTGATGACTCCACCTAGGCCAGGGACTACTCTGTGGCTCCAACTCAGAAGCACACTCAGTCCAGAAGGACCATTTTGTACACCTTATCAACCAATCAGCAATTTTCCTAGCCCTCTGCCTGCCAAACTGCCCTTGAAAAGCCCTAGCCTCCACATTTTGTGGGAGGCTGATTTGAGTAGTAATAAAACTTTAGTCTCCCATTTAGCCAGCTCTACATGTATTAAACTCTCTCTATTGCAACTCCCCTCTCTTGATAAATCAGCTATATCTGGGCAAGATGAACCCATTGGGTGGTCAGATAGGTCCGTAAGGAATTATAATTATGTTGATGCATGTGTACTCCAAAGAGACTACTTAGGACTATCTCACAAAGTTATATTCAATATATAAAGACCCACAGCCTCAGATTTATACATCATGAAAACTTATTGGTTTTATCAGAGGCATTTGAACCAAAGATACTCCATTATGAAGAGGGGCTGGGAAAAATAAGGCTGAGACCTGTTGGGCTGCATATCCAGGGGATTAGACATTCTTAGTCACAGGATGAGATAGGATGTTAGCTCAAAGTACAAGTCACAAAAATCCTGCTGATAAAACAGATTATGGTAAAGAAGCTGCCAAAACATGCCCAAACCAAGATGGTGAAGAAAGTCACCTCTGGTCATCGTCAGTACTCATTATTAGCTAATTATAATGCATTAGCATGCTGAAAGACACTCCCACCAGAGCCATGAGAGCTTACAAATGCCATGGCAACATTTGGAAGTTGCCCTATATGGTCTAAAACAGCAGGGAGGAACCTCAATTCCAGGAATTGCCCACCCCACCCCTTTCCTGGAACACTCTTGAATAATCTACCCCTCGATTAGCACATGATCAAGAAATAACTATAAGTATACTCAGTTAAGCAGCCCACGCCACTGCTTGCCTATGGAGTAGCAATTCTTTATTCCTTTACTTTCTTAATAAATAAATTCTTGTACAAGGATCAAGAACCCTCTCTTGGGGTCTGGATTGGAACCCCTTTCTGGTAACATAACCCCAGACCAGAGGCCTTCCTATTGTCAATGGTGAGGCAGCATGATGCAGTAAAGCCTACTATGGCTGTGGAGTCAGACTCAAGTTTGAGTCTCAGTCTCTGGTATTACACAACTTAAGCCTTTACATGAGAAAAAATATCTGACAAATAAAGTTGCAGTACTTGAGTAAAGATACTAAAGGAACTTTATCTCATATTTTGTCAGTCAGTGGTATAACTGGGTTTCACCTATTCAAAATAAAATTTATTGATTTTTTTAATATTCTTTTTGGTCAATGTTTTGTTTCCTTGACCTGTTAAGACAATTGAGAACATCATTAATAATACCTATCAAGGTAAAATGTTGTTTTGAATAATTTATGTTAGAGATATTTATTTAATATAATTATGATAAGAATTTTAAACAGATACATAAGATATACAAAATGCTGTAAGAAAAATAAGTAATACAATTGGAGTAAAAAAAGTAACATCTTAGAAAGGTTAAGTAATTGAAATATGTATTGAGGATATTTCTGCAAAATTACCAACGTTTTTCATAATTTTCATAATTTGTGTTCTTGTTGATTTATTACATAACAACAGTATTTTAATTGTCCGAGGAGAGAAACAGATTTTCTTTGTACTAATGTCAGGACAAAAACAAATCCACAAAATCTCAAAAAGGAAAAATTAAAGATGTCTTATGTTTTTCATGACTACCATTTTACACCTCTGATGAAACTGAATCAAAATGGCCTCATCATTATTAGTCATCATTTGTACACACTCTTACTATGCAAGTGGATTGAAAAGGAGTACGTGTAGAATACTTACTCTAATCCTTCAAGGAATTTATTATACAGAAGGGTAGAGAATTGAGAACTGTCACATATTAGAGTGTTTGTATTGGAAATATCGATACTGGTCTATAATTATCTATTTATCTATCTGTCATCTATCTAGTTGTGCATATGAAAACATATGAACCTATATGGTATTAATAATTATTAAATAATAAGCTATTTGTGCTACATTTTTATTTGAATGGCCTGAAAGAAAGTTCATCATAAACTCACCTGAACTCTAAATAGCAAGAATCTTGGGGACATGAAAATTTTCTCTTTTCAAGTATTCTTTTCATGATTTTGTATACTCATCAAACAATGAAATCATAATTTTAAAACAATCTCATGTGATTTTTTGCATGAAAAAATTATATCTGAAATATATTGTTACATAGAAATGTAAATATGCATGTATGAGGAATAAAATCATGGTTGAAAAATATAAAGCTGAAGGCTCAGCCTCATATCCTTTTAAGTGTAGTGACACAGAAATGTCTTAGGTACACAGAGAAGGACTTACAGCACTTTTAAAACTTGAGCATATTATTTAAAATATAATTTATTATTACTAAAAGAGAAAGTTATTTCAAATCTTTATTTAAAAAAATCTCCACGGGGGAGGAGCCAAGATGGCCGAATAGGAAAAGCTCCGGTCTACAGCTCCCAGCGTGAGCGACGCAGAAGACGGTGATTTCTCCATTTCCATCTGAGGTACCCGGTTCATCTCACTAGGAAGTGCCAGACAGCGGGCGCAGGTCAGTGGGTGTGCGCACCGTGTGCCAGCTGAAGCAGGGCGAGGCATTGCCTCACTTGGGAAGTGCAAGGGGTCAGGGAGTTCCCTTTCCGAGTCAAAGAAAGGGGTGACCGACGGCACCTGGAAAATCGGGTCACTCCCACCCGAATACTGCGCTTTTCCGACGGGCTTGAAAAACGGCGCACCAGGAGATTACATCCCGCACCTGGCTCAGAGGGTCCTACGCCCACGGAGTCTCGCTGATTGCTAGCACAGCAGTCTGAGATCAAACTGCAAGGCGGCAGCGAGGCTGGGGGAGGGGCGCCCACCATTGCCCAGGCTTGCTTAGGTAAACAAAGCAGCCCGGAAACTCCAACTGGGTGGAGCCCACCACAGCTCAAGGAGGCCTGCCTGCCTCTGTAGGCTCCACCTCTGGGAGCAGGGCACAAACAAAAAGACAGCAGTAACCTCTGCAGACTTAAATGTCCCTGTCTGACAGCTTTGAAGAGAGCAGTGGTTCTCCCAGCATGCAGCTGGAGATCTGAGAACGGGCAGACTGCCTCCTCAAGTGGGTCCCTGACCCCTGACCCCCGAGCAGCCTAACTGGGAGGCACCCCCCAGCAGGGGCACACTGACACCTCACACGGCAGGGTATTCCAACAGACATGTAGCTGAGGGTCCTGTCTGTTAGAAAGAAAACTAACAAACAGAAAGGACATCCACACCAAAAACCCATCTGTACATCACCATCATCAAAGACCAAAAGTAGATAAAACCACAAAGATGGGGAAAAAACAGAACAGAAAAACTGGAAACTCTAAAAAGCAAAGTGCCTCTCCTCCTCCAAAGGAACGCAGTTCCTCACCAGCAACGGAACAAAGCTGGACAGAGAATGACTTTGACGAGCTGAGAGAAGAAGGCTTCAGACGATCAAATTACTCTGAGCTACAGGAGGACATTCAAACCAAAGGCAAAGAAGTTGAAAACTTTGAAAAAAATTTAGAAGACTGTATAACTAGAATAATCAATACAGAGAAGTGCTTAAAGATGCTGATGGAGCTGAAAACCAAGGCTCCAGAAGTACGTGAAGAATGCAGAAGCCTCAGGAGCTGACGTGATCAATTGGAAGAAAGGGTATCAGCGATGGAAGATGAAATGAATGAAACAAAGCAAGAAGGGAAGTTTAGAGAAGAAAGAATAAAAAGAAATGAGCAAAGCCTCCAAGAAATATGGGACTATGTGAAAAGACCAAATCTACATCTGACTGGGGTACCTGAAAGCGATGGGGAGAATGAAACCAAGTTGGAAAACACTCTGCAGGATATTATCCAGGAGAACTTCCCCAATCTAGCAAGGCAGGCCAACGTTCAGATTCAGGAAATACAGAGAACGCCACAAAGATACTCCTCAAGAAGAGCAACTCCAAGACACATAATTGTCAGATTCACCAAAGTTGAAATGAAGGAAAAAATGTTAAGGGCAGCCAGAGAGAAAGGTCAGGTTACCCTCAAAGGGAAGCCCATCAGACTAATAGCGGATCTCTCAGCAGAAACCCTACACGCCAGAAGAGAGTGGGGGCCAATATTCAACATTCTTAAAGAAAAGAATTTTCAACCCAGAATTTCATATCCAGCCAAACTAAGCTTCATAAGTGAAGGAGAAATAAAATACTTTACAGATAAGCAAATGCTGAGAGATTTTGTCACCACCAGGCCTGCCCTAAAAGAGCTCCTGAAGGAAGCACTAAACATGGAAAGGAACAACCGGTACCAGTCACTGCAAAATCATGCCAAAATGTAAAGACCATCGAGACTAGGAAGAAACTGCATCAACTAACGAGCAAAATAACCAGCTAACATCATAATGACAGGATCAAATTCACACATAACAATATTAACTTTAAATGTAAAAGGACTAAATGCTCCAATTAAAAGACACAGACTGGCAAATTGGATAAAGAGTCAAGACCCATCAGTGTGCTGTGTTCAGGAAACCCATCTCACGTGCAGAGACACACATAGGCTCAAAATAAAGGGATGGAGGAAGATCTACCAAGCAAATGGAAAACAAAAAAAGGCAGGGGTTGCAATCCTAGTCTCTGATAAAACAGACTTTAAACCAACAAAGATCAAAAGAGACAAAGAAGGCCATTACATAATGGTAAAGGGATCAATTCAACAAGAAGAGCTAACTATCCTGAATATATATGCACCCAATACAGGAGCACCCAGATTCATAAAGCAAGTCCTGAGTGACCTACAAAGAGACAGACTCCCACACATTAATAATGGGAGACTTTAACACCCCACTGTCAACATTAGACAGATCAACGAGACAGAAAGTCAACAAGGATACCCAGGAATTGAACTTAGCTCTGCACCAAGCGGACCTAATAGACATCTACAGAACTCTCCACCCCAAATCAACAGAATATACATTTTTTTCAGCACCATACCACACCTATTCCAAAATTGACCACATACTTGGAAGTAAAGCTCTCCTCAGCAAATGTAAAAGAACAGAAATTATAACAAACTCTCTCTCAGACCACTGTGCAAACAAACTAGAACTCAGGATTAAGAATCTCACTCAAAACCGCTCAACTACATGGAAACTGAACAACCTGCTCCTGAATGACTACTGGGTACATAACGAAATGAAGGCAGAAATAAAGATGTTCTTTGAAACCAATGAGAACAAAGACACAATATACCAGAATCTCTGGGATGCATTCAAAGCAGTGTGTAGAGGGAAATTTATAGCACTAAATGCCCCCAAGAGAAAGCAGGAAAGATCCAAAATTGACACCCTAACATCACAATTAAAAGAACTAGAAAAGCAAGAGCAAACACATTCAAAAGCTAGCAGAAGGCAAGAAATAACTAAAATCAGAGCAGAACTGAAGGAAATAGAGACACAAAAACCCTTCAAAAAATTAATGAATCCAGGAGCTGGTTTTTTGAAAGGATCCACAAAATTGATAGACCGCTAGCAAGACTAATAAAGAAAAAAAGAGAGAAGAATCAAATAGACGCAATAAAAAATGATAAAGGGGATATCACCACCGATCCCACAGAAATACAAACTACCATCAGAGAATACTACAAACACCTTTATGCAAGTAAACTAGAAAATCTAGAAGAAATGGATAAATTCCTCGACACATACACCCTCAAAGACTAAACCAGGAAGAAGTTAAATCTCTGAATAGACCAATAACTGGATCTGAAATTGTGGCAATAATCAATAGCTTACCAACCAAAAAGAGTCCAGGGCCAGATGGATTCACAGCCGAATTCTACCAGAGGTACAAGGAGGAACTGGTACCATTCCTTCTGAAACTATTCCAATCAATAGAAAAAGAGGGAATCCTCTCTAACTCATTTTATGAGGCCAGCATCATTCTGATACCAAAGCCTGGCAGAGACACAAGAAAAAAAGAGAATTTTACACCAATATCCTTGATGAGCATCGATGCAAAAATCCTCAATAAAATACTGGCAAACCGAGTCCAGCAGCACGTCAAAAAGCTTATCCACCATGATCAAGTGGGCTTCATCCCTGGGATGCAAGGCTGGTTCAATATACACAAATCAATAAATGTAATCCAGCATATAAACAGAGCCAAGGACAAAAACCAGATGATTATCTCAATAGATGCAGAAAAGGACTTTGACAAATTTCAACAACCCTTCATGCTAAAAACTCTCAATAAATTAGGTATTGATGGGACGTATCTCAAAATCATAAGAGCTATCTATGACAAACCCACAGCCAATATCATACTGAATGGGCAAAAACTGGAAGCATTCCCTTTGAAAACTGGCACAAGACAGGGTGCCCTCTCTCACCACTCCTATTCAACATAGTGTTGGAAGTTCTGGCCAGAGCAATTAGGCAGGAGAAGGAAATAAAGGGTATTCAATTAGGAGAAAAGGAAGTTAAATTGTCCCTGTTTGCAGATGACATGATTGTATATCTAGAAAACCCCATTGTCTCAGCCCAAAATCTCCTTAAGCTGATAAGCAACTTCAGCAAAGTCTCAGGATACAAAATCAATGTACAAAAATCACAAGCATTCTTATACACCAATAACAGACAAACAGAGAGCCAAATCATGAGTGAACTCCCATTCACAACTGCTTCAAAGAGAATAAATTACCTAGGAATCCAACTTACAAGGGATGTGAAGGACCTCTTCAAGGAGAACTACAAACCACTTCTCAAGGAAATAAAAGAGGATACAAACAAATGGAAGAACATTCCATGCTCATGGGTAGGAAGAATCAATATCGTGAAAATGGCCATACTGCCCAAGGTAATTTACAGATTCAATGCCATCCCCATCAAGCTACCAATGCCTTTCTTCACAGAATTGGAAAAAACGACTTTAAAGTTCATATGGAACCAAAAAAGAGCCCGCATCACCAAGTCAATCCTAAGCCAAAGGAACAAAGCTGGAGGCATCACACTACCTGACTTCAAACTATACTACAAGGCTACAGTAACCAAAACAGCCTGGTACTGGTACCAAAACAGAGATATAGATCAATGGAACAGAACAGAGCCCTCAGAAATAACGCCGCATATCTACAACTATCTGATCTTTGACAAACCTGAGAAAAACAAGCAATGGGGAGAGGATTCCCTGTTTCATAAATGGTGCTGGGAAAACAGGCTAGCCATATGTAGAAAGCTGAAACTGGATCCCTTCCTTACACCTTATAGAAAAATCAATTCAAGATGGATTAAAGACTTAAACGTTGGACCTAAAACCTTAAAAACCGTTGAAGAAAACCTAGGCTTTACCATTCAGGACATAGGCATGGGCAAGGACTTCATGTCTCAAACCCCAAAAGCAATGGCAACAAAAGCCAAAACTGACAAATGGGATCTAATTAAACTAAAGAGCTTCTGCACAGCAAAAGAAACTACCATCAGAGAGAACAGGCAACCTACAAAATGGGAGAAAATTTTCGCAATCAACTCATCTGACAAAGGGCTAATATCCAGAATCTACAATGAACTCAAACAAATTTACAAGAAAAAAACAAACAACCCCATCAAAAAGTGGATGAAGGACATGAACAGACACTTCTCAAAAGAAGACATTTATGCAGCCAAAAAACAAATGAAAAAATGCTCATCATCACTGGCCATCAGAGCAATGGAAATCAAAACCACAATGAGATACCATCTCACACCAGTTAGAATGGCAATCATTAAAAAGTCAGGAAACAACACGTGCTGGAGAGGATGTGGAGAAATAGGAACACTTTTACACTGTTGGTGGGACTGTAAACTAGTTCAACCATTGTGGAAGTCAGTGTGGCGATTCCTCAGGGGGATCTAGAACTGGAAGTACCATTTGACCCAGTCGTCCCATTACTGGGTATATACCCAAAGGACTATAAATCATGCTGCTATAAAGACACATGCACACGTATGTTTATTGTGGCATTATTCACAATACCAAAGACTTGGAACCAACCCAAATGTCCAACAATGATAGACTGGATTAAGAAAATGTGGCACATATACACCATGGAATACTATGCAGCTATAAAAAAGGATGAGTTCATGTCCTTTGTAGGGACATGGATGAAATTGGAAGTCATCATTCTCAGTAAACTATCACAAGAACAAAAAACCAAACACCGCATATTCTCACTCATAAGTGGGAATTGAACAATGAAATCACATGGACACAGGAAGGGGAATATCACACTCTGGGGACTGTTGTGGGGTGGGGAGAGGGGGGAGGGATAGCATTGGGAGATATACCTAATGCTAGATGACGAGTTGGTGGGTGCAGCGCACCAGCATGGCACATGTATACATATGTAACTAACCTGCACAATGTGCACATGTACCCTAAAACTTTAATAAAAAAAAATAGTGATAACGATTAAACAGTATTTCAAGATGTCTACAAATCTGTAATATGACATGAAAATATCTGCGATACCTGTTGATGACAAAATCAGAGATACTGCCACTGTCTTTTGTTTACATTCATAACTGAAGGAAGTGCTAAATTTCTTTTAGAAGTTAGCGAAAATAAAGGAGTAAATTTGTTTTAACTAAAAAAAAAAAAAACAAAACTCCACAAATCCCCCTGCAAAACAGCATTTTAAACATTAAAAAGTATAAAATGGTAAAAGTATTTTTATTTTTAGTATTTTAACATATTCAGTATCAAATACTATTAAATGCCTACTTTGCCACAGCTTTATGATAAATGCTATTCATATACTCATGGACAAAAGAGTTTTTTCATTTTTTCTGGAGCCAGGAGCAAGAGATAAATTAAGCAAGTATAATAAGCAGTCATGTGTTTATATACACATAACATATATGTATATCATAAATTGCAAATTACAGTTATATATTTCTTCTTTAATAATATTTGATTTCCTTAAACATGTTCCAGTTCTGAGTTTTTATGTGTAAATTTTATTCATTACTACCTTGATTTGGTAGACATTATTCTATTTCTGTACCTTTTTCCATAAATTTCTATTTCAGATTCTATTTCAATGGATTTAAAATATTATAATACCACTAAAATACAATTCTCACTTTCATTGAAGCTATTGTTATCCAAATTTTATATTAATTTCTATTTTGTTTCTCCAATATTATAAAAGCTATTTCTTCTGCAATTGAAGCACAAGCCTCACTTCAGAAACACGTAAAAGTCAATTGACTATCGCAAGAACAAAAAAACCAAACACCACATATTCTCACTCATAGGTGGGAATTGAACAATGAGAACACATGGACACAGGAAGGGGAACATCACACTCTGGGGACTGTTGTGTGGTGGGGGGAGGGGGGAGGGATAGCATTAGGAGATATACCTAATGCTAAATGACCAGTTAATGGGGGCTGCACATCAGCATGGCACATGTATACATATGTAACTACCCTGCACATTGTGCACATGTACCCTAAAACTTAAAGTATAATAATAATAAAATAAAATTAAAAAAAAAAACAAAGAAAATGTCAAACTTCTGCCTATAATACTCAGCTATGGTTTTCTGAAACAACATAGTTCAAAAAGAGCCATCGACCTGATGGCCTTTTGACACACAATGATGGATGCAATGTATCTATTACTTTACTGCCAGAATGTTCTCCAAGAGAATGAAACAATCAATGAAGAATAATAAATCTAAACTGGGTAGAAGGTTTGCTTGTTTTAAATGTATTAAAAGAGAAACAATGGGTATCTCACTTCTTACCTTAAACAAAGATCAACTTAAACCTGAGACCTGAAACCATAAAAATTATAGAAGATAACATTGGAAAAACCCTTCTAGACACTGGCTTAGGCAAAGACTTCATGATCAAGAACCCTAAAGCAAGTGCGACAACAACAAAATGAAGATAAACAGGTGAGACTTAATTAAACCAAAAAGTTTCTGCACAGCCAGAGAAACAATTAGCAGAGTAAACAGACAACCCACAGAATGGGAGAATATCTTCACAATCTATACATCTGACAAAGGACTAATATCCAGAATCTACAAGGAACTCAGACAAATTAGCAGAAAAAAAACCCCCAATCCATTCAAATAATGGTCTAAGGACTTGAATAGACAATTCTCAAAAGAAGATATAAAAAATGGCCAACAAATATATGAAAAAATGCTCAACATCACTAATGATCAGAGATACGTTAATCGAAACCAGAATGCTGGTGCTGGGCCGGGCGTGGTGGCTCGCAGCTCACGCCTGAAACCCCAGCAGTTTGGGAGCCTGAGATGGGTGGATCCCGAGGTCAAGAGATCGACGACCATCTTGGCCAACATGGTGAAAACCTATCTCTACTAAAAACACAAAAATTAGTCGAGTGTGGTGGCAGGCACCTCTAGTCCCAGCTACTTGGGAGGCTGAGACAGGAGAATCACTTGAACTCAGGGGGCAGAGGTTGCACTCCAACCTGGCAACAAACTCTATCAAAAAAAAAAAAAAAAAAAGCCATGCCACCTTACTCCTGCAAGAATGGTCATAATCAAAACATCAAAAAATAATAAATATTGGTGGGCATGTGGTGAAAAGGGAACACTTTTACACTGCTGGTGGGAATGTAAACTAGTACAGCCACTATGGTAAACAGTGTGCAGATTTCTTAAAGAACAAAAGTAGAACTACCATTTAATCCAGCAATTCCATTACTGGGTATCTACCCAGAGGAAAAGAAGTCATTATATGAAAAAGGTGCTTGCACATGCATGTTTATAGCAGCACAATTCACAATTGCAAAAATATGTAACCAGCCCAAATGCCCATCAATAAGTAGATTAAGAAATTGTGATATATATATATATATATATATATATGTATGAATACTATTCAGCCACAAAAGGAAAAAAAATGGGATTCACAGCAACCTGGGTGGAATCAGAGACTATTATTCTAAGTGAAGTAATAATGTCAGAATGGAAAACCAAACATCGTATGCCCTCGCTTGTAAGTGGGAACTAAGCTATGAGGATGCAAAGGCATTAGAATACTACAATGGACTTTGGGGACTTGGGAGAAAGGGTGTGGGGCATGAGGAATAAAAGACTACAAGTTGGACAGTGTATACTGCATAGGTGTTGGGTGCATCAAAATCTCATTAATCACCTACCTCTAAGGAACTTACTCTTACAATCAAACGCCACCTGTTCCCCAAAAACCTATGGAAACAAAATAAAATGAAGAAATTTTGTGTATGCATATCACATATTTTTTAACTTTTTTCACAGGTTCATTGAGATATAATTTATATATTATTTAATTCACTCATATAAAGTATAAAATTCAATTTTTTTAGGGCATTAACTAGGTGGATACGCAATCACCACAATATAATTTTAGAACATTTTCATGCTCCTTAAAAGAAACCTTGCACCCATTAGCAATCTTTCCCCATTTTCCCCACTCTTTCTTTAAACCCCTCCCAGCCCTAGGCAACCATCCATCTACTTCCTAAGGATTTGCCTATTCTGGAAGGATTTGCCTATCCTAGACATTTCATGTAAGCGGAATCATAATAATATATAGTTACGTGCGACTCACTACTTTCACTTACCATGTTTTCAATGTTTATCCTTTTTGCAGCATGTATTAATACCTTTTTCTTTTTCATTGCCAATATAATATTTTATGGACAGACCACATTTCATTAATCTACTCCTCAGTTGATGAACATTTCTGTTGTTTCCTACTTTTTGTTGCTATAAATACTTGTATGCTACTTTTTGTGTAGGCATTTGTTTTAATTTTTTTTGGTGTATACACAGGAGTGAATTTACTGAGTCACGTGGTAAATCTATATTTAACCTTTTGAAGAACTGTTTCCTTTTTCTGCATGTTGCTTGCCAATTATCCCAGCACCATCCATATATTGAATAGGGTGTCCTTTCCCCACTTTATGTTTTGTTTGCTTTATCAAAGATCAGGTAGTCTGATGCCTCCAGATTTGTTCTTTTTGCTCAAGATTGCTTTGTTTTTTTCAGCGTCTTTTGTGGTTCCATACAGATTTTAGGACTAATTTTTCTGTTTCTGTGGGCATTGGAATTTGATAGTGGTTCCATTTAATCTGTAGATTGTTTTGGGTAGCACGGAAATTTTGACAATATTATTTTTTGAATTCATAAATATGGGATATTTTTCTATTTATTTATGTCACTTTCAACTTCTTTCATCAATGTGCTATAATTTTCAGTATACACATCTTTCACACCCTTCATTAAAATTACTCCTGAGTATTTTAATTACTTATATATTTGTTTTGATGCTATTATAAATGGAATTACATTATTAATTTATTTTTCAGATAGTTTGTCATGGGTGTATAGAAACAAGAATACTATTTTTATGTTAATTTTGTAACTCTCAACTTTACTGAATATGTTTATCAGCTTTAACGGGTTTTTTTTGGTGGAGTCTAAGATTTTCTTTATGTTAAGATTACATTTTCAGAAAACAGAGACAATCTCACCCCTTCCTTTGCTATTTGGATGCCTTTCATTTCTTTGCCTTGTACAATTACTCTGGCTAGTAGATTACATATAATGTTTTCAGTATTTGTAATTTGACATCAAATCCATCTGTTGTAATACACTGATTTTCACTTTTCAACTTGGAAACCTGGACATTTATCACTACTCTCTCTTTCTCTTGGTCTAGTCCTTATTAAAAAAAACCTATCAAGGTAAACCAAGATAATTATTTTTCTATAAAACAATTTTAAAGGCATTTTAAAAATTTAACAATTTTTAAACTTTCTATGTCAATGATTTTAAACTGCAGTCTCTCAAAACAAATCCAATACCTTTAGCAGGAAAAATTATGTTAATTCCTACACTATCATTGGGTCTAGCCAAGAGTTGATATTAATAGATATGCTTATTACCTTGTTCTAACAGTTGCAGTGTAAGTCTTGAAAATCAAGTAAAAATTTGTAAAGATTATAATTGCACAAACTCCCTCTCTCATGAGTCACACAGTTAATCCAAAATATTATTTCTAACTTATAAAGCCAACAAGTAAATATGATGTAGTGTTTAAAAATAACCCTAATAAATATATTCTATAAATGAAACATTGATACTATTTATTGAATATCTCATATTTATTTACATAGAAACAAAGGAATCAAAAGCATATTATGCAACATTTAAATGACTAAAAATACTTGAGATAGCATTGCTACATAAATGCTGACAAAAGTAAAAATGCCGTTCCCTACATTTGATAAATATATTGTGACACATTATAAGTATTTTAAAGATATATCACTAATGCTTGGGTCAAGTGGGCAAAAATGATTCTAAGTATTTAATTGTGGAAAAATTTAGTACAGGGAATAGTATTCAAGTGATGAAAAAATTTTAAGTGGAACTCAAGAGATTAGAAGCAGCAGGAAGTTTTAATAACGTACCAGGTGCAGCGTATAGGATACAAGACAGAACTGTAGGTAAAGTCTGACTCTTTCCAGCATAGCCAGGAGACATGGCTAATTCCACCTGTCCCCAGCCCTTACCTAGAAATTGAACAGCTCCAAACCAGGTAAACAGAACAATTTTCCGAAGTCAAACAATTTGTGACATTAAAGCACTTCTAAAATTTAACCTCTGACTTAAATTAGACAAAATGGATAAATTTTGATGTTTTTTTACCAATGATTTTAACACTGTCTTTATTTCCCAAAGATTACTGAAGTCATGTGAAATAAAAGGCATTAGAGCTTCTATTTTTCTGACAAAATATTTAAGAACCTTCCTTTTCTTCTAAGCCAAGTAATTAGGGCTCCTTTATATATACATCACATACACAACACTTCTAGACAGGAAAAGATCTAGCAGTTGTAAGTTTTTCTTTCTCATTTTATGAACCCTAACGCAACTTCCACAGACCATCTATGACATGAACTTTCTGACTTTTCCTTTATTTCCCTCTTTCATAATTAGTCATTCTACTTTAGGACAAAAATTTGCCATACAAGATCCTCTCTTATATAACATTTCTTTGCTTCACAACTTTTCTTAACATAAATACATCTTCATATCCACAACTTTCTCTAGATCTCTCTCCCTGACTGATTTCTGATTCCCACCCAAACTTAAAAGGTCAGATAACGCAAAGCAAAACAGAGGAGAGCCTTAGAGTTTGAGAGACCTGTCTGCCTGAAGTTCTTGAGGTTCCATGAGGACAACAGAAGTTTCTCCTAAAATGGGTTTTGTAGCACCTTCTATTTTTCTTTAAGGAGTCCCAGCCTGTCAGAAATTACCTTAGATCCTCTCATGTGGGCACTGAGTGGTAACAAGACAGACTAGGGAACAGTGGCAACAAGACAGACAACTGAGGAGAAAAACTTAACTACAGTCCCCACTGTAAAGATGGATAAACTGAGGCACCATGCAGTTTAAAAATTCATGTTTACATAGAGTTGGGCTCCACAGCTCACTCTCTTAACCATCCTGTAATTTTGCTGAATCTATGCCCAGTCACTGATGCACCTGTATGGTACCTCATGGCCCCCTTAGAGCTTAGAACCTGGGTTTCATTCCTGCTCTACAGCTATATAATTTAACAATTTTCCTCTGAATTTGTTGGATTCTAACCCTATATTTCTAAAATTTTATTAATATTACTGAATCTTAAAGGGAGCTGTGATGTCTTCAGTCTTTAGAAGTATTAAACCTATAAACAAAGGACTATATGAAGTTAAACTGTGTTCAAATTTCTACATGCTTTAAAACATTGAGGCAACGTATTAAGAGACACACCTAAGAAACTGCAACCAATCTACTCTGGACAAAAATTTAGATACTATCTCTTCAAAATAAGCTACCTAGTGGTATTTATACATATTCTTCCATATATGAACACTATCTTACATGCTCACAGCCTTAAAAATAACTAAAAATGTCAGAATTATAGGCCTTACACATTTCTGTTGGCTTGAAAAATGATACAAAATGCATAAACTTCTAGAGTGGATCAGTTTAAAAAAAGAGTTCATACCAAAGGTAGTAATACTAGGAATCAAAGAGGGCTAAACACTGAAGGTTCTTAAAGGCGAAAGTTAATAAAACCTTGTTTTTGGTTGTGAATCTTTGCCTTACAACGTTATACATGATTCTCCCCCTTTCTTTTTCCTCTTGCAAAGATGTGGTGATAAACCAGGTTTGCTCATGCAGATGACAATACTCTTGAAAATGGTGGCAGAGAAAAAAAATGAAGGGAATATGGTTCACTTAATCATCTCATAAATTAGAACTTATTACCCCTGTGACTCCTCCATAGCTCCAGAAAAAATATGTGAGAGAGATGAAATGGCTGTTTGCTACTAATATTTTATGTGATGCTTCATTTTTTGATTCCTTGAATAACACTTACAATGCATTAGCCCATTTATGCCAGAGGTTGCCATTTTTTGAATTTTTGCATAAGTGAAAAATCAGACCTTGTTGATGACATTTAGCAGTAGGATATAAGTAATGTCCCAATAATGGAACACTAGGCATAAGTGCATTAACACGATTATGAAAGCATAGCTATTCAAGTAACTAATTATACAACTGACTTTTTTCCTCATTTCTAAAACATAGTAAGGGATCAGTTATTTAAAAAATACAACAGTGACAAGTATTTTATTTTCAACTCAGTTTTGGTGTGTTAAGGCCGTTGCTTGGTATAAAACAAAAACAAAAACAGGAGGAGAAACAAGAATACAAACATGAGACAGAAGCAGTAGCAAAAGAAAATGAAGAGGAACAAGAAAATGAGAAGAAAATACACAATGGAAGAAAGGAAAAAGAACAGGTGTGGGAATTAGAAGGCCTATTATGATACCTTTTATCCCCTCCTCCATTCATAAAATTTGAGTAACTCCCAGAGTATCACAACAAAAAACAAGCAAAAGGATACACAAATAGTCACCCCCTAAATTTTGTTAAGAATGAGATAATGCTGCTACTCATGCCTAGCTCAGGCACCAGCAGGAGGAGGGCACCCTCCAGAGACTGCAGGAAAAGGGGGAGGACTCCTCTTTGCCCTAGATGTACCACCACCACTGCCACCAAGGCCTTCGTTACAGCACCTAAAGTTTCCTCCCCGCCCCAGAATGGGATAGGCCCTGCAGTGCTCCTACTCCCGCTTCCCGTTCCCCAGACTTCCTACTGCTACCACCACTAGCACCAATGCCAATACAACCACTGTCACCCTCAATGTATCAGCCCACCCTACCAGGATCCTACCGCCTGGTCCCCGTGGGTGCCCTCCTACTGCTCCAGTTGAGCTGCGGTCTCCATCACCACCACCAAACACATGAGGCAAGCTGCAGAGCCACATCATCTGCTCGACCGTACCACAGGTGACTCCTCCTTCTCCTCCTTCAGCCTGGCTTGGAGCAGTTGGGCAGGCAAAGCCAGAAAAGCCCAAGACAGGACTCAGGGAGTGGAACCGTTAGAGCCTCATCTTGTCACGCTGGTGACTAGGTGGCAGGGATCCGTTTCATTGAAGGCACTCACACCCACCTTCCAAAGTCCAGCCTCTCCTTCTGGCAAAAGCTGGCCAGGAACTGGGGCCTGGGGAGAGAGTGAATGCCTTCACTGAAACTGGCCCCTGGCCAAGTCCAGCTGGCCAGGAATTGCTGGGTCCACCAAGCCTGCCCTTCTCGGGGAACCCAAGTAGGAGAAACTCAGACCCAGCCAGCCCTCCCCACCCAAGGGCTGGTTCCCATTCCTGACACCTCCACCCACAGTGCCCTGTCCCCAACTTCCCCCATGGTGCCTACTAGTCCCTGCCCAGTAGTCCTAGGTGGTCTTTGCAACACAGAGCATGACGGCAGGCTGGGAAACCACAGTGGGTGTGGGGGCCCTGCCGTGCAATCTAGCTCGAGCGGGAGAAAATTGCCTTCTAGAGTCTGGAGTCCGGGAAGAGGAGAACGATCTCTTACTTGGAGGCCACCAGAAGAAGGAGACCACTGCTGTCGCTGCTGCTGCCACCTCCTCAGCTCACCAATGCTGCTGGCAGTGTAGCCCCCATAGCACCCCTAATCTGCCCCCTGCCACTAGCAGTGTAGCCCCCGGATAGCACATCCAACACACCCTACAGTTTCAGGCAATGTAACCCCAATGCCCCCCCCCCAAAGCACTCCCCCCACACCTCAGGGAGTGTACCACCCAATAGTGCCCACAATCTGACCCAGCCACGGGTGTTGCTGCATTAGATAGCATCCCAAACCCGCCTCCCCCCACCCCATCACGGGCAGTTCAGCTCCTGATGGTGCACCCCCCAGTCACAGGCAGTGCAGCACCCAACAATGCCCCTAAACCACCCCCCACTGCCAGCATTGTAGACCCAGATAACTCCACCCAACCCACCCCCTGCTGTGGGCAGTGCAGCAGAAGATAGTGCCCCTAATCCTTCACCAGCCACCAGCAGCACACATTACTGTACACAATCTGCCTCCCCCCACCACCCCTGCCACCGCAGGCAGTATAGCCCCAGATAGCCAGCCAACCTGCCCCACTACCAGCAATGCAACCCTGGAGAGTGCCCCCAACCAGACCACTGACACAGGCAGGGTGGCCTCTAGCAGTGATCACCAAAAGGACACCCAACCCTTGCCCCCAGAAGCGTACAGGGCAGCCCAGAAAACTCACCTACCCCATCACATTTCTACCACTGTGGCCCAGCTGCAGTCTCCAGCGTCACCACCAACCACAGCGAGGCGAGCCATGGTGGCACAGACTCCAGGCTTCAGCCTCCAGCATGTGGTGGTGCCTCTTCCTTCTCCTAGTCCTCCAGCCCAGCAGGACAAGCTCCTGCTGCCGGCCACCCTCTTACTGCTCTGTCGCCACCACCAACCACAGCAAGGTAGTGTCCCAGGCTCCAGGCTCCATCCATCCTCCAGCCTCCAGCAGGCAGAAGGTTGCGGCCTCTTCCAGTTCTCTAAGCTGAGCAAAGAGCCGCTCCCCGACTTGACACAGCAGAGCCTGAAATGACCTGATGCGACCTCACCATGCTTTATATACCGAGGTTATGCAAATGCCGTTCCTGGACTACATATTCTGATTGGATGAGAGAAAAACCTCTAGGCCTACTCTGATTGGACTTTATTTTCATGCTGTGATTGGTTGTGTTAAGACTTGCTCTCATCCAATCAGAACATGATCATAAAGTCCAATCAGAGTAAGCCTGGAGGTTTTTTCTCATCCAATCAAAACATGCAGTCCAGGAACCTCCGTGGGCATAGCCGCAGTATATAAATGATGCTGAAGAGCAGTCAGGTGTTTTCAGGTTCCTGTGTCTTCCCGTTGAGTTGCTCGCTCCACGGCATGGAGGACTAGGAATCAGGAGTCAGTGGCCGTATGCTGGAGGCTGGAGCCGCGGGAGCGCGGCTCGCCTCGCTGCGGTTGTTGGCAGCGACGGAGATAGGAGTGCGGCTGGAGCGGTAGGAGAAGGAAAACAGTTTTGGGATAGATGGAGGGGAGTAAAGAGGGTAGTTAGTGCCAAAGGCAGAAAAGGATAGCTTAGCCGGAGAAGGGGCGTTGCAAAAAGATGGCGGCGAAAAGATGGTGGGGAAAAAAGTTTTTGGGTAAATGGAGGCGGAAATACAGGGTGGGGAGCGGGAGGGAAGGAAGGTTTTGCAGAAAGACGGTGGGTAAAAAGTTTCAGGGTAGATGGAGGGGGAAAAGAGGGTGGCAAGTGGGAGGAGGAAAGAGAGGAAGGTGATGGGGGAAAAGGGGGGCGAGCAGTAGGGAGAGAAGGCTTTGTGAAAAGACAGTGGGGAGAAAATACAGTGTGGGGGAAAGTTTTTGGGTAGAGGAGCAAAAGAGGGTAGCAAGTGGGAGAAAGAAAAAGAGGGTAGCCAGCAGGAGGAAGACAAGGTTTTGTGAAAAGACAGTGGCAGAAAAGAAAGATGGTGGAGAAAGGAAAGACAGTGGGTAAAAAGTGTTTTGATAGATGGTGGGGGAAAGAGGGTGATGAGGAGGAGGAAAGAGGGTGGCCAGAGGGAGCAGGCACAGAGGATTGGGAAAACGACGGAAACATAGTTTGGTGTAGATGGAGGGCAAAAAAGAGGGTGGCAAGCAGGATAGGGAAAAGAAGAGCATGAGTGGTAAAGGGGGGAGACTTTGAAAAGATGGTGGGAAAAGTTTTGGGGGGTAGATGGAGAAGGAAGAGAGGGAGGTAGGCAGGAGTAGGGAGAAGGCTGTGTGAAAAGATGGGGGGAAATGTTTTTGGGTTGATGGAAAAGGGAAAGAGAATAGCAAGGAGGAACGGGGGGAAAGACGATGAAGAAAAGAGTTTTTGGGTAGATGAAGGGGGAAAAGAGGGTGGCGAGCAGTAGGAGTGGGGAGAAGGTTTTGGGAAAAGATGGGGGAAAATGTTTTTGCTTAGATGAAGGAGCAAAAGAGGGTGATGAGAGCAGGAGGGGGAAAAAGGGTGGCCAGGGATAAGGGGAAAAGATGGTGGGAAGAAACAGTGGGGAAGGGGTTTGGGTAAATGGATGGGGAAAAGGTGTTGAGCAGGAGAGTAGAGAAGGCTTTGTGAAATGATGGTGGGGAAAAAAATGGTGAAGAAGTTTGGGGGCAGATGGAAGAAAAAGGGTGGCGAGGGGAAGGGGGCCAAAGGTGCTCGGGAAAAGAAGGTAGGGAAATAATGGTGGGGGACAATGGTTTTGAGTAGATTTTTTAAATAAGATCATTTGTATTTTTGTTTTTGAATAGTCTGAGATCTTCATATATTTTGTGCATGAATCCCTTGCCTGATGCATAGTTTGCAAATACTTGCTTCCATTCTCTGGGTTGTTTCTTCATTTTTAAAAATTTTTAATTTAATTTAATTTTTTTTAGATGGAGTCTCATTCTGTCGCTCAGGTTGGAGTGCAGTGGCACAATCTCAGCTCACTGCAAGCTCTGCCTCCTGGGTTCACACCATTTTCCTGCCTTGGTCTCCTGAATAGCTGGGACTGCAGGTGCCTGCCACCACGCCCGGACAATTTTTTTGTATTTTTAGTAGAGACGGGGTTTCACTGTGTTAGCCAAGATGGTCTTGATCTCCTGGCCTTGTGATCGGCGTGCCTCAGCCTCCCAAAGTGCTGAGTGTACAGGCGTAAGCCACTGCACCCAGCCTGTTTCTTCATTCTACTGATTGCTTCCTGTGCTTTGCAGCAGCCTTTTTCTTTTTGAGACGGAGTCTCACTCTGTTGCCCAGGCTGGAATGCAGTGGCGTGGTGTTGGCTCACTGCAAGCTCCGACTCCTGGGTTCATGCCATTCTCCTGCCTCAGCCTCCTGAATAGCTGGGACTACAGGTGCACACTACCACGCCCAGCTAATTTGTTGTATTTTTAGTAGATACAGGGTTTTACCATGTTAGCCAGGATGGTCTCAATCTCCTGACATCGTGATCCGCCCATCTCGGCCTCCCAAAGTGCTAGGATTACAGGCATGAGCCACTGCACCCAGCCTGCAGAAGCTTTTAAGTTTAATGTAATTACATGTTTGCTGTTGTTTGTGCTTTTGATGTCTATTTGAAAATTCCTCGTCTTCTCCAGTTTCATGAAGCATTTATCCTATGTTTTCTTCTCTAGTAGTTTCATAGTTTCAGGTCCTACATTTAAATCTTTATTTTGAGTAGATGTTTGTATATGGTAAGATAACGGCCTAGATAGATTCTTGTACATGTGGGTGTTGGGTTTTCCTAGCACAGTTTATTGAAGATATTGTCCTTCCCAAATGTGTGTTCTTGGTGCCTTTGTTAAAAATAGGTTGACAATAAATGCATGAATTTATTCCTGATTTGTGTATTGTGCTTCACTTGTCTGTCATTTGTTCATCTCTGTCTCTCCCCCGCCCTTTTTATTGATAGTACCATGCTGTTTTGATAGTACCATGCGTACTATAGATTTGTAGTATATTTTGAAATCAGGTAGTGTGATGCTTCCAACTTTTCATTTTATTTCTTTTGTCTGTCTGAGTTATTTTGCATTTCCGTATGAATTTTAGGATGGTTTTTTCTATTTCTATTAAGAATGTCTTTTGTAATTTAAGATGGATTGCATTGATTCTGTAGATCCCATTGGTTGATATAGATATTTTAACAATATTCTTCTAGTGCATGGACATGGGATATCTTTCCATTTACTTATGTCTGCTTTAATATCTTTCATCTGTGTTTTATAGTTTTCATTGTGGTATCTTTTGCCTTCTTGGTTAAGTTTATCCCTAGATATATATTTTTTTGAAATGAAATAGCTTTCTTGATTTCTTTCTTAGGTATTTCGCTATTGGTGCATGGGCATGCTACTCATTTTTATATGTTGATACTGTATCTTGCAACTTGACTAAATTTATTATTTCTAGTAGGATTTTTGTGGAATTTTTAGGGTTCTCTCTCTCTCTAGATATGTATAAGTTTATGTCACCTGCAAACACGAAATTTGACTTCCTTTTTTTCCAATTTGGATGCTTTTTATTGCACTCTCTTGTCTAATTGCTGTAGCTAGGACTTGCAGTACTATGATGAATGAAAGTGGTGTAAAAGTAGCCATACTTGTTCCAGATCTTGGAGGAAGAGCTTTTAACTTTTCTCCATTGATTATGATGTTAGCTGTGGGTTTGTCATATATGGCCTTTATTGCACTGAGACATGTTCCTTCTGTACTCATGTTGAGTTTCTATGAAGAAATGATTTTTTTTTCAGCATCTACTTAAATGATTTATGTGTTTTCTTGATTCACTGAATGTGATGTTACACATTTATTTGTGTTTATTGAATCATCCTCATATTCCCGGGATGAATCTCACTTGATCATGGCACATGATCATTTTATTGTGTTGTCAAATGCAATTTTCAAGTATTTTGTTGAGGACTTTTTGCATCTGTGTTCATCAGGGTTATTTAAAATGCCTGTGGTTGTCTTTGTGTGTTGTGTCCTGCTCTGGTTTTTGTACCAGGGTCATGCTGTCCTCATAGAACAAGTTTCGAAGCCTTCTCTCCTGTTCATTTTATGGGGAACATTTTGAGTAGAATTGGTATTAGCTCTTTAAAAAATGCTTGGTAACTCAGCAGTAAAACCATGATTCTTGTGTTTTTCTTTGCTGGGAGACTTTTTATTACTGCTTTAATTGCATTACTCATTATTGGTCTGTTCAGGTTTTTTGTTTATCATTCTATCTTGGGAATTCATTATGTGTCTAGAAATTGAAGCACTTCTAGATTTTTCAGTTTGTATATAAACGTCTTTAGTAATCATTTACAATCCTTTGTATTTTTGTGTTTAATTGTAATGTTTGCTTTTTCATCTATGGTTTTGTTTCTTTTTCTTATCCTTAGTCTAGCTAAAGCTTGTCAATTTTGATTTTTTTTTTCTAAATCACCCCAGCTCTTTGTTCCATTGACTTTTTGTATGTTTTGTTTCTGTTTTTAAAATTTCCGCCCTAATCTTTATGATATTTTTTCTACTGATTCTAGCATTTGAATTTTTTTTGTTTTTCTCATTACTGGAGGTGTACTGTCAGGTTGGCTATTTGAGATGTTTCTACTTTTCTGATGAAGGCATTTATAGCTATGCCCTTTTCCTCTTAGAACTGCCTTTGCTGCATCCCACAGGATTTGTTATGTTGTGTTTCTATTCTTGTTTCAATAAACATTTAATTTCCTTTTTTTCCATTGGTTGTTCATGACCCTGTATTTTAATTTCCATATATTTGTACAGGTTTTAAAGTTTCTCCTGTTACTGATTTCTAACACTATTCTACTGTGGTTAGAAAAGATACTTGATATGAATTCAGTTTTTGAAATTGTGCTGAGACTTGTTTTTTGGCCTAACACATAGTCTGTGTTGGAGAATAATTCATGTGCTACTGAACTAATGATGTCTGTCTGGATGATCTGTCCATTGACAATAGTGGGGTGTTGATTATAGTGGAGTGTTGAGGTATTCTATTGTATTGCATTCCATCTATCCTTTAAGGCCTGTGAATATTTGCTTCTGTATTTAGATGCTTCAGTGTTGGTTGCATATTCATTTATAATTGTTAGGCTGCTGTTTACTTTTTTCTCATTATACAATTATCTTTTTTTAATCTTAAAGTCTATTTTGTCTAAGTATTATAGCTACTCCTGCTTTTTTGTTTCCATTTGCATAGGATATCTTTTATCATCCCTTCACTTTCAGTCTATGTATGTCTTCATAGATGAACTGAGTTTCTTGTAGGCAAGAAACTGCTTGACACATCTGTGCACTGCTGCTCCAACCAGAGGAGTTGCTGGCTCACCAAGAGTCAGCCTTGCTCCCAAACCGGTTTGTTAATTGTAACTGGTATTTACTATTGTGATAATATTACATCATCCATAATTGATGAAACAGGAATGAAAAAAAAACAGGAAATAGTTGTCATTAAGAAGTTGAATGTTGTTTCCACCTACAAGCGCCCTTCCTCTGCTGCACGCTCGGGCTCCTGGTCCCCATTTCTTGGTTCCGGGGGTGAGAGTATGACCACAATGGCGGCTGCCACCTTGCTGCGCGCGACGCCTCACTTCAGCGGTCTCGCTGCCGGCCGGACCTTCCTGCTGCAGGGTCTGCTGCTGCTGCTGAAAGCCCTGGCATTGCCTCTCTTGTGCCACGGCCTGGCTGTGGGGGCCAAGAAGACTTAACGTGTGTGAGAAGCCACATGTGAATGTGGGTACCATCGGCCATGTGGACCATGGCAAGACCAAACTGATTGCAGCTATCACAAAGATTCTAGCCGAGGGAGGTGGGGCTAAGTTCAAGAAGTACAAGGAGATTGACAATGCCCCCAGAGGAGCAAGCTCCAGGTATCACCATCAGTGTGGCTCATGTGGAGTATAGCACTGTCGCCCACCACTATGCCCACACAGACAGCCCGGGTCATGCAGATTATGTTAAGTATATGATCACGGGCACCACACCCCTTGACGGCTGCCTCCTGGTGGTAGCAGCCAATGACAGCCCCATGCCCTAGACCCGAGAGCACTTATTACTGGCCAAATAGATTGGGGTGGAGCATGTGGTGGTGTATGTGAACAAGGCTGATGCTGTCCAGGACTCTGAGATGGTGGAGCTGGTGGAACTGGAGATTCAGGAGCTGTTCACTGAGTTTGGCTATAAAGGGGAGGAGACCCCAGTCATTGTAGGCTCTACTGTCTGCCCTTGAGGGTCGGGACCCTGAGTTAGGTCTGAAGTCTGTGCAGAAGCTACTGGATGCTGTGGACACTTACATCCCAGTGCCTGCCCGTGACCTGGAGAAGCCTTTCCTGCTGACTGTAGAGGCAGTGTACTCCATGTCTGGCCATGGCACCATGGTGACAGGTATGCTAGAGCATGACATTTTAAAGAAAGGAGACAAGCGTGAGCTCCTAGGACATAATAAGAACATCTGCACTGTGCTGACAGGCATTGAGATGTTCCACAAGAGCCTGGAGAGGGCCGAGGCTGGAGATAACCTCAGGGCCCTGGTCCGAGGGAGGACTTGTGGCGGGGTCTGGTCATGGTCAAGCCGGGTTCCATCAAGCCCCACCAGAAGGTGGAGGCCCAGGTTTACATCCTCAGCAAGGAGGAAGGTGGCCACCACAAGCCCTTTGTGTCCTACTTCATGCCAGTCATGTTCTCCCTGACTTGGGACATGGCCTGTTGGATTATCCTGCCCCCAGAGAAGTAGCTTGCCATGCCCGGGGAGAACCTGAAGTTCAACCTAATCTTGCGGCAGCCAGTGATCTTAGAGAAAGGCCAGTGCTTCACCCTGAGAGATGGCAACTGGATTATTGGCACCGGTCTAGTCACCAACACGCTGGCCATGACTGAGGAGGAGAAGAACATCAAGTGGGGTTGAGTGTGCAAACCTCTGCTCAGCTTCCCTTGCGTTTAAGGTCTGCCCTAGCCAGAACTCCCTCCTGCTTCCAGTGCCCCCTCATGGAATAGGCTGCAACCCAGCAGAGGGCAGGTAGAAGGACATTTCCCCTGGTCGGAAAGGTTGGCCTGCCTGGCCGGGGAGGTGCCGGGGAGGTCAGTAAACTTCTGTGAATAGTAAAAAAACAAACAAACAAACAAAAAACAAGAAAAGAAATTGAATGTTTTAGAAAGACTCAATGAAGTGAGTCTGTAAGAAACTGGTTTTCATCAGGTGTGGGATTGAGAGTCTGTTCCATTCACCCCTTCCTTTCCCACCCTCCATGGGAGAGCCTTACTGGGCAACCCCAAGGGCAGGAGCAGAATCTAAGCAGCAGGCTCCCTGGCACCTCTCACCTACGGTCTGTGCCTTCCCATGTTCTACCATTTCTTCTAAACAGGCATGCAAGTGAGTGGAGAGGCAGAGGCAAGGCTTTTTAGATAGGATTTATTTCCTTCACTGACTCAACAAGAGTCAACAGGAGAGGCAGAATGCCTGCAGTATACAAGAAGTTCTCAGACACTATAGGCTCCAACTTACATCTTAACCCAGAGCTAAAACTGTTTCTTTGATTCTCTCCCTTTATTCCATTTGGTGTCTCCCTTGGGGTAGTTTCTCACTGAAGAGGATGGTATTAAGCTGGTCTGTTTGCTTTCATTCTCTTGAACCTTTGGTTTGTCATCTAGGGAGAGGATGTTTTTCCTGTTTTTCTCTTTTTTAATTTTCTTTCTTATTTTTTTCTTTGAGACATGGTCTTGCTCCATTGCCGAAGCTGGAGTGCAGTGGTGCAATCACAGCTCACTGCAGCCTGGACCTCCCAGGCTCAAGTGATGCTTCCATCTCAGCCTCCAATAGCTGGGACCACAGGTACACACCACCACACCTGGATAATTATTTTATTTATTTGTAGAAACGGGTCTGGCTATGTTGCCCAGGCTGGTCTTTAACTCCTAGGCTCAAGCTATCCTCCCTCCTCTGCTTACCCAGTATTACAGAGATTCAGGTGTGAGCCACTGTGCCTGGCCTGTTTTTCTTATAAATAGTATTTAGACTAATGTATTTAACTTTTAATATTGAAATGTGCCATATTTGACTGAAGTTGAGAGTACACTATAATAAGCCCTGTGTCCTCATCACTCAGCTTCAACCAGTGTCCACTCCTGGCCAATCTTCTGTTTGTCCTTTTCACTTCTGCCCCTCCACAGAGCCATAAGCAAAAGGCCTTGGGCCTTAAAGATCGGTGAGTAAAGGTCATTTACAAGTTTTAAGTTAAAAATGTTGAAGATGTGAAATTATTGTTTTAAAAATGGTTACCCACTTTAACGAGGTTTCATTTGAGGAACCAATAGATACAGGTCCCAGTTGTCTCAGATTAGTAGACTGAATTTTAAAGCTGGCAGCATTTTCAGTACTAATTTGATGGTGTGACATTGCATTTCGTCCAGCTAGTAAGCCATGCTTCAGGTGGAAAGACTCCTCTTAAACATAGTGAGCAGCGTGATTATGAAAATAAACACTGAAAGTTTTATCCATAAGCTTCAATTTAAGGCATATTCTTTGCAATATAAGTTAGTAAACCAATTACTATCATAGAGATACTGTTTATTTTAGATTGAGAAAGAGCTAAGGGGAAATGTATTGCTATTTCAAAACAAATTTTATATATATACACAAATATATATATATATATATATATATATATATATATATATATATATACACACATATATATATGAAATGGAATCTCGCTTTGTCGCCCAGGCTGGATTGCAGTGATATGATCTCAGTTCATTGCAACCTCTGCCTCCCAGGTTCAAGTGACTCTCCTGCCTTGGCCTCCCGAGTAGCTGGGACTACAGGTGCGTGCCATCATGCCCGGCTAATTTTTTGTATTTTTAGTAGATACAGGGTTTCACCATGTTAGCCAGGATGGTCTTGATCTCCTGACCTTGTGATCTGCCCACCTTCGTCTCCCAAAGTGCTGGGATTACAGGCATGAGCCACTGCACCTGGCCTAAAATAGAAAAGATATTTAACTTCTGTGCTTTATTCCTCCAGAGACTGATTAAGATCTTTGAATGGAAAATCCACAGAAACAGATTTTAGTTCAATGTGTATCATTAGTATATTAACATAATTTCATTTGCCATTTTTGGAGTTGTGGCTTTAAACCAGAGAACAACATAGATGTATTTAACTCTATTATTTCATCTGGCCATCGCTGTAAACCTTCAGGTACGTATTATTATTCTCATCTTACAGATGAAGAAACTGATGTTCAAAGAGTTTCAAGGTCACTTACTGAGCTGATAAGAGCTCCTGCGTCTTACTACACAATTATTAAACTGTTGTACTGTACTCAGTTACTTCAAATTAAAATTAGAATTAGTCATTTCAAATTGTAATTAGGAATGTTTAAACTTGACTCAATACAAGCTTTTCAAAAAAAAAGAAAAACACTTGGCAGGCTAAACCACATTTTCCTGCTGATAACTATTTGACCTTCTCTTGGACCCTGGTCCACATGCATTTTGAATGTTTGATTTGGGGGTTCAAGCCACCTTCCCTGAAAGTCACACTGAAGCTCTTATTTTAGAAGTGGGAGGTTATCATCCACTCAGCCTCCTTAATGGCTTTTACGTTACAAAAAGCATGTTTATAATTTCAATGGAAAAAGCATATATATAATTTACCGGTGAAAAAATGCTTTGAGATGCTGATTTGGGATGCTGTCTCACGGCAGATAGTCGTTACCTGTATACTACTAACTCAGTTGGAAGAGGAGTAAGCAAATTGGGGTCTGGATTACGTGATACTCTCAGGTCAGTTGCCTGGAACTTCCTAAATGATTTAGATGGAACATTTTCCTCCTTACGTAAATCTCTGTGAAGAAGAGACTGGGGGGTACATTCCAACTCCCCATAGACGAGTAACTAAATAACAAGTCTGAACTAACTCAAATAATTCCAGTCTTCTCTTACTGCCACCTCTCCCATCTTGTTTTGTTAAGCATTCTAGCTTTATTTTGGCTCTGAAGACTTTGGTAGCCCTAAGATCATTGTTTCCAGCCAGAAAGTCCTCTGTGATCAGGATCTTTATAACTATCAGTGATTTCTCCCTGTTGATTAAGTCTACATAAGTCTCTTTGAACTTGGATTTGACATTAGATTAGCAAGTGATTTTCAGCTGGGATATAAGATCTATAAATTGCTGACAAAAGAAACTACAGTTTGACAGCCTTGTCTAAATTTAGGTCTTTTCCCCCAACTTTTTGTTGGTGAATTTCAATAACCCCTCATGTGCTAAGTTAGGATCTGTCATGGACCTTCATATTTTTTACTTGTTTTTCCCTCTCCCTCTTCTCAGCTTTCCCTCTTGACTTTCTTTGGCTGTCTTTTTTCCTTCTTTCCATATTCATTAAATAACTTTGAGTTAGCCTTTGCATTGGATATAATGCAAAGGATATATAAAGATGAATAAGACAATTTTTGTCCTTTAAACAAAATTAATGATCTTAAATTCATTTACTAAAGAAATTTCAGGAAGTGCTGTTTCTGTAGATCTTTGCTTTAATAAGTGTTAGATACAACACATATACATAATGATTCAAAGTGTTTAGCAAATACTTTTTCCTATTCAAAAGTAATTTGAATTAACAAGAAATTTTTCATCTGTTGGATGGCCATTCATATTTATTCTATTGCCCATTGTATGAACTTTTATATTTTTGCCATATAATTTGTGTACATTATTCTTAGAGATATGTATCCGTCTTATTTTCATCAGGAAGCCTAGTGAATTCTCATGTCAGGCATAATAGCATTAACGAGAGCTTGATAGGATTAATGAAACTTATATATTTGTGTCTCTAATGGAGATTTCCTCCCTTTTAATGCCCAGATGTGCCAGGTGGTGCCAGTGCCAGCTAATCACCTCCCTGTTGGCAGCACCGTGAACACTGTGCACCTGTCTTCAGATGGCACTTAAAGCAGAGAAGCCTGCTGTGTGGCTGTGGGAGTCATCAGAGAGGTGGCAGTGGAGGTGAGAAATGGCAAGACCCTTGAGCTACGTTGAAGGTAGAGCCAGTAGGATTTGCTGGCAGATTGGCTATGGGGTGCAGGAGGGAGAGGAGGGGTCAGGGATGCTGAGGAGAAGACAGGTGGAGCAAATTGGGGTAGGGACTAGGGAGGAAATGAGGAGTTCATTGTTAGGTGTGTGAAGCTTTAAATATATATTAGCCTTCCCACTGGAGGTGTTGAGCAGGCAGTGGGTATGCATGAAGATTTCCAGGAAAAGGTCTGGCCTAGAAACAATAACATAGGATTCATCATGTACAGACAAGCTTCAAGGCCATGGGACTGGAGGAGCTCACCCAGAGAGTGAAAACAGATGGGGGAAAAGTCCAAGAACCAGGCCTTCCACATCAAGTTGAAAAGAAAGAACCAGCCAGTGAAACTGAGAACAAGTGGCCAGGGAGGTAGGTAGGAAGAAAACCAGGAGAGTCATATCCTGGAGCCAGTGAAGACAGTATTTTAAGGGGATTGATCTTACTCATGCTACCAATGGCCAAGTAGATGAGGACTGAGTTCAGCAACACAGGCCACTGTGGACTCTGGGTCACTTCAACATCAGATGAGTCCCTTCTATCTACTTGGGGACCTTGCTAGGCATTCTGATGTATAGTGTGGATAAGTCAAAGTTCCTTGTGGGACTTACCAGCCGACGAGAAATGAGTGATGGTTTAAAGAGTTCTATTTAATATTGGTCATGGTTCTATAATTTGAGACCTACAGCAAGTCAACTGGATAAAAGAATGTTTGCTTTTGTTGTTCATTGTTTTCTACTTGTTTTTAAGAGCAAAATAATCTAACACATGCATTTAAGTTATCTGACAAATCTGAGTTTTCTGTTCAAGTTTTTTTTTTTTCCTGTTTTCCAGCCAGCTTTGGGCACAGTATATTTTGGGTAATCTCCGGGCAGAAATAGAAAGTATTAAGCTCCATGGCGATATGTTATTGGGTGTAATTTTCTCTGAGTTGAGATTTTGTTTTATCTTTCCCAGATACTTACCCTACATTTTTTTGTTTCTTCCTCCTCTTCTTTTCTTTCTTTTCTTTTTTTTTCAAATATTCTCTTTTATTTACTTTGTCACCCAGGCTGAAGTGCAGTGGTGCAATCTTGGCTTATTGCAGCCTTGAGCCCCAGGGCTCATGCAAGTCTCCTGCCTCAGGCCCTCAAGTAGGTGGGACTGCAGGTGCATGCCACTACACCTGGCTCATTTTTGTATTTTTTGTAGCAGTGGGATTTCACCATGTTGCCCAGGCTGGTCTCAAACTCCTAAGCTCAAGCCATCTGCCAGCCTCAGCCTCCCCAAAGTGTGCTAGGATTACAGGCATGAGCCACCATACCTGGCCCCTTTTTTCTTTGGTTCCAATGTTTATCTGTCTCATTTCTTACAGGGTCATGATAAAAGGAAGGGGTCTTTCAGAATTTCTGCCTCCTTAAATTCCTGGCCCTTGTGCAGTACCATGTCATGGTATTAGCAGTGTTTAAGAATGGTTTCAAGGATCACTATTGACATAACTGTCTATATTAATAGAATATGTGTTGAACCATTGGCACATTGCCAATAACATTCCAAACACAAATGAAATTCTGTTGCAAATTCTCTGCCTGTTTGCACTTTATAAGAGTAATGCTCATGTTATTTCTGAGAATCCATGTTGTTAGTGTTTCTTGCTCATCCATCATCTCATAGCCAGTTATGATTAAGTTACCCACACCTTTGGTATGGGCATCAGAACTCTTGTATTTGATGCACCTTCACTTATTAAGAGAAACTCAGTGGTGCTGGGTCTGCCAATTTCACTTTGAGGTGATGCAGTTGTTGGTGTTCATGTACACATTCATTTCGGCAAAGTTAGCATGTGGCTTTTCTGCTGTTTGTTGATTTTATGTTTTTCAAATATTCTCTTTTATTTACTTTTAGGTTTGTTATCGACCCAATCATTACATCGCTACCCAAGGTAAGTTTATTTCTGCTTTGATGTCTTTTTTTGTTTCTTTTGCCCACTTCCTATCATTTTGTACCCACTTCACCCTCCCTCAGGAAGACACTGCACTTTTATTGCAATTCTAGCCATCAACAAGTACACTTCTGTCTTCCCATCAGATGTTTTGGTCATGTAATTGTTTAGTTAGAACTTCATGTTGAGATTATTAGGAGAAATGTGCCCATCAATTCTTTATTGAATTCAATCTGTCTACCTTAGAAGTAAGTCTGACATTTGCAAAAGTAGATACATAGATAGCCATTCAGTCAATATGCACCAGCTACTCTCTACACAGGGAACTGTGCTGGTGGCTGCTGGGGAGCCAGGCTGAATCTGGCAAGCACCCCCTTCTTGCAGTGGTTGTGTTTAGTGGGGAAGATGTGCAGTCACCTATATGTACTTTAGTAGGTACAGTGCCCGGTGACATCTGTGAGAGGAACAGATACAGATAAAATGTTAGGGAAATTTGGAGTAGGAAGGGGTTGCTTTGAGGTGGGATGACCCAAAACCAGTTTTGTGGCAGAGGTGAGATTGGAAAGAGGCCTTCTGAATGGAGAAACATCATGAACGAAGATCTGGGAGCAGGAAATTAGTACTCCCAGGTGGAGAGCAGCTGACAGGTCACCTTGGCTAAAGGAAACAGGAGAAAGCCACAGGAAATGTTGAGGAAGCTCATGTCAATGGTTTTTGGGTGATTTTCCCAACCTATGAAGTGGGTCATCTGCAGAGGGTGGGGGTCATGAGGGAGCTGAGGTTTTAGCGAATGAGGCATCCTAAGGGATGAGTTAGTGAGTCAATATGGGATGAACTGAAGGAGTAAGAAGCAGATAACACCCAGTTAAGGCTGACTAGCACACGTTCTTCCCATTCTATTATTTTTATCATTATTTCCAGCAATAGGCTACATCCCAGGAACAGTCGCAGGAAAGTCAAAAGGATGTGACCTGCCAAAGGTTAGGCATGGAGCGAGGGGTGTGTACACAAAGTCAGTGACCAAGGGAATCAAGGATGCCAAGGTAATTGGGGTAGGAAAGTCCAGGCTTGGAAGAAGGGCAATCAGAGGTGTCCACTGGATGATGAGGAGAGGGAAGGAGCTAACATAGTGAGGCTGGGCCCCGCTGCTGAGTCGTAATTTAGGAGAAAAGGCCTTTGTGGCCAGAGAGCAGAATTCCAACACTTGGATCTGCCCATGTACTGAAACTTTCTGCAGTGGTGGGAATAATCTCTGCGCTGTGCAATATCGTAGCTACAAGTCATATGTGACTCCTGCATACTTGAAATACAGCTATTACAAGTGAGGAACTGAATTTTAATATTGATAGAAATAGCTATATTTGGTTATTCCCTGTGGTAGCATTGGACAGCAAAGCTTTGGGGTGGAAAAGCTCCAGCTGTGGCTGAAATGGAGCCACTGTGGAAGCTGATCCAGTCCCATGCCCACAGCTGCCCCAGGAACCTGGGTGACATCACACAGAGTCAGCAGTCTCACATCACCACTAGGGTACTCTGCACTCCGGTCTAGATGACCTGCTGGAGCCCCCATTGTCTTTCCTCGTGTATGACATGAAGTTGGTAATGGCTCCTTCCAAGGTCACTTTGCTAGCCAGATGCAAAGTCGTCTGTAGACTTTCCAGTGTGAACCTGGCACAAAGCAGGCCCCATTACATAGGGTTTGCTGAGGTCTTCAGGAAGCCAGGCTCAGCTTGAGCTCTTACACGTGGGACAGAACAAGGACACATGTCAGAGTCCAGTTCTAGACACCTCCCAACCCTGCTGCTACCAAATGGAATTCATCAATCTTTAGAGGAACCTGTTGTTATGGGTTTGAAATTCATCCTAATGGCTTTCCAAATGTTCTAAACTAAGTGTCATAACATGAGATTTAATACATTTTATGATAATTTGAAATTAAGTTTTTGTAAATTCATGAGAAAATTCAATTGTAAAATACCCAAAATACTCCCGAGCTTATCTTCCCAATAACTTGATTAGCAACCTATATTTTCATAGATAGCAAGAACATTAAGTTGCTCCTACTTGTATTTTCAATATTGAGGACCTCTAGATTAACGGGACTAAACAGACCGCTAAAGTAGAGACTGAAATTGCCAAAGTCTAGACATGGCCCCTCACCAGGCTACCTTCCCTTTGTCTGTTCTCTCTGCTCCTCTCCCCCTGCAGGAGATTATTCTTTAAAGAGAAATGCCATTAGAGAAGTCACTTTCTGCAGAATTAGTGTGACTGATACTTAATAGCTCAGTAACCCTCTCAGGTAGCATTCTAGTGTTAATGAGCAAATGTATTTGTAAGCAGATAAGAAATGGCAAATGTCATCAGTTTGCAGTAGACAACCGGTCTGCCCTTAATGGAGAAGGGCACTGGCTAATGCCCTGTTTACCAGGTCATGGCAGCCTTTCCCTGGTACAAGATGGGCTGCAGATTGGACTTCTCAAACTGGTAGGACTAACATCACTGCTGGTGGTGGTGCAGGGAGAGGAGGGAAAATGAATGAATATTTTTCATCTACCATGCAGTCAAGACTATACATACCATATTAAGAATAATACATTCAGACCATGATGTTCCAGTGAGAAAGCTAGAATCTTCTATTATATACCACAAGCATAATGGACTAATAGCCTTTCATCACCAGTAATCAAGATCACTGATAATCTGCACTAAGTGGCATGGACAGGTAGAATATGTTCAAGGATCACTTTCATTGAAAAACAAACAGAAAAAACATTAACACCTTCAAGAGGCCAAGAAAATGGGTGATGAAGACCAACAGGCAGATGCAATCTTTAAATGTCTTCTTGCCCTATTTTTTCTCTGTTTTGCACTAATACAGTTCTTTAAAGTATATTCACAACAGGAACCTATGAAACTATGTAAATGGTCTACTATGTTGACAACTAATTTTATTTCCAAAAGTTAGTAACGCACAGTTGTTCACCAAGTTCCTTTGATACAGAGGACATACTATAAATTTACGTATTGGGTCTCTTCCTCCCATCCACCCTTAATTTTATTGATTTTTCTAGCAGTAACTGACTATGACCTTTGATAATAATGGGTGATGTTTCTGCAAATTGAAGGCATCCCATTTAAGCCAGATCTGTTCCTTTTTTGGTATTAATATGTTCTTCCTGTCTCTCCTCAGTTTGTTTTCTCTCTGGCCATTAATATATGATGACCTGATATTAACTTCATGTTGTCTGAATGACCAGACATTAGTACAATGGTAACATTCAAGATTTATGATTTAGCAAACAAGGGGCTCAAAGGAGAGGAAGTTGTATCTGCTGTTGCATGTTTGTAGTTAGAGATAGGGCAGAGTGGAGATTTCAAAAGTAGGTTAAAGTGAAAGGCAGAAGAGCATGCAGGTGGGTGGGATTCCCCAGAAGTGATAATATTTTGCAATCAAAATACAACCTTGGAGACTACTCAGGCTGCAAGCTGGATGAAGGCACTCACACATTACTGACTGGAGAGAACACCGGCTGGCCTCATGGTGGCAGCCATGGGGGCCCTGGATAAGTGTTCTTTTGATTTTTATTTGGTTTTGGTTTTGTTTAGAGACACGATCTCACTCTGTCACCCACACTGGAGTGCAGTTACTGGGATCATAGCTCTCTGAAGCATCGAACCCCTGGGCTCATGTAATTCTCCCACCTCAGCCTCCAAAGCAGCTAGGAACACAGTTGCACACCACCACGCCTGGCTAATATATTTTATTTTGTTTTTTGTAGAGTTGGAAACTTCCTGTGTTGCCCACGCTGGTCTCAAACTCCTGGACTCATGGGATCCTCCCACCTTGGCCTCCCAAAGCAGTGGTATTACAGGCATGAGCCATTGCACTGGGCTCCTGTTTAGTTTTAATTTTAAAACACCTCAAGAGTCAGATAATTCAGGGAAAGACCATGCAAGGCTGTTACTGAAGAAAGTGCTACGAGTCTGTTCTAGACATGGCTTGCCTAGCACTGAGCATCCTTCCTCACTTCTAAGTGAGAATTTTCCAGATCTGTGCATTGGGGTCCCCCAAGAAAGAGGCTCAGTCCTGATGTACTGTTTCCTGTATACTGCATGCTCACCCCCCAAAACCACATGGTTAATCCAGATCCAGCCCCTGCTTTCTTAGTTATGAGGCTTCTCATGGCAAAGCAATAAAAAGCAAGTTTTCAATGATAAAGTCATGTCTGAAAACATGTTAATTGTCATCATCTTTGATGTTGTAACCTGAGCTATAGATTGTTGGGATGCACACGTTACTCTTTTAAGCTTATGTGCCTTGATTCTGTCTACATCATTTCTTTCTTTCTGAACTGTGAACTGCGCTAATTTGATGGGGTTTGCTACCTGATTGGGGTCCTGACCTTAGCCTTCATCTTGCCATATACAGTTTGTTTTTGTCTCCATCAGCGTTAGCTCTGTTCAACGCCCTTGTGGAGTCCAGGACTTAGAGAGAGGATCTCCAAGCAGAAGCCCCCAGCCCACGTGAGAACAGGGAGACCCTTGTGCCCTTAACTGTTTTCCATAGTACTGCCCAGCCTTGTACACTCTGGCCCAAATGTTCCTCACCTTTGGAAGACACAGAACTTCTTTCAAAACCATTGAAATATCGAGATCATTTCCGCAGAAAGAAAATGTAATTTAAGGTAATTCGTGGACTTACCCCCACCCCCCCAATTTTATTCATGAATCATAGTAATTCTAGGGACCTCAGGTTACAAACTTCACTTTGGTCAGAAACATTAAAAGCTATTTTGGGATAAGACAGAAACCATAGGTTAAATCTTTTTTTTTTTTAAACATACTTCTTAGGGGTTAACAAAATGTCATAGATTGTTTATAACTATATGAAATACGTTCCTGAAAGCATCAAAATCTTTATTAATGAACTAGTACTAAAATGCTTACTAGCCTAACCTTGTACTAAAAGACCCTGGAGTATTGTTATAATCATTAGTATTTTGAACCATGGTCAGTTTGGGTTTTACTCTTCATTTCAGGCTTGGTTTCTGCTTATATGTTATTTTGCATTTGTGCCTCGAAAGTTTATGCCTTTGCTCACTTCTCAACAACTTTAGCATTTACAATATATTAGAAAATGCTATCAATGACCAGAGACTAGAGTAGCAGGTCCCATAGCTGATGTTTATTTTGTAAAAGCAGGATGTAGTAGAAATAACACATGTACCACAGCGAGAAGGCTGGGGTCGAAATTCTTGTGCTGTAGCAGAAAAGGTATTTGAACCTCCTAAACTTATTTAAGGTAGAGTCCTGGTGTTTGGCAAATAGTAATAATAGTCAGGACCTTACCATGTGCCAGACAGCATTCCCAGAACTCACACATACAGAGCTCATTTCATCTTTACCACAAATATGGGGGATGTATGTGATTGTCCACAATTTATAAATGAGAGGAAGGGAGCAGAGAGACTTGAAATAACATGTTTGAATCACAGACCTAAAAGTGCAAAGGCCAGATTCAAGTGCAGCCACTGAACTCCAGCATCAAAGCTCCTCCCCACCTCACTATACTGCCTCCCATGGGTGACCTCGGGGGTTACATTAACTCATGTATGTATCAGTGCTTAGAGCAATTCCTGGCATGGAGCAAATGCCATGTATGTATGAGCTGTTACTATTTTTGAGAAACAGCACAGCATAGCTTAATGATCAGGAACATGGACTATAGAACTACATTGTCTGAACTCAACCCCCAATGCTGGTTCCTCCATCAGTAACTTGTGTGACCTTGGACAAATTACTTGTCATCTCTGTGATCATCATAAATGAAGATGAAAATAGTCTACCTTGTAGGGTTATTGTACAGATTAAGTAAGATAATATTCCTAAAGCACTTAAGGCACTTTTTTTTTTGGAGGGGGCTTTTTATTTTTTAACTTTTAGGTTCAGGGGTACATGTACATGTTTGTTACACAGAAAAAATGCATGTCATGAGGGTTTGGTGTACAGATTATTTTGTCACCCAGATAATAAGCATAGTACCTGATAAGGCAGTTTTTTAATCCTCTCCTTCCTCCCACCTCCCACCCTCAAGTAGGCCCCAGTGTCTGTTGCTGCCTTCTTTGTGCCCATGTGTTCTCAATGTTTTAACTCTTACTACTAAGTGAGAAAGTACAATATGTGATTTTCTGATCTTACAATTATTTGCTTAGGATAATGGTCTCCAGCTTTATCCATGTTGCTGCAAAGGACATGATCTCATTCTTTTTTATGGCTGCATAGTATTCCATGGTGTATGTGTACTACATTTTCTTTATCCAGTCTGCTGTTCATGGCCATTTTGGTTGATTCTATATCTTTGCCAATGTGAGTAGTGCTGTGATTAACACACATGTATGTAACTGAATCATGCATGAATCATGTAGAATGATTTATTTTCCTTTGGGTATACAGCCAGTAATGGGATTGCTAGGTCAAATGGTACTTCTGTTGTAAGTTCTTTGATAAACACCCACACTGCTTTCCACAATGGCTGAACTAATTTACATTTTCACCAGCACTCTGTAAGCATTGCATCATCTTCATGACCTCTCCAGCATCTGTTATTTTTTCTTTTTTGTAATAGCCATTCTGATTGGTGTGAGATGTTGGGGCTATTTGGTTTTTGCTTAATTTAAGTTCCTTATAGACTGGATGTTAGACCTTTGTTGGATGCATAATTTGAAAAGATTTTCTCCCAATCTGTAGGTTTGTCTGTTTATTGTCTTGTTAGTTTTTCTTGTGCAGAAGCTCTTTGATTAGATCTTATTTGTCAATTTTTGTATTTGTTGCAGTTGATTTTGGCATCTGAGGAGGTGTATGATCTCTACAATAAGAACTGCAAAAACACTGCTCAAAGAAATCAGAGATGATACAAACAGTGAAAAAATATCCCATGCTCATGGATAGGAAGAAGCAATATTATTTAAATGGCCATGCTACTCAAAGCAATTTACAGATTCAGTGCTATCCCTATCAAACTACCAATGACATTCTTCACGGAATTAGAAAAAACTATTTTAAAATTCATACAGAACCATAAAAGCCCAAATAGCCAAGGCAATCAATTCTAAGCAAAAAGAACAAAACTTGGAGGCATCAATTTATGTGACTTGAAACTACACTACAGGGCTACCGTAACCAAAACAGCCTGGTACTGGTACAAAAGCATACACATAGACCAACAGAACAGAATAGAGAGCCTAGAAATAATGCCACACACCTGTAATCATCTGATCTTTGACAAAGTTGACAAAAGCAATGGGGAAAGGACTCCCTATTCAATAAATGGTGCTGGGATAACTGGGTAGCCACATGCAAAAGATTGAAACTGGACCCCTTCCTTACACCATATACAAATATCAACTCAAGATGAATTAAAGAATTAAATGTGAAACCTCAAACTATAAAAATCCTTCAATATAACCTAGGAATTAGCATTTTTGACATAGGCCCCAGCAAAGATACTTTCTTCTTAATACCTAGGAAGTGCCCATTTACAAAAATAATGTCCTTCTTTGCTGACTTTGAAAATATACTCGGATAAAACAGAGTAGGTCTTATTAATTGCATATGTTCACATTTCAAAATGTAAGTAGCCTTATGTAAACCCCTAAATAGCTAGTGACATGAATTTTTCATTTCTTACATGTGAATAAACTTAAGCTGTACATAGTTAAGAAGGCTTGGAACAATTCATAGAGATTATGACCTGTGAAGAACTGGCCATCCAGATAGGTCCCCACCACATGCCACTGACCTTATCTCCACCATCACTGACTTCTTTTTATGTTTAGAGGATCCAGATGCTCAGTGTCATCTTCGAAGATGCCAGGTCACATTGGCAAAGGCCGCAAGAACTGATATGAAAAACCAGATGCAATGAAAACCGTAACTGTACATGAGACAGAACTGCCCAAGGTCAAGCTGGGGCATTCTGTGTGAAGAGGAAGATGCCTTGGCAGAAGATCACTTCATCATGACCAGGGCATCAGAAGAAGGGGTCGCAGAATTTATTCATGATTCAATAAGTATGCACCACCTGTCTGGAAGTGAGTTAGCATAAAACATAAGTTCAGTAAGAATACAAGAATGAGTGAGTGAATTAAGAAATGAATGGATTGGGAGTTACCATTGGCCACACACCGCTTAGACAGTAGAATATCTCAGCCAGGTAGAAAGAATGGATCATGGTGGCCCAGCAAAGCATGTACTTCCTGGGGCAGATTGTGGCATCATTATCTCCAACATCTCTGACAATTTCTGTTTCAAGTTAAGGGCTGGTCAGCTTCTATTCTTAGAAACACTTTCTTTACACATGTCAGTAAATCAAATCTTGTCTTTAGAGACAATCCATCTTGTTAAACTAACTTTGTTTGGGTCTACCCTGACCCTGTTTGTGCCACCCCTGCCCCCATACATATAATCAGTTTTGTCTGTAGTTATAATTTGTCCATAATTTGGAAAAGAGAAGCCTAAAAAAGTTCACTCTAGACACTTTCAGCTAGGAACAAACTTATATGTGAAAATAATTAAAATGTGGGGAGTGAAGGTTTATAGTGGAACTATTTACAGACCCTCAAACACTGCACAACAGTTGAAACTTTGCTGTAGTGACTTCATTCTCTTAGTTGTCAATCTGTTTTTCTTCTACATTTCTTCCACATACTTCTGGTATATTTTTAATAAAGATTTTTCAAAAAGATAAATATGGCTTATATTTTCCCAGCTCAAAATTCCCCTGAAGGCCTCCGAAGCAGTAAATAGTAGTGCTTTGAATACTGCTCTTTCTTTTCCTGGGCAAGCCATTCTTGTAGTGGGTTCTCAGAGCCTCAGTGTAACTTCTGCATGCTCTGTAAAGTAGCTTTTGTCTCTTACATTCTGGCCTCCAGATGGATATGAACACCTGAAATTATTTCTCAGTAGAATTGAAAGAATTTTTGTAAAAATCAAAAGCTCAGCCTTCAGTAAACTTTTGTTTTCATTCTTCCAAGCACCAGTGCAGCTTGCACTTAAAGCGTGCATTCTGTGTTAGCTAACACTGCTTCCTGGCAAAGTTGTTCTTGCATTGTCAGTGAGTTGTAGGTTATGTTTTGGATTCATTTGTTATGTCCTATTTGAGACTAATTTAAAAGTATTACCTAGTGAAGTGGAGTATTTTCGTTTCCAAATTTAAATAGGGAGGCTATGAGAAAATGTGATTTATATACAGGCAAACAGTGACTTCGCATGAAAGTCACTGTCATAAGTATTCCAACTACCCAGGACCAAGTTTATACAGAACCTGCCTGCATTTTATCAACCATCTACGGTTCTTCAAGAGAGAATAAATAATTGCAATTAACAGCTTATCCAGAAACTTCCTTTTAAAAAATAGTTTCTCTTCACTAGATTAATTTCATAAGATAGTGGCCAATTAGCCAAATGGTCACTTCCATATACATTTCTCATCCCTGTGCTCTAAATAAACTTGCTCATTAGCAATGAGAACATTTAAAGAAAGAGTTAAAAGATGAAGTCAAAAATAGAGCATGTTAGATAACATCCACCTATGTTATAGATGCCATAAGGAAAATGTGGCCCTCTAATAGAACCAAAGTTAATACAGAATAATTTGAAAATAAATGATGTCCTGTTAAGCAGGCACCCAGACTTAAGGTGTCTTAAATGATTTTTAAACCTTGAAGAAGAATTTAGAGGTGTTCATTTGAAGTCTAAAATTTATAGAATCTTTTAGAGCTGATAGAATCATCACAGTCCAGTTTCCTTGTTCTGTAATTAAAATAGTTGACACTTAAAGCAGAATTATATTTAAGTGACCTTCATCCACATAAGTTCAAGTAAGTCATATATGCAGAAGTGTTTGCAAACTGCATGGACTAATGTTCATATTTTAATAGAGTGCATGCAAAGTTCAACCTAGGAGAAACCTCATATGTTAAGACAGACCTGTTCCCCCATAGGGACTTTTATTCAGCAGGAGGAAAAATTGTGAGGTTATGTCTTTCTCCCAGGTTCAGCCCTTTAAAAGGAGAGAGCTGAAACTAATATCCATGTACTCTGCAAAGTGCTGGCTTCCTTGAGCCTCTGGCACCATGAGCCCTTGGCAAAGCAAAGCTACTCCTTTACAGCCTGGTTAATTCAAAATTGAACAAAGGTTTTTGTGCACCTGTCACTTGCCAGGATCAGCACAGAATCAGGAAAGCAGCGACCTCGGAATTACAGTGTGGAGGCATAAATAAATGACACCCAACTCTTGGTAATTTATATATATATATATAATTTTTTTTTTTTTTTTTTTTTTGGAGATGGAGTCTTGCTCTGTCACCAAGGCTGGAGTGCAATGGAGCGACCTTGACTCACTGCAACCTCTGCCTCCTTGGTTCAAACAATTCTCTGCTTCAGCCTCCCAAGTAGCTGGGATTACGGGTGCCTACCACCATGCCAGGCTAATTTTTGTATGTTTAGTAGAGATGGGGTTTCACCATCTTGGCCAGGCTGGTCTGGAACTCCTGACTTGTGATCCACCCGCCTTGGCCTCCCAAAGTGTTGGGATTACAGGCCTGAGCCATCGAGCCCAGCCCTAATTTGAGATTTTAAGGCACCCACAGATTTGGGGACTTCTTTTTGATTTTTAATTTTTAAGATTTTTTTTCAACAGACATGGTCTCCATCACCCAGGCAGGAGTGTAGTGGCATGATCATAGCTCACTGCAGCCTTCAACTCCTGGGCTCAAGGGATCCTCCTGCCTCAGCCTCCTGAGTAGCTAGAACTACAGGCATCAGCAACCACGCCTGGCTAATTGTTGTTTTATTTTTTGTAGAGATAGGGTCTTGCCATGTTGTTCAGGTCTCAAACTCCTGGCTTCAAGCAGTCCTCCCACCTCGGCCTCCCAGATTGCTGGGATTACAGGCATGAGGCACTGCGCCTGAGCTGGGAACTTCTTTAAGCCATTTCTGTTCTCCACCTGTACCCCGCATTTTGCAGATGAAAAAATAAGGCCCAGTGCAGACCTAGAACCACTTCTCCAGAAATCTGGGCAGCGGGTTTTATTTTCACCCATGGGCACAGTTTAGGACTTTTTCCACCCATGGGCACAGTTTTTCAAGGCAGCAAAGAGTTTAGGAAGTTTGTGGCTATAACCAGTGACTTTTGCTTCTTGCCTTCTCAAAAGGAAGCTGCTGGAAATTTCCTGATGCAACACCCTTCACTGCCATGGAAAATTTGAGACTGCCTGTACTGAGCTATGTCTAGGGAGCCGATTTATCTCTATATCATTCATGTATTACATTTGTCCTATTTTTTTATATGAAAGAGGATTCCACTTGGTACTGAGAAGAGGCTTAATTAAGGAAGATAGAGACTAAGGAAAGCTCTTATTTCTCTGGCAGTAGCCCCTGAAGCATAGGAATATAGGCTTTTCCCTCCACTTTACTTCTCCTTGACAGAAGGCAGCCAGATCCTTTGGGTTGCCAAACCCCTCCATTCTGAAGGCTGCCATTTGTTTTTTTCTGTCCTTGATTGCCTTCTCTGTTACCCTCTTTACAGCACACACAAGTACCCAAGCTCAGTTTCTGAGCGTTCTCTTTGGAGACCGACACTGATGAATGCTCTGTACCTCTGCCAGCAGGATGCTTCTGTGCTGTGGACATCTGTCATGTTCCTTCCTTCCGAGGCCACAGCACTTTCTCCTGCACCTCTTTTCAGCTCCCCACGCACACCACCATTCAGCCTGTCCCAGGGATCAGGGACTGAAGGTCCCTCTGGAAGCAGTGTCTCTGTCACTGCATTGCAGAGCAAGCATATTGTTGCCACACACTACCTACCCCCATTTTATTCTTTTCTATATTAGAGATTCTCTTTGGAGCCTGAATCTGTATCCTGTTACTAAAATCTGATGTGTCTGCCTTTCTCAGCCTGCTTTCCATGTCAAGAATAATAGAAACCTTTGCATTCCCTTTCACAGTGGTACCCCTGCAACCTGAAAAGGTTTACATAACTGCTAGCGAGGTCTGATTCTAGAAGAGGACTGAATATCATTCCAAAAGAACAAAATTCAAATAATGGTTTCTTTAGCTAGATGGGGTTTCCAGAAATGCTTTGGAACATTTCAATTCCAAGAGGAAGTCATGCTAGGCTGCAAACCACCCAATTATTAGTTTCACCCATAGTTATTTCTTTGCTGCAACATAGTCACAATTGAATCTCTTCAACTTGGCCTTAAAATTTCTTCCATATACAACCATGTTTTATGTCAGTAACTAGGCCAGGACTGTCCACTCTCCACTAAAGGACAGTAGACAGAATGGTTAATGAAAGCATAGACTCTAGAGTGGCACAGCCTAGGCTCAGATACCAGCTCTGCAAGCAGCCTCTCAATAAATATTAGCTACAGTTGTTGTTATCATTATCATGTTGTATGTTCTGCAAGACACATCTCTTAATAGCAGAAAGGCAGTTCAGGTTTTAACCCTAGTATAGTGTGTGCTAGTATACTTTTCATAAAAGCTGATACATTCTACACCTGTTAATGCTTCCTTCCAGAAGAATTTATCAAATGGAGCTACTTAAGTATGCACTAAGATCCTCTACTCCCTCCAGAGTACAAAGAGTTCCGTCTTTGTTCACTGTTAAACTGAAGACAAACATAGGTCGGAAAGACAACAGCTGTATCATAAGCTGGAAAAGCATATTTTCCTTCTGTTTTTGAAATTGAGCAGCTCTGATAGCAGTTGCCAGCTCCACATCTTGGTGTTCTGAAGGCTTCCCTGGTGCACACTTAGAAGTCAGATGACATGTGAGTGAAAGCAGCTTAATTCCAAAGACCAGACAAGTTCCTTCCTAACAGGCTTCATTGAAAGGAGTTCCTGAGATAAGAATTACACAGGGATGTTTTAGAGAGGAGCTTTGGAAGGCTCTGAAGCCACTGGATATCAAAATAGGGTTGAGACATGATCTTCAGGGGAGGAGAATAATAATGGCAGAGGAGCAGAGGCAGTGGGGAATAAGAGGGAGACCAAGGGAAAGGTGTGTGCTCTTGGCCTACTCCTGTAACCTGTGTGTGTTGGATGGGCCTGGCCATGCAGTTTCCATCTTCTGCATGGCCAGAGGTTGACCAGCTGCCAAAAATGGCAGATGCTCTGTACCAAGGAGGCAGCAGATAGAGTGGGCTGAACTGAAGGAAATGTCTCAGGGCCACTTCTGAAAGCAACTTCACATAGGGAAATGCATGTGCAGCTGAGCACTGCATGTCAGCTTAGGAAAAAGACCACGGAGTTCATAGATGCTGGGTTTTTGATGATTTTAAGGAATTATTCTTCCTTTTAGAGTAATATTACCATATGGTAGTCATATGCTTTTAAAAAAAGGAATAACCCAGTGAAATATTTACATGCCGGCAATCATAAACATTACACTAGTGAGCAGTCATGCTCTTGGCTTCAGGTACTTGCAGGTGACTCCCCACCCTTACCCACACCCAGAATCTCACCCACTGCTGACACAGGGAAAGAAAAGTGGACATTCAGAATTTTAACCAAGAATTTAATAACAAGTTTCCAAAATAGATTTCCTAGCAGTGCAATCAGACCAGTCTTATTCTGCTTCTATTTTTACAAATAGGATGTTTTCTTTAAGTTTTCTTAATATTGAGGATAATTTGTGTCACTTTGAAGAACGCTTTAGTTTTGAGTTTGTGTGCCAGTGCTATCTACAGAATTGGAGAAAAATACCTGTATGCCAAATATCAGATACAGGATTAGTGTTCAAAATCTGCAAGAAACTCATAAAACTTAAGCCCCCAAAATAAAAATAACAAAAAGTAACACATTCTTTTAAAAGTGGTCAAAAAACTAGGTTTTTTTTTTTTAAAAAAACCATTAGTAATTCTGAGAAAAATGCAAATCAAAACCACAGTGAGTTAGCATTCAAACACGTATAAAGGTGATACTTATCAAAAATTCAAAATAAAGCAAGTGTTCATCAAGAATAGAGAGAATAGGGACCCTTGTACACTATCACTGGGGATGTAAATTGGTAAAGCCGTTATGGAAAATAGCATGGAGTTTCATCAAATAATTAAAAATAAAACTATCATGTGATTGAGCAATCTCACGTCTAAGTAAATATCCAAAGAACATAAAATCACTATCTTGAAGAGATGTTTTCACTCCTATGTTTATTGAAGCATTATTAACTACAGATAAGGGGCTGGACACGGTGGCTCATGCCTGTAATCCCAGCACTTTTGGAGGCCAAGGTGTGTGAATTACGAGGTCAGGAGTTCGAGACCAGCCTGGCCAATATGGTGAAACCCCATCTCTACTCAAAATACAAAAACTAGTTGGGTGATAGCGGGCACCTGTAGCCCCAGCTACTCCAGAGGCTGAGGCAGGAGAATTGCTTGAACCTTGGAGGTGGAGGTTGCAGTGAGCCTAGATCATGCCACTGTACTCCAGCCTGGGCAACAGAGTGAAACTCCGTAGGCTGGGTAACATAGCAAGACCGTGTCCCTACAAATTAGCTAGGCATGGTGGTGTATCGCTCTGGTCCTTGCTACTTTGGAGGCTGAGGTGGGAGAATAATTTATACCCAAAATTTAGAGGTTACAGTGAGCTATAATCATGCCACTGCACTCCAGTCTGTTTTATCTAACAAGAAAAAGGAGATTTTACATATATGTATTGTATGCATGTGCATGTGTGTGTCTGTGTGTGTGTGTGTGAGACACAATTCAGGCCTTGAAAAAAATCTTGACATTTGCAACCACACAGATCATCTTGAGGGCATTATGCTAAGTGAAATAAGCCAGACACAGAAAGATGAATACTGCATTATCTCAATTATATGTGGAATCTAAAAAAGGTCTTGAATTTGTAGTTACAGAGAGTAGAATGGTAGTGACCAAGGGCTGTGGCTTGGGGGAATGAGATATTGGTTGAATGGTACAAACCTGTTTTTATAAGATGAATAAATACTGGAGACCTAATGTACAGCATGGAGGCTACAGTTAATGCATAGGTAAGTTTTATTAATGAAGAAGATCTCAAATATTCTTATCACACCAGTAACTATGGGAAGTGATGAATATGTTATTTAGCTTGAGTGTGGTAATTTTATTATATATATTTACATACACATAAACACATTGTATACCTTAAATATATACAATTTGTATTTGTCAATTATAGCACATGTGGGAAAATATTGTGTAAATGTATAATATCTAATTATGTAAATATTTAAAACCCTTTAAAATAAATTCTAGGTTAAATGTAAAATCCAATATTTACAGCCAGGGAGGTTCCAACGAACAAGCATGGTATAAAAGCTAAAACTGGGTATTTAGCTAAACTACCTTTCATAAATAAGAGTAAATTAAAATGTTTTCAAAAGTAAAAACCCTGAGAAATTTTATTACTAATAGAAGACTGTTAAGCAATATTAACAATCAAGGTAGGGTGTGGTGGCTCACATCTGTAATCCCAGCACTTTGGGAGGCTGAGGCGGGCAGAACACGAGGTCAAGAGTTCAAGACCAGCCTGACCAACATGGAGAAACCCCATCTCTGCTAAAAATACAAAAATTAGCTGGGCGTGGTGGTGCATGTCTGTAATCCCAGCTGCTCAGGAAGGTGAGGCAGGAGAATTGCTTGAACCCAGGAGGTGGAGGTTGCAGTGAGCTGAGATTGCACCACTGCCTTCCAGCCTGGCTACAGAGTGAAACTCTGTCTCAAAAGAAAAATAATTATAGTATAATAGTATACTTTGAGAGAAACCTTTTCTGCTACCAAGATAAAATGAAAATAAAAATGTAAGAAACTTGATACAGAAATGTCAACCCATGGTAGACACTGAATTAAAGAAATTACATGGTCCTCGGATGCATCCATTTTGAAAACATGTAACTATAATAAAAGTGTGATTCCATGCATTTTATTAAATAAGATAAAAGGAACTTCAGGGCTACTGGAACATTTAACTATAGGAGAAGTCTATTTTTTAGGAATGTTTTTTCATCGCCAACTTGTTAAAGCTTTATAGCACTTGGCATATTTTGGAGAATGTCAACTAGCTTTTTGTCAGAGCTGACTTGTACCAGTGGAACAACAGTGGCATAGACCTCAATAAATTAGGTATTGATGGGACGTATCTCAAAATGATAAGAGCTATCTATGACAGTACCACAGCCAATACCATACTGAATGGGCAAAAACTGGAAGCATTCCCTTTTAAAACTGGCACAAGACAGGGATGCCCTCTCTCACCACTCCTATTCAACACAGTGTTGGAAGTTCTGGCCAGGGCAATTAAGCAGGAGAAGGAAATAAAGGGTATTCAATTAGGAAAAGAGGAAGTCAAATTGTCCCTGTTTGCAGATGACATGATTGTATATCTAGAAAACCCCATTGTCTCAGCCCAAAATCTCTTTAAGCTGATAAGTAACTTCAGCAAAGTCTCAGGATACAAAATCAATGTACAAAAATCACAAGCATTCTTATACACCAATAACAGACAAACAGCCAAATCATGAGTGAACTCCCATTCACAACTGCTTCAAAGAGAATAAAATACCTAGGAATCCAACTTACAAGGGATGTGAAGGACCTCTTCAAGGAGAACTACAAACCACTGCTCAATGAAAAGAGGATACAAACAAATGGAAGAACATTCCATGCTCATGGGTAGGAAGAATCAATATCGTGAAAATGGCCATACTGCCCAAGGTAATTTACAGATTCAATACCATCCCCATCAAGCTACCAATGACTTTCTTCACAGAATTGGAAAAAACTACTTTAAAGTTCATATGAAACCAAAAAGGAGCCTGCATCACCAAGTCAATCCTAAGCCAAAAGGACAAAGCTGGAGGCATCACGCTACCTGACTTCAAACTATACTATAAGGCTACAGTAACCAAAACAGCATGGTACTGGTACCAAAACAGAGATACAGATCAATGGAACAGAACAGAGCCCTCAGAAATAACGCTGCATATCTACAACTATTTGATCTTTGACAAACCTGAGAAAAACAAGCAATGGGGAAAGGATTCCCTATTTAATAAATGGTGCTGGGAAAACTGGCTAGCCATATGTAGAAAGCTGAAACTGGATTCCTTCCTTACACCTCATAGAAAAATTAATTCAAGATGGATTAAAGACTTAAATGTTAGACCTAAAACCATAAAAACCCTAGAAGAAAACCTAAGCATTACCATTCAGGACATAGGCATGGGCAAGGACTTCATGTCTCAAACACCAAAAGCAATGGCAACAAAAGCCAAATTGACAAATGGGATCTAATTAAACTAAAGAGCTTCTGCACAGCAAAAGAAACTACCATCAGAGTGAACAGGCAACCTACAAAATGGGAGAATATTTTCACAACCTACTCATCTGACAAAGGGCTAATATCCAGAATCTACAATGAACTCAAACAAATTTACAAGAAAAAAACAAAGAACCCCATCAAAAAGTGGGTGAAGGTTATGAACAGACACTTCTCAAAAGAAGACATTTATGCAGCCAAAAGACACATGAAAAAATGCTCATCATCACTGGCCGTCAGAGAAATGCAAATCAAAACCACAGTGAGATACCATCTCACACCAGTTAGAATGGTGATCATTAAAAAGTCAGGAAACAACAGGTGCTGGAGAGGATGTGGAGAAATAGGAACACTTTTACACTGTTGGTGGGACTGTAAACTAGTTCAACCATTGTGGAAGTCAGTGTGGCGATTCCTCAGGGATCTAGAACTAGAAATACCATTTGACCCAGCCATCCCATTACTGGGTGTATACCCAAAGGACTATAAATCATGTTGCTATAAAGACACATGCACACGTATGTTCATTGCGGCAGTATTCACAATAGCGACGACTTGGAACCAACCCAAATATCCAACAATGATAGACTGGATTAAGAAAATGTGGCACATGTACACCATGGAATACTATGCAGCCATAAAAAATGATGAGTTCATGTCCTTTGTAGGGACATGGATGAAATCGGAAATCATCATTCTCAGTAAACTTTCGCAAGGAGAAAAAACCAAACACTGTATGTTCTCACTCATAGATGGGAATTGAACAATGAGAACACATGGACACAGGAAGGAGAACATCACACTCTGGGGACTGTTGTGGGGTGGGGGGAGGGGGGAGGGATAGCATTAGGAGATATACCTAATGCTAAATGACGAGTTAATGGGTGCAGCACATCAGCATGGCACATGTATACATATGTAACTAACCTGCACATTGTGCACATGTACCCTAAAACTTAAAGTATAATAATAATAAAAAAATAAAAATAAATAAAACTTAAAAACAAACAAACAAAAAACAGTGGCATAGACATTGACCACAAGGTTCTGCACACTCAGGATGACTGGGTTGCACATCCACAGCAGTGTTGAAAAGGATGAGATGATGAGTTCCACCCAGCACATGACCAGAAAGTAGCTAACTTAACAGCTGGATGGTCTGAGTGGCCCTTTTCTCTGGGAAGGCTCACGGAGAGAAACTGGTGCTGTGAAGTTGCTGAGATTGCCTCTGATGCCTGGACAGAAGAATCACCATGTGTGCAATTGAATGCAGTGTAATTCCTATAATGAAGACATCCCTAGATAATGTCAGGAATAAAAAATACTTTCCTCATGAAGGACTTCACGGGAGAAAGTGAACAGTATTTGCTGACCTTAAGTAGACTGGTCTGGGTCACATTGGAAGAAGCCACAGTGAAGAATATTATGTTATGACTGAAAGAAAAATTGACGGACCAAAAAAAAAATGACACTGATAACGATATTTGTGAATTTCTGTTTAAGCCTTGCCAAACAGCAGTTGCTGGGGCTGATGGTGCTGGCCTGGTGTACACTCAGGAGACAGGTGTTACACAGGCCCGTCGTCACTCTGTTTATGTAGGACAAGGACTTACATTTGAACTCATTCCCTAAGTGCAGTGATTCAAGCATATCTGGAGGCCAACCGTCTACCACAGTGAGGAATATCACTACATGAATGAAGGCCGAGTTACAGCTGATGAGGTCATGGGGCTTCGATTTCTGATTCTGAAGAAATGTGAAGATGTTGAACAAGAGGAAAAAGGTGTTGGCTAAAAGTCCAATGGCAGCTTGGGAAAAAAGGTTTTTTGTTTTTGAGACGGAGTCTCGCTCTGTTGCCCAGGCTGGAGTGCAGTGGCACCATTTCAGCTCACTGCAAGCTCTGCCTCCTGGGGTCAGGCCATTCTCCTGCCTCAGCCTCCCAAGTAGCTGGGACTACAGGCACCCACCACCACGCCCGGCTAAGTTTTTGTATTTTTAGTAGAGACAAGGTTTCACCTTATTAGCCAGGATGGTCTTGATCTGACCTCGTGATCTGCCCGCCTCGGCCTCCCAAGGTGCTGGGATTACAAGCGTGAGCCACCACGGCCCGCTAACAAAAGGTATTTTTAAGCATAACAAGCATTATGCTTAAAGTATGTTCATCTTAATAACAAAGAAATGTGTTTCATGTATCTGGGAAAAAACAACAGATCTCACATTATCAATGTTTGTTCTTTAGTGCTCTAAATAATTACCATGATCATTTTAATTTTACCCACTCCTTGGTTAACTCTGATTATCTCATATACATTGTGGCTAATCTAGCCTCTTCACTCATTTCCATATCAACCCACCCTAGCTGCTTCTCTCATTTCCACTCTTACACACCCTAGCTTCTAGTAATCACCAGTCTACTCTCTACTTCTATGAGATCAACTTTATTAGATTCTATGTATTAGTGAGAATGTGCAGTATTTTTTTTTATGCCTGGCTTATTTTACTTAACACAATGACCTCCAGGTTCATCCCTGTTGCTACAAAGGACGGAATTTTATCTTTTTATGGCTGAATACTGTTTCATTGCATGCGTGTATATATATAAAATGAAATATATATACAATGAAATACGATTGTGTATATTATTGTGTAATATACATCTATATTACATTATATATATATAATGAAATATATACACAATGAAATTGTATATACAATGAAATATAAAGAATGAAGTTATATATACACAATGAAATTATATATACACACACACACACACACACACCACATTTGCAAAATCCATTTGTTTATTGAAGGACATCTGATGATTCCATGTCTTTGCTATTGTAAGTAGTACTGTGTACTAGTACAGTAGTACTAGTACTTAGTGCTATTGTAAGTAGTACTGTGTACTGGTACAGTAGTACTAGTACTTAGTGCTATTGTAAGTAGTACTGTGTACTGGTACAGTAGTACTAGTACTTAGTGCTATTGTAAGTAGTACTGTGTACTGGTACAGTAGTACTAGTACTTAGTGCTATTGTAAATAGTACTGTGTACTGGTACAGCAGTACTAGTACTTAGTGCTATTGTAAATAGTACTGTGTACTGGTACAGCAGTACTAGTACTTAGTGCTATTGTAAATAGTACTGTGTACTGGTACAGCAGTACTAGTACTTAGTGCTATTGTAAATAGTACTGTGTACTAGTACAGTAGTACTAGTACTTGTACTATTGTAAATAGTATTGTAATAGTACTGTGATTAACATAAGCATGTATGTGTCTTTACAGTTGAATGATTTCTATTTTGGGGCTATATACCAAATAATGGAATTGCCGGGTCAGATGGTAGTTTTGTTTTAAATTCTTTGAGAAATCTCCAGAGAACTTTCCACAGTGCCTGGAAAAATTTACATTCCATCTAGCAGTGTATAAGCTTTCTCTTCACTGCCCACTAGCATCTATTGTTCTTTGCCTTTTTAATATGGCTACTGTGACTGATGTGAGATGGTATCTTGTGGTTTTGATTTGCATTTTTCTAATGGTTAGTGATATTGAGCATTTTAATATGCATGTTGGATGCATGTGTGTCTTCTTTTCAGAAGTGTTCATGTTCTTATTCATTTTTAATAAAGTTTGTTTTTTGCTAAGTGAATTATGATTTTTTAAATAGATTCTACATATTAAACCTTTGCTGAAAAACATAGTTTGCAAGTTTTTTTTCTCATTCTGTTGGTTGTGTGTTTACTCTGTTGGTAGTTTCTTTTGCTGTGCTGAAGCTCTTTAGCTTAATCCGGTCTCATTTATCAACTTCTTGTTGTTTTAGTTGCTTTTAGAGTCTTTGAAGTCTTTGCCAGGGCCAATGTACAGCATGGTATTTCCTAGGTTTTCTTCTAGGGTTTTTACACTTTTAGGTTTTATATTTAAGTCTTTAATCCATCTTGAGTTAATTTTTGTATATGGTATAAATGAAGCGGTCCATCTTCAATCTTCTGCATATGACTAGCCAGTTATCCCAGCACTATTTATTGAACAGGGAGTCTTTTCCTTCCTTTTTTTTTTTTTTTTGAGATGGAGTTTGACTCATTGCCCAGGCTGGAGTGCAATGGTATGATCTCAGTTTACTGCAACCTCCCCCAGGTTCAAGTGATCAAGTGATTCTCCTGCCTCAGCCTCCAGAGTAGCTGAGATTACAGGCACCCTCCACCACGCCCGGCTAATTTCTGTAATTTTAGTATAGATGGCATTTTATCATATTGGCCAGGCTGGTCTCAAACTCCTGACCTGAGGTGGTCCACTCGCCTTGGCCTCCCAAAGTGCTGGGATTACAGGCATGAGCCACCATGCCTGATGGGCAGTCCTTTCCTTATTGTTTGTTATTGTTGGCTTTGTGAAAAATCAGATGGTTTTAGATGTGTGGTTTTATTTCTGGGTTCTCTAGCCTATTCCTTTGGTCTGTGAGTCTATTTTTGTACCAGTATCCATGCTCTTTTAGGTATTGTAGCCTTGTAGTATAGTTTGAAGTTGGGTAGTATGATGACTCCAGCTTTGTTCCTTTGCATAGAATAGCTTTGAGTATTCAGGCTCTTTTTTTTTGTTTCAAATAAGTTTTTTCATTTTTAAAAAAATTCCATAAAAAATGTTGTTGGTAGTTTGTTAGGAATAACATGGAATTCAAAAGTAAATTTCTTTTGGTAGTATGGCCATCTTAGCAATATTCATTCTTCCTATCCATGAGCATGGAATGTTTTTCTGTTTGCTTTTGTCATCTCTAATTTTTTTTTTTAACAATAGCTCATAATTCTCTTTGTAGAGATCATTTGCCTTCCTGGTTAGCTGTGTTTCCAGGTATTTTATTCTTTTGGTGGCTATTGTGAATAGAATTGTATTTTCAATCAGATGTTATTGGTGTATAGAAATGTTACTGATTTTCATACATTTATTTTGTATGCTGAAACTTTACTGAAGTTCTTTATCAGATCTAGGAGTCTTTGGGCAGAGACTGTGGGCTTTTCTAAGTATAGAATTATATCATTTGTGAAATGAAATCATTTGACTTCCACTCTTCCTATTTGGATGACTTTTATTTCTTTCCTCTGCCTGATTGCTTTGGCTGGGACTTCCAGTATTTAATAGGAATAGTGAGCGTGAGTATCCTTGTTTTGTTCTGGTTCTCAAAAGGAATGTTTCAAGCTTTTGCCCTTTCAGTATGATGTTGACTGTGGGTTTGTTATAGATGGTTGTTATTATCTTGAGGTACGTACCTTTGATGCCTAGTTTTTGAGGGTGTTTGACCATGCATCCCAGGAATAAAGCCTACCTGATCATGGTGGATTAGCTTTTCTGATGTGATGCTGGATTCAGTTTATATATATTTACATTTATAGTTACATAAATATATTTATATATATATATTTTTTGAGATGGAGTTTCACTCTTGTTGCCCAGGCTGGAGTGCAATGGCATGATCTCGGCCCACTGTAACCTCCACTCCTGTGTTCAACGGATTCTCCTGTCTTAGCCTCCCGAGTAGATGGGACTACAGGCCTGTGCCACCAAGCCCAGCTAATTTTTTGTATTTTTAGTAGAAACAGAGTTTCACCATGTTAGCCGGGCTGGTCTCGAACTCCTGACCTCAGGTGATCTGCCCGCCTCTGCCTCCCAAAGTGCTGGGATTACAGGCATGAGCCACCATGCCCAGCCCAATTTGCTTTTTTTTTTGTTGTTGTTCCATATCTGCTAGGTTTTGGTGTCAGAATGATGCTGGCCTCATAGAATGAGTTAAGAGGAAGTCTCTCCTCCTCCTTTTTATGGAATAGTTTCAGTAGAACTGGTACTAGCTCTTCTTTATATGTCTGGTAGAATTTGGCTGTGAATCCATCTGGTCCAGAGTGTTTTCTCGTAAGCTTTTTATTATTTATTCAATTTCAGAAGTCAGTATTGGTCTTTTCATGGTTTTAATTTCTTCCTGGCTCAGTTTTGGGAGTTTATATGTTTCCAGGTATTTATCCATTTCTTCTGTGTTTTCTAGTTTGCGTGCATAAAGGTGTTCATAATAGTCTCTAATGGTTTCATGTATTTCTGTGGCATCAGTGATAGTATTTCCTTTGTCACTTTTTATCATGTTTAGGTAGATCATCTTTTTTCCTTTAGCTAGCAGTCTATCAATCTTATTTATTATTTCAGAAATAAGTTTCACTGGATTTTTGTCCAGTTTTTTAAATCTCCATTTCATTCTGTTTGATATTTTTTGTCTTCTAGCTTTGAGGTTGATTTGTGGTTACATTTCTGTTTCTGCTAGATAGCGCCTGGTGCAGTGGCTCACGCCTGTAATCCCAGCACTTTGAGAGGCCGAGGCAGGTGGATCACCTGAGGTCAGGAGTTCGAGACCAGCCTGACCAATATGGTGAAACCCCATCACTACTAAAAATAAAATAATTAATTGGGCGTGGTGGTACACGCCTGTAGTCTCAGCTAGGCTGAGACAGGAGAGTTGCTTGAACCAGGGAGATGGAGGTTGCAGTGAGCTGAGATTGCTCCACTGCACTCCAGCCTGTGCAACAGGGCAAGACTCTGTCTCAAAAATAAATAAATAAATAAAAAGATACAATGTTAGGTTCTTAATTTGATATCTTTCTAACTTTTTAATGTGGGTGTTTAGTGCTACAAACTTTCCCTTTAACACTTTTTTAAAAATAGTTTCTCAGTGATTTAGGTATGTTGTATTTTTGTTTCTATTAGTTTCACATAATTTCTTGATTCCAGCCTTTATTTTATTCTTTACCCAAAAGTCATCCAGCAGCTACTTATTTAATTTTTTATTAAATTGTATGGTTTTGAGAGGTCTTCTTGGTATTGATATCTATTTTTATTGCACTGTGGTCCGATAGTGTGGTTGGTATGATTTTGATTCTTTAGAATATGTTGTGAGTTGCCTTATGGCCAAGTGTGTGGTGGTCAATTGTAGAGTATGTGTCATGTGGAGATAAGAAGAATGTATATTCTGGTTTTGCTGGCTGGAGTGTTCTGTAGATGACTGTTAGGTCCATTTGGTTAAGTGTCAAGTTTAGGTCCTAAATATCTTTGTAAGTACTCTGCCTTGGTGATCTGTCCAGTACTTTTGGTGGGGTTTTAAAGTCTCACAGTATTATTGTGTGGTTATCTAAGTCTCTTCATAAGTCTCTAGGAATTTGTTTTATGAATCTGCGTGCTCCAGTGTTGGGTGTATATAATTAACATTTAGGATAGTTAAGTCTTCTTACTGAATTGAACCCCTTATCATGAAATGCCCTTTGTCTTTTTTGATCATTGTTAATTTAAAGTCTGTTTTGTCTGAAAAAAGAATAGTAACTTCTGCTCTTTTTTGTTTTCTATTTGCTTGGTAGATCTTTCTCCATCTGTTTTCTTTGAGCCTGTGGATGTTGTTGCATGTGAGATGGGTCTCTTGAAGACAGCATACAGTTGGGTCTTGCTTCTTTATTTAACTTGTCACTCTGTGCCTTTTCAGTGGGGTATTTAGCACATTCTTTTTCAAGGTTAATATTGATAAGTGGAGATTTGATCCTGACATTGTGTTGTTAGCTGTTTGTTACGTAAACTTGATTGTGTATTTACATTGTAGTGTAAATAGCCCATGTACTTCAGTGTGTTTTTTGTGGTGGCCAGTAATAGTCTTTCCTTTCCATGTTTAACACACCCGTAAGAATCTCTTTTAAGGCAGGTTTGGTGGTAATGAATTATCTTGCTTGTCTGAAAGGATATCTTTTATCTTTTGTTTATGAAGCTTAGTTTGGTGTGATTAGATTCTTGGTTGGAGTTTGTTTTCTTTGAGAATGATGAATATAGGTCCCCCAATTGCTTTTGTCTTGCTTGTATGGTTTCTGCTGGAATGTCTGCTCATAACCTGATGGAGTTCCCTTTGTAAGTGACCTGACCCTTGTCTCTAGCTGCCTTTAATATTTTTTCTTTCACATTGACCTTGGAGAATCTGATGACTGAATGTCTTGGGGATGGTTATCTTGTGTACTATCTCCCAGGGGTCCCCTGAATTTTCTGAATTTGAATTTCAACCTCTCTAGGAAAGTTAAGAAAATTCTCATGGATAGTATCCTAAAAAATGTTTTCCAGGTTACTTGTTCTTTCTTCCTTTCTTTTAGAGATGCCAATGAGTTGTAGATTCGGTGTCATCACATAATCCCATATTTCTCAAAGGTTTTTTTTCATGAAAAACAATCTTTTACAGTTATTTTTGTCTGACTGAATTAATTCAAAGAACTGGTCTTTGAGCTCTGAGATTCTTCCCTCAGCTTGGTCTCATCTGGTGTTAATATTTCTGATTGTATTACAAAATTATTTTTGTGAGTTTTTCAGCTCCATCAGATCAGTTTTGTTCCTTCTTAAGAAGGCTATTTCATCTCTCACCTCTTGAATAGTTTTACTGAATTTTTTAGATTCCTTGAAATGGGTTTCAACTTTCTTCAAAATCTTGATGATCTTCATTGGCATCCAGGTTCTGAATTCTCTGTCATTTCAGCGATTTTATGCTGGTCCTCCACTTAAGCCATAGGTCTTGGCTTGGCAGTCCTATCCCATAGCCTTGTGCACCATAGCTCTGGGGTGAACTCAGGCTTTTCATTTTCTCCGCAGCTTGGGAACAGCAGCATTGGGGAACTTGGCAATGGCAATGGCAGAAAGCCTTTCACTTGTCTCTTAGGGTACCACGTCAGAGACATGCAGAGCTGCTGCCAATCAGAATGATCAGTCAGAAATGGAGCAGCTGCATTGTGGGCCCAAGCTGGGACCCCTGCCTGGTGAAGAGCAGGGCATTTGGGGCCAACTGGGAAGAGAGACTGGGCTTCCCTCCATATGGTGGCTGTGGCCTGCTGGAGGTGTGAGCAAAGCACTCAGGCACTTTGTTTCTTCCCCAGCCTGGGGGCAGCAAGGGCAGTATCACTGCAGTAGTAATGGCAGAAGGGCTGCCTCTGGGAACTCCACCCCAGAGAGATGCAGAGCCACTGCCAATGAGAATCTTCAGCCAAAGGTGAGGTGGCCGAACTGTGGGCTTAAACCTGGGGCTCCGTCTGGTGAAAAGCAGGGAGCCAGAATCTCACAGAAAAGAGAAACTGGACTTCTCTCCATCTGGTGGCTGTGGTACACTGGAGGTGCTGGCAAAGCAATCAGGGTCTTTATTCTTTGCCCATACCAAGGGCAGCAATGGTGGTATTGCTAAAGTGGCAATGGCAGAGAGCCTGTGGGTTACCCCTGAAAGCTCCATCTCAGAGAGATGCAGAGATGCCACTGACTGAAGCAATCCCTCCTGGTGGAAGGGGCAGGATGGCTGTGCTGGGAGCCCAGGTCAGGAAACCCTACCCAGTGAGGTGCAGCAGGGAGGGGGACCCACGTGGAAAACAGTTTGCCCACTTTCTGCAAGGCAGCTGTGGTGTGCTAGAAGCCTATGATAGTTCTTGGGCTCTTCAGTCCCTCCCTAGCCTGAGAGAGGTAGAGGCGCAGGGGCCATGACAATTGCAGAAACAGCAGGCCTGACAGTTACTTCTAGGAGGTCTGTCTGCAGAGTTGCAATTAGCCTGAGTGCTCAGGCAGGGGGTAAGTGGCTGCACTGGGACCCAGGCCAGTGGGCATTACCAGGCAAGGTGTAGTGGAGGTGAGGCCTCTACGGGAGGTGAGTCTGTCTACTCCTCAGCACTGTAGATATGGCCCCTATCCTGGGGGCATGTGAGAGAGTCTGGCCTCTTCTGGTGGCAGAGCTATAGCAGCTGGCACTGTGGTGCTCAGGGGTCCAAGGCCCTTAGGGTTTTATGTGGGCCTGACTGGAGGCTCTGCCCAGACTCCATGCAGCTCTCTGTGTCAGTTGGGGAGCCCTGTGGGGAGGGTGTCAGGGGATTTTCTGTGCCCAGGATTTCAAAAGTCGATGGCAGAAGGGTGAGTCACCAGTGGCTCTTGCTTACTCACTATTTTCCTTGGGTGGGGAGCCCCCCTTGGCTACTCACCAATTCAGAGGTTGGTGGCTTTTCTGTCTCCTCTCTGTGGGTCATGTTTCTTCCTTGATGAATTCCCCATTTTAAAACAACCTTACATACATTTGTGGAGTATAAGTGCAATTTTGTTGCATGCATAGATTGCATAGTGCTATCAAGGTTCATCTATAGCATTATCAGAATTTTCTTAAAAAAAAAAAAACTTACAGAAACGAGGTCTTGCTATTTTGCCCAGGCTCATCTGGAACTTCTGGACTCAAGTGATCTGCCTGCCTTGGCCTCCCAAAGTGCTGAGATTATAGGGGTAAGTCACCGAACCTGGCCAGAATTGTTTTTTCTTTACACAGGTGAATAATATTCCATGTTTGTGTGTACAATTTTGCTTCTCCATTTACCTGTTGATAGGCATTAGGGTTGGTTGTACTTTTTGGCCATTGTGAATAATGTTGCTATGAACATGAGTGTACAAATACCCATTTGAGTCCTTGCTCTCAATTCTTTTGGGTATATAACCTGAATGGCAGTTGTTGGATTATGTGATAATTCTGTGCTTAATATTTTAAGGAGCTGCCAAACCGTTTTCCACAAGGGCTGCACCAGTTTACATTCCAAACAGCGGTGCATAAAGGGTCCAGTTTTTCAATATCCTTGCTGACAGTTAATGTTTTCTGTGTATGTGTTGAATATTTATAGTGTTTGAAATTCATTTGAGGGTCTTTATTGTTACCAAAATATTACAAAAAGTTTTTCAAATACAGCCATATGCTGTAATAATAAATAATCTTACTTGTTTCTTGATGCTTGTGATCTATTTTCTCGGTAAGAAGAGAAACTTCTCTCCACCCAGCCTCAGTCCACTGCACCCACCCTTTGCTGTATCAGGATGTGCAGGGGAGAGAGGGAGCTTGGCAGCTCTGTCCTGCCTTGGTCTGTGATAGTCCATCACTGGGTTGTAAAGCATCTCTCCTCCTCCTCCTTCTTGAGAGAAATTTCACTGATTCTGAGTGCCATCTGCATTTCTTTTGGGTGTTTATATTAACCCAATTTTATTGAAATAACACTAGATAGAAAGTTAGGGGATAGATTCTCTATCCGATGAGAGTTTTGGGCAAATCATGTAGTTTTTGAGTCTTGTTTTTTTTCTTAGGCAAGAAAACAGTAAATTAGGCAGCCAGTGGGAGATCCTCAGAGCTCTGAATGTGGGTCTGGAACACCATATTTCTACCACTCACTTTCTTATTGCTTGTCTTGCACAAAGATCATGGCCCAAGTAACAATGTCCGCCCTGGCCGTTGAAGATGAGGAGTCCTCAGCAGGATGGTGGTGACATTCCTCATGTCAGCTCTTGAGTCCATGGTGAGACCTTCTATTCTGACATTCCATAGTTGGGTAGAACTGGACTGTAGTTAAGGTTGATTTGTTTTTGTAGAAGATATAATTGTACGTATTTTTTTGGTTTTAAGGAGTAGTTTTTTTTTCTTGAATAGCAGTTATGCCTTTCAAATCACATTTTATTACCATGCTTCAGAATGTTTAATTTTTACATTGAATGTCAAATAATTTTCTACCATTATTTTAGGCAATCATTTGTTTTGCAAGTGTTTTGAAATTATGTATAATATTTGTGGTTACTCAGAATGAGTTTGTATCCTAGAGTATGGTGCTGGAGTTTTATTGTATCTATATGTAGAAGACTCCCAGAATTCGGGGTCATTAAGGCATCTTTACTATTGTGTATGTATATTTCTTCTGCTTACACATTCACTATTGCACTAACCACCTCTTTCTAAATTGTTTAGTGTTAGCTGTTTATTTTATTTTATTTGACAGAGTCTCACTCTGTCACCCAGGGTGGAGTGCAGTGGTGCGATCCTAGCTCACTGCAACCTCCGCTTCCCAGGATCAAGTGATTCTCATGACAGCCTTTCTAGTAGCTGGGGCTGCAGATGTGTGCCACCACACTCAGCTAATTTTTGTATTTTTTTGCTAAAGATGGGGTTTCACAATGTTGGTGAGGCTTGTCTTCAACTGCTGAGCTCAAGTGATCTGTCTGCCTTGGACTCCCAAATTGCTGGGATTGCAGGTGAGAGCCACCGCACCTGGCCAGCTCTTTAAAAAAAAAAAGCCTATCATATGCATAATTATAGTGAAATATTGAGTACCAATTATGTAGTTTTGTATTTTTATATTACTATCATGGTATTTATATAATTATTTTCTATTTTTATGGGTATGTAGCTGGAAATAGTACTTATTATAAAAAGTATCAGGCTTAGGTATTTTCTATTTTTTATTTACCTTTTTTTTTTGGAGAAAGGGTCTTACCCTTTTGTCCAGATTGGAATGCAGTTGTGTAATCATGGCTCACTGCAGCCTGGACATCCTGGGTCCAAGTGGTCTTCCCACCTCCGCCTTGGAGTAGCTGGGAGTGTATGCATGTACTACCACGTCTGGCTACTTTGTTTCGCTTTTTAGTGGAGATGAAATCTTAATATATTGCCCAGGCTGGTCTCTCTTTTTTTTTTTTTTTTTTTTTTTTTGAGATGGAGTCTCACTCTGTTGCCCAGGCTGGAGTGCAGTGGCATGATCTTGGCTCACTGCAAGCTCCACCTCCTGGGTTCATGCCATTCTCCTGCTTCAGCCTCCCGAGTAGCTGGGACTACAGGGGCCCACCACCATGCCCGGCTAATTTTTTTTTGTATTTTTAGTAGAGACGGGGTTTCACAGTGTTAGCCAGGATGGTCTCGATCTCCTGACCTCGTGATCCACCCACCTTGGCCTCCCAAAGTGCTGAGATTACAGGTGTGAGCTACCATGCCTGGCCGACAATAAAATAATTTTTGAAAATATTGATCTCTGCAAAGAGTACCATAGGACCACGTAAGACCCATTCACTTCCTTAGAATTTCTTTATAGTTCTTTCATGTTTGGCATAGTCATTTCACTATTCTCAGCCTTTATTTCTTCCTTCCCAGCATTAGTAAGACCATTTCTCCTTCTATTCCTAGTTGTATATAACACAGTATAATTAAAGGTGTAGAAACTGCTGAGTTCTTCACTGGCTTGTCAGAGTGCTAAGCAGATCCAGGCTGACTTTGTCCCTTCCTTGGCTGGTAGACTTCTTTAATCTATGGATAGTACATGAATCTTGCTTACTCTTTCATAACCATTGCCTTTGTTGACAGGATTGTTTTAGAGTGTGGATAGTGAAGCAAGAATGTACGCTCATTTACTCAAGGTAAGTAAATAATAGTTCCTTATAGGAGAGTAGCCACATCACAAGTCAAGTAAGTGCAATGGAAGGAAATTACCAAGGCCCATCAAGCTTCACGCTGGGGTAGCTCTCGGCCCACCTCCAGGTCAGAAGTTCTCTACCATGACTTTATTATAACTCAAAAGATTTCGATCACCTCACCAGTTGCTAAATTAGTTACTGAAGATAACATTTTAAAGCAATATTATGCAGAAATAATCTCCAGTTAAGAAATTAGAGGGAGATTATTGTACAAATCAAAAATAAATAGTGGAAAGCTTATGGTTTTCAACAAATGATACTGAGAAAATAGGCTATTTGGTAAAAAATAAAAATTTTGGTAAAAACAAGCTTCAAGGATGAAGGCAAAAGATGGCCGAATAGGAACAGCTCCGGTCTACACCTCACAGCGTGAGTGATTTCTGCATTTCCATCTGAGCTACCGGGTTCATCTCACTAGGGAGTGCCAGACAGTGGGTGCAGGTCATTGGGTGCACGCACCGTGTGCGAGCCGAAGCAGGGCAAGGCATTGTCTCACTTGGGAAGTGCAAGGGGTCAGGGAGTTCCCTTTCAGAGTCAAAGAAAGGGGTGACGGACGCACCTGGAAAATCGGGTCACTCCCACCCGAATACTGCACTTTTCCGACTGGCTTAAAAAACGGCACACCACGAGATTATATCCTGCACCTGTCTGGGAAGGTCCTACGCCCACGGAGTCTCACTGATTGCTAGCACAGCAGTCTGAGATCAAACTGCAAGGCGGCAGCGAGGCTGGGGGAGGGGAGCCATTGCCCAGGCTTGCTTAGGTAAACAAAGCAGCCCGGAAGCTCCAACTGGGTGGAGCCCACCACAGCTCAAGGAGGCCTGCCTGCCTCTGTAGGCTCCACCTCTGGGAGCAGGGCACAGACAAACAAAAAGACAGCAGTAACCTCTGCAGACTTAAATGTCCCTGTCTGACAGCTTTGAAGAGAGCAGTGGTTCTCCCAGCACGCAGCTGGAGATCTGAGAATGGGGAAACTGCCTCCTTAAGTGGGTCCCTGACCCCTGACCCTTGAGCAGCCTAACTGGGAGGCACCCCCCAGCAGGGGCACACTGACACCTCACACGGCAGGGTATTCCAACAGACATGTAGCTGAGGGTCCTGTCTGTTAGAAAGAAAACTAACTAACAGAAAGGACATCCACACCAAAAACCCATCTGTACATCACCATCATCAAAGACCAAAAGTAGATAAAACCACAAAGATGGGGAAAAAACAGAACAGAAAAACTGGAAACTCTAAAACACAGAGCGCCTCTCCTCCTCCAAAGGAACACAGTTCCTCACCAGCAACGGAATAAAGCTGGATGGAGAATGACTTTGACGAGCTGAGAGAAGAAGGCTTCAGACGATCAAATTACTCTGAGCTACAGGAGGACATTCAAACCAAAGGCAAAGAAGTTGAAAACTTTGAAAAAAATTTAGAAGAATGTATAAGAAGATGGAGCTGAAAACCAAGGCTCGAGAACTACATGAAGAATGCAGAAGCCTCAGGAGCCGATGTGATCAACTGGAAGAAAGGGTATCAGCAATGGAAGATGAAATGAATGAAATGAAGCAAGAAGGGAAGTTTAGAGAAAAAAGAATAAAAAGAAATGAGCAAAGCCTCCAAGAAATATGGGACTATGTGAAAAGACCAAATCTATGTCTGACTGGGGTACCTGAAAGTGATGGGGAGAATGGAACCAAGTTGGAAAACACTCTGCAGGATATTATCCAGGAGAACTTCCCCAATCTAGCAAGGCAGGCCAACGTTCAGATTCAGGAAATACAGAGAACGCCACAAAGATACTCCTCAAGAAGAGCAACTCTAAGACACATAATTGTCAGATTCACCAAAGTTGAAATGAAGGAAAAAATGTTAAGGGCAGCCAGAGAGAAAGGTCCGGTTACCCACAAAGGGAAGCCCATCAGACTAACAGCGGATCTCTCAGCAGAAACTCTACAAGCCAGAAGAGAGTGGGGGCCAATATTCAACATTCTTAAAGAAAAGAATTTTCAACCCAGAATTTCATATCCAGCCAAACTAAGCTTCATAAGTGAAGGAGAAATAAAATACTTTACAGACAAGCAAATGCTGAGAGATTTTGTCACCAGCAGGCCTGCCCTAAAAGAGCTCCTGAAGGAAGCACTAAACATGGAAAGGAACAACCGGTACCAGTCACTGCAAAATCATGCCAAAATGTAAAGACCATCGAGACTAGGAAGAAACTGCATCAACTAACGAGCAAAATAACCAGCTAACATCATAATGACAGGATCAAATTCACACGTAACAATATTAACTTTAAATGTAAATGGACTAAATGCTCCAATTAAAAGACACAGACTGGCAAATTGGATAAAGAGTCAAGACCTATCAGTGTGCCGAATTCAGGAAACCCATCTCACGTGCAGAGACACACATAGGCTCTGAATAAAAGGATGGAGGAAGATCTACCAAGCAAATGGAAAACAAAAAAAGGCAGGGGTTGCAATCCTAGTCTCTGATAAAACAGACTTTAAACCAACAAAGATCAAAAGAGACAAAGAAGGCCATTACATAATGGTAAAGGGATCAATTCAACTAGAAGAGCTAACTATCCTAAATATATATGCACCCAATACAGGAGCACCCAGATTCATAAAGCAAGTGCTTAGTGACTTACAAAGAGACTTAGATTCCCACACATTAATAATGGGAGACTTTAACACCCAACTGTCAACATTAGACAGATCAACGAGACAGAAAGTCAACAAGGATACCCAGGAATTGAACTCAGCTCTGCACCAAGCAGACCTAATAGACATCTACAGAACTCTCCACCCCAAATCAACAGAATACAAATTTTTTTCAGCACCACACCACACCTATTCCAAAATTGACCACATACTTGGAAGTAAAGCTCTCCTCAGCAAATGTAAAAGAACAGAGATTATAACAAACTATCTCTCAGACCACAGTGCAATCAAACTAGAACTCAGGATTAAGACTCTCACTCAAAACCGCTCAACTACATGGAAACTGAACAACCTGCTCCTGAATGACTACTGGGTAAATAACGAAATAAAGGCAGAAATAAAGATGTTCTTTGAAACCAAGGAGAACAAAGACACAACATACCAGAATCTCTGGGATGAATTCAAAGCAGTGTGTAGAGGGAAATTTATAGCACTAAATGCCCACAAGAGAAAGCAGGAAAGATCCAAAATTGACACCCTAACATCACAATTAAAAGAACTAGAAGAGCAAGAGCAAACACATTCAAAAGCTAGCAGAAGGCAAGAAATAACTAAAATCAGAGCAGAACTGAAGGAAATAGAGACACAAAAAAACCCTTCAAAAAATTAATGAATCCAGGAGCTGGTTTTTTGAAAGGATCAACAAGATTGATAGACCGCTAGAAAGACTAATAAAGAAAAAGAGAAGAATCAAATAGATGCAATAAAAAATGATAATGGGGATATCACCACCGATCCCACAGAAATACAAACTACCATCAGAGAATACTACAAACACCTCTATGCAAATAAACTAGAAAATCTAGAAGAAATGGATAAATTCCTCGACACATACACTCTCCCAAGACTAAACCAGGGAGAAGTTGAATCTCTGAATAGACCAATAACAGGATCTGAAATTGTGGCAATAATCAATAGCTTACCAACCAAAAAGAGTCCAGGACCAGATGGATTCACAGCCGAATTCTATCAGAGGTACAAGGAGGAACTGGTACCATTCCTTCTGAAACTATTCCAATCAATAGAAAAAAAGGGAATCCTCCCTAACTAATTTTATGAGGCCAGCATCATCCTGATACCAAAGCCGGGCAGAGACACAACCAAAAAAGAGAATTTTAGACCAATATCCTTGATGAACATTGATGCAAAAATCTTCAATAAAATACTGGCAAAACGAATCCAGCAGCACATCAAAAAGCTTATCCACCATGATCAAGTGGGCTTCATCCCTGGGTTGCAAGGCTGGTTCAATATATGCAAATCAATAAATGTAATCCAGCATATAAACAGAGCCAAAGACAAAAACCACGATTATCTCAATAGATGCAGAAAAAGCCTTTGACAAAATTCAACAACCTTCATGCTAAAAACTCTCAATAAATTTGGTGTTGATGGGACATATCTCAAAATCATAAGAGCTATCTATGACAAACCCACAGCCAATATCATACTGAATGGGCAAAAACTGGAAGCATTCCCTTTTAAAACTGGCACAAGACAGGGATGCCCTCTCTCACCACTCCTATTCAACACAGTGTTGGAAGTTCTGGCCAGGGCAATCAGGCAAGAGAAGGAAATAAAGGGTATTCAATTAGGAAAAGAGGAAGTCAAATTGTCCCTGTTTGCAGATGACATGATTGTATATCTAGAAAACCCCATTGTCTCAGCCCAAAATCTCCTTAAGCTGATAAGCAACTTCAGCAAAGTCTCAGGATACAAAATCAATGTACAAAAATCACAAGCATTCTTAAACACCAACAACAGACAAACAGAGAGCCAAATCATGAGTGAACTCCCATGCACAATTGCTTCATAGAGAATAAAATACTTAGGAATCCAACTTACAAGGGATGTGAAGGACCTCTTCAAGGAGAACTACAAACCACTGCTCAAGGAAATAAAAGAGGATACAAACAAATGGAAGAACATTCCATGCTCATGGGTAGGAAGAATCAATATCGTGAAAATGGCCATACTGCCCAAGGTAATTTACAGATTCAATGCCATCCCCATCAAGCTACCAATGCCTTTTTTCACAGAGTTGGAAAAAACTACTTTAAAGTTCATATGGAACCAAAAAAGATCCCGCATCGCCAAGTCAATCCTAAGCCAAAGGAACAAAGCTGGAGGCATCACACTACCTGACTTCAAACTATACTACAAGGCTACAGTAACCAAAACTGCCTGGTACTGGTACCAAAACAGAGATATAGATCAATGGAACAGAACAGAGCCCTCAGAAATAGTGCCGCATATCTACAACCATCTGATCTTTGACAAACCTGACAAAAACAAGCAATGGGGAAAGGATTCTCTATTTAATAAATGGTGCTGTGAAAACTGGCTAGCCATATGTAGAAAGCTGAAACTGGATCCCTTCCTTACACCTTATACAAAAATCAATTCAAGATTGATTAAAGACTTAAACATTAGACCTAAAACCATAAAAACCCTAGAAGAAAACCTAGACATTACCATTCAGGACATAGGCATGGGCAAGGACTTCATGTCTAAAACACCAAAAGCAATGGTAACAAAAGCCAAAATTGACAAATGGGATCTCATTAAACTAAAGAGCTTCTGCACAGCAAAAGAAACTACCATCAGAGTGAACAGGCAACCTACAAAATGGGAGAATATTTTCACAACCTACTCATCTGACACAGGGCTAATATCCAGAATCTACAATGAACTCAAACAAATTTACAAGAAAAAAACAAACAACCCCATCAAAAAGTGGGCAAAGGACATGAACAGGCACTTCTCAAAAGAAGACATTTATGCAGCCAAAAAACACATGAAAAAATGCTCATCATCACTGGCCATCAGAGAAATGCAAATCAAAACCACAATGAGATACCATCTTACACCAGTTAGAATGGCCATCATTAAAAAGTCAGGAAACAACAGGTGCTGGAGAGGATGTGGAGAAATAGGAACACTTTTACACTGTTGGTGGGACTGTAAACTAGTTCAACCATTGTGGAAGTCAGTGTGGTGATTCCTCAGGGATCTAGAACTAGAAATACCATTTGACCTAGCCATCCCATTACTGGGTATATACCCAATGGACTATAAATCAGGCTGCTATAAAGACACATGCACACATATGTTTATTGCGGCATTATTCACAATAGCAAAGACTTGGAACCAACCCAAATGTCCAACAATGATAGACTGGATTAAGAAAGTGTGGCACATATACACCATGGAATACTATGCAGCCATAAAAAATGATGAGTTCATGTCTTTGTAGGGACGTGGATGAAATTGGAAATCATCATTCTCAGTAAACTATCGCAAGAACAAAAAACCAAACACCGCATATTCTCACTCATAGGTGGGAATTGAACAATGAGATCACATGGACACAGGAAGGGGAATATCTCACTCTGGGGACTGTGGTGGGGTGGGGGGAGTGGGGAGGGATAGCATTGGGAGATACACCTAATTCTAGATGACGAGTTAGTGGGTGCAGCGCACCAGCATGGCACATGTATACATATGTAACTAACCTGCACAATGTGCACATGTACCCTAAAACTTAAAGTATAAAAAAAAAAAGCTTCAACGTATAGTCTTCGTCATGTGATGAGTTAAATTATAGATAAGCAAAAATAGTTATACTAAGACAAATTTTAAAACCAAAACAAAATATATGTAATTATTATATAATTATTTAATTCCGTAAATGGCTTTTCTATGCCTAAAATAAGTGATGTAATTTTATGGGTTAGTCAGATATACACTAACACATTTGAAAAATAGGCAAAGGATATGGTAATTGGCAGAAAATTATGCTACGATACTCTTTAATTTTAACACCAATCAGTGGAGTATTTTAATGAGTCTAAGATACCCTTTTTCAAGGTTTCTGGAAAAGTCACATGGTAACATTTGCTAGGATATTATGAACCTTATTAGAAAGCAAATTTCAGTAGATTTTGAGTATTTGGAGTATTGACTCTCAATGGTGGTTTTTCTTGACTTTCATGTCTTTTTTGAGAAAATCATTGAATATGTACATAAATATTTTCTTCCCAGGTTATTACGGTAGTGTTATTTTTAAGAGGGAAAATTGGAATCACTGACCTTTGAAATAATGTAAGCACTAAAGGAATTATGGTGTATCCATGAAATGGAGTACTACGTACTCTATAATGTTTTTAAAGAATATTGACTCTCAGAGAAATATACTTAGTGAAATTCAGTAAATAATCATCTAAATGTGATTCTGGCTATGTGTAGATGGGGAGGAGGATTTCTGGAGGAGGGGATTATGTACTGAATGCTATAGTGTGGGTTTCATCTGGGTTTCAGCAGATGGCGCTAAGTTCCCCAGCTGCTGTGAGTGTTCGAGTCACCTTGTCCACCTTTTCCCTGGGGAGGACCACACTGGCTTCTGAGCTGTTGGTGCAGCTGCATCCCTGTTCAGCACTTTGCCTGTTCATCCATGCCTGCCTCCCACCTCCTGGGTGCTGTTATTGACAGTGCTCCCCAGCAAGCCTGTGTGAAATCTCAGTCTCTTTCTTGGAGAATCTGACCAATAATAGATTATAAGGGATTTCTGCATTTTTTTTCTTATAAATTTTGTGCTGTCTTTTTTTTAAAATCAGGCAAAAATCTATTTAGAAAGAGTAGTAACTTTAAAAAATGGTGTTAGGTTTTTTTTTTTTTTTTTTTTTTTTTTTGAGACAGAGTCCTGCACTGTCACCCAGGCTGGAGTGCATTGGCACAATTTCTACTCATTGCAACCTCTGCCTCCCAGGTTCAAGTGATTCTCCTGCCTCAGCCTCCCAAGTAGCTGGGATTACAGGCGTGAGCTACCACACCCAGCCTTTTATTTATTTATTTATTATTAGTATTATTATTATTTTTGCATTTTTAGTAGAGACAGGGTTTCACTATGTTGGCCAGCCTGGTCTCAAACTGCTGACCTCATGATCTTCCCACCTTGGCCTCCGAAAGTGCTGGGACTACAGGCGTGAGGCGCTGTGCTCAGCCTTGTGCTAGATTTTTTTTCATTCACCTAGCAGAAATGGTGATTTTAAATATCTGCCTTTAACATAATATTTGCTGTGCTTATTGTAGTTGAAAGAACTGGCCAAGTTTAAGGCCAAAGGGGCCTGCATCACTGAGTATAAAGCAGATGTCTTTGCCTTCGGAACTGAAGGACAGAGGACACAATTTTTTCAATACCAGAAAGGATTTTCAAACAGATTTTGTAAAATATTGCAAGCATTGTGTTTTTATCATTTTTATTTCATTGATTTTCAACCTAAATATTTATAGATAAGACTAGTCATATTTTCTTCTAAAGCAGAATGAGGTTTAAACTATAAAAAAAAATTTTTTTTTTTGAGATGGAATCTCATTCTGTTGTCTAGGCTGGAGTGCAGTGGCAAGGTCTCGGCTCACACAACCTCTGCTTCCTGAGTTCAAGCAAATCCCCTGTCTCAGCCTCCTGAGTAGCTGGGGTTACAGGCACGTGGCACCACGCCCAGCTAATTTTTTTTTGGTTTGTATTTTTAGTAGAGATGGGGTTTCACCATGTTGGTCAAGCTGGTATTGAACTCCTGACTTCAAATGATCCACTCGGCCTCCCAAAGTGCTGGGATTACAGGTGTGAGCCACTGTGCACGGCCTAAACTATGAATGATTTTCTGAAATGTTTATGCAGACATTTCAAAATGCTCAAAAGGAATCACCGAAGTCGTAATATGTCACGGTGGATACTGAAGAGTTAAGAACAATGGCAAGTGTTGATTGTATGGGGCTCCTTGCTTGGCTTCACTCTGGATTAATGAGATGCATTAGAGAGAAGGTAATGAAGGGAGAGAATTTTTGAATAGTTCTTAGTCAGATAAGGAATTCTAGATAAAGTTGGTGAACTGCAAACAAGAAATTCACTGTGCAGAGAAGTTTGTTTAAGCATGATGCAGAATTAAACAGTTCTCCTCAACTCGCTCAGTGGAATCACCTTATCTGAATCTTCAGTGGGTTTTGCAATCCTTGTTTAGAGCAGTGAGCTTATCTGACATTGGAACAGAGTATTAAAATTTACTATAGGGTGTTAATACTTATGGCCTTTTCACAGTATGACAACTTTCATATCTGTGTGTAACCTAACACTATCGATAGGTTTCATGTTAACTGAGGGAAACACTGAAAGGGAACAAAAAAGGCAGGGCGTCTATAGGCACAGAATACATCCAGGCATAACTCAACTTTTTTGAGCCCTGCAGATACTGCAGTTTTTACAAATTGAAGATTCGTGGCAATCTTGTGTCAAGCAAGTCCGTTGTGCCATTTTTCCAACAGCATGTGCTCTCTTTGGTTGTCTGTGTCACATTTGGTTACTCTTAGAATATTTCAAACTTTTTCATGATTATTATATGTGCTGTGGTGACCTGAGATCAGTGAGCTTTGATGTTACTGTTGTAATTGTTTTGGACTCCATGAACACACCTGTGTAAGATGGCAAACCTCATTGGTAAATGTTGTCTGCTCTGACTGCTCCACCAATGAGGAGGTTTCCCATTGCTTCCTCTCCTAAGGCCTCCCTAGTCCCTGAGACACAATATTGAAGTGAGACCAGTTAATAGCCCTCCAGTGGCCTCTAATTGTTCATGTAAAAGAAGGAGTTGCAGTCAGTTCACTTTAAATCAAGTTAAAAATGAAGAAGCTTAGTGAGGAAGACATGTTGGCAGTTGAAAGCTAGGCCAAACAGTTGGCCAGGTGGTGAATGCACAGGAAAAGTTATCGAAGGAAATGAGAAGTGCTGCTCCAGTGAACCCACAAATGATAAAAAAGCAAAACAGCCTTGTTGCTGATACCGAGAAACTTTGGTCTGAATAGAAGATCAAATGGGCCATAACATTCCTGTAAGTCAAAGCTTAATCCAGAACAAGGCCCTAACTCTCTTCAGTTCTGTGATGGCTGAGAGGAGGTGAGTAAGCTACAAAAGAAAAGCTGAAAGCTAGCTGAGGTTGGCTCATGAGGTTTAAAGAAAGACACAGTCTCTATAATATAAAAGTGCAAGGTGAAGCAGCAAGTGCTTGATGTAAGAACTGTGAGTTCTTCAGAAGATCTCGCTGAGATAATTCATGAAGATGGCTACACTCAAAAAACAGATTATTAATGTAGACAAAACAGCCTTATATTGGAAGATGCCATCTAGGACTTTGCTAGCTAGAGAGAATTCCATTACTGGCTTCAAAGCTTCAAAGGACAGGCTGAGACTCTTGTTAGAGGCTAATGCAGCTGGTGACTTTAATAGAAGCCAATGCTCATTTACCATTCCAAAAATTCTAGGGCCCTTAAGAGCTACGCTAAATCTGCTCTGCATGTGTTCTATCAACAGAAGAATAAAGCCTGGATGACAGCACATCTCTTTATAGCATTGTTCACTGAATTTTTTTATTATTATTACACTTTAAGTTTTAGGGTACATGTGCACAACGTGTAGGTCTGTTACATACGTATACATGTGCCATGTTGGTGTGCTGCACCCATTAACTCATCATTTAACATTAGGTATCTATCTTCTAATGCTATCCCTCCCTGTTTGTTTTGTTAATGCTATCCTGTTTGTTTTTTTCTTGTAAATTTGTTTGAGTTCATTGTAGATTCTGGATATTAGCTCTTTGTCAAATGAGTAGATTGCAAAAACTTCCTTCCATTCTGTAGGTTGCCTGTTCACTCTGATGGTAGTTTCTTTTGCTGTGCAGAAGCTCTTTAGTTTAATTAGATCCCATTTGTCAATTTTGGCTTTTGTTGCCATTGCTTTTGGTGTTTTAGACATGAAGTCCTTGCCCGTGCCTATGTCCTGAATGGTATTGCCTAGGTTTTCTTCTAGGGTTTTTATGGTTTTAGGTCTAACGTTTAAGTCTTTAATCAATCTTGAATTAATTTTTGTATAAGATGTAAGGAAGGGATCCAGTTTCAGCTTTCTACATATGGCTAGTCAGTTTTCCCAGCACCATTTATTAAATATGGAATCCTTTCCCTATTTCTTGTTTTTGTCAGGTTTGTCAAAGATCAGATAGTTGTAGATATGTGGCATTATTTCTGAGGGCTCTACCTGTTCCATTGGTCTATATCTCTGTTTTGGTACCAGTTTTGGTTACTGTAGCCTTGTAGTATAGTTTGAAGTCAGGTAGTTTGATGCCTCCAGCTTTGTTCTTTTGGCTTAGGATTGACTTGGTGATGCAGGCTCTTTTTTGGTTCCATATGAACTTTAAAGTAGTTTTTTCCAATTCTGTGAAGAAAGTCATTGGTACCTTGATGGGGATGGCATTGAATCTATAAATTACCTTGGGCAGTATGGCCATTTCCACGATATTGATTCTTCCTACCCATGAGCATGGAACGTTCTTCCATTTCTTTTTTTTTTTTTTTAATTTTTTTTTATTGATAATTCTTGGGTGTTTCTCACAGAGGGGGATTTGGCAGGGTCATGGGACAATAGTGGAGGGAAGGTCAGCAGATAAACAAGTGAACAAAGGTCTCTGGTTTTCCTAGGCAGAGGACCCTGCGGCCTTCCGCAGTGTTTGTGTCCCTGATTACTTGAGATTAGGGATTGGTGATGACTCTTAACGAGCATGCTGCCTTCAAGCATCTGTTTAACAAAGCAAATCTTGCACCGCCCTTAATCCATTTAACCCTGAGTGGACACAGCACATGTTTCAGAGAGCACCGGGTTGGGGGTAAGGTCACAGATCAACAGGATCCCAAGGCAGAAGAATTTATCTTAGTGCAGAACAAAATGAAAAGTCTCCCATGTCTACTTCTTTCTACACAGACACGGCAACCGTCCGATTTCTCAATCTTTTCCCCACCTTTCCCGCCTTTCTATTCCACAAAGCCGCCATTGTCATCCTGGCCCATTCTCAATGAGCTGTTGGGCACACCTCCCAGACGGGGTGGTGGCCAGGCAGAGGGGCTCCTCACTTCCCAGTAGGGGCGGCCGGGCAGAGGCGCCCCTCACCTCCCGGACGGGGTGGCTGGCCAGGCAGGGGGCTGACCCCCCCACCTCCCTCCCGGACGGGGCGGCTGGCTGGGCAGAGGGGCTCCTCACTTCCCAGTAGGGGCGGCCGGGCAGAGGCGCCCCTCACCTCCCGGACGGGGCAGCTGGCCGGGCAGGGGGGCTGACCCCCCCCCACCTCCCTCCCGGACGGGGCGGCTGGCCGGGCGGGGGGCTGACCCCCCCCACCTCCCTCCCGGATGGGGTGGCTGCTGGGCGGAGACGCTCCTCACTTCCCAGATGGGGTGGCTGCCGGGCGGAGAGGCTCCTCACTTCTCAGACGGGGCAGCTGCCGGGCGGAGGGGCTCCTCACTTCTCAGACAGGGTGGTTGCCAGGCAGAGGGTCTCCTCACTTCTCAGACGGGGCGGCCGGGCAGAGATGCTCCTCACCTCCCAGACGGGGTCACGGCCGGGCAGAGGCGCTCCTCACATCCCAGATGGGGCGGCGGGGCAGAGGTGCTCCCCACATCTCAGACGATGGGCGGCCGGGCAGAGACGCTCCTCACTTCCTAGATGTGATGGCGGCTGGGAAGAGGCGCTCCTCACTTCCTAGATGGGATGGCGGCCGGGCGAAGATGCTCCTCACTTTCCAGACTGGGCAGCCAGGCAGAGGGGCTCCTCACATCCCAGACAATGGGCGGCCAGGCAGAGACACTCCTCACTTCCCAGACGGGGTGGCGGCCGGGCAGAGGCTGCAATCTCGGCACTTTGGGAGGCCAAGGCAGGCGGCTGGGAGGTGTAGGTTGTAGCGAGCCGAGATCACTCCACTGCACTCCAGCCTGGGCACCATTGAGCACTGAGTGAACGAGACTCCGTCTGCAATCCCGGCACCTCGGGAGGCTGAGGCTGGCGGATCACTCATGGTTAGGGGCTGGAGACCGGCCCGGCCAACACAGCGAAACCCTGTCTCCACCAAAACCAGTCAGGTGTGGCAGCACGTGCCTGCGCACTCGGCAGGCTGAGGCAGGAGAATCAGGCAGGGAGGTTGCAGTGAGCCGAGATGGCAGCAGTACAGTCCAGCTTCGGCTCCGCATGAGAGGGAGACCGTGGGGAGACAGAGAGGGAGAGGGAGAGGGAGAGGGAGAGGGAGAGGGAGAGGGAGAGGGAGAGGCTCTTCCATTTCTTTGTATCCTCTTTTATTTCCTTGAGGAGTGGTTTGTAGTTCTCCTTGAAGAGGTCCTTCACGTCCCTTGTAAGTTGGATTCCTAGGTATTTTATTCTCTTTGAAGCAATTGTGCATGGGAGTTCACTCATGATTTGGCTCTCTGTCTGTTATTGGTATATAAGAATGCTTGTGATTTTTGCACATTGATTTTATATTCTGAGACTTTGCTGAAGTTGCTTATCAGCTTGAGATTTTGGGCTGAGACAATAGGGTTTTCTAGATATACAATCATGTCATCTGCAAACAGGGACAATTTGACTTCCTCTTTTCCTAATTGAATGCCCTTTATTTCTTTCTCCTGCCTGATTGCCCTGGCCAGAACTTCCAGCACTATGTTGAATAGGAGTGGTGAGAGAGGGCATCCCTGTCTTGTGCCAGTTTTCAAAGGGAATGCTTCCAGTTTTTGCCCATTTAGTATGATATTGGCTGTGGGTTTGTCATAAATAGCATATTATTTTGAGATACGTCCCATCAGTACCTAATTTACTGAGATTTTTTAGCATGAAGGGCTGTTGAATTTTGTCAAAGGCCTTTTCTGCATTTATTGAGAGAATCGTGGTTTTTGTCTTTGGTTCTGTTTATATGCTGGATTACATTTATTGATTTGTGTATGTTGAACCAGCCTTGCATCACAGGGGTGAAGCCCACTTGATGATGGGTGGATAAGCTTTTTGATGTGCTGCTGGATTCGGTTTGCCAGTATTTTATTGAGGATTTTTGCATCGATGTTCATCAGGGGTATTGGTCTAAAATTCTCTTTTGTTGTTGTGTCTCTGCCAGGCTTTGGTATCAGGATGATGCTGGCCTCATAAAATGAGTTAAGGAGGATTCCCTCTTTTTCTATTGATTGGAATAGTTTCAGAAGGAATGGTACCAGCTCCTCCTTGTACCTCTGGTAGAATTCAGCTGTGAATCCGTCTGGTCCTGGACTTTTTTTGGTTGGTAAGCTATTAATTATTGCCTCAATTTCAGAGTCTGTTATTGGTCTATTCAGAAATTCAACTTCTTCCTGGTTTAGTCTTGGGACGGTGTATGTGTTGAGGAATTTATCCATTTCTTCCAGATTTTCTAGTTTATTTGCGTAGAGGTGTTTACAATATTCTCTGATGGTAGTTTGCATTTCTGTGGGATTGGTGGTGATATCCCCTTTATCATTTTTTATTGCGTCTATTTGATTCTTCTCTCTTTTCTTCTTTATTAGTCTTGCTAGCGGTCTATCAATTTTGTTGATCCTTTCAAAAAACCAGCTCCTGGATTCATTGATTTTTTGAAGGGTTTTTTGTGTCTTTATTTCCTTCAGTTCTGCTCTGATCTTAGTTATTTCTTGCCTTCTGCTAGCTTTTGAATTTGTTTGCTCTTGCTTCTGTAGTTCTTTTAATTGTGATGTTAGGGTGTCAATTTTAGATCTTTCCTGCTTTCTCTTGTGGGCATTTAGTGCTATAAATTTCCCTCTACACACTGCTTTGAATGCGTCCCAGAAATTCTGGTATGTTGTGTCTTTGTTCTCGTTGGTTTCAAAGAACATCTTTATTTCTGCCTTCATTTCGTTATGTACCCTGTAGTCATTCAGGAGCAGGTTTTTCAGTTTCCATGAAATTGAGCAGTTTTGAGTGAGATTCTTAATCCTGAGTTCTAGTTTGTTTGTGCTGTGGTCTGAGAGACAGTTTGTTATAATTTCTGTTCTTTTACGTTTGCTTAGGAGTGCTTTACTTCCAACTATGTGGTCAATTTTGGAATAGGGGTGGTGTGGTGCTGAAAAGAATATATATTCTGTTGATTTGGGGTGGAGAGTTCTATAGATGTCTATTAGGTCCACTTGGTGCAGAGCTGAGTTCAATTGCTGGGTATCCTTGTTAACTTTCTGTCTCGTTGATCTGTCTAATGTTGACAGTGGTGTGTTAAAATCTCCCATTATTGTTGTGTGGGAGTCTAAGTCTCTTTGTAGGTCTCTAAGGAACTGCTTGATCAATCTGGGTGCTCCTGTATTGGGTGCATATATATTTAGGATAGTTAGCTCTTCTCGTTAAATTGTTAGCCCTTTGCCATTATGTAATGGCCTTCTTTGTCTCTTTTGATCTTTGTTGGTTTAAAGTCTGTTTTATCAGAGACTAGGATTGCAACCCCTGCCCTTTTTTGTTTTCCATTTGCTTGGTAGATCTTCCTCCATCCCTTTATTTTGAGCTATGTGTGTCTCTGCACATGAGACGGGTTTCCTGAATACAGCACACTGATGGGTCTTGACTCTTTATCCAATTTGCCAGTCTGTGTCTTTTAATTGGAGTATTTAGCTCATTTACATTTAAAGTTAATATTGTTATGTGTGAGTCTGGTCCTGTCATGGTGATGTTAGCTGGTTATTTTGCTCGTTAGTTGAGGCAGTCTCTTCCTAGCCTCGATGGTCTTTACAATTTGGCATGTTTTTGCAGTGGCTTGTACCAGTTGTTCCTTTCCATGTTTAGTGCTTCCTTCAGGAGCTCTTTTAGGGCAGACCTGGTGCTGACAAAATCAGCATTTGGTTGTCCGTAAAGTATTTTATTTCCCCTTCACTTATGAAGCTTAGTTTGGCTGAATATGAAATTCTGGCTTGAAAATTCTTTTCTTTAAGAATGTTGAATATTGGCCCCCACTCTCTTCTGACTTGTAGAGTTTCTGTGGAGAGATCAGCTGTTAGTCTGACGGGCTTCCCTTTGTGGGTAACCCGACCTTTCTCTCTGGCTGCCTTTAACATTTTTTCCTTCATTTCAACTTTGGTGAATCTGACAATTATGTGTCTTGGAGTTGCTCTTGTTGAGGAGTATCTTTGTGGCATTCTCTGTATTTCCTGAATTTGAATGTTGGCCTGCCTTGCTAGACTGGGGAAGTTCTCCTGGATAATATCCTGCAGAGTGTTTTCCAACTTGGTTCCATTCTCTCTGTCGCTTTCAGGTACAACAGTCAGACGTAGATTTGGTCTTTTCACATAGTCCCATATTTCTTGGAGGCTTTGTTCATTTCTTTTTATTCTTTTTTCTCTAAATTTCTCTTCTTGCTTCATTTCATTCATTTGATCTTTCATCACTGATACCCTTTCTTCCAGTTGATTGAATCGTCTACTGAGGCTTCTGCATTCGTCACGTAGTTCTTGTGCCGTGGTTTTCAACTCCATCAGGTCCTTTAAGGACTTCTCTGCATTGGTTATTCTAGTTAGCCATTCGTCTAATCTTTTTTTCAAGGTTTTTAACTTTTTTGCCATGGGTTCGAACTTCCTCCTTTAGCTTGGACAGTAGTTTGATCGTCTGAAGCCTTCTTCTCTCTACTCATCAAAGTCATTCTCCATCCAGCTTTGAGCCATTGCTGGTGAGGAGCTGTGTTCCTTTGGAGGAGGTGAGGCACTCTGATTTTTAGACTTTTCAGGTTTTCTGTTCTTTTTTTCCCCCATGTTTGTGGTTTTATCTACTTTTGGTCTTTCATGATGGTGATGTACAAATGGGGTTTTGGTGTGGATGTCATTTCTGTTTGTTTGTTTTCCTTCTAACAGTCAGGACCCTCAGCTGCAGGTCTGTTGGAGTTTGCCAGAGGCCCACTCCAGACCCTGTTTGCCTGGGTATCAGCAGCGGAGGCTGCAGAACAGCAGATATTGGTGAACAGCAAATGTTGCTGCCTGATTGTACCTCTGGAAGTTTTGTCTCAGAGGAGTACCCAGCTGTGTGAGGTGTCAGTCTGCCCCTACTTGGGGGTGCCTCCCAGTTAGGCTACTTGGGGGTCAGGGACCCACTTGAGGAGGCAGTCTGTCCGTTCTCAGATCTCAAGCTGCATGTTGGGAGAACTACTACTCTCTTCAAAGCTGTCAGACAGGGACATTTAAGTCTGCAGAGGTTTCTGCTGCCTTTTGTTTGGCTATGCCCTGCCCCCAGAGTTGGAGTCTAACAGAGGCAGGAAGGCCTCCTTGAGCTGCAGTGGGCTCCACCCAGTTTGAGCTTCCCTGACACTTTGCTTACCTACTCAAGCCTCAGCAATGGCAGGCACCCCTCCCCCAGCCTCACTGCCGCCTTGCAGTTTGATCTCAGATTGCTGTGCTAGCAATGAGTGAGGCTCCGTAGTTGTAGGACCCTCTGAGCAAGGCGTGGGATATAATTTCCTGGTGTGCCGTTTGCGAAGACCATCTGAAAAGCACATTATTAGGGTGGGAGTGACCCGATTTTCTAGGTGCCATCTGTCCTTGGCTAGGAAAGGGAATTCCCGGACCCCTTGTGCTTCCCGGGTGAGGTAATGCCTCACCCTGCTTCAGCTCAGGCTCAGTGTACTGCACCTACTGTCCTGCACCCACTGCCCAACAATCCGTGGTGAGATGAACCCAGTACTTCAGTTGGAAATGCAGAAATCACTCATCATCTGCGTCACTCATGCTGGGAGCTGTAGATTGGAGCTGTTCCTATTCAGCCATCTTGGCTCCATGCCTGTTCACTGAATATTTTAAGCCTAGTTTTGAGACCAACTGCCCAGAAAAAAAGTTCCTTTCAAAATATTACTGCTCATTAGCACTGCACCCAGTCACTCTGAGAGCCCTGATGGATGTGTACAAGGAGATGAATGTCATTTTCATGCCTGCTTATGCAACATCCATTCTGCAGCCCATGGATCTAGGAGTAATTTCAAGTCTTATGATTTTTATTTTTTTCTTTTTTGAGAAGGTCACCTCACTGTTGCTCAGACTTGAATGTAACGGCACAATCACAGCTCACTGCAGCCTCAATCTTCTCAGGATCAGGTGATCCTCCCACTTCGGCCTGCTGAATAGCTGGGACCACAGGTGTTGCACCAGCATACCCAGCTAATTTTTGTGGGTTTTTTTTTTTGTTAGAGATGTTAAATTTCCATGTTGCCTAAGCTGGTTTCAAACTTCTGCACTCAAGCAATCTGCCCACCTTGGCCTTCTTCAGTGTTTGAGATTAGAGATGTGAGCCAATGCACTCAGCCTTCAAGTTTTATTCTCTAAGAAATATATTTTATAGGCTGGGTGCAATGTCTCATACCTGTAATCCCAGCAATTTGGGAGGCTGAGGCAGGCAGATTACAAGGTCAGGAGATCGAGACCAGCCTGGTAAACATGGTGAAACTCTGTCTCTACTAAAAACACGAAAGTTAGCTGAGTGTGGTGGTGTGTACCTGTAATCCCAGCTACTCAGGTTTCTGAAGCAGAATTGCTTGAACCAGGGAGTCGGAGGTTCCAGTGAGCTGAGATTGCACCACTGCACTCCAATCTGACAACAGAGCAAGACTCCATCTGAAAAAAAGAAAGAAATACATTTTGTAAGGCCACAGCTGCCAGAGAGTGATTCCTCTGATGGATCTGGGCAAAGTAAATTAAAAACCTTCTGGAAAAGGTTTACTGTTCTAGGTGCCATTAACATTTGTGATTAATTGGGAGAGAACAAAATATCATTTACAGGACTGTGGAAGATGTTGATTCCATCTCTCATAGGTGACTTTAAAGGGTACAAGATTTTAGTGGAGGAAGGAACTGCAGATGTAGTGGAAACAGCAAGTGAACTAGAACTAGAAGTGGAGCCTGTTGGCTGGGCACAGCAGCTCTTAATTCCTATTCAGAGTAGTATTTTTAGTTTCTTAAAAAAACTATCTTTGCCACTGTATGCCTATAATCCCAGCACTTTGGGGAGGCCAAGGCAGGTGGATCACCTGAGGTCGGGAGTTTGAGACCAGGCTGACCAACATGGAGAAAGCCCATCTCTACTAAAAATACAATATTAGCTGGGCATGGTGGTGCATGCCTGTAATCCCAGCTACTTGTGAGGCTGGGGTGGGAGAATCGCTTGAACCCAGGGGGCGGAGGTTGCAGTGAGCCAAGATACTGTCATTGCATTCCAGCCTGGGCAGCAAGAGTGAAACTCTGTCTGCCCCGCCTCCCCCCAAAAAAGGAAGTGGAGCCTGTGGATGGGACTGAACTGCTGCAATTTCATGATCAAATGTGAACAGATAAGGAGTTCTTTCTTACAATGTGCAAAGAAACGGGTCTCTGAAATGGAGTCTACTCCTGGTGAAGATGTCGTGAATATTGTTGAAATGACAAAAGATTTAAAATATTCCATAAATTTACTTCATAAAGCCATGGCAGGCTTTTGGAGGATTGATTCTGATTTGGAAAGAAGTTCCACTGTGTGTAAAATGCTATCCAATAGCATCATACCTCCTAGAGATCTTTTGTGAAAGAAAGATTCAAGATAACTTTCAAATGCATTGGGAAACAAAGACATTTGTGTGACTTCACTTTATACTTCCATGATTGTGGTGGTCTGGAATTGAACCTACAGTACCTCCCACAGATGTCTGTATGCCACTAAGGTTTAAACCTAAATTTCTGTTGTCAGATTAGATTCAATTCATGATAAATTGTGCAGATTACCAGTGAATTAAAAATTTTGCTAATTCACTATTCCTATTCGGAGTAGTATTTTTAGTTTCTTAAAAAAAACTATCCTCACCACTGTATCCCTCCCCTCACCACCTGTGTTATAATCTTCCAAGCTTTATGGTAGTAACTTATTTTTTAAATTTTGCCAATATTATAATTTTGAGAAATGTTAAGTCCTTGATTGTATGTTTCTTTATACTAATAACGCTGTTTTGATTGTGTGTGTATCACCTGCCCTCTGATCCACAAATACCACAGTCTTGCAGGCAGCTATGTTTTTCTCCCCTTCCTGTGCTCCATGGCTTACATGGTTCTCCAGTGATTGCAACTAAACATTAGGGGAGTTGTCCTCAGTTGTGAGTTGTAGCCAATGCCTATTGGTATTTGTAGTTTGTTTACATTGTTACTAATTTGATACCATGAAGAATGGTTTTTGTAACTAATTCTCAAGTACCTTTTATTTGTTTGCAATAGCGTTCTTCTGAAACATAATCAATAGGTTCATGAGGAAGTTGTAGAAATTCTTCAGGAGAATTCTGAGCCCTTTTCTGGGATTTAAAGAAAAGTGCTATTGAATAGAACTAAATATAATGTGAGTCATTCACATGATGTAAAACTTTCTAGTTATAATATTAAAAATATAGAGAAACAAGTGAAAATCATTTTAGTGGCAATACTTTAAAATATTTCAATATGTAATCAATATAGAAATTATTAATGGGATATTTGGAATACTTTTTGTGCTGAGTTTTCAAAAGTTAATGTGTATTGTTCACTTACAGAACATCTGAATTTGGACTGGCCACATTTCAAGTGTCACATGTGTCTATTGGTTATTGTGCTAGACTTTGTAAGCCTAGAATTTGTTTCCTGATAATAATCTTCCCATATTTAAGTTTATAACCAATAAATTACTCTTATTTTAGGTTTTTATTTTAAAACCTTCCTTTAAAAAATCTTCCCGCCTTTTTGTTTGTTTTTTTGAGACAGGGTCATTTTCTGTGACCCAGATTGGAGTGTAGTAGTGTAATTATAGCTCATCATAACCTTAAATTTCTGGACTCAAGCAATCCTCTTGCTTCAGCCTCCAGGGTAGCTAGGACTACAGATATGCACCACCACACCTAATTTTATTTATCTTTTTTGTAGGGATGGGTTGTTTCTGTGTTGTCAAGCTAGTCTTGAAATCCTGGGCTCAAGTAATTCTGCCTCAGCATCCCAAAGTGGTGGGATTATAAGTGTGAGCCACCTCACTTGACCTATTTTTTGTTTGTATAACAGATCACAAATATTGGTATACAGGAAAAACTATTTTTACTAAAAACCAAATAAATATTAAGATAATAGGTATGCACATTTTTATTATTTTTTACAGGTGTTGAAGAAGAAGAAAAGGTTGCAGAGATGCATTAAATAAAGTCTACAACCCAGGTGAGTCAGATGAGTGTAGATGCTGTAGAAGTGGCAACACTCAGAAAAAACAGTTGAGGACTATTTCTGCTTTTGCTATCTTAAAAGCGATACACTTAAATTTTATAAAAGAAACATGATATAATAGAGTTTTCTAAAGGGTAGACTATGTTACGCCATTGACTTAACAGTATTATAACACACATTTTCACAAACTGAATGGATGAGGAATAACCTTACTTTCCACTTCCATTTAGAAGGAACTCAAGAAATATGCCAGGGTAGGACCATCTTAAAGACAATAATGCAAGAAATCAGACATTTCTCTCTCCTTTTGTGTAGTTTTTGAAGTCATATATTTAATATACTTTTCATTTTGGCCCTTTGGATAGGTGTCAGGTTTAGAACTTCTTACATGCGAATAGGGTGCTATGGTATTAAGTAATTTTAAAATCACATATTACAAAAGATCACGTATGCCTTTATTAAGCCACAATAAGGTAGTGATGATTTTGTTTTTTAATCTTACAATTTAATGACATTTATCTGCTTTTCACCTCTCCCAGGGAAAGCTTTACAAAAACCCACAGAGGTAACTGTACCATATGAGAAGATGCTACAAGACCAGTCAGCTTTGATAGTACAGGGGCTTCCAGAAGGTGTTGCCTTTAAACACCCTGAGAATTACTATCTTGCAACCCTGAAATGGATTTTGGAGAACACAGCCGGGATTTCATTCATTATTAAGAGGTGAGGAGCTTTCTTCCTTCGTGCCCATCAAAGGTTTATTCATATAAATTTGAATATTCAGCTTATGTTAATATATTTTAAAAATTCTTGGATAACACAATTCATTTAAATTTATGCTGTCATTAATTTTGTGTATTCATGTGTAGTTTTGTTAGTTTTGTTTTACTGCAGATCTCTCTTAGAGCCAAAGAAGCATCTAGATTAGTGATTGCTTTGCTTCCTTGATAGCTGGCTGGCTTCCTAATCCCATTTTGCTAGATTTTAATACACTTTAATGGTTTCTCTTTTATTTTCTTTGAGAATATGATGTAAGACATTTTCAGATGGGTTGCTTAGATATTTATATAATCCAAGAAAAGTTGATTGAGCTGAAAAAGTAGAGACTTGTTTTTTGTTTTCAGATCAGCTACTTGTTTTCTGTGTAAGATCATAGATCTGCCCCCACTTCAAGCATTATGAGTAGGATTAACTGACCTGATGTCACTGAATAGGCATGGCATTTTTGGACACAGCTTTGGGTGGGGAGGGGATACACAACTGTGTATAAGCATTATGGCTCTGGAGTGCTCGGAGTCTCATGGAACAGAGAAAAGTTTGTAAAATGATGATGGCAAGAGCCTCACATCTCTGCTGTAAGAATGGTTCAGAGAAAGTGCTGCGAATGTTCATTAGGGGTTGGATTCCTTTGTAGTTCAGGAAGAATTTCATGAGGGAGAGGACATTTATATGAGCCGTTGGGGAATGAGAAGGATTTCAACTTCCTTTAGGGAAGTTTAGCCATTTCATTTGAAGAGAAAAAATGATAAAGAGTGGTACCCTTTGGAGCCAATATTTTTTTTAGACTTTTGAAAAGAAATAACCAATATAATTGGAATACTCTTTACAATGTAGGGATAAAAGGGAAAATAATACATACATGAACACATACATTTTGTTTTCTGTTAATCTTTGTTTTATTCTCATTGTAGTGAAAAGATTAATTTTTAGCAGCTTTATTGAGGTAGAATTGATGCACCATGAAATTCACCTGTCTGAAGTATTTAATTCACTGATAGTAAATTTACAGTCTTAAAAATTTTTTAAATGATTTTACAACCGTCATCACAATCTTAATTTTAGGATGCTTTTATTACCCCTATTTCTGAATTATGATATAGAAATTGAATATATAGCGTGTTTCCTGTTGAAATTAGTTTTTTTTTTCACTGAGCGTAATTCACCTCAGGCTCATTGGGCTTGTTGCGTGTATCAGTAGCTCCTTTTTATTGCTGAGCATTTAAGTACTCTGTGAACATACCACCTGTTTATCTAATCATCACTTGATGATTCTGTTGTTTTCATTTTTTGCTGTTATGAATAATGCTACAGTGACCTTACTTGAGCAAGTTTTTGTCTGGACATATACCTTAATATCTCATACATTGTATATATATCTAGGAGTATAATTACTAGGAATAGGGTACATTTACACAGCACTTTTAAGAAACTGATCAGTTGTTTTCCCAAGTAGCTGTACCATTTTATATTCCAGCAGCACATTATAAGCATTCAGATTCTCCACATTGCTGCCAACTTACTGTCTTCTTGATGTTAGCCATCATAATAGGTGGGAAGTGGTATCTCATTTTGGTATTTTTTTGTTTTGTTTTATATTTCTCTAGTGACTATTGATGTGTTACTTTATACTTTTTTTTTTTTTGAGACAGATTCTTATTCTTGTCACTCAGGTTAGAGTCCAGTGGCACGATCTGGGCTCAGTGTAGCCTCAACCTTCCGGGCTCAGGTGATCCTCCTGCCTCAGGTCTTGAGTAGCTGGGACTATAGGTGTGCACCATCATACCTAGCTAATTTTTGAATTTTTTTTTTTTTTTTTGTAGAGATGGGGTTTCCTCATATTGTCCAGGCTGGTGTCACACTCCTTGGCTCAAGCAATCCACCTGCCTAGGCTTCCCAAAGTGCTTGGATTATAGGTTTGTGTTATCTTTCAATGTGCCTATTGGTCATTTACGTATGTTTTTTGGAATAATGTCTATTTAGATCTTCTTCACATTTTAAAATTGGGTTTGTCTTTTTATTATTGAGTCACAAGAGTTTTTTACATAGTCTTGATATAAGTACCTAATTGATTGATGATTTAAAAAATTTGCATGTGAGACAGGATGTCACACTTTCATGCAGGCTGTGGTGTAGGATTTGGAAATATTTTCTCCAATTCTAATAATTCTACATTATTCTTAATATATAAATTGTCTTCTCCCTTGCTTGGTAGTATTGTTTTGAGGCAGAAAAGTTTTTAATTTTGATAGAAACTAGATTATTCTCTTGGCACTTGTGCCTTTGACTTCTTTTTTTGTTTGTTTTGTTTTGTTTTGTTTTTTGAGACAGAGTCTCACTCTGTCACCCAGGCTGGAGTGCAGTGGCATGATCTCGGCTCAATGCAACGTCTTCCTCCTCAGTTCAAGCGATTCTCCTGCCTCAGCCTACCGAGTAGCTGGGACTACAGGCATGTGCCACCACGCCCGGCTAAGTTTTTGTATTTTTAGTAGAGATGGGGTTTCACTGTATTAGCCAGGATGGTCTCTATCTCCTGACATCGTGATCCACCTGCTTCGGCCTCCCAAAGTGGTGGGATTACAGGCGTGAGCCACTGCATCCGGCCATGACTTCATATTTAAGAAACCAATGCTTAACCCAAAGGCATGAAGATTTTATTTTGTTTTACTTTTTTTGGGTGGGGGGTGACATGTCTATGTAAGTGTCTGCCCATTTAAAAATTGTGTTTTTCTTCTTTTACAAGTTACAAGAGTTCTCGATATGTTCTGGATACAAGTCTTTTATCAGAAATAAGATTCTGCACATATTGTTTCTGTCTGGCTAGTTGTTTCATTTTCTTCATGGTGTCCCTTATAGCTCAAAAGCTTTTGCTTTGGTGAAATTCAGTTTTTCAAGTTTTCTTTTATTACTGCCCTCTTGGTGTTGTATCTAGAGAATCTTTGTCCAACCTAAGGTCACAAAGGTTTAGACTTACATTTTCTTCCTGAAATTTATAGTTTTATCTCTTATGTTTGGGGGTAAGATCCATTGTGAGTTATTTTTTGCACATATTGTGAGGTAAGAGTTTAAAGTCATCATTTTGCATGTGATGTACCCGCAGCATCTGTTGAAAAGACCATTCCTTCTCCGCTTACTTGCCATAAAACATTTTTCAAAAATCAACTCATGGGCTCAAGTAATCCACTCAACTTGGCCTCTCAAAGTGCTAGGATGACAAGCATGCAGCACTGTGCCTGGCACTAGTTTATGTATTAAGGGATTTATAGCTTATATGTTCCTTTAAGCTATGTAACCCGTCTTTAGGTTATATGTGGAGTCCAAAAATTTTTATCATATGAAACACAATTTTACATTTTTGAAAAATCAGTGATGTCTCTGGGCTTAACCTCTTGCAGAGGATGGGAGCCAGTTGTCAGTTGTGTTATATCTGAATTCTCACTGTTGCAGATCCTGGCATTGTGGGGCTTTTAACTATGCTTTCACATGAGTTCAAAAAATATCTTATGGCTCAGTGTGATGACTCTTGCCTATAGTCTCAGCAGGCTGTGGCATGTGGATTGCTGGAGCAAAGGAGTTAAGAGACCAGCCTGGGCAACATGGCAAAACCCCACCTCTATAAAAAATACAAAAATTAGACAGGTGTGGTGGTGCATGTCTGTAATCTCAGCTACTCAGGAGGCTGAGGCTAGAGGGTCACTTGGGTCCAGGAATTGGAGGCTGAAGTGAGCTAGGATTACACCATTGCACTCCAGCCTGGGCAGCAGAGCAAGATTCTATCTCTAGTCCTCTCTTCTAATTTGGAATGTACAATGCATTGTTGTTAACTATAGTCTTTCTAATCTGCTGTTGCACAAAAATGTGTTCCTTATTTAGTTTGCTACCCTTACATTAATATTTTTAGTTTTTTTTTTTGAGACAGAGTCTCAGTCTGTCGCCCAGGCTGCAGCACAGTGGCGCAATCTCCCCTCACTGCAAGCTCCACTTTGGGGTTTCGCGCCATTCTTCTGTTTCAGCCTCCTGAGTAGCTGGAACTACAGGCATGTGCCACTACGCCCAGCTACATTTTTGTATTTTTAGTAGAGACAGGGTTTCACCCATGTTGGCCATGCTGGTCTTGAACTCCTGACCTCAGGTGATTTGCTTGCCTTGGCCTCCCAAAGTACTAGAATTGCAGGCATTAACCACCACACCCAGCCTAGATATTCAATAACAAAGATTTCATTTGCCTATTTTGACCTTCAAATGAGAGGAGTTACCCAATATGCACTCTTTTGTATCTGGCCACAAAGGTCTGCTTCAAATTACCTGTCCTAAATGTGGGCAAAGCTTTATGCAGAAAGGTGTGCTTTGTCCTCTTGTTAATAAAAGGGATTTATGAGGAGAAAAAAAAACATTGTATCTTATTATTGAAATTGCCAAAAATTATACCATCTCTGCTCTGGAATATTGAGTTATTAAAACTGATGTATGTAAGTGTTTTTCAATGGTTTATAATAGTATTTTTAATATTCAGTGAACATGGATTGTAACTAAATTTTCTTTAATTCTAAAGATAAGAATTTGCTGGAGAAAAAAATTAGCAGCAAATAATTGCAGAATATTAATGAGTGATTAAAACTTTGTCTTGGTTGGGACTATAGGTGATTCCTACACTCTGCTACCTAGCAAATTTTTGTCCTTTCAAAGACTTTTAAATTCTTTATCTAAAATGGGTATTCATTGCTGTATTTATAGGGAGCGTGGAGAGGATTTCCCTACACAATGTAGCTGAAATCCCTGACATGCAATCATATAATTTAATTTGCTTTTATAGGCATTTCCCTGGAAGTGGCAGCTGTGACAGTAAAGGAAGAATCAGAAGATCCTGATTATGATTTATATCACATTCAAGGTAATAAGGGTTAACGCAGTATTTTTTCTAAAAAATATTTGTGGTTAAAATTAAAGTTTATCAGTTGCTTTAACTTCTTAAGTAGTATTTTATCGATTAGTTCTTGATGGACATCTATATTTGTAAATAAGTCACTGGGATAAAACATTTTAAAAATGTGGATATAAGGTCAATTCACACAATTCAGGGGATATATAAAGTAGTCATTCATGTTCGTAAAAGCATAAGCAGAAGTTGTGGCACAATTTAGAATTCAATCCCAGTTTCTAGTGTTGCAAAATAAAATAAACCTATAGGCAAATGCAGATATAGTCAGCTTATTTTTTTATCAGTGCATAATTGCAGTAAATTAAACATTTAAAGTATAAAACCGAGTTAGTTTTGACATGTACATACCTAATAAACCATCTTCACTGCAACTGAGATAATGAAATATCCATACCCCCAAAAGTTTTCTCGTGTCCCCTTGTAATTCATGACCCTGCCTAGTATTCAGGCAACATGCTGATTTTCTGTTTTAGCTTAATTTGCATTTTCTAGAAAGTCCTATATATATCATATGATATGATAAAATGTGGACTGTTTTCAAGGGGTGGGGATTATTGTGGCTTCTTTTACGTCACGTAATTGTTTTGAAATTCATCCAGTGTTGCATGTATCAATAGGAGATTCCATTTTGTTGTTGATTAATACCCTGTTGTATATCTGGGTCAAAATTTGCTCATCCCTTTGTCCATTGATTGACATTTCGGTTCTTCTAGTTTGGGGCTACTGCAAACAGAGCTACTCTGAACGTTTGTGTACAAGTTTTTCTGTGGATATAGGCCTTCATTTATCTTGAGTAGATATCTGGGAATGGAATAGCTGGGATCTATGGTAGGTATATAACTTTTGAAGGAAATGCCAAACTTTTCCAAAGCACCTGCATTATTTTACATTTTCATCATCAGGGTATGAGATTTTTGGTTGACATTCTTCTGAATACTTGGTAAGGTCAATCTTATTTTTACCCTCTTAAGTTGATATGCAGTGATTCCTCATTGTGGTTTTAATTTGCAATTGCCTAATAAGGTTTATTTTCTCTCAAAGGATAGCTTTATCAGGTTTAAATAGCACTGAAAGTGTTTTGAGTAAACTTTCTGGCTTGTAATTATGTGAATATGTGTATACACATATTAGGCCATGTCCAAGGGAATTTCATGTTTTTAGCGGTCAGTTTTCAGTAATTGACTGCTTGTGACATTAGGAATTAATTACATTCTTTTTTTTTAATAAGTTGGTAAAATATGCCAGTGAAACCATCTGGGACTTGAGGTTTCTCTGATAGAAAGTTTCCTAACTCCCTTTGTTACAAAAATTACCCTCATCTGGGTGTGCACTCTATTGTCCCAGCCACACTCAAACCTGAGGTGGGAGAATCACTTGAGCCTGGGAGTTCTAGGCCAACCTGGGCAACATAGTGAGATTCCATCTCTTGGGAGGCTGAGGTGGGTGGGTCATCTGAGGTCAGAAGTTCAAGACCAGCCTGGCCAACATGGTGAAATCCCATCTGTACTAAAAATAAAAATAAAAAAATAAAAAAATTAACCCAGCATGGTGGCAGACACCTGTAATCCCAGCTACTCAGGAGACTGAGGCAGGAGAATCACTTGAACCCGGGCTGCAGAGGTTGCAGTGAGTCAAGATCTTATCACTCCAGCCCAGGCAACAAGAGCAAAACTGTATCTCAAAAAAAAAAAAATGCTTTTAATCGATACAGGGCTATCAGTTTTCTCTTCTGTGAATCTTGTACTAAATCTCAAAATGGATACATGACACATTTTCCTATTTAAGGTAAAGTACACATTTATACCTTAGAATAGTCAGAAGTCAGGTTCTTATTGTATGGTTAGTAATGCAAATATTGATAAGGTCATGCTGATACCTAGTACTGAGAAGAATTCTGAAATATTCACTTGTTCATCTGTAAGTTTTATGAATTGATTACCTTTTTTGGAATTTTTTCATAGTGTTCCCAAACTTGATACTCATAGGCTATTTGTAACAGCTTTTACTTCGATCTACTCTGGTGTTTAGCACATGAAATGGATTTTCTTTAGGTTTAGCATATAACATACATTCAAAGGTTTATTTCAGATTTTAAAAGAACAAAAAGGACCTGTAGAAACATTGCTTACTTTGAAACCATCCTGATAGTCTCATAGACAATAAATACAGAAATTTAACCCTGCTGCTAAAGCTTGAAACTTGTATTTATCTGCCTTCCCTCTTCAAAAAAAGACCTTCAGAAAGTATCAAAAAGCTGAAACTCACCAGATCACAGTACCAGATGCTTCCTTGCTCCTCCCTAGTTCCTGTTTTCTTATACATTGTTACATTTCTTCCTGCCAAATAGACTCCTAGTTTTAGTCAGTGAAGGAGATGGATTTGAGACTGAGCTTCTGTCCCCTTGGCTGCAGCACCAGGTTACAGCCTTCTTCCTTAGCAATACTTGTCATTGGGTTTCTGTGCGGTGAGCAGCAGGACCTAGACCAAACCTCTTTTGTTTCAATAACAACATGAACAACCATCTTAACTGTTACTCTTTACTGAAAAATTTTACTTTTTAACTACTGGCCCATTTTTCACTATCTCTCCTTCCTTTGACCTCACATCTCTTTTTTCTTTTTGATTTTACAGTCAAGAACTTAAAGCTCTATAAATTCAAATTTTAAGGTTAAAGAAAGAAGAATGACTAATTTACACTCCCAGAAAATGTGGCACATATACACCATGGAATACTATGCAGCCATAAAAAGGATGAGTTCATGTCCTTTGCAGGATGAAGCTGGAAACCATCATTCTCAGCAAACTTAACACAAGAACAGGAAACCAAACACTGCATGTTCTCACACAGAGGTGGGAGTTGAACAATGAGAACACATGGACACAGGGAGGGAAACATCACACACTGTGGCCTATGGGGGGTGGGGGGCTAGGGGAGGGATAACATGGGGAGAAATACCTAATGTAGATGACAGGTTGATGGGTGCAGCAAACCACCATGGCACATGTATACCTATGTAACAAACCTGCACGTTCTGCACATGTATCCCTTTAAAAAAAAATCTCCTAACTCAGAGGATTGCTTTGAGGATTAAATAAGATAATGCACATAAAAAAGGGAAAGAAAGTGTGTGTAGAGCAAGCATATTTTGTAATGAATTAAAGGTTGATTCATAGGTATAGGTTTATAGATTTACCTAGAGTTTTGAGTTCATTTGCATTTTTGCAATATAAGTGGAAAAAGAATCTGAAGGTAATTGTGACATGATAAAGCTAGATACTGAAAACCAAAAAGATTTCGCCTCAGTATGGCACTTTTGAATACTAGTTGCTGAATGACAGTTTTTCAGACTGTAACCATTGCTCTTTAAAAATTAAGAGAAAATATATTTATAACATTTGTATTCTATTACAATTTCTGAATTTAGTTATCAGTAGATAAGACAAAATAGATAAGCAACTGCTTCCCTTGCCCCTAAGTGATGCATTCTCACTGAGATGTAATATATGTTTATTCATACCTGAAGGCAGTGTTTTTCAATCTTTTCCATGTTAGTAGCTCAGGTCTTTAAGGACAGAGGATGCATATTAGGGGCAACTTGCATTCTTAATCCTAAGTGGCTCTCTGATGTCTTAGGTTCTTTCTTTTGTATTCGTGAGGATTAAGGAGATAATGTATGCAAAGGGCATGCTACTATTATTATCGGTTGTATTAATAATCTGCTTTCTAATGTGAAAATCTCCTTTGTATTAAATAACCCTGGCAGATGATCCTTGGCCCTTATGTAGAAAAGTATCTATTGTCTAGTGAAAAAATTTACTGCCTGTTCCTAGCTGTGAGAAAAAAAGATACTTGGCCATTCTGAGCTCCCACCTCACAGACATTCCTGAAGCTCAGTAAGATAATGGCTATAATGTATCCAGCACAGCCTTTGATAAGTAATATATGCCATTCCATTTCTCTGGTTTTTAGAAAGGATTGATTTAAAATGTGTAAAGTTCAGTGGCCATTTAATTACATTCACAAGGTTTACAACCATCATCACTATGTATTTCCAGAATTTTCCATCATCCCAAAAAGAAATTCCGTACCCAATAAGCAATAACTTTCCATTCTCTCCTCCCTGATACCCTGGTAACTTCTTAATGTAATTTTTGTTTCTATGAATTTGCTTATTTGGGTTTCTCACATGAAAGGAATAATGCAATACTTGCCCTTTTATGTGTGGCTTACTTCACTTAGCCTAATGTTTTGGAGGTTCAGCCAGGTTGTAACAATATATCTGATAGCATTGATCAGAACTTCATTCTTTGTCATGGTTGAGTAATATTCCATTGCATGTATATGTCACATTTTGTTTATCCCTTCATCTATGGATGGACACCTGGGGTGTGTCCACCTTTTGGTTACTGTGATTAATACTGCAGTGAATACTGTCCTTGGACTTTCCTTTCTTCTCTTGTCCCCAGCCAACATCAACACTTGCACATCAGCACTCAGCATGTTTCTGAGTTCATTTTTTTCAGTTCTTTTGGGTATACACCTGGGAGTGGAATTGCTTAGTCATATGGTAATTCTATGTTTAACATTTTGAGAAACTTCCAGACTTTTTCAGAGTGACTGTACCGTTATACATTCCTACCGAGAATATTCAAGGGTTCTAATTTCTCCACTTCTTCACCAGCACTTGTTGTCTTTTAATTATTATAGCCATTCTAGTAGGTGTGATGTGATGTCTCATTTTAGGATTGATTTTCTTTCCCTAATAACTAATGATTTTGAACATCTTCCTATGTGCTTATTGGCCATTTGTATATCTTTGGTGGAATTACTATTCAAGTCTTTTTTTTTTTGAGATGGAGTCTTGCTGTGTCACCTGCCTGGAGTGCAGTGGCATGATCTTGGCTCACTGCAGCCTCCACCTCCTGGGTTCAAATGATTCTTGTGCCTCAGCCTGCCGAGAAGAGCTGGGACTACAGTTGCATGCCACCAAGCCCAGCTAATTTTTGCATTTTTAGTAGAGACAGCATTTCACCATGTTGGCCAGGATGGCCTCGATCTCTTCACCTCGCGATCCGCCTGCCTCAGCCTCCCAAAGTGCTGGAATTACAGGTGTGAGCCACCATGCCTCACCTACTATTCAAGTCTTTTGCCTATTTTAAAGTTTATTTTATTTATTTATTTATTATTATACTTTAAGTTTTAGGGTACATGTGCACAATGTGCAGGTTAGTTACATATGTATACATGTGCCTTGCTGGTGCACTGCACCCACTAACTCGTCATCTAGCATTAGGTATATCTCCCAATGCCATCCCTCCCCACTCCCCCCACCCCACCACAGTCCCCAGAGTGTGATGTTCCCCTTCCTGTGTCCATGTGTTCTCATTGTTCAATTCCCACCTATGAGTGAGAATATGCGGTGTTTGGTTTTTTGTTCTTGCAATAGTTTACTGAGAATGATGATTTCCAATTTCATCCATGTCCCTACAAAGGACATGAACTCATCATTTTTTATGGCTGCATAGTATTCCATGGTGTATATGTGCCACATTTTCTTAATCCAGTCTATCATTGTTGGACATTTGGGTTGGTTCCAAGTCTTTGTTATTGTGAATAATGCTGCAATAAACATATGTGTGCATGTGTCTTTATAGCAGCATGATTTATAGTCTTTGGGTATATACCCAGTAATGGGATAGCCGGGTCAAATTGTATTTCTAGTTCTAGATCCCTGAGGAATCACCACACTGACTTCCACAATGGTTGAACTAGTTTACAGTCCCACCAACAGTGTAAAAGTGTTCCTATTTCTCCACATCCTCTCCAGCACCTGTTGTTTCCTGACTTTTTAATGATTGCCATTCTAACTGGTGTGAGATGGTATCTCATTGTGGTTTTGATTTGCATTTCTCTGATGGCCAGTGATGGTGAGCATTTTTCCATGTGTTTTTTGGCTGCATAAATGTCTTCTTTTGAGAAGTGTCTGTTCATGTCCTTTGCCTGCTTTTTGATGGGGTTGTTTGTTTTTTTCTTGTAAATTTGTTTGAGTTCATTGTAGATTCTGGATATTAGCCCTGTGTCAGATGAGTAGGTTGTGAAAATATTCTCCCATTTTGTAGGTTGCCTGTTCAGTCTGATGGTAGTTTCTTTTGCTGTGCAGAAGCTCTTTAGTTTAATGAGATCCCATTTGTCAATTTTGGCTTTTGTTGCCATTGCTTTTGGTGTTTTAGACATGAAGTCCTTGCCCATGCCTATGTCCTGAATGGTAATGCCTAGGTTTTCTTCTAGGGTTTTTATGGTTTTAGGTCTAATGTTTAAGTCTTTAATCCATCTTGAATTGATTTGTGTATAAGGTGTAAGGAAGGGATCCAGTTTCAGCTTTCTACATATGGCTAGCCAGTTTTCCCAGCACCATTTATTAAATAGGGAATCCTTTCCCCATTGCTTGTTTTTCTCAGGTTTGTCAAAGATCAGATAGTTGTAGATAATGCGGCGTTATTTCTGAGGGCTCTGTTCTGTTCCATTGATCTATATCTCTGTTTTTGTACCAGTACCATGCTGTTTTGGTTACTGTAGCCTTGTAGTATAGTTTGAAGTCAGGTAGTGTGATGCCTCCAGCTTTGTTCTTTTGGCTTAGGATTGACTTGGCGATGCGGGATCTTTTTTGGTTCCATATGAACTTTATAGTAGTTTTTTCCAATTCTATGAAGAAAGGCATTGGTAGCTTGATGGGGATGGCATTGAATCTGTAAATTACCTTGGGCTGTATGGCCATTTTCACCATATTGATTCTTCCTACCCATGAGCATGGAATGTTCTTCCATTTGTTTGTATCCTCTTTTATTTCCTTGAGCAGTGGTTTGTAGTTCTCCTTGAAGAGGTCCTTCACATCCCTTGTAAGTTGGATTCCTAAGTATTTTATTCTCTTTGAAGCAATTGTGCATGGAAATTCACTCATGATTTGGCTCTCTGTTTGTCTGTTGTTGGTATATAAGAATGCTTGTGATTTTTGTACATTGATTTTGTATCCTGAGACTTTGCTGAAGTTGCTTATCAGCTTAAGGAGATTTTGGGCTGAGACAATGGGGTTTTCTAGATATACAATCATGTCGTCTGCAAACGGGGACAATTTGACGTCCTCTTTTCCTAATTGAATACCCTTTATTTCCTTCTCCTGCCTAATTGACCTGGCCAGAACTTCCAACACTATGTTGAATAGGAGTGGTGAGAGAGGGCATCCCTGTCTTGTGCCAGTTTTCAAAGGGAATGCTTCCAGTTTTTGCCCATGCAGTATGTTATTGGCTGAGGGTTTGTCATAGATAGCTCTTATTATTTTGACATACGTCCCATCAATACCTAATTTATTCCGCGTTTTTAGCATGAAGGGTTGTGGAATTTTGTCAAAGGCCTTTTCTGCATCTATTGAGATAATCATGTGGTTTTTGTCTTTGGTTCTGTTTGTATGCTGGATTACATTTATTGATTTGCGTATACTGAACCAGCCTTGCATCCCAGGGATGAAGCCCACTCGATCATGGTGGATAAGCTTTTTGATGTGCTGCTGGATTCGGTTTGCCAGTATTTTATTGAGGATTTTTGCATCAATGTTCATCAAGGATATTGGTCTAAAATTCTCTTTGTTCATTGTGTCTCTGCCGGGCTTTGGTATCAGGATGATGCTGGCCTCATAAAATTAGTTAGGGAGGATTCCCTCTATTTCTGTTGATTGGAATAGTTTCAGAAGGAATGGTACCAGTTCCTCCTTGTACCTCTGGTAGAATTCAGCTGTGAATCCATAGTGTCCTGGACTCTTTTTGTTGGTAAGCTATTGATTATTGCCACAATTTCAGATCCTGTTATTGGTCTATTCAGAGATTCAACTTCTTCCTGGTTTAGTCTTGGGACGGTGTATGTTTCAAGGAATTTATCCATTTCTTCTAGATTTTCTAGTTTATTTGCGTAGAGGTGTTTGTAGTATTATCTGATGGTAGTTTGTATTTCTGTGGGATTGGTGGTGATATCCCCTTTATCATTTTTTATTGCGTCTATTTGATTCTTCTCTTTTTTTCTTTATTAGTCTTGCTAGCGGTCTATCAATTTTGTCGATCCTTTCAAAAAACCAGCTCCTGGATTCATTAATTTTTTGAAGGGTTTTTTGTGACTCTATTTCCTTCAGTTCTGCTCTGATTTTAGTTATTTCTTGCCTTCTGCTAGCTTTTGAATGTGTTTGCTCTTGCTTTTCTAGTTCTTTTAATTGTGATGTTAGGGTGTCAGTTTTGGATCTTTCCTGCTTTCTCTTGCGGGCATTTAGTGCTATAAATTTCCCTCTACACACTGCTTTGAATGCATCCCAGAGATTCTGGTATGTTGTGTCTTTGTTCTTGTTGGTTTCAAAGAACATCTTTATTTCTGCCTTCATTTCGTTATGTACCCAGTAGTCATTCAGGAGCAGGTTGTTCAGTTTCCATGTAGTTGGACGGTTTTGAGTGAGATTCTTAATCCTGAGTTCTAGTTTGATTGCACTGTGGTCTGAGAGACAGTTTGTTATAATTTCTGTTCTTTTACGTTTGCTGAGGAATGCTTTACTTCCAAGTATGTGGTCAATTTTGGAATAGGTGTGGTGTGGTGCTGAAAAAAAATGTATATTCTGTTGATTTGGGGTGGAGAGTTCTGTAGATGTCTATTAGGTCTGCTTGGTGCAGAGCTGAGTTCAATTCCTGGGTTTCCTTGTTGACTTTCTGTCTCATTGATCTGTCTAATGTTGACAGTGAACAGGCCTCTTTGTGTGAACACAGCCCCTGGGACTGTTGACCCTGTTGCTTTCTTCCCTGCCTCCAGCCTGGGACGGTGGCTTCCTGCTGATTTCAATCCTGGATTCCTCCTCAACCTGTTTAGCTCTCAGAGCCTTTATCACAGTGTGACCAGCTCCCTAGACACTGTTCTCTCTGTCAGAGAGAACTGGAGGGCTTCTTTTTCCTGGCTGGATCCTGCCTGATTCCGTGGCCATGTCCTGAGTGCACAAATCAGAGTGATCTGGCTGTGGGCCTCTTTCCTTGCCTGAATCATGAGCTTCCTGAGGACGAGGACTGATGGGCTTCTTCCACAGTAACAGACTCAGCTTTGAGGAGGCCTCAGTGACGTCACACCTCATGATGTCAGCTGATATCACTTCTGCAGCAGGCACAGCCAGGGCCAGTCAGGCAGCTCCAGGGCATGAAGTGTCATTCCTTACCCCCAGCCCTGAGCATCACCTAGTGGCAGGGGAGGCCAAGAGGAAGACCCCTGGCCTGCAGTCTCCAGGGCAGAGAATCAGCCCAGTCAGCAGGGCCTGCTGTGATCTCTCTCTTGCCCTCTTGGTACTGGCTGGGGAGGGTCCTGGACCCCAGACTCAGGACTCCTCTTCATTCTTGTTCCTGCAGGCTTGGGGCCCTCACAGTCGCTCTGGGCTGACTTACTCCCAAGTCCAGCCCATTCCTAGGACCAGGTGTTTGGGGCTCAGAGGGTTTGTTTTATGGCCTTGACTCTCATCAGGGCCTGTGGCAGAGCCCAGCTTCCCCTGCTGAAGCCTCTTACACAGCTGGACACAGACGCAGCTACACAAGGGTGCACAGGGACACAGACACATCTACACACAGATATGTACATGTGTGCACAGACATACATGGGTATGCACAACACAGACACACAGGGACACATACAGTCACACATGAGTACACACAGATGCGGACACGTGCACACGTGGACACGTCACATACAGACACAGGGACATACGATCACACATCAGTACACACAGACACACATGGACACACAGGCACACACATATAGACATCTGCATAGACACACATATACATGGACACACAAATATAGATAATAGAGACGTACATATCTATACCTGCATAGATACAGAGACACAGACATGCAAATACAGATACGCCCAGACACACAGACGCAGCCTGGGGCTGTGATGGGGTAGTGCCGGGTGCCTGGTGTCCTGGCCCAGCCTGGTGGGGCGGCAGGCCTGAGGGTGAGTCCCTTCACCCCATTAGCGATGCATTTTCGGAAATACAGAGGCAGCAAGAGGAGGCCAAAGCCTTGGCCAGCATCCGGGTGGTTTCAGGTGACATCTCTCATGTGGAGAAACCCGCCTCAGGGTTCTCCTCCACCTCCCCGATGGCTGCCCTCCAGCTCACAGGCCCTCCCAGACGCCTTTTCCTTTTCGCACCATCAGTGTCTCTGCCTTTCCACACCATCAGTATCTCCGGTTGAGGTTGTTGCGGCTGCAGGCCCCCAGGCACGTGCCAGATGCAGATGCTGTGGGCATTTCCGCTCAGCTACAAGAACAGTGCCACTGAGGCATCCAGAGGCTGCGACCTCCACCAGCAACAGTCACGTCCGTGGTGTTTGTGCTTCACTACAAGTCCCTGGCCAGCAGGCTGGCAGGTTTCATTTTCATTTTCGTGGGCATTGTGCACGGCCCCATGTTCACAGGAATCCAGGCACGGAGTGGACGTCCCCTCCCTGCTGCATCCCCAGCCTCTCAGTTCTCTCCAGAGGTCAGCGCTGGATTGTTTGTGTGTCCTGCTGGAGACTCCCGTACACACAGCATTGCTATGATATCTTTTTTGTGGTGCTTTTTTGTTTTGTTGGTTTTTTGGTTTGGGTTTTTTTGAGTCTTACTTTGATACCCAGTGCAGTGGTGCCATCACAGCTCACTGCAGTCTCAAACTCCAGGGCTCAAGGGATCCTCCCGACTCAGCCTCCTAAGTTGCTAGGACTACAAGCATGAGCCACCACGCCCAGCTAATTAAATTTTTTTTTTTTTTTTTTTTGTATAGACAGGGTCTTCCTATATTACCCATGCTGGTCTCAAATTCCTGGGCTCAATCGATCCTCCTGCCTTGGCCTCTTGTAGTGCTGGGATTACAGGCATGAGCCTCTGTGACTGGGCCCTTTTTTGTGGTTCTTACTTTGAACAGAAAAGGTAGCCTGTGTGGACACTGCTCTGCACCCACGGTTTTGCAAACCTGATGCATTGGGGAAGTGTCTCGTGGTGACAATGGAGCTGCCGCTTCTTTTTTCCTGGCTGTTTCCCCTTCAACAGTGTGGATGTCCCCACACATTATGCACCCCACCCCATGGTGGTGTCCTGGTTGTGCAGAGAGGCTGCAGTCAGCACCCTTGCTCAGGGACCTGGTTATCTGTGAGCCAAAGTCATCAGTAGGTCTGGGGACACTCCCCATGCCAATTCTATGTCTCACCACATTCTCCTCTGGCCTCTCAGCCCCCAGCACACAGGCAGCTTCAGCCTCTGTTTCTGCTGAAGCCCTTTCTTCATACACCCTAGAACACAGAACACAGGACAGAGAGAGAGACTTTAGTAGGAATACTGACATTTAAAAACTTATCAGAGATATGAAAAATCAACTACATGAAGTATGGCGGTATATTAAGGCTTTGTGAATAAAAACACAATAAAGGGTGGGTGTGTAAAGCTATTTTCCAATCATCCTTCCAAACCAAGTCTTTTGAGGGAACAAGGCCTCCCAGCAGGTGGCAGGATGGGCCCAGCACTGTCTTCAGCCCATTGCTGTCCTGAGTTAGGAAAGGCTGAATTCTATTTTACATGCAAAAGAAAACATTTATTTAATTAAAGATTCAAGCTACAATACAGTTCTTCATAAAACACTAAAATATTTTGATTATTGATATTTTTCTGTTGCTTTTTCTCATGAAACACTATTTGCCTTTGTGAAACCTGAAGTTTCCTCTTCTATCAATGAGAAGGTATATCAAATGGATAGTCCATCCAGTGTATCCAACATCAACTACAAAATGTCTCCCTTTTTCCTAATTTTGCCTTTTTTCCCCCTTTGTCATTCTTGAGTCTCTGTTAGTGCACTGCAGAAGTAAAGACGTGTACTTAAAGAAATGCCAACATCTGCTGAAGATCAGATTAGATTCCATATTTTGTATTTTAGTTGATGTAATGATGATTTTAGTTATGACGACTTTAGTTGATGTAATGATTCTAATGAACAGGAAATATTTTGTTTCCTATTTTAAAAAATACCATTAAATCATGCTGAATATTTTTCAATTTATTTCGGATGTGTATTCAAGGGGTTGCCATTTCACCTGCTTCAGTCTTCCCTCTAAACCAATCCTAAGACATACCTAGGCTGAATTCATATCACGTGAAAATCCATCACATGATGTCCTACTAGGTCAAAAAGTATAAAAACTGACATTATGGAGAAAGACTTCATTGCAACCAGGACAGAAAGACACTAAGGCACACAGTGCTCAGACCGGCGTGCTGACAAGATCTCTGGTGGGAGGCCATTGTCTGGACACCTGCTGGGCTTTGTCCTGGACATCATTCATTCACTTGAGCACGTTTGGTACCCAGGGTTCCTTCAGGTACATCAGTATTCAGTGGCATGCCCAGAAGTCAGATGACTCTCAAGTCAGGGGTGCAAAGTCAGACTCAACTTGCTTTGGGAAGTCCACTGGGGTGCAGGCTGTGTCAGGAAGCTTCCTGGCAGGGAAAAATCAACAGCATCAACTAGGATGGAAGTACATCAACTGATGGTGACCCTGCACATGTGGCTTTATCAACGATGCATCTGCCAGTCTCCAAAACAGTGCAGATTCAATGCAGTCCAGGAGGAAATTCACTCACGTGACCAGGCAAAATGCAACTAACAATTCACGGTGCTTTTTGGTTGTGGAGACCTTTCTCTGGGTTACTGTTTCCCAAAGGAAAGCTGTGTCTTCAGAAACAAACTGATCAAGAGATACTTTCAAATGTTTCATGTAGAATTGTTTCTAATCTTCTAGCTATAGGATACTTCATTACCCAGAGAATGTGCCACTCTCCTGCCTGTGCATGGGGCTTATCCACTAGCAAGCCATCCAGGGCCTCTGGGTGCTATAACTCAGAGGGTCTCTGAAAGAGCACGAGGGAGAATGTTGACATGAATGGTTTTCTCTGTTGGCTACACCTGTCTTACACGGAGTTCTATGTGTCATTCAAATACCTTCATATATTAAACTTCAGGGCATTCCAAGTCTCATGCAAATCTCGCAGAGGAAATTTTCCAAGGGTTTTAGGCCCTCCTCTCCCATTTGGGAGGTTTTGTTGATTTCTAACTGCAGAATGAGGTGCTGGAACATGCCAGATTCTGGTTCCCATGGCCATAACAGAGCTGGATGACAGGGGTGACCACAGAGGCACAGTCCTGAAAGCATTGCACAGTAAGAATGCAGAGTATCTACTCAGGGTAGAGGACGGCTACAGAAACATGCTCAGCTTGTCATGGTGGGTACAGGCATGGGAAGGGGGCACAGGAAGCTCAGGTGGTATCTTCAGGGGCACCCCCAACCTCCACCATGATACCAAAAGAAGATGTAACTGACCACTGGGAGGAGGGCCCCACATGGTCCTGCTGTGTCCTCTTCGATCTGCTTGGCACTTTTGCTGTTGCAGAGCTCCTCTGAAGCAGGGTCCCATGCAGCAGCAGCACTGAGGACTGCGTCCACCGTAATAGGCTGTCAGATGTGTGTGAGGCATCTTGTGCAAGGTCAATGGCAGGCCCAGTGCTGTTACATGAGCAACTACTTTTCACAATTATTTTAAAACAATATATGGCAACATTGGGAAGCTGCTTTCCTTTAAAGTGGTTCAATGTTTTTAGTTTGGACAAGATATGACTAAATTAATTTTCACATCATTGTGCTCAGGCACAAGCTCATGCATGAGGCATGACCAAAAATAGTTCTGGAAAGATAAGGCCAGTCTACAAGCCAAAGGCACACGTATGATGGAGGGCACCTATAGACGGTGGGGACACAGGAGGAGCATGCCAAGAAACCCTGTGAACTGACCTTCCTGCTGCCAAGGTTGCAGCCTCCACCACTGCAGCTCTGACTCACAGTTTACATTGCTGAAGTCAAATAAAATGTAGAGATGAATCTCTAAACTTAACACTGATTATTTAGGAGGCAAGAATGGCAAAGTGGGGCATACTCACAGATTGGGTGGTCTTCAGTGTGTTCCAAGAACAAAGAGAAAGTTGAGAGTTTTTATTTTAAAATTCATATGGAACCAAAAAGAGCCCGAATAGCCCAGGGGCAATCCTAAGCAGAAAGAACAAAGCTGGAGGCATCATGCTACCTGGCTTCAAACTGTATTACAGGGCTACAGTAATCAAAACAGCATGGTACCGGGACAAAAACAGGCACATAGACCAATGGAACAGAATAGAGAACCCAGAAATAAGGCCGCATACCTACAAGTGTCTGATCTTTGACAAACCTGTCAAAAACAAGCACTGGGGAAAGGATTCTCTATTCAATAAATGGTGTTAGGATAGCTGGCTAGCCATATGCAGAAGATTGAAACTGGACCGCTTCCTCTCACCATATACAAAAATTAACTCAAGATGGATTAAAGCAGAGGTCCCCAACCCCTGGGCAATGGACTGGTACAAGTCTGTGGCTTGTTAGGGACCAGGTCGCACAGCAGGAGGTGAGTGGCTGGTAAGCAGGCATTACCACCTGAGCTCCACCTCCTGTCAGATCAGCAGCAGCATTAGATTCTCATAAGAGCGCAAACCCTATTGTGAAATGCACATGTGAGGGATCTAGGTTGTACACTCCTTTTGAGAATCTAACTAATACCTGATGATCTGAAGTGGAACAGTTTCATCCCGAAACCATCTCCCTGCCTACTGCTCTCTGTGGGAACATTGTCTTCCACAGAGTCAGTCCCTGGTGCCAAAAAGGTTGTGGACTGCTGGATTAAAGACTAAAATGTAAAACCCAAAACTGTAAAAACCCTGGAAGACAACGTAGGCAATACCGTCCTGGACATAGAAATGGACAAAAATTTCATGATGAAGACACCAAAAGCAACTGCAACAAAAGCAAAATTTGACAGATGGAATCTGATTAAACTTAAGAGCCTCTGCAGAGCAAAAGAAGCCATCAACAAAGTAAACAGAAAACCTACAGAATAGGAGAAAATATTTGCAAACTATGCATCTGACAAAGACATAATATTCAGCATCTCTACGGAACTTAAAGAAATTTACGAGAGAAAAACAACCCCATTAAAAACTGGGCAAAGGACATGAAGAGACACTTTTCAAAAGAATACATATGACCAACAAGCATATGAAAAAAAAGCTCAGTATCACTGATCATTAGAGAAACACAAATCAAAACGACAATGAGATATCTTCTCACACAAGTCAGAATGCTTATTATTAAAAAGTCACAAAATAACAGATGCTGGAGAAAAGGGAACGCTTGTACACTGTTGGTGGGAGTGCAAATTAGTTCAACCATTGTGGAAAGCAGTGTGGCAATTCCTCAAAGAGCTAAAAACAGAACTACCATTTGACTCAGCAATCCCATTTGGGATTTATATACCCAGAGGAATATAAATCATTGTACTGTAAAAACACATGCACACAAATATTCATTGCAGCACTATTCACAATAGCAAAGACATGGAATCAACTTAAATGACCATCAATGACAGATTAGATAAAGAACATGTGGCATATATACACCATGAAATACTATGCAGCCATAAAAATGAGATCGTCTTTTTCAGGAACATGGATGGAGTGGGAGGCCATTATCCTTAGCAAACTAAGGCAGAAACAGAAAACCAGACACCACATGTTCTCACTTATAAGTGGGAGCTAAATGATCACAACACATGGACACATAGAGGGGAACAACACACAATGGGGCTTACCTGAGGCTGGAGGGTGGGAGGAGGCAGAGGAGCAGAAAAGATAACTAGTGGTTACTGGGTTTAATACCTGGGTGATGAAAAAAATCTGTACAACAAACACCCATGACACGAGTTCACCTACGTAAACTGATAACAAACTTGAACATGCACCTTCAAACCTAAATTAAAAGTTTTTTTAAAAAAAGAAAGGTGAGAGTTTTATTAGAGAAATGTTAGATATTGTTTGGAAAGAAAGCACATTGGCTCTGAAGAAGCTTCTGGGAGCTGGCAAGCTCTGACTGGTGAGTGACAGCTGGAGGTAAGGTTTGTCTTTGAGTCAGGGCAGTGTGTTTGAGGAAATATGAGCTTAAACTGGTCCTTGGGTTACAGCTAGGCTTGTGGAAAATTCAATTTTCAGAGCAGGTTCTCTTGGTATGACCAGTGCTCTTGTCCTACAAGCCTGTCCCCATGCCATGACAACCCAGTAGACAGTCCCTCAGGGCCCAGGACCATGGGGCTTCTGCATCATGTGCAGCAAGGACTTCAAGCATCCTCTCCATTTCCAGGTCACCCCTGGAAACAAGGCTGCTGTAGCTAATTTGTGTATCAGAGATGTAATCACAGCCATGGACTGGGGAAATACCAGCCATAGCGCACAGTGGGAAGCTCAGAACAAAATAAAAAACAGCGCAGATGACATGACTCTCATGGGGGCCAGATCTGAACACGAAATCTCATCTCTGGTGACAGAGGAAGAGGAACATCATCCATACAAGATGAAATTAGCCTCTGCACCCCAGGAGGTCCTGCATGTAAGAAGGGCCCATGTCCGAAGTGCCATGCCCTTCACCACCTCACCGGCCTCCAGCACTGCCACCAGGGTTATCACGAGTCAGTGCAACCACCCAGCTGGCCTCTGCTCCATCGAAAAATCTCCGGCTTTATCCACGCCTTGCAGTCAAAGACACTGCCAGGGGCAGGGTAGCTGCAGCCCCTCAGAGCAGGCTTAGCCTCCAAGCAGTCTCTCATTGACAACCTGAAGTTTGTGAGACAATTCCAGAGAAACAGGAGTTAACACAGATATTGTGCTTTCTACAAATTGAAGGTTTGTGGTAATCATGCATCAAGCAAATCTGTCATTGTTTTTCCAACAGCATGTGCTCACTTCCTGCCTCTGTGTCACACTCTGGTAATTTTCACAATATTTAAAACTTTTTCATTATTGTTATTTCTGTTATGGTGATCTGTGATCAGTGATCTTTCATGTTCCTATTGTAATTGTTCTGAGGCATGAACCAAGTCCATATAAGATGGCAAATTTAATCAATAAATGTTGTGTGTTGACTGCTCCATCAGTCGCCATTCCCCATCTCTCTCCCTCTCCTCGGGCCTCCCTATTCCCTGAGATGCAGCAATATTGAAATTAGGCCAGTTAATAACCCTACAATGGCCTCTAAGTGATCAGGGGGAAAGGAAGAGTCACACAGCTCTCACTTTAAATCAAAAGCTAGGAATGATTAAGCTTAGTGAGGAAGGCATGTTGGAAGCCAAGATAGGCCAAAAGTTTGACCTCTTGTGCTAAACATTTAGCCAAGTTGTGAATGCAAAAAAAAAAAGTTTTTGAAAGAAATGAAAAGTGCTACTCAGTGAACACAAGAATGATAAGAAAGCAAAACAACCTTATTGCTGGGCTGGAGAAAGTTTTAGAGGTGTGGAACCAGCTGTGGGTCAAAGCCTCATCCAGAGCAAGACTCTAACTCTCTTCAATTCCATGAACCCTGAGAGATGAGGAAGCTGCAGAAGAGAAGTTGAAGTCTAACAGAGGTTGTTCATGAGACTGAAAGAAAGAAGCTGTCTTCATAACGTAAAAGTGCCAGGTAAAGCAGCAAGTGCTGATGTAGAAGCTGCAGCAAGTTCTCCAGAAGATCTAGATAACATCATTGATAAAGGTGGCTACACTAAACAACACATCTTCAATTTAGATGAAACAGCCTTCTATTGAAATAAGATGCTACCTAGGACTTTCATAGCTAGAAAGGACAAGTCAATGCCTGGCTTCCAAGTTTCAAAGGACAAGCTGACTCTTTTGTTAGGGGCTAATGCAGCTGGTGACTTTATGTTGAAGCCAGTGCTCACTTACCATTCTGAAAATCCTAGGGCCCTTAAGAATTAAGCTAAATTAACTCTGCCTGTGCTCTGTGAATGCAACAGGGCCTGGATGACAGCTCATCTGTTTACAGTATGGTTTACTGAACACTTTAAGCCTGTGATTGAGACCTATTGCTCAGAAAAAAAGATTCTCTTCAAAATATTGCTGCTTATTGACAATGCACGTAGTCACTCAGAAGCTCTGATGGAGATATACAAGGAGATTAATGTTGTTTTCATGCCTGCTAACACACATCCATTCTGCAGCCCATGGATCAAGGGGTAGTTTTAGACTTTCAAGCCTTATCATTTAAGAAATATATTTCATAAGGCTATAGCTGCTATAGATCATGATTCCTCTAATGGATCCAGGCAAAGTAAGTTGAAAACCTACTGGAAAGGAGTCTCTGTTCTAGATGCTGTTAAGAACATTCATGATTCATGGAAGGTCAAAATGTCAACATTAACAGGAGTTTGGAAGAAGTGGATTCCAACCCTCATGGATGACTTTGAAGGGTTCAAGACTTCAGTGGAGGTTACTTCTGATGTAGTGGAAATTGCAAGAGAACTTAGAATTAAAAGCGGAGCCTGAAGATAAGACTGAATTGCTGCAATCTCATGATTAACTGATGAAGAGTTGCTTCTGATGGATGAGCAAAGGCAGTGATTTCTTGTGATAGAATCTGCTTCTGCTGAAGATGCTGTGAACATTTTGAAATGACAACAAAGGATTTGGAATGTTACATAAACTTAGTTGATAAAGCAGCAGCAGGATTTAAGAGGATTGACTCAAATTTTGAAGGAAGATCTTCTGTGGGTCAAATGCTATCAAACAGCATCGCATGCTACAGAGAAATCTTTAGTGAAAGGAAGGGTCGATCAATGTGGCAAATTTCATCATTGTCTTATTTTAAGAAATTGCCACAGGCTGGGCACAGTGGCTACACCTGTAATCCCAGCACTTCAGGTAATGGGAGGATCATTTGAGGCCAGGAGTTCAAGACCAGCTTGGGCAACATAGAAGGGCCACATCTCTACAAAAAAAAAAAATTTAAAAATTAGCCAGGCATGGTGGCATGTACCTGTGGTCCCACCTACTCAGGAGGCTAAGGCAGGAGGATCGCTTGAGCCTGGGAGTTTGAGGCTGCAGTGAGCTGTCATTGCACCACTGCACTCCAGCTTGGGTGACAGAACCAGACCCTGTCTCTAAAAAAAAAAAAAAAAAAAGAAAAAAGAAAAAAGAAATTGCCACAGCCACCCCAACCTTCAGAACCACCACCCAGATCAGTAAGTAGCCATCAACACTGAGGCAAGGCTCTGCAGCCAAAAGATTACAACTTGCTAATGGCTCAGAGGGTTGTTAGCATTTTTTAGAAGTAAAGTATTTTTAATTAAGGTGTGTACACTGTTTTAGACATATGCTATTGCACACTTCATAGACTACCATATAATGTAAACATAATTTTATATGCACTGGGAGACCAAAAAATTTGTGTGACTCTCTTAATTGTGGTGGCCTAGAACCAAACCTGCAATATCTCCAAGATATGCCTGTAGCTTTTTGTTTGTTTGTTTTAGCTTTCTCATGGTGCTGAGTGTGTCTGTAGTTAAACAGCCTCTTGTCTTCATTCCCAGGAGCCAGCTGAGGAGGTGTCATGCAACTTGCTGCCCCAGCCCTCCCCTTCTAAGGAACTCCCACACCTGCCCTGTCTTCCTGCTACAGTCTCTGAGAAAAGCCCTTTCATCTGTCAAGAACTACAAAAGTCATTCTTTAAGGTAAGAAAATGTGAGGAAGCGATCCATATAGGAAGTTAGAAATACGTACATCAATCAATTCCTATAAGAAAAATGTATAAAATGCCATTTAGTAATGAAAATCTCCTACATTTGCTACTACAAAAGGGAGAATTGTATCTTTTTAAAATGTGGGTGAAAATAAAATAGAAGTATTCGTTAGTGAATATTTTATCCCTGTGAAATACATGCTCCTAAATATAGATAACAACTGAGGAAGAAGACCAGGCAAAGTCAAAAACAACTAAGACAAACAAAACCAAGAAAACAAGTGTCTCAACGGTTGTGACAAATGGAGGCAGGGAGCTTGTCTTGGTCTGTTTTGTGTAGCTATAAAGGAACACCTGAGAGTGGGTAATTTATGAAGAAAAGAGGTCTGTTTGGCTCACAGTCTGCAGGCTGCACTGAAAGCATGATGCTGGCATCTGCTCTGCTTCTGGTGAGGCCTCAAGTGGCTTCTGCTTGTGGCAGAAGGGGAAGGGAAGCTGGCCTGTGCAGTGATTACATGCTGAGACAGGAGGCAAGGGAGACAGGGGATGTTCAGGCTCTTTTTAACAACCAGCTCTCCCCGAGATTAATAGAGCTCAAGAGCTCACTCACCCCTGAGGGAGGGCATTAAATCCATTCAAGAAGGATCTGCCCCCTTTAGGCCCCACCTCCAACACTGAGGATAAATTTCAACATACGATTTGGAGGAAACAAATATCCAAACTATAGTAGAACTACCCAGGAATGATCTTGGGCAGAAACAGGAATAAAGATTCCCCATTCTGGAAACATCTGCACAAGGTGGCCAGAAGTGAAAAAATTGAGAAAGTCCAAGCCTCCAGGGAAATGGAGTGAGGCTCTAAAAGCATTAATCTAAAGGGCAGGATAGGAGCTTTGCTATTGAGGAGACCTCCAGACAGATGCCTGCAAGCACCTTTGTAGTCGTAAGCACTGCTTTGCTGTGTAAACCATTCTTGGTCAACATCCTAACTTGATCTCACTCCCACCTGCCTTACCTGTGGAAAGCCCTTTTCTCCTTCAAGACTGAAAAAACTGTGCTTTCCTTGAAATGGTATTTGTAATCAATAAGGGGTAAAAATTAAATACTGCGCAACTAGATTCATGAAAGCAGAATACATAGAACAAGAGCATATTCAATACAGGCAAAGCATGTGTTCACAGATTTGCTCCTGTGAATGGAGAAAAATGAAATATAATTTTTTAAATTGGCAGTAAAATCAAAAGTTTATTATAATTAGTACTATTACAAAAAAAAATTCTTAACCTGTGATTATCAGAGGGAGCTTAGAGAAATAGAAAAGAACAGTAAGGGCTCATCTTTGGTGTCAAAGGGACAGCCCCAGAAAATCAAACTGCTTGGGGAGTGGACACTCTTTCTCTCCCAAAATGCCACCTTCCTCCCAGCTCACCCTCACCTACCACCAGCTGTCCCTGAAGAACACCAGTGAGGATCAATTGCTCTTCTGTGTTTGTATCAGCAGTGCTAAATAAACAATGAAACAGACACAAAGTTAAAGTTACCTGATCCAAAAAGGAGTGAAGCCTAGACCCCAGCCCACTGACTCAGTCTCTAAGTCCCCTCACTCAAATCTTCAATCAACAGTGGAGATGGCTGTGAGCTCTTCTGATTCCAGATGACAATACTCCTGCCTTTAATTCCTTGATATGTTTAATTATGTAAGTAAATTTAATATAAAAATCATTGCATTAGAGTTCGTGGTTTTTATACAAGATTCAGTGTGAGATCAATGTCATACTTCCAATTTGTCACACTTATAGAGAACTGAGAAGAGTCACATTATTTAAAATCTTAGCAAATGTGCATAATTCCTTTGGATAATTTTAAAGTGATAGGATTGGATCACATATGATGCAATTTCCTGGGTCTCTTTTGTTTTTAGATGTTTTTATCTCTCGTATTGTGGATCTCATATTTATGTGAATAATTATCAGAAGATTTTATTTCTATTATGCATATTTAGTATAAAATGATCATACAGTGAAGAGTGTGTAAAATCAAAATAAAATGCCATTCATCACCTCTGGCTCTCATTCCAAGAGATAATCATTGGCCATTTCTCATGCAAATTTCCTGAAGAGTTCTAAGTAAATAGAAGATCTATGTACACACACTTAACCTCTACAGGAGTTTGGTCCTCAGTCTTCGCTCATATCCTTTAATGAGATTTATAATTAGTCCCACTGTTTCCATGGAACAAACTCAACCATTATAATACCTGTGCGTCTTTCTATGGACTTGTATGACCGTCATACCAAGAATACTTCTAGAAATCCCAAGTCTTTCCTGTAAAATTCTTCTGCTCTATGTGGTCTCCACCTGGGACACATGATGGTTTTCAGTGGTTTCTGGGCTGGTTTCAGACCTGGATGGCTGCACTCGTGCCTTGGAAGGGTTGCTTCCAGAGAACCTGCACCTGGCCTCCAGCCTGCTGGTCTCAGGTGGTTGGACTTCTTCCATGGAGGCTCAGGGATCATGAAAAGAAAGTCCCAAGAGACAGGCAGGGAAAGGTGCCAGTGTCTCAGTCCTGGGCCAGAAACCAGCAGGTGAATCTTTCCCTGCCCTTCAGTGGGCACAGCTGTCTCAGAGCCCGCCCTGTTTCCAGTTGAGGGGATGTGACCTCCACCCACCAGCAAGAGGATTGGACACCCAACTCATTCAGCCTTGACTCATCCTGGGTCACACTAACTCAGCCAAGGCTCCTGTTTGCCCAGCCAGGGCTCCAATTTGCCACCTGCTGCTCCCCGACCGAGGTGAGGACTCCCTGGCCTTGGTGGAATCACTGAGGGTGGTCATTTGCATCCTTGGACACAGGCCCAGGCAGAGTCATCCAAATACCCACCATGGTTTCCTCAGCCACCAAGTGCCTAGGTTGGGATCCCGGCCCTCAGGGTGGGCCACATCTGGTGGACTTGAACGTTCTGTGGACCCTCTCTGCCCCCTCCTGCCCTCACCAGGCTTCTATACACCTGGGGTGTGGGTTGGGTTTGAATCTGAACAGGCCATGTCCAGGGAGAACTGTAGGGCTCACCCCGCAGTCCTGAGCAGTCTCATTTTCGTTTCCTCCTGCAGGTGGCCAACAGCAGGATTCCCTAGGGTCTCTGCATCTGAGCTGCAAATATTCAAAGAGATGCTTTAAGGACCATTTGTATTCACATTTTTCTTTTTATTCCGTCAATTTCAAGACTTTTTAAATATTAGCTAGATTAACCTCCTATCTGCTGCAAACATTGTCTCCCAATTTTTTACTTGTATTTTGCTGTCATTTATGGTGTTTTTGGCCATGTAAAAAGGTTTCGCTTAATATTTATGTATTAATTTGCTAGTTCATTCTGTGAGTGCATCAGATTCTTTGAAGCATAATGATGAAAGCCTTCTCTATACCCAGGTTTTCACAGAATTACTCATGTTCGCTTCTGGTTCTTACATGGTTTCAGTTTCCACATTTAAATCTCCAGTCAATTAGAGTTTGATCTTGTGTGACATGTGAGATGTGTACCCAATCTCATTGTTTTCAGTATGGCCATCTAGTTTCCCCAACACTATTTATTTAAAAGTCCATCTTTTCCTCAGTGATTTGACATGATGCCTTTATCATATACCAAATTCCCACACATAGCTGGGATATTTCCAGGCTTTGTAGTCTTCATGGGTCAGCTGGTCTATTGCTGTGCTGTATATTATGGCTTTAGTAGAGACACTTTGTAGTATATTTTAGATCTGGCAAAATATGTGTGTGTGTGTGTGTGTGTGTGTGTGTGTGTGTGTGTAGATATAGATATATGTAATTGAGTTATCTGCCTTCAACCCCAGTTCGTTTTTTTCAAGGTGTTCCTAGCTCCAGTGGAAGGGAGCAACTTAGTCTTTTTGTATGTACTAATTTGTTCTGGGGACCCTCACAGCCCTGTTGCTTTGTGATAGCTTTATGCCTAGCAATAAAAAGGCTTTCTTTGCACCCTCTGGAACCTTTGTCAATGCTTTGCGCTTCTTTTCTTTGAATATTTGGCAAAAGTATCATTCCGATGACTGCTTTGTAGTCAGTGTGATGTTTGAAAGGTTTATGTGCTGTAGATCCAGGAAACCCTGATAGCGAGGCTGTGACAGAGTGTACTTAATTTGCATTCAACTTTCTTTTCTTTCCATTCCTTTCTGAGAAAGGATCTAAAATGGATCTGTGATATCAAAGCCTGTGGGTGGGCCATTGAGTGCAATTGCAGCATATGCAGCGGACTGTGCCCAGAAGAAATGTTTCCCAGGAACTAGCACAGTATTCCCTGTTCCATGCTCTAATTATATGCTAAATTGTGTGCCTCTGAGCAGCGGGAACCCTTGGAAGGTCAAGCACCCTCTCCGGGGCAGCAGCACCTCTGCCTGGAGACCCAGAGGCAGAATCTGAGGGCAGAGGCGGCAGCAGGAGCGGGGTTGAGGCCGAGGCTGCTTACCTAACCCCATCATGAGATTAGGAAGAAAACGCTGTAGGAATCTCTCAAACCCGCTATTCATTATGACCCTCCCTCCCTCCCACACCTGCAGTGGCTCCCTGCTGCCTGCAGAGACGAGTTATTCAGGGCCTCACCAGGAGTGGACTTGGAACCCCTGGGGTCCTGCTGAGCCAGGCCATTTAAACCACATACATTGAAACTTCCTGCTTTTCATCCTCTGCTCCTGGCTCCTCTCCATGACCCCAGTTGTCCTGAGCCGCTCTCCATGGGCCACAGAGACAGGTTTACTCCCTCCAATCTATGAGTTCTCTTAGAATATTTTTGTGTAAACAAGGTCTCAGTAACTAAATCCTATTTCCATCTCCCTGCATCAGTGTTCTCTGGCTGGGTGGGCGGCACTCCTTTGGCTTGGTCCTGCTGATGTCCTTAAAGGCCTCAGCCCATGGAGTCAAAGCCTGGGGCCAGCGGCTGCAGGATTCTAAACACTGTGGGCGCTCAGTTGCAGGGCTGGCTGTGAGACTGTGTGACGGCAAGAAGCATCCAGAGGTGGATGTGGCCAGGGATGGGAGGAGCCATCCGAGAGGTGGGCAGGACAGCCACCAGTTCCCCGGGAGAGGAGAGTCTTAGGAATTCAGAAATTCAGCCCCCATGACTGTGGTGAGTGAGGAGGAAGAATGTGGAATTGAGAGATGGAAGATGAGGAAGGAATTGGTCCCAGCCCTGGAAAGCCATCCCTCCTCTTGTCCTGAAAGCTCACTTCTCCCACCTGGACGTGCACCCCATCTCCCCGGGAGGCCCCAGAGCATGGCTGCACTCTGGCCTGCAACCTGCCCCATGCAGCATGTCCCTCTTGTCCTTGCCATAGTCTCTCTGCTGTTGGGCAGTGGCTTGTGGTGTGTCTCATGCAATAGATGCCCATTCCATTAGGACGAGTACAGTGTCTGTAAATTCCTGCCTGGGTTCCCCTTCCTGTCATACATGCAGGAAGGAAAGTCACTCCGGGGACCCCGAAAGATTCTCTAATTCCAAGGGGGCGCCCAGGAGCCTGGGAACTTCTAGGCAGGGAGGGGAGGCCCAATCAAGTTATTGAAGAGTTTCTTTATACGTTCTGGATGTGAGTCCTGGATCAGACTCCCAGTCTGTGTTTAGTCATTTCATCCTCTTAAGAGGGTCTTTCATAGAGCATGAGTTATTTTGATGACTTCCAATTTATCCACTTCTCTTTACAGATCGTGCTTTTGTGGTCAAGCTTTCAAAGATCTTTACCTAGCCCTAGATACCTAACTTTTCTCTTAGAATCCTTTTCCCTAAAATTTTCCAGGTTTGCATTTCACATTGAAGTGTGTGATCCACCTCGAGTGAATGTTTGTACATGGTGAGGCTTCAGAGTCTAGGTCAAGAGCTCTCTCTCTGCCTGCCTGCTTGCTGTGCCTGTGATGTGCGATTTCCCTACTTCCCTGTGACAGAGAGGCCACCTTTCCTCCCATGAATTGCTTGAGCACATTTGTCAAAAATCACTTGGGCACTTTAATTTAGGTCTCCATTCTGTCCTGTTGATCGAAGTGTCTGTCCCTCTGCCTATGGGCACAGTCTTTATTCACTGTGTTAAAAGTGTTGAAATAGGGACAACTTTATTATTGTTTTCTTTCTTTCTTTTTTTTTTTGAGTCAGAGTCACGCTCTGTTGCCCAGGCTGGAGCGCATAATCTTGGCTCGCTGCAATCTCCACCTCCTGGGGTCAAGCGATTCAGCCTCCCGGGTAGCGGGGATTACAGGTGTGTGCCACCAGGCCCAGCTAATTTTTGTGATTTTAGTAGAGACAGGGCTTCGCCATGTTGGCCAGGCCAGTCTCCAATTGCTGGTCTCAAGTGATCTGTCCACCTCACCCTTCCAAAGTGCTGGGATTACAGGCATGAGCCACCTCCCCTGGCCTTGTTTTTCAAAATTGCATTAGCTTTGCCAGTTCCTTTGCCTGTCCATATGAGCTTTTTTTTAAGGTAAGTATGCCTACTTTCAGGCAGGGCTGTCTTGTGGTTGGGGGAAGGTGGTGGGCTGTGAGTTAATTTCCATGTCTCCAGCATGGCATCGGCTCCTTCCAGTTGCTGGAGAGCAAGCGAGTGCTACTTGAAGAACTGTGGGGCTCCCTGTGCTCTTTGCCCTGCCTAGTAACAGCTTCTCCTTCCACTGCCAGGTGTGCCAGGGCTCTGCCCTTCCTGCCTGCCCCTCAGCCTCCCTCCCCACTGTCAAGACACAGGCTGGGCCAGGAGTGCTGGGTTCCCATACAGGGAGGGGCAGGGGAAGCTCGGGGTCAGCTGAGCCTAAGCTAAGAGTCGGGAAACAGTGCTGGTGTCCCCAGCTTCCAACTGGGGTGGATGGGATCTCTGGGGACACGTGAAAGCAATTCTCCTCCCAAATATTCAGTCATGGCCATTGTTCATCACCCTTCTGAACTTAGAGCCTCAAGACTCCCAAATCTTAGTTCCACGTTCAGGATATGTAAAGGTTCTGGTTTCTTTTTGTCCTGGAGACTGAACAATAGAACTGTGACTGTCTGGTTCCCGTGCAGCCCTGGCACCCTGGTGGCTATGCAGTTCAGTAGAACGAGGGCCTGGAAGGACTGACAAGACCAGGTCCTGATGCTTGTTCTTTGATGAGTCTTCTCACTTTCTAAGTCCCTGAGTGCTTGGGTTTGTTTTTTGTTTTTTTGTTTGTTTGTTTTTTGTTTTTTGTATTGGTTTCCTAAAGGCAGTATTCACAGAAACAAGTGAAGAAACCTGGGATGACCATGGGTGTCCCACCTGGCTTCAAACCCCCTGCCAGGTGCTGGTCAGTTTCCAGAAGTCCAAGCCGGCTCTCTGAAAGAGCTGAAGCCAACCTTTTCCCTCAGCTCCATTTCCTGGGATATTCTAAACTTCCCCCAAACTCAGCACAAAGAGGAAAAAACACTGTCCTTCCTTGGTAAATAAATGTATCCATTCAGGAAGATTCATCGTGGCTGGTAGTGAGAAGTAAGGCCATCATTTTGCTGGGATTGAGGATGGGGGAGGACTTTCTGGGTGACTCAAGGAAACTGCCATGTGTGAGCATGGCCCATGGCCCTGCTGCTCTGGTCCGGGCTGTCAGGATCTGGCTGGGAAAACATTCCCTAGAAGCCTGGGAGTGGGTGACTGCAAGGTTGCTTGGTTTCTCGGGCGCTGCCTGTGACCTTATTGTGTGGAGCTCTCTGACACTCAGGTGCACAGAGCTGCAGCCCTCTGCCCTCTGCTGTGCTCGGGGAGGTGGGTGCCCTGTAATCACAGGGTGGCTCTGCCTGGGACTTGAGCACCCCCTTGGGTGGACTTCTTTTCCTTGTGTTGGCTCCAGGCATGAGCCTGCCGTCCTCTGGAGGCTCCAGGCAATGGCTCACTTGTCTCTGGGTGTCCATATGCCCTTTACCCAAGAGATGGCTCTGCTGCTCAGTGTGCCTGGGCTCTGCCCAAGGCTTCATGCCATGGCTAGTCTTACCCTTCCCTCTCTTCAGAAGAAGAAATCACTGACACTAAGTTCCTCTTATTGGACCCCATGGCAGGAACTGGGGTGCAGGACCTGCTCATCTTCCTGGGCAAGGGGTCTTGAGTCCCGTACACCTATTTCTCCCTCCACTGCTAAGGGTCTCTGGCTGCTCTTGAGTCAATGACAGATTCTCCTCCTGTTTACTGCCCTCTGTAGCCTGTGAGCAGAACCAGAAGGGACACTCTCACAGCCTGTTCACCACGGAATCCAGGAGGCAGGTCAATTTTGGTGAGTTTGAGATCCTGAGAGAGCGTGATTAAGAATCATGTGATCAATAATCTTACATGGGTTTCATTGAGATCTGTCTCGTTTCCGTGTTATTCATTTTTAAAATTGATTGATCCTGTGTATAGTGTAGGTGCAAAACTAAATAAAAAATACATACATACATACATATATATACATTGGTTTTAAAAATATGGTCTTCTGATCCTTCTCCACCAATCTCAAATAAACAATTCTTTTCTACATGGATTTCTAAATTGTGGGGCATGGAATCTCAGCTGTTCAGGCACATGTAGGCTGCATTCTGCAGGGTCCAGCCCCTGAGACAGCTCCTGTGGGTCCCACCAGCCTGCCAGAGGCCAGCAGCACTACCCAGCCCAGCCCACCAAAAGGGAATGGCATGGCCCAGAGACTCCTGCATTGGGCAGGTGGCAGGGGGCAGGGAAGCTAGTCCACAGCCTGCACTGCAGTGTGGGGCTTAGCCCTGGAAGCCTGCCCCATGCCTAGCAGGGGGTCCCTGCTCAACCTACTCTAGACTACTGCCCTGCTCAACCTATTCTAGACTACTGATGTTTAAATCTCCCAAGAGTCCCCATCCCTAGGTGTTTCCATCCCAATAATAGATTTAGAAAAATGGGAGTTGGGAAGGGAAGATGAAAGCCTACTGCTTCAGTGGGCAGCCCTTGGGTTTCATTATCTGATTTGGGTACTTGTTTTTTCCAAACTGGCAAATGTGGACACCACCGAATGCAGTCAGATAGCAGAAAGATGATCCCAACTCCATACAAATGAAAAAATGGAACCAAAGTTCCAGGGCTCACTAAAATGCAGAAGAAACCAAACAAAATTCTTCATCATCTGAAGCTCACAGCCACCTCAAGCACCTGAGCAGAGAATGTGCTCTCCTGACTAGAGTTTAGGCCCACATCACAAAGCATCCTGAGCTCTGGGAGGGGACAAAGGAGGCAGGTGAACCCTCCCCACCATCCAGCCCAGCAGATCGCTCAGCCCACTGGGCCACCAGATTCTCACATCTTTTGTCACTGGGGAAATGAAACTCAAAACCATAATGAGATAGCACTTCATACCTACTAGGATGCCTGTAATGTTTTTAATGGAAAATAACAAGTGTTGGCAAGGATGTGGAGAAATTGAAACTCTTGTATATTGCTGGTGGGAATGGAAAATGGTGCAGCCACTGTGGCAAACGGCATGGAGTTTCCTCAAAAAGTTAAACATAGAATTACCATATGGCCCTGCATTTCCATGCCTAGGTATAATCCCAAAAGCATTGAAAATAGGGACTCAAACAGATACTTGCATGCCAGTGTTAATAGCAGTATTATTCATAACAGCCAAAAGGGGTAAACAACCCAAGTGTCCAGCAACAGATGAAGGAGTGAGGAGTGCATCAAATATGGTGTGTACATACAATGGATTGTTATTCAGCCATAAAAAGAATGCAGTCCTGATACACATGACCACATGGATGAATGCTGAAAAAATGATGCTAAGTGAAACAAGCCGGTCACAAAAGGCCACATGTTGTGTGATTCCATTTATACAAAACAGCAAATGCCTTAGTCTGTTATGTGCTCCTATAAAGGAATCCCTGCGGCTAGGTAATTTATAAAGAAAAGAGATTTGTTTGGCTCACAGTTCTGCAGCCTGTATAGGAAGCATGGCACCAACATTTGCTTCTGGTGAGGCCTCAAGGAGCTTCCACTCGTGGCAGAAGGGAAAGGGGAGCCAGTGTGCACAAAGGTCACAGGGCAAGACAGGAGGCAAGAGAGAGAGGGAGGAGGTGCCAGGCTCCTTTTAACAACCAGCTCTCCCAGGAACTAGTAGAACAAGAGCTCACTCACCCTGAGGGAAAGCATTAATCTATTCATGAGGAATCCACCCCCATAACCCAAATACCTCCCATTAGGCCCCATCACCAACACTGGGGATAAATTTCAACATGAGACTTTTAAGGGGTCAAACATGCAAACTACAGCATTCTCCCCTATTGAATGCTACCAAACATTTAAAGAAGGATTAAAGCCTATCCATTCCCTGCCAGGTGGCTGTCTCCACAACATGGCTTTTTCCCCTTGAAGACCATCAGGAGAAGAGCCTGTATCTCCGCATCTGTGGAAATCGTCTTTGCCATGTAATGTGCCATAACCACGGGAGTGACATCGCATCACATCCCAGGGCCACCGCTAAGGAGGAGGGTGAGGATCTTGACCCTCATCTTAGAATTCTGCCCTGCCTGGCTTCCACTTGTCCTCTTCTAAATCTGTCTTAACTCATTCCTTTGGTGCCTGTTTTTGCTGCCTAAATTTTGGCAATAAAGGGAGGAATAAAAACACGTCATTTTTTTTCTTTTTTTGAATTCTCATTACATCCACACACAAGAAGTGTGTCACATGAAGGAAATGTATTTAGAATACCAGTTTTCCTATTTGGTTCATGATATTTTTCCAGGGTAAAATTGCCAACAGAATTTGGAAGCCCAAAGCAGGACATGATATAAATTAATGCTGGTCATCTGTAAATTATATTTTATTTCATAAAATGGTAAATTTTCCCCTTCAGTCTGGTCAATTTTATGCAATTTGGCATCACATTTTATAAATGTATTATCCTTTTGAACATTTACTGAACTGAATGCACAAAGAGAAGTATAAAAGAAAATCTGGAAGCACTTGTTGGTTTTATTTTAAGGTTGGAAAAGAATATAAAATGGAATGCATGTATTAATTTTGGCATGGATATATTCATTTCCTGTGGTTGCTGTAACAAATTACCAGAAACTTGGTGGCTGAAGACAATAAATATTTATTCTGTCACAGTTCAGAGGCCAGGAGTCCTAAACCTGCCTCACTGGGCTGGAATCAAGGTGTCAGCAGGGCCGCGCTCCCTCCACAGGCTCCGGGAGACCCCAATCCTCGCCTCCTCCAGTTTCTAGTGGCTGCTGGCCACCTCCACCCTCTGCCTCCATGGTCACATGGCCACCTCCTCTTCTGTCTGTAGTAAAATCTCCCTCTGCCTCCCTCTGATAAAGACACATGTGATTGCATTTAGGACCACCTGGGTCATCTATCATAATCCCCCACTTCTCAAGACCTTAATTTAAATCACATCTGTAAAGATCCTTTCTCTGTGTCAGGGAACTTTCCTAGGTTCCAGGGGCGAGGGCCTGGATAATTCAGGGGCCGTGATTCCACCCACTGCAATGTGTCTTCTCTGACCCTGCTTGAGTGTGCTGGCAAGGACTGCTGCCTTGTCATCCATTCGTATTAGTGTCTGCAGCATTTGGCAATATGGTGCTTCTATTGAGAGAAAGTCATAATCAGGTAAAGTTCTTTTTTTTTTTCCTTTGCCTCAGAGAGAAAAATCTCCATTCCACTATTCTCCCAGATCAGCTGCTTTTGGAAGGCAGGGAACAAGGCAGCATCAGTGAATTCCACAAGCACTGACCCATTGCCACATTCCTTTGATATAAAGTAGCTTCCTGAGTCAGAGCAATTCTGAGTGGGACACCATGATGGTGAAAAGGTTTGTGGTTAACAGATCGTACTTCCATGGAAGGATTGCGGGCAGAGAAGATAAGCCCATATTCAGAGTAAGTGCCTCTTCCAGGGAGAACATCTTGCTACCCTCTTCATCCTGGAAGTGATCAAATGCAATCAGTCTGCCACGGGGATCCTGGGAAACGGTGTCACCTCAGGCTTTTCCTTGGCTTGTAGATGGCCATCTTCTCCCTGTGTCCTCACATGGTTGACCCTCTGTGCACACCTTCATCCTAATCTCTTCTTATAAGGACATCAGTCCGATTGAATTAGGGCCACCCTCATTACCTCATTCCACTTTAATTACCTCTTTAAAGATCCCATCTTCAAATGCAGTCACATTCTGAGGCACCAGGGTTAGGGCTTCAACATATGAATTGTGGGGACACAGCCCATAGCATGAGGCAAACAGCTCCCTTGCATTTGGTGGGCGAGCACAGGAGGAGCCAGGGGTGGAAAAGTCCTTTGATAGGTGAGGGATGATTCAGATGAAAGGGACAGAAAATGAAATTTAGAAAGTGGAGTTTGGGTACAGCCTTATCACGGGAGCTGCTCTGCGTTCTCGGGTCATGCAGGCTGGCATCTAATGCCAACTTTCCCCTGTGCATCAGCGCCTGTAGCCTCCACATCCTCCTCAACTATGGTGGCCTCCACAGACCCCACTCAGCCCCTTCCATCAGTACCACCTGCTCCACATCTATCACTTCTTCCTGGGAGAGCCCCACTCTTGGTCTTTTCTAAGCCTGCTTCATAGTAAGTGGCTGAAATCTGTGGGATAAGCTCCCATGAGGTTGTAGATTCTGCTGCCATAAATGTATGGTCTGACCATTGGTCAACTCTAACATTGTGTGGGAACTGTCTATCCATCCCTGTGTCCATCCACCCATCTGTCTGTCCATTCATCCATTACAGACAAATTCGAAAAGTGCCTTCCTTATGAGCTAGAATGTCTGTGCACAAAACAGACAAAGTTGGCTGCTTCTTGGAGCTTACATCAGAAATCTCCAAACTTTTTCTATAAATGGTGAGATATTAAATATTTTAGGCTTTGTAGGCCATATGGTCTCTGTCACAACTAGTCAATTCTGCCATGGTTTTGTAAAAGCAGCCATCAATAATTCATGAACAATTCATGAAATGAGTGTGGTTCTGTGCCAAAGGACATTCGGATTTCATTCCACGTTCATGCATCATGAATACTATGCTTCATTAATAGAGCACAAAGGAAGCCTTCCTTTGACCCTAAAGAACCATGTTATCTGCACATTACAATTGCTTTGATTCCTACTGTTTTTGTCTTCATGCTGCCATCGTGGGTACGTAGCACACTGTCAAATAAGGCTTTATGGCCTCTTAGCTCACGTAACAAAAATACTTCTGTTTTGTAAGTTCCCTTGTTTAAAGAGAAACATGCTTCATCTGATTTAGATATATCAGTCTATTCCAACTTAATTTGGAGTCTTAAAAATTAAGGATGGCCAGGCGTGGTGGCTCACGCCTATAATCCCAGCACTTTGGGAGGCCTAGGTGGGAGAATTGCTTGAGGCCAGGAGTTGAAGACCTGCCTGGGAAACACAGTGAGACCCTGTCTCTAAAAAAAATTAAGGATGCATTGTTTGAACATATACCTTACTATTTTAGAGATGAAAGTTTTATTTTTTTATCTTAGATACTGATGAATAGATGTTTAATTGTTGCCAGAATTCAATGAACAGCCCATGTTACTGGTGGTGGTGTCAGTTGTTGCAACTAGTTTAGACACTATTTAATCACTTATCTTCCAAATGTCATTCTCTTTGCTTAGCAAATGTATTTCTGTGAATGTACAATGAGTAAATAATGAAACATAAAGGAAAAAAGACAAGCTTAAAATTGTAATCTCGTTAAAATATTCATTCTGTATTGTTATTTACTACCTAACCTGATCCCACTGGACTTTCGATAAACATGATTTTAAGTGAATTTTGGTGATTTTTCCACCCTAATTTGAATAACTTCACTGTGTCCTCTGATATCTCATTGCTGGAAAAGATATTTGGCCAACTGAGTGCTGGTAAAAACAAGACTTCACTGTATTCATCAAGGATGTGTGCGCCTGCTACAGATCCTGGAGTCATGTCAATTTAGCAAATGCACAAGAGCCAGACACCAGTGCCTGGAGTTGAGTCCCTTATGGTGTTCCCCAGATGAAGCAGTACATCCTGATGACTAGTGTTTTCCTGGCCTCCACGGGTTCCAGTTGGAATCCCTTGCCTAGACACATTCCAGGAAAATGGCTTCAGGGTAAAATTATCATGAAAGTTTCCCCTTAAATCCAAAACAAGCCAGAATAAAATAAATAAAAATATGGAAAGGTTGATGTATGTGCTTAGTCAAACAGTCAAAGAGCAGGAAGTATTCTATTCCCACATTAGTTTTGAGATTCACATTGTTTGGCCCTTTATATCACTTGAACATCATGAAAATGGCAGTATTGAGCCCAGAATCTACGACTTAACAATTAATAGTGGGATTCACTAATGGCTCCTTTTGGGGGCATGACTTCCTTCCGCCATTTTCTGATCAGAGTGCCTTCATTGCAAGCCCTCGCAGAAAATCCCTTTTCAAAGGCAGACGATGCAACATGTGCCACATCCCAACATAGGTCAGCTGACTTAGGACTCGAAATGCTTTCATGGATTCTGTCCATGTCAGCACCAGGATTTTCACCACTGAAACCAGTTCAGGCAAACACACACACACAGAGGCCACACAGGGAAAAACACATAGTGGAACACACATACACACACACACACACACACACACACACACATACACACACACACACACAGGATGGCTTCGGGGCCAGTTAACCCAAACTCTCCCAGGACTCACTTGCGGCTCCAAGTTTTCTGTTACCCCAGGAAACAATAAAAGTGGCTCTAGCTTCCCTTTTTCCAGCCACCCGCCCCATGTTCTCCAATGCGGACCCTGTTCCTCCCTTAGCATGAATGTTCTGGAAACAGATGTGACTCCACGCCCCAGCTCGCCTGCATGTCCCCGCACCTTCATTTCCCAGGCATGACCATGGGAAAAAGTGTGGGCCACAGCTGGTTCAGAGCAAGGGGGATGGGACGCTGACGGGAGCTGCCCAGGCCTGGGACTGGGCTCTGATTTTTGTCCTTTTTATATGTACAGTCCTGCTTCTTGTCCATAGCTCTTTGCTGGTCAATCTCCCCAACGCCCATTAGCAAAAAGGCAAGGGCTTTTGATTTGGGTCATTTCAGCCAAGGGCCAGCCAGTGTCTTCCAGGGGCTGGTGAGGGTGTGGGGTGCAGAATCACTACGGATGCCCCTGCTATGTAACTCAGGGTAAAGTGTAACTTGGAAATGAAAATATTCTGTAAGTCAGGAGTTATTTTCAGTCAGTAAAAAAAATTCAGTAAATAGTTTTGCACATTTGAATGAAAATACAGTCAATATGAGCCATCCTTCACAATCCATGCGGATGGTCTTCCTCAGGCAAGCTCAAAGTTTCCTGCTTTCTCTCTCCTCCTCCTCCCTGCTCCCCAGCACACACCCTACTCCAGATGATATGCACTGACAGGCCTCTTGAAACCCTTTACTGCCTTTACACGGACCACACCACCTGGACAGCAACCTTTTCCCAACTCAGAAAATGGCCTGGGGTGCACAGCAGCCCAGGCTGCCTTCCTTAGTCCCTGCCAGGAGGGATTTCTGCAGCCACTTGTGCAGCAGTGGCCGGCCCAGCTGAAGGGAAGTGTGGTGCAGGGCACTGAGCGAGAGGAGTCATCTCTGACTCCAAAGAGGACGTAAGTCAATGCCAACACCATAGATCCAAGATCTAGCAGAATGCCCCAGAAAATCAGGGCAGGCTGTTCATGCACTCATAAGCCAAGACATCTGTCTGCATTTCTGTCTGTGTCCACCTGAGAGCTACCCTTAGCTCCAACCATCCACTTACACAACTTTCTATCTTTACAGCATCTTTCTGTCTATGTGTTGCTTGGTTAGTGGATATTTGTCTCTGTTTCCACTTTCTGCCTGTCTGTTAGTCCACGTCTGTCTCTCTGCCTGACTTTCTGCTCATCCAACCATCTCTTTTTATCTGTGTGTCAATCTTCCTGCCAATTTGCCTCTGTCAGTCCCAATGCCTTCCACCTCCATGCCCTCTCCCAACCTCGCCTTGCCACATCCTCGGTGTCTAGATGTCTGGTGTCTTTAATCTCTCAGTCACTTGACTCCATCCACAGCTGGTGACTACCCAGTCTCAACCTACAGACCCGACCTCTCCTCCAATGTTCTGAAATCCACACAGGCTGGTGGCTCAACATACAAGGCTTTTGTGGCAACTTCTTTTTCTTTCCCCACTTAAAAAAAATTTAAGGTGTAATGTACCTATACTCATCCTTTGCTGTGCACCCTCCTGTGAGTTTTGACAAAGTGCACATATCCGTGTAGCCATGATCAAGACACAAAGCCCCAAAACTGCCTCCTGTCCCTCGTGGTAACCACACCTCCACCATCAGCCCCTGGCAGCTAAGGATGTGTTCTCCATCCCCTACCCCGTTCACAGCTTCCATGGACACGTGTGGGACCCACAGCAGGAAGTGGTGGGGCCTGGCTCCTTCTGCTCAGCCGCTTCCTTTGGGACATGTTTGTGGTGCCAGGTGTCAATAACCTCCCTTCTCCCTGCTTGGGATGCTTCCATCTCGGGGTGGGCCACGGCTTGCTTGTCCCCTCACCAGGTGAGGCACATGTGGGTCACTTCCTTGTTTGGGTGATTACTAGTAACACTGCTATAAACATCCACTTACAAGTTTTTGTGTGAACATGAGTCTCATTTCTCTTGAGTAGTACCTAGTTGACAAAAGGTGGGATCGTCTGACAAGTGTATGTTTAACTTTATCAAGAATAAAGCATTTGTTGAGCGCCAACTGGGGCCAGGGCCTCATGCCTATCAGTCAGTGCCATGGGAATGGCCTGGAGGGCTTGAGTGGAGTGGAGTGAGTGGAGACAGATGCCACCATGTTTTGGCCCCAGTTGGCTTAGATCCTGCTAACCAACCTCCAAAGTGGCTGTGCCTTTGTTTGCATTTTAAAGCATCCAGAGAGGCCATCACTCTCCGCAAGCTTCTCCTCCCTAGTCCTCCCCATCTGCCTGGCTGCTCCCACCCAAGTCCACAGACCAGCCTGGATGCCACGATGTTTCCTCGGGCTCCTTCTTGGGCTGCACAGTCAGCCTCCTACCCTAGTCCCAGGGCCCTCCTCCCTGGCCTGCTTCCTACATGGCAACAGGAATGATCCTGAAAAATCAAACATGTCAGGGGTCTTCCTTGCTCCCATCACACTTGGAGTCAGCAGATCCCAGCTGCAGCCCCAGCCTATTCCTCCTCCCTGGCTCTAACTGGCCCAGCCCCACTGGCCTTCCCTTTCTCCTCCAGCCACAGCACCAGTCCAGTGTTGCCCCACCTGGGATGCCTGTACCCCTAGATCACGGCAGCAAGAGAGGAAAGCTGGTGCTCAGGCAGTGCCCATGTGCCACGTGCTGCAATAGGCGGTTGCCTACTTCTTACCTGTGGCTTTATGATCATCAGCCCCATTTTACAGAGGAGAGAACAGGCACAGAGAAGTTAGTGCAGCCAAGGTCTTCAGAGTCCTCAGATGTCCTCTCTGGGTGGCTCCAGGACTGGCATAGGGTCATGCCCCTGAGCGACCGCGGAGCCTCTCCCCGGCTGGGGGTGGATGCTGCATGTCGGCCAAGGTTGGCTCAGATCTCTGACTCCCGTCTGTAGGGCCGCTGCTCCAGGGCCCCGTCGCCAGCCTGGAGTCTAAGTCATGCCTGGCCTGGGGGCTGAGGCCGTCCCGGCTTCGGCCGTCGTGGTCTCCGTCCGCCTAATCCTCCTCGTCACGGCTCAGGAAGGCCAGCTCGTTCTCGTAGCAGAAGGAGTTGCGCTGGGCAGCAGGCACTTGTTCTCCACCAGATCCTTCGCGCTGCAGCGGGGCGTAGAGGGCACCTCATAGGTCTTGTGGAAGTGCGAGTAGTCGATCTTGTACAGGTTCTTCTCCTCAAAGAGCACGGGCTCAAAGCGGTGACCCCACAGGATCTCATTGGCCAGATAGGAGCTGCGGGCCTGGGTGGTCATGGCTGTGGCCTCCACCATGCCTTCCAGGATGACCACGATCTCAAAGTCGTCCGTCTCCAGGTCCTGCCTGCTGATGCCGAAGAGCGGGCTGGCCTCGTCAATCTCGTGCAGGATGGTGATGGGCGACACCAGAAAGATGCGGTCCAGGCTGTTAACCTCCTATGCACCCATCCCCTACTCAATCCTAAGCAACCACAAATCTGTTTTCTGTCTCTATAGATTTTCCTATTCTATTTTCAATCTAAATAGAATCATACAATAGGTGGCCTTTTGTGCCTGGCTTCTTTCAGTTGGCATAATGCTATCAAGTTTCATGTACGTATTGGTACTTTATTTCTTTTTATAACTGTATAATATTCAATTTCATGGATATAACATTTTGTTTACCCAATAATATTTTTATTGACATTTGAGTTGTGTTCAGCCTTTGGCTATTTTAAATACTGCTGCTAAAAGTACTTGTGTACAATTTGTGTTTAACACCTCTTTCCAATAATCTGGGTGTATACCTAGGAATAAATTTCTGGGTCATATGACAATTCTATATGTAATATATTTAGAAGCCATCAAACTATTTTCCAAAGTGGCCAGTTGTAGCCATAGAGTATCTAACTGTGGTTTTGATTTGTAGTTGCCTGATGAGTGATGCTATTGAGTATCTTTTTATGAGATTATTGACCGTTCGTGTATCTTCTTGGGAAATACATCTATTCCCATCATTTATCAGTTTTGAGTTGGGATATTTGTTACTGAGTTAAAACAGGTTTTCTATATTCAAGATACGTATATATACAGACATATAGATATGTGTTTTTCAAATATTTTCTCACAATTTTTGAGCTGCCTTTTGACTTGCTTGGTTGTCCTTTGAAACACCAATGTCTTTAATTTTTAAGAAATTTTAAATATCTAATTTTTATTTTGTTGCTCATGTTTTTGGTGTTACAGCTATTTCTTTGCTAGATCCAAAATCCTGAAGATTTTCCCATATGCTTTATTCTAGCTCTTGCATGTATGTCTTTAATTCCTTTGAGTTACTATTTTTGTATGCTTTGGGGTAAGTGTTCGAATTTATTATTTTGCAAGTGGTGATCCACGTGTACGTTGTTGACCCAGTTTGTTCAAAGACTGTCTCTTCCTCATTGGATTGCACATGGCACCACTGTAAGAATCCATTGACTCTAGATACATAGTTTTATATGTGGACTCTCAATTCTCTTCCATCAATCTATATATTTTTCCTTCATCAGTATTGTGTTGTCTTGATTACTGATGCTTTGCAGTAAGGTTTGGAGCACGTGGGTGTGAATTATCCTAATATGTTTTCTTTTTTTAAGATTATTTTGGCTATTTTGAGTCCCTTACAATTCCATGTGTATTTTAGGATCAGCTTGTCAGTTTCTAGACAGAAGTCTGTTGGGATACTTGCAGGGATTTCATCACATCTGTAGTTCAAATTGTGAAGTACTACAATATTAAATCTTCCAATTCATGGCTATAAGATGTTTGCTAATTATTTAGATCTTCTTTAAACAATAATTTTTAATTTTCAGAGTAAAATCTTGTATCACATTTTCCAAATTAATTATTATTTCTTTTTTTGATGCTATTGTAAATTGAAGTGTTTTCTTAATTTCATTTTGGGGTTTTCATTGTAGATGTGTGCAACTGATTTTTGTATATTTATCTTGTATGCTGTAATATTGCTGAAATAATTTACCAGTTCTACCATTCAGTGGATTCCTTAAAATTTTCCATATACAAGAATGTTATTTGCAAATAAACTTTTATTTCTTCCTGTTCAATATGGGTGACTCTTATTTCTTTACTTGCCGATTTGCCCTGCATAAAATCTTTAGTACAGTGTTGACTAGAAGAGGTCAAAGTATATATCCTATTCTTATCTCTGGCCATAGCGGGAAAGTATCCTTTCTTTTACCATTAAGTTGCATGTTTGCTGTTGGCTTTTCACAGGTGCCATGTATCTGGTGTAGAAAGTTCTCTATTCCTGGTTCATTGAGTTTTTATTTTTATTTGTAATCATTAAAGCATTTGGATTTTGTTAAATGTCTTTTCTGAATCTATCGAGATGATCATGCAATTCTCGTTTCTTATTCTATGGATAAGATGTATTACCTTAATGGATTTTGGGCTGTTAAACCAACCTGGGAGTACTAGTATAAATTTCACTTTGTCATAGTGTATAATTCTTTTATATGTTGCTAGATTTGATTTGTTAGCATTTTTAAGGAATTCTGCATTTATACTTCTTGTAGTTTTATTTTTCTATGCTGTTTGGACTAATTTTTGTATCAAGGTAACACTGGCCCCACAGAATAAATTGGGAAGTGAATATTTCTCTTTTTTAAAAAAGCTAGTCAAGAATTAATATCAATTATTCAATACTAACAAATATTATTAATATTATAAATTATTAATTTCTCTAATTTTTATTTTCTTCCTTCTGCTTGCTTTAGGTTTAGTTTGCTATTCTTTCCAGTGCCTTAATGTGGAAGGTCATCTTATCTCATCCTTTCATTTGTCTTTTCATTTTCTAAATAGTGTCTTTTTAGCATCAGGTGAGCTCCCCAGGTTGGTAGTACTCCATGTTTTTTGCTGTACAACAATGGCAGGTAATATGTCCTGAAGACAATGGAAACTTAACATTCAAAATCCTCCTAGATTCCACCTTATATGATATGTCTCTTCCTTTGATTAGTCCTAATTTCCACCCTTTCTCTATTATAAACCATGAGTACAATGGCATTCAATGAGTTCTGTGAGTCTTTCTAGTAAATTCTTGAAACTGAGGGTGTTCTGGGGAAACCCCTGAACTGCCAGTTGGTGTCAAAAGTGAAAATCATCTTATATGGCCTCTTCCTTTGATCTTTGCAGCTGGACCCAAACTCTGCACAATTTGGGCCAGAAGTCTCATGTTGACTTTGCAGCCTAAAGTATCTTGTAGTTTGTCTAACCCTCAATAAATTTGCTTTCATCAAATATTGTATTTGTTACCCAAAAATTACCATCATGTTTCTTTTCTCCAAATAACTAACATTGGGAGAAATAGCCAGCTGAATCTGTAACTCAACAGAAACAAGTGATCCACATACCATATAAGTGGCCATTTCATTTTGCCTCCTTCCACCAAATCTTAGCAACCTCAACCATTGCCATGAGCCACTGTAGGCCTACCGGCTACAAACAAGTATCTTTTAAAAACACTTCATACTCCCATTTGATAAATTTCCCAGCAAAGAGATGCCTACTTTAACTCTGCAAGTGGCTCATATTCGCGACGTCTGGAGATATTATTCATGTAGTGTGAGAAAATCATCCCAGCGATGCCAGCACATTCTCCTTCCCATGATCTGCTTAGTTTGCAAACATATTCAGGCCATGGGTGAGAGATTTGTATTTCACAGTACAACAATTTTATGGAGGGCACTGAAACTTAGATTGAGCATTTTAGTACAGTCACACATCACTGAATGACAGGGATACGTTCTAACAGATGCATCCATAGGCAATTTCATCATTTTGCAAACATCACAGAGAATATTACAAACACCTAGATTGTACAGCCTACCACGTCTAGGTTATATGGTATAGCCTCTCTCCTAGGCTACAAACCTGTGTACTACATTACTGTACTGAATACTGCAGGCAATAAGAACACAGTGATAAGAGTTTATGTATCTAAACATACTTAAACATAGAAAAGTATGTAAAAATATGTATTATAATCTCCTGGGACCACTTTTGTATATGTAATCCATCTTTGACTGAAATGTTATTATGCATGACATGACTCTATGACAAAAATAAAATAATACATTGTAAAAAATGTACACATGTATCAAACATATTAATATTATAAAAATAAAAATATTTATTCAGTGTAAGAATTTGTAATGATCAAAAAATGTTCACAGCTTATATTTTAGTACAATTTCAAATGCCTAGTGCAATTACTATTTGTTTGTGTATTTTAAACATGTATATAATAAATATTTTTCAGGTTCAACAATATATATCAATCCTACTGGTTCTTATAAATATTAGTTAAAATCAATTAGTAAATTCATGTATATATATGCACACATGTGTATCAGTGAGTGTGTGTGCATGTATGGGTGTAAATGTAATTGTATGTGTGTGTAAATGTAATTGGATGCATCCTAATATTTACCCTTACCTACAAGATTTCCAAGATTCATTTATTCTCTTTAGTTGATGTGCATTTAAACATTTACCAAATAAAACTCTAATCGTGGAAAATATCAAGATGTCATTAAATTCATCTTGTGCACATAATTGTTTCTTTAAATTTATTTTTCTTGCAAAACTTGCAGTAATGCTCATGCACAAAATAGTACTCTAAATAAAAAATGAAAACATTTTCTCAGTCATTAATTCTTAATTATTTCTCCCCAATAACTAATGTGAATTAATACTTAATTCTTAATTATAGAATAATGTTGCCCTTCAGAGTTCTGAATCTTTTGCACGTTGTATACATTTCACTAACTAGAACAACTTCTGAAATATTGGCATTAATTAATGTCACTCAGCAATTATTGATTTCAAAGAAATTAAATACCATTCATATTCTGAATCACAAGGGTGCTTTGGCATCTAATTTAATCAAGCTCTTTGTATCATCATCTACACTTTAATTACTTAACAAACATTTCTCTGTGTGAGAAAGGTTGAGCAGGTTATTGTGCTTTTTTAAGATGCAACTTTTGCTTAATCTAGAGATAGGCAATGCTCCCTATAAGGGACAAAGAGAAAAATGAATGAGCAATAGAGATGTGACAGGCATGGAAAAAGACAATACATTTATAAAACAAATAGGGCCACAGATGACGATAATGGGGATCAAATCTTGAGATACTGACTCAGTTTATAACCGCACTGTATAATAGAGCAAATCATTTGTTAATTTTTTTACAAGTGGAATTTAATTTAATTAAGATGAATACAGTGTTTTAAACAAGGCAGGTCATCTTAAAATAAAATAGTGGAATAAAGTGATAAAACCAACGTAAAAATCTTAAACATTTTATAAAGAATTTTTGTCATGTAATTTAATATTTTTCTCTATTTAAAATCACCCAAATCAAAATAATTTTATCTTAATTAACATATAATCATTAGAAGTTTAACTAATTTTTACTTTATAATACTAGGTTTAAAAATTCTTAACTATATTTTTAATCATATATGCTTATATATAAAATAGACATAGGATATATATTTACATGTTCACAATATTATATTGTAATTGTTCCTATGGATGTGGTTTTTCAATAGAATTAATAAGTACTTTTAAAAAGTTTCAATTTCAATGATATATATGTTTGATTTTTCTTTGACAAAGCATACATATATTGATAGGTAATAATATGAAAATCTTCTAAAGACATTACAGGAACATGAAAATGTAATTAAATACTCAATAATTTGTAATGTTTTATGTAAGCAGAACACATTTAACTGAAAATTGCTTTTATATAACACTCAAACGAGACTAAAAACATTTTAACTAGCGGAGTAAGTCTTCAAATTGATAATCTGAACTATGTAAGAGTAGAAACTTCAGGCACTCAAATATTTGAAATGCTACAAAATATTTACATAAACTAATATTTAAAAATTTCTGTTTGTAGAGCGCTACACAGTAATCAATATAAATGACATCTCAAGTCTTTCTCTAGCTTTGACCACATTTACCTCCTAATTTTAATTATTAATATGTTGGAGCAGTACATACAACAAGATTCTAATCTTCCTTTTTAATGAGTAAAAATATATCCTTTGAGACAGCATTAAAGAAAGAGCACCTTGTATAAATTCAATGCAAAGACAAGATATTCTTGATTCTGAAGTCTTGTTCTTTGATACAGCAATGTAATTAATAATAAGAAGAAAAGCAGGACATAGATGTGGAGTCTATTTTAATCAAAAATTGTCTATAGATTTTGTTGATAAAATTTAAAAATCTGCTATATTTAGTTAGTTACAAAAAACTAGGTTGTGGGAACATATTTGGTCAATAAAACACCCCTACCAAATGCTGACAAGAAAAAAAGTTGGGTACCACCTTTCTTCTCTGCAGATGGCCTGAGATGGGTTAATTTGAAAGAATGCTTCTAAACCTGAGGTGACCCCCGAGAACAGCATAATCCACTGCTGTCTCCTACATTCAGCTTCTCAGTCTGTGCTCTTTTAATTTTGCGGGGAGGGAAGCCAGTCCTTTAAACCGATCTTCAGCATGATGGCAGAGCCAAGGAGTGTGGACAGGTGGCAAGGTGTCTGACTTGGTTCCAGCAGCCACTTGGGCTTTCTCTGGGTCTTCTGTGCCCTAGGGATAGCACCACTATTGAAAACATGTCTTTGTGACATTCTCTATGCCAGGAACTCCCAACACATTTTCCTTGAAACTGATGAAATGAATAAAAATAAACCAAGAGGTGTGCTGTTTGTTTCTGTTTCCTCCTTTCTGCAGCCCTTCTTGATCATCTAATATTTTTAAATACATTGTCGACCACCAAAAGGAGCATAAGGGCTTTATTGATTTGTAGCAGATGTATTAATAGCCCAGCCCCTATTCCTTACCTGTAGCTGCTGGGAAGAAAACCATTCTTAACACTCTACAAGGTCTCATCTCCAGAATTTGCACCTGTTTCTAGCTGAGGACTTTCTCTAGCAGCACGGGAGCTTGATATTGGGCATGAAGTGGGAAGAAAAGGTGAGGGTAACTAAGAAGAATCTCCCTGGATTCAGTGATGCAATTGTGAGGCATGTTCCACATAGCTTCCCATAGAATTAAGCCCAGATATCTAACACAGGAACTTGCCTCTTAACACGTGTGGTATTGGCTTTTCTATCTTTCCTGTTTTATTTTGTTCTCTCTTCCTTGTCTCACTTTCACTGTGTCCTCACTCCTGCTGTAAGAATACCCAAACAAATACATTCATTTATTTTTTTAGACTCTCAGAACACAGTTGATAGTTGAACTTGTAATCTATGATAATCAGCTTGGATGCCATACTGACAGGAAGATTGTGAACTCACCATGTCTAATTAAGATAAAATATAAAAATATATTGATTCATGTCCAAAGATTTAAAAAACCTAAGCGGCAGTGTCACAATTTCTTCTTTTTAGTTTACATGGTTTCTTAAACGCCTACAATTATTTTAAAGGAAGCCTTGAGTCTAGGAAAAATTGAGACATATGGAATAAATTACTAACCCATTTCTCCTTGAAATCCATTAGATGCTTGATGATTTTTCACATATATTTCTGAATTGAAAAGCTAGTTGTGAATTACTTTTATAAGCATATCCTTATGTAATATTTTGTTTTTAACAGTGAATTGAAGGTTTAAAGATTAAATTATTCTATCCAGAGAATAAAAAGCAATTATTTCACAAGGAGAACATGTGTATGTTGACACGACATTTTAAAATCTAGATTTTAAAGTAGGTCCCATATACTTTTGAGTCAATTAGAATATGTGTGTATCAGTCTGTCTACAGTTTTACACCTGTCAAAATGTACTTGAACTACAACAAGTACCTTGAACAATTTTGAAATTTATTATTCCTCTGAAACTGACTAAAAGAATTATGGTAGAGTGAAATTCTGATTGACATAATTTGGGAGAGAAATTATTCCTTGGAGATCAACCTCTGCCAAGATAGTTTATAACGACATTGAGACTTTTTGATTTACAAAATTTGTTATATAAAAAATACTAAGACGATGACAGATAATACACAGACTTTAATTAAAATTGTACTAAAATTACATGTCTAAATAAATTAGAAGGGTACATGGTATATCTAACTGTATGTTTACATATCTTTATTTTGCATTTTATTCCTAGGTTTGCTTTAGCTTTAGTTTGTAAAACGTTCTTATTTTTATGATAATGTAGTATATACTAAATAAAGAAAAATCAGGAAGTAGAAAATGAAGAAGAAAACATTAACTATTGTCAACCAAATAAAAATTGTGCAATCTCTAAGTACATGAACTATGTGTTATTTGTACAGCATGTACAATGTTTATGCTTCACAGGGTGAGGTAGAGACTGCAAAACATTGAACCTGGGACAAATAAGAAACTAAGGAAATTTTCACAACATATTAATATTATAGAAAATGTTGAATATAACAGTTAAGATACAAGTAGTGAAAAATGACAGTATTTAAGGAGATCTAGAAAATTTAATCTATATCTGTAATGTGTGAGAAGTATTAGAATAATGCTTGTATTTCTGGATTGGCATCGATTTCTATTGAGACTGGAAACATAATAGAAGTGAGGGAAAAAGAATTTAAATTGTGTATACTTGAGTTTTATACCTAGGAGTTCGAGAAATACATCTTGTGACTATCAAAGCAGTTGGCACAAGAGTGTACAAAATTCCCTAATTGTGCCTATGTGGAGAAGACATAGACAAACAGAGAATAGCCAAACAGAAATAGCAAAAAAGCACAACTAAATTTTACCTGTATTTTTACATAAAAGCCAATTAGAATAGGAAAACATGAAATTTGTGTTTTATCAAAATTTTTCTCTTTCTCATAATACAGTTGATTATATTACTGGAAAAAAGTGAAGCATTGGTATGTTCACACACACAAAAAAGTAAAATATAAGGTCAAAACCATGGGAATGCAGGAAGCAGACAAAATATACCTAAACACCAAAACTGATTTTGCCCTACGGACATGTACCAAAATGAATGAGTGCAGATTCCTACTGTCATACATCACATAAGACAGTAAAGAAATACATAGTTTTTCCCAAGATAGGGCATCACACAGGAGCTCCTCCCTAAAGCTAGGACCAAAATTTCTATCCTCAGTATAAAGAAGAATCAGAGGTAAATTAGTCCCATTTCACACTCCCTGGAAACGGCAAGTAAAAATGACTTGAGATTGGACAGATTTAAAGAAACTCAATCATTAATGATTTACAGCAATTAATTTAAAAATTGTTTAAATGTGCAGTCCAAACATACGTCCAAACACCTTTAGGCCAAGAATTAACATAATGTGGTCCCAGAATGGTGGTGCCTTTAGTAGACTCACAAAAAAATTCAAATTCTCTTTGGCAAATTTTCTTCTTACTAATCCTCAAAAGTCCACAAAAATAATTTTCAGAGAAAAATAAATATTTGTCATTCAAAGGCATCTAAGTACGCAAGGAAATGATATTCCACCATTTGAAAGGAAAGTAGAAAAGAGTACAAACAGATCCACAACGGTTCATTAGTAGAAATATCACTGTTAGATTATAAAGCACATTTGCTGTAAAAAAATTTAAAATAAAATGAATATATTTTTAGGAGACTAAAAAATTGATGTAGCAAATGTGAAAAGCAGTTTGTATAAAAATATAATATTTTAAATTAAAAACTCAAAAATGAACTCATCAGATTAGAGATGGCCATGGTGAGAGTTCATAAATATTTCAGAATGCATTACAGAAAATTTAAAAAAATGCAAAATGTGGACAGAATCATGAAGAGACATGGAAGATACAGTGAGAAAGTGTAGCATGTGTTTAGTGAGTGTTCTCATAGAAGAAGGCAACTGGGAAGGGACAATATGTGATGGTATTTTGGCTGAAAGTTCTCTAGACTTTTGTAAGACATTAATCCGCATGTTCAAAAATTCCATGCACGCTAAGCAAGCTACAATGGAGATAAACCTACACCTACGCATCTCCTAGAGAAATAGTAAACAATCAGGAAGGGAAAAATATTTCAATTAGCACTAGAAAAATCAAATTACCTTTAATCATATTGAAATCTGAAAGAATGAAAGGTAAAATAAACAATATTATTTGTTAAGAATAATAATGCCATTCTGAAATTCTCAACCAAGAAAAATATTTATCAACCTATGGCTAAATAACTTATTTAGAGACAAGAAACAAAACGCCACCAGCAGAATTCCACTAAAGAAACTACAGAGAAACTCTGAAAACATGCTTCAGAAAGGTTGAAGTTCTGAAATCAAAGAATGAACACAGAGCAAAATACATTGTAAACATACAGATAGACCTAAATAAAAAATTAGGTGTTGAAACAAAAAGATATTTAAAATTAGATAAGCACGGAAATATGTATGTTAGGAAGCAACTTATTAGGGCTGAAGTATTCAAAGACCCCTTAATTGTCTGACAAGAGCAGAAAGGTGAGTATGACTTTGGAAGTTTTTTTTTTTTTTTTTTTTTTTGCGTAGGAGTCTCACTCACTCTTTCGCCCAGGCTGGAGTGCTGTGGCGCCATCTCGGCTCACTGCAACCTCTGCCTCCCAGGTTCAAGCAATTCTCCTGCCTCAGCCTCCTGAGTAGGGGGGATTACAGCCGCGTTCCACCATGCCTGGCTAATTTTTGTATTTTTAGTAGAGACGGGGTTTCACCATGTTGGTCAGGCCAGTCTCCAACTCCTGACCTCGTGATCCACACGCCTCGGCCTCCCGAAGTTTTGAGATTACAGGGGTGAGCCACCATGTGCGGCCGACTTTGGAACTGTAATAAATTCACTGGACATTATGCATTTCTCTGTTGTATCTATGAAAACAATAAAAATAAAAGTCATAATTAAAAAACAAGAAGACAGACCCTGATAGGAAAAAATGAGGCATTATATATATATATATATATATATATATATATATATATATAACAAATTAATAAAACAAATTAAGTATAAATGATCAAAGATTAACTTAAACCTACGTAGACAATGTTTTTGTTAAAATACAAAGACTGGCAAAATTAAAAAATTCCGTCTCTATCATAGTTACGAGAGGCAACTAATATATAAATTTTCAGAAACTTTGAAGTTCAAACAATACAGATAGTGTGTGTATATATGATATACATGCAAACATACTACATGAATATAATTTTTTAAAAGGTTGCTATGTAGACAAAATAGAATGTAAGTTAGAAACATTTATTAAAATTAGTTAGTCTAACCAGTGTAATAAAAGTTTTAAGTTATTAAGATGTGATGACTTAAATGTGCATTAGCCTGATACATATATACATATATACACACACACCACACACACTCTCACACACACACACAAACACATATTTAGAGAGAGAGTCAAATTATATAAAGCAAAAATATCAGCAAGTCAGTAGAAATGGATAAGCCCCCAAATTATTATAGACTTTTCAAACACACATCCTTCAGTAATAGATAAAAGAAGAAATTAAAAGACTAAGTTTTAAAAGAAGCTACTAGATTTTAAAAAGGGCAAATGTTATATAAGGAACATGAATATTATAATTCATGTCATTTTCATGTTCATACAGAATACTTACAAAAATTAACATTTTCTAGACCATACCACAAATTCAAACAATTTTCACGGAAATAACGTGACACAATATATTTCCTAAACAAACAGCAATGAAGGTAAATATCAATACAATAAAGAAAGCTAGAAACATAAGTCTAATAATATTGGTTGGAAGCTATTTTAATGACTATTTAAATATTTTAAAGGTGAATAGTCAATACAAATGAACCAAACACTTTTGTAATGCCACTAAGATGCATGTGTAATGTGTAATGTCTCCTTTTATAAGGAGTCAATCTGTAACATCACCTGGGCTATTTGACAACTTCAAAGTGAATGTGAGAAGGAGAGAAACAGTGAGAGACAGATATATAAAACCAGTAAAATAAACATAAAGAATGAAGGAAATATCCAGGCGCCATGGTTCACGCCTGTAATCCCAGCACTTTGGGAGGCCAAGGCAGGTGGATCACCTGAGGTCAGGAGTTCAAGACCAGCCTGGTCCAACAGGGTGAAACCCACTCTCTACTAAATATACAAAAATTAGCCTGGCATGGTGGCATGCACTTGTAATCCCAGCTACTCGGGAGGCTGAGGTGGGAGAATTGCTTGAACGTGGGGGCTGGAGGTTGCAGTGAGTAGAGATCACGCCACTACACTCCAGCTTGTGCGACAGAGCAAGACTCCGTGTCAAAAAAAAAAAAAAAAGAGGAAATAGTACATGAAAAAGCAGAAATAAAGCAACTGAGTATATATTTAAAAATGCAAAAGCTCACTTTTTCAGAAAAATATTAAAATATTAAATCTAAGAAATATCTAGGTAGACTGATGGAGAAAAACACAGAAAATGCACAAAAAGAATTACCTGGAATGCAAAGGATACAAAATATCAGCAGTTGTAGATTTTATATAAGCAATGACTTTAAGTTCAACCATGATGGGTTATATTGAAAATAATCTCTCAGAAAAAAAGAAAAAGAAAACTGTTATAAAGCTATGTACAAAATGTTAAGCACTATTGAAATCTTCCAAATCTACCAGTTATGGAGTTATTGGTCTTGGACTAACTCTCCTGAAAAGAAAGAAACAAAACGAAACAAAACAAAAAAACCTAAAAACCTGGATAAAATAGCCTACCGTGGGCACTGGCAATGCAACCAACCAGGTAGGACCTGGGTGCTACATTCTCTTTGTCATAACACGAAGCATTCATACACTCTTCTCACCCTCAATCTCACCTTTTAATCTTAGATCTACTATTAAACGTATTCAACATTACTATCAATCCTTTGGTCAAAATTTCTTTACTCACATTGTGCTTGATGCACTTGGATAGACTGTTCAAGAAAGTGTGAGTAGTGAATTCCTCAAACTCTTGCATATTTAAAATGACATTTTTGAGCCTTGATGCTTGAAGTGTAGCTTGGGTAACGGGTGGGCTTTAAGCCAATTTTGGCATGCAAGGGGTTGAGTTTATTAGGCATCAGCACCTCTGAAAATCGTGGGGATGCAGGCTTAATTTCAACACGCTTCTAAATACTTGAAAGATATTGTATAATTCTTTAATAAACTCCTGTGTCTACAAATGGTTCACATTAACTCAATATCCATGATTAAACATCTATAAAATCAAGGCACTTATTTAGTGGAGACTTGCTGGCTATTCTATGAGAGGAGGTATTGTTATTGTAATCTCATCCTCTCATAAAAGTGTATCATATTACTCATAACCAGCCCTTCATATTCTATTCCTATTTTGGTATTTTAAAATATCTTTGAAACACTTGAATTCAAAGAGGGAATCTGAATAGTTTTTAAAAGGACAATGAAATGCCATTTCTTCATGCTTGAACAAATAAAAATGGACTAAAGTGCTTCTCTTCAAACTTTCTGGAACATTTTTTATCTAAATTCTAAGAACAATCGCAATAGGTTTTAACCACAAATGTGAGAATAGTCTAAATGTTAGGGTGGAAAAAATTTTTAAATAATTTTATAGTAATTTTTTTCATCATAGTGACAGTGTGCTAAATTTTTTAAGTCAAATATTACTTTAGACATTTAAGTCAAGATTCTAAGAAGCTGTTTTAAAGTCCAAAATTTAGTTTCATATACAATGATATTATATATATTTGCATATAAAATTAATATATGTAAGCCATGTTTCAAATAGTTGAGATATTATTATATCAAAGATTCTTGATTATATAAAATGCCAATTACTTATAGGCACACATGCTTTAAATAATTACAAAGGCAATTGTGGTTGATTCTACTCTTGCTACTGGCATTTGTATGGACATAATATTATGGTCTGAAGAATATTTAGGCAAATTTGTCACTCATATGATCAGAAGAACAATGCAAGATAGTTTATATCTGAAAGGAAAAAAATCTTTATATGTTCTGAAAGCCTAAATCATTAACAACTTGGATAATAATTAGCATAAAAATACACAAACATGCCCTCTTCCTGGCAGTAAGTACACCATGACAACAGAATCAAAGCATGTGGCTCCTCTTCTCTGCCCTTTCTAGATGGCACAATTCCTCATGAATCTAAGTGCAGTCGTAGGGTGGATTAGGGTGACCTGCCATTTGTATGCAACTGATCTCTATTTTGGAAGTAATTAAAGTAAAAATATATTTTTAAAAGATAATTTCAAATTTCAGTGCAAACTAGCATGGTTTCACCCCTTTTCTTTGTAACATTTTTTCTAAGGTTGGAAAAGTAAGGTAGGCTTTAGTACGATTTTTAATAATAAGTTTTCAAAGTGAAACGCAAAATGGTGGCGCCGACACATTTTAAGTCTGCTACATTTTGAATACACTTATTGGAGAAAAGACCTTCTCATCATTTTTCTCTTACAGGAAAGGAAATAACATGTACAGTTGACCCTTAAGCAACACGGAGGCTGGGGTGCTGACCACCCTGCACAGTAGAAAATCCACTATAACTTTGACTTCCCCAAAACTTAACTACTAATAGCCTACTGTAAGCCTTACAAATAACACAAGCAGTCAATTAACACATATTTAATATGTTATATGTCTTATATACTGTATTCTTAACAAACATGCCAGATAAAAGAAAAAGAAAATCATAAGGAAAATATATTTACTAGTTATTAAATAGAAGTAGATGATCAAACAGGTCTTCATCCTCATCCTTTTCATGGGCAGGGTGTGGAGAAGGATATAGAATTGTTGGTTTTGCTAAGTAGACCTGCACAGTTAAACCACTGTGGTGCAAAGGCCAACTCTATAGCCATTGAATAGCAATTTATTTTTAGAAATTAGCCTCACTAAAATACTCTTAGAAGGATGCCAAGAAAAAAATGAATAAGTATGTTTGGTTCATCTATTTCATCATTTCATTTCATTTCATCATTTCATTTCCTCATTTCATCATTTCATTTCATTTCATCCTTTCATTTCATCCTTTCATCATTTCATCTAATCATTTCATCTCATCATTTCATCGTTTCATCTCAACATTTCATTTCATTTCATCATTTCACTTCCTCTCATCATTTCATTTCATCTCATCATTTCATTTCACCTTTTCATCTCATTTCATTTCATCATTTCATTTCATTTCATCTTTTCATCTCATTTCATTTCATCATTTCATTTCATCAATTCATCATTTCATTTCATTTATTTCATCATTTCATCGTTTACTTTCATCATTTCATCTCATCATTTCAGCATTTGACTTCATTTCATCATTTCTTTTCATCATTTCATATCATTTCATCATTTCATCTTTTCATTTCATTTCATCATTTCACTTCATTTCATCATTTCATTTCCTCATTTCCTCATTTCATTTAATCATTTCATTTCATTTCATCCTTTAATCATTTCATATCATTTCATCCTTTCATTTCATTATTTCATTTCATCATTTCATCTCATCATTGCATTTTGTCATTTCATTATTTCATTTCATTTCATCATTTCACATCATCTCATCATTTCATCATTTCATCTCATGATTTCATTTCATCACATCATTTCACATCATCTCATCATTTCATCATTTCATCTCATGATTTCATTTCATCACATCATTTCATTTCATCTCATTTCATTTCATCTTTTCACCTCGTCATTTCATTTCATTTCATCTTTTCATCTCATCATTTCATTTCATTTGATCATTTCATTTCAATTCATCATTTCATCATTTCATTTCATTATTTCATCATTTAATCATTTAACTTCATTTGATCATTTCATTTCATCATTTCATATCATTTCTTCATTTCATCATTTGATCTTTTCATTTCATTTCATCATTTAATTTCATTTCATCATTTCACTTCATTTCATTTCTTCATTTCATTTCATTTCCTCATTTCATTTCACCATTGCATTTCATCATTCCCTCATTTCACCATTGCATTTCATCATTTCCTCATTTCATTTCATCATTCCATTTCATCTTTTCATCACTTCATCATTTCATTTCATCTCATCATTTCATCCTTTCACTTCATTATTTCATGATTTCATCTCATCATTTCATTTCATTCCATCATTTCATTTCATTTCATCATTTCATCAGTTCATTTCATTTCAGTGATACATGTATTTAAGTGCTAATGCGATGCCCAGGAGACACCCTATTTCCCTTTGTAAAACACCTCCTTCAACAAAAGGCAACCTCTCATGGCTGGCTAAGTCTACAGGGATACCAGGCTCTCTTCAACCACCCAGTTTGATTTAGAACCTCAAACAGTACCTCAGTTTCATAAAAACCTAAAACATAAACACAACACTTGGTTGTAAGTGAGACAACAGTTTCTTGTCTCTTTCTCTGCTCAAGGCTTAAGGCCGTGTCTCCCCAGCTACTTTCAGTGGAAGAAAAGATCCTCTGGACAAATAAGTTTGAGAACTGTTGGTGCAGGACTTCTCAGAACCTTTAAAACACAAATCCTCATTCGCAAGGATCTTCAGGAGGGAGATGGCTGATGCAGCACAACTTTCTTTCACAGGAGCATCTTGCAGAATACAGTATGAGATACAGAAAGGCTGCATTGAGTCTTTTTTAGGGCCCGGGCCTTGGTGGCGGTGGGGTAGGAGCTCTCCAGATAGCATCTAATGAGTAGGAACATTCAGGTGGCTTTTTTTTTTCCTTATTGGCAAAACTGTGTGTGCACCATGAATGAAGCTGGTCTCCCTTATCCATATCAAAACTAAACCCGAATTAATTGGCTAAATTGGGACTCAACACCTCCAGGAGCCACGCGGAGGAAAGCCCCACCACACTTTAAAGTAGCTTACCTCATCATATTTGAAGAAAGCAAAACGCTTATGACCAGTATGCTGCTAATACAAGTCTACAGATAATGCTGTAGGAAAAATTATTTTTCCCAATCACAGCTGGCATAGTCCACATTTTGCATTACACTTTCCCCCCTTTTTTTAAATTTTAAACAGGTCTTTCTCTCTTCTTTTTTTAAATTTTAATTTAATTATACAAGACGGAGTCTCAGTATCTTGCCCAGGCTGGTCTTGAACTCCTGAGCTCAAGTGATACATCCATCTCTGCCTCCCAAAGTGCTGAGATTACAGGCCTGAGACACTGTGCCTGGCCTTAAACACAAATCTTACTTCATTCTTACAATTATCCTGAGGTTAGAAAAATGGAAGGGGAACAAAAATGGCAAGCAGGTAGGCTGATTGCCTACCTGCTTCATTACTTGGAAGGACAGTTTGCTCAGTTAAAACACACTACTGCCCACAAAGGCCAAGACAACAGAAAAATACAGACTTATATAAATAGATTTTATATGTGACAGCAGTTTCAATGGAGACTTTTTCAATGCAAATGACAAACAGCTGTGCTTGGGAATAAATGACAACGATTTTTTTTTATCTCAACAGCTGTCCTGAGAGCATGTCTCTACATCTCTACCTGCATTCTGGAATCAGGGAGAAAGCCAAAACGGATGACAAGACACTACTAGATCAGCCGTGTCCAACCCTTTGACTACAAGGACTTTTCCGCCTATCTGTGGTGGTGGGTATCATGAAAATTATGCACAAACCTTTTTTTTTTTTAAGCTCATCAGCTGTTGTTAGCATTAGTGTATTTTATGTGTGGCCCAGGAGCATTCTTCTTCCAATGTGGCCCTGAGAAGCCAAAAGACTGGACACCTGTGCACTAGATCAAAAGTCTACTCCTTCTGGAAGCAATTGTAAAGAATTTCTGACATTATCTTGACATGAAAACCAATGGATAGTGGCACAGAATGCAAAATCTTCAAGAATTTTTCTTGTTGGTTTTTTTTTTTTTTTGAGTCAAGGTCTTGCTCTGTGGCCCAGGCTGGAGTACACTGGTGAGATCACAGCTCAGTGCAGTCTCAAGTGCTCCTCCCGCCTCAGCCACAGTAGTAGCTGGGATTACAGATGCGCGCAACCACCCCTGCCTAATATTTTATTTTTTGTAGAGACGGGGTCTCACTATATTGTCCAGGTTGGTCTCAACACCTTGACTCAAAGGATCCAGGACAGGATAACAGGTGTGAACCACCACACCTGGCTATGTGCATGAACTTTTAAGACAAACACAAGGCCCCACAAAAGTTAAGGTTTTACCACCTAATTTCCAGGGGATCTTTTGGTGCAAGGATAAGAAGCCCTTAAAAGTACACAGACAACTCCAATGATTCAAGACAGTTCATTGGGGCTGAGCCAGACCACTGGGCAGACTGACCTTCAAGAAAGGCCCACCCATGACATACACCAGATGGCTCTCCAAGAATCTCTCCAGTTCTCAGGGTCCCTAAGGTACTGGACAGAGCTAGGAAAGCAAACCCATTTGCTTCTTCCTGCAGGAAACCCCTTGAGGTCAAGACCCCACAATCAGATGAGGATAGAGTGGCTCACCCTCAGTCAACAGGCCAGACTCAAGGTGGTATAATGTCTTAACCAAGGGTGTGGGCCTCCAGGTCTCACTCCCAAGTCAGTGCTCCTTTAATAATCACACTTTGTTAATTCTCCTTAACAGGGGTTCCTGGCAAGTCAGTTCTCCCTCAGGCCTTCGGTTTCCTCACCTACAAGATGAGAGGGCTGGACCCGGCGGCATCACCCCCGCCACCGCCCTCCTTCTTTTCTCCCATCGCCGCTGCGCGCAGGGCCGCTCTATGCAAGCCGCAGCGGCCCAGGCAGGGGGCTTGGGCGCCTAGGCAAGGAACCCCCGAGCCTGGAGAGCTGGACCAGGAGCACCCCTCAGTGCTGACCCCGCCAGGGCGGGAAAAAGGCGCAGCGTCGGGGGCAAAAATCTGCGCGGCGGAGGCAAAAAGACGCGGCGGCGGGGGCAAAAAACCGCAGTGGGAGAAAGCCGCGGTGGCGGGGGCAAAAAGACGCGGTGGCAGAAAGCCGCTGAGGCGGGGGGCAAAAGGCCGCAAAAGCCGCGGCGGTGGCAGGGGCAAAAAGCCGCGGCGGCGCCGGCAAAAAGCCGCGGCGACGGGGGCAAAAAGCCGCGGCGGCGCACGCAGAAAACCACAAAAAGCCGAGGCGGCAGGGGCAAAAAGCTGCAAAAAGCTGCGGCGGCGGGGGCAAAAAGCCGCGGCGGCGGGAGCAGAAAGCCGCGGTGGTGGGGTAAAATGCCGCGGCGACGGAGGTAAAAAGCCCCGGTGGGGGGAGCAAAAGGTCGCAAAAAGCCTCGGCGGCGGGGGCAAAAAGCCGCGGCCGGGGGAAAAAACCCGCGGCGGCGGGGGCAAGAAGCCGCGTAGGCAAAAGCCGTGGGGGAGGGGGCAAAAAGCCGCGGCGGCCAAAATCTGTGGCGGCGGGGGCAAAAGGTCGCGGCGGGGGCAAAAGGCCGCGACGGCAGGGGGCAAAAAGCCGCGGCGGTGGGGGGAAGAAAGCCATAAAAAGCCGCGGCGGTGGGGGAAAAAGCCGCGGCGGCAAAAAGCCGCGGCAGCAGGGACAAAAAGGCGCAGTAGGAGAAAGCTGCGTCGGCGGGGGCAAAAGCCACGGTGGGAGAAAGCTGCGGCGGCGGGGGCAAAAAGCCTCGGCGGCGGGGGCAAAATAGTGGAAATGGGGTAGAAGGCGGCACAGCTTGGCATTGCTGGAGTGTGATGTGATAGGAAAAGTGCAGTCGAAGACAAAAAAAGATGTAAATAGGCTTAACTTAGTGCAGCTAAGAACCCAGATGTTATCTTGAGGGTATTAACTAATAAGCAGTTTAAATCAGAATGGCACATTCTGATTTGTTTTTTGTATGTTCACATTTGGCAGGCATAGATACTGTTTGAAGAGAGGAAAGTCAATAGATAGAGGTAACAAACTTAAATATGTGCCAAGTCTAGAAACAAGAGACTAAGGGGATAAGGACTTTTCAAAATAAAATGCAAGATTTGAAAACTGATTGGCTGGGGGATGAGGAAAAGGCAGGTCTTTAAGGTCAATCCCTGTTTTGCTTTAAGTTGTTAGGGGGTGGTTTTATCACATATTATAGAATATGTCATTTCAGTTTTGAACATCTTGAGTTAAATTGTCCTAACATATCTTATGAATTTGATTTTCTTCCCTGGGAAGCTAATATTTCAAAAACTTAAAGAGTATAGATTTCCAACTTGTGTCCAATTTATAAAATTATCTCTAGGCTGCTGGTTTCAGGAGGAGGCTCATGAATATTCTATTTGCAGAGAATATATCAGGAGTTAACAACAGCATCAATATTTGTGGACGACCAGTTAACTAAGCCACCTCTTAGTGTCTTTAGATGGGAAATCTTAGCTGAAGATATTCAATAATGAACCAACAGTTACTAAAAAATTCAATATTTAAGTATATTTCATTGTAATTAATTTGAAATTAAGTAGCCAAATACAGCTAGTATTTACTACATTGAACAATGCAAATAAGAGGACAAAATTAATAACCATCTCTAATACCACATGCCAAAATCCTCATCAATTTATTCTAGCTAAAGGAGTTTATCAGAAGCAGCAATTGAAAGCACCAACTAAACCAGCTGGGGTTAATTCACTGTCATTCTCTCAGAACCATCTATTCTCTGAACAAAACAAGTAGAAGAGTTAATTGTGAATCTCCATTTTCCTTGCCTATTTTAAGGTTTTGATGTTGACACTAATTTGTGAAATCCTTCCTGTGGGGTGATATTTCGTTTTCCTTGCTTTTTGTTAGGACAAGATTGCTTCAGCTCTTAATTTAAAATTATGTTTCTCCCTCCTAGGTTGAGTGAACTTAGAATGCATTCTCTGACATATCCAAGTTTTTGTTAATATGAATTTCGGGAAAAAAGCATACTAAATTAGCTAAGACTCCTTATTCTAGGCTTGACCCTGTGTTCAACATCTTTTGAATTTGTAGTTGCATAGGCTGCTCTCTGACACTGGTTAGTGATCTGGAAGCTATATTAACGTTAGGGGAGGTGGTGTATGAGCATTAGGGGTATCCTTGCAAGGAAAGACTTGTCTTATCTCAATACGTCTTTTTTTTGCACACAAGAAAGTCAATGTTTGAGTCTTCTAAAATCTTCCTATTTCCAAGTTGCAAAGTACCATCAATTCCTAAACAAAGATCTAATTTTTGACTCAGAGACTTGGCAAGGTAGTGAATCACCATTATAATTTAACAATCTTCAAGATAAAATTATCTCTCTGATATTTAGAATTTGCCTAATTATGAAGATATTTGGGTGTTTCATTAAGAATGGAAGACTCTAGTCTCTTGAGCAGAGACTATAAAGGCCTCAGATGATCATTTATAATTTTATGCTCTTTTCTTTAACACCTTCAATACAGTTGGAAGCAGCCAATATTCCCCAGAGTTGTTGTGTTTTTTAAACCAAATGCATGGTTCAGTGGTAGAAAACTGGGCTGATCCAAGCTGTTTTCAGTAAACACTTCATTTCAGGTGACCTATTTCATATTAAATAATCTCTAGATCCTGTCTTCAAAACTAACTAGATCAGATAACCTACCCTAGATTTTCCCCTTTTAGGGTCTGTTAGCTGCAGTCACTTTTGTGAAAATGATTGCAATGAAAAGATAGAGTTGTAGATGGGGAAAATGTTTTGACTAATTTAAGCATAATGGTATTTAATATGAGAAGTTAAGTTATACACATTTGAAAATTATAATGGAGTCTCTTGCCTGAGCTTTAAAAAAAATAGCATTTAGGCTAAAAAGGGAACTGCTACCTCTCCTAAAATCAGAAAGATGTTACAGTAATTCTCCATTCTCTAGAATTATCAGGAAGCACCTTTGTGATGATTTTGTTCTTGGGAGTGTGAGCCTGTGTAGTCATGGAGCCATCAATTAGAATGATGGCTTTCTGATCCCAAAGTCATTTGTTCTGAAAACAATATTTTTCATAAATTTGAAAGTGAGAAGTTTTGATCTTGCCATTCCCAAGTAACTCTCTTAATAAGAGGCATCAGCATGCTTCAGTGACAGCTGTCACCTTCCAGTGCTGAGGGTCATCTTTGAGTTCTCCATTTCACTCCCTACACTCCAATTTAGCTGCAGTTCTCTTGGCCAGTCCTATGAAATACATCCATGGCCTAACGACTTCTCACCACTAATACCACTCATACTAACAGCATTCTCACCTAAGTCACTACCTTTTTTCTCTGGATTACAGTAGCCTCCCAATTTATTTGCTCACATGACCTACTTATTCTACACAGTGCACCAGATACACCCCTTTGAAATGCAAACACAATCATGTTATTCTCTGGTGAAATTATCTCATATATTCCTATCGCATTTAAAATTAATTAAGAATCATCCCATGATTATCAAAACCCTACATGCTCTTCCACAACATGGTTTACTTCCAAGATATCTCTTCAACTTTTTTTTCACTGTACTGAATTGGTGCCTAATAGTCATATTTTTGTTTTTGCTCAAAAAGTCTTGACTTGTAAATTTTTCAGATTCTCCTTTATCCACAGGTAACTCTTTCCTCATAAGGTGAATTGCTTTCTCCCTGAGATCTGCTCTCAAAGATACCCTTCATTTTCTACCTAATATTAATAACTTTAATCATTCATTATTCCATTACTGTGCTCTGTAGTGTATACCATTTCTGTTCTTTGTCATGTTATTAACTAAATTATTTATTTGTTCCAGTAACGTATTCCATAAATATTGTACACATAAAAATTATGTTATTTTCATTGCTGTATGCTCAGCTGCCCAATAACAGTTTGAGGATTAACATATTTGTTAAATGCACAAATACATTCTTTCACAAATATTAGTTTAATAATTTTATATTAAACTCCCTATATACTTACAATATGAATTAGATAATTCAGAATAAACATTCCATTGGAAAAAACTAAACAATTTGTTATAAAACATCCTTAAAAGCATCAGAAAGTTAATACAGCAACAAAGAATTACAGGACCAAATTAAGAATGGTATGGAAGCCTGTTTGTGGGGCTTATGTTTGGGTTATCTCTTTACTTAGAGTGACTATAAATCTCAAAAGAGAACTAAAGGGATAAATAACCATATGTACTAACATGGTAAGGGTATTTAAACATCTCTTAGTAATTGAGAAAATTGAAAGAAAAAAGAGAAAGGGAGAAAGAGAAACAGAATGAAAGGGATAATGAAGGAGAGAAATAAGAGAAAGGAAGAGGATGAAAAGTAAAGAGGAGGGGGAGGGAGGAAGAAAGAAAGGTAAAAAGAAAGAATGGTAAAGTTTTTAACAACATAATTTAACTTTCTAGAATATGAATGTTGGTCTATTTGATGATGTCCCACAGATTCCTTAGTCTCTGCTCATTTTTTATCTGTTTCTCAGAGTGAATATTTTCCATTTTCTTATCTTCAAGCTCATGACTTCTTCTGTGTGTGTGAATATACTCTTAAATCCTTCTGGTAATTTTTAAATTTTTATCATTGTTGTTTTCCACTCCAGAATTTCTGTTATCTCTTTGTTGATAGTTCTACTTTTTAATATTTTTTCTGATTCCTTTATTTCTTTGTTTCTGTTTTCCTTTTGACATTTGAGTATAATTAAGAGAGTTGTTTTAAAGTCTTTGTCTAGTAAGTTTGATGTCTGGGTTTCCTTAGAGATATTTTCTGTCAATTTATTTTGTTCCTTTGAATGAGCCATACTTTCCCATTCTTTGTATGCCTTGTAACTTTTTGAAAACTGGACATTATAATAATTATAATTACTATGTGGTTACTCTGTAAATCAGACCCCCCCCACAAACACACTAATGTTTTGTGGTTTTAAGTTTTATTTACTTATTATTGTTAAGGTTTTAATTTTTAGTGAAATTTTCCAAAGTGATTTACAAAACTGTTTGCTTTATAAGGTGTGGTCACTGAAGTCTTTTTGTTTCCTTAACAAATGTTAAGCTAATGTTTTGACAGTGATTTTATTGTATGTCAGGAACTAAGCAAACAGGCAAATACAACAAAAAAAGAAAAACAAGGAATCATTATCCAGCAAAATATGTTTCTAGGCCATGCAGACTGGCTTTGTGCTGGGTTCTTTAATGCCGGCACAAAGTGTGTGTTCACTCTTGCACTGAGTGAAGTTCAAGTTCACACTTGCACAGAGCTTGCACTGAGGGGAGGGATCAGCCAAGGTAAACGTGTAGGGTCTTCTTATGACATTTGTCAGCATGTGGCTAAACCTATGCATACATGTGAATTTCTAGACACTCCCATGTCCGTGAATGATTTTGAATGTCTTAGTTTTCCAAATACTCTTCTCCAACTTTTCTTCCTGTGCTGAAGGTGATCTACTATATGTGTAAACTCTAATTTTTGCCCTAAGCATCTGTGGTTTGTTAGGTCTCCTTGCAGAGTTTCTTAATAATGTCCATTCCTTATCTCTTCTGTATTCTAGCAACACAGAAAAAAAAAAAAAAAACCTTTCATTAGTCCTTTAGGTATCCCCCAGACCAGTCAGAACAGATACATAATAATTTGTGGGTAAGATCTTCTCTTGTTCCTTTGAACCATGGACCAGGGTTCCTCACTGGGAACGTGGGCTTCTGACACTTCAAAACTGCCAATTTGCTGGGGCAAAGGCAAGTTAAAAATGTCATAAAGTTTTCAAGTTGTCTTTTTCTTGAGTGTGCTTTCACTTGGTTGTTGTAATCTTTTGACCATTTTCCAGAGTTTTGGAAAAGTTTATTCAGACAGTTTCTCTTAGTTGTGTGATGTTTCTGTGGGGAAATGAAAGATTGCAGCTGTCTCCACTGCCATTTTGCTGATGCTCCTCTTTTGTCAATTTTTGCTTCATGTTATTATGCTTTGTTATTAGCTCATGTATTAGTTTTCTAGGGCTGCCATAACCAAGTAACACAAACTGGGTGCCTTGAACAACATACATTTATAGTCTTATAGTCCTGGAAGCTGAAAGTCTGAGATTGAGGTATCAGCAGGGATGGTCCCTTCAAGGGCTATGAGAGAAAGTCGGTTCTATGCCTTGTTTCTAGATTCTGGTGGTTTAGTGGCAGTCTTTGGCATTCCTTGGCTAATCTCTGCCCTCATAATCACATGGTACCCTCCCTGTGTGTATGTCTCCCTCTACTCAAATTTCTTCTTTTTATAAGGACATCAGTCATATTGAATTCAGGCTCATCTGATTTTATCTTAACTTGATCACCTGCAAAGAACCTATTTCCTAATGAGGTCATATTCAGTGGTTAGGATTTCAGCATCTATATAGAGGAAACAATTTAGCTCCTATCTGTGCATACATGATTGTAATAGCTATGTCTTCCAAAAGCGTTGACCCCCTTATTACTACAATATAAATTTTTAAAATACTATTCACATTTTTAATAGTCTGTATCATGTGTTATGAGTATAATGAGTTCAGTGTTCTTATGATTGCTCTTTGCATGATATTTTTTGTCATCTTTTTACTTTCAATCCATTAGTATCCTTGCATCTCAGTGTATATTGGGATCACTTGTTTTAATCCAGTCTGACAATCTCTGCCTCTTGATTGGACTTTAATCTGCTCACATTTAATATTATAATTGGTATAATTCTATTTATGTCTGCCTTTTTACCGTTTGTTTTGTATATTTCCCAAATATTTTTCTTTGTTGCTTTATTTTGCAATGAGTGAATATTTTCCAAAACAGGGAACTTTAGATTGCTAATGAATTATTTTACTATATATTTTTGAGAATTTTTGTTGTTGTTGTAAGTTTACCATATAAGTATATGGAAAATTAATTATTCAAATCGTCTTCCAATTTATACTAGTAAACTTTTAGTAATACATAGAAACATCATTCTTTTACAAATCTCTTTTATTTCCTCCATTTTAAAGTATTATCACTTTACACATTACATCTATTAAAGTTACAAAGCCAACAATACATTTTAGTAATTATTACTTTACCATCCAGAGGGATTACCTTAACAATACATTTTTCTTCCAACTACCTCCTTTTTGATGCTACTGGAAAATATGTTATAGACATGTTACATTTCTACATGTCAAATATTCAGCAATACATTATCCACATATTATTATTATTATCATTGAGACGGAGTCTCCCTCTGTCTCCCAGGCTGGAGTGCACTGGCACAATCTCCGCTCACTGCAAACTCCATCTCCCGGCTTCATGAATTCTTCTGCTTCAGCCTTCTGAGTAGCTGGGATTACAGGCGTCCGTCATCACGCCCGGCTAATTTTTTGTATTTTTAGTAGAGACGGGGTTTCACTGTGTTAGCCAGGATGGTCTCGATCTTCTGGCCTCGTAATACACCCGCCTCAGCCTCCCAAAGTGCTGAGATTACAGGCATGAGACATCGTGCCCGGCCGTTATACACATATTATTTTATAAACAATTTATGATAAAGAGAAAACTTGCATTTATACTGTCTTTTATAATGTTAATATTACCTATACCAGTGCTTTTTTAAAAATGTGGATTCAAATGACAGTCTTGTGTAACTTGCTTTTAGCCTTAGGAATTTATTTTAGTTTTTTTTTTTTTTTTTAATATGGTAGGTCTGCCAGCAACAACTTCAGTTAATATTTCTGTTTATCTGGGTAAGTCTTTGTGTTATCTTCATTTTTGAAAAATAATTGCTGGATAAGGAATTGGTGGGTGACAGTTTTTTTTTCCTTTGCATATTTTGACTATATTATTCTACTGCCTCTTGCCTTCCATTGTTTCTGTTAAGTCAGCTGTTACTCTTAAAAAGCATAGGTGCTCAAACAATAAACATGTGCATGAATATTTACAGCAGTAATATTCATACAGTCAAAAAGTGGAAACAATCCCTATGCTTGTTGACTCATAAATGGACACCCAATTTCCAGCTATAACAAAGAATGAAGTACTTATACATGGTATAATATGGGTGAAATTTGAAAGCATTATGTTAAGTTCACAGAAGGACAAATATTACTTGATTTTATTCACATGAAATATCAGGAATCGGCAAATCAATTGGGATATAAATCAGATTAGTGGTCATTAGGGCTCAGGGAAGCAGAATAGGGTGTAACAACTTTATGCATAATGGGTTTTTGGAAAGGACATGATGAAATTGCCCTGGAACATTGTGAATATACTAAAAGCAATTGCATTGTATGTTTTAAAATGGTTAAGTTATTAATTTTATATTATGTGATTTTTGCGTTAAAAAACAAAAAAGAGAAAATAGCCTTACTCTATATACAAAAAACTCAAGATGTGTTATAAATTTATATGTGAAATCCAAAATACTATAATACTTAAGGAATAGCTAAGTAGAATAACACTAAAATTTAACGTAATGAAATATTTCCTTAAAAAAGAAAAAGGCACAGTAATTAAAAAGGGAAATATAGTTAATATTTTTTCTCTCCATTAAGCATGCCATTAACTGATTAAAAAATCAATCTGCAATTATGTAAACTACATTTTCTGAAACCATAAAGAAAATAAGAAATGAAAAGGGATTTGGGAAAAAAATCCAAAGGTACAGTCGACTACACAAAAAAAGCTTAGTCTCATTAATCATTATGATAATGCAAATTGTAACTGAAATAAGATAAAACTACAATTCAAAGAGAAAGCCTAAAATTTCAACCCCCCAAAAATTCTGGGTTTTGCAGAGCTGGGATGGAATAGGGCTCCTAACCTTACAACAATGTAATAACCAAACTAACTTCAAAGTCATGCCTTTATTTTTATAGCAACCAGGTTGCCAAGAACTGAGTCAAAATGTGAGGGAAAGCAAGCATCTGCAAGGCGAAAGAGGACAGATGCACTTACATAGGACGGATGCAAATAGACACCACTATGACAAGTAAAGCTGGAATAACCAATATATTCCTAAGGACAAAGTGGGGCTGGTCAGATTGGGAGACGGCTGACAGCTGCAGAAGTTGGGAAAGATCCATCATCGTGAAAACTTTTTCCCTACAAACCCACTGCGATCTCTCAAGCAATTGGTAAGGAATCCAAGAGAGTCTGTATATGATACAGATCAGGGAGAGCAGAACACTTGGGAGGTGACCAGCTCTTGGGGGCCGAGCCCTTATGAATGGGATTAGTGCCTTTTTAAAAGAAGCTCAATGGAGTTCTTGTGTGCCTTCCACTATGTGAGGACATAGAAAGAAGGCACCATCTATGAACCATGAAATGGGCTCTCATCAACACTGAATTTGTGAGCATCTTGACCTGAGATCTTACAGCCTCAAGAAGTGTGAAAAAAGTAATATCTGTTGTTTTTTAGTCACCCAGTTCATGTTATTTTGTTATAAGAGTCCAAATAGACCAAGATATTCCACTTAATATGTAGGGGAAGGTAACAAAAACTGACACAACTAGAATACTCCTGATGCTGGAAGTATGAAAACAGGAAAAACAAAACAAAACTGCTCTTGAAGGTGAAGGAGGAATATCACTGAGCTCACCAACACAGCCAGGAAAAGAACAGAAGTGTGAGAAGTCTACATTCCTGAGATCCTGAGAAAAAGTACCTGCATAAGACTGAGATGAAATTACCTACCCTAGTTATAATTGAAATCCCAAAAAGAAAAGAGGAAAAAATACTGGAGCAAAAGAAATATTTTTCAAAATAACTGCCAAAAATATTCTAAAAGAAGTGACAGAAAATCAAACTTCAGATATAGGAAACTCAGAGAATCTCAAATAGAACAAAAATAAATAAGAATTACATCTTGGAAAATCTTTAAAAAATCAACTCTAAATTTTATATCTTGCTCCAAATATATAGAGATATAAATAGGTTATCATCAAGATATGGAGAAAGCCATATCATGGAAACACTAAAATAAAGCTGTGGAAGGACTACATTGATATTAGACACAACAGAGTTCAGAACAAGAAATAGTATCAGAGATGAGAGATAATAGATAATATAATAATCAATTCTCAAGAAGATGTAAACATCCTACTAATTAGGGTATGCAGCTAACAACAGAACCTCCAAATACATGAGGTAAAACAAGAAAGAAATCAAAGGTGAACTAGAAAAATCCAAAATTATATTTGCAGACTTCAAAACTTTTGTCTTAGTAAGGGACAGACTAGGCACAAACTCAGTAATCATATGGAAGATAAGAACAATATCACCAACAAGACATCCAATCTTCAATGGCAGGTACTCTTTCCTTTCAAGTGAAAAAAAAAACGGTATGGCATATTCTCTAACAAACCCAGAATTTCTAATGTTTGCGGTCTTCCTTCCTTCTCTCCATCTTCCTTTCTCTTCTCTTCCCTTCCCTTCTTCCTTCCTTTCTTCTTTTCCTCTTTCTTTTCTTTTTCTTTTCCTTTCTTTTTCTTTTTTTCTTCCTTCCTTCTTTGCTTCCTTTCCTCTGATTCTTCCTTCCCTCCTCCCTCCCTTCCTTTGTCCCTCCCTTCTTTTCTTCCTTCTTTTCTCTTATTCTTTCTTTCTCACTTCCTTGCTTTCTTTCCTTTTTCTCCCATCCTCCCTCCCTCCTTTTCTTCCTTCCAGCCTCCCTTCCTTTCCTCATTTTTCCTTCCTTCCTTCCTTCCTTTTCCTCTTTATTTTCTTTCTTTGCCTTCCTCCCTTTTACCATTCTCTCTTCCTCCTTTCCTTCCTCCCTTCCTCCTTCCTTTCTTTCTTTCTCACTTTCTTTCTCTCTCTGTCTCTTTCTTCTTTCTTTCTTTCTTTCTTTCTTTCTTTCTTTCTTTCTGTTCTTTCTTTCTTTTGTCTCCCTTCCTGCCTTTATCCCTTCCTCCCTCCCTCCCTTCCTTCTCTCATTTCCTCCTTCTTTTCTTTCTTCTTTCTTTCTTTCTTTCTTTCTTTCTTTCTTTCTTTCTTCTTTCCTCCTTTTTACTTTCTTTCTTTCCTTTTCTTTCTTTCTCTTTACTACAATTCATATTATTTAAAAAAAATTAAGACAGGGATGAAGAAAAATAAAGAACACTTTAATCTGCCAGTAAATAGATTATGTCTGCTGTAGACAAAAAGATGGCCTCCCAAAAATGTTCATGTCCTAATTCCCAGAGTCTAGCCTACAAATATGTTAGGTTACATGGCAGAGGAAAATTAGATTTCAAGTGAAATTAAGGTTGCAATAAAATGATGGAGAGATTATCTTAAATGATTGGGATCAATGAAATCACAAGCTTCCTTATAAGTGAAAGAAGAAGGCAGAAGAAAGGCAACCATGGAGGTGGTGGCGTAAGAAATTACTCAACATCACTGACTTTTAAGATACAAGAACAAGGACCCAGCTTGGTGGCTCAAGCGTAATCCCAGCCCTTTGGGAGGCTGGGGTGGGTGGATCACGAGGTCAGGAGATCGAGACCATCCTGGCTAACCTGGTGAAACCCCATCCCTACTAAAAGTACAAAAAATTAACTGGGCATGGTGGCACATGCCTGTAGTCCAAGCTACTCAGGAAGCTGAGGCAGGAGAATCGCTTGAACCCGGGAGACAGAGGTTGCAGTGAGCTGAGATCTTGCCACTGCACTCCAGCCTGGGTGACAGAAGGAGACTCTATCTCAAAAAAAAAAAAAAAAAAAAGAAAAAGAATGAGGTCATGTTCCAAGGAATAAAGGTGGCCTCTGCATGCTGAAAAAAATAAAGTACATAGACTCTGCCACAGAGCCCTCAGAAAGACTGCAGCTCTGCCCAAAACTTGATGTTAGCCCTGTGAGTCTCATTTAAGGCTTCTGAACTCCAGAACTGTAGGCTTAACAGTCACTTTATTGTAAGATATGAATTTCGTGATAATTTGTTACAGCAGCAAGAGGAAGTTTATATAGTAATTGTATCATGAAAATGAGAACCATAATTTACAACTGCTTTTAATACTGCACTTGGATGTTTGAAATCCAGTACATGGAAATGATCTCTGTGTATGAGGGAGGATAGCAAATTGATGCCAAAATAACGCAAATGCAATCTTACACTCTTTTCTATGTAGGTTTCATTTCATCTTTGAAATTAAAATGAAATTAAAGAATTATGATATTTTGATGAGATTAGACTAAAATGAACAATAACGAAATAAGAACTTACTTGTATTTTTTATATGGTCAACAAAGAAGTGATAGTGGAAAAAAACAAGGTCAAATGAAGGTGATGATTTAGGAAGTTGGAAAGATAGCCTAAACTACAAAATGGTATATAACTAGTGAACACTTAGACACACTGATTGATGAACTTCAGCTTTTGCATTGGTGAGAGCATAAAATGAAAGCAGCTGAGGTTTGCAAATTTGCAATCTCCTTGTGGAAAAACAGGTGAAAACACATCTCAGCCTAATAAGATTTATCTACTAAAGAGTCAAGACTTGATCCATTTGTCCTTGTAATTCAAAAGCTAATTGAAATACTGATTTGATATATTGTGTGAACAACCATTGCTGATTATCATCGCATACCTACCATTCGCTTTTATCTGATATCTAAAATATTTGGTAAGTCCTGGACTTTCTCTTTTCAAACCCAGTACGGTTTAATTTCAATCTTAGAACAGTTGTCTTTGAGAAATTCTTCCCTCTACTGCATCAGTGAATGGGCATAGCATGGTTACATACATACTATCACCACAGAGAACATTTGTTGAATTAAAGCCAAAGTTTAAAGCAACAGCTTTAACTCACTGGTTTTACTAATGTTTTCCTCCCCAATAGCCACAACAATATTGATACCCTCACACCTTTTAACATAAAGCTTGGTGTTGTCTATTTTTCAGGTGCTGTCATCTATATGATCTCAGTATTTTAAAAATCAGCTTCCAGCCCATATGGTGGCTCATGCTTGTAATACCAGCAGTTGAAGAGGCTGAAATGAGAGGATTCCTTGAGCCCAGGAGTTCAAGGAGTTCAAGAGAAACCTGGGCAACATGGCAAGACCCAGTCTCTATCAAAAGTTAAAAAAAAAAGGTGGGCATAGTGATGTGCACCTGTTGTCCTAGCAATTTGGGAGGCCAAGGTGGAAGGATTGCTTGAGCTTGGGAGGTTGAATCTACAGTGAGCAGTGATTGCACCACTGCACCCCAGCCTGGGCAACAAAGCAAGACCCTATCTCAAAAAATATATATAATAAAAATAAAAATCAGCTCTTATTGATTTCTACATAAATATGCACAGGTGATGTCCATGTAGACATAAATACTAATATATCTGACAATGGGTCCATATGATCTTCAAAATGTAAAATGCCTATCTGTGTAATTGACTGCTTAGTCTCATTAATGTATATAGATTCAATTCTACTTTCTTGTTCTAGATAAATTATATAATCTAGCTTTTCATTTCACTTATTTACTGATAACAACAGGAAGAATGACAAGATATCTACTCTGGAAAATTACTCTGGTAGGAGTAAAGATGAAACGATAGAATTGCATGGAAAACTAGAAAAAAGTATGGTCTTCTGATATTCTATCACATCATATACAAAAGGCCTCATAAAACTCAGATATTTTATCTAAAAATGTTATTTTCATCTTAGGGATGATCAAAGCATGAGACTAGAATTGTATTACAATGACTCTCACAAGCACATGTGCTAAAAAGGAGGGGAAAACATCATTACTGATATTTTATACGTATGTTTTACTTTCCATCAACATGAACCTCAACTTGATATGATGCAGATTGAAGGAAATCACCCATAATTCCATATGAAGAAGGCCTGTGATATTTTATGGGAAAATAGATAGAGAAAATGCTAACAGAAACCCTATTAAGCATTAAGATTTATGGAGCAAATACAAATCCAGTGGTGAAAGATACACACTTGAGTTCTGTTTGTTGTCTTGGAACAATATGGTTTAGAGGTGACTGGTGGGTGAGGAGAACATATGCAAGTTCACCAAACAGAAAAGCTGAATGAGGCAATGCCTCTTCCTGACCATATCTCTTACTCAGATACCTATATAATTTATTGTCCAGTAAAGGGTATATTTAAAAATCATATTAAAAGTCATGCAATGTAGTTGTCCAGGGAAATCAAGACTTAACAGTCTCACTTTGACAATAATGAATAGGGGGATTCCCTCAAGATAGACTAGGACATGAGCCCACACTGGCAGGTAGTAGTACCAGAAAAGAACCCATGGAAAATCTTTACCTTATGCTTGAGATAGGGACCAGGCTAAAGTGAAAGCCAGATATAAAATTTTATCTAAAATATATCCACAATCAAAGAAAATATGTGGTGTGCAGGCATAGAATGTCTTTACTGGATCATTGAAATAGTAAGATAAATTCAACTTTTTACATTGTTTTCTTTTCCTCCAGTTAGGGCTTGAGGTTTGTCTCTGGAGAGTGGCTGTCAACTGGAGCCCTGCCTTTCTGGGGTTCTGGGCAGGGGGTTGTGGATGCTTAACATGTGCCTTTCACAGGACACTTCCTTACCCCAGCAGTGGCCAGGTGTGCATTCCACGACCAGGCCTCCCTCTCACAGAACATCTGTTGAGACTAGGAGATGCCTGGTGACTGTTGCCTGACCTGTGTCCTGTGTATTTCTGACAAGAGCCACTCTCAGAGACCCTGGCCAGGAGGAGAGTTAGGTTCCAGTGTAGGTCAGCTCAGACACATTGAGGCCACAGGACCAAACATGGGAAATCACAGAAGTGGTTTTATTACTCACAGATCCAGAGAGAAGAGGGTAGCTGAGAAGAGGGTTTAGCTGTGTCCCCAGCCAAATCTCATGTTGAATTCCCACATGTTGTGGGAGGGAACAGGTTGGAGGTAATTGAATCATGAGGGCAGGTCTTTCCCATGCTGTTCTTCTGATAGTGAATAAGTCTCACAAGATCTGATGGTTTTATAAAGGGGAGTTCCCCTGCACAAGCTCTCTTGTCTTGTCTGCTGCCATGTGAGACCTGCCTTTCACCTTCCGCCATGATTGTGAGGCCTACCCAGCCATGTGGAACTGTGCGTCTATTAAACCTCTTTCTTCTGGAAATTACCCAGTCTTGGGCATGTCTTTACTGGTGGTGTGAAAATGGACTAATACAGTAGCACACCTCATAGGGCTGAACAAAATGGGGAAGACGAGTGGGGAGCAAGAGAGAGAAAAGGGGTCTGTGGGACTCCAGCCTTTATTGGGCCCAGAACATAACCCAAATAAGATTTCCACGGGGCTATAGTCAGTGGGGTGAGTGCCAGCAGGCATATTTCTTGGCTCCTGCTGCAACTGAGCAGGTCACTCTGGCGTTTGGGAGCTGTCCATGTGGGCTGTGAGGTCTGTGGGGTGAGTCAGGTAGGTTGTATCCAATGGTTCCATAGCGGGTAGTCACCAGGAGGAGGCAACTGTGTAGGGTCAATATCTGGGCCAGCCACACTGAGGAACTGTGAGGGTTAGAACTGGAAATTGTCAAGGGAATCTGAACCCAGCTACCATATGAGAGAGTTCAACTTACATTCAATGTGAATGCCATGGCAATATTAAAAGGTAAGAATTCGCTCCATACGTGCTTGAGGTAAATAGGAGAAACCTAGAATTTATGCAAACAGTAAGAAGTTTGGATGTGTTTTCTGTCACATATTTTAATACTAGCAGCATATTATATATGTCAATCCATCAGGCATTCAGAAATACATGCTTATGAAAATTTTGTGCACCATCAGACAAAAGACAAGGGTAGAAGACAATTTTAACCCTATAAACACTAGTAAATTAAAAACAGAAGGACCTTTATGTCCTAATATATCTATATTGTGAAAGGCTGCCCTGTGAAATACGGGATTTCTTAAACATATTTTAAAAATCATAGGTGTCAATACTTTTTAGAAATCCATTTAAATTTTCTCTTGCTACTTTACAATGCCTATTTGTTTATTTAGTGGTTTTGCTGGTTTTGATGTATATCCTAAACTTTACATTTTCTTTAAAGTATGTTTTATACTACTTTATGTAAAATGTTTCAGTATCTTCACATTCTCTCCCTGTCCTTTTGTTTTGCTCTTATATGGTGGCCTTGAGTCTTTTCTCTGGCTTTTCAAACCTAGTAAGACTAAGACACTAAAGTAACTTTGCCCGTGGTTTGGTAATGCCTTCTAAAGCACGTCCTAAGCTCTCGTGCATACAGGGGTCTCCTTTGAGCTCTATGCTTTTGAGATCCCATATACCTAAATTCCCGTACTCCAAATCAGTACTTCTCAGTTTTAGTTACTAAGTTTAAAAATGTATTTTAATAGCAAGTTAGTTGAGTGCACTCTTACTTCTTTCTTTGCTGCTGGTATACGTGTATATTTCCTTAAATGAATCTTGGAATTTATTTAAAAATTTTAAATTATACTAATGAAACTGTATATTGTTGTGAATTCATAGGTGATTTTGGAAAGAATTTGTCTTTATGATACTAAATCCTTTTTATCGAAGAATCATATGTGGCTTTATATTTATTCCAGCCTATATTTATATCACTGAGTAAGTATATAGAAATGTAGATACATACAGCTGTAGTCATAGATAGATACAAATATAGATATAACATGTTAAATCTATATCTATCCCATATAACATATATACATGTTATATGTGTGTGTATATATATATATATGTTTGTGTTATTAAAGAGCTCCCTTAAAATTTTTCTTATATTTCCTATATAATTTTAGGTTGAGCTTGAATTTTCCTTGTATAAACAAGCAAATATTTATACTAGTTTTAATACTGAGATTTAGACATTCTATCTTATTTTAGCACTGAATATTTTCACAATTATTATATTATCTAATAAGAATGTAACTGTTAAAAATATTTAAAATTTTACTTTTGAATTATTTTATTGTTGAATTTAAATTCCTTTAAGTATGATAGTAAATTGCTATTTTATGCTTTCTCTATGAATATGCAAATTAATCTATCCACTTCTCTATCTCTATGTAGTAACATATGAAAATCAAGCCTCTCTTCTTCTAATAGACATATACATGTTTGCATATAGAATATCAGACTCTTTATAGCATTTAAAATCTTTAAAGACATGAATATTACCTTTTAACAAATATATTTTAGCATGTACTGAGAATCCCCTATTTATTGTTTATTTGGGGTAATCAATATGATTATTAATATTATTGGATCACCAAATTTGGAATCACACTTTCATCCCCAAGGTGGATATTTGTTTTTATTTTTGCCAATTTCTTGTCTTACTGTTTCAAATATTGTTGGATATTATTTTTATTTTATTTGGCATTTTAGTATCAATATTTGTAAGTGATGTACTCTACATATTTTTTCTTCAATATCTGGTGGGTTTTATAATTACTGCTATATTGGATTTGTAGTAGACATTGACAAAAATTATTTCTGTATGTTTTATAGCTGTATGAAGGAATCCAATGTATTTTACCCCGAAATATATTTCCTTGATATATTTCAAAATGGCTATTCAGAAGGGCTGGAAATGCAAACTTAGCTGCAAAGCTGTCTTGGGGAGATTTGCATCTGTAGAGAATCTACTTTGATGCAGCCAGGCTTTCTCTGAGGTCTGCTAACTTGTCTGGATCTGGGAAAGGTTAGCTGAGCGTCTGAGGTCTCCAAAGGTCTGAAAGAAACATTTTCTCTCTATTCTCTCTGAGGACTGCTCCCAGCGAGGTTTCACCCACGTAATAAGTCCACTGTTGCTAGTCAGGGTCCTTTTCTCACATAACCTCTTTTTTTTCCCTGTGATCCAAGACCCCATTCTTTCTGTAAACTTCATGTGGTAGATAAGCTTCTGCACCCATCTTGTGTCTGGGTCTCCATTCTAAGGGCTCCAGTGTACACACATTGCAGAATCCTGTATGCCTTTTCTACTATTTATCTGCCTCTTATTAGTGATTTTCAGGGAAACTTCAGAAGGCAAAAGGGACATTCTCCTTTAGCCTATACTCAGACAAAATCCCCCAACATTTAACTGATTCCTAATAACTTAAAATCACTTTGAAAAATCCATATCTTTATAACCTTTTTCTTCCCTCTATGATTTCTGGTCAGCTTGGGTTTTGTTTTTTATTCCATTTACTTCATCCTCGAAAAGATCTATTTTACGTCTATTTATTCTCATTTATTGAAATTGAGAAAAGAAAATAACTTTCATGTGAGAAACGCAAGTCCTTTGAAATAATCAGGCCCAGAGAGTTATTCAAATGAGACAGCAGTTCTGTCCTGCTCCTCTTTGAGCTGTGTGTTCATCTAGGCTGCTTGCTGTTGCCACAGTAGCTATAAATTAACCAATGATGCCACACCAGACACTACAATCCACACCCAATAATAGTGTAACAGTCACTAATAAATGTTATTTCCATAAGCCAATGAGAATTTGTGACAAACCTCTTTGCATCATCCCACTTCTTATCCCTTTTTTGCCTTTAAGAAACTGCTTGTTGCAAAGCTCCAAATGGAGTTCATATCCAAGGATACTTGGGTCTGTTTCTTCCAGGCAGCTGTCCTCATTTTGGCTCAAGTAAACTCTTTGAATTGCGTTTTGTGCTTCAGCCTCTTCCACTTAGATTAACAACATGCATTTGTGTCACCATGTACAGCAATTAAAATGTTTACACTTTTCCCCACGAGGGCACTGATGTGTTTTCCTGAGCACTTGGAATAGCTACATAGTGTTTGCTTTCTATATTATGGTTTCTCAACCTTGGTGTACTTACCTTTAGGACCAGAGGATTCTTTGTTTTGGGAGGCTCCCCTAGCAACGCTAGGTGATTCGTTTGACCTCTATATTTCACACCTCCACCAGTCTTGACATCCCCACAATAACCCTAGACATTGACAAATGTCTCCTGGGGAAAACTCTCCACCGGTTGACAGCCAAAGTTCTTGAAATATTGTAATTGTCAATTGAGTTTTTATGTTATACAAAACAAATATTTTTCTTTGTTTTTAAACATCTACCTCCATCTACTTATCTACTTATTTTTACTTTTATTTGTAACTTAATTCCATCAAGGAGAGAGTGCATTTTCTGTTATGCTAAATTTTTGAAGAATGTATTGATTTTTTATGACCTGATATAAGGATGATATGTAGATATTACATGTTTGTATTATCAAATTTCAGGGCGATAATAAAATAAATACTTATAATATTTATATTGTCACTTTATATTAGTTATTTTCTTTCTTCACTACAGGAGTTTTTCAACCTATAGGCTATTTTTCAATTCTAGGTTATCCAGTAGATTTTGAAATGTTATGATTAAATATCTACTTCTCAAGCATTCATCTTTGCAAATGAATAAATCCCAAGCTCTTATAATGCACATCATATAAAGAGCAGATTAGTCAATATATGGTTCAGAAACAGTTATGTAACATCTATAAGAAAATTAAAAATTTAGATCCTTAACTCAGATAACAATAATCCAAATTAAAATTTGATTTCATTACATAATTTAAAATGACACCAGAATACTAGTAAAAATATAGATAAGTCTATATAATCCTTTTTAGCTGTAGGACTTTAATAGCATAAATTCAAATACAGGAGCCAAAGTAAGATTGAGACCTATAGTCAAAGGTTAAAATGTACACATTATAGGGGCATGATTAATCTAATTTAAAGCATAACATGGAGAAATTGCAAAACATACATGTTACTGAATTAATTGTTAATATCTAATCATTAAGTGAGAACAAAGGTAAAGAGTAGCTACACACACACACACACACACACACAAGTGCAGTATTGTCAAATAAATGTGATGTTCAGCTACACTAGAAATCACACCTGTGTTTTCTCCACAGAAGAGTAAAGATTAAAAATCACAATAATATTTATTGTACATATGGAGGTAAAGATACACAAAATATTACCCTAAAATACTTTTTTTTTTGAGATGGAGTTTTGCTTTTATTGCCCAGGCTGGAGTGCAATGGCACAATCTTGGCTCATTGCAACCTCAGCCTCCCAGGGTCAAGTAATTCTCCTAGCTCAGCCTTCCAAGTAGCTGAGATTGCAGGCATGCGCCACCACTCTCGGCTAATTTTTGTATTTAGTAGAGACGGGGTTTCACCATGTTGGTCAGGCTGGTCTCGAACTCCTGACTTCAGGTGTTCTACCCACTTCAGCCTCGGAAAATGCTGGGATTACAGGGGTGCGCCTGGCCAACTTTTTGATATATTTCAAGATGGCTACTCGGAAGACTGGAGATAGCTTCTTCTACAAGAATAGCTGAAAAGCTGTGTTTGTTGGGGAGATTTGCATTTGTAGAGAAAATCTGCATTGATATAGACAGGCTTTCCCTGAGATACTCCCTTGTCTGTGTTTAGGAAAGATTAACTGAGTCTGGCACGTTTACATTTCTAAAAACCATTTCCTATCTATACTTCCCAAGAAGAGGGCTGCTCCCTGTGAGGTTTCATCCGTGTAACAAAACCACCTCTGCTGCCAGGCTCCTCTGTCTTCCTTGTCGTCACTTGTCTTCCGCAAAGACTGATTCACCAACGTACAGGTCTGTGTTTTCTGTAACCTCAAGACAGCATAGGCGTGTTGACTACCTTGCCTTTCCTGGAGTTTTTATATATATAGTATATATTTGTATATCTATTTATAATATACAAATATTTGTATATATATTTATATATATTATGTAAACTCCAAGTGCATACTTGTGCACATATCTGTAAACCTTTTTTTCTGTTAATTTGAACATTATCAGTTTGTTTTATAGACTGAAATAATTAAAGCTTCAAGGGAAAAATTTAAACTTTCCTATAGAGAAAATATAAATATATAGGTGACAAATAATATTTAGAGTGTAAGACGCTTTTTAAAGGTATATTTGCAATTTGTGTCAAAACATTTAAATATACATTTGTTACTTTATAAAATTTCAAATAATTTAAGCTAAATACATAGTATATGCAGAAAATTTAGCAATATTTGTATGTAGCACCTTACTGTGCATTACTGTAACCAGCTGTCTAATATAAAGAACTAATTAAGGTAGCACTTACTTTTCAAATATCTCATTTTTTTCACAGACCTATTAAATAAGACAAATAACATATAAACTTTGTTTTTAAATTTACAGAATAGTAGTTTTCAGAAGATGGTTTATTTTAGCAAATTCCATCTTCCATTGTGCTATGCTTTTATGAGTACCAGCTGTGAACGGATAATATTTTACAGCTGAACCTATCATGTGTGATATAATTGCTCATTATGTACCTTAAAACACAAGCAATATAGTTATTTTCAACTTGCAGCAGACTAAAATCTTATCAGCCATTTAAAAACTCTAGAGCTGTCTTCTTCTGGTTAATTATTTTAAACTTGTACTTTTCTCTCTATGTTTTTAGTGAGTTGTCTTATCAAGGAGAAGAACTCAAGCTGATTATTCTTTTTTTTTCTCTTCCATCCACCTCACAGGTGTGTTTATAATTTCATTTCTCAGAAAATGTTCTTTCATATCCATCTTACAAGATGAGAGAGCTTTTAAAATCTTCCATTCGGATGTGATATGAGTAATGAAAATATTCCAGCTTCATGAATATGGTGATACAAATAGTTATCCGTCTAACCTCTTTCAGTGCCAAATGTATACTTTAGTCAGTGAATTACTCAGTTGACTGGTAATTTCTTCTGAAATCACAAATGAGAGGATCAGAGGTCTGGCTGTTGTCTGTACCGCACATGACTCCCAGTGCAGACAATTGTATCTATGGAGCACAGACAGTTGAAAGGATTGACTTCCTGCCTAGAATAGTTTCTGTTGTGCTTCTTATCCTTCCTGTGGAGATTTCAGATTATCTGAATTGCTTTTCTATCTTAAGAAAAAACTTAACAATTCTGCCACCTGAGAGGAATGTAAACTGTAGTAAGGTAGCAGAACCAATCCGTAAAGTTTTTACATTGTTTTTTGTAAAATGCAGCTTTGGTGTCTCCATCACTAACCTTTTCTATCCCTCATTGCTCTTTCTTTGACTGCAATAGGATACCTCTAGGCAAATCTGTATTCCCGAGACAGAGTGCCGTTTTGGTTAGCTATAAGCACACTCAATGGTAGGCTGAAATACTAGATTTTATCTATGGCGAAATTCCATTCCACTACACTCCATTCCACTACACTCCATTCCACTACACTCCACTCCACGCTATTCAATTCAATTCCACCCCATTCCATTCCACTTCATTCCACTCCACTGCACTCCACTTCACTGCATTCCATTCCATTCCACTCCATTCCATTCCACTCCACTCCACTCCATTCCACTTCATTCCATTCCATTCCAATCCACTCCATTCCACTGCACTCCACTCCATTCCATTCCATTCCACTCCACTCCACTCCACTCCACTCCACTCCACTCCATTCCACTCCATTCCACTACACTCCATTCCACTCCACTCAACTCCACTCCACTTCAGTCAACTCCATTCCATTCCAATCCATTCTATACATTTCCACTCCACTCCACTCCATTCGATTCCATCCCATTCCATTCCACTCCATTCCAGTCCACTCCATTCCACCCCACTCCATTACATTCCGTTCCATAACAATCCATACCACTCCATTCCACTGCACTCCAGTCCAATCCACGCCACTCCACTCCACTCCATTACATTACATTCCATTCTAAATCCATTCCATTCCAATCCTTTCTTTCAACAGGATCTCACTCTATCAACCAGGCTGCACTGCACTGCACAATCTCAGCTCACATTTCATTTCACCATTCCATTCCATTGCATTCCATTCCATTCCATTCCATTGCATTCCATTCCATTCCATTCCACTCCACTCCACTCCTTTCAATTCCATTGCTTCCGATTCCATTCCATTCAATTCCATTCCACTCCACTCCACTCCATTGAATTCCATTCCACCCCATTCCATTCCACTCCATTCCACCTCACCACATTCCATTCGATTCCATTTGATGCCATTCGATTCCATTCAATTTGATTCCATTCGATTCCATTTTTTTCCATTCGATTCCATTTGATTCGGCTCCATTTGATTCGATTCGATTCAATTCCATTTGATCCCATTCGATTCCATTCCATTCTACTCCACTCCATTCCACCCCATTCCATTCCACTCCATTCCATTCCACTCCATTCCATTCCATTCCACTCCATTCCATTCCACTCCATTCCATTCCATTCCAGTCCACTCCATTCCATTCCATTCCATTTCATTCCATTCCATTCTAAATCCGTTCCATTCCATTCCTTTCTTTCGACAGGATCTCACTCTCTCACCCAGGCTGGAGGGCAGTGCACAATCTCAGCTCACATTTCATTTCACCATTCCATGCCATCCCATTCCATTGCATTCCATTCCATTCCATTCCATTCCACTCCATTGCATTTCATTACATTCCACTCCACTCCACTCCATTCCACTCCACTCCATTCAATTCCAGTCCACTCTATTCCACTCCACTCCACTCCACTCCATTCCATTCCCTTCCATTATATTCCAGTCCACTCTATTCCATTCCATTCCACTCAATTCCTTTCCACTCCACTCCACTCCATTCCACTCCACTCCGCTCGACTCCATTCCATGCCATTCCACCCCACTCCATTTCACTTCTTTTCACTCCATTCCATTCCATTCCACCGCACTCCATTCCACTCCACTCCATTCCACTCCACTCCACTCCACTCCATTCCACTCCACTCCAATCTACTCCATTCCATTACATTCCATTCTAAATCCATTCCATTATATTCCATTCTAAATCCATTCCATTCCCTTCCTTTCTTTCAACAGGATCTCACTCTGTCACCCAGGCTGGAGTGCAGTGCGCAATCTCAGCTCACATTTCATTTTGCCATTCCATTCGATTCCATTCCATTGCATTTCATTCCACTCCACTCCACTCCGTTCAATTCCATTCCTTCCCATTCCATTCCACTCCACTCCATTCCACTCGACTCCACTCCACTCCACTCCATTCCATTACATTCCATTTTAAATCCATTCAATTTCATTCCTTTCTTTTTACAGGATCTCACTAGTTCGCCCAGGCTTCACTGCACTGCACAATCTCAGCTCACATTTCATTTCACCATTCCATTCCATTGCATTCCATTGCATTCCATTCCACTCCTCTCCACTCCGTTCAATTCCATTCCTTCCCATTCCATTCCATTTGATTCCATTCCACTCCACTCCACTCCGTTGAATTCCATTCCACCCCATTCCATTCCACTCCATTCCACTTCAGCGCATTCCATTTGATTCCATTCGATGCCATTCGATTCCATTCGATTCGATTCCATTCAATTCCATTCGATTCCATTTTTTCCATTCAATTCCATTTGATTCGATTCCGTTCAATTCCGTTCGATTCCATTTTTTCCATTCGATTCCATTTGATTCCATTCGATTCCATTCGATCCGATTCCATTTGATTCGATTAGATTCGGTTCCATTCGATTCCATTCCATTCCATTCCACTCCACTCCATTCCACTCCACTCCACTGCACTCCACTCCATTCCACCTCATACCATTCCACTCCATTCCATTCCATTTCATTCCATTCCATTCTAAATCCATTTCATTCCATTCCTTTCTTTCGACAGGATCTCACACTCTCATCCAGGCTGGAGTGCAGTGCACAATCTCAGCTCATATTTCATTTCACCATTCCATGCCATTCCATTCCATTTCATTCCATTCCATTTCATTACACTCCATTGCATTCCATTCCATTCCACTCCACTCCACTCCATTCCACTCCACTCCATTCCATTCCAGTCCACTCCATTCCACCCCACTCCACTCCACTCCCATTCATTCCAATCCACTCCACTCCATTCCACTAAACTCCACTCCACTCCATTCCACTCCATTCCATTCCACTCCACTCAATTCCAGTCCACTCCATTCCATTCTACACCTTTCCACTCCACTCCACTCCATTCCATTCCATCCCATTCCATTCCACTCCATTCCACTCCACTCCACTCCACCCCACAGCACTCCACTCCACTCCATTGCATTCCATTCCATAACAATCCATACCATTCCGTTCCACTCCACTCCACTCCACTCCACTTCATTCCATTACATTCCATTGTAAATCCATTCCATTCCATTCCTTTCTTATGACAGGATCTCACTCTGTCACCAGGTTGGAGTGCAGTGCACAATCTCAGCTCACATATCATTTCACCATTCCAGTCCATTCCATTCCATTGCATTCCATTCCACACCACTCCACTCCACTCCATTCAATTCCATTCATTCCCAGTCCATTCCACTCCACTCCATTCCACTCCACTTCACTCCATTCCATTAAATTTCATTCCACCCCATTCCATTCCACTCCCTTCCACTCCACTCCACTCCACTTCACCACATTCCATTCAATTCCATTTGATGCTGTTCAATTCCATTTCATTCGATTCCATTCCATTCCATTCTATTCCATTCCATTCAATTCCAATCCACTCCATTCCATTCCATTCCACTCCATTGCACTCCACTCCATTCCACTCCACTCCACTCCATTCCACTCCACTCCACTCCATCGCATTCCCTTCCATTATATTCCATTCCACTACATTCCATTACATTACATTCCACTCAATTCCATTCCACTGCACTCCACTCCATTCCACTCCACTCCGCTCGACTCCATTCCATGCCATTGCATCCCACTCCATTTCACTTCTTTTCACTCCATTCCTTTCCATTCCATTCCATTCCATTCCACTCCACTCCATTCCACTACACTCCATTCCACTTCACTCCATTCCACTCCACGCCATTCCACTGCACTCCATTCCACTCCACTCCATTCCACTGCACCCCACTCCAATCTACTCCATTCCATTCTAAATCCATTCCATTATATTCCATTCTAAATACATTCAATTCCCTTCCTTTCTTTCGACAGGATCTCACTCTGTCACCCAGGCTGGAGTGCAGTGCGCAATCTCAGCTTACATTTCATTTCACCATTCCATTCAATTCCATTCCATTGCATTTCATTCCACTCCACTCCGTTCAATTCCATTCCTTCCCATTCCATTCCACTCCACTCCACTCCACGCTAATCCACTCCACTCCACTCTATTCCATTATATTCTATTTTAAATCTATTGAATTCCATTCCTTTCTTTTGACAGGATCGCACTAGGTCACCCAGGCTGCATTGCACTGCACAATCTCAGCTCACATTTCATTTCACCATTCCATTCCATTCCATTCCATTCCATTCCATTCCATTCCATTCCATTCCTTTGCATTCCATTCCATTCCATTCCATTCCATTCCATTCCATTCCATTCCATTCCTTTGCATTCCATTCCACTCCACTCCACTGCACTCCGTTCAATTCCATTCCTTCCCATTCCATTCCTTTCGATTCCATTCCACTCCACTCCATTGAATTCCATTCCACCCCATTCCCTTCCACTCCATTCCACTCCACTCCATTCCAGTTCTCCGTATTCCATTCGATTCCATTCGATTCTATTCCATTCGATTCGATTCTATTCCATTTGATTCGATTCCATTCCATTCCACTCCACTCCACTCCACTCCATTTCCACTCCACTACATTACACCCCATTCCTTTCCACTGCCTTCCTTTCCATTCCGTTTCATTCCATTCCATTCTAAATCCATTCCATTCCTTTGTTTTCTTTTGACAGGATCTCACTCTCTCACCCAGGCTGGAGGGCAGTGCACAATCTCAGCTCACATTTCATTTCGCCATTCCACTCCATTGCATTCAATTCCATTCCATTCCACTCCATTTCATTCCATTCCATTACACTCCACTCTACTCCATTCCACTCCACTCCATTCCATTCCAGTCCACTCCATTCCATTCCACTCCACTCCACTCCTTTTCATTCGAATCCACTCCACTCCATTCCACTCCATTCCAGTAAACTCCACTCCACTCCATTCCACTCCACGCCATTCCACTCCATTCCATTCCACTCCACTCAATTCGAGTCCACTCCACTCCACTCCATTCCATTCCATTCTACACCTTTCCACTTCACTCTGCTCAACTCCACTCCATTCCATCGCATTCCATTCCACTCCATTCAACTACACTCCATTCCACTCCACCCCACAGCACTCCAGTCCACTCCATTGAATTC